>NC_000006.12:112570790-113820790 GCF_000001405.40 Homo sapiens
TGTTATTTATTTGGTTTCTATGTGCCTTTAACATACTTCTATCAATGTGTAGTGGGGTGCTTTATTGGCGTGAGGGTGGAGAAGTACTTTCTCACTTTCTGGCACTTATGTGAGATGCTACATCATCTCGTTTTGCCCCAGTCCTAGAACTGGCCATTTATTCAAGGAGCTTCCTTTTACTGGAAATAGTATTAGAAACCCAGACCTGGCTTGTTGAGTTCCAATAATTTTTAAGGGTTTGTATTAACTGGTGCAAAATTCATTTAAATATTGTGTATAATTATCCCTACAGATGTTTGGAAGAAAGCAGTGTATTGAAAAGAGCACAGGCAGACTTTGTTTTGAGTCAAAGCTCTTTATTTTAGGGGCAGTATGACCTTGAAATACTTAGCTACTCTTCTGATTACTTCTTCCAGCTTACTCAAGCCAGACAAACAAACTTGTGTTTCTTTGTAACTTTCCCAAAGCAAAAGAAAATCTTGTGACAAATACCATGCAGAAAAAAATATATATGTGTGTGTATATATATGTTTAAAATAAAATACTATACCTTAATGGTATCTCATAATCTACTGTAATTATTTACTCAGACACTGTAATATTACATACATTTTATCCTTTAATTCTTACAAAAACACTATTTGTATTATCTGTATTATTCTTTCCTTCATTTTAGACATAAGGAAACTGAAACCCAGGTTAATTTAACAAGTGTAAAGTTTCTAACATCGTGGCAGTTACATATTCAGTTCTAATTAATGTTATTCCTCTTGTCCTTTACTAATGTGAACAAACAATGATTAAAGAGTAAACGTTTGGCCTCTCTCATGGGCCAGGGAGTTGCTTGCTAGATCTTACTTGTTTGCCAGAGTGTCTCACAGAGTCAAGCATGCTGTGGGGGTTAGTGAGTCCGCTGGCTGGAAGCCATCCCCTTCTTGCCAAAGTTAAATGGCCTATATAAACTTTTTTCTAGAGCTGGTACACCAAAGGCATAAGTAACAACAGCAGTCATCAAAGTAACAATAATATTTGACAGTACTTGAGATTTTACTTTATACCAAGCACTATGTTAAGTTAATATTAATATTCATCATCTTATTTCATTGTCACAACAAATTTGCAAGGTCTTACTAGCCCATTTTTTTTTTAGATGAGAAAACTGAAGCTCGGAGTGATTAATTTTATTTCCCTAAGTAATGCAAATTGTAAGTTGCAGAGTCAGTGTTTGCAGCCAAGATTGTGTGATTCCAAACCTGTTTTCTTAGCTATTACACATGGGAGAACAGCACTTGTTGGCAAGTGAAGGATGCTATGGGCATTTTTTAGAACTTAGTAACAGCAACAAGCTTCCCTTAAGTTCTAGGGTTGCAAATATTTGTGCAATGCAAATGAAGAGCAGGGCTTGTGAGGATTGTAGAAAGGTAATTGATGAAGGCTTTACGCTTAAAGTCTGAACACTGAACAACTGTAGAAATACCTGATAAGAACTTTCAGCAGTAGGCACAGAAGTTCTGATACATGGAAGCAGAGATCACCTGGCATAAGAAAGGAAACCAATGTACAACACAGAATTAGAGTAAAATATGGGAATTTAGGTAGGACTAGGACAAAGATGTATCCCTCAACCATTCCCAGCAAAGTACATCATCATTTTTATTCTGAAAACAGTAGATATTAACATTTGACCTATTTGTAGTCTTTTATTTGTAGTTTTGGTATATGCCTTGTAGTGGATTATATGTTTTAAAAAGACTTTGTGATGGTTAATTTCATGTGCTAACTTGACTGGGCCATGGGATGCCCAGACATTTGGTCAAATATCTGTCTGGGTACATCTGTGAGGGTGTCTCTGGATTTGAATTCGTAGGCTGAGTAAAGCAGATTGCCCTTCCTAATGTGAGTGGGCCCCACCCTGGTACCCACCCAATCAATTCAAGATATGAATAAAATAAAATAAGCTGAGCAAGATGGAGCTCCTGTGACCTGACTGCTTTGAGCCAGGACATCAGTCTTTTCCTGCCTTTGGAATCGAACTGAAATATTGGCTCTTCTTGGGTCTTGAGATTGCTAGCATTCAGACTGGATCGACACCATCAGCTTTTCTGGTTCTCTGGCTTTCAAACTCAGATTTGTACTTATACCATCAGCTCTCTTGCATCTCCAGTGTGGGACTCGTCAGCTTCCATTATAGTAAATCTTTGTAATTTTTATAAGGATTAAAGATTGTCATATTAAGGATTATTATTATTCAAGGATTGAATACCACTACTAATAATATATTATATTATTAATTAACATGTCATTATTAATTAATATGTTATATTATTAATAATATGTTATATTATTAATAATATGTTATATCATTAATATGTTATATTATTAATATGTTATATCATTAATATGTTATATTATTAATAATATGTTATATTAATAATATGTTATATTATTAATGTTATATTATTAATATGTTATATTATTAATAATATGTTATATTATTAATGTTATATTATTAATAATATGTTATATTATTAATTATTATGTTATTAATAATAATTATATAATATATTATCATATAAGTATTATTATTGTATTAAGCCAATTACTTATAATAAATATCTCTTGATATATGATATATAATATATAGTATATATTAACTGTATATTTGATACATAAAATATGTAAAATATATATTATATATTTGATATGTATTTTATATATATAATATATATGCACACACATACATCATACACATATATTCTATTCTGTTTTTCTGGAGAATCCTGACTAATGCAGACTCCAACAATATTTCTATTTTCATACACTCTTACAGAACCTTACCATTCCTCTATTAAGAGTGTGTTCCCTCCTCTTGAACCTGTCTGGGTTTAGGACTAATAGAATACAGCAGAAATAACACTGTTTGAGTTTCGAGGCGAGGTCATAAAAGGTGACACAAATTCCAACTGCCACTCTCCCTTGAGACACATGCCTTGGGAGTGTTGAGCTTCCATGGAAGAAGTGCTTGACCAGATATGTGAGTGAGGAAGACTTCCAATGATTTCAGCTCCAGCCACTGCACAAAACAGCCTGAGAAAAAACTGCCCACCTGAGGTCAGTCAACACCCAGTACCTTGTGAGAAAGGTAATAATAATAATTCATTATTGTTTTATGAGACTAGCATGCAGTTTGTTATACAGCAAGAGATAACCAAAATATGTGCACGGAAATAAAAATACATAGAAAGCTATAAACCTAAGTATATGAATGCATAAGGATGTAAATTGGAAGTTATAATTGAGTGATTAAGATATAATAACTATCAGATACAAAAGTGTGTTGTGAGATAGGTGTTTCTATAAACATTTTAGAAACATATAACCAAAAACTGGGTTACACAACTTATAGGTTACTCTCTCATATCAAAAGTTTAAAGAAATTTAATTGCTGACATTTTTAGGTAGAAGTGTGAAGAGAATTTCTTTGGACAAAGCTGCCCAGTGATGGCAACCCTCCCTGTCCTCCCATCATCAAGCAGGAGGGAAAAGGTGCTTCCACAATCTTAAGTCAGTTAGACAGCCCCCAGCGGAGCCACTCAGAGGACTTAGTATCTTACTGCAGCCTGGGAAAGCTAGAGGATGAGAGATGGGCTGGTTAGCTGCTTTAGTGGTTGAGTGAGAAAAGCCTGACGCTAGAATAAGATCAGATAACACTCCTACCCTTTGTTGGGACAAATAACGCTTATTTCCAGTGGACTAGAGGTAGGCTAAGTGGAGACAGACAGTGCTATCCTGTAGATATTTTTAATTCTTTCTAAGAGAGTTACCTGAAAGAATGATAGAGAGTCTGTTTAGAATAAGCCTTCAATGCAAAAAGTGATGAGGGATGAACATGTACCCAGAGGAAAATGCATCACCTATACCATAGGAAATACATTAAATGCTCCTGGGAATTTCTAAAGAATCCACAAAACATACACATAGTCGGCTTCACACATCTTCTTGGCTCAGGGTGCTTGAAGCCATCTTAATATAAGAATAGTCAACTAAGTGATGGCCTGCTCCTCTCTCCACACAGGCCCAGACTCTTTTCTAAACTTTGCTCCAACCCAAAAGGGGTGAGGAAACTTGGTGAGCTAAATGTGGTAGAAGTGGGGAAGATAGGGGAAGAGAGAAGGACTCCCTCACTCCCTGATCTTCTACCTACAGAAGACACTAGCTAAGGGAGAGAAAACAATTTAAATAATTTTAAATTCTGATTATTAAATGAGAGTAGACATTTTACAATTTCTGAATTGAAATTGTATTTCAATAGATAGTTAACCAATAATTATTAAGCAACTATTATGTGGCAGTCACTGTCAGAGGTTTTGAGGATGAAGCTGTGAACAGAACAAAGAAAATCCCCTGCCCTCATGGAACTTACATACTAATGGAGAGATGCAGACAATAAATAAATGAATAGGTTCCATTTATGGTATATTGGATGGTGATATGTGCTGTGGAGAAAATATAACCTGGAAGGGTGGAGGGAGTGCCAGGTGTAGGGTGAGTAGATGATCATAGAAGGCATCCCTGAGGAGATAACACTTTCCATTAATGCTTTATGTTGAAACTATTTTAAAAAATTGAAAGCGCTTCTTCTGTTATTTTAAAAAATTGTATTAGGGGAAATATTGCTAGCAGTTATTCAGGTGAATTGTGCAATCTCATTCTCTTGACACAATACAGATTTATTTTTGGCTCATGTTATAGGCCGACATGGCTCATAGACTTTCAGTTACACAGGCTGTTTGCCTTGAGTGGCTGCTACAGCCCCAACCCCCAAGCCCTTAGAGCCCTGCACTGAATTCGCCTCCCTGGGTCCACAGGTGAGGTGAAGGAGTACATTTGGAGAAAGCACAGCTGTGTTTTATTACTTTAGCCCAGAGGAGACACACATAACTCTCACCCACATCCACTGTCAAGGAGGCACTTGGCCATGCCTAGATGCAAGAGAGTCTAGTAATGAGTCCACAAAGGAGTAGTAAAAATAGATTTTGGTGAATACTATGAGTCTTGGGCCCATATAGCTTCTTGGATTGAGTGGAAGCAAACAGACAAAGAGAAATATTGGGACGCTGGTTGGGCTGGCTAGGCAGGGAAATTGCGCTAACCAATAGTGCCTGATAGAACAGTTTTGGATTATGTTTAATAAATGCTATATGTAATATATAGCATGTAATGTTCAGTACTATAATGGATTTGTTAGGGTAGAATAATTATGAATGACTTTTATCTTGTATTTAATTTTAAATTAATTCTATTTACTAAATAAAAAGGGGGAAACGCAGTTCAAAACAAAGTACAAGATTTGCTTGAGTAAATGTTTGCTATGGTTTTATGGAATGTCATCAAAGTGGCAGAAATGTTTCATTTTAAACCCAAAATATAATTTTCATCTAAGAATGTGCCTTAGGGATTCTTATTCATTGGACAATTTATCAAGAAGTAAAAGGGTATATTTGCAATATGAAGTGTGCTTAAGGCATTAACTAGAGAATTATTAACATACCCAACATGTCTTGTTCTGTTTTAATATCAGATTATTTGTAGACATCATTTATTTAAAAAATAACAAAAGTGTTAGGAATTGAAATAAAGACTGAAACTACATAGATGAGATATAAAGGGATGTATCATATGGTAGTTCTATTTTTAGTTTTCTGAGGCCCCTCCAAACTGTTCTCCATAGTGGCTGTACTAATTTACATTCCCACCAACAGTGTATGAGGGTTCCTCTTCTCCACATCCTCCCCAGCATTCATTGTTTCCTGTATTTTGGATAAAAGCCATGTTAACTGGGGTGAGATGATATCTCATTGAGGTTTTCATTTGCATTTCCCTGATGACTAGTGATACAGAACATTTTTATATAGCTGTTTCCATTTGTATGACTTCTTTTGAGAAATGTCTATTCAGACCTCTTGTCTGTTTCTAAATTGAATTATTATTTTTCCCTATTGAGTTGTTTGAGCTCTTTATATATTAATTCCTTATCACATGGATGGTCTGCAATTTTTTTTTTCCTGTTTAGTGGATTGTCTTTTCATTTTGTTGATTGTTTTTTCATTTTATTTTGTTTTGGTTTGGTTTTTGCCAAACCAGGACAAAAACCCTGGTTTGACAAAGCCCAGGGTTGGGGCTGGAGCGGCCACTCAAGGCAAAGAGCCTGTGTATCTGAAAGTCTATGAGCCATATTGGCCTATAACATGAGCCAAAAATAAACATGTATTGTGTCAAGAGAGTAAGATTGCACGATTTGCCTGAATAACTGCTAGCATTATTTGCCCTAATACAATTTTTTAAAATAACAGAAGTTCTTTCATTTTTTTCTTTCTTTTTTTTTTTTTTTTTTGGTTTTTGCTGTGCAGAAGCTTTTTAGCTTCATGTGATCCATTATCCATTTTTCTGTCTGTGCTTTTCAGGTCTTACTCAATAAATCTTTGCCCAGACCAAGGACCTAGAGTATTTCCCAAGTGTTTTCTCCAAGTAGTTTCATAGTTTCAGATCTTGAATTTTAGTTTTTCTTCTGCATATGGTTATCCAGTTTTCCCAGCAACAAATTTTGAAAAGACTCCTTTTCCCATTGTATGTTCTTGGTACCTCTGTGAAAAATGAGTTGACTGTAAATGCATGAATTTGCTTGATATATATTCAATAGAAAAGAAATCAGTGTATCAAAGAAATCTGTGCACTCCCATGTTTATTGCAGCACTATTCACAATAGCCAAGATAGAGAATCAACCTAAGTATCCATAATAGATGAATGGATAAAGAAAATGTGGTACATGTATACAATACAGTATTATTCAGGCATGAAAAGGAAGAAATTCTGTCATTTTCAGCAACATGGATGGAAATGGAGGACATTATAATAAATGAAATAACCTAGGCCTAGAAAGACAAGACAAATATTGCAGTTTTCACTCATATGGGAAAGCTAAACAAAATTAATTCATGGATATAGAGAGTAGATTGATGGTTACCAGAGGCTAGGAAGGATGGTGGGGAGAGGGGAGAGAGAGGAGAAGGTTAATTGGAACAAAAATACAGTTAAGCAGAAGGAATAAGATCTAATGTTTTGTAGTAAAATAGGGTGAATACAGTTAATATTAATCCATTGTATATTTTACAATAACTAAAAGAGTAGAATTGGAATGTTTCCAACACAATATGTACCCACTGTAAGATATAATTGTTGTATTCCATGTAATAACTGTCCCAGCACTAGTACTGAAAATGTTATTTCTCCATTGATTTGCAGTGAAAGCCCTCTCATTCATCCTTTATCAGGATTCTTTATGTGTGTGGATTGTTTCTGGCTCTTTGTGAAAAAGTTTTGGAGTCCAGATGCAGCGCTGAGATGTTTGATATGCAGGGTATTTATTAGGGATCAGCACTTGCGGAAGGGAGGAAAAGGAAGCAGGATTGGGCAGATAAGAAGTCAACCTGTGGTACAGGGCTAAAAAGAAGACTCAGCCAACCTTGCAGAGAACGTGGGATAGGAATATAACAAGCCTTGAGAATTGTCCCATGGGTAGCTGAAAATCCCTGGCCCTTTTACTTCCTCAATCAGTCCTGGGATGTGGACCACTCTGGGAGGGATGTGCTGTGGAAAGGCAGGCCTCTGCCCAAGGCAAACCCTGAAGAAACTGAGCTGAAGCTATAAGCACACAGCATCAGCAGCAAGTCCTTTCTTGAAGATGGAGGGTCTCTTTGGCCCGTCTCCCAGTCCACTACCTTATTCTCTTCCATTTGTATATTATCATATCCTTAAATCAATAATTAATACCCGGGCGCGGTGGCTCACGTCTGTAATCCCAGCACTTTGGGAGGCGGAGGCAGGCAGATAACCTGAGGTATGGAGTTCAAGACCAGCCTGGCCAACAAAGGGAAACCCCGTCTCCACCAAAAATACAAAAATTAGCCGGGCGCAGTGGCGCGCGCCTGTAATCCCAGCTACTCGGGAGACTGAGACAGGAGAATCGCTTGAACCGAGAGGTGGAGGTTGCGGTGATCTGAGATCGCACCACTGCACTCCAGGCTGGGTGACAGAGCAAGACTCTGTTTCAAGCAAACAAACAAATAAAAAGAATTAATATCTGGGAGGGCGAATCTACCTACCTGACAATTATTCCTCAAAATGGAATGATCTATTATCAGCCTTTTTGTGTCTATTTTAATTTTAGGGTTTTTATACCCAGTTAGAAAATTGCATGAACTTATAATTCAGGAAGAAATAGTATCTCTGCAATATCACCTTACTGTAAAAATATATAATATGCTTCTATTAATTTACAGTTTATTTTATGACCTTTATAAGGCTTTACAATTTTCTCCATAGAGAATTATCATCTTTTCTTAAGTCAATTTCTACTTAAAGTTTTTGCAGATATTTTAAATGGATATTTTTTCCTTTGACAATTTCCATAGCTTTGTTTCTAATATATAGGAACACTTGATTTTGTTTATTCATTTTACATCTGGAAATTATTTTGAACTGTTAGCTGTATTCATTTGTCTATGGATTTTTTTCATAATTTCTGTGTAAACATATCATCTTCAAAATACTCTGTTTTGGCCTAATTTTATCTTTTGATTTTGATGCTTTTAATATGTTTTATTAAAAGAAATTATTATGTAAAAATTATTTTATTTCAAGACCTAAAATTTTCAGTACAATGTTGAATAGAAGCATTGTTTGGTGTCTCATTTTAAAAGGTATGTATCTAAAATTTTACCATTAACTTTTACTTTAGATTTAGGTTATTCATAGATGATTTTTATCTGCTCAAAATAGTCAATAATTGCAGTTTGCTTAGGTTTTTTCTTTTTTTCATAGAAGTGTTGAACAGTATTCAATGCTTATCAACATCTAAGATGAACCTTTGGAGTTTTTCTTTTACCATCTTAATGCTGTATTTTATACTAGATTTTCTGGTGTTGTACTCTCCTTGCATTTCTGGCTTAAAACCAAGTTGCTTATGACTCATCTTTCTTTTTATACATTTTATGTTAGAGTTTTATATAGAATATTTGCATCTGTTCAAAAGTGAGATTGATCTCTAAATTTCTTATCTTGTACTATATCTGTTTGATTTCGGTTTGAAGTTATTCAAGCCTTATAAAATGAGGCATTTCAACTGTTTTTGTTTTCTAAATTGTTTGAAATAATTTTTTAGAATAGAAATTTTTAAAAATTTGTTCGCTTGGCAAAATAAATCCCATATAGAAATAATAAAAGCCTGGAGATTTTAGGGGAAAGGGAGATTGGGGGTACAATTTTTTATTATAAATTCAATTTATTCACTAGCCTTTAGTTTATTCAAGTTTCTAATTTTTCTTGAACAGACTTTATAATTTGTATTTTTTCTAGATAATTATCTTTTTTGTTTTTATTTTTGAATTTATACACAAAATTATTTCTTTAAAGCTTTTGAAATTAAAAAAATCTTTACTGTAGCTGTCTTTTCATTCATAATGGTTTGTCATTTTTAGATAAATATTCATAAATATTTATTTATATTAGTTTAATTTTTTGATATAATATCCACTTCAGTTTATTAAATCAATTGATCAATTGTTATTTTCTAAATTAGCCTTTTTTTTTTTTTTTGTATTTTTAGTAGAGATAGGTTTTCACCATGCTGGCCAGGCTGGTCTAAAACTCTTGACCTCAGGTGATCCACCTGTCTCAGCCTCCCAAAGTCCTGGGATTACAGTGGTGAGCCACTGCTCCCCACCAGTTAGTTTTTACGCTTAATTGTCTCCTTTGTTTTGGTCTTTCTATTATCTCCATAATTTTTTTGCTAGCTGCTTGACTTAACTGCTGAAACCATTTTTTAAATCTTTCTTGATTTTTTTCATAGCCTGTACTTTAAGCTATATTTGTTCCATTAAGACAGCTTTAATTAACAGAAATTTATAGCTTCTTTACTAAAATTAACAGGAATTTATAGGTCCTTTTACTTTCAATTTTAAATGCTTTTTCATGACTGCTATGATTTGACCTTTATTACATGAGCTATTTAGAATTGGATATGTAAGTTTCCAATTGTGTGCGCTTTAAAAAAATTATCATAAATTACTGCTGTTGTATGCTGAGATGCAATGATTTTTTAGAGGAAATAAATGTCAGAGGAACCATGTGCTTAATGACATGGAATTGTGAATTAGGTAAATGCTACTGTGTTCATCCAAATTATTCTCTTTATTATTTGATGATACGATAGCTGATCATAAACAACTATTAATGCTTGCTGATAATGACAGTTTTCCAGGGTAAATGTTCTGGTAGAAGTGTTAGAACCATAGCAGGATCTCCTAGTGCTCCTGAAAGATTAGAAACCTATTCAGTCTCAATTTTTTAAATATGCAAACTGGACAATTTTGTCCTGCCTAATTGTCTAAGTCAGTATTTTAATGATGTCAATACTCACATGTCAAGGAGGAAACACAAAATATTTTTTAACTACAGATAAGATTAAAGGCAAAAACAAGTTTCTACTGCTTATGATGGCAAATTTCATGATTTAAAATTATGTATCAATGAAACAAGTTATTGTCTTGCTATTGCACATCTGCAAAAATGTATCACCAAACGTCATTGGATTTAACATATACATTTTAGCTTAAATTCCAGGCTTCATTTGGATTTTGCTGGTTTTTTGCCAATGTCCTTTTTCAGTTCCAGGATTCAACCCAGAATACGGCGTTGTATTTACTTGTCACATATCCTTAGTCTCTTCCAGTTGGGACAGTTTCTCAGTCTTGCCTTTTCCTTTTCTTTTTAAATATCTTTGATTACTTTGAAGAGTTTTGATTAGAGCAGGTATTTTGTGGCATGTCCTTAAATTTGAGGCCATCTAACATTTACTCATGATTAGACTGAAGTAATGTGATAGAATGTTTTGATTTTCTTTTTTTGTTTTGTTTTTTGAGACGGAGTTTCGCTCTTGTTGCCCAGGCTGGAGTGCAATGGTGTGGTCTCGGCTCACTGCAACCTCCGCCTCCGGGGTTCAAGCGATTCTCTTGTCTCAGCCTCCCGAGTAGTTGGGATTACAGGTGCCCGCCACTACTGTGGCTCATTTTTGTATTTTTAGTGGAAAAGGGGTTTTGCCAGCCACTGAGTCCGGCCGATTTTCTTTGTTTAGTAAAGAGAAATGCATGGTTAGAAAAAAATTCATAGATCTAGAGTCCATTTCTTTCATTGGAAGGTAATTTAAAGTTAATTATTATAATTTTGCCTTATAAATTGTTGGATCTGGATAGTAATGAAAAATTGACGATGATGTTTGACAATAGTGTCATTTGTTTCATTTTGGATGAAAGCTAAAAATGAGTGTCATGAGATCTCTTGTGAATGTGGTTCCTCTATTATAAGTGATATTAAAACAAAACATAGAAACATTGTAAATGCACATTATGCCCCGTGAGGAGCATTTTTGCTAATATATTCCTAAGTAATTCATAAGCAAGGAGCAAGCACACTTGTTATATAAAAAACTTCAAATGTTTATTGATATATATTGATGTCATTCAAAGTGTTTAAGAAAAAGCATCACTATTTTACTAATAACTACGGAATGGTTGTAAATTACTAGTGCAATAATGACTCCATATATTAATTGCTTTCAAAGCAGATGTATAATATTCAAAATTATTTTTTTTTGCTCTTATTTATTAAAATGTATTTTATGTCTATTGAATATAAAGATTGTGCTTGCACTTTGCACATTGTTGTAGTTTTTGTAATTTAATTATTTTATTTTATAAAAATATCAAATTGGAAAAGAATGATTTTTTACCACAAATAGTTTAAAATGCACTCATCTAGACTTTATCTTATCTATTGCTTTCATGATTTTTCATGTTTTCTTGTTCTTATTTCCTTTCCACTTTAAAAAATATTCAACAGAACTTTAAAGGAAGATGTGTTTTCATTTTTCTCTTTTAACATAGAATACATATTAATTTTAAGTCATCTGTAAAGACTGTTTCATAAAAGTAATTTCATCTGAAGTAAATTCCTGAACTGCTTGGTGATTTAAAAATATATTAGCTTTAGACATTTTGAAATAGTAGTTTCTAGAGTTATTTCAAGTGGGCAGTGTTTTCAAGTGTTTGCTTTTTTTTCCTTCTATTTTTATTTCTCTTGTTCTATCTTACTCTCTGCAGACACTTCTCCGGCTGTGAGTTTTCTGTTGCATCCCTGGAGTTTGCCAGACCTCTTGTCCAGAATTAGGTTCTATAAGAGCATCTGAGATCCTGCACCATTATAGTGGGATCATGACAATAATATTTTCAAACAAATGAGCAACTTGCCTCAGTTCTTGAATCTGTGCTTTCTTATTTCTTTGGGACTGCATCCTTCTACAAACCACTGAAAATTCTTTCAAGTGACACTCTTGGTCTTGGGTTTAAAGAGAAAAACTTTGACTCTGGTTTTCTAGTTCCCCAATCTCCCACCCACTCAATCACTTTTGCTCTTTTCTATCTCTCAGGAGCCAACACCTAGGCCCAACTCGCTACTCTTGGTTGAGGGGCCTAACTGGATTCTGCCTTCTCTTCAGCTTATCATTTTAGGCTTTTGTTCTTTTATGGACATTGAAGATATTTTGAGCCTAGTTTTACTATATCTATAATTACTATCAGAACAACAACAACAAAATATTAAACCATAGTGTGAATGTATAGATCTATTTTGATAAGAAGCCTTCCATTTTTCCATCTCAAATGTTTTATTAGGAAAGCAAAACTGCAACTTTATCAGACTAACATTTTGTATATATTAATTACAATAGTTTTGAGGGTACAGGGGATTTTTAATATAAACAACACATAATTATTTTTGGTTACATGTATAAGTTCTTTAGTGGTGATTTCTGAGATTTTGGTGCAGCAGTGTACACTATACCCAATATGTAGTCTTTTATCCCTCACCCACCTCCCAGTTTTTTCCCTGGGAGAAATCCATTATATTATTCTCCAACCTTTGCGTCCTCATAACTTAGCTCCCAAATATAAGTGGAAACATATGACATTTGGTTTCCCGTTCCTGAGTTACTTCACTTACAATAATGGCCTCCAGCTCCATTCAAGTTGGTGCAAAGGCCATTATTTCATTCCTTTTTATGACTGAGTAGTATTCCACGGCGTATATATACCACATTTTCTTTATCCACTCATTGGTTGATGGGTATATAGGATGGTTCCATATTTTTGCAATTGTGAATTGTGCTGCCATAAACATGCAAGTGCATGTGTCTTTTTCATATAATGACTTCTTTTCCTTTGGGTAGATAACCAGTAGTGGGAATGCTGAGTTGAATGGTAGTTCTACTTTTAGTTCTTTAAGACATCTCCATACTGTTTTCCATAGTGGTTGTACAGTTTACATCCCAGACAGCAGTGTAAAAGTGTTCTCTTTTACCACATTCATGCCAACCTCTATTATTTTATTTTTTAATCATGGCCATTTTTGCAGGAGTAAGGTGGTATCTCATTGTGGTTTTAATTTGCATCTCCCTAATAATTAGTGATGCTGAGCATTTTTTCATATGTTGTTGGCTGTTTGTATATCTTCTTTGGAGAATTATTTATTCATGTCCTTTGCCCACTTTTTGATGGGATTATTTGTTTTTTTCTTGCTAATTAGATTGAGTTCCTTGTAGATTTTGGATATTAGTCCTTTGTTGGATGTATACTTTGTAATTATTTTACCCCACTCTGTGGCTTGTCTGTTTATTCTGCTGATTATTTCTTTTGCTGTGCAGAAGCTTTTTAGTTTAATTAGGTCCCATTTATTTACTTTTGTTTTTGTTGCATTTGCTTTTAGGGTCTTAGTCATGAATTCCTTGCTTAAGCCAATGTCTAGAAAAGTTTTTCTAACGTTATCTTCTAGAATTTTTATGGTTTCAGGTCTTAGATTTAAGTCTTTGATCCATCTTGAGTTGATTTTTGTATAAGGTGAGAGATGAGGATCCAGTTTCACTCTTCTACAAGTGGCTTGCCAATTTTCCCAGCACCATTTATTGAATAGGGTGTCCTTTCCCCACTTTATTTGGCTTTATTTCTGAGTTCTCTACTCTGTTCCTTTGGTCTGCATGCCTATTTTTATACCAGAATCATGCTGTTTTGGTAACTATAGCCTTGTTCTATAATTTGAAGTTAGATAATGTGATGCCTCCAGCAATACTTTTTGCTTAGTATTGCTTTTGCTATGCAGGCTCTTTTTTGGTTCCATATATATTTTAGGGTTGTTTTTTTCTAGTTCCGTGAAGAATGATGATGGTATTTTGATGGGGATTGCATTGGACAGTATAGCCATTTTTACAATATTGATTCAATAAATCACTCTGGACAATATAGCCATTTTTACAATATTGATTCTACCCATCCATGAGCATAGGACATATTTCCATTTGTTTACGTCATCTGTGATTTCTTTCGGCAGTGTTTTGTAGTTTTCCTTGTAGAAACCTCTCTCCTTCGTTAAGTGTGTTTCTAAGTATTTTATGTTTTTTTGCAGATGTTATAAAAAGAGTTGAGTTCTTGTTTCGATTCTCAGCTTGGTCATTGTTGGTGTATAGCAGTGCTATTGATTTGTGTGCATTGATTTTGTATCCTAAGAGCTTACTGAATTTATTTCTTAGATCTAGGAGGTTTTGGATGAGTCTTTAGGTTTTCTAGGTATATAATCATATCATCAGTGAACAGTGACAGTTTGACTTCCTTGATTTCTTTCTCTTGTCTGATTGCTCTGGCTAGGGCTCACAGTACTATGTTGAATTGAAATGATGAAAGTGGGCATCCTTGTCTTGTTCTAGTTCTCAGGGGGAATGCTTTCAGCTTTCTCATTCAGTCTGATGTTGGCTGTGGGTTTGTCAGAGATGGCTTTTATTACTTTGAGGTATGCCCTTTCTATGCCAATTTTGTTGAGTGTTTTTATCATGAAGGGATGTTGAATTTTATCGAATGCTTTTTCTGCCTCTACTGAGATGATCATATGATTTTTGTTTTAAATTTCATTTATATGATGAGTCACATTTATTGACTTGTGTGTGTTAAACCATCCCTGCATCACTGGTATGAAACCCAATTGATCATGATGTATTATCTTTTTTATATGCTATTAGACTCAGTTAGCTAGCATTTTGTTAAGGATTTTTGCATCTATATTCATCAGGGTTACTGGTCTGTAGTTTTCTCTTTTTTTTTTTATGTCTTTTCCTGGTTTTGATATTAGGGTGGTGATATTGGCTTCATAGAGTGATTTAGGGAGCATTCCCTCTTTCTCTATCTTTTGAAATAGTTTCAGTAGGATTGGTACCAATTCCTCTTTGAATGAGCATCTGATAGAATTGAGCTGTGAATCCATCTGATCCTGGACTTCTTTTGGTTGGCAATTTTTTTATTACTGTTTCAGTCACACTACTTGTTATTGATGTGTTCAGAGTTTCTATTTCTTCCTGATTTAATCTAGGAGAATTGTACATTTCCAGAAATGTATCCATCTTCTCTATATTTTCTAGTTTGTGTGCATAAAGGTGTTCATTGTAGTCTTGGATGATCTTTTGTATTTCTGTGATATTGATTATAATATCACCTGTTTCATTTCTAATTGAGCTTATTTGGATCTTCTCTCTTCTTATCTTGGTTAATCTTGCTAATGGTATCTCAATTTTGTTTATCTTGTCAGAGAAGAAGCTTTTTGTTTTATTTATCTTTTTGTATTTTTTGTTTGTTTCAATGCATTTAGTTCTGTTCTGATCTTATTTCTTTTCTTCTGCTCGGTTTGGGTTTTATTCTTGTTTCTCTAGTTTCTTGAGGTGTGGTATTACGTTGCCTATTTGTGCTCTTTCAGGCTTTTTTTATGTAGGGATTTAATGTTATGAACTTTTCTCTTAGCACCACTTTTGCTTTATCCCAGAGGTTTTGATAAGTTGTGTGTCACCATTATTGTCCATTTCAAAGAATTTTTTAATGTCCATATTGACTTCATTGTGAACTCAAAGATAATTTAAGAGCAGATTATTTATTTCATTCCCATGTATTTGTAAAGTTTTTGGGGCTCATTTTTGTGTTGATTTTTAGTTTTATTCCTCTGTGGTCTGAGAAGATACTTGATATGATGTCAATTTTCATAAATATACTGAGACTTGTTTGGTTGCCTATCATATGGTCTATCTTGGAGAATGTTCCATGTGCTGATGAGAAGAATGTATATTCTGCATTCATTGGGAAGAATGTTCCATAAATATCTGTTAAGTCCATTTGTTCTAGGGTATAGTTTAAGTCCATTGTTTCTCTGTTGACTTTCTGTCCTGATGATCTGTCCAGCACTGTCAGTGGAGTATTTAAATCCCCCACTGTTATTATGTGACTATCTCATTACTTAGGTCTAGTAGTAACTGTTTTGTAAATTTGGGAGCTTCAGTGTTAGGTTCATATATATTTAGAAGTGTAATATATTTTTGTAAGGCTAATCTTTTTATCATTATATAATGGCCTTCATTGTCTATTTTTACTGTTGTGGCTTTAACATCTGTTTTGTCTGATATAAGAATAGCTGTTCCTGCTTACTTTTGGTTTCCATTTGCATGGAATATCTTTTTACACCCCTTTACCTTAAGTTTATGTGAGTCCTTATGTGTTAGGTGTGTCTCTAAAGGACAGCAGATACTTGGTTGGTGGTTTTTTTTTTTTTTTAATCTATTCTGCCATTCTGTATCTTTTAAGTGGAGCATTTAGGCCATTTACTTTCAACATTAGTATTGAGATATGAGATACTGTTCTATTCATCACATTAGTTGTTGCTTAAATATCTTGTTCTATTGTTTTCATTGTGTTATTGTTAATTAAGCCCTGTGAGATTTATGCTTTAAGGAAGTTGTATTTTGGTGTATATTGAGGTTTTGTTTCAAGATTTAGGACTTCTTTTAGCATATCTTGTAGTGCTTGTTGGGTAGTGGCCATTCTCTCAGCATGTGTTTGTGTGTAAATGACTATCTCTCCTTCATTTATGAAGCTTCATTTTGCTGGATATGAAATTCTTGACCAACAATTATTTTATTTAAGGACCCCAGTCCCTTCTGATCTAGTATGTTTTTAGTGCTTCTTTACTGAATGTCACTAAATGAATACGGACATTATCACTAGTAGTACCTAATTCAGAATTGCCATTTTTTGGTCTGTGAGGATACATTTAAATACAAAAAAAATTCTTCCAGACACTGAAATTTAGGTGAAATACAGCTTGGCTTCAAATTCTGTTTTATTGGTCCTTCTGCACTTTCAGTAACTAAGATAATACAATATAAAAAGACATGGCATCATAGAAATTCAATAAGTGAAATTCTTCTTAGTCATATCAGAAAAGAAGCAAGATACCCCTTTTTATGGTGAAGTTTGCTTTCTATTATTAGTAATTTTTCCTTGCTACCCTAGATTATCATTACTTTTTCTACATTTTTCTGCCTGTTTTCATACCAACTATATAAAGTTTGTGGTGCCTATAAAAACTTAAAGATATTTCAAGTCAGGCTTGACAGCTAGATTTATTTTTGAGAATGAGTAATATTACTACTAAAATAGTATTTTTCATTTTAAATATTAATAGAACAAAAGGATGATATGTTCACTATGTTTTATGAATGAATATAGGTTCTCTTGTTTTATACTGAGGCAATTAATTTGGGTTTAGCATACTCTGAATAGTGACTAAATACTTAGACAATTGATTTTGGAAATACATTAACATGTTTAGACTATAAAAATATATTTAATATTCTCAAATAAACTTATTTATTTGGAAAACATTCTCAAATTTATTGGGAAGAAATAATGCATTTAAAAAGATAATATTCTACCTATTTGCTTTTAAGATAAAATCCAGAGTGAAAACCTGAAATAGCAAACATATGAGAATGGATGGAGTCTGATAAGAAGACGTGTTTGTCTTTATGGCAGATATCAATGATTGCTCACCCAATGGCCATTTTCTCCTGCTTTTTCCATTCTGACAGAATTTGCCACCCACCATAGAGGCAGAAAAAGTCCAGATGTCCATTTTCTGGTATCCCTGATAGTTAAGTCCAACGGGATGGAAGAAGTGCTACATGTTTCTGGAACGGTTTTACTATTTTAAAATAAGAGAGACCAGTGAAAAGAAATACCTTCTTCCTTGCTGCTTTTGGACATTGTCCTGGGAGGATGAAATGGTGAAAATTATGACAGTCATTCTGTAATCATAGCAAGTAAGCCAAAGGCTCTAACAATTCTGGGCTGTGGAAAAAATAAACTTTGTAACTGCTCTCATCTGGACTTTCTGTTACATCATGTAATAAACCTCTGCTTTTAGTTAGGTACCATCTTGACTGAGATAGTCTCTACTGAAGAGCTGGATTAATTCTACTCTATGAAGATATTAAGAAGTAGCTAAAATATGCTCATGTTGGTGGTCAGTGCCTGATGTAGGGACATGAGTGGATGGGTGAAGGGTTAAGAATGTTTGTCTGTAAAGTTGAAATTATAATTTTATGTTTATCGGAACTAATATTTAGTAAAATTAAGTTTATTTTTTAATAGACTAAAGGAAACCTAATGCTGGTATTATGAATTTATGTGAGACTAAACATCAGCTTTTGGCATGGGCAATTATGGTTTTTAGAAAAGTAAGATGGCGGGGGAAAGAACTTAGGTAAAGCAGGAATGTTGAGAGTGAGTTATGCCTAATTTTGCCTCTGTAAGCACCAGAATCTTCTCTTTAATAATTGCTTAAATGTCAACCAATTCATGATGTTTATAATAACATTTAATTGTTTTTAAAATTTATGAATTTATGAAGGCAAGTTTATTTGAGAGTAAGAAACCACACTTCAGAGGGTTTTTTTTTTTTTTTTAATGAAGTCTTGCTTTTGTTGCCCAGGCTGGAGTGCAGTGGCATGATCTCGGTTCACTGCAACCTCTGCCTCCCGGTTTCAAGCAATTCTCGTGCCTCAGCCTCCTGAGGAGCTGGGATTACAGGTACCTGCCACTACACCCAGCTAATTTTTGTATTTTTCATAGAGATGGGGTTTCGCCACGTTGGCCAGGCTGTTCTTGAACTCCTGATCTCATGATCTCTCCACCTCAGCCTTCCAAAGTGCTGGGATTACTGGCATGAGCCACTGCACCTGGCCTAGAGGTTTTTACTTGTGCACAATTATAGAAAATGTATTACAGATCAATATACTGTGAGATTCCAGTATTAACATTTAAATCTATTCTCAGCATGGTCTCAGGAGGGAAGAATCTTAGCTTGGTGAGAAATATAATTCTCTAATCATTTAGCCTCCAAAGTTTTGCTGATCTTCTTGTGCATTCCTTCATTCTGCCACAGAAGGATTCATTGGGCAGGACTAACTGATGCCAGGGAACAAAAATATATAAACTTTTACTTAGGGATACAGATGCTTTTCAGTTGCTTGGCCCTGAGACATTCTTTCTATAATGACAATAGTCTTTACTGTTTGGAAAATTTTGAAAATTCTGATACTTATTATGCAGTGGGGATGAGGTTTTCTGGAAGGGAAATTCTGGATCTATGTCTTTCTGGAAAGACATATGGATGTCATTATGTCCTATGTAAGACAATTTGATGGCGCAAAATTAAAGAATGATTGTTTTAATTATTAACTCCTAATGTAATATTAGCATCATGGCAAAATGTGAATTTCTGGCATTGCAACTCCAGCCGTTTTGAGCTCACTAGAGAACTATGAAAGAAAAGTAGGATTTTGCTCCTATAAAACCTGAAGAATATAATATTTTCTCCCCCAACGTGGAATCCTCTAGAGGAGCAGCTTGATATAGTAGAAAAAGCACCAAAATAAGGTTTATATGTTTTAAGCTCTAAGTTTTGTTTCTTTTTTTTTTATTCACTGATCATTTAATTTGTGACAAACTTTCACCTTTCTTAAGCCCTGATTTTTTTCTTATATAATAAAGATAATAATTTCTTTCTTGCAAGAGTAGCATTTTGTGGAGATTCAAAGAACTAATATGTTTCAATGTGTTTCCAAAGCTCTAAAGCATTTACAAGTGTTGTCATCTTATCTTTTGGGCTGTAGAAATTTGAAAGCTGTTACTTGGAAAAGTGGAGCCTCTGAGAAGCAGGCATACTGATATCGGAAATGACAGGTGACAACCTGACCACAAAAATGAACTGGAAACCAAAGTACAACATTGGCAGTCATAATGGTGACTGATCATTAATGGAAAGGTGGATTATGTTTAGAATCATCTGTTTTTAAAAAGCACACAGATGTGCAGTCAAACAGCGTTTTTTTAATGGTTAAATAATTTGGATCATATGAGGGTGAGGTTTAGCTGATTAGAAAATGGACACATGTGTTTTATATTACTTCCCAAATGTCTTATAAATAGAGGCACTGATTGCCTTTGGTTCAGGCTGTATTTTCCAGGGTGAAAACACGTTTTGTTGCCCTGGTTCATGCACTAGGCACAAGGCAAAATTTAGCCTCTCAAAGTCTTGAATTAATCATAAATTTTTACCCAAGTATTTTTCTCCAAACTATTTCATACCCTGCACACCAAAATATTCAAACTCTTTGGGCTTCTTTTTGAGCCATGTTTTCCATTGACTTTCCCTCCCTCCCTCTCTGGCTGAACATCTGTCCAGTTATTCCCCTTATTATGCATTGGTCAAACATCTGTGAGAGATAAGCTCCAATATTCTCTGGTATGGATTCTGTGGTGATTTGAAATATTTTTGAATTTTTTAAAATACCACTCCCATCAAAAGGGTGTCCAATTGCCTTTCTTTGAATATAGAACCATCTTAACATGAAAAAAATAGAAAAGATCTGAGAGTTTACTCTACATTCAAGCTAATGAGTTTGCCTGCTACAGTTTTAGGATTGCTTGAAGCCTCCTGAGTCAGAAAAGAATTTTATAACAATAACAACAGCCCGAGTATCAGCATTTTCTGGTCCCTAATTACCTAAACTCTAATTCCCCCAGGGAGGCAAAAAGAGGATCAGGTGACATCTGCACACATAGGAAAGAAACTTGAGCTTAGAGAACTCAAATCTTTTAGAAAAGGTTAGTATGCATGTCTTCTTTTCCTTTGGAGGGAGTCATTATCTTTTATTATATTGGGTAGTAAGCATGACTGCCCATTTCTCAGGAGTGTCCACTGTATATTTTAATGCTGTCGACTGTATAAGCATTTTTGAAAAGATAGCCTAGACCAAAGGCAGTCAGAGCCTCTATTCACAAGACATGCAGAAACACAAGAGACTATGGTGAAGCATCTCCCAACACCTCCCAAAATAATCATGGTTGACTTCTGAGGCTAGGTGTACCTTTCACAGATTTAGTGGGGGTTCCAGCTGAATCCAGACAGATGAGTACTCAACTGCCAGACATGTGAGTAAGGTAGCCTTCAGTTGATTCCAGTTCCCAGGATTCATGCCATTCCAGCTAAAAAGTAGAGCAGAGATAAGAAGTTCCCCCCAGGCCATGTTCACATTGCAGATTTATGAGTAAAATAAATGTTTTTTAAGCCATTGTGTTTTGGAGCAGTTTTTTTATGCAGCAGCAGATAACCAGAACACACTGTTTAGCTTAATGCTGCTCTGTAAAGGCAAACCTTCCACTAGATTTACCCCAGCTGTGAGATTAGAAGCCCCAATGCAAAAATTCTGGATAAAATATGTTTTATTGTTCTTGTACCATATAAACAAATAAACAAAATAACATAGCAAGGGAAATTGTAGCTTTAATGAGGAAAATATATTAACATCAAGATTTAAAGGGATTGCGCTTAAGTGAGACTTTTTGCCATTTCAGTATCTACCTACATGATCTTTCCTCTATAGGAAGCCAAACGATATATTTGCTAATAAATTTTCCTCACAGCGCAGTCTTCCATAATCTGTGTTTCCTTGCCATAACCTAAAGAACATAGAGAATACAAAGATGTTCTATGTATGTAGTCTTGGGTTTGTCACTAAAACTACTTCCCACATACTGGGGTCTACAAAATATAATTTGTAAAAATGCTTTGGTGACCAACTCTGCCAGGCATCTAGCAAAGGAGGTAGCAGCATCACCAGGTCAGACCCAGTTAATTCTGACAAAATGTTTGTTTGGGGTGAAATTTTCTCGCCAAGAAGTAAACTTGAGAGAGTAGAGTTGTATCTGTTTTCGTCTCTAGCTTATCAAGTCTGTTTGTTCTCTTTTTTTTTTTTTTTTAATTTGAGACAGAGTCTCATTCTGTCACCCAGAATGGAGTGCACCGGTGCGATCTCTGCTCACTGCAACCTCTGTCTCCCAGGCTCAAGCGATTCTCCTGCCTCAACCTCCCGAGTAGTTGGGACTACAGGTATGTACCACCACTGCCCTGCCAATTTTTGTGTTTTCAGTACAGATGTGGTTTTACCATATTGGCCAGGGTGGTCTCGAACTCCTGACCTCAATGATCCACTCACCTCGGCCTCCCAAAGTGTTGGGATTACAGGCGTGAGCCACTGCACCTGGTTTGTGCTCCCATTCTTATAATGATATTCAGTCCTTGTTCCCTGAAAGCAGTCATGTTTCAGTGTTCATACTGAATTAGGTTCACTTAGATGAGAGAGGTATAAATTTGCTCTGTCTTCTTGACTATAAATTGACTTGATCTGGCCATTTCTGATTCTCTAAGCTCTATATCAGAGTATTGGTTTGCTATAAACATCTTGCAAGTCTGAACATACATAGAGCATATCATCTCTCTGCCATCTTGTAGTTATTAGCTCAACATAATTACCCCAGTGATCTCTCTACCTCACTGTGTTTTTCTTTGAGGGCTGTTAGGTATCTTTCCTCAGAGGTAGATGCTTTTGGAGCATTCAATTCAATTAATTCCAAATACTATATCTTGCAACCATACAGTTAATCTCTGACACTTCTCAGTCTCCGAGTCCTGCCATCTCTATAATATTACATGGGCTTTATTAAACCTTGAATGTCTTCTTTTATTAAACCATGCATGTCTCAAAGGCTGATACTTTCCTCCCTAAGGATGTCTTCAATTCTTGGCAAAATGTGACCGAAACCAGTCATTTTGAAAGTCTGTTATAAAATTTTAATTCGGCCTACAGATGACGTGGATTTTGTTGGTAATGTTACTCCAAAATACACCAAAGCTTACTGGGACACAGCTATATCCATTAATTTACGTATTTTCTATGCTGCTTTTGTGCTACAGTTAAAGAGTTGAGTCATCATGACAGAGACCATATGGCCCACAAAGCCTAAAAAGTTTGCCAAACCCTGTCTCATATGGCTGTTACACTTATTTGTGTGTGTTTTTCATCTTTTCTCACCCTCTGTGTCCTTTAGTCTGGATATTTTCTATTGGCCTATCTTTCAGTAAATGAATCCTCTAATCTTCTTTTCAGCTGGTTTTAATCTATGGCTAAACCCATCTATTGAGTCCTTAAATTCACTGATTATATTTTTCATATCAAGAATTTCTATGTAATTTCTCTTTTATAGAATTTTTTGATTGCTGGTGAAATTCTTCTTTTGTATTTATATGTTGAATATATTACTTAAAGTTATTTTAAAGTTCACATTTTGCAAGCCAATATTTGGATCACCTGTGGGACTATTTCTATTTTCT
Source organism: Homo sapiens (assembly GCF_000001405.40). NCBI lineage: Eukaryota > Metazoa > Chordata > Mammalia > Primates > Hominidae > Homo > Homo sapiens. Next base: position 112,594,501 of record NC_000006.12, read on the forward strand.
GTTGTTTCTCTTGGCCTTTGTTTATTTCATTTTGACTTATGGTAATTTTTCTTTGAAAATGCCAGATATAATGGTTAAAAAAGGACAGAGATATTCTGAATCTCTGGCTGAGATCATCTTCGTTGACAGAAGCAATTTCTTTCCAGTAGGCAGTTACAGTAAGAAAGAGTACCTTAATACCAGTCATGAGGTGGTTGAACACTGGTTTTGAGTTTTTCATGATGGTTGTTCAAGTTATCCTTACCCTTAGAGCGTAGCTCTTCTAATGTCCTAGTTGGATGACTAGGGTATTTACCAGAGCCCTTCCTACTTTGTGTGGCCTGAACTCCAGGTTTTGTCTTCTCAGCCCCTTGAAGTTTCCAGTAGTTCTGCTCAGCTTCTTGTCTCTTCACTGCCACCTTCTGATTAGTTTCTCAGTCTACCTAGCTACTTACAGATTGCCACAGAAAAAGCAGTACATAATGTTAGGCCTCTTCAAAGGAGCATTCATTTTCTCCAAGATCTTTGTCCTCTCAAGTCCTGGATGACTTAGTAGCTTTCTGATGGTTTCCAATGTATTTTTTTCATTTGTATGTAAATATTCTGAATAGCTTTTCTAGTCACTCTTGGAACAGTTCAGCAGGGGTTGGAGGAGTGGGGATGGTTCGTGACAAAGCATTCAACCATTACCCTCAATAAGCAAATTCTTATTATTTTTGATAAGTTGTTTAGTTCTTTTTCTTATTTCAGTGGGTTTAGGACCATGGATTTCTGTCTCTGGCCCCCTGTACTGGAAAAGAAAATTACCCTAAGATAGGTTTTTTTCTCCAGAACTTTGTTTTGTGTTGGTCGCCTGTGGGGGACACCTGCTCTGGAAGGAAGCCACACCACACAGTTTGTTGATTTATTTTAGCCTGTAAGAAATCCCTGTTGCACTGAATTTGCTTGTCTTGGCTGCCTGCCTTACTGCCTGTCTTTACCTTGCCAAATTAGGAGTTTTATATAGGATTCTTTTGAGATTCCTCCATTTATTTCCCCAACATTCTCTTTTTCACCTTCAGAGGAATTGTGAGTCAGTGAGGTGTGCCTGCTTCTACACTGAACCATACATTCTATAGTATGAAACTTCATGGAATTCATATACCATTTTTCTTTCTTTTTTAAAAAATTTCTCCATTTATTTTGACTGTTCACCTTTAGAAATCATTACATCTAGCAAAACCATTTCCTAGGGCTTCATTTCAAGTTTATTATTATTATTTTTAGCAATGAACATTTTTATAGCACTCTACATGTGCCAGACAATCCACTAAGCACTTGACATATATTAATTCATGTATTTTCCGCACTTTACAGATAAGAAAACTGAAGCACAATGATCTTAACCAACTTTCCCAATGTCAGAGCTAGTAAGAGCCTGGGCCATAGCCCCAGGAATTCTAGTTTCTTAACCCAGCTCGGAAGTTTGACTTGGATGTTCATGTGATAGAATGGTAGAGAATGGAAGAAAATAACAAATCACAAGTATTTCCCAGTTAGTAACTCCTCAAACCCAAGGATGACTAAGGTTGACTCCCAGCACTTGGCATGTCATGGTTCTATCCTGCTAATTCCATATTCTAAAGCTCATTTGTGGCTGGCTGTCTGGAAGGGGAGAAAAATCTCTCAGACCCTCTGTTGGCCGGAAGTGTTTGGCATTTTGGGTGAGTGAGGGTGTGAAGAGCAGCTTGTAATTCCATAGGATGTCTGGACCACACTGAATTTTTCTTACTCCCATTTCTAGTTCAGCTTTTCCTCCAATACATGCATATCTTTCTCCTTGACAATCTACACAACTTTGCTCAAAAGTCACCTTCTAAGCCAAGCTCTCTCTGATGATCTCATTTAAAATTGCAAGTGCTCTGTCCACAGACAACCAAACTCCTACCTTATTTATTATAACACTTATTGTCTCTGACATACAACACAGTTTATTTACTGTCTGTCCCCTACTCCAATGCTATATCATTACTACCTAGAAGATTGTCAGACACATATTAGATGCTTATTAAAATTTGTTGAATAAATGAAGAATAACAACTTTAAAAATCAGTTGAATATATTTTAAACTGCTAGAGAAAAAAGTTCAGTGAGGAAAAATTAACTGATTTCAGGGATCACTCTCTTTCATTGCCTGATGCTCAGTGTCTTGAAAACTGTTGTTTTACACATTTTCTCCATTTTATGATTGCTTCAAATGGGAGAACAAATTGATTTTCTTTTATTTCATCTTGGCCAGAAGAAGAATTTCATGCTTTATCTTTTATTTATTTGTTAGTTCCGTAAATGTGGGGGACTTTTCTGTTTGCTTCCATCAATATCTGTCCCAATGATTTGTATTCATATGTATTCTCCGTAACCTATTTTCTGTAATGTCCAGTTACCTAACCACTGGAAAGAGTTTTCTTTGCTGCAGCCCAGAGCATAAGACAGATATATGTTCTGAATGTAATTTACATGTGAATATCTTAATATTGTGTGACAGCAGTGACTTTAATCTTATAACCCTCTTTCTCCTAGACTAGGTGATTAGAAAGGGAATTAAGATGACTTTATTTCCATCATATTACCGGGGCTTAAATTGAACAGGAAATGCCAATATCTTAGAGTTTTCACTGTATAATCTTTGCATGGAGAGATACATGTTGAAAATACAGTTCATCTATAATGGGAGAGAGAGCAATCTGCTACTCCACTACTAAAAAATATAATTAAATTCCTTATTGCTACTTGCTACTTATTTTACATAGCCGAACATGAAATACAAAATGTAAGAAACAATCACCTCATTTGCACAGTCCATCAGAGTAGTTGTAATCTTTTGATTTGGAAACCTCATTAACATAATTTCAGCATGTCAGTGGAAGTCCATTTTGATAGCATTATTATTTGGCTTTTCTGAAGCTGTGCTAGATAAATTAAGTGACTCTCCACCTGTCAAGGGTTGAGTGTTGTTGCCAGAAACAATAGAAACAGAAACACAAGAATCAGGAAACCTTCAACATACACCAAATTTTCAGAGATTTTCCACCTGAATGTTAAATTTGAAAAAATAAATTCAATAATCTTAATAATTTATTAAAGCAACAGTTACCTATAAACAAGAATTATGTTTCATGAAGGACTCTCTTTGACCCAGGGGAATGAAAAATAGAAAGTGGATTAGATTACTAAGAATGGGAATTCCCTGCTTGGAGCATTAGACATATGCTTTGGGGTTTAGGAGACACAAAGCTTGTCAAGCTACTTTGTAATTCAGGCCTGGAGCTTCTTTAAATGCATGGCCAGTCTTTAGTTTCAGACAACATATTGCTCGTTAGCTTTTCCTCAGATACAATCTTAGTGTTCATTTCTTTTCAGGTGCTGAGTTCTGCATTTCGTGACACCAGTTATGGAATGGGTGACCTTAATTGTCTACTGCATGTTTCCTGGGCCGGAATGCCAATTGGATAACAGGAGGGTCATGGTTGCCCTGTGGACAGGTTGATGGAAAGTTGTAAGCCAGGACTTGGCTGACGCAGAAGAAGACATAGACTGCAAAAACTGATTGATCATGAAAAGTAAACTTGCAAAGGACAGCACGCATGCACTCTGAAGCCTACAGGAGAGGTGCTCACACTTACACCTCCCATGGCTTTATTGCCATGCTTTATTCATTCATTTCCTTAGTATGCCCCAATAGATGATGGTGGACACAAGCATTTGATGATAGTTTCTTAACCAATTTCTACCTCTTAAACAACTCCTGAATAATAAAAAACAATAAATTTTATCTATAGAGATGAAAAGATCTTAGAAATTATTTGAGGTAGTTCACCTTAATGAGAATGAGAAGGAAAATAAGTTGCCCAAGGTCATAGAGATTTTAAGGCACATAGAGTCTGTTTTAAGGTACGTAGAGTCTGTGTATGCACATTATCTCATTTAGTCTTCATTGTGTCTCTGTGAGGTAGTCGTGGAAACTGGCATAATTGCTATTTTATTGAGGAGAATGTTGAGTTTCAGAAATTTTAATACCCAACATAAGAAGAAAAGTGAGGTATAAAATCAGGTCTTGAACTCAGAGCTTTAACTCCTCCTGCAATATTCTGTGGCCTCTGAGTTGTGCCCAGAATGAGAATTTTAATAAACCCTGGCCTGTATTAGCTTCCTACTATTTTTACTAAACCATTACTTTTTTTCCTTGAATAAAACTTGGTATGTTAGCTCACAAAATCTGTTGTTCTATTATTCCATGTTCTGTGTAATTCTTACCAACAAACTTATTATTATCAATAAAGCAAACCAAAAAAAAAAAGATTCATGGAGAACTATTGTTTTTCTATTCTAATTCCTGCCATCATCTTGTGTAAATTTAATATCTACACAGATAACATTACCTTCACCTCTTATGCCCTTGGCCTTCGAACTCCTTGACTTTTTAACCTGTTTTCCTGACCCCATATTGGATTAGTCAACTATAGGAAATACGTTGCCTCCATAATGTTAAAGACCAACATCTTAAGGGGATAATTATACTAGGCAGGGGTGGAAGTGTTGGCAGTGGAAAGATAGTCAAGGTTGGCACTGGTCGTGTTACCAGTTGTGAATTTTATTTTTAATGTAACAGAAAACCACTGAAACGTTTTCAGTAACAGAGTGACATAATCAGATTTGCAATAAAAAAGAAACACACTGTTGTCTGGAAAACAAAATGAAGAGGGACAAAGGCAATTTCAAGCAATTAGATGATTATTAAAAGAGTTGATGATGGTTTGTATCGGGTTGATGGCAATGGGAATAGGGAGAATTTTTAGGAGCTAGAATTAATAGGACATGGTCATTGGTTGAATATAGGACTCAAGGGAAACGAAGCATTTAATAATAATAATAAATAGTGTTAGGCTTGGAAAACTAAGAGTAGCTGTGGAAATACTTACTGAGATAGGGAACACTGAAAAAGAAATAGGGTTAAATTTGGGAGGAAAGGCAGATGGGAAAATGGTGAAATTAGGATTCAATACGTTCATTTGTGGTAACATAGAGAAATCTGAGTCCTACAGGGAGTACGATACATGAGACTGAAGTTAAGAATAAGAGAGGTTCAAGAGCAGAAGGAGACTCTGGGAAATAGGTTATGACAGATACTGTAGGTGGTGGATGCTCCAAGGATGCAGATGTAATCAAATGATTCCAGCTGCAAAGTGAAGATCCATCGCATTTAGCAACATTGAAGTCAGATATGTTTTTAGTATGAGTTATTTCAATAGATTAGTGGTAGAATCTAGAATTCAGTGGGTTGAGGAATGAGGATAATGTGAGAAAATAGAGGGAGGAATTGCAAATACTTCTTTTAAGAAGTGAGTCAATAATCCAAATACAAATCTCGATGCTATCTAAAACTGCTCTTCGTACTCATTGCCTAGATAAAAATCAATCACTCAAAACTGGCAGCTCTACCTCTTCTTTTTCAGATTCATACCCACCATCTCTATCAGACTCCCTTAGCCTAGTTCCTCTTAATTTTTACTTGGGTCTCCTCATCTTCAGCCCTCTTAGGTACATCATTTGAAAGCTACTGGAATGACCTTTAGAAAACTCATATACTCTTCAAAATCCTTCCATTTCTCTCCTTGTGGCTAACTTCCATTCTCTCCAGCCTGACATGGCCATTCCTGGTGCATCTCACATTCTAGCTACAGAATACTATTTCAACTTCCTTCAAGTGTCTTCTTTGCTTGGCATATGCTGTTTATTTTCCAAGAATGCTTTTAATCCCTTCCTCATTCTACGTCACTTGGTAGATTCTTCTTCAGCCATCAAAATTCAGCTAAGATTTCATCTCCAGGAAGCCTCTTGGCTTCCCCCTGCTGTCTTTATTAAATGCTGCCACTGCACATGGTGTGTTCGCCAATTTTCACACAAACTATTTGTCTATCTTTCATTGCTTTATATCCAAAACCTTGTGCAAAATCTGAGACTAAATTGATATGTACTGAAAGAATGAATACGTGCTTTAGATACAAGGGGAAAGAAATACAGATGACCTATCACTCTCCCCAGATGCCCATCTTATTTATTTACGCTTCAATTCAGATGACTTGGGGAACAAGACAGCCTAATAGAAGGCTCCACGGATCATCACCTCCTGCAAGGATACCAAGTTAACAAATATTACACACAAAAAGAAACATCTTCAGAAGAACTAAAAATTAGGTGAGCACTCAATCCCTGGTTTTAACTTCATATCACTGGAAGAGCACTGAAAAAAGTAGGAAAGGTAGTCTTGAATCACTGACCCCTTTCCCATTCCCCCCTGACAGCAGACATATGGCACAGAGAGAGAGAGAGAGACGCTGTGCTCTCAGGGAAGGGAGAGCACAACAATTGTGAGACATTGAATTGACCTCAGTGCTGCCCTGCCACAGCAGAAAGAAAAACCGGGCTGAACTCATCTGATGCCTGCCCAAGGAGGGAGTATTTAAACCAGCCCTAGCTGGAGGGGAATTGCTCATCTCAGTGGTTGGAACTTGAGTTCTGGCAAGCCACCACACCACGGTGGGCTGAAATGTTCTGGGGCCCTATATAAACTTGAAAGGCAGCCTAGGCCACAAGGACTGCAACTCCTAGGTGAGTCCTAGAGTTGAACTGATCTCAGCCAGTGAACTTGGGGGGCACACAATCTATTGAGACACCAGCTAGGTCAGCTAAGGGATTAATTGAGCCACCCCTCTCCTACCCAGGATGCACAGCTTGTGGCTCCAAAAGAGACCCCCTTCCTTCATTTGAGGAGAGGAGATAGAAGAGTAAAGAGGATTTTGCCTTGCACCTTGGCTACCAGGTAAGCCACAGTAGAATAGGGACCAGTTAGAGTCATGATGCACCCTTTTCAGGCCCTAGCTCCTGGACAACAATTCTAGACACACGCTGGGCCAGAAGGAAACCTGCTGGCTTGAAGTGAAGGACTCAGTCCTAACAGGGTTTATCACCTGCTGACTAAAGAGCCCTTGGGCCCTGAGTAACCAGCAGCAATACCCAGGTAGTATGCTGTGGGCCTGGCATGAGACTCTGAGACTTGTTGGCTTTAGATGAGACCTAGCACATTCCCAGCTGTGGTGGCTACAATGGAAGGCTCCTTCAGCTTGAGAAAAGCAAAGGGAAAAGTAAGGGGACTTTGTCTTGCAGCTTAGGTACTAGCTTGGCCACCGAGTGGGGAAGAGCACCAAGCAGGCTCTTAGGGTCCCCAATTCCAGGCCTTAGCTCTTGGATAACATTTCTGGACCTACCTTGGACCATAGGGGAGCTCATTTCCCTGAAGGGTGAGTCTCAGGCCAGGCAGCAAGCTGAGTGAAGAGTCCTTGGGTCTTTAAGGGAACATCTGCAGTCGCCTGGCAGTACTCCCCATGGGCCTGTGGTGGTGGTGATGGCCATAGAGTGAAGCTCCTCTGCCTGTGGAAAGAGGAGGGAAGAGTAGGAAGGACTGCATCTCCTAGTTTGAGTGCCAGCTGAACAGAAGTACGGTAGAGTATCAGGTAGACTTCTAAGGTTTCTGAGTCCAGTGATTTGCTCCTGGACAGCACCTTTGGGCCCACTCAGTGCCTGGAGGAACTCACCACCTTGAAGGGAAGGACACAAGCCTGGTTGGCCTTGCCAGCTGCTGACTGCCACAAGGCATTTAAAAATCAAACTCCTAAAGGTCAAGGATAAAGAAAGGAACCTAAAAGCTGCAAGAGAAAAGAAACAAATAACATACAGTGAAGGTCCCATGCATCTGGCACCAGATTTTTCAATGGAAATCTTACAGCCCAGGAGAGTGACATGAAATATTTAAAATGCTGAAGGGGCAGGGGGAAAACTTTTACCACAGAATAATATACCTGGCAAAAATATCCTTTGAACATGAAGGAGAAATATAGACTTTCCCAGACAAACAAAAGTTGATCTTGTAGGATCAACACCAGATTGATCCTACAAGAAATGCTAAAGTAAAAATTTACTGAAACAAATGATAATGGAAACATAACATACTGCAACCTGTGGGTTAAAGTGAAAGCAGTACTAAGAGGCAAGTTTATAGCTATAAGTGCCTGCATCAAAGAAGAAGATAAGGTCAGACATGGTGGCTCATGCCTGTAATCCCAGCTCTTTGGGAGGCTGAGGCAGGTGGATCACCTGAGGTCAGGAGTTCAAGACCAGCCTGGCCAACATGGTGAAACCCTGTCTCTACTAAAAATACAAAAATTAGCAGGGCTTGGCGGCAGGCACCTGTAATCCCAGCTACTCGAAAGGCTGAAGCAGGAGAATCACTTGAATCTGGAGGGGGAAGTTTGCAGTGAGCCAAGATCACGCCGTTGCACTCCAGCCTGGGCAACAAGAGCGAGAGTTCGTCTAAAAACAAAACAAAACAAAACACAAACTTCAAATAACTAACCTAATGATGCATCTTAAAAACAACTAGAAAAGGAAGAAAAAACCAAACCCAAAGTTAGTAGAAGAAATAATAATGATCAGAGCAGAAATAAATAAATTTGAAATGAAGAATATAATACAAAGTATCAACAAAACAAAAAGTTGGCTTTTGGAAATGATAAATAAAATTGACCAACCCTTATCCAGGCTAATTAAGAAAAAAATAACAAAGACCCAAATAAATAAAATTCGAGATGAAAAAGGAGACACCACAACTGATAACTGCAGAAATTCAAAGAATCATTAGTACCTACTATGAGCAACTATATGCCAATAAATTGGAAAATATTTAAGTGGATAAATTCCTAGATGCATGCAACCTACCAATATTGAAACATAAAGAAATCCAAAACCCGAACAGACCAATAACAAGCAGTGAGATCAAAGACAAAATAAAATGTATTCCAGTAAAGAAAATCCCAGGACCTGATGACTTCATTGCTGAATTCTACCAAACATTTCAAGAGGATCTAATACCAATCTTACTCAAGCTATTCTGAAAAACAGAGGAGGAGAGAATACTTTTAAACTCATTCTACAAAACCAGTATTACCCTGATATCAAAACCAGAAAAAGGCATATTAAAAAAAGGAAAGCTGTAGGCCAATATCTCTGATGAATATTGATGCAAACATTCTCAACAAAATATTAGCAAGCTGAATTCAACAACACATTAAAAAGATCATTCATAATTGCCAAGCTGGATTTATCCTGGGTATGCAAGGGTGGTTCGGCACATGCAAATCAATCCATGTGATATATCATCTAAACACAATGAAGAACAAAAAAGTATGATCACTTTTATTGATGCTGAAAAAGCATTTGATAAAATTGAACATTCTTCATGATGAAAATCCTCAAAAAACTGAGGGTAGAAGGAACATACTTTAGCATAATAGAAGCCATATGCAACAGATCCACGGCTAGTATCATAATGAATGGGGAAAATGAAAAGCCTTTCCTCTAACATCTGGGATATGACAAGAATGCCCACATTCACTACTGTTACTCAACATAGTACTAAAAGTCATATTAGGGCAATCAGATGAGAGGAATAAATAAAGGGCACTCACACTGGAAAGGAAGAAGTCAAACTATCCTGGTTTACAGATGATATCATCTTATATTTGGAAAAAACTAAAGACTCCACCAAAAAACTGTTAGAACTGATAAATTCAATAAAGTTGCCAGATAAAAACCAACATACAAAAATCAGTAGCATTTCTATATCCCAACAGCAAACAATCTGAAAAAGAAATCAAGAAAATAATACATTTATAATAGTTGCAAATAAAATAAAATACCTAGGAACAAACTTAAAGAATTGAAAAATCTTTACAATGAAAACTATGAAACTCTGATGTAAAAAATTGAAGAAGACACACAAAAATGGAAAGGTATTCCATGTTCATGGATTGAAAGAATCAATATTGTTATAATGTCCATGCTATCCAAAGCAATCTACAGATTTAATGCAATCCCTATCAAAATACCAATGAAATTCTTCATAGAATTAGAAAAAACAATTCTAAAATTTATATGAAAGCACAAAAGACCCAGAATAGCCAAAGCTATCCTAAGCAAAAAGAACAAAACTAGAGGATCATATTACCTGACTTCAAATTACACTACAGGGCTATAGTAACCAAAATGTCATGGTACATAGATCAGTGAAACAGAATAGAGAATCCAGAGATAAATCCATACATTTAAAGTGAAATCAGTCTTGACAAAGGCGCCAAGAATCTATATTGAAGGAAGAACATTCTATCCAATAAACAGTGCTGGGAAAACTGGATTTCCATAAGCAAAAGAATAAAAGTAGACCCCTGTCTCTCACTATATACAAAAATCAAACCAAAATGTACTAAAGACTTAAATCTAAGACCTCAAACTATGAAACTACTAAAAGAAAACATTGGAGAACTCTCCAGAACATTGGGCTGAGCAGATTTCCTGAATAATGTCACACAAGCACAGGCAATCAAAGCCAAAATGGACAAATGAGATCATATCAACTTAAAAAGCTTCTACACAGCAAAGGAAACAATCAACAAAATGAAGAGGTAACCCACAGAAATGGGAGAAAATATTTACGAACTATCCATTTGACAAGGGATTAATAAACAGAATATATAAGAGCTCAAACAACTCTATAGGAAAAACAAATCTGATGATTTCATTAAAAAATGTGCAAAATACCTAAATAGATATTTTTCAAAAGAGGATATACAAATTGCAAACAGGGTATGTAAAGGTACTCAACATCATTGATTATCAGAGAAATGCAAAACAAAACTACAATGAGATATCATCTCACTTCAGATAAAATGATCTTTATCCAAAAGTCAGGCAATAACTAATGTTAGCAAGGATGTGTATAGATTTATCTCTAGATAAAAGAGAACTTTTTGTACACTTTTGCTGGGAATGTAAATTAGTACCATCACTATGAAGAAAAGTTCGGAGATTTTTCAAAAAACTAAAAATAGAGCTGCCATACAATCCAGCATTCCTACTCCTAGAAATATACCCAAAAGAAAGGAAATCGTATATGGAAGAGATCTCTGCACTCCCCTGCTTACTGTAGCACTATTCACAATGGCCAAGATTTGGAAGCAATCTAAGTGTCTATCAACAGATGAATGGATAAAGACAATGTACATATACACAATGGAGTACAATTCAGACATGTAAAAGAATGAGCTCCTGTCATTTGCAACAACATGGATGGAACTGGAAGTCATTGTGTTAAGTAAAATAAGCCAGTTACAGAAAGACAAACATTGCATATTTCATTTATTTGTGGGAACTAAAAATTAAAACAATTCAACTCGTGGAGATAGAGAGTAGAAGGATGGTTACCAGAGGCTGTGAAGGGTAGTGTTGGGGGGAGTGGGGATAGTTAATGAGTATAAAAAGTAGTGAGAAAGAATGAATAAGACCTCGTATTTGTTAGCACAACAGGGTGACTATAGTCAGAGATCATTTAATTGTACATTTAAAAATAACTAAAAGAGTATAACTGGATTTTTTATAACACAAAGGATAAATGCTTGAGGTGATTGGATACCCCATTTGCCCTGATGTGATTATTATGCTTTGCTTGCCTGTATCAAAATATCTCATGTAACTAATAAATATATACACTTACTGTGTGCTCAAAAAATTAAAAAGAGAAAAAAAGAAAAGAAAAAGAAAAACATCCAGATGACTTGAAAGGCAGAATAATTGGTTTTTGTATTTCAGGTAAATAATATTTCTAGAAATACATAAAGAAGGAATTTTCATGAGGTGTGAAAATACAGGTTTTAGCTTATGCAAACTTTGTAAATCAAATCAAATGGGATCACAAAATAAATATTAGAATTTTCATTCTTTATTGTCTTTTTCCATTAATTTTGAAGATTTTATGGGCATATGTATTTTTAAAATTCTGTTAAAGTAATGAGGCTTGGCAATTAACTTCACAAAGGATTAACTCTAGTACATATATATTAGCATTAATCCTTTTTGGAATAATTATTTATAAAATATAAATTTTTATATTTAACATTTATATATAATATATAATATAAAATTTATAAATTTATAAATACATAAATTTATATATTTATATGCATACACACAGTTTAGTAGTCTAGTAGTTCCTGTGTAATTAAGTAGGTTATGTAGGCAATATGAGGACTTCTGAATACGTCTTCAGTTGCTACCATGGAAACAATTTTTAGAGATGTTCTGCAGAGTGATGTGATGCTGATTAAAGAGTTCAAGCACTTCATTTTAAAATTAGGCCAGAGTCAGCCAGGAAGAAGCTGTACATTGCAGAGCTGGTCCACCTCTTGCTGCTGAGCTGGGCTGTGCTGGGCTGCTCCTGCCAGGTTGCCATGGCCAGCAGCACTTCTTTACAACCTTCTTGATCTAAGGAGGCCAGGAGGTAATTTACAGCATGGCAGCTCTGGTGATCCTTGTCAAAAGGTTAATAGTTATGAACTTTCCAGTTAAGAAATGTATTATGTACTGCTCTGTAATCTGTGAGTGCTTAGCCTTAAAGGGCTTGATGAGGATAATATTCTGGCATTTTACATTCTGACACGAACTTCATAACCATTAAAAACAAATGCTTGGCAAATTAATGGCTGTTGGATCTTTATTAACTTGCAGTGAAATATAATATCACTTTCATTAAAATATATTGCTGAAAAATGATGGTAAGAAAAATGTATTCTGAATGACAGTGAAGCTGTGAGATCCTAGGGCTGTTTATTTTATTACTATGGCAACTGTGATAAAAACATACACACTACCAATGTTGTTTCCTTTAGTGAAAATTCTAAATTATAAATCGACTTGCTAACTAATTTTAAATTCTTACTTTTCAAAACAAGGTGTTATTTTAGGGGTAAATTTCTAAAACTGAAATTTAGTCTCTTATTAGAAATACAGATGCAAAATGACTGCAGGACAATTGAAATTTAAAATAGTCTAAAACATTGAAAAAACTTTTCTATAGCTGAATTTTCCCCAGACCACTTACCCTTTATCCCTTTGCTCTTTTTAACTTACCAAGAATACAGTGCTGTGTAATTATGAAAATCTCAGTATTTGTTGCTATGAATCAGCGTAATGATACTTATCAAATCATTTAAAGAGAAATTAAATTTTTGCCATTTTAATGGGCATTCAAACAGTGTTTCACAAAACCATTAAGGTAAAAAAGCATCATGCCCATTTTATAGAACATGTTCTATCTGTTGTGCCACACTTAAACCAAGCTCTCTGTCAAAAAACAAACTGGCATATGTGAGTATTCATAAATAGACATAGATAAAGAATATTTTCATGTGTAGACACTTGTCACCAGTAAAATAAAGTAGTTTGAATTGCACTCAGCTGAAAACATGCTGAAATCTAGGTTCATTTCACTCATCGATTCATAAACTATTTATACCCAACTACTTCTGTGTAGTGTGGCAGGGATGTAAACTTGAAACATACACATCTAGGTACCTTTATACTCAATCATACTCTTTTTCTTCTGTCTTAATCTGTTTTGTGCTCTTGTAGCAGAATACTACTGGCTGAATAATGTATAAAAAGCACAACTTACCACCTCACAGTCCTGGAGGTTGAAAAGTGATATGGTTTGTCTGTATCCCCACCCAAATTTCATCTTGAGATCCCACATGTTGTGGGAGGTACCTGGTGGGAGGTCACTGAATCATGGGGCAGGTCTTTCTCGTGCTGTTCTCACAATAGTGAATAAGTCTCATGAGATCTGCTGGCTTTATAATGCAGAGTTTCCCTGAAAAAGCTCTCTCTCTCTTTGCCTGCTGCCAACCATGTAAGACATGACTTGTTCCTCCTTGCCTCCTTTCATGATTGTTAGGCTTCCCCAGCTATGTGGAACTGTAAGTCCATTTAACCCCTTTCTTTTGTAAATTGCCCAGTCTTGGGTACATCTTTATCAGCAGTGTGTAAACTGACTAATACAGTATATTGGAACCAGCAATGGAGTGCTGCTGAAAAGATACCCAAAAATGTGGAAGCAACTTTGGAAATGGGTAACATGCAGAGGTTGGAACAGTTTGGAGATCTCAGAAGAAGAGGAAAATGTGGGAAAGTTTGGACCTTCCTGGAGATATGTTGAGTGGCTTTGCCCAAAATGCTGATAGCAATAAGGACAATAAAGTGCAGGCTGAGGTGGCCTTAGATGGAAATGAAGAACTTGTTGGGAACTGGAGCAAAGGTGACCCTTGTTGTATTTTAGCAAAGAGACTGGCAGAATTTTGCCTCTGCCCTAGAGATTTGTGGAATTTCGAACATGGGAGAGAGTGATTTAGGGTATCTGGCAGAAGAAATTTTTAAGCAGCAAAGCATTCAAGATGTGACTTGGGTGCTGTTAAAGGCATTCAGTTTTAAAAGGGAAACAGAGCATAAAAGTTTGGAAAACTTGCAGGCTGACAATGTGATAGAAAAGAAAATCCCATTTTCTGAGGAGAAATTCAAGCTGGCTGCATAAATTTGCATAAGTAACAAGGAGCTGAATGTTAATCACCATGACAAGGGGGATAATGTCTCCAGGGTGTGTCAGAGACCTTTGTGGCAGCCCCTCCTACCACAGGCCTGGAGGCCCAGGAGGAAAAAATGGTTTTGTGGTTTGGGCCCAGGGTCCTTCTGCTGTGTGCAGCCTAGGGACTTGGCGCCCTACATCCCAGCTGCTCCAGCTGTGACTGAAAGGGTTCAAGATACAGCTTGGGCTGTTGCTTCAGAGGGTGGAAGCCCAAAGCCTTCACAGCTTCCATGTGGTGTTGAGCCTGCTGGTGCACAGAAGTCAAGAATTGAGGTTTGGGTACCTCTGCCTAGATTTCAGAAGATGCATGGAAATGCCTGTATGCCCAGGCAGAAGTTTGCTGAAGGGGCAAGGCCCTCATGGAGAACATTTGCTAGGGCAGTGCAGAAAGAAAATGTGTGGTTGGAGCCCCTACACAGAGTCCCTAATGGGGCACCGCCTAGTGGAGATGTGAGAAGAGGGCCACCATCCTCCAGACCCTGGAATGTTAGATCCATGGACAGCTTGCATCATGCACCTGGAAAAGCCACAGACACTCAATGCCAGACTGTGAGAGCAACCAGGATGGGGGCTGTACACTGCAAAGCCACAGGGGCGGAGCTGCCCAAGGCTGTGGGAGCCCACCTCTTGCATCAGTGTGACCTGGATGTGAGACTTGGAGTCAAAGAATATAATTTTGGAACTTTAAGATTTGACTGCCACACTGAATTCCAGACTTGCATGGGGCTTCTAGCCCCTTTGTTTTGGCCAATTTCTCTCATTTGAAATGGCTGTATTTACCCAATGCCTGTATCCTCATTGTATCAGGAAGTAACCAACTTGCTTTTGATTTAACAGGCTCATAGCTGGAAGGGACTTGTCTTGTCTCAGATGAGACGTTGAACTGTGGAATTTTGAGTTAATACTGAAATAAGTTGAGACTTTGGGGGACTGTTGGGAAGGTATGATTGGTTTTGAGATGTGGGGACATGAGATTTGGGAGGGGCCAGGGGTGAAATTATATGGTTTGTCTATGTCCCCACCCAAGTCTCATCTTGAATTCCCACGTGCTGTGGGAGGGACCTGGTGAGAGGTAACTGAATCATGGGGATGGGGCTTTCTCATGCTATTCTCGAAATAGTGAACAAGTCTTTATCAGGGGTTTCCACTTTTGCTTCTCTCTCATTTTCTCTTGCCACCACCATGTAAGAAGTGCCTTTTGGAGGGGTACGGTGGCTCATGCCTGTATTCCCAGCACTTTGGGAGGCCAAGGTGGGCCAATCATCTGAGGTCAGGAGTTCAAGACCAGCCTGGCCAACATGGTGAAACCCTATCTTTACTAAAAATACAAAAATTAGCTGGGTGTGGTGGTGCATGCCTGTAATCCCAGCTACTTGGGAGGCTGAGGCAGGAAAATTGCTTGAACCTGGGAGGAGGAGGTTGCAGTGAGCCGAGATTGCACCACTGCACTCCAGCCTGGGTGACAGAGTGAGACTCTGTCTCAAATAAAAAAAAAAAAAAAAAAAGAAGTGCCTTTCACCTCCTGCTATGATTCTGAGGCCTCCCCACCCATATGAAATTGTAAGTCCAATTAAACCTCTTTTTCTTCCCAGTCTCAGGTATGTCTTTATCAGCGGCATGAAAACGGACTAATATAGAAAGTCTAAAGTCAAGGCACCAGCGGTTCAGTCTCTGGCTCCATTGCTGTGTCCTTCAAACAAGGGGAAAGCTAATCCTCACATGGCAGAAGGTGGAAGGGCTAAGGGGCAAAAGGGGGCCAAACTTGTCCTTTTGTAATGGCATTAATCCCATCCATGAGGCAGAGCCCTCAAGGCCCAATCAGCTCCCAAAGGTCCCACCTCCCAGCACCGGTATGATGACAACCATATTTCAGCATGAGTTTTGGAGGGAATGAACATTCAAACCATAGCACCTTCTTTACTCCATTAAAGATGAAAACTCTGTGATTTCTGTGTTGAAATTGAAATTTTTTGGTTCTAAGGTTTTGTAATTACATGCACTCTTTGATTGACTGATCAATTTTACTGATGAGGAAAATGAAAGAACCTGTGGTTTCTTTTTAATTTTTCTTTTTTAAAATTTTTCCCTCTGCTCCAGAGCATGGTGTTTTCCAATTAGAGGTCAATAAAAACAGTGATTTAAGTATTTTTGAATAAATAAAAAGTAGCAGTTCCTTATTTTTGTCCTGCCTTTAGTCTACAGTCTACATTTTTGGCAAAAAGTTTCATTTTGCACATCTTTTTCCAGTATGCAGTGCCTGTGAGTTTCAAGTGCATTTGTTAACTTGTTGCATTTTCTTCTTTTGTCCTTTCTCCCCTCACCCCCATTTCATCAACAAGAACAACACATCATTTCAAATATCAAGGTATAATCATTCTCCTGCATGGCAAGTGTATTTGGCCATACTTTGGGCAGTATTTATCTTTTCTCAGAGAAGAGTCCCATTATCTTCATGGCAAGTTCACATTTATGACTATGGACTTCATGCCTATCAAGCAGCCCTGAGAGCCAAAAGACAGAATCAAACTGGATTCCCAACTTATTGTGTATAGCTTTTACCCAAAAAAGTTGTTGAGAAGATTGGAAAAGACAATATATATGCCTGGCTAAACAACTAATTGTTTTCATCTTTATTTTTCCCTGCTTTCATTTCTATTTTTTTTAAATAAAGCATTATAGTCATAATTTTCACTAGTGAAGAACTCATAAAGGTATGAAGGACAGGCTTGGCATGGCAGCTAGAATCCGATAGCACCTATATTTTTATGCACCACTATGCTTGGTGGATTGATATCTTGTATCAAGTCATGAGACAATTGCTCCAATTCTAGGCATGCCTCTCCTTTGAAGGGAAAAAATAGGTCAGTGAAAAACAGTAGGATCTAGTTGCACCTGTCCCCTTTTATTTGCTCAATTTTTATTTTGAAAGAATCTCAAGCCCACATAATACTCATAGACACAGTACAAATAGTAATCATTGTCCCCCTGAACTGTTTGAAAGTTGCTAATATGGTATCTAATCCCCTCTGACTATTTTAGTATGTATTTCCTACAAATGAAGACATGGTTCTACATAAACACTAATATTCATCATGAAATTGACACTGATACTGAGACATTACTGCCTTCTAATCATCAGACTCTACGTTTTACCAAGTGTTCCAGTCATATCCTTTATTACCAGATGATCTGGTCCAGTATCACATGCTCATCTAGCTGTCATGTTTCCTTAGTCTCTCTCATTGGGGAGCAGGTTGGCATTGGTCTGTCCTTGGCTTTTATGACCTTGGTGCTTTTGAAGATTACAGGTCAGTTATCTTTTAGAACATCCCTCAATGTGTTTTTATCTGAGGTTTCTTCATGATTACATTTGGGTTATGAATTTTTGGCAGAAATACCACAGAAGTGTTTTTATTGCATCTTATTTTTATTTGTACTATGTTATAGTGACTCTAGGGATATTAAGTTTGATAAACTTGATCAGGTGGCATTTCCACACACAATTACATCATTATTTTTACATCTATCCATATATATTGAAAATTGTATGTTCACACCAATGTCTCTAATTCCAAACCAAAGCCACAAGAGTTCTTCTAGGTTTTTCCTTTTCCATAATTGCAGCTTCTATCTGCAACAGCAAAAATCTTGGCTTTCGTAGTCCTTAAAATATTTACTTATTTCATCAATCTCCCCAAATGTAACTAATCTTAAGCCATATCCACCTCACCTCACACAAATGCTATGCTTCCTCTGCTCAGGCCCTACTACCCCCTATTGAACCACTCTTCTACTCTAATATTCTCCTCACACCCTTGGGCTGTCACATTCTGAGCTAGGCTGCCCCTCTGTGTGAGCCTCCATACCTCCTCAAGCTCTAACACTGATCTGGGTGCCTCCTCCCCTGCTTACCAATGTCTACCTTGCTTTACCTCCCCTAATAGCTTTTGGATTAAGTTATTTAGGATGGAAGAAAAGGAAAGGGAAGATAAGGAAAGAAGAGGGAGTGAAGCAAAGAGAAGGGAAAGGAGAGCAAGACAGGAAGAGGAAGAAGAGAAGGAAGTTGACTTTTGTATTACCCTGCTTTCACTCCCGAGTTCTCTCTGCTTTTGAATTCATTGCCTCCTTTACACCTGTTTTCATCTTCAATTAATATTATGTTTTTAAAATTAGAGGCCTCTACCTTTCTGCCTCTGTTTTTTAAAATTTTCCAGATTTATTAAGGCATAATTGACAGAAATGAATGTATGTACTGTATTAAATATGATATTTTGATAAACACATACACTGTAAAGTGATTATGACAATCAAGCTAATTAACATATTCTTCACTTCACATAGTTACCACTTTTTTTGTTGTTGTGAGAACACAAGATCTACTCTCTCAGCAAATCTCAAGTAAATAAAATACAGTATTATTAACTATAGTTACCATGCTGTACATCAGATCTCCTGAACATACTTATTCTGCATAACTGACACTTTTTACACTTTGACCAACATCTCCCCATTTCTCCCAATCCCTAGCCTCTAGCAATCACCATTCTACTCTGTTTTGATGACTCTGACGTTTCAAAATTCCACATGCAAATGAGATCATGCAAGATTTGCCTTTCTGGGCCTGGCTTATTTCATTCAGCATAATGTCCTCCAGTTTTATCAATGTTGTTGCAAATGGCAGGATTTCCTCCTTTTATCCATTCATCTGTCTGTGGACACTCAGGTTGATTCCATATCTTGGCCTTTGTGAAAAATGCTGCAATAAACACGGAAATGCATATATTTCTTTGAGATACTGATTTAATTTCCTTTGGATATATACCCAGTAGTGAGACTGCTGGATCTTATGGTTATTCTAAGATTTTTGAGGAACCCCAATATTGTTTTCCATAATGGCTGTACTAATTTACATTACCACCAACAGTGCACCAGGCTTCCCTTTTCTCCACACCCTCACCAAAACACTTATCTTTCATATTTTAGATAATAGATGTGAGTTGATATTTCATTGTGGTTTTAATTTTAATTTCCCCAATAATTGGTGATGTTGAACACTGTTTCATATACTTCTTGGCCATTCCCATTTCTTCTTTTGATAAATATCTATACAGGCACTTTGTCCATTTTTTAATCGTATTATTTGCCACTTTTCTTTGTTCCTGTTTGCTCAGCTCGAATTCTATTCAAATTTCAATTAGTTTGGGAAAATTATCCCTAGTGAAGGTAATGGTTTTGAATATCCTTTTGGAAATACAGTTCATCCTCACCCTTATATTCCTTTTTATCATTTCGGACAAATTATTTAATAGGCCAAAGCTTTACAAGTAAATTAATTGGCTAAAAGATGAACTCATATGCATTTTGATAACTTGAATGTGTTTGGCTACTTATACTCCATCAACAGAGAAAGCTGAGAAAGTAACTCTTTTATAATAAGCTTTTGAGTGGGGAAGGTCACATCCGATGGCCATGATAGAGTGGGTGGAACCAAGTTACTGTGTCATTTAGCACAGTCCTGCCCATTAGCTCTGAATCAAGTCTGTCTCTTAAATTACATTAATGTTGCTGGTAATTTCAAATCAGGAAACGTGGGTACTTTTTGAAGGAAGGATGTTTTGAATTTGTTGGTGACAAGGAAAGAGATAGCTTTAGCTCAGATTTGGAACAAAGAAGAAAACAATCTGGACCAAGGCAGCCTGTTTCAGAGGCCAGCTTGGTGTCTAGTGGCAATACCAACCTTCTGGGAGCACTTCTAGTTATGCTGGCCTATCTCAACTATACGAAAGGAAAGCACAGGAAGGAATTTTGCCTAAATTTGGACTGGAGTTTTAAAGGTGATCAGCAAGCCCTTGGGTGCTGTCTGTGTCATAGCAATGGGGCTTTAATTATAAAATCCCCAAGTGCAATACACAGATCAAGAGTTGAGTTCCAGTGTTCGATAGCCCAGGAGGGAAACTACTGTTACAATAACTTATTGTACATTTCAAAATAGCTGAAAGAAAGATTTGGAATTTTCCCAACACAAAGCAAGGGCAAACATATGAGGCATTGTATATCCCAATTACCCTAATTTGATCACTACACATTGTATGCATGTGTTAAAATATTGCATGTACCTCAGGAAGGTATATGATCATTATGTATCAGCAAAAAAAAGGTTTGAGGCCACTTGTCTAGTTCCTCAGCCTTTGTGACGATCTCTCCTAAGAAACTCATTTTTGTGTGTGTGTGTGTGTGTGTGTGTTTTTTTTTGAGATGGGGTCTCACTCTGTCGCCAGGCTGGAGTGCAGTGGCGCGATCTCGGCTCACTGCAAACTCCAACTCCCTGTTTCAAGCGATTCTCCTGCCTCAACCTCCCAAGTAGCTGGGATTACAGGCACACACCAACACTCCCAGCTAATTTTTGTATTTTTAGCAGAGACGGGGTTTCACCACGCCAGCCAGGCTGTTCTCGATCTCCTGACCTCGCAATCCACTCGCTTCGGCCTCCCAAAGTGCTGGGATTACAGGTGTGAGGCACTGTGCCCGGCCAGAAACTTTTTTTAAAAAAATTAAATAAAAGCATGTAAAATTTCATTTTATAAATAAGGCCATTTCTATTTTATTTCTATTATTATCCACAGATATTTATTTATTTATTATTTTTATTTTTATGAGAAAATTCAAATTTATTTTAATGTCATGTCATTTTCAATGTGCTTAAAAACCTCATAAATTAGTAGGAGCCCTAGTTTCCTGGGACAGCATGCCAGATGTACTGAAATTTGTCACCTTTCCCTACAAACCCCTAGAAATTTAATCCAAGTCCATAGCTTCAGAAAGCTAGGAGTTGTATCTTCAGACAGTCTACTCCTCTGGTTCTTGGTTTTTCTTTCAAGGGAAGGAGATCACAATATTTCAAACAGTGAACAAAACCAGTTGAGCTTCCAGCTCAGTTTTCTGTAGAATGGAGCAGGGAAGACCCCACTGACTCCAGAGAAAAGGGTGAGGTTGAGATGGATTATTTCTTTACAGCTTTGTGAAAATGGAAGAAAAAAGATTGACTAATTCAGATCCATTTCATAGATAAGAATCGCTTCATAAATGAAGGCTCCAGCTCCTAAAATGGGAGGGGCCTGGCTGGACAGCCTGAATCAGATGAGGAATTGGCCACACTGAATAAAAACAATCTGAAAAATAATCCTAATTTTGAAGCCAGATAAAATACTTGGGGAGAATGGAAAAAAGGAAAAAGCCCCAAACGGATGAAAAAATGCTAACATCAGAATGGTATAAAAAAATTTGGCTGAGTTTTCAGTGGTGGTGGCCAATTTAGCCTGGTTCTGTAGTAGGGTCACAAACCTTGACCAAGCAGAGAGTAGTAGAAAAGGCTAGAAAGAGGGGCTTGAAGACTATGAATTTTGACCCCTGATTTTATTATTCAATTTCTTTTTTTCATCTAAAGTAGTCTTCCGTGCCCAGGAAGCCTCGCCTCCCAAGACCAGAGTCAGTTGGAGCCGGTTGTTGTTGGAAAGGAGTGGGTTGGGTAACTGGGGTGGAGGCAGGGAGACCCCCACTCTGCTGGATGTCCTAGGTGGAGAAGAAGAACTGCACTTCACAGAGTCTGGGGTGTAGTGGGAAGGGGATGAGGCAGGAGCAGCAAGCTGGGGAGATGGGACCCACCTCAGTCCCCAGCTTCATTTTCTTCTAATATTTCCCCACTGGTGGCATTTTCTGCAGTCTTGGAGGCCTTCTTTTTTTTTTCTGGGTTTTTCGACTTGCAGAACTCGAGCAGGGCCTTTAGCTCTGCATCCTGGACCTCCATCTCAGACTTGTAGAGGTCAGGCTTGAGGGGACTACTGGTTATCCGCATGGGGCCACTGGGCATGAGCAGAACTGTAAATTTAAACTGGGCAAAAAATTCACTCTCCTTCTCATGGAGAACATTAAATGGTTGCAGCAGTTCATGTTTGGCACACTCCACCACACCTATCCGAGCCTTCTTCTCATCTTCAAATGCTCTTAAAGTAAACAGCATGACATCAAAACGCCTTTCCATCCACTGAAGAAGGCACGTGAAGTTTTCATTTTCAGTCCATACTCTTCAGGAGTGTCTCATTTGTAAATAGGGGTTCTCTGTCCTGCATCCTTGGCCTTGCCCTCTCCTGAGCTGATGAGAACATCCACAGCGTATACTTCATATACCTCAAATTCATCTTTTTCGTGGTCCTTCTTCTGCTGGTCTGTGGGATTCTGGATAACGGTTTTTTCTCCATCGATGACATGCTGCTTCAACTGGTGTGACAGCATACCTTCTATTGGCTTGTAGTTAAATTACTGGGCAACTTTGTTCCAGGCTTCTGTCACTTGTGTGTTCTGATTTCCAGGTTTGACCAGGCGTAGGGCAGCTTCAGCACAAAGGTGAGCTGCCTTAATAACATCTGCTTTCCTCCCTGTTACTTGGGTCCCCTGAGCCACATCAACCACAAAAGTATGAGCTACATTAGCGATGAAGCCATCCACATAGACCCCAAGGTCAATTTTTACCAAGTCACCTTCCTTGAGAATATAATCCTGGCCACTCTCCAAAGGGGAGAAGTGACATACACAGTTATTTACTGAAATACTGGTGGGAAAAGCAATGCCTTTCTTCATTTCCTTTTCTTTCTTGAAGATTTTCCCTGTTTCTTCCATAATCACGGCATCACTTTTCTCACACAGGCTCAGTACCAATACACCTGAGCTAGATGCTTCCACCAAGGACCTAAGTACCCGGTGGGCAATGTCGCCCCCCATCTTATACTTGGTCACAACCAGGTCTTCAGCGATAGTTTGCTTCTGCTGCTCGTCCTCACCCTACATCTTCCTACCACCACCACTGCAGCCTCATTTCTCCTGAGCCGCCGCCTCTGTCTCCCTTCCTTGCCGCAGGCTTTGGTCAGAGCCCCCTGGATCCTTGAGGAGAGGGTGAGCGAAAGCGCGAGCTAGCAAGGGAGCGGGCAGGCAGGCGAGCGTCATCCACAGATATTTAAATGAAAGAGACAAGCATACCACACCTTAAAATTTTGAGAATTGAGGAAAGAAAGACATTCTTTTTCTATGAACATGCCAAGCGGGATCCTAACTTAGGGTGTTTGCATTAGTTATTTCCTCAGCTGGAAAGCTGTTTCCCCAGAGCTTCCTTCTCATTCTTGACTCCTTCTTGCCATTCAGGTCTCAACTCAAACTTCGGTGAAAACTTTTTGATTAACTAAACTGCAGTCCCTTGGTGTTTCACTGGCATAGCACCTTAATATATTTTCACCTTGGCACTTTCATATTCTTATTGTATTCTTGATATATTGGCTATTTGCTTACTGTCTACCTTCATCAACGTGAATGTAACTACCAAGAAAGTAAAGACTTTGACTGTCTTGGAGTTGAGTGTTGTATTACTAGTACTTTGAGTATCTGGTGTCACATAATATCTAATCAATAAATAAATGTTTAAAGAATGAATGACATGAAAGCAATAGTGATTGAGTAGAATGAAGCCTCTTCAGATGAATTATATTGGACACAAGAAAAAATAGCTGGGATGTAAAATGAGCTAAAATAGCAGTTAAATAGGTATTAACAAACTGGTTCAAGAGTGTAATTCACTTCATATTGACCAGCCAGAGGTAATAGCAAGCAGCTTTCTAATTGAACAGGGCCCAAACAATATGGTTACTTATGACTAATTAAATTAATCATCTTCGACTTTGTTAAGTGTCTTATAGATGTTTAAAATATCTAAGAAGTATTTACTATATCTATATGATTTATTAGAGGTCATTCTCAATATTCACGGAACACTAAGGAGCTGCCAAGCTTCATTTGAAATGCTGGGGATACAATGGTGAATTAGAAAGCATTCACTGCCTTCAAAGAACATACTCTGCTGTCTAGAGTCTGGAGGAGGATACAGGACAGGAGACTGGTGGGGCCACCATGTGGCGAGTGTTAAGATATTGCCAAATAGTGTTACGGGAGCACAATGGAAGGGCATAAAAGGTCACAAAAACTTCCTTGAGAATGTAAAATCTAGGATAAATAAACTTGTAGGAAAGCTACAAATTAGCTAATCAAATGTGAAAGTTGGTAAAAGGGCAAATGACCCAAGGAGGTGAAAGATTCCAAGGTCACATAGGGAAGCTTAGGAACATACGTATATTTGTGCAATAGAGCATGAGGGAATGCAGTGAGCATACCCCACCAAATGATCATGTTGGTGCTTTGTTAAAAATGATTTAGTGCATCACTGCATTTACCCAGCGTTAGTGAACTATGGTCTTTCTTACTCTAATGGAAAATAAATTCCCAGTGTGTCACATAACTTGTGGAGAAGGACAAAATAACTTCATTTAAGAATTTTGGTGATTTAGAAAAAGCATCTAATTTTGAAAATCGGTTTTATTCATTGAGTATTGAATGTCTGCTCTCTGTCAAGCGTTGTGGTCAATGCTGAA
Organism: Homo sapiens; assembly: GCF_000001405.40. Taxonomy (NCBI): domain Eukaryota; kingdom Metazoa; phylum Chordata; class Mammalia; order Primates; family Hominidae; genus Homo; species Homo sapiens. The sequence continues at coordinate 112,619,509 of NC_000006.12, forward strand.
TGCAGGGTGGAGAACAAAACAGATAGAAAGCACACTGCTGTGGATCTTGAAGACTGTGCCATTGGAAGCATCTTTGGAAAGGGCTCTGCATTGTTCTGAGGGCCACAGTCAGTAGTAGCAATGGTGAATTTTTCCCCATGGCTTTATAGGCAGTAGATATCAATGAGAAAGCAAAGCAGATATTGTAGATGCCATGTGGTGGCTATGGAGCAAAGCCTAACTTTAAGGAAGCACATCAGAATCCTCCTTAGTGTTTCTTGGAAATACTTGATGAATTGGGGTAACTTTGTAGGGGAGATAGCTGAGATTCTTTGTAGGCAGAAACAAGAACAGGTCCTTTACTGAATGCTGACTATTAATGTTAAGGTGACTTAATTCATATCCACAGATAGGTAAGGCCTGATGATCTGCAGATTATTCTCATGATCAAGTTACGATGGATTCTTATACTTTCGTATACCATGACACCATGGGTAAAAATAGTATTAATGTCACGCTTTCAGGCACAGACACATTTGCTGGACCCTAGTGCACAATATTGGCATAATAATTTTATCTGCTGGAGTTGAGTGCTCCTTCTATGGGTTGCAGTAAGCAGACAGATCTCCTTTAGGGTAGCAATAAAAGTAAACTAGTGATTTTTCCAGCCCATTCAGGTGTAGGTTATTCATGTGATAGTAAAAGTTCATATGCACAATTTTAAAACACTAAAATGGGTCAAGACTGAACAAGAGATTTTGTAAAACACACAGGTGTTGATGATGGTATCTCTTTCTCTTGAAAGCCAGGATGGAAAGAATGTTTTTAATCAAGAATCTGGACAGCTTATTGGGGAGTGCTGGAGCAGCCTCAGAGAGTGGCTTTTAAATTTCACTTTATAACATTTTACAAAAATTAGATGGCAGAATAGAAAACTTCTAAAGAGGTACTAGAAGGCACTGATTCTCTTTATTTTATTTGATTGTTTTAAATCAAAATGATAAACTTAGAGCTCTATTCCATTATATTTTAAACCTGTCATTTTGAGCTAACTTGTCATTTATCTATCTTTTTATGCTGTAAAGTTTATTGGAAATAAGTTAATTCATTTTAATAAATGCTTTGTGCTTTTAGGAGTGAAAAAATCCCACTTGCATTAAATAAAAATACTATTATGATTGCATCTGTAATCATTTCTGTCATGGGAAAATGGTGTTTCTCTAAACCTCTAATGAGATCTGTGCAGGTGTTTGTATATTTGCCATAAATCTGTACCCACACAAAGTTCATTCTGTGGCATAAAAATAAATCATCTCATTCAGGTGGAATTGAGCTCTGACTCAAGAATACTCCTTCTCACTTCTCTTTCCAAAATCAAAGCAACACTTACATTTCCACTGCCATATGCTATCTTTCTCAGCTCTCAAACTACTTATATATACTGGGTTCTTTTCCTTCTGTTATTTCAAAGACATGAGAGAAACTGGAGCATGAAAATGGATTTCAGCTTATGTAAAACCACGGAGTAGGTTTCCTTAGAGACTTAGGGAGGGGGTTTGTTCTGAAGTTATGATGAGTCATCACATACAGGCCTCTGGCCGAACTTGCTATCATATAGTATTTGCATATGAGTAAACAGAGTTGTTCTTTTCATAAGATTGATAAGCACTTCAAGCTTTTAAATTGGGGCCTTCCCCAGTTAAAAAAATATATTTGTATACTATATATAGTATAGATATAGTGCATACATATGTAATTTTTTCCTCAAAAGTTGAATATTGTAAGGATAGGAATACTTGCTTTCCCAAGATGGTGGATAAAGGGGTGGTATGTGGTTTTTATAATTATTTGCTCTAAATATGTAAATTCTGGTTTCTGCTTGGGCTGTGCCTTACTGGGTAAGCTTGGGGAAGTCCCTGATGCCTCCAGTATCTCAAGTTTCCATTTATAAAGTGATGGACTTAGAATTATTGTAAATGAGAGTCAAATCACTTATTGAGCTATTTTCATATATCTGAAAACTTAGAACCATAAAGACTGAGAATCCATATAACAGGGAGGATCATTCGCTTTATGACCTGGAGGTTCAAGACTACAAAGACACAAAGCAAAACCTTAACAGAGCACCAACACCCATTTTCAGTCTCCCCATGGGCAGCCCCCTGTGGGGGTGGTTTGTCCGTGCTCTCTGTCTACTCTCAAAGCAGCATACGCTTCTATAACCAGGAAGTTCAGGAAGAGCTTCATGTGCTTGGATTGATGGCAACATGGTGAAGGAAAACTATTGACAGATATGTGAACATGTTAATTCTTAATTTTATTATGAAATGACCAGCCAATGTTTATATTGAAAGCTAAACATATCTAATATCTGAGCACAATTTGAACATTAATATAATGTGGAGAAAATACAGAGGCCAGCTTCTCTGGCAGAGTGGACATGATTTTATCCATCACAGGATAAAGTTTCTGAAATTGTTAATATTTATTAAAATAACTTTCTTCTGTCCCTAAATATATAAATACATTTCATCCACAAAATTTAAGACATATAATGTATCTAGAAAGTTACTAAAATGTTCTTATATCCTGCAAAGCAACTACATGAAAACATGCATCTAGCTAATGAATTCAATAAGTATGTGTAATTGTAGAGTTCCTTTTCTTAGTTTTCTGTCCTTCATTCACATTCTATTGGAGTAACTCAAAGTGAGGCTGAATAGCATTTCATGCCTTCACAGGTATTAAGCAATTTCCATGAGAAAAAGCAGCTAGTTCAGTTCTCAATTCCAAAGATCACACAAGTGCTTTTCCTCTAAACAGCCCTATGCTTTGATTGTGGCAGGAGTGCTTTATGTGTTCTTCATACTTCCCATTGCCTCACACAGAATATTAAAAAGACCATGCCCAGAAGTCTACATTTAATAAAATTAACAATCATTATTGCTTCATCAAGGGCATTCTGAAGCAAAACTGGCTTATTTTTAAACACCAGTGTAGAGCAATGGAGAGTACAGTTAGCTGCCTCTGCCTTGATTCAAGCTAAGGCACTGTGCTGCTTCTGCTATTACTTTTGAACCAGCAGTGCAGATGTTAACGCAGTCAAAAGGGCAAATAATTTCATTATATTATTATGAATAATTTGCCCATACAGACTCCCTGAACGTGTCAGAGGGAGACCAAGAGGTTTGCTGACTACATTTAAGAACTGCTAGTTTTCATTTTTGGTGTCCCTTTGATGAGTTTTACAATCAATAATATACTAGTTTAATAAAAGAATTCAAAAATGTTCCTTTATTTGCCATGTTCTTGGACCACTTTCAGTAACAATGAAATTATCTGAACTTAAAAGTTTAGGGACACAACCCTATTTTAGTGTCTTTTGGGGAAGTGTCGCTTATGATAACCGTGTGTATTCCTTCCAAATTAATTATTATATTTATATTTCCTAACTCTTAGGAGGTTATTTCAAGTAATTTATATTTGCTAGAAGACATTTCATCAGATGTTCATCTTTTTTTTACATAGAATTAATCAAAGTGGACACTTATGATTTGATTAATTCCTTCATTGTGGATATTTCTTTTTTAAAATCATTTTTATACAACAAATTGGGTATTTTTCCCTTTTATCTTCATTTGGTTAAGTCTCCTTTATAGTTTTGTTATACTTTAAATCAACATTGTTTGCTTTTTACAATTAATTCTACATTTTAATGTTTCAAATTAATTACTTTCTGCTTTAAAAATGTCTTCTTTTGGCCAGGCACAGTGGCTCACGCCTGTAATCCAGAACTTTGGGAGGCTGAGGTGGGTGGATCACCTGAGGTCAGGAGTTCAAGACAAACTTGACCAACATGGTGAAACCCCATCTCTACCAAAAACAAAATAGAAAAAAAACAAAACAAAACCAAAAATTAGCCAGGCGTGGTGGTGGGTGCTTGTAATCCCAGGTACTCCAGAGGCTGAGGCAGGAGAATTGCTGAACCCCTGGAGGCAGAGGTTGCAGTGAGCCGAGATCGTGCCATTGCACTCCAGCCTGGGTAACAAGAGCGAAACTCCATCTCAAAAACAAACTTTAAAAAAAAGTCTTCTTTTTTAAGTTTGTCTGATTGTTCATGTTCTAACCACCTTATATAGATGTTTCTTTAACTTTAAAAATTTTTATTAATATAAAGAGTTAAGGCTATGGATTTTCTTTGGACCTTTGTTTTAACTGTAAAATATATTCTGTTATTTTGGTTTCCATTTTCTCTTGGACAGCAGAATTGTTTAAGAGAAGACTTCTGGGTGGATAGGAGGGTAATAGTATAGTTTTGCAATAGTAGTTATTTTTGCTGTTTTTAAAAATTTGTTTTAAGTTCTATTTTTATTGCATTGTGATTAGGAAAGCTAATACACACAACACACACACAGTAAATTTATTGCCTTTTTAAACCTAATATAAATATTGTTTGTGAATATTCCATGTGTTCTTAGAAAAAAGTTGTTAACTTTGTTTTCATTCTACTGACTTTGATGTATATCAAGTAGACCTACCTTAAAAATCATCACTCTATTTGTGTATTCTATTTTCTAATTTTGTGTTCACTTGAACTATCATTGACTAAGAGAAGTGAATTAAAGTTTCCTGCTCTTAACAGATTTCTATTTCTCCTTGTGCTGTCCCCCTGCTATACACTTTTTTCCTTCATGTGTACTAATGCAGTGCAGTCCTACCTGATATAGATATATTCATACTGTTAGATATTCATTTGGTTTGAAACCGGAATTGTATCTTCTCCATCTCATTTAATACCTTTCACTCTGAATCCAATCTCATCTAATACTGAAATTGCAATCTCTGATTTCTATTTGTGTTTGTCTAATATGTCTTTTCAATTTTTAAATTTTCAATCTTTTCAAATAATTTCATTCTTCTGCTCCATACTGACATATCATCTTTCCAAGTAACATGGCTCTGACGACTTCCTTGTGTAAAACATATAGTTAAGTATTTTTTTTTCTTTTGACATCTGTGTTTAGTCTATTTAAATTTTTATATAAAAAAGAAGCTTGGTTTTATATAGTTCTGTTATCACAGCCTATGTCATACTTTCTGTTTTCCTAGCATGTGTGTATGTAGGGGTTTTAAAAAGTAATTTTGAAATTTGTCTTTGTCTAGTGATTATTTATTTATTTATTTATTTATTTAGTGAGACAGAGTCTCACTCTGTCGCCTAGGCTGGAGTGCAGTGGTGTGATCTCAGCTCACTGTAACCTCTGCCTCCCGTGTTCAAGCAATTCTCCTGTCTCAGTCTCCTGAATAGCTGGGACTACAGACATGCGCCATCACGCCCAACTAATTTTTGTATTTTTAGTAGAGACAGAATTTCACCATGTTGGCCAGGCTGTTCTCGAAGTCCTGTTCTCAAGTGATCCACTCACCTCGGCCTCCCAAAGTGCTGGGATTACAGGCGTCAGCCACCGCACCTGGCTAATGATTATTGTTTTAAGTTTTACTTTTTATTCATAAATGTATTGGTTTCCTATTGTTACCTGTCAAAGAATGATGAAGTTGATATATTTTTATGTCCTTCTTCTTTCCCTCCTTTCCCTTTGACAGTGAATTTTTATTAATTTGTATATTTAATATTTATCTTTTCTTTTATAAATATACTTCTATTGTTTCTTGGTCATTTAAAATAATCTCGATTGATCCTCACCTTGATCTAAAAAATTACTTATTACCTCCTATCTTTCTGTCCTTCCCCTTCCCGACTTTCTTCAGCTGTCTCATTTCTACCTTGTCAGGATTTCTACTATTTACATTCTCTTCTAGTATCGTAATCAACATATTTGTTTTGTCTTAGTCACAGAATTAGTTTCAGTATTTGATATCACTCCTTTTACAATTGATTATCAAACATTTTTTGGTTGATTGAAGTGTTTTCTAGTACTTTCTTCAAGAAGGCTCATGGGATCCATAGCCTATGAGTTCTTGCTTTTTAAAATGTATTTTCTTTTCTTTTATTCTTAAACAACAATTAGAGCATAAAATTCTTGGGTTTTATTTTCTTTTGATGGCTTTGTAAAAAATTGCTCCACTTTTATCAAAGTTGACTGTTTTATTGGGAAATCAGACATTAGCCAGGCATTTTTTTTACAGGTGCATGTATAACATCATCTTTTGGCTTTTTGGCAAAAAGATTCTTTCATTATTATGACATTCAGTAACTAGTAACTAAACTAAGATATGCCTCAGTAGTGATCATTCTACATCATTTTCCTATGGATAAAGGGCATTCTTTCAATATTTAGATTCAACTTTTTTTTTTTTTTTTTTTTTTTTTACTTCTGGAACACTGTCTTTAATTATATACTTACATGTTTTTTTCTCTGTTCCATTATTTTTCTTCCTTTATTCTAGGACTCCAGTTATAAATGTTTTGCATTTCTTTGACCTAAACTCCATATTTAACATTTTCACTATAATCCATTTGAAAATTGGCATCATTTTCTTTTTGCCTACTTTCCTCAAATCCCGGACCTTATGTCTGTTCCTGTGCTGTTAGCCACATCTTTATTCATTCTTTATCAATATTAGAACCTTTTAAAAAGTTAATATTTGTGACCTGCTGTTTGGATTTTTTTTCTATTTATTCCTTTTTTTAGAAAAAGAAAATGTCTTATTTTCGTTCTTTTTGATTAACCATCTTAAAAAAAATGAATCCTTTCTGAACTAGCAAGAAGGACTAGGGCCAACTTATGAGCAAACAGGAATTTTATTTACAATAGCTTTTAGCGTTGAGTATTACGTTTCAGTTTATTCCTCACAAGTCAGCTGAGATTAACACCTCTAGGGCTACTCACATTGTTGTATTTCCCTTCTCTATCTTTCTGGAATACGGGTTGTCTGTGATTTTCTATTCAACTCCAACTTGGCTTTTCTTTGTAACCAAACTAGACGTGAGGAAGCTCTTCACAGCAGCCTACTCACATGTTTCCGTGTGGCCAATACAGTTTTATTGTTCTTGCACGATAGTAATTTTAAAACACGGACATGCACATTCTTTGACACTCTTCTCATTCAGACTTTGAAGTTTGAGGTTTCCCTTAAATCTGAGCGGGGCTGTGACTGCTTTGACCAATAGAGTACAGTGAACGTGATGCAATGGGACTCCCCAGAGGATGACATAACAGGCCATGTGGCTTCTGCCCTATTTTATGGGACACTTGCTCGTAGAATCTGAACTAAGATGTGGGAAGCCCAAGTACCCTGATACTACTGTAGTGGAGAGGCCACATGAGGCACAAGCTTAGACAGTCCCAGCTGAGCTCAGCACTTTGGTCATCCCCTCTGTACCAGATATGTGAGTGAAGCTGTTTTGGATGATCCAGACCAGCTCAGTCACCAGTTGGTTACAACTGAATGATTTCTGTCAAGGCCAAATGGAACAGAGGAATGACTCAGCAGAACACTGCTGAAATTGTTGACCACATTCATGAGTTATCATAAAATGGTTGCAGTTTAAACTTTTAAGTTTAGCTGAAACAAACATCTTTGTGCTGCTTACTTAGAGAAGTGCACCTGGACTGATTTTGTGAGATTTGTAGTTACAGGGTCTCTTGAACTATGTTTTCTTTTACTATAGATTTTTAATGCTTCTGAAGCCACTTTCCTATTACTTACATTGAAATTTTAGCTATCTCATAGTTTCAAGGAAAGTGGAGTTCCCATTCTTTTCTTTTCTTTTCTTTTCTTTTCTTTTCTTTTCTTTTCTTTTCTTTTCTTTTCTTTTCTTTTTTTGAGAGGGAGTCTCGCTCTGTCGCCCAGGCTGGAGTGCAGTGGCGCGATCTCCGTTCACTGCAAGCTCCGCTTCCTGGGTTCTAGCCATTCTCCTGCCTCAGCCTCCTGAGTAGCTGGGACTACAGGCGCCCACCACCACGCCCGGCTAATTTTTTTGTATTTTTAGTAGAGACGGGGTTTCACCGTGTTAGCCAGGATGGTCTCAATCTCCTGACCTCGTGATCCGCCTGCCTCGGCCTCCCAAAGTGCTGGGATTACAGGCATGAGCCACCGCGCCCAGCCTCCCATTCTTTATTCTTAGTTTTACTTTTGGGTGTTATTGAAAAAGGGGAAAAGACAGGACTGTGACTAACAGTTAAAAGTCAAAAGGCTTCTAAGCAGAATATTTCCATAGCAGCTATTAATGAAGATGTTCAAGTCTAGAATATAAAATGACTTTTCTAAAGACATAAAATTATTTCGTGTTAGGTAAAATTCCCAATTTCCTGACTTCCCATTCTTCATTTTTTTCATTATGCTGTTAATATTATAAAAAGTCAATAATGACAAGAATTCCAGATTCAGTGTATGGGATTTATAAAAATACTTTGTTTTCTCAAGTAACAAAAGAAAATTGGAATTTAAAAGATAAAGGACAGAATAATAATTTACTGAATAATAATCTGTAAAAAAACTTTTGTCTAGAACAATTAAAGAAAATATGTAAGTTTTACAATTCCTGAATGGCTTAGTAGAATGCCATATTAATTAATAAAGTTGGATATATGAATAACCAGGGGCTTTTCCAAACATTCTGGTAGTATACAATGAACAAATAATTCACTTTCATTAATGTAGTAATGTGATTTGTTTTGTGTTAATTTACTTTAAATTTCAATTTTACCCAATATCTTCATTTTATATAGAGAACTTAATTTACACTCCATGAAGAAAAATTAAAAACAGATATTTTAATTTCAGAAGAGTCTGTATTTCATTAAAATATGCACATTTAGTATTTTAATTTGCATTTCTCATAAAAAATAAACATGAAACCAAATATTGATTTTAACACAAAATTGTTGTAGTATCTAATAGTACTAGAAATCCCGAGAGTATGCTAAAATATTTTGTTTACTAATGAGATCTGCATCAGATTTGATTGGTAGAGTCATTTATTTATTATGTTGTGGGTATTGTCATCGTGGCTGAGATTACAAAACTGAGTAAAGGAAAATTCCTGCCTTAGACTAAGTTTTAAGTTACTAGAATATACTAAATTTACCAACAATTTACACTTAAAAAAATTGACTTTATAACTACATGGTTTCAAATCATAAGTGCAGGAAGGAAGTAATAAGTAGGGAAACTGACAGTGAATCTAAGATTTCCTGCCTAGGAGTGTTGGCTTGGAACAACATTAAGCAGATATTTAAAGAATTCAGAATTAGGTTTTATGGGGATGTCCCTTTGGATAGTTTTGAATTAGCATTTGACACTGAGTAGTCAATTTGCAATAAGCATTTCAGAGATGGATATATAGTTTTTGAGATGGATATACAGTTACTGAAACTATTAGAGCTAAAGAGTTGTCTCGGATCCTCTAAATAGAATTATAAGAAGACAACAGTTCTCCTTGAAGAGGTCCTTCACGTCCCTTGTAAGTTGGATTCCTAGGTATTTTATTCTCTTTGAAACAATTGTGAATGGGAGTTCACTCATGATTTGGCTCTCTGTTTGTCTGTTATTGGTGTATAAGAATGCTGGTGATTTTTGTACATTGATTTTGTATCCTGAGACTTTGCTGAAGTTGCTTATCAGCTTAAGGAGATTTTGGGCTGAGACAATGGGGTTTTCTAGATATACAATCATGTCATCTGCAAACAGGGACAATTTGACTTCCTCTTTTCCTAATTGAATACTCTTTATTTCCTTCTCCTGCCTAATTACCCTGGCCAGAACTTCCAACACTATGTTGAATAGGAGTGGTGAGAGAGGGCATCCCTGTCTTGTGCCAGTTTTCAAAGGGAATGCTTCCAGTTTTTGCCCATTCAGTATGATATTGGCTATAGATCTGTCATAAATAGCTCTTATTATTTTGAGATATGTCCCATCAATACCTAATTCATTCAGAGTTTTTAGCATGGAGGTTGTTGAATTTTGTCAAAGGCCTTTTCTGCATCTATTGAGATAATCATGTGGTTTTTGTCTTTGGTTCTGTTTATATGCTGGATTACATTTATTGATTTGCGTATATTGAACCAGCCTTGCATCCCAGGGATGAAGCCCACTTGATCATGGTGGATAAGCTTTTTGATCTGCTGCTGGATTTGGTTTGCCAGTATTTTATTGAGGATTTTTGCATCAATGTTCATCAAGGATATTGTTCTAAAATTCTCTTTTTTGGTTGTGTCTCTGCCCAGCTTTGGTATCAGGATGATGCTGGCCTCATAAAATGAGTTAGGGAGGATTCCCTCTTTTTCTATTGATTGGAATAGTTTCAGAAGGAATGGTACCAGTTCCTCCTTGTACCTCTGGTAGAATTCGGCTGTGAATCCATCTGGTCCTGGACTCTTTTTGGTTGGTAAGCTATTGATTATTGCCACAATTTCAGAGCCTGTTATTGGTCTATTCAGAGATTCAACTTCTTCCTGGTTTAGTCTTGGGAGAGTGTATGTGTCAAGGAATTTATCCATTTCTTCTAGATTTTCTAGTTTATATGCATACAGGTGTTTGTAGTATTCTCTGATGGTAGTTTGTATTTCTGTGGGATGGGTGGTGATATCCCCTTTATCATTTTTTATTGTGTCTATTTGATTCTTCTCTCTTTTTTTCTTTATTAGTCTTGCTAGCAGTCTATCAATTTTGTTGATCCTTTCAAAAACCAGCTCCTGGATTCATTAATTTTTTGAAGGGTTTTTTGTGTCTCTATTTCCTTCAGTTCTGCTCTGATTTTAGTTATTTCTTGCCTTCTGCTAGCTTTTGAATGTGATTGCTCTTGCTTTTCTAGTTCTTTTAATTGTGATGTTAAGGTGTCAATTTTGGATCTTTTCTGCTTTCTCTTGTGGGCATTTAGTGCTATAAATTTCCCTCTACACACTGCTTTGAATGTGTCCCAGAGATTCTGGTATGTTGTGTCTTTGTTCTCGTTGGTTTCAAAGAACATCTTTATTTCTGCCTTCATTTCGTTATGTACCCAGTAGTCATTCAGGAGCAGGTTGTTCAGTTTCCATGTAGTTGAGCAGTTTTGAGTGAGTTTCTTAATCCTGAGTTCTAGTTTGATTGCACTGTGGTCTGAGAGATAGTTTGTTATAATTTCTGTTCTTTTACATTTGCTGAGGAGAGCTTTACTTCCAACTATGTGGTCAATTTTGGAATAGGTGTGGTGCTGAAAAAAATGTATATTCTGTTGATTTGGGGTGGAGAGTTCTGTAGATGTCTATTAGGTCCACTTGGTGCAGAGCTGAGTTCAATTCCTGGGTATCCTTGTTAACTTTCTGTCTCGTTGATCTGTCTAACATTGACAGTGGGGTGTTAAAGTCTCCCATTATTATTGTGTGGGAGTCTAAGTCTTTGTAGGTCACTCAGGACTTGCTTTATGAATCTGGGTGCTCCTGTATTGGGTGCATATATATTTAGGATAGTTAGCTCTTCTTGTTGAATTGATCCCTTTACCATTATGTAATGGCCTTCTTTGTCTCTTTTGATCTTTGTTGGTTTAAAGTCTGTTTTATCAGAGACTAGGATTGCAACCCCTGCCTTTTTTTGTTTTCCATTGGCTTGGTAGATCTTCCTCCATCCTTTTATTTTGAGCCTATGTGTGTCTCTGCACGTGAGATGGGTTTCCTGAATACAGCACACTGATGGGTCTTGACTCTTTATCCAATTTGCCTATCTGTGTCTTTTAATTGGAGCATTTAGTCTATTTACATTTAAAGTTAATATTGTTATGTGTGAATTTGATCCTGTCATTATAATGTTAGCTGGTTATTTTGCTCGTTAGTTGATGCAGTTTCTTCCTAGTCTTGATGGTCTTTACATTTTGGCATGATTTTGCAGTGGCTGGTACCGGTTGTTCCTTTCCATGTTTAGTGCTTCCTTCAGGAGCTCTTTTAGGGCAGGCCTGGTGGTGACAAAATCTCTCAGCATTTGCTTGTCTGTAAAGTATTTTATTTCTCCTTCACTTATGAAGCTTAGTTTGGCTGGATATGAAATTCTGTGTTGAAAATTCTTTTCTTTAAGAATGTTGAATATTGGCCACCACTCTCTTCTGGCTTGTAGAGTTTCTGCCAAGAGATCCGCTGTTAGTCTAATGGGCTTCCCTTTGTGGGTAACCCGACCTTTCTCTCTGGCTGCCCTTAACATTGTTTCCTTCATTTCATCTTTGGTGAATCTGACAATTATGTGTCTTGGAGTTGCTCTTCTCGAGGAGTATCTTTGTGGCGTTCTCTGTATTTCCTGAATCTGAATGTTGGCCTGCCTTGCTAGATTGGGGAAGTTCTCCTGGATAATATCCTGCAGAGTGTTTTCCAACGTGGTTCTCCCCGTCACTTTCAGGTACACCAATCAGATGTAGATTTGGTCTTTTCACATAGTCCCATATTTCTTGGAGGCTTTGTTCATTTCTTTTTACTCTTTTTTCTCTAAACTTTCCTTCTCGCTTCATTTCATTCATTTCATCTTCCATCACTGATACCCTTTCTCCCAGTTGATCACATCAGCTCCTGAGGCTTCTGCATTCTTCACGTAGTTCTTGAGCCTTGGCTTTCAGCTCCATCAGCTCCTTTAAGCACTTCTCTGTATTGGTTATTCTAGTTATACCTTTGTCTAAATTTTTTTCAAAGTTTTCAACTTCTTTGCCTTTGGTTTGAATTTCCTCCTATAGCTCGGAGTAGTTTGATCGTCTGAAGCCTTCTTCTCTCAACTCGTCAAAGTCATTCTCCATCCAGCTTTGTTCCATTGCTGATGAGGAACTGCGTTCCTTTGGAGGAGGAGAGGCACTCTGCTTTTTAGAGTTTCCAGTTTTTCTGCTCTGTTTTTTCCCCATCTTTGTGGTTTTATCTACTTTTGGTCTTTGATGATGGTGATGTACAGATGGGGTTTTGGTGTGGATGTCCTCTCTGTTTGTTAGTTTTCCTTCTAACAGACAGGACTCTCAGCTGCAGCTCTGTTGGAGTTTGCTACAAGTCCACTCCAGACACTGTTTGCCTGGGTATCATCAGCGGTGTCTGCAGAACAGCAGTTTTTGGTGAACTGCGAATGCTGCTGTCTGATCGTTCCTCTGGAAGTTTTGTCTCGGAGGAGTACCCGGCCGTGTGAGGTGTCAGTCTGCCCCTACTGGGGGGTGCCTCCCAGTTAGGCTGCTCGGGGATCAGGGGTCAGGGATCCTCTTGAGGAGGTAGTCTGCCCATTCTCAGATCTCCAGCTGCATGCTGGGAGAACCATTGCTCTCTTCAAAGCTGGAAAAAACTACTTTAAAGTTCATATGGAACCAAAAAAGAGCCCGCATTGCTAAGTCAATCCTAAGCCAAAAGAACAAAGCTGGAGGCATCACACTACCTGACTTCTAACTATACTACAAGGCTACAGTAACCAAAACAGCATGGTACTGGTACCAAAACAGAGATACAGATCAATGGTACAGAACAGAGCCCTCAGAAATAACGCCGAATATCTACAACTATCTGATCTTTGACAAACCTGACAAAAACAAGCAATGGGGAAAGGATTCCCTATTTAATAAATGGTGCTGGGAAAACTGGCTAGCCATATGTAGAAAGCTTAAACTGGATCCCTTCCTTACACCTTGTACAAAAATCAATTCAAGATGGATTAAAGACTTAAATGTTAGACCTAAAACCATAAAAACCCTAGAAGAAAACATAGGCATTACCATTCAGGACATAGGCATGGGCAAGGACTTCATGTCTAAAATACCAAAAGCAATGGCAACAAAAGCCAAACTTGACAAATGGGATCTAATTAAAATAAAGAGCTTCTGCACAGCAAAGGAAACTACCATCAGAGTGAACAGGCAACCTACAAAATAGGAGAAAATTTTTGCAACCTACTCATCTGACAAAGGGCTAATATCCAGAATCTGCAATGAACTCCAACACATTTACAAGAAAAAAACAAACAACCCCATCAAAAAGTGGGTGAAGGACATGAACAGACACTTCTCAAAAGAAGACATTTATGCAGCCAAAAAACACATGAAAAAATGCTCATCATCACTGGCCATCAGAGAAATGCAAATCAAAACCACAATGAGATACCATCTCACACCAGTTAGAATGGCAATCATTAAAAAGTCAGGAAACAACAGGTGCTGGAGAGGATGTGGAGGAATAGGAAAACTTTTACACTGTTGGTGGGACTGTAAACTAGTTCAACCATTGTGGAAGTCAGTGTGGCGATTCCTCAGGGATCTAGAACTAGAAATACCATTTGACCCAGCCATCCCATTACTGGGTATATACCCAAAGGACGATAAATCATGCTGCTATAAAGACACATGCACCCGTGTGTTTATTGGGGCACTATTCACAATAGCAAAGACTTGGAACCCAAGTGTCCAACAATGATAGACTGGATTAAGAAAATGTGGCACATATACACCATGGAATACTATGCAGCCATAAAAATGATGAGTTCATGTCCTTTGTAGGGACATGGATGAAATTGGAAATCATCATTCTCAGTAAACTATCGGAAGAACAAAAAACCAAACACCACATATTCTCACTCATAGGTGGGAAATGAACAATGAGAACACATGGACACAGGAAGGGGAACATCACACTCTGGGGACTGTTGTGGGGTGGGGAGGGGGAGGGATAGCACTGGGAGATATACCTAATGCTAGATAACGAGTTAGTGGGTGCAGCACATCAGCATGGCACATGTATACATATGTAACTAACCTGCACATTGTGCACATGTACCCTAAAACTTAAAGTATAATAATAATAATAAAAAAAGAAGACAACAAATAGAACCCAGAGGAAACACAAATTCTAAGGAAGAGATAAATGAAAGTGTTAAAGAGATCTTGGGATTTAAGTATTTGACCACCTTGGACCAATTTCTGTTGAGTGGTGAAGTCAGAAGTCAAAGTGTATTTCATTAAACTAAGGAATGAGTAGGAGTTGAAGAATTACAAATTATGACAATGGTTTTTTTTAAGAATTTTGGCAATGAAGACATAGGGGCTTGGCCATACAAATCTTTATGAATCTATTTTCCTTGTCTGCTTGCCACTTAAAAGGCTGGAAAGACAGTAACATGTTTTCTACCATGCTTTGCCGAGGATGCTATTAAATGGTATGCATCATTTCTATTTTGAAGGTCAGGAAATTGAATCAGAGGAAGCTAAGTGACAAAGCAGTAAATGGTAGTATTTGATGGTAACAAAAAATCCAACATCTCTTAGTCTGCTTCCAAAACATTTTAATTTCCTCCTGTGCCACAAAGTCTCAGGAATATGACATGGTGACAAGGAGATGAAGAGGGTAGGAGATACTGTCAAGTAAAGTTTTTGTTTGTTTGTTTTTTAATAGGCTGAGGGCAAGGAATTGGGACTTTGTGGAATACTAAGAGGAGAGAAAATGGGGATAATAAATGAAGTACAGTCAATCTAGAATATAGTAGGAGATGAAATCCATAATCCTGAGAAAGATGAACTTTGCACAACCTAGGTATTTCCCCATTCGAGACTGAAAATAAGAAGTAAAAATACTTGTTACAGTGTGCAAATCTAAAAGTGATACAGAGAGAAGCAAAGACAAAGCAGCCTTGAGACCAGGACTCTCCTTTGAGAGTGGGAGTGAGGATTGAGACAAGAAACAGGAGCACGAGAAGAGAAGTCAATATTTGGCAGAGCAGCAATCCTGGTGTGTGGGAGGACGGTCTGGCCGATGGTCTGTGAGGGACCACAGAACACAGCATGAGTTCTGCTGCACCTGGAGGTGGTTAGCTACAGTCCATGTAAATTTTGATATGGCCAGAAATCCTGACCCTGACTTTGAATCATGACTTCGACTTGGATATAATCAATTCATTATCAAGCCTTATCAATTATCCAAATTATTTATCAGATGCTCCTTTGTCATATTTTTCCAAGGACCTCAAAATAGGAAATCATATTTATTGGAATTATTACCAATGACTCTAATACATTTATTGCAAAATACTTGAATACATTATCAGAGATATATGCTAGTCAATCTAGCATTTATATATAAGAGAACAGAAAGGCACTCAAATACATAAAGGCTAAAAATATATATCCAATTTTAGCTTAGTATTTAAAATTTATAATTAGAAATTGAGCATATCTGTTTGAAGCTCTGTTCCTCTTTCAATACTACTAGCTCAATAGGCTGTAGTTTAGGGTAAGTTACTTAACCTCTCTAGTTAAGTATTTCCTTAATCTGTAAAATTAACACACTTGTGTCTTTACTGTGAAGATGAAATGAGAAAATGAACATAAAGTGTTTAACAAAGTGGCTGGAATGAATGTGGTAAGTTCTCTCTCTCTCCTCTCTCTCTCTCTGTATACGTATACATTCATATATATGCATACACAGAGAAAGAGCACTTACACATATGTACGTGTGTGTATATATACATATACATACATATATATACATATACAAACCTATATATAGAGTTCTATCAGTCAAGCAAGAGATTAAACAAAATTTCTGACTGAAAAAAGGAAAGTCATGGTATTAAATAATTTGCAGTGAGTATTGAAACCATATAAACATAGAACATAAGGTAAATAAAGTTGAATGTAATTATAAGAGAGAGCAAATCTTTCTCTGAAATCACTGACATGGACATTCTAGTCCTCCAATATACCTCTCATCCTCTTAGATAAAATGCTTACTTATTCACACTATAACAGGCATCTCTGGTTTCACTGAGACATCAATTTCAATTTCTCCCTATGCATTATCCATTAGCTACCCGCTACCATCTCTTCTATTTGTTATGGCTTCCGTGATCCATCTTTTAAACCACTTTCTTGTGAATACATAAAACTCGTTTACTCCAGTGTCTTCCCAACTCCTTGGCAAAAAATATCAATTTTTAATGAATATAATTATTTTTAGTTTGTATACATAACTCTAGGGATAGTAGCTGTGTGCTACTAGAGATAATGTAGAAACAAATAAACTGATTCCTCTGTTAATCTGTCCTTTTCTGGGGTTTAAAGCCTGGCAAGTAATCTTGTGATATTTTTCTAGTTAGATTCCTCTCCCTATAACCACAAAGACAAATGTAAACTTTCTCTTCCTTAAACCTTCGGTTCAGTCCTGTCCCATTCGATCTCAAAAACTTATCTTCCTTCTTATTTTACTTAGACAATGGATGGGAATATAAACTTTCTTCTTTCACACCCATCCTTTCCTCCCTTGGCGAGGTTGTAGTGATAGAGGTGCTTCTAGAAAATCAATACCTCACCTGGATTCCCATCATTTACTTTTCTGTTTCAATTTGTTATCAATAAGTTGATAAGAAATATAACATTCCCCTTCTCCGCTCTCCTCCTTTCTCCTGAATTCTTTTCATTTATGCTTACATATGCTCAATTTCTCACATCCTAAAAGAAATAAACAAAATACTGACTTATGTACCTTTTCTGGAGAGCAAAATCACTTCAATTATTGTCTACAACTCATTGATTTCATGTCCTGACTCTCACTCTTCAAACAAAGCTAGTCTGGCTTCTGTACCCACCATTTTAATGAAACTGCTTTGTCCATGGTAACCACTAACTCTGAGTCACTAAATCCTCAGTGGTGTATTTAAGTCTTTTTCCTAATAGATTCCTCGGCAAGATTTAACACAGAAAAAAATATCCTACTTCCTTAAGTGTTCTGTCTTTCCTTGGAACTTCTGTCAGCAGATTCTTTTCTCATTGGTCACTAATTTTCCATTTTTACTCATTCCTTCAATATTGTAGTTTATCAGGGCTTAGACCTTTTCAGCTCTCTGTAGGTGATATAACCCACTCTCCTAGGTTCAACTATTAGCTATATGCCAACTACTCTCATTTCTCTTCCTCTGGACTAGACCTTTCTTCTGAACCCCAGGGTCACATCCCCAGCAGCACACTTTTATCTCCACTTGAATATTCATGGATTTCTCAACTCATCCTATCTAAGCCCGAACTCATCTCCTCCTCTCTACCCTCTTCCTCCTCCACTGTTCTCCATCTCATTTGTGTCACCCCCTTTTCTAAGCAGAATTCCAAAATGGCCACAATCTCTGGTGTACATGCCCTCTGTAACCCCTGGGACTGTGAACAACACCGATTTCACTTGTGTTATTGAGTTGTCATATAGTACAGTTGTCTCTAAGTAATCACCTGAGCCCTATAAAAGTGGAGAAGGGAGTCAAAATTTCAAAGAATGGGAGAGACTCAACATAGCATTGCTGCCTGCAAGATAGAGAAGGCCACATGATAAGGAAATGCAGGTGGCTTCTTAGAGAGAGAACAGACCTCTGGTTGACAACTAGGAAGGAAAACAGGGCCCTAGTCCTACAACCTCAAAGATCTAACATTCATCAAAAAGAATGAGCTTGAAAGACAAGTTTTCTTGAGAGTCTTCAGACAAGAATACAGCCCAGTCAACATCTTGATTACAGTCTTGTGACACTCTGAGATGAGGTTGCAGCCATGCCATACCTGACTTGGAAGCTACAGAACTGTAAACAAATAAGTGGGTGCTGTTTCAAGCCAAAATTGTGTGGTAATTTGTTATGCAGCAAGAGAAAAATAGTACATCATCTGTCAACGGAGTTTTTGAGAGTCAAACAATCCTGAAAACTATCATTACTTTCTTTCTGTTAAGTTATTCCAAAACTCAATCAGTCAATGAGTCTTACAGACTCTCTGTCATGTATTTGAATCTACCCAGCTCTGCATATCCCCTTGATACCATCCTAGCCTAATTTGTTACTGTCTCTTGAATAGAACTCTGAACTACATTCCTAATTTGTTGCTCCCAATTCATGCCTGCCTCAATCTAATCCACTCTTTACAATGTAGCCAGGTGTATTTTAAATCAACCACGGATCATATTACTCTCTCTTCAATGTCGTCATCTCGCTGATAGTAACAACACTGTTAGTTCCATTCCAAGTATCTCTCTGACTCGAGAGGCACTGCATGGGATGTTCCCCTTTTACCAACACCTTCTTCCATTCCCTACATGAATGTCACCCATTCCCTACGCAACAGTCTCAAATGCTTTCTTTCAACTCCTGTCATGTGCTGTGCTTCTCTCACTGCAAAGCTCAATATATTCTTCTCTGTCTCCTACATATGCTTTTGATCTCCTTCCATCTTTCCTTGTCTAGTTAATTCATGAGCATCCTCAGGTCTTAGGTTACATGATACTTTATCAAGACAACTTTCCTAATATCCCCAAATCAATGAAGTCTCCAGAATTTAATGTCCACTGTTCATGTTGGTCTCCACTGAGAACACTAACTTCCCCTATCTCCCCAGCACTTGACACAGACACTGAGTAAACCTTTTTAAATTGCTTACTTACTTGGTTATCAAGCCATATTTTCAAAAAGAAAGAAAAGTTAAATAAAGCCATAACCAGCCAAATCAACCAAATAATTGTCTAGTCTACAGTCTCAGTCATTACATGACAAAAACGGGGAGGCAAATGGGAGCGAGTTGAGAAAGAAGGAAAGACTTGTTAATTTCTCATGTATAAGGATGTATTTAATAACTAGTTACATATTTAATTCTCATGTAAAAAAACTCAAATAAGTTGATAACAAATATAACCCATTTTTCAAGTAACCATATGCTTCCTCTAGTACTTGCTATTTTAGGATGAAAATTGTATGAGTATTGGTATGAGCCATGTTTTTCTTATCACAGCCTCTAGAATCCTATGGATGTACTCCAACTATGTTATAGCTCATCTACATATTTCATATCAAATTAATATTGTTAAAATTATTTATTCATTACTTTTTTGAGGTAAAAATATTGTTTCAGAGCCAATGCATTGTATTTATCTGCTTCATGGAGTCTACAATATTACAGAAATCTGCTGGAGGTTTTCTTTAGTTCCAATTGTGTACTTCATAATCCACATGGAAAAACATTCAAAATGTGAATTCAATTGTTCACCAAAAACAATAGTAAGTGGTGCCAAATTGAAACAGAAACAAGCAATACATCTTATATCAGTAACACATGTGGAAAGAGCAAAGTGAAATTATAAACTTATGAAAGTTAATAACAAACTCTATATTATGGGAAGTAACAAGACCACTAATAATCATACCATTGCACACAGAGTGCAACTGAGAAACAGATGTTTTAAGTGAAAATGTCTTAAAGCTGAATCCACTAATAATACATATACTAAAACACACCATTGCTCCCCAACTGTTTATTGGTTTTCCAGATTCTGCAAAGGCACTGTTTTTATAGCTGTCTTTATGACTCAGAGCATAAATATGCAAATACCCTAATGCTTATTTTGATACTTTGATGCTGACTCTCAGAGTTACTTCAGTGCATCTTGGTATGCAACTAATACAATGGGCATAAAGATAAATTGGTCACCAACTATAGCAAGTTTTATGTTATTTTAATGCATCCTCAACTTTGTTTTAATATTATCTATATCTTTATAGATAGTTTAATATTATCTATATCTTTAATATTATCTATATTTCTGGAAAAAGTTGGGACTATAAATTTTCCATTTTATTGCATTTATGTTTTTTTTTAAACACCACAGTTCTCACAGATATTTGAGGGTTCTTTGGGTCTGTGTACTATATGAAAATTTTAGCATGTTTATGGGAAACTGTCAATTAAATTAAGATATTATGTTATAATTCAATTTAGGAAACAAAAAGAACTTTCCAATGTATTTTTCGGTCATCATTGTATGGTAGTGCCAGAGAAAATATTTAAAGATTGGTATGAATTAGAAAGTAGTACAGGCCGGGCGTGGTGGCTCACGCCTGTAATCCCAGCACTTTGGGAGGCCGAGGCGGGCGGATCACGAGGTCAGGAGATCGAGACCATCCCGGCTAAAACGGTGAAACCCCGTCTCTACTAAAAATACAAAAAATTAGCCGGGCGTAGTGGCGGGCGCCTGTAGTCCCAGCTACTTGGGAGGCTGAGGCAGGAGAATGGCGTGAACCCGGGAGGCGGAGCTTGCAGTGAGCCGAGATCCCGCCACTGCACTCCAGCCTGGGCGACAGAGCGAGACTCCGTCTCAAAAAAAAAAAAAAAAAAAAAAAAAAAAAAAAAGAAAGTAGTACAATTAACCAGTCCTAGAAACGTCTGCTCCACTTGTTCCACTGAGTTAAGGACTCCACATTTGTATTTGTTAAAACATTTGCATTGTGGCAGAATTTCTAAGGAGTAAGATTCACCAGACTTATCACTGAACATTTTACTAAAAAGCGTTGCTTTTGTTTGGCAATCTTCCTAATCATAAAGTGATTTTATTTTAAGATGTTAAAGTTGGTTAAATGGAGGAGACACTGCTATTGAAAGAAACAAATAAATTAAATGTAGTCTTTGTTAAATTTTCTTATTAAGATTACATATTTTAACAAAGATAAGTGTGACAGTAAAAATATTTGCTTTTACATAGGCAGATAGAAATACTCTCCACATTTCTTGAGAGAAATTCTGAAAGTGAAAGGACAGATTGTTAGATCTAACCAAAAGATTATGAGGAGATTAATCATCTACCAAGGACTGTGAGTTTCATGGAGTATGTGTCACAGGGGATAACTGGAATGTAAGTATGCATTTATAGATGGTCTTGCGGCCATGAATCCCATTTGGGCAGCTATGTCTGGAAGGCAGTGGTAAATCAGATTCAAAATCTGCAAATATGATTGTCCTGGTTCTGCATGGATTATCGAAGCCTAAAAAGAGCAGAACAAGCCTTTTTTGTTATCAACTTGTGCAGTTTTGCTGGGCAGATAAGTGCTGACTTATTCTATTACTTACTGATTTCTGCCATCTTATGACCAATTTGAGCAGGCTGACAAAGTGTTGAGAAAATCCTGTGATCTATTACTGTCCTGTATTTCGCTGGCAAAAAAAATTCTGTTCTCTACATTTACCTGCATTCAAAAATGTAGAAACTTGTACTTCAACTCGAATATTATTTTTCACAATTAAAATTAGGAATATTTCCTGCAATAGTGTATTATTTTTATCTATTATATTTAAATTTCTTTTTCAAAATGCTTAATAGTTTAAAGCAGTTTGCTGCCAAAATTTCAAGACAGGTTCTTACAGGTGATGTTTCTTATAATTTCATAGTTTTATTTTTTAAGTTTTATGTACTTGATTCTCATTGTATATTACAAAACTAAGAAATACAAAGAATGAAATGAATAAATATCTTTAGCAATTAATGTAAGGCCAGCATCAACCATGAGTATTTCTAATTGGATGTACTGACAGATCTCACATCCTTAAGAATGAAGTGGAAAAATGACTCAACATTCCTCTAATTAGCATGCATAACAGCTTTGATACTCTGTATTAATTCCTTCTTTAATTGATTTTGAGGTTAAATGGGTATTAACTAAACAATATTTTATTGTTTACTGGTCAGTTTAGTGCACTTTATTACAAACTAACTCTATGGCTTTTACTTCTATTGTATATCCATGAAAAAAGGGGCTGCAGGGTTCATTTAGTCAATGAAGAGAAAAAATTAATTTACATGTTGATGAATTATAAGGAAAAAAAGCAGCTTTACCTTAATTGCTTTAGGGAAGTAATAGATAGCATTCTCCCTTTGAAGACTTTAAAATCAGTCAAATTGAAATAAATAGTTACAATATATCCTGACATATACCATTTGGGTTACAGGATAATATTGGCAGAGTAACAGCATTTCTCCTTGAATGATATAAGCAGTTTCGTAATGCAATATACATTTTTTGGAAGTTGGGTTTGTGGAGGTATAATTTATATACAACAAAATATACCCTATATGTAGTCACAATTCTATTCATTTAGACAAATGCAGAGTTATGTATCTGTCACCACAATCAAGATATAGACCATCTCCATAACTCCAAAGAATTCCCGCACACCCCAGTGGGCGTGTGGGAAGCAGTGGTCTTCCCACATGCCCACTGAAAACACCAGTCTGTGTGTTCTCTTCCTGTAGTTTTGCCTTTTTGAGAAGGTCACATAAAATAGAACCATTTAGTATGTAGCATTTTGAGTCTGGTTGTTTTCACTTGATATATTAAAGATTCACGCATGTTGTTGCATGGCTCATTCCCTTTTCTTACTAAATAGTATTACTTTGTAAGGATGTATACAAATTGTTTATCCATTTACTTGTTGATGAACATACAGATAGTTCTCAGTTTTTGGAAATTCCAAATAAGGTCGTTTTTAAAATATTCATACACAAGATTTTATGTGAACCTGTTTTCATTTCCCTTGGGTAGGAGTGAGATTGTTGGGTTGTATGGTAAGTGAATGTTTAACTTTATGAAAATCTTTCAAACTGTCTTAAAAAGTCATTGCACCATTTTGCATTTTCACCAGCAATGTAAGAGAAATTTAGTTCCTCTTCTTCTTCACCAGTATTTGATATTGTCTTTTAAAAAATGTAGCCATTCTAGTAGGTATGTAGTAGTATCTAGTTGTGATATTCATCTATACTCATCTTATGACTAGTGATATCACGCATCTTTTTATGTGTTTAATAATAATAATAATAATCTGTGTATCTTTTTGTGGTTTGTTTCATCAAATATTTGGCTAAACATTTTGAGGGGGATTTCTTGTCTTACTATTATTGAGTTGTAAGAGATTTTTAAATTTATTCTGCATTCCAGTTCTCTTCCAGACAGGTTTCTTGCAAATATTTTCCCTCAATCTGTGGCTTGTCTTTTTGTTTTCCACACAAAATTTTTGAATGAACAAAAGTTTAAAATTTTGATTAAAAACATTTTTTTTGAAATCATGCTTAGATTTTTCTACATAAGACGGCTTTATATTAAATAAAGCCACAAATGTTTTCTCCTATAATATTCTCTAAAAATGTTTAAATTTTAGGCTCTATCTTTAGGGATATAGTCCATTTAGAGGTATTTTTTTGTGACTTAAAATATATGTCAAAATCATTTTTTAAAATATATGAAGATTATATTTTCCAGCACCATTTTTACATCCTTCTTCACTGAATAACCTTGACAGCTTTGTCAAAAATCAGTTGTGTATCTATGTAGATCTATTTCTTCACTTTTTTTTTTTTTTTTTAAATGAAGCCTTGCTCTGTCGTCCAGGCTGGAGTACAGTGGCATGATCTCGGCTCACTGAAACCTCTGCTTCCCAGGTTCAGTGATACTCCTGCCTCAGCCTCCTGAGTAGCTGGGATTACAGGTGCCTGCCACCACACCCAGCTAATTTTTGTATTTTTAGTAGAGATAGGGTTTCACCAAGTTGGCCAGGCAGGTCCCAAACTCCTGACCTCAAGTGATCCGCCCACCTTGGCCTCCCAAAGTGCTGGGATTACAGGTGTGAGCCACTGCACCCTGCCTATGTAGGTCTATTTCTGAACTCTCTGTGCTCTTTAATTGATCTATGTGTCTATCATTTAACCAATATCATGCTCTCTTGAATACTGTTGCTTTATAGTAAATCTTGAAACCAGGTGCAGTGAACCCTCTAGCTTTTTTCTTTATTGTCTTTGAAAATTGTTTGGGCTATTCAAATTCTTTTTTTTTATGCAAGTATTGAAGTTAGGTTGTCATTGTAATTTGTAAAAATTGACATCTCAACAACATTGAGTCTTGTACTCCATGGGCATGGTACATCTCCCCGTTTATGTAGTTCTGTTTGGTTTGTCATAAAGGTGTAGTATATGTTTTTTAGAATTATATTTTTAAAGTAATTCATGTTTTGGTGCTATCATAACTATTGCTTGTAAGTGTAAATTTAAAAAGTTTTTTTGCTAGTTAAAATTCAGTTGATTTCCTATAATAGCGTGAAAACTGGCAATCTGACTGAGCTCACTTTTTATTTCTAATACCTTTTTAAGTATTTAATATTTTCTTTGTAGACAATATGTCATCTGCCAATAGAGACACTTTTATTTCTCCTTTTCCTATTTATATGCATTTCATTTCTTTTTATTGTCTGCTTGCACAGGCTAGAGCCTTTAGTGTAATGTTAAATAGAAGAGGTAAAATAAAACATCCTGGCCTTATCATTCTTTCACCTTTAAATATAAGGTTAGCTGTAGCTGTTGCAATTTAATTAGGTTGAGGAAGTACCATCTAATTTCTAATTTGCTTTTTATACTAAATGGCTATTAAATTTTATCAAAAGGGTTTCTTCATCTTTTGCAATAATTACATGATCTTCTTCTTAAGTCTATTAAAAAGTCTGTATGATGAAACACATTGGTTGATTTTTAAATTTTGAACCAATCTTGCATTTCAGGATAAATCTCACTTAATCATGAGATATTATACTCTTTATATATCTCTGGGTTTAATTTGATAAGATTTTAGTGAAGATTTTGCATCTATGAAGAATTTCTGATATTGACCGTTTGTTCTTCTCTTTTTCCCAATGAGTCTGGCTAGAGGCTTATAACATTAATATTTTCAATTAACTCACTTTTGTTTTCATTTATTTTCTCTGTAATTTCATTATTCTCATTTTTATTGTATTCTTCTATTTACTTTGTATTTAATTTGCTATTGTCTTTGTAGTTTCTTAAGGTAGGAGATTAGAACATTGATTAGATCTTTCTTCTTTGCTAGTATAAATATTAAATGCTATAAAATTTCCCCTAAGTATTGCTTTAGCCAAATTTAACAAGTTTTGATATGTCGTGTTTTCATTTTTATTGAATTCAATAGATTTTTCAGTTTCCCTTATGACTTCATATTGATCCATGGAGTTTTTCAAATTATGTTATTTCGTTTCCAAATATTTTTCCACATATCTTTATTGGTTTCTAGTTTAATTCCAATAGGTCGGAGAATATACTTTGTACTATGTTAATACTTTTAAATTTGATGAGGCAAAAATATTATAGCATGAGCACTTCTTTGTTTACATTATGGCAAAACATCTTACAAATGTTTGTAAACTACAGTAGATACTTCATATTGATGACCACAATTCTTTACCCAGCTCATTATGGCTGGGGTATTCTGCCACACCTCTTGACTCTAGACTCAACTGTATGACTTGCTTTGACTAATGAGATATTAGAAAATGTGATGCAAGCAAAGGCTGGAAAAAGGTCCTTACATGTTTTTACCCTTCTTTTTTCCTCTGTGACCACCACGAAATCATGCCTGGGTCAGCTTTCCCAAAGATGAATCACATGGAACAGAGCTTGGGTCTTTCACCTAAAGTCATACTGCCCATTCTACAGCTGACTAAACACTCATGAACAAGCACAGCAAAGATTGGCATAACTACCCAGCAGTCTTATAAACTCATAAATAATAATGTAATAATAATGTATAGCTGTTATTTTATACCACTGAATTATTAGGTGGTGTGCACTTTCTTGCCTACTTTAGCTTTTCTCTTTCTTCCATTTCTGAAATTGCCATGAGAACATATATAGAGATCTACATGGAGAATATCCTCAGGCTAGCCTGCTGGAAAAGAAAATGTGCAGAGTAGAGTCACATAGAGAACAGAATTCAGTTGTCACAGTCGAGGTCACTCTATCCCAGCTCTAAGCCATAGTTGACCTAAGCTGCAGGGGAAAGCCCAGGCCAGACTAGAAGAAGCTCCCAGCTGACCACAGCCTCAATTGCTGACCTGAGGCCAATGAGTAAAATAAATTGCTATTGTTTAAAGGCCATGAAATTTGGAGTGTTTTGTCACATAGCATTATTGTGGCAATAGATAACTGATAGAAAAACCAATAATCATTTGTACTTTATTTTGAGAATGAGAAGAGCTGTAGAAAAGAAAATAATAGGGTGTTTGTATAATGTTTTACAGGACTTCAGTGGAGCAGTGAAGAGAACAGGAAAAAGCAGGGATAATTTACTTGATCTGCTCATATTATTCTCCACATTGTTCCTCCAAAAATGACAGAGCCTACTTTGCATGTTTTAGTGACACAAATGGTTAGAAAATGAAGGGTTCACATTTTATGAAATCTTGTAACATCTCTAATTCATCATTTCTGGTATTGGTAACTTCAGTGTTTTCAGTATTTTAATAATGATAACTATAATTTCTTTTTAGATATGATTTTTATTCTCCTAGAGAAGCACATAATTTCTATAGAAATACATCTGCAGTTTGATAATGAGAACCATTGGAAAACAGGCCAGGCTTGCAGTAACTTACTTGTAGGCAATTATTCTGGGACATAGTTTAAAGAATTTGAGAAATTCTTACAATTCAAAATGAGTTCCATCTCCCTAAATTTTCATAGGAAACATAAGGTTGAGCTTTTTCTCTGATTAGCACAAAAGCTCTTTCTTCAGAAAATCTTAGGAAATGTCACAATACAAAAAGATGGTTAGAATAGAGGTGTTCAGTTGCAGAATGTAACTATTGCACTTCATTTTTACATAATGATATTATTAAAAATTGTAAGAACTTTAAATGTATTTGCATAAAAGAAAAACATTTGAAAAAACGTAGATCTACTCTAAAGACTGTATAAACAAAAAGCTCAAATTGCATATTTGTGGTCTTATTCCATTTATTTATTTATTTCTATTTATTTATTAACCCTTCTTTTTTCCAAAAAAGGTTAGAAAAAAGGTCAGTTTCTTGAAAGGTTGGGGTAATGGGCATTTAATGGCAGCCATGTTTTGACATATCCAATGAATTCCGTGAATTTGTATTAGGTTGGTCAAAGACCTGCCTTTCTAAAGTTTGGCCCTTATAAAAAATCATTTCTATCTTAAATAGGCAAATTCTTGTAAAATCCTACTTTATTTTTCTTTTGAATAGTAACACTGTTTAACGTGGATCACTGTACTCAGAAAAAAATCTTTGCAGGCTTATGTGACCAGTGCAGCAGTAAGCATTAAGGTAGCGTATTCAGTACTGGTGATACTTAAGGAACAGGATAATATAGTCAAGAAGATTCACTTAAAAGGAAAGTGTAATTAAGTTGCAAGACCATATTTGAATCACAGCTCAGATACTTATAGGCTGTGTGACCTTAGGAGATTGGTTCAACTTCTCTAATACCACTAGGTTTAACTTTTCTAAGGAGAATATGGATATAGTGGTGATACCCATTTCATAGGATTAATCAAGGTTCAATGAGGTGATTTTCAATCTCCTCTCCCAGATTAAGGGTAGATGGCTGGGGTATTGGCAGGAGGCTAGCACTGTATGATCCTGGGTGGACAAGACAGCTGTATTGATTGTGGGGCATGAGATAAGCAGGGGAATCAAAGTAGCAGCCATTACTGAGGACAGGAGACAGAAAAACTGTGAAATATTCAATAACAATAAGATTAATATTAATAGTGATATTAAATATCCAGAGTTGCTGTTGTGCCAACCTTAAGTGAGTTAAATATATTTTCTCATTTAATTCTCAGAAAAATCTCCTGAGATGGATATAACTGTTAGAAAACTGAGCAAGAAAGATAAAGTTACATCACAGCTACCAACTGATAGAGTGAAATTTAACCCAAGTACACCAACCCCAGAGTGAATGCTATAAACCACTGTGCTATGCTGCCTTTATACAAATCCAAAAAATTCAGATGGAGAAAAAATATTTATCCTTAAGCAATGTATGCAATTGCAATGATCAAAAGTGAACAAATAGGTTCTGGATTTTTAGTAGGTGGAAGGCAGAACCCATTCATTCATTCCTTCATTCAAGTATTGACTCAACACATATTTATTGCTTTTTATATGCTAAGAATAACACTGGCAGGGGAAAAACAAAACAGAAAATAGCCTCATGGAACTACATTCTAGTGGAGGAGACAGACACTAAAAATTAAATAGGTAGTATCATTTCAGAGAGTAAAAATATTAAAAATAAAATAAAGCCGAGTAAGGGGACAGAGAGGGGCTACTTCAAAAAGAGTGATTAAGGAAGGCTTCTCTGAGGAGACTGACATTTGATTGAAACCATTAATAATAAGAGGGATCATCTCTTTAAAAAGCTGGAAAGTAGTCCTTTAGCAGAGGGAACCATCAGCGTTAAAAGCTCTGAGGTAAGAACAATGCAATGTGAGCAAAGCTTAGGGCCAGAGGAGGAGATGAGACAGATCACTGAGAGCATGAAAGGCCAGGTAATATAGTGCCTGTGGAGGCCTTAGAGAGATTTCTGGAGGTACCATTTGACAGATCCACAGAGCAAGGCCATTTTCTATAATTACTCTTAGTGGAAGTTCCTACCATGAGTGGAAGAGAGATGTTAAAGCTACTGAGATATGTGTGAGATTGTCAGAATCATCTTCTTGTATCTGCTTAGCTCAAAGTATGCCATCAAGAATTACCTGTTACTGGGTGTGATGGTGCATGGTTGTGGTCCCAGTGACTTGGGAGGCCGAGGTGAGAGGATGGCTTGAGCCCAGGAGGACAAAGCTGCAGTGAGCTGTGATTGCCCCCACTGTACCCAGCCTGGGCGTGATGGTGCATGGTTGTGGTCCCAGTGACTTGGGAGGCCGAGGTGAGAGGATGGCTTGAGCCCAGGAGGTCAAAGCTGCAGTGAGCTGTGATTGCCCCCACTGTACTCCAGCCTGGGCAACATAGCAAGACCCTGTCTCTAAAAATAAATAAATAATCATTTGTTCATTTTTTTCTCATGCCTTTTTTCTTATTTATTTATTTATTTATTTATTTATTTATTTTAAATAAGCCTTAGCTGAAAAACCTCCCTGAAACATTTATAATGCAAAATGAAATGAAACCATCATTAAATTTAGGTTTTGCTGCTGATTAGGGACATGATGCTGGGCAAGTAATTCAACCTCTTTCAGTCTTAAGTTTCCTCATCTGGAAAATAAAGAAGGCAGGGGTTGGATTACTGATATATAAAGTTCCTTGTCTACCAAACATCCATTTTTCCATGTTTCTATGATCTAGATAGACAGTAGAATTTATATCCTAGTGATTCACTTTTTTTCCCTCACACATACAAAAAAAAACCTAAGAAAATTCAATGCCTGCAGTGCTCAAGACAGTATAGAGTAGATATTGCCACCAAGTACAAATGGATACACAAATAGTATACATATCCTATTAATTGTGATCTTCTCCTTACATCTGTCATGTTTTGACTTACCAAATATTCTCTTTAAGAGGGATTTTTATTACAGAAAACAAGATGCATGTGAGTTTATCTCAGAGCCTGTGATACATCAACCACTTTTGCTTCTTCCTTGATGTGACACAAGTTTTCTGGTCATTTCCACATGCGCTGTTTTACTCACCTGCTACTCAGTTGTCAGGCTGATGGTCACAGGCCTTCCGTGACAAGGAGTTCCACTGTCATACAGAGACATTAAATTGAACAACTTCTATCACAAGGAGTTAAACTTCTGAAACCTGCCACCTCTACTAAATAGAGGATTAAACAGAGGTTTAAAGTGAGTTCCCATTGATTAGTTAAAGGATTTATTTTGGGCATACTTAAAACTCACCTTTGACAGAAGTGTCAGCATATTCTGTTGAGAAGAGCAGATACACCCATCAGATACTAAGCTAAAGTCTAGCTTTTTAAAGAGGAGAGCTTTGATTTGTTAGGAACTGAAGAAAAACACATTTCTGGTCTGCAAAGTCACATCCTGTGGCCGGAAGGGTGTCCTTTGGAGGGAAATATATTTCTGAAGAGCTAACAGTTGTTTGAATTGAATTAGCTCAATACAAAAAAAATGATTAGTATTCTGTGCTGTTGCTTAGTATAACTATGGTGTTTTTTGAGGCTTTGTCTTTCGGCAAATTTTTGGTAAAAGTGGATTCTGGATTTTATATAGCTGGAGTGA
Source organism: Homo sapiens (assembly GCF_000001405.40). NCBI lineage: Eukaryota > Metazoa > Chordata > Mammalia > Primates > Hominidae > Homo > Homo sapiens. Next base: position 112,650,259 of record NC_000006.12, read on the forward strand.
ACCAACCATTTACTTTCAATGTGAACATTATTCATTTGAAGACAACAATGTTCATGCATTTTTTTGTTACATTATCTGTATGTATCACAAGCAACCATATTTCCTCAATTGGCAAATCAGGTTGGCCGTTTCCTGGTAAATTAAAGCCCATTTGGAATTTGAATAGATCTTATTTTGAACAAGCCTTTTCCCCGTTTCTGCTCTCAAATTGGCCACATTGGCTTAGAGCATACCCATCTAACCTGCACTTAGTTTTGGATAGACAGAATTTGGAGACTTGAATTAAAAAATAAGGAAGCTCCATGTTCACCTCACCCCACCCCAACCAAAGCAGTACCACTCTTATCTGAATTCCTGATCAAGTGCTGCTAAATAATTTTAAAACCACTGTACTACAAATAACCTAGAGGCAGTCAGTAGTTTACATGCTCCTAGATTTAGGAATTGCACAAACCCAGCCTTTCTTGTATGTTGTTGACTTTTCTATGTAATTCTTCTCTTGGAGTAGTCTAGACGATTCCACATACTGCTTGCTTTTGTGTCCTCTTTGAATTTTGAGGGGGGGATTAAAATATTGGGAGGGTTTGGTTTCTGGACAACTTTATTTCACTATGAAGTATTCCTTAATGGAAACCTTAAGACCAGTGGACTTTCTTCCTAATGTTTGAAAACATTCAGTACTTCTGTTACCTGACTTTCATAAATAAGCAAACACTTTTAGTTTCTGTGATATATTATAGATACTAGCACTATTGGTGCATTTGTTCCTGGTTTTGGGCCCAACCTACTTCTCCCAAATAAAGTCTGCTTATTTCTAAAATATTATTTGAGCTTGAAGGCACTAATATATTATAACCCCAATTTTATTCTTCATCATTTTACTTTCCAATGCATCCTTTGTTTTCTCTTCCTCCCCTGTTCAGATCCTCTTTTCTTCATATTAAACTATTTTGCCAGGAAGTTCTTTACTTTTCATCAGTTCACCGAACTTTCCTTAGCAGACCTAGTTTTTACCATCCCAGAACAGCTTGTGCCATACTTGGATTTCTGTAACTAGGTCACTGCTGCTGCAATTGTAAAGACTGAGCAGCCCTGTACAGAATGCCAACTGGCAAAGGCAGATCTCCAAATCTCCAGGCCTGCTCGTTGGTTGGACGGACCTACAGGGACTTGGGCTTCTACCATCTTTCTTGAGAAAACAGATGTTATGACCAGAAGTGCAGAGGAGTAATACCTTGTCTTGATAAGATAAACTTAGCCAACGGAAGCCAGGGGACAGAGAGAACCAGCAGATAAAATGTTTCCCTGATTAGTCCTTTCTGAGGGCAGCAGTTCATATGGCCTCTCTGGAGATAACTGCAGGTCATCAATGCCCAGCTTGGTAGGGGTTCCCTAACATGTAATCTTTTTCTTTCCCTGTTCCATTTCCCTTTCCCCTTTCCCCCTGTTTCTATGGGATTTTATTTCCCAGTAAAGTATAAGAACATGCTTTTGCTTCAGGCTTATTTTCTAGGGAAGCTAGCCTAAGATATTCCCTAATTTGCATCTCTCTTTTACTCCTCTCTTCTGAATTCCAAGGTCATATATCCCAAATATCCAATTACCTACTTGGCTTCTCTATTTGAACCTCCAGTTGTGACTCAGATCAACAGATCCAAAATATTCCCATCCCCAGAGATCCATAACATTATTTTTTCACTATTCCCATCTTAATAAATTACATCTTTAAACACCAAATTGTTTAAGCCTAGAGGCTGGGAGTCATTATTGTTTTGTCCTTTTCTTAACTCCCACGTATACTTAGTTCTTAATTATTATCAATTATATTTCTTAAACATCTTTCTAATCTCTCCCTGTATTTTTATCTCTACTACTGTTGTAGTAGTTCAAGGACCAGTAACCTTTACCTAGACTCTTATAATTGTTTCTGAATTAGTCTCTTTGAATCCATGCTTGTCCCCTTCAATTTATTCTCTAAATAAGGCCTGAATGTTTTTACAAATGCAAATCTCATCAGGTTATCTCCTACTTACAAGCCTTCATTAGCTTCCCATTGCTTCCCATTACCTTCGAATAAAATGTTCCATTATTGTTATGGTGAACAGGGCTCTACATACATCCTCAGTCTCATGTCATGCTCCTCTCATTTTTGTTCTCTGTGCCCTGGTCACACCAAACATCTTTCAGTTTCTCAATCAGATATGTTATTTTCCACCTCAGTAACTTCACAAATGCTCATCCTTCATCCTGGAATAGTTTGCCCATTATAGTTACCTGGATAATTCTCAAAGTTCTCTTAGGTTTCCAATTTTAGCATTAAAATTAAATTAAAATTAATGCTAATTTTATTGTGAAGATTTTGATGAGGTTCCAATTTATATCAATGATTGCTAACTCCCATATCAACCCAAACTTGTCTTTTGTAGCACCCATCATACTTTCGAAGATTTGCTAAGTTTCTATATCCCAGATAGACTGTAAACTCCATATGATCAGAGAGACCTTGTGCTAGTCACTGTTCTATTCCAGCTACCTAAATACTTTGTCCCAGCCTGTTACTCCACTGGGTCATGTAGCCACTCTGGTGAGAGCAAGCAACGGGGAGAGATTGCAGTGTCAGGTCCAGACAGCTAACATTTCAGAAATTTAAGCCTACTAAGAAAAGTTACCAAAAGAATAAGATCTGATATTATCTAGGCCATTTTTTTTTTTAGTTTGCTTTACTTAATTTTGTTTCTTTTCCTTAACAGGGAAAAGAAACATGTTAGAGGGATGTGTTCATTTGAAGGTCATTGCATTGAAGCATAATATCTAGAGATGGAATCAAGATAATCTCCAGTTTGCAAGCTCAGTGCAGTTTCCTCCCTCTCTCCCTTCCTCCCTCTCTCCCTCTTTCCCTTCCTTTCTCCTTCCTTCCTTCCTTCCTTTCCTTCCTTCTCTTTTCTGCATAACGAATTCTAGGACTTTAATAGTATTGTACCACAATAACTTTGTGAACAAATTTTAATGTAAAGAATACTATCTTGCTCTGTTCTCATTTCTTGGTTGTCTGTACAAATTCAATGCACTCATTTTTTATTCTAACTCAAAACATTCCTCTATATGATTTTAGCATCCTAGTCATCATCCTTCTTACAAATTCTTTCTTACTTCAACTCAAGTTCCTTCCTCTTTCTTGGGGTTTCATGAATGCTAAGGCTCCACATTATTTCTTTATTATTCTTACATCTCAATGTTTTTTGCTTAGTGAAATAAATTCTTCTGATTTTATTATTTCAATAATTCTATCTTCAACCATAAAAAGGAGAAAGAGATATTAATAAAAATGCCTGACTCTAAACAGTATCACTTAAATGATGCATTTCCCATTTATTTTACTTAAAAGAACAATTTCTTTCCATTTCTATATGATCACTGCTAATTACCATTTACCACACCGCCTTGTAGTAAATACGTATTTGTGAATGACTGCATGTATATAATATTATTCAGTGAATGAAGCAACAGAGTTCCAAATATCAAAATGAAGTAGTCTCCCAGTTCCCCCAATTCAGTCTGCTGTTAGTAAATTGAAAAATTTCTTGGATTTATGAAGTTAAATCCAGTTAAAAAATTAAGAATGACTAATTTCACTACTAAAATAAGTATGTATATGAATATGTATATATGTGTATGTGACTATATGTATGTATTTGTGTGTGTGTATTTGACTATTTTGTGACACAGAAGACAATTATTCCTGGGACCTATGTTTCCCATTGATTACTGGTTTGATGAAGCAAATTTGATTAGCTTAATAATCTCTTCTTCTTGCTTTATAGTTTTACATGTGCTCTTCTTAAAGCAGTTTATTCGGTCAAAAGAAGAGGACCTTCAAGGATATAACAGAAGCATTCTTTAGTCACCCTAATGATAGACAGTGAAGCAATCTGGTGAATGGTTAGGATGTTAGTGGGATGGGAGGATTTGAAAAGGAGCAGATATAGTTGAGTATTGGAAAGCAAGAATTCTGTTTGGTACATTTTAAGTTGAGAAGTCAATTTTATGGACGTCCAAGGAGAGATATTGCTTAGGTAGTTAAATGATTGAGTCAAACATTCATGGGAAAGGTGAGAGCTAAAAACATAAACTAGGGAGTTATTAGCTTATAAAGTTAACCTTTAAAGCCATGGGATTCAACGTTTCCACCTAGAACATATGTGTTGTTAGAGAAAAGTGTGAGGCTTGAGCCCTAGAGCATGACAATACGTAGACATCAGGAAGACGAGAAGGATCCAGGAAAGGATATAGGAAGGAGTAGCCAGTGAAATAGAAGGTAAGCAAATGAACAAAAATGTCCTGGAAGAAAAGTGAAAAAAGGTTTCAAGGAGGAGAAAGTGATCCACTGTGTCCAGTGAATTTGATGAATTAAATGAGGCAAGAAATGAGAATTGATCATTGGATTGTTAACCAGAGGTCACTGGTGACTGATAAATTTCAGTGGAGTGATCAAGGTGAAAGCAAGATTGGAGAGTGTTCACAAGATAATGAGACAGGAAGAACTGGAGACAGAAATAACTCTTTCGAAGAGTTTTCATCTAAAGGGCTTTAGGGAAATAGCTGGTAGCTGGAAGGAAACATGAGATTAAGAGAGGGTTTATTTCATTGTTTCAAAAGTTGAGATTTAATGTACATATTATGAAATGCACAGATCTTACATGTACTTAGTTCTGATAAATGCACATACCATGTGGCATGCACACTCTTATGAAGATATAGAGCATTTTTCTCAGTCCAGAACATCCCCTTTTAGCCATTCTAGTCAATACATATATCATCCTACTTTCCCTTATCTACTCCATATGAAGCAACTATTGTTCTGATTTCTCTCAACATAGAACATTCTTGCCTAGTCCAAGAGTTCGTATCAATGGAATCACAGGGTGTGTCTTATTTTGTGTTGTCTATTTCACTCAGCATAATGTTTTTGAGATTCATCATGTTTCTGTATATCTGAATAGTTTATTTATTTATAATTATTGGGTAGTATTCCATTTCATAAATAAATTACACACTGTTTATCCATTCTCCCATTTCTATTTCTGATACTTTCATTTAAGTGGGATTTTCTACGGTCATAAAAAGCCTATTCTATTACTCTAATAGTTCTGACCAGTATTAGTCTTGTATGAAAACAAAATCCATCTCCCTATAACTTCTAACCACTCATCTAGTTATATGTCCTGGACCCAAATGCAAAAAAAAAAAAAAAAAGCATTTTCTTTACATTTTCTCGTCTAGTATAAGCTTTCCTGGTTCTTTCAAATGTGTCTGATATGGCATATTCTTTTACTCCTTAAATTGCTCTCTTCTTGCTCCTGAGACTGTGATGATTTATGACTCTTGAAATAATAGTGCTAAGGCAAATAAATAAATTAATATAGAAATACATAAATAATCCAGATGTAGTTAGATCAATACAATGAGGAACTGTCACCAGTTATTCTATCTACTATATTTTATTAGTGCAACCTACAATCCCATCAGATTTTTCTTAGTCACATATTTCCTTTACAAATTTTGAGCTTATTTTCAATCATTATATTTGAGTGCATTTTTTGGAGTCGTGGTTTCCAAGTTATAATTTTTAAGTTAGTTTCTTGGAGCAACTAGCAGGGCTTTCCATTTATCCCTGTCAAGCTTTATTTAATTAGATATGTCACACTATTCCAATGTGTTGAGTTTCTTTTGCAATATTAGTTATTTCATACAATGTATTTTCCATATCACTCAGTGTCATATCATCTTATATGTGAGGCCACCATGAATATCGTTATCAAAATCATTTAGTAAAGTATTGATTGCATAGGCTGAGTGCTACTAAAGATAAGCCCTTTGATACACTTAAATACTTCTCTCAATATTTACTTTTGTCCCTATGAAAAACACTTTGCTGTTTCCAAACAATTTTAAATGTACATACTTGTGCTATAACCCAGCTTATATACATTTTTTTACCACAAGAATATAATGAAAGATGATGCCTTTTTGATACTCAGATTTCTAAAGGATTCCCCTGCTCAACCTTTCCAGCATCCTTGAAAAACAAGCAAGTAAAAATTGTTTTGAATTACTTTTCCTTGGAGACAACAAACTGACTTTAAAGATCAGTTTCCTTATTCTAAATGCCAATAAATGTTTTTAAAACATAATTCATTTAAGAATTTTCCCAGGTAATGGCATATAAATGACATCATGTCATAGCAAAAAGAAAATGCATAGGCTTTTGATAAAGAAAAACCTGATTTTAAATTTCAGCTATACAATCTTGAGCAAATTATTCAGGTTTCTTCAACTTTAGAATTAGGAAAATCATTTCTACCTCATAATGTTTCTCTCAGGATTAAGTAAAATAGTGTAATGCAGAGCAAGTGTTTGATACATTTATGTTGTTATTAGGCATCTTTCATTCCCCTTCTGATGTGCCCATATGTCAGAGACTACCAAGAGAAAATATAATCTGTGAGTCTTGAATATGCAGTTGGGAACAAGATCTAAACCTTTTAAAAGCCATTTCCAACACTCAACACTGTACCACTTTGAAGAATTATTTTAAACTTGTATTCTCATACCAATACTTGATCTATGTTTTTCAAACTTATTTGTTTTTAATGAAGCCATCTATTTTCTAGTGATTATATTTTCCTCTCTGTGTGCCGTGAATCAAATTTTAATAATTCATATTTAAGGCCTACTTCAGGCAGCATAAAATATGCCTAATTGTTTTGGTTTTATGGCTGTTTTGAACTGAATATTTGTGTTTTCCCCAAATTCATATGTTGAAACCCTAATCCCATTGTGATGGTATTTAAAAGTAGGGCCTTTAGGAGGTCATGTGAATGGAGCCCTCATAAATGGGATTAGTGTCCTTTCAAGAAGAGGCCAGAAGATTAGCTAGCCCTCTTTCGGCCACGTGAGGATACCACGAGAAGTCAGTGATCTGCAACCTGAGGGTTCTTACCTGAACCCAATCATGATGACACCCTGATATGGGACTTCCAACCTCTTGAACTGTGAGAAATGCATTTCTGTTGTTTATAAATCATCCCGTATATGGTTCTTTGTTATAGCAGCCTGAATTGACTAATATAATGGTAGAAAGAAAAAGGCAGAGTTCCTGCCACCTTAACAAATCAATAATTATTTAGTATAATTATTTTTAAAGCATTAGGCTCATGGGAAATAACATCTTTCAATAGAATTTTACATGATAATTATCTAGAATTATATGTCTTTTTCCCTTATAGACTCTCTACTTAATTGCTTCTAAATCTTTACAGTATTGGTCAGATTTGAAAACCTATTTAAATAATAATAATCATATTAATAATGGCTATTGATTATTATGAGACAAATCCTAAGGAATTCTCATAATTTACCAATTTAATTTTCATGAGCAAACCTATGAAGTAAATGCTCTTCCATTCTCATTTTACAAAATAGAAATTGAAGTATAATCCAGTAAAGCAGCTTACCCATGATAGCTTACCTACCCATAGCCCAGTTCCACCACTTACAAGCCATAAGTGGGATATGAGCCTAGATATCTGATTTGTTACTGTAAAAATAGTGAAAGAAAAAGGTTTTAGGAAGAAGTATACTTAAGAAGAATAATTGGGGGGCAAAAATAGATAAAACGGCTATGGGATAAATTTGTGTGGAAGTCTGTTTTCATGTCTTCCTTTGTTGGGCTCCCAAAGTTGATTCACAATGTTAGGAATTTTAGGAAGCATGCATTCATACACCATGGTTTATTCACTGGGCTGTGGTTGTATGCTGGCAAAAGAAGAGCACTCCATGTCTTCCCATTACATCCTATGGGTGGATCCAATGTCCTTATGCACTAATTGCAGAACAGGGAACTGTCTACCAACTTGCCTCCAGTGACAGGCAGGGTGCAGGATGAAGAAGACATTATCACACACCTATTCAGGGCACCCTTATAAAACATAAAAGGCATGTGCAGTTTTATTTCATAAGGTTACCCAGGAATTCTGTGTTAACCCAGAGTAGCTCAAGAGCATGTGTTTGTGACAATGGCTGAGGTTCTTGCAAGCATGGGGCCAGGACTGCAACTTTACCTATCAGTCTATGGGTGGAATGGACACATGCGTTTCCCATAGTTTATCTTCAATAGGTAGACCTTTCTGTGAACTTGACATGTGACCTTATGAACATGGATAGCGTCCTGCCAGAATAAGTGGTCCTCACATGGACAGACTCATGGCAATTAATTTTCATGTTTTATTTTGTATTTCACAACCGATTGTGTGGTGTTGCTGTTGTCGCCTCCCTCCCCAGCCTCATGAACACACATGTTGGAGAGATAGTTAGTGCAGTTATATAAACTATAAGTCGAAGCCATAACATATATGATAGAGCCAATTTGCTTGTGGAGTATAGGTTCCAAATAAAGGCAATCAATAAAGCAAGTGGTGTCTTGGCTTTTATTCAGTGATGCAAGCTTTTGAGGGATTTTAAAGGATCATTATCTTGCTAAGCCTTCCTTTGTGATATGTTCCATAGCAAACTAAATTACATAAAGTGAAGCATCTTTTTGTCATGGAGATCACCATTAGGTGATGATATGTTCATTGCAGTTCTGCTGCACTTATTTGCACAAGGTTAAGTATTTACAGAAATCTTGGTATGAAATTCAAGATGAATTTTTCTACTTTAGCAGAAATATTGTATACTTACATCCTTTAACTTAATAGTTTGTTAAGATAAAGGAAAAAGAGATTGAGTGTTTTGAGGAGAAAACAGAGGCATTAGAATTCAAGGTAATATAGATTCCTTCTTAGTAAAAGATGGTGTCATGACTCTCTTAAATATGTTAATGGCTTATTCTATACTGTACTATTATGAATGAATGAAATCACCAAGTATTAATGTCATGACACATTATAGAAAGAAAATCTGTTTTATTTTATTTGAAATTCAAAATAAAGCATTAAGGTGAATGACCAACATTTAAATAAGTTTATTAAGTGAAAAATTGTGGGAACTTACAAAAATTGTATGAATTTGCTGTTGGATGATACAAAATAATAGCTTTTTAGAAATGATCTATTCCCTATATAGTGATAGTCTTTTTTTTTTTTTTTTTTTTTTTCGAGACAGGGTCTCACTCTGTCATCCAGGCTGGAGTTCAGTGGCGCCATCTCGGCTCACTGCAAGCTCTGCCTCCTGGGTTCAAGCAATTCTTCTGCCTCAGCCTCCCGAGCAGCTGAGATTACATGTGCCCGCAATTGTGCCCAGCTGATTTGTGTACTTTTGGTAGATACAGGGTTTCACCATGTTGGCCAGACTGGTCTTAAACCTCAAGTGATCAGCCCACATTGACCTCCCAAAGTGCTGGGATTACAGGCATGAGCCACCATGCCCAGCCTTTTCCCTATATAGTGATATTCTATCTTATGCTTTGAATGCAGTTGGCTAAACACATTGGCAGTAGAATAGCTTTTAAATGCAAAATATCCCGGAAATAGAGAAATATTAAATTGTTGAGGGAGTATTTGGAGATACAGTCTAAATTTTCAATCATAAAAATTAAGGTCATGAAAATAGATTCACTAATTAAAAATTAGCTAAAAAGAAAAAGATAAAGAAAATACTACAATTTAATACACTTAGGTAAATCAGGTGTTCTTTGCACTTAGCCAATAGTAAGATAGTCAATTTAATAAATGACCTCAATATAAGAAGAGAAATCTCTCTTGCAATGGGTGATGCAAGGACTCTGTTCTCTTTTTTTTTCTTTCTCTGTTACTCTCAGTACACCACCCTGAAGCCTCTATGAAACTTATCTCTGATCTGTGCAGACAGAGTACAGAATGATTTAGTTCCTTTAAATGGGTCTTCTCTGTGAGGCCCTCTTACAGCATTTTAGGCAGAAGCCATCTAAGTGAGTAAATGCTAACAAGATTGAAGGGACTGGATGAAAGGAGACCCTGAGTCCCATTTAGATTCTTTTATTTTAGCAGGTAGTCACCCTGTTTAGGTTTTCTGTGCAGGGCTTGGCCTAATGTTGTGGGCTATGGGTCAACATTTTTCTTTTCAGAGCCTTCGTGTTATTATTTTGGTCTGCTTGGTTTACCTGGTGCCACTGCGGATCCCACTGGTCCCTGTGGTGTTTCCTGAGTGGGTGGAAGGAGCGCTCCAGGCCAGGTTGCCTGCTGCCTCTTGCTAGGGGAAGGAGGTCTCCTGCACATAGTGACAAAAAGTGTTTTCTAGGCTGGGTCACTTGTGGAAACATGATTCTCTTTGCTGGTGCCACCAGCCACCTGGTGTCTCTACATGGGAGAAAATGTTTTCTGGACAGTGAGGAACATGAAGCTTCCTGAGACAGGCTGGTTATTGGGACAAGTTTCCTCTTGCCATTGCAACCTGGCAGTCCAGCATCTCTGGGTTGGGATGAGGAGAGTCTCAGGCTCATGGGGGAAAGATAGCATTGCCTCTGGCAACTTCTTTTGAGCAGAGCCCCTGAAGAATTTCTGTTGCTACATCCGCCAGGCTTGCTGGGTGTTTTCAGCAGCCTCTCCATCCAGGAAAGGAACGAGTCTACCTGGGCTGCCTTCTGTTGCTAGATTGGGAGTTAGGAAACATCAAGCCTGGAGAGCATTCTTTGAGGGTGAGTGGGACATAAAATGACCTGTTGCTATGTTCCTCCTCTAGTTCTGCTGCCCCTAACCAGTTCTCTCTACTTTCCAGATTTCTCCTTTGATTGTTTCTTGCATTATTGTTGATATTTATAGTTGTACTTAACAGGGCAGAACAGGAAGAAATGATCCTATGCCCTGTTGTATGGGTGAAATTTCACTATAATTACTTTTTAAATGAGACAATTTTATGTCAATACAAAATTACATAAATTTTAGTATAAGTAAATTTTTAAATTAAAAATCTTACTATAGAGAGGAAAGATTTTAATCTAGAAAAATGAAAAAACTTAATTTCTTATTTTTGTGTGTCTTGTTAGGTTTTTGACACTTTAAGGGTACTCTATGATTGAATCAATTAAAATTGATAAAGACTGCCAATATTTACAATATAGTGACATCTGTCATTAGTGCATGAAAATTATCCTTTTGTGATACCAGATTAAATGAACAAAATGAGTTGAAGTACTACAGATTAATCATCTAGACCTTGTTTACATTTTTCATACATCTATTTCTAACTCATATCTCTTAATTCAATCTCTACCTCAGCCCAAAATGCATCCATACTTTATGTAGAATTCATATCAATGGAAAAAATCAGCTGAGAAGACTGAAAAGGAAGAGATGCCGTTATTTTTGCTTTTAAACAGGTAAAGAATACTATTTTTAGTCTCTCTCATTAAATATTTAATCTTGTTACTTTTTCCTTGGATCACAGGAATATGGTAGGTATTATAGAAGCTTGTATTAATCAGTCAAATCCAAAAGCAGATGTAATACTTGGTGAAAAGAAAAGGTGAAAATACCAGCATGTTTTCTTTGAGCTATTTTCTCCCATGCTTTCACCCTTTCACTATTTGAGATTTTCCTATAATCACTGTTTCTGTTCTCTACCTGCCATTATTTTCAAGGTGTCACTGCATTTATACAATAGGAGTGTGGGTGTGGTGGCGGGGAAGCCTCTGTACCTCAAAATCTCTGGCTAGTAGCAAGGCAGTTCACCAGGACCTACTGGATAGAAATTTTCCGATACTATAAAGTTTCTTCCTTATAAAAATTAAATTAAGTCTGGGCACAGTGGCTCACGCCTGTAATCCCAACACTTTGGGAGACCTAGGTGGGAGGATCACTTGAGGTTTGGGGTTTGAGGCCAGCCTGGCCAACATGGCGAAACCCTGTCTCTACTAAAACTACAAAAACTAGCCAGGCATGGTGGCACACACCTGTAATCCCAGCTACTCGGGAGGCTCAGGCAGGAGAATCACTTGAACCCAAGAGGCAGAGGTTGCAGTGAGCCGAGATCATGCCACTGCACTCCAACCTGGGCGACAGTGAGACTCTATCTCAAAAAAAAAAAATTAAATTAAAAAAATTATATGTAATACTTAAGGTGTCTATAACAATTTCGTGACAAATAATTATAATATGAAGTTCTGTGGGCAGAATTTGTGTGAATAATGTGCCAATGTTAACTGTGACTACACATTAAGTTCAGTCAGTGCATCCAACTCTAAGTGACTTTTTCATAGGAAAAGGTTGATACCTTTTTCCTAAGTGTTAAAAGTTTAGGAATAATAACAATAATGTCTATAGTCTGTGATAGACCTGTAAAAAATTGTATTATGCAGAGGTTTCACACATGCACATGTAATTCTTTAAAATATATTTGAACCTATTTTAGAAAATATCTGGGATTATTATAATTGAAGAATGACAATTGAAATGAAATGAAATAATTGTGCATATTAAATGTATATTATTTATTGTTCTGTGAAAAATAATTGAATTGCTTGCATCTTAGTTTGGCAAGAATAAACTAGCCTATTTAGGCCTTTTTAATAATGAAATGGAGTACTTATCATTCATATTTTCACAAGTACTTTGATTTTCTTCATTGTCATGCTTCTACAAGAATGTAAACAGACTTTATTTTAAAAACGTATAATTGTAAATTAGTAGAAGAAATGACAGTGACCTTATTGGCCTTAGAACATCAGTGTATCCTGGAGGCTCTCTCAGCTAACCAAGAAGATAGAGCTTGGGGAATGTATGGAGAAATTGTCATGGGAATATTTATTACTATTTTAGGGGAGCTTATAAGCCTTATTGCTAGTCTGAGAGCCCGTTAGCCTGTCTCCCAGAGACATCTGACCCTACTTCTCATTCTGAAACTCTGTGCTCAGGAAAGTGCCAGGGCCAGGATGTATTATCCTGGGGAACGTGAGTATGACAAATGAGGACTGGTGCATGCTGAACCATGGCACTGCATACCAGGTATGTTGTATAACATCAAGATTGATAGGACACACTTGGCTGAAATGAAGCAGTCCCTGGTATATATTCAGTCTGGCTTACATGCAGATTGTTAGAGACTTAAAAATATAAGACTTAACTTGAATGGGGAAATAGAACTTCCAAAGGTCTGATTTGGTGCTTGTTCAGATGCTATAATCTATAAACATGTACCCCTAGTGAGGATTAGGATGCTAAAGTGTAAGCCTTCATTGTCTACTTTAACTTCTTTTAGATAAGTGCACCTTATTTGATTTTACAAAGTGGGGTCTCTATTGGCTGTCTCTGACAATCAGCGCTTCCTACTGATATATGACAATATAGTGGTGCTGCAGTTACTCATACTCCACGTTTTTGTCCGCTTTGTGCTACTATAACAAAGTCCTGGAGACTGGGTATTTATAAAAACAGAAATTTATTTCTCACAGCTCTGGAGGCTGGGAAGCCCAAAATCAAGACGCTGGCAGGTTTGTTGTCTAATGCTGACCGCTCTCTGCTGCCAAGATGGCAAGTTGATGCTGCATCTTCCTGAGGTGAATAAACACTGTGTCCTCACATGGCAGAAGGGCCAGAGGGTGAAAAGGAGCAAACTTCCTCCACAAGCCGTTTTATAAATGCACCAAATCCCATTTATGAAGGTGGAGCCCTTATGACTCAGTCACTTCCCAAAAGCCACACCTCCCAATACTGTTGCATTAAGTTTCGGCATTCAACTCATAGCACTCCATGTTTTAAATGGAACAGCAAAGACCTCACTCTTTTATACTTATTTTAAGTTGCTTGATAATGGATCCAATTCTGCTTGGTGTTGGGTCATTATGAGATTGAGACTAAGTGACTGACAACCTTTAAAGCTAGCAAATAGCAGGATATTACTCAAAAGACTAGAAAAGCAAAGTGAGACCACACATCAATTAAAAATGATTAAAATTATACACTCCTGAGATATTAGTATGAAAGTTCTTTTTAATATATTTAAATGAATAAGATTATTAAAATAAGTCATGAAAATATACCTAAATACTTTCTAGTTTTCAAATACTCCTTTATTTTAACTTAGTTATTTAAGAAAACTTAAATTGTACTACATAAGTACACAAGCTTTAAAGTAACTGGAGGAAATAATTGAGGTGATTTAAAATGTAGTTTCTTTAATTTTTATTGGCAAAACTGCCTGAAAACAACTATTTTAAGATCTAAAAGGATGTATAGTCATGCTCTACATAATGACGTTTCCATCAGTGATGGACCAAATATATGATGTGGTCTCCTAAGATTATAATAACATATTTTTAGTGTACCTTTTCTGTATGTACATAGATTTAGATACACTAATACTTACCATTGTGTTACAATTGCCTTTAATATTCAGTATAGTAAAATCCTGTACAATTTTATTGCTTTAGGAACATGTAGCCTAGGTATGTAGCTGGCTGTACCATCTAGGTTTGTGTAAGTACACTCTATGATGTGTGCACAGTGATGAAATTGCCTAATGATGCATTTCTCAGAACTTATCCTTGTAGTTAAGTGATGCATGATCATATTTACTTAATCAATCACCTCTTGAAATTTTTAAGTGAATTACAACTTTTTATCTTAAATTTTAGCTTTCAAATTGGTGAAATTATGACCCATCCTTAATTTGAGTTGACTAAAGCTCTGCTGCATGGCAAAATTATTGGCAGGGAGTAATACTCAAAGACAGTTATTTCAAATGCTCTGATTGAACTTACATTTAATTTAATAATATTAAAATGTTATATGCAGTGATCTATAACTTGGGGTGACAACATATATTCTCCGTAATCTCAAGAAGAAATAGTGAGTCTCAGACTTTGAGAGTTATAACATGTATCTCAGAATATACATCAGATTTTTAAGTCCTCATTTAATTATTCAGTAGTGATATTTAATGTCACCACTTGCCAAATACTTTCTAAATTCATCAGAACTGGAAAAAATCCCAAGGATACACTAATAGCAGCTGATATTTATTGTCCGCTTACTCTGCTTCACATGAATCATCTCTTGGTTGCTGCTCTTTCTCTGGATACCACTGCATTGTTGTCAGCACCCTAGGATCTCTGGGAACAGACACTCAAATGCTGAGTCTCCCATGGAACACGTGACAGAGTTCTTTAGGGGGCATTCATTATGATAGTGGTTGAGGAAATGTGGTGTTTCTTCCATTTTTGTCTCAACAATCTTGCATCTTCCCACCCAGGCTCTTGCTGCTGGAGCTCCTTGCCCATTGGCTCTTGGACCAGGTACCACCAGGTTGGCTCAAATCCAGATACTAGTATTGTATTCTATTAAAGTAGCAGAACTGCTTGTCTGGCAAGTTGTTTGGGTTAGTAGAATTCCCACACAGGAATGAGGTGACAGTGCCACCTTCTTGAGGGAGTTCTCAATCTCTGTGACTGATTCTCTGTTTCAATGTTGGCTTGAGGATTGAAAGGAAAATCCACTATATATACTGCTATATTTGGGACTTACCACTGACAATTCCCTCTTCTCCTTTCCTAATCTCTGGCTTAAACGGATTTGGAAGAGAGAGAGAGAGAGAGAGAGAGAGAGAGAGAGAGAGAGAGAGTGTGTGTGTGTGTGTGTGTGTGTGTTTGAGAGAGAAAGTATGTGTGTGTCTGTGTTGGGGATAGGCTATCCAGATTATGGCAGAATAGTTCATGTCTGAGCTTCTCTTTAAAAGGTGTGAAGTGCTGTGACTCTTTTTCCTTTGCTGTGAGCCCTAGTCATCAATTCCATAGCAACAGGAAATATCATGTTCACTGTGCACTAGTATATGGATGAATCAGTAAGCTCCTGAAGGGGAATAGAAGAGAGAGGTGTCAAGTTAGGTTGAGTTAGATCACAATCAAATTTTGAAACTAGTCCAGGAGTTTCTTATATACCAAAAGCGAATGGAAGAATACTATAATCTCTTTACATTAATTTGGATAACTTCAGTGCTAAATTCTGAAATACAGGTATTTTGCTATTTTTGTGATGGTTAAATCAAAAGAAAGTTATTTCTGTCTTGTTCTGAAGCAGAAGTGGCTTTCCAATAAAGTGAGTTCTGAAAAGATCACATGTCCTTCGACAAAGGTGTGATATCTTTACATGTTGTTGTAGGAGTTCAGATACATAAATAGCTTGTTGAAGGACTATGACTGACCTTAGAAACTGCCCCTTCCAAAGTTATTTAGTACAAGTAATTAGAAGATGTGGTGTATTAGTCCATTTTCATACTGCCATGAAGAAATACCAGAGACTGGGTAATTTATAAAGAAAAAGAGCTTTGGCCGGGCACAGTGGCTCATGCCTGTAATCCCAGCACTTTGGGAGGCCAAGGCAGGCAGATCACGAGGTCAGGAGATCGAGACCATCCTGGCCAACATGGTGAAACCCCGTCTCTACTAAAATTACAAAAACTAGCTGGGCATGTGGCACACGCCTGTAGTCCCAGCTACTCAGGAGGCTGAAGCAGGAGAATCGCTTGAACCCGGGAGGCAGAGGTTGCAGTGAGCCGAGATTGTGCCGCTGCACTCCGGCCTGGCATTAGAGCGAGACTCTGTCTCCAAAAAGAAAAAAAAAAAAAGAAAAAGAAAAAGAGGTTTAATGGACTCACAGTTCCACATGGCTGAGGAGGTCTCACAATGATGGTGGAAGGTGAAGGAGGAGCAAAAGCACGTCTTACATAGAGGCAGGCAAGAGAGCATGTGAAGCAGAACTTCCCTTTATAAAACCATCAGATCTCATGAGACTTATTCACTGTCACAAGAACAGCTTGGGAAAACCCACTTCCACTGATAGCAGTAGCTGCTCCAGATGCCCTGCTGCTGCCATCATGCCAGCTGCAGCAAGGAAGCATCACTGGAGCTGCACGATCAGTGGGGCCAGCAGGAGCTGGTGACAAGGAGGGTCCCCACCCCTTCTGAGTTGGGGTAAGAGCTCCCTGGGTGCCCTTGCAGCTACTCAAACTGTGGCTGCAGACCCAGGTCTCCTGCTCCACAGAGCAGGCAGAAGCCCCACCCTCCTGGGTGGGGCTGCAGCCTCCTATGTTGTGGCTGCAGATCCAAGCCTCCCTGTGCTCGTAGGGGGCCAGGAGCAGGCAGAATCCCTGCTCTTCTGGGTGCCACTGCATCCACTCAAACCATGGCTGCAGACTCCGGCCTCCCACTCCATGGAACAGGCAGGAGCCCTGTCCCACTTGGTGTGGCTGCAGCCACCTAAGCTGTGGCTGCAGATCCAAGCCTCCCTGTGCTCTTGAGGGGCCTGGAGGAGGCAGGAGCCCTGCCATCTCTGGTGCAGCTGCAGCCACCCAAACCATGGCCACAGATCTGGGCCTCCCAGTCCATGGAGCAGGCAGAAGCCTCACCCACTCTGGGCACAGCTATAGCCACCCAAACAGTGGCTGCAGACTCAAGCAACCCTGTACACTTGGGAGCCCAGGAAGGCCCCCCTGCCCTTGCAGGCTTAAAAGTGCCTGCCCCCACTGCCTGGCTTCTCCCTGCTGTCAGTGCCTGCTCTGGTCTCAGAGCAAAACTGGGAGAGCCAGTTGCCATGAATGGCAGCAGGAGACAGGTTCCTGGGCAGAAAAGTGTGGGTCCCTGGTGAAACCCCATATTTCAGCCAGGGAGGGCCTCATGGCTGGGATCCTGGCTGCCAGTCTCATGGACAGGAGTAGGAACTTGTAGTGCCTTTTCTGGGCCCACCCATGGCCATCCATGGACTGATTGGTGTGCACTTCCTCCTCTTTGAGGCCCATAAAAGCCCCTGGATTAGCCAGTGCTGAACAGACCACAGGATGACCAGCTGCAGAGAGAACTAGCTGCACAGAGGAGCTACCCTCTCTGCTGAGAGCTTCAGAAACCTGCAGAGACATTGGTACTACCAGTTGCAGAGAGGAACAACCCACTCCAGGGCCTTTTCTCTGCAAGGAGCTGGGCAGATGTTAGGATGACCAGTTGCAGATAGGAGCCACCCTCTCCAGGGCCTCCTCTTGCCAGACAGCTGAACACTCCTTGGGATGACCTGCCTGCAGAGAGGAACAACCCACCCCAGGGCCTCTTCTCTGCCAGGAGCTGGGCAGATATTGGGATGACCAGTTACAGAGAGGACCCACCCTCTCCAGGGCCTCCTCTCTGCCAAATGCTGAACACTCCTTGGGATGACCTGCTGGCAGAGAGGAGCCACCCACTTCAGGCTTCTTCTCTGCTGAGAGCTGCAGAGAGGATGAGACCACCTACCTGCAGAGAGGAACCACCCACTCCAGGGTATCCTCTTCAACAGGATGACCTGCCTACAGAGAGGAGCTACCCACTGTGGGCCTCCTCTGTGCTGTTCTAACACTCAATGAAGCTCCTCTTTCTCTTGCTCACCCTTCACTTGTCTGCATAACTCATTCTTCCTGGATGTCAGAGAAGAGCTCAGGCAAAGGCACCACTGGCTACAGAGGTTTCCAGCCAGAAAAGCGACACCCCAAAGATTCTGTAACACCGTGATTGAATTACCTCCCACTGGGTCCCTCCTACAACACATGAGGATTATGGGAACTACAATTCAAGATGCAATTTGGGTGGGGGCACAGCCAAACCACACCATGTAGTATTTAGGAGAACATCAAATTGGTGCTGAACATGACAAATCACTGTGTATTCTTATGGGTACAATACACATTGAGATAAATTAGTTTGATCTCACCAGAAGGCAGAATGAAGTTTGAGGACCTCATGATTGTTTGTTTGTTTTTAATTATATCATCCACGTAGTTTAAAAAGATGATTTGTTTTTAATGTTAGCTAAAATTAGAATAGTTGGTCTGAACTTGCTTGTTTCTAGGTAATATTTTCCAGGTAGCTGGAAGAAAGGATCAGAGTCCTCATGCATGAGGGAATTTAGATTTCATATATAAAAAGCCTTCTCCTTTATAGCAGATAATGTCTTTAAGGGTGGTTACACAATCGGGCTCTTTGCATTTACTGCCCAGCCTGGCAGAATCTCATTTATAGTCTGAGAAAACCTTGCTTTGTCTATTGAACTCATGTCATTCTGAAATCATTTCTTAGTAACTCCGCCAGGTATATATTTTAGCTCTTGGCCTGTCTGTAATTCTTGAGTAGGGGACTATAAAATTCAATTCTTTTTAAATTTCTAATATAATAAATAATATGTAAAAGAACATGGAATATTAAAGGAATATGAAAGTGCCAATCTAATCATAATTTAATGCGTTCCTTGTAGCCAAGACAGAACATACACTTATGCTTAGAACAAGAGTATTCTAAACATATAAATCATTAATAGTCAATTCAATCTTATTCCTTTATTATGAAAATACAAACATTAAAAGTGATATCCAGCTGGAAGCTCTCCAGTCTTTTCCTCCAATTCTTCTTCAGTCTTCCCCAAAGAGAAAGGAATGATAATCTGATTGCTGAATGTCAATTTGGGCAGCCTTAGGCTTTGTATGGAAAAGAAGAGACCTCTCTAGCTTGTGCTCCAGCTCATGATCTCTTCCCTGCTCTCTTGCCACATGAGAGAAATGGCAGGTCCTACATGTGAAATTTCCTATTTATGAATAGAGCTATTCTATTTCTCTTTGTCTTTTCTACGATAATTTTCTCCATTTTTTTGTCATTAGTTCTAAATCCTGTATAATCTTGATTGCCTTATCTGTACATGTTTATAGGTACAAATTTTTCTTTCAGAAACAATTGATGAAAAACACAATACTTTATATTTGGTCTTAGCCATCAAAGAGAATCAAGGAACTCTTAGTTTTCAATATAGAGTTATAAAAACTCTAACTAATACAGACTAAGATTATATAAACTTTGTACCTGCTAGAAAATATTGACAATTTACAATAAATGTGTCAATTGAAAACCATATGTCTGATCTCTTAGTCTAATCACTGCTGTAAGAAGGTATCTCAGACTGGGTAATTTATAAACAGTAGAAATTTATTACAGTTCTGAAGACTAGAAAGTTCAAGATCAAGGCACAGGCAGATTAGCTGATGAGGCTTTCTCTCTGCTTCAGAGATGGCACCTTCTAGCTGTGTCCTCACATGGTGAAAGGGGCAAGGAAGCACCCTTCAGCCTCTTTTATATAGGCACTAATGCCATTCATGATCATGGAGCCTTCATAACTTAATCACTTAGCAAAAGACCCCACCTCTTAATACTATCACATTGGGTATTAGGTTGCAACATATGTATTTTGGGAGAACATCAACATTCAGACCATGGCATCTGTTAACCAATGTTCCTTCATTCTCTTTGTCTATAATTGTGTATTAGTATCAGAATTACTTCTGTGTATTTTCTGTGATTCTTCTGCTTTTCCATTACTTGACAATGTGTGCTCCTTTTTAGTTTTCTGGAAACTTTCTTCTCCTTTATTATTTTTCAATATTAGTGACAATTCCTTTGAGACAAAACCTGTAAATTACTGCAGAAATCTTAGTTTTCCTGGACATGCAAACTTGAACTTATTTAATACAGTCATGTATTCACCGGCATTCTTCTTAGCTGCTTGGATTTCAGTTCTCTCTTCATATTTTGTCCTACCCCTCAGCTTCAAAATTATTCTTTCTGGAGAAGATATATACAAACTCTTTGTTGAGTGGGTCTGATTTTTCCAAATTACTTTACATTGTTCCTTTTTTTTGTTTGTTTTATTGTTTCAAGCATAACTAAAATATCTTTCTATGACCTCTAGAATTTCTGAATTTCTTGAGAATTTTTTCTTTATGACTCTCTTTTCATGCACTTGTGATAGTTTATTCGTTTTGAATCTCCATCAGTGTTTCTGTTTTAAATATACAAGTAATTTAGATTTACTCTGATGAAGAAGAGGGCACTGCTGAATATTTTCATTATAGGGATGGATACGATCGAAGTGGTACTCTAGAGAGATGAATCTTACATTCATAGGCTGAGGAATTGATACATCTTGCTAGGAGATTAACTCACGGGGACAACTATGGTCTCTTAGATGTTCATTTTAACCACACTTTCAGTCTCTACAGAATGTTGAGAGGGAGTAGATCAGTGTTTGTAATGCATTTTTTTTTTTTTTTTTTTTTAGACGGAGTTTCACTCTTGCTGCCCAGGCTGGAATGCAATGGCGCAATCTCAGCTCACCACAACCTCTGCCTCTCGGGTTCAAGCAATTCTCCTGCCTCAGCCTCCAGAGTAGCTGAGATTACAGGCGTGC
The DNA here is from genome assembly GCF_000001405.40 of Homo sapiens. Lineage (NCBI taxonomy): Eukaryota > Metazoa > Chordata > Mammalia > Primates > Hominidae > Homo > Homo sapiens. The sequence goes on from NC_000006.12 coordinate 112,671,477, forward strand.
ACCACCACGCCCGGCTAATTTTGTATTTTCAGCAGAGACAGGGTTTCTCCATGTTGGTCAGGCTGGTCTCGAACTCCCGACCTCAGGTGATCCACCCGCCTTGGTCTCCCAAAGTGCTGAGATTACAGGTGTGAGCCACAGTGCTAGGCTGTAATGTTGCTTCTAACTGGACAGAGTGGCCAGTAAAGAACAGATTTGGGTTTCATAAGCACTTAACTCTACTAAAAAAAAAAAAAAGTATGAGAAAGCCTAATTAATCAAATGTCCATGGAAATGGAGACCAAGGGTTGTAAAGGAGCCTATCTTCATTCTTTTATCCTAAAATAGACTAGATTCTAAATCTAGTAAAAATTTCTTTGGAAAAGTTGACAGATGCCTATACATATATATTGTCACCATTTCTCTACATCTCTGGATTTGGATATGAAAATAAAGTTGTTGAATTCTGTTCTAGACTGTATTTTTCTTTTCTTTCTCCAAGGATACACACACACACACACACACACACACACACACACACACACACACACACAGACATATATGTATATATATCTAAGGTTGATTATATAATTAGAGATGATTAATACCAAACACTGACCATTCTACTAAATCAATACAGTCTTGTTGACTGATACATAAATGATGAGTCACTTTTTAATGTAATATGTAGAAACATCCTATTACTGAGGAGGCTCAATGCAAATAAAGATATTTTTCTTCAGCTTAATGTTAATTTTCCTTGAATACATGCTGTCCAATTTCAGTATATATTAAATGATGAAAGAAACACTGAAAAATGTATTTATTTATTCACTCATCAAATATTTGTTTGAATACTGACTGTATATACTAGATTTTTACTACCAGAAGTAAAATAATTAACAAAATTTTAAAAATGCCCTATTATTTTGCAGTTTATAGTATACTGGGGAAAAAGTAAGCAAACAATTATAATAAAGTATGATAAGTTATCTAGTAGATCAGCAAATTAGAAAAGCACCTAGCCTATGCTTAGGCTGCTAGAAAAAGATTTCCTGAATAAGTGATACCAAGCTGATTCCTTAAGGAGGGATAGAAGATAAAAAGGTAAAGAGGAGATTTAATGGCATATGCCAGGCATTCATCGTTGCAGGATTTGAAATAGACATGATCAGATTTTCATTGTATAATTCTCATCTTGGCCGAAGAGTAGGGAATAGGTTGGGTGATGCTAGTGGAAATAAGAAAAGAGACCTTGGGACTAGTCATGAGGTTCTTGCAGTAACCCATGAAAGATGATAGTGACTGGAATTAGGGCAGCACCACTAATAGCGATGTAGTTCAAGTTAGAGCTATAGGCCTTGGTGCTTGATTAAGCAAGGGCAACAAGGAGATGAAGGAGGATCCCAAAATAGTGCCTTCTTTTGTTTCTGTAGAAATATATTGGGATTGTGACCTTTGTTGAGATAAGAAATACCAGAGGAAGAACAGAATGCAATCATTATTTAAGACCTCTCCTCTTCTCCCCCGCTCACGATGCCCTCCCTTCTGTCTCTTTCTTCCCTTCTCCTCCCCTTCCCTCCTTTCCCCTCTTCCCTCACTTCCTCTGTCCATCTTGAAAGCTTAAATCTTTAGTCTGAAATTTTCAGTCCCTTCAAGTCATTGTCTTCTATGAAGCCCAAAATTATTTTGACAAGGAAATGTCACTTTAGCTTTTGTATTTAGGGTGAATCAGTGGGTAAAAATAAAAACAGCCTATCACCTTGCCAAGTTATTTCAAATATTTCTAACTGCTTAATCAAAGGAGACAGAATATTGATGTATTTAAGGACATTTGCCGAGAATATTTCTTGACCTTATATAAAGACTGAAGATGAAGCTAGGCAAATTATTCCATGCAAAATAAAATAACAGTAACTGAGAAAAAAATATATCCAAGAGAAATTATATGCTGCTATGTGAATATAATTTCTATAGATTTTACCTTGAGTACTCACAATTCAGAAATAAATTTTTATTTTATTTTATTATTTTACCACAGTGCTCTTCAAATGGAAGAAATCTAATTTAAAATAAAGTCAACAATGAAAATAATGGAATTATTATCTTTCTTACTGGAGAAGTGTTGGCAAAGAGGTGGAGAAATTGGAACCCTTGTACACAGTTGGTAGGAAGGTAAAATGCTTCACCTGCTATGAAAAACAATATGGAGGTTCTTCAAAAAATTAAAAATGGAAATACTTTCATGCTGCTGATAAAGACATACCAGAGACTGGGCAATTTACAAAAGAAAGAGGTTTAATTGACTTACAGTTCCACATGGCTGGGGAGGTCTCACAATCGTGGTGGAAGGCAAGGAGGAGCAAGTCACATCTTATGTGGATGGCAACAGGCAAAGAAAGGGCTTGAACAGAGAAACTCCTGTTTTTAAAACCATCAGATCTCATGAGACCCCTTTACTATCATGAGTACAGCACGGGAAAGACTTGCCCCCATGATTCAGTCATCTTCCACTGGGTCCTTCCCACAACATGTGGAGCTACAAGATGAGATTTGGGTGGGGACATAGAGCCAAACCATATCAAATACCATCTGATCTAATGATTCTGAATATTTATCCAAAAGAATTGAAATCAGGATCTTGAAGAAATATTTGGACTCCCACATTAACTGCAACATTATTCACAATAGCAAACATGTGAAAATAACCTAAATGTCTATTGACTGATGAGTTGATAAAGAAAATGTGGTATATACATACAATGAAATATTATTCAGACTTAAAAAAGAAGAAAATCCTGCCATATGTGATGATATGGATGAACCTTGAGGACATTATGCTATGTGACATAAGCCAGTCAAAGATGATAAATACTGCATGATTCAACCTATATGTGGTATCTAATATAGTAATGCAGAAAGAAAGAGTAGAAGGGTGTTTGTCAGGGGCTGTGAGGATAGTGAAATGGTAAGTTGCTATTCAGTAGATATAAAGTTTCACTTCCGTAGATATAAAGTTTCATTTCTGGAGGATGGTTACCTTCTAGAGATCTGTTGTACAAAACTATGCCTATGGTTAACAACACTGTATTGTACACTTCAAAACTGGGCAAAAGGGTAGATTTCATCTTAGGTATTCTTACCACAATAATAATAATAAAAAGACAAACTGAAATCTAGTCTGAAGTGAGACTCCATCCAGGGACTCAAACAGTGTTACTGACGCTCCTACTCTCCCTATCTCTCTCACATCTTGGCTCTGTTTCTTAGGAATTATTGGCTTATTCTCTCCTAATACAGATGGCTACCTCCAGGAGGGCAGAGAAGGTGATGGTGGGGGCTAACATTACCTTAGCTAGAGCTCAGAGAAGCATGAGAGAGCTCTTTGCTCCCATTGACCATATCTAAAACTCCAGAAGATTCTAATTGCTCAGGCTTGGGTCATGGGTCCAACACTTGTTGGAGAATTGTGGTCAGGTGTGCAGGGAATTGTGACAGCTCACCAGAATTATATAGTCTGAAAAAATGTGAGCAAAGCGCCTGCTGTTATCCAGTGAAAGGATGCAGAATACGGGGCAGATGGAAATACACATGTCCATTATATTTCTATTGGACACATTTGAAAATTTGCCTGAATATTAACTGTAAATTACAAGACTGATAAATCATATCAATGCCAAACCACTGACATGAATAAATAACTAAAGAAAATTGCCCACGACAAAAACCACATGATTATCTCAATAGATGCAGAAAAGGCCTTTGACAAAATTCAGCAGCTTTTCATGTTAAAAACTCTCAATAAACTAGGTATTGATGGAACATATCTCAAAATAATAAGAGCTATTTATGACAAACCCACAGCCAATATCATACTGAATGGGCAAAAGCTGGAAGCATTCCCTTTGAAAACTGACACAAGACAAGCATGCCCTCTCTCAGCACTCATATTCAACATAGTATTGAAAGTTCTGGCCAGGGCGATCAGGCAAGAGAAAGAAATAAAGGGTATTCAATTAGGAAAAGAGGAAGTCTGATTGTCTGTGTTTGCAGCTGACATGATTGTATATTTAGAAAACCCCTTGGTCTCAGCCCAAAATCTCCTTAAGCTGATAAGCAACTTCAGCAAAGTCTCAGGATACAGAATCAATGTCCAAAAATCACAAGCATTGCTATACACCAAGAACAGACAAACAGAGAGCCAAATCATGAGTGAACTCCCATTCACAATTACTACAAGGAGAATAAAATACCTACAAATCCAACTTATGAGGGATGTGAAGGACCTCTTCAAGGAGAATTACAAACCACTGCTCAACGAAATAAAAGAGGACACCAACAAATGGACAAAAATTCCATGCTCGTGGATAGAAAGAATCAATATCGTGAAAAGGCCATGCTGCCCAAGGTAATTTATAAATTCAATGCTATCTCCATCAGACTACCACTAACTTTCTTTACAGAATTGGAAAAAAACTACTTTAAATTTTATATGGAACCAAAAAAGAGCCCGCATAGCCAAGACAATCCTAAGCAAAAAGAACGAAGCTGGAAGCATCATGCTACTTGACTTCAAACTACACTACAAGGCTACAGTAACCAAAACAGCATGGTACTGGTCCCAAAATCAATATATAGACCAATAACAGAACAGAAGCCTCAGAAATAACACCACATACCTACAACCATCTGATCTTCGACAAACCTGACAAAAACAAGCAATGAGGAAAGGATTCCCTATTTAATAAACGGTTGCTGGGAAAACTGGCTAGCCATATGTAGAAAGCTGAAACTGGATTCCTTCCTTACACCTTGTACAAAAATTAACTCAAGATGGATTAAAGTTTTAAATGTAAGACCTAAAACCATAAAAACCCTAGAATAAAACCTAGGCAATACCATTCAAACCTGGGCAAAGGCTTCATGACTAAAACACCAAAAGCAGTGGCAACAAAAGCCAAAATAGACAAATGGGATCTAATAAAACTAAAGAGCTTATGCACAGCAAAAGAAACTACCACCAGATTGAACAGGCAACCTACAGATTGGGAGAAAATTTTTGCAATCTATCCATCTGACAAAGGGCTAATATCCAGAATCTACAAGGAACTTAAACAAATTTACAAGGAAAAAAAAAAAAAACTACCCCATCAAAAAGTGGGCAAAGGATATGAACAGACACTTCTCAAAAGAAGACATTTATGCAGCCAACAGACATATGGAAAAATGCTCATCATCGCTGGTCATCAGAGAAATGCAAATCAAAACCACAATGAGATACCATCTCATGCCAATTAGAATGGAGATCATTAAAAAGTCAGGAAACAACAGATGCTGGAGAGGATGTGGAGAAGTAGGAACGCTTTTACACTGTTGGTGGGAGTGCAAATTAGTTCAACCATTGTGGCAATTCCTCAAGGATCTAGAACTAGAAATACCATTTGACCCAGCAATTCCATTACTGGGTATATAACCAAAGAATTATAAATCATGCTACTATAAAGACACATGCACACATATGTTTATTGTGGCACTATTCACAATAGCAAAGACTTGGAAGCAACCCCAGTGTCCATCAATAACAGACTGGATAAGGAAAATGTGGCACATATACACCATGTAATACTATGTAGTCATGAAAAAGGATGAGTTCATGTCCTTTGCAGGGACATGGATGAAGTAGGAAACCATGATTCTCAGCAAACTAACACAGGAACAGAAAACCAAACACCACATGTTCTCACTCATAAGTGGGAGGTGAACAATGAGAACACATGGACATAGGGAGGGGAACATCACACACCAGGGCCTTTTTGGGGGTGGGGGCCTGGGGGAGGGATAGTGTTGGGAGTAATACCTAATGTAAATGATGAGTTGATGGGTGCAGTACACCAACATGGCACATGTATATCTATGTAACAAACCTGCACGTTGTGCATATGTACCCTAGAACTTAAAGTATAATAATAAAAAAAGAAAAAAAAATTGGCCAGTAAAAAAGTATTATCAAAGAAAATGTTTCAGAAAAGTCTTCATGCTGTGAGGCTTTGCTCCTATTATAGGCTGAAGAACAGTTCTGTGTTATTGTAGTTGCTTAAGGTGTTGTTACTGAGGTTTTTTTTTTCTTGATATTTTGTTAGAAAGTGACTTAAAGCTTTAGCTTTAGCTGGAAAGTCCTTTGCTGCCTATTTTATAGCTTGTATTTGAGTAACCTCCTTACTCTGCTATTTCTTTGGTCATGAACTGCAAACATCTTCTCAGAGCACTTGCTTAAGGATATGACTCTCATGTATTCTTCTCTCATATTCAGCCAGAATTAAGTTGCTATAAAAATTGTTTCTGGAAAATAAAAAAGGTGATCTTGTGTTTTCTCATCTGACGGTTTCAACCTGCTTATTAATGTCAAAATGAAGATGCTGGAAGAACTCAAGGAAGGAGATAAATGTGTGTGTGTGTGTGTGTGTGTGTGTGTGTGTGTGTGTGTGTGTTTCGGTTTTGTTTTCTGGCAGATTCCAACTACCCTAGCAGTTATGACAGGCGTCATGTATCAAGATATTTAAAAATGAATTGGGCCGGGCACGGTGGCTCACGCCTGTAATCCCAGCACTTTGGGAGGCTAAGGCGGGCGGATCACGAGGTCAGGAGATTGAGACAATCTTGGCTAACACGGTGAAACCCCATCTCTACTAAAAATACAAAACATTAGCCGGGGGTGGTTGCACAGGCCTGTAGTCCCAGCTATTTGGGAAGCTGTGACAGGAGAATCACTTGAATCCAGGAGGCGGAGGTGGCAGTGAGCCGAGATCGCACCACTGCACTCCAGCCTGAGTGACAGAGCAAGACTCTGTCTCAAATAAAAAAAAAAAAGAATTGTAGAATTGTGCATTATTCATTTTTAATTCTTTCAAGAAAGAGAATGCATTTTGTTTTGTTTTTTCAACATTTTTCCTGCCACTACCAAAAAATTATTTTTTCTTATTTTCATAATTGAGGATTGTGTTGATGTCAAGGCCAATAACTTTAAACAAATATAATATTTGTTGGTAAATCATCCACCCAACCAAACTAAGCCTCAGAGGTGGGAAAAGTTTGACTTCTCTTCTATAATAAATGATTATATTCTAGAAAAAAAATCATTTATGTAAGCATGACTTGGCTAACTGGATGTGCACATTGTCTTATGCTTTCTTAATATAGTTTCACATTTATTTCACAAAGAGAAAAATGTTAGCAGGTCATTAAAACCAAAATGTTCACATTCTGAGATTCTTGGTTCTGTTTTTATCTAGATCATTTCTTATTGGATTATCCTGGCTTCTCTTTAACCTATTACTTTACAAATAGCTCCCATGCTTGTCCAATTTGCTAGGCTACTGCACATTGCCTTGAGAACTCAAGGAAAGACTTTTATCACTATGGAAACAAGTCAATATAAGCATCTTCACATTTTATTTATAGACTAGGTATTGTAAGAGGCATGATGAACACTTGATATGATCAGAAATACGGGAGATGCTTTCTTGTTTTTAATTAATAGAATTAATGGTTGACATTGACATATGCATCTTTTCATAGCATCTTTTCACAGAGGAGACAAAACTGCAATTGTCACTTTATTTCATGTGTTACTTTAATTTACAGGTTTTTTTTCATAGTTCAAGGTTAACATCTAGACCTGCGACAGGAAACTTAATAGATGACACTAATATGAAAAGGGAGCTTATGGATATGTCAACCAGAGAGGTGTCAGATCCCCAAAATATCGGCAAACTGCCATAATAATCTTACACTTAACATGTTCTAAATTGGAATAGGAAATTAATAATTCACCCCTTTATAGGTTTCATTGTATAATAGAAAGAAGAAATAATTTGAGTCAAACACTAAAAGATTTGGGGAAACTACTTTATTTCATTTTAGCTGTCCCATTTATAAAATGGATATAATAATATTTATCTGTTGGATTATAGCAAAGATTGCAAATGATCAGAAAAAAATGTCTAGTGCAGTGCCTCCATACAACAGGTGATCAAAAAACAAGAGCTATTACCATCATGATATGTAACTTTTAAAATACTGAAATGATTAAGTGGTTTAATGATGATCAGATTCTTCCTAATTATGCAGCTCTCAAATGCCGTATTAGTAGATTTATAGGCATCTCAATAAGTTTACTGATTTGGTAGAGACAGAAGGTAAATGTGTCTATATCCTACTTCTTATTTAAAAATATTCTAATGTGGTCAAATGGGCTTCTGTAAATAAAGGAACAAATATCACTTTTTGAATAATTATTAGTCACTTATTTGTGTGCTTATTAGCTACAGATTCTAGAACATAATTTTCTCATTCCAAATAAGGAGAGCTTACCTTCACTTATTTCTGGAAAATAATATTTTATCAAAATTATTATCATTTAAGAAATTTATTTCCTGCAAGTTGGGCAAAATTTAGAGGACTTAGATAGCTTTCCAATGTGTGCGTGTGTGTGTGTGTGTGTGTGTGTATTCTTAAATATGGCATCAAGATTTTCTGCAACTGAATTAATTTTGAATAAAAGATATCTTTTGTCCTTCAACATGTAAAAATCAGCTCTTGACTATCAGAAGAAACTTATACTAAGTTACACCATTTAGTGTAGGAGATTTTAGGGTAACCATTTCACAAAGCCAATTTCTGGTTTAATTTTCACTGTGTATAAAAAGTTTTTCTTGGTTTTAATTCAGTTTCAAAGGATTTAGGGTTTATTCTGAGAGTCTAAGTTTATGTGTCATTGGATAAATAAGTGCATTTTCCTCATTCTTCAAATATTTTTCTGGAACAACTATTTCTAGCTAAAGTACTCTGATGGTAAGTTAAAAATTACAAATGTGCTTAAGACTATCATATAGTTTTAAAACATATCCTTGTCCATTAGCCAGGACACACAGAAAAACAAGAAAGCTTGCCAGCCATGGAGACATTTTCTTTCTTTCTTTCTTTTTTTTAATAAGCATTTCTTTTTATGCTTCTCTGTTTTATTTAATCAGATAAGAATTAAATATTGGCAGGTTGGAGAATGTCACCACAAACAAATGAAGGATGTGCATTTTGTTTCAGGTAAAAAGAGACAATACTATTTAGTTGTGGGAAGGGAAACATGATATCAAGCTGGCGAGCTCTTAAGGTTCATTTGGGTTTTACGTCTATGAATTTGTTTGAACTTGTTCATTAAACAACAAACTTCCCCTTACTTCTCCTAGCACACAAAAAGAAAAATTAATCTAAAAAATGCAGAGATTATTTCTTTGTGCTTCCTCTTGGTGCAAAAGTCATAGGTTGATTTCCTACAATTAAACTTGGTTTTTAACAAAGAAAACAAATGATTGAGAGAAAAAGTATCACGTTATTAATGAAAAATAAAATAGTAAAATGTCCCAGAAATAGAAACAGGCACCTTTTCACATTCTACTGTTTTCTACTGAATAAATGAATATCAAACTGAGAAACATTAATGCATGTGGTTGAACAGCAGGTAACACAGGTAATAGCAACACTAAACAAACAAAAAGTAAAAAATAATCAGTTGCATTTCTGTCTCATTAGTACTACCTATGATTTCAGACTTGAATTCATATTCAACATATTTCTGTGGAAAGATACAAGGCCTAAAATGGAGTAATATGTTTTCCAAGTAAGCTTATTTGGAAAATATTTGAAAGAGCAGATTATTTGACCATGTGCAAAACAAACATTAACCATCTCAACTTCTTCTAATGTTATATCAACAAACCATCCTCCTCCTTTACATAATGCAGTAGCTTATATATATTGTGATAGATTGTCCACAATTATCCTTCCTTCTCTGCCCTTGTTAGGACTCCCCATGGACATGGTAAAGTGTCTCATCCCACTGGCTTTTGGCTTGGTCACATGACTTGCTTTGACAAATGGAAGGTGCAGAATTGAGATCATGCTTTGTAAGCATGGTATTAAAAGGCATTATGTGCTTCTTCTCATCTTTCTTGCACTCTGCCATGACATTATCACATCACAGATGGAAGCTTCTCTTTTCACCTAGATCCTAGAATAAGGAAACACAAAGAGTAAACCTGTACCCAACCCACAGCCTGGAACAGACCCACTGCAGCCAATCCCCAGACCCACGAATGAGAAGTCAATGTTTGCCTGAACAATGTAAGCCTGAAAGTTTGGGCTTGTTGATTATGCATAATTATAACTGGAAAAACTGACTAATACAAGTGTCCATGAAAAAATTAACAAGAAAAGTTCAATAGAGATGGCATTATAAAACATGCTTGCAGTTTATCCAGGAGTACCAAGGCCTTGTACTAAGAAGGTGATGTAAAGGAGCTTAGTACATAGTGGTGGAGACCTCACCACTGGGTGCAAGAATCAGAATAAATATGGGAGTTGGGGACCTACTTTTAAAAGAATGAAGACCTTGGACAAGTTAGCATAATCGGAAGTTATATGAAAGAAAAGAAGACAAGGAAACAGTGACTACAAATGGGGTAAAAAAAATAGAGGTAAATCAGCAGCAAGACTGATGGTTTACGGAGCCCTGGAGTAGTTGAGCTGTTTCTTCTTTAAATTTTTCTTATTGTGATGCTAGCTTGTAGTAATGTCAAGTGGCTTCAGATAAGATGGGTCAAGGGAACAAGGCAGGGCCTGGCACTAGAGGCCCGGGTCACTTCTATGTGAATTATCCTCATAATAAACTGACAGCATCTGAAAGGATCTTTTCCGGATGGGGCTCCAGGGCGTGATAAGCATACCCATAAGAACTGTAAGACCTGTAAGACCTGTAAGAACAAACCAAACCACAAAATTAACATGAGATGAATACACTGCCAGCTTGCCAAGACAGATCGTAATGTAGTGGGTGGTCTCTTTGTCATCTTAAGTAATCATTGTGTTGGCATAAGCTTACAAATAGAAATATATTTTTAAAGAATTACAGAGAAAAGTCATTTTACTTTTACAAAGGCCATCGCTACATTTGGATTTAAAGGCTTTCAAAGACAGGACTGTGTTCCCTTTGATACAGGTTTCTTTCTCCATCTCCCCATATGGATGTTTCACTGTCTTGCTTTAAGATTGTCAGTAGTTTCCCCATTCCTGTAGTGTAAACACTATACCCTCAAATTCCTCCATACTCTGACTGAGATTTTCTTACATTTCCAAACCCATTTCATATTACTCGTCTCTTTGAAACCTCTTCAACAAAACAGGACTTATTTAAATATGATAGCATCTGGTAGTCAGAGTGCTGATTTTAAATAATCCTTAACTTATGAGCTGTGTGGCCCTGGACTGGTCTTTATTCTATCTGAACATTAGTTTCTCAGATGATATTGTATTGCTTAAAATTTTAAATAAGCTATTTTTTTTTTTTGGTGAGACGGAGTCTCACTCTGTTGCCCAAGCTGGAGTGCAGTGGTGCGATCTCGGCTCACTGCAACCTCCGCCTCCTGGATTTAAGCGATTCTCCTGCCTCAGACTCCCCAGCAGCTGGGACTACAGGCATGTGCCACCACGCTCGGCTAATTTTTTTATTTTTAGTAGAGACAGGGTTTCACCATGTTGGCCAGGCTGGTCTCCAACTCCTGACTTCAGGTGATCCGCCGGCCTCGGCCTCCCAAAGTGCTGGGATTACAGGCCTGAGCCACCGTGCCTGGCTAAATGAGCTATTTTTTAAAAAGGAAAACTGAAGCAAGACCAATGTTTCATTTTGCTTATTCTTGTGTTTATTTTTGATACTATACTATTCTCTCTTGCGTAAATCTTTTGTTTTCTTTATGTAAGTCTTAAGGTGAGTCACAACTCATGTTAAGCACTGTCTCTGGTGAGCATCTCTTCCAGAGTGTCCTACCTGGTGGTGATTGATTTCTCCTGTTGCAACATGCATGTCATTTAGCATGGCTATCCTGTATTGTTGCTTATTTTTTAAATGTATATTTTGTGTTTCAACTCAAGGTTTTGCAGGGCATAGACACTCAATTTCAAATTTGTGTATACTAACTACACTGTGCAAAACCTTGTTTATTTAAGACAATCAATAAATAGAATTCTAGAGGGTTATAAGTTACTTTAAAAGTCATAAGATTCCACTTCATGTGTGATGGTATGATTATTATAATTATGATAATAATTATGCAGAAAAGGCCAAATATATTTATATATTTTATATAAGTATATAATATGTAAATATACTTAAATATGCTAATTAACCCATCTTAAGGTGGTCCTTTTTAAATCTTTTACATTTTTCTATAAGTGTAGAATAGGAAAATGCATAATATAAAAGATTATATTCTTGTAGAGATTCATAGATAAATATTTAAAAATTTATATTCCTTTTATTTTGTATTTTTAATTCTATTTTTAAAAGTATTACTGAGAAGTAAATTGTTTTATGCTATGTAATAAGACAGCTATCTACAGCTTTATCAATCTATAGCATTCAAATGCATAAAACAGGAGAACTTAATAACTGAATCTAGACCACGGTCAGGAATTATTTTCTGTGAGGGGCTGAGTAATAAATATCTTAGGCTTTTTGAGCTCTTGCAGCTACTCAGTCCTGCATCGTTGTGTAAAACTAACCACAATAGATTAATGAATAAGCATGGATATGTTCCAGTAAAACTGAATTCAAAAAACAGGCATGATCTGTGATCCAGTTTGCTAAGTCTTGAGAGACAATTACATCATCTAAACCAGCATGTGAGTTTTCTAGTTGTAATGAGTAATGACTTTCCACTTTTTCCATGGATGAATTTCATTTTATAAACCAACTATCAAAATAAAATCCCTCGTGTTTATTTGAGAGATTTTTCCTAAATCCTTAATAATAGTTTTGGTCCATTTCTTTTCAAGATTGAAGTATTTTACAAAGAGAATCCTGAGATACATTGCCAGATTTTTACATGTGTTTTGCTTAAGCTTAATTAGTATTTTTCCTTTAATTTGTTGACTTTATACATTTATTTTATGTATATAAAATAGTGAATTTTCAGTTCAATTTACAAGCATCTCTTTGAACCTCTGTATGACTAATGCTGTGTCAATGCCTCAATAAAGTATTTATCTATATCTTTCCTATTTCTTCACACTAGATTTCTTTAGAAATATTGACATAATATAGTCAAATACTGGGGTTCAAATTGTCTGTTTGGTTATATAATGTCACTTGTGGTAGTTTCCTAGGAGAGTGGAATCTTTTCCAAAGTTATCTTTATTCTAGTGCTTTCATCACATTGTATTTCATCTCTGAAATAGGGATGTATCTTATCATCAATGTGATAAAAATATCCACTGTCATATTTACATATATAACTTAATATTTTAATAATACATAAAGTAATGAAATGACTTATCAAAAAAACAGTGGTGTTTAACTTGATCACAGAATCCTGGAGTGGAGAACACACATTCAAGTGAGTCAGTGGGAGCAACGTGTTGAATAATTTTAGGTTTTTAATTGTCCTTTAAACAATGTTTGGGAGCAAATTCTTGGGAGTAATGTCTAATCTTTCTGGTAGGATCTGCAGCTGGGGTTTATTGTCTAATTAGGATTATCTTCCAAGGCAAGACTTTAAGCCCCACAGAAGCAGCAGGAAAAAAATATGCATAAATATATTTATCATCTTATTTTATATTACATACATAAAACTAGATACTAAATATTCTATACATGTCTGCTATTCCATAGTATATATCTATACTATAACAGATTTATAGTTATAAAAAATTGTTTGGCTAAGGGTATAGGCTAGTGTATGATATGTGTAGACACATGGATTGGACCTAGACTGAGTGGATACTGAAGTTTGGGAGAGCAATGCGTTTCAGAACCTTCCCACTGATCAAAATTGGGCTCCTGATATACTCCTAGGCACTGCTAAGAATTTGTATCATCCCATTGGAATGGAATGAGCCTGAAGTTTGAAAAAGTTAAAAATTACAGGTGGATGGATTTGGCAGAAGGCAACAAATAATATGTCCCATAAAAATTAGTTGATGTGTTTGTATTAAAGTGATTACCAGAATGAGCAAATGTAATCCTTATTTCCACACCCATTTAAGTCACAGAATCTTTTTTTTTTTAGACGGAGTTTCACTCTTGTTGCCCAGGCTGGAGTGGTGCAATGGTACGATCTTGGCTCACCGCAACCTCCGCCTCCCAGGTTCAAGCGATTCTCCTGCCTCAGCCTACCTAGTAGCTGGGATTACAGGCATGTGCCACCACGCCCGGCTAGTTTTGTAGTTTTAGTAGAGACGAGGTTTCTCCGTGTTTGTCAGGCTGGTCTCGAACGCCTGACCTCAGGTGATCTGCCCACCTCGGCCTCCCAAAGTGCTGGGATTATAGGCGTGAGCCACCGTGTCTGGTCTAAGTCACAGAATCTTAAAAATCACTTAACAAGTATGTTTCATTGCTTACATTTATTTTTATTATTTTTGAATAGCTTATCCATAAAGATGACTCAAAATTTTAAACATACCAGGAGACAATCTAATGAGAAATAAATGCCACTCTCACTTCAATCCCATTCTTTTTTTAAAAAATGGAAATTGCTGTTTTTATGTATCATCCCAGAAGTATTCTACCAATATATAAGCATACACTTACAGCATTTATGTATTGTTAAGCGTCTACACCCCAATGGTGTGATGCATGCTATTCACATTGTGCTTTTTAAACTTACTATCAAACTCAGGGATGAATCTATGTCAATGAACATTTTAAAAATGGCTACAAATGTATGAATTTACAATAATTTATTTAATCAGTCTCCTTTTGATGGACAATGCAATTGTTTTTAATCTTTTTGCCAGTATAAGGAATGCTGAAATAAATATTATTCCACACACTTTAATACACATGCAGCTCTGTCTGCAAGACACATTTTCTTAGAAGTGAGTGGCATTTTACATTTTGATAGATATTGTCAAACATTTCTACTACGTGATAGATATTGTCAAACATTTCTACTACTTGATCTGGCTAGTTTATAGTCATATCATTAGTGTATGAGGTTGCCTGTTCTCTACTTTCTCCCTGACATAGCATTTTATTAAACTTTTGGATTTTTTCTAATCTCGTAAGTGAAAACAGCACCTTGTTTTAATTTCTATTTCTTCTATTAGGAATAATATTTTACATTTGTTTAAATTCTGCTTTTTATTTCCTTTCCTGGAACAATCTCTTCAAACCCTTTCATCATTAGGTTGTTTTTTGTGTGTGGGACATAGTGTTGCTGATTTTTAAGAACTCTTTGTATATTTAAGAAATTTTATCCTTTTATGTAATGTAAGTATTCTCATCTGTTTGTAGTTCATCCTTTGCCTCTGTTTATATTTTTTAAGAAAATGTCTTTAGTTTTATATATTTAAATTTATTGATCTTATCTTGTATGGTTTCTTTGAATATATGCCATATATACAGACTCTTCCCATATTCATGCTATGAAGTGATCTTTTACTTTTTATTAAAGGAATTTGATATTTTTATTTTTACTTTATATATTTAATCCATCTGGAATTTATTTTAATATAAAGAGAGAACTAGATATTCAACTTAGCTATTTTCCAGGAAAAATCAGTTCATCTCAAATATTTTATTGACCAATCTATTTTTCCCTCAGTAACATATTGTATTTATTACCTGCTAAATTTCTGATACATTTAAATTTGTTCTGAACTATTTTTATCACAGAGTTTTTGCTTATTTTTATACTATTATAAATTTTATTTTGGTAACTTTATACTATACGTAATACCTGGCATGGCTACTTCTTATCATTCTCAAAATATTTCTAAACATTCCTGTGTGTTTATTTTAACATATACATTTTGTTTTTATTTTTCCCATTGTTATTATTATGGGTTTTGATTAGGTGCCTATTTTGTGCTAGAAACTGAAAGAATACCCTGACATAAATTTTAAAAATAGTTGTATTCTAAAAACGTATTTTATTGTATAATAATTTTAAACATATTTTATTAAAATATATTAAAGAATAAACAAATGGAAAGATAGGTTATGTTCATGGATTGAAACATTTAATATTTTTAAAATGTCCATACAACCTGAAGCAATTTGTAGATTCAATGCAATTCTTACCAAAATTCCAATGTCATTTTTTACAGGAATAGAAAACAAATTATTAAATTTATATGGAGCCATAAAAGACCTCAAATAACTGAAACAATCTTGAACAAAAAGAACAAAGCCAGAGGCATCACACTTACTGATTTCAAAATATATTAAAAAGCTATTGTAATAAAAAATCATGGTCCTGGCATAAAAACAAACACGTTGACCAAGGGAATAGCATTAGAAATCCAGAAATAAACCCACACATTTATATTATAGTCAAATAATATTTGATAAAGGTGCCAAGAACACACAATGGGGAAAGGACAGCTTCTTCAATAAGCGGTGTTGAGAAAAGGATATCTATACGCAGCAGAATGAAATTGGATCCTTTCTCACACCATACATAAAAATCAATTCAAGATGCATCAAAGATTTAAATATAAGACCCGAAGCTGCAAAACTACTAGCAGAAAACATAGGAGAAAAGCTATACAATATTGGTATAGGTAATCGTTTTTCAGCTATGACTCCAAAAGTACAGGCAACAAAAGCAAAAACAAATGGGATTGCATCGAATTAAAACATTTCTGCACAGCAAATAAAATAGTTAACAAAGTGAAGACACAACTCATAGAAATAAAAAAAAACTTTTGCAAATCACACGTCTGAATTTGCCTTCTTTTATGTGGTCAGGAATACACTTAACCTCTCTGAAGCTTTGTTTCTTTATCTGTAAAATCAGAGAACTTGGTTACTGGAGTTCTAATGCTCTGTCAAATAGTAATTTGTTATAATCTATGAAAGTTAAATTGGTCAAAAATCAAATGAATTTTGTTAGGTAAAAGAATAACTTTCTGACATTAAGGATTAAAGGCTAGAACAGGTTACTTGAGGAAGCTAAAATGACCCATATTCAAAGTCCATGAAAAGCCTATCATTTCATGTACTAGTATTGTGTCCGGAATTGGTGGGTTCTTGGTCTCACTGACTTCAAGAATGAAGCCACGGACCCTCGCGGTGAGTGTTACAGTTCTTAAAGGCAGCGTGTCCGGAGTTTGTTCCTTCTGATGTTCAGATGTATTCGGAGTTTCTTCCTTCTGGTTGGTTCGTGGTCTCGCTGGCTCAGGAGTGAAGCTGCAGACCTTCCCGGTGAGTGTTACAGCTCTTAAAGCGGTGTGTCTGGAGTTGTTCGTTCTTCTGGGGCTCGTGGTCTCACTGGCTTCCTGAGTGAAGCTGCAGACCTTCGCGGTAAGTGTTACAGCTCATAAAGGCAGTGTGGACCCAGAGTGAACACTAGCAAGATTTATTGCAAAGAGCGAAAGAACAAAGCTTCCATGGTGTGGAAGGGGACCCGAGCCGGCTGCCACTGCTGGCTCCAGCAGCCTGCTTTTATTCTCTTATCTGGCCCCATCCACAACCTGCTGATTGGTAGAGCCGAGTGGTGTGTTTTGACAGGGCGCTGATCGGTGCCTTTACAACCCCTGAGCTAGACACAAAGGTTCTCCACGTCCCCACCGGATACAGAGTGTGGACACAAAGGTTTTCCACGTCCCCACTAGAGTAGCTAGATACAGAGTGTCAACTGGTGCATTCACAAACCCTGAGCTAGACACAGGGTGCTGATTGGTGTGTTTACAAACCTTGAGCTAGATACAGAGTGCCGATTGGTGTATTTACAATCCCTGAGCTAGACATAAAGGTTCTCCACGTCCCCACCAGACTCAGGAGCCCAGCTGGCTTCACCCAGTGGATCCCGCACCGGGGCTGCAAGTGGAGCTGCCTGCCAATCCCGCACCATGTGCCCGCAGTCCTCAGCCCTTGGGTGGTCCATGGGACTGGGCGCCATGGAGCAGGGGGCAGCGCTCGTCCGGGAGGCTCGGGCCGCACAGGAGCCCACGGAGCGCGGGGAGGCTCAGGCATGGCGGGCTGCAGGTCCCGAGCCCTGCCCCGCGGGAAGGCAGCTAAGGCCCCGCGAGAAATTGAGCACAGCAGCTGCTGGCCCAGGTGCTACGCCCCTCACTGCCCGGGGCGGTGGGGCCCCGCCGGCCGCTCCTAGTGCGGGGTCCGCCCAGCCCACGCGCACCCGGAACTCGCGCTGGCCCGGAACTCGCGCTGGCCCGGAACTCGCGCTGGCCCGGAACTCGCGCTGGCCCAGAACTCGCGCTGGCAGGGAAGCACCGCGCGCAGCCCCGCTTCCCGCCCGCGCCTCTCCCTCCACACCTCCTCACAAGCTGAGGGAGCCGGCTCCGGCCTTAGCCAGCCCAGAAAGGGGCTCCCACAGTGCAGCGGCGGGCTGAAGGGCTCCTCAAGTGCCGCCAAAGTGGGAGCCCAGGCAGAGGAGGCGCCGAGAGCGAGCGAGGGCTGTGAGGACTGCCAGCATGCTGTCACCTCTCAGTATAATTTAAGATCAACCCTAATTGAAAATACTATATTTTGAAGGTAAAATCTCAGGTTTTTTGCTATTTTGCTCATTGTTTTAACTTCATGTCTACTTTGAATGTAATTATAGGTGGTGGAATCTACACAAATATATCATTATTATTATTAATAGAATGACAAAACTTTTTAATTACAAAAAAGCATCCACATTTGTTATTGACCTGTTCCAATCAAACTAGTAAGAAAATACCTCTTTCAATAACTTCAAAGATTTCATTTAAACATGTGTCAATTTCTTAAGAAGCAAATATAACAGAATGCCAGTTCTCTTGAGATTAATGGGCTTGCTCGAAGGAAAATAGCACCAGAAGTATGATTATTTCAAATAATTCAAAAGACAATAGTTTCTTTCCCCCTTGTTCCCACTTATATTCTGTTCTATGACAACTGACTCTTCACTCACTTGTAAGCACAGCAGTTCTCATAAAAATATAAATCCTTAATTTCTCCCAGTTTTCTTGTTATTCTCTAGAGGTAAAACCAAACAAATTTCAATAAGCTAAAAAAAAAAGAAAGTGAACTTGCCAAATTAAGAGCTGGTTCATGAGACTGGGTTTGCTATGTGTTTAAACAAAGTCATGATTCATTAACTATGCCTGTAACAATCAAATAAACAAAACCATGCTCTACAAGGCATCCATTAGCACGTTTAAGTGCATAAATCACTAACCATGTGACTTACGGCTTAACCGTTTGCCGAAAACAGCTGTTTTCTCAGTTCAGATAATGAAGAGAAAAAAACAGCTGAAGCCAATTAGTGGATAAGCATTCATTCCGAAATATCTGAGACAGTTGAGTGATTTGTTTTGCAGGCCAGATATGTTGTTATCCAGACCCAAGTAAGAAAGCTCCTTTTACAATAAATTGAAGGTTTTATATTAACCCTTGTTTGTATTCGGCTCTCCTCCAAACAGCAAGCAGAGCAACAAACAAACAAACAGCTGATTAAAATCCAGTGTCCTTGAAAGCATTGCAGTGCATTATTTATTTAGGATTGTTTGTTTTGTTGCTCATGGAATATTTTAAGCATTCATGAAGACTAGGGCAAAGCAAAATATCTAATTTCAAGCAGAAATTATGTTTACCAAAGAGAAGTTATCTATCAAACAGAAATAGACTCTAGAAAAGACTGAGTATATTTTATATACTCAGATGCTGAAAGGAGATCTATTTTCAACAATGGAAAAACTTTAAACATTGCATTTTAGGTTGGAATCAACACCATTGTCAGCAAAATTATTTATTGAGTTTTACGTGGGAATCCTCCAGTGAAAGATTTTATGCAGCTTCTCCTGCTACAGTAAGGGTATAATCTGGAACTTCCCTTGCTTTGACAGTCCTGATAATTGAATTAATATCATTCACTAATAAAAATTCCAGAAACATGACAGATTTCCCTCGAAGGAGTCATCACCAGGCAAGGTACCAAGACACAATCTTTCTTGCAAAGACTGCCTTGTCACAGACAGGAAGGAGAGCTGGCTTTGCAATCAGATCAGCTGAATTCTGACTGGGCCACTTACTAGTTGGGCAATGATTGTTAGCTTTTGGAATCCTTCTGAACCTCAGTTTCTTCATCTATATAACACAGATAATTACATATCTCAAAGCCTTACAAGTTTGTATTGTGAAATTTAAATGAGTCATTTACTTTTTGATGAAGTTGACATAGTATGAGTTTAATCCAAAGGTCAATTCTCCTAGTGAAATGTGAAAATATATTTTAAAAATGGCTAACATTCTGCCTGTTATAAAATGAGCATTCAAAATAAGTGGAAGTTATTTTCATTATTTCTCATGGAAGTCAAATGTCTTGGGTTGTCTGAGAGAGACTGAACTTTTATAATCGGAGAAGAATGGATTGATCATTAAAAGTTTGATTTTCTGGAATAAAGATATGATTTTGCCTTTTGGAGGGAAACTATCTCACTGGAGGGATCTCATTAGTTATACTGATAAAGACAGTACCTACCTACTGTCTTTGGGAGGACTTGAGAATGGTGAATTAACCAAAGTGTCATTGCTTTAAAGAAAATGTTAGGTATCATATTAGGGTAGCTCGTCCTGGTGAAAGCCTAGGAAAAGTCCACCTTCCGAATATAGGGATGTGGGGCTTCCATGAAGAGAATGGATGGTCTCACTGCCAATGATTTGAAGAGGGCAGAAAAATAAGGAAAGGACTTAGGGGTGAAACAGGAGCGTTCACTGTCTCGGGGGCTGAAGGGATTAGGGACTGAACTGCTGATAGGGGAGAGATGCTCACAGGCAATCCTATTGGGGGAAGATGAGTTGGCTATTGTGAGAAGGTGGCAAACTTGAAATAGGAAGTATTTTCGTAAGGAAGTCGAGGCCAAGGAACCCATTAGAGAACCTGGGGTACCTGTAGCATTGTGGTGACCATATTTCACTCTCCAGCAGTGTATGGGAGTTCCCATTTCATTACGCCTTGACTGTAGTGATTATGCAAAATAAAAAATAAAATCTTTGCAAACCTTATATATGTATTGACTGTAACCTGACAGTGCCACATAGATATGAGTGCTGTAACCCTGCTTTATACTTGTAACTGCTTGATTTTTTGACAGAAAAAAACCAAAACTTTTTTTTTCTGAGACCTAGGAAAGAAAACTAAACTTAATCTGGAGACTCAGAACAGTTAAGCTGTTGTTGATCTAGTTCAGTCACAAAACTTGCTGTCTATCCAATACAGACTCTCCATCTTGGAGCTTCCCTATTTTTCTGCCATATTTTTCTTTCCTCTTCCCCCGATTGCTATTTGCATTTCACAAGGTGTTATGTATGTTGGTTTTCACATGTCAGGAGTGGAGAGGCTACTATCTAGTCTGTTTGTCCTGCCTTCTGGTTCTGGCCACTGGTGTCATCTGGTCTCTGGCACAGTGAGGCTGAAGGCAAGGGGAGGAGGGAAGAGAAATGGAAAAAGGGAGGACTTACAACTATGTCACATCCAAGTTGTGGGTAGGCAACCGATGATATCTACCTGCCTAAAATTTGCATTTTGATTATTGATACAAATGAAGATAATTCCACTTGTTAGCTTGAGTTTATTTATCTTTTGAAGATTATTTTCCTTTGTTCTGCTATTTACTGTGGTTTTAAGGTTTTCAGTTTAAATTTGTGCCAGAATTTGATATAGAAAGGATATTAATGCTTTATCAAGCAATTTCATGTGAATATTCTACTTTTTTATTTGCCTTTCAATTTTATGTTTTGCAATGCAGAAGAATACAATCTTTTCTTTGTTATTACTTATAAATTTAAAGGCATTCTTTATATTAGCAGATTAGAATACATACATTTTACATTTTCCAAATAAAGACAAGTAACAATTCTTTTTCTAAATTTACAATGCAATGAAACCTTTCCTAAAGATAAGGAAAAAAATTCTCATTTAATATTACAGATGGTGGATAAACACCACAATATAATTAATTCAGATTAGAAGTAAAATCCAATATAATTGTACAAATGAACTGAGAATATGAACAAACAATTTAAAACAAAAATACATGGTTCTATGTATACAATAATCATAACTTCAATGATATTTTATTTACTGTTTATTTGTATAATTTCTAAAAATATATGAAAAAATTTAGTCTTTCTAGAAAATTAAAAACAAACTCAATCTAAGTTAAAGAAAATGATATAGTTTGTATATAAGAAAGTAGTCAAATTGTTTAGGGTGAATATAATCTTTGTTGAAAAGATTATTGCAGGACTCTGCCCTTATTAATTTTCAGTTGAAGTGTAATTACTAAACATTTTTAGAAAAGCAGTATGGACATTTGTAATAAGAATCATAAATAAATCCTTTGGTGCAGAAATTCAAGGTTGAGACATTCATACTAGGAAAATAATTCTGAAAAAGCAAAAAAGCTATAAGCTATAAATATGATTGTATTATTGATGGCATTAGCTATAATGGAAAGCAAATAGTACTCTTATAGGAAATTATTTAGCACATCGTTTTTTAACAACAAAATGGAATATTATATACCTATTAAAATAATAATTGTAAGAATTGACAGAAGTAGAAAATATACTGGCAATGTCAAGTGAAAATATCAAATACAATATAGCATGTACAGTCTGTGTCAAGCTATGTATCATATTTGCAATGTTGTGTAGTTGGATAGTTGAAAATTCACTTTATTACATTTACTTTAATTTTTATTTAGTTTCTTTTATTTTAATAATTTAATTTAATTTAATTTATATTTTCCAAGTAATTAGCAAAATATATAGTCATACTAATAAGATAAGTAATAATTGTAACGTGTATGTTTGTTTATGACCATGGCATTCCCTGACAAACTTGCCCTGGTATTTCTTTCAGTAATTAACTTCTCTCACCAATTTCTTTGTCTTCAGCAGAAAGTCCTCATAACCAAAATGCCAGGATTTAGAATTCACCAGGCCATTTAGCTTCCTTTTGTAAGAATTTTTCATTAGGGTAGACCCATTATGTGCATTTAAATGTGCATTTCAAGAATAGGGGAGTGTTGTCTGGGATTCTTGTTTTGGTTTTTGCATTAGAGAATAAAACCTTCAAAACAAGATTCTTTGTTTGAAAATCTTCTTTTGGATTCCACTTAAAAGGTGGAGAAATGATCAAAATAGCATCCCACAAGCATTCTTGGCAGGGCTGTGATACGTGTTGAAGTTTTCTTTATTCTCAGGATTGGCATTTGTTGAAGAGCTTTTCAAAGATGGTAGATACATTAAAGAAGAAAGCACTTTCAGCCTCAACTAGTATATGGTTAAATTAATGAGTGATTTTCTGACCTCTGGATTTGTGTTAGAGTAACATTAATTATCTATAAGACCTTTGAACATCCTCTACCACTGACTTCAGCCAAGGAAAAGACTTCCTTCTAATACAGCATCAGTGAATTTTTTGTGACTCTTTGCAGATTTATATCTGTAGCAAGGATAAAATTTCATAAGATACTTTAAATTAAAATAAATAAAATTACTGTTATTTTAAACAAAATTATATTAGTCATTATTTTTTCTTGAAAGGGAAGGATGAAAAATATACAAGAGCCTTTTTGGTAGATCTGTTATTGGCTTTCCTCACTGGCTTTAAAGTCATTTCTCCGGACGGAGCTGCTTTGATTTATGGTCACTTGAAGTGATCCCTAATGCCCCTCCTTTGTTCCTATTTCCTATTTGGTTGCCAACCCTCCCAACACAGTCTATTATTCTGGAATTGGTTTAGTTGTGCTTGAAAGGAAGTTTGGTTTATTTGGTTTGAGAGCTTCTCAGATCTGCTTTTTTGTGTGTAACACACATAGGAAGAGCTGGAGTTTGCCATTGCAATGTAGTATTTTTTACAATCCTCCAGACCCCATACTTTCCATGCAATATTATTTCTTTTCGTTAAACATACCAAAATAGCTACACCCTTAATGGAAACTTTATAAGCCCTACTAAATACATTTAGATTTTTGAACTAATAATTTTTAACTGAGTTTCAGAGCATTGCAATAGTTTTTCTCATGCAGAAAAAAGTTTTGTAGGAAATTAGTTCAAATTTAATTACTTTTCCACCAAAACCTATAGGTCCAGCTGCTTTATTTCTTTATATATCCTTTAATAGGTTGCAGTCTAAAAATGTTTCTAGAGAGGTAGTAGTTTCATAGAAGTAAAGTGGAAAAATGTCTCTTCCATTTCTTGTTAGAGGCACATGAGACAATTGCAGACTAAGCTTCAGGATTTTGTTCTTCAACTTCTAGAATACACAGGAGAAATCATTCACTAGGACTGTATTCTACTTTGGGAGCATGCTGACCTATGTATTTTCAAAAAAATATTTTTAAGAAGTATAAATATTTACACAATAAATTCAGAAATCAAAGTCCTACCATGTATTTTCATTGTTTAGGGCAGATTCACCAATCGCTCCTCAACACTACCTTTCCTAGTGGAGAGCTTGTATTTGACAGAGTTGCTCCTTTAATGTCACTGCTCTGCTGATTTAGTCTTGAGTTGGGGATCTTTTCGTGGGTGAATATTTTATCTCTCTCTTCTGACTACATGTCTGTTCTCATCCAGTCTGGTCTCTCAATCAGTGCTTTTCAAACCTCATTGTACATACAAATCACCAGTTAAAATACAAATCTCGTTAAAACACAGATTGTGTTAAAATGCAGATTCTGGTTCAGGAGTTCTCGGTGAGTCCTGAGATTCTACATTTCTGTTACCTTCCAGGTGATGACAATGCTCCCGGTCTGTATTTTGAATTAATAACAAATATCTGGATTATCAGAGACTGTTGACCACTCCTGCTAGATACTACACATTACTACAAGAGAATTTGAGAGCTATGAGACCATAAGAGCTTCCTGATGCAGTCTTCCATTCTTTCAGTCCAATTCTGTAGAGCATCTGCTCTGATATTCAGATCTCACAACTCCTCTAGCTGGCTAAAGCTTAACCATCTCTAAATGTGTTACATTGCCAAAGTGTAATTAGGAAAGCATCTTTTGATGGGGAAGGTAGCTGGGTAGCAAAATCAATCAGGAAGCAAAATTTAAAGCTACTTTGAGGTTACAGGCGTAGAGCTAAGGTAACAGGCAGGGGAGTGACAAGTGAGAATGTAGGCTAGAGAAGATACCAATTAAGGCTAGAAACTGCTAAACAAGAATAAATAAAACAAGTCACAGATCACATATGCTTGGCCAAGGAACAGGAAAAAAATACTCTAGGTCAAGCCCAACTTGGTATTCCCAAGAGACAAATTAGGGTAGACTACAGGGTTGCTGTTGAAGTTGTCATTTAAAATGCCCAACAGAGCTGGGCCTCTGTATGGATCCATAGAGGTAGCACAGTGAACAACTCCAAGGGACATCATTTACCTAGACTATGATGTGAGTGGTGCTTCCTGGAATTGTACAATGTCATCTTTGGTCTTACTCTTCTGACTCTCAAAGCAAAAGCTTGAGTATACAATTGGGTTATTATAGCTGCTAACATACTTTCTAAAAGAAATCCTCTTATATTCTATTCCTTTGGCCTTGAGATAGTTGTTTCTAACCAACGAGAAATAACCAATGTAATTTCTTGACCTGCATGAGTTAGGTTAAAGCTAGACTGCCTAATAAAGATGCCCAACCAGCATTGACACCTAATGTATTAGTCAGGGTTGTCTAGAGGGACACAACTATTTGGATAGATGTATATATAAAGGGGAGTTTATTAAGGAGTATTAATTCACATGATCACAAGGTCCCACAATAGGCCGTCTGCAATCTGAGGAGCAAGGAAGCCAGTCTGAGTCTCCAAACTGAAGAACTTAGAGTCTGATGTTTGAGGGTAGAAGCATCCAGCATTGAAGAAAGATGTAGGCTAGGAGCCTAGGCCAGTCTAATCTTTCCATGTTCTTCCGCCTGCCTTTATTCTGGTTGCCCGGGCAGCTGATTAGATTGCACCCACCCAGATTGAGGGTGGGTCTGCCTCCCTGAGAACACTGACTCAAATGTTAATCTCCTTTGGCAACACCCTCACAGACACACCCAACAACAATACTCTGCATCCTTCAATGCAATCAAGTTGACACTCAGTATTAACCATCACACCTAAGAACCCTGAAGTTTCCTTCTGCCTCATATAACAGTTCTGAAGTGTACTTTTCAGACGCATGAGTACCATGCCCCATATGGTAATTTAGAGATCCAATCTGGTGGTGGATCTGCTACCTTCAACAGAAGGCTTTCAAGACTGTTCTAGTCATTGCTGTTCCATCCACAGAAAAGTAAGCTTGGTAGAAATTGCACACTTAAATCTGCTCACATTTTATTTGTCAGAAATAGTCACATGGCCATAGTCAGCTGCAGATAAGCTGGAGATTACTGCTCTAAATTGGGGCTGTGGATGGGCCACTTCTCAAGTACAACTACTATTATTGAATAAAGAAAGAATGCACTTTTCTCGACAGCTAGCAATATCTATGTGCTCTATAAACCCACCTTAGTGTCCTACAATGACTTTATTATTATTATTATTATTTATTTATTTATTTATTTTTGAGACAGAGTTTCACTCTTATTGCCCAGGCTGGAGTGCAATGGCGCGATCTTGGCTCATTACAACCTCTGCCTCCTGGGTTCAAGCGATTCTCATGCCTCAGCTTCCCAAGTAGCTGGGATTACAGGCCTGTGCCACCATGCCCAGCTAATTTCTTTGTTTTGCATTTTCATTAGACAGGGTTTCACCATGTTGGCCAGGCTGGTCTTGGACTCCTGACCTCAGGTGATCTGCCTGCCTCGGCCTCCCAAAGTGCTGGGATTACAGGTGTGAGCCACCACACCTGCCCATACAATTCTTATCCTTTGCATTCTGTACCTTGATGACTTATTTCTGTAAAAATGTATGGGCAAGACCACCTTTTTAACTTTAAAAAATGTTTGGTATATGTTAATTTTACATGTTTATTGTTCCATGAATGCCTTTTTATGAAAAGTGCTAAAATACTGGCCGGGCATGGTGGCTCACACCTGTAATCCCAGCACTTTGGGAGGCCAAAGCGGACTGATCATGAGGTCAAGAGATCGAGACCATCCTGGCCAACATGGTGAAATCCCATCTCTACTAAAAATACCAAAATTAGCTGGGCATGGTGGCGAGCGCCTGTAGTCCTAGCTACTCGGGAGGCAGAGGCAGGAGAATCGCTTGAATCCAAGAGGTGGAGGTTGCAGTGAGCCGAGATGGTGCCACTGCACTCCAACCTGGCAACGGAGCAAGACTTTGTCTCAAAAATAATAATAATAAAAATAAAATATTGGTTGATGGACCAGTGGCCATTTAGTACAAAGAAAAGAGCTACATTTTTGTAAGCATATAATAAAAATATTTATTTGACAATTCCAAGCTAAAGTATGATTTAATAGAAAAAAATCTCTTGCTAGTAATTGTCTTTAAAAATCTGAATTTGAATTAAAATCTATGGTATTTTTATATAATAGGATCTGTATAGGACAGAGTACTTTCCTTGTCTGAACTCCAGCAGAAAAAAAAAAAGTACCCTGTCATTGTTAGAAAAATTAACAAGGAAGATTTGGAATAAAGCCAAAGTTGAATTATGTGTGCCTCTATGAATAAAACTAGATCCCTACCAAAAGTGTTAGTATTTTCATTAGTGTTAGTGTTAGTGTGTGTTTTACATTCACACTTCAGAAATATGTGTCTAGAGAGAATTTATTTTCTATCAAAGGGTGCCTTCTTTTCAAGAAGATGTTTCTGTTGCAAAGTAAATTAGTTATCTTGAAGGTTGCTGGTATATTGAGGTTGGGATGATTTATTCAGCCTTTTGCAATTCAAACTTGGAGTAGCATAAGTAAAATATACATCACTAATCTGTTTGTGCTCAGTACTGATGGTACAGAATTGCTTTGAATATTATTTCTGGTTTCTTGCCAGAGCCAGGTGTTGGTAGGCACAAAAATGGAGCATGAGATTAAAGAACATGCGGATGCAAATGAGTCTCAGGAACTTCAAAGTATATTTGGGTATTGGGTTCCTGATAGCAAGATACATCTGTAGTCCTCTAAAAATGTAGCTACTCACTATTTGGTCCAGGTCCCAGGAAATTTCTAAGATGCACATTTTGTAGAATTTATGGGCAGGCTCTACCTTTCATTTTAAATCTTACTGTCTCTGAGTGATTGATCTGATGCATCAAAAGAATAATTTGCATAAGTGAATTCATATGTGAATGTCTCTCATCCTTACCCATCTTATCCTGTAGCATGCTTCCATGTCCTCTGTCTTATCAGGGTTATCACATACTCTCTTGGTCAGAGGTCATGCTTGTCTGTCACTTTCTTGCATAATCCCTTCACCTGAGAGAAGAAGTGGGTGGGGACACCTGGTTTCTACTTATTGAAGGACATCCATCTTCCATAATAGTAGAAACAGGAGAAATAATGCCCTAATACTATGTGGGTTTTTAAATTATTGTAAAGCCTTTGAAAAAGTTCAGTAACTCCAGATGAATGGTAAATACATGTGTAAAGTTTGGTAGGTCAAATTCAAATTTTCACCACTTAAAATACTATCACAATTTGAAGGAAACTTGTATGCTAATGTTCAAATTGTGTGTGTATGTGCGTGTGTGTGTATGTGTGGTGTGTTGTTACTGACTCTGCTATTATATGACTTACAAAACTTAAGTTGAAAAAAATAAAAGTCCTTTTAAGACATCATTGGCTGGGCCAGTGGCTCACGCCTGTAATCCTAGCACTTTGGGAGGCCGAGGTGGGTGGATCACTTGAAGTCAGGAGTTTGAGACCAGCCTGGCCAACATGGCAAAACCCCATTGCTACTAAAAATACAAAAATTACCCGGGTGTGGTGGCACACACCTGTAATCCCAGCTACTCAGGAAGCTGAGGCACGAGAATCGCTTGAACCTGGGAGGTGAAGGTTGCAGTGAGCCAAGAGTGACACTGGCCTCCAGCCTCCAGGCTGGGTGACAGAGTAAGACACTGTCTCAAAAAAAAAAAAAAAAAAAAAAAAGATTTTGTGCATCACTGCATTTACCCAGGATTAGTGAACTATGCTTTCTTTAAAAAAAAAAAAAAAGGAAGAAGTAAAATTTCTTCCTGAGGTATTAATGAAATTAATTTCATTCATTGAGTAATTCTCAATTACTTATTAGGTGATAAGTACTCTTCCCGCACAGCACTAAAAATACAAAGTTGAACCAAACAGACGTGGTCCTTGGCTTTCTGGAGCTTCTATTCAAGTAGAAGGAGACAGACAGTCAAGATCATTTCAGTGTTAAATGCGATAAAGGAAAAAAGAAACGGTGTCTGGGGGAGAATTTTCTGGGGATTACTGGAGTTAAGGTGGTCTGAGAAGGACCTTGAAGAGCTAATTCCTAAAGAATGAGAAACATTCAGATAATAAAGAGCCAGGAGAGGGCTTTAGCAGAGGGAAGTGAAAATGCACAGGTCTTTAAAGGGGGTGGTATAATAGTTAAAGAACCAAAAGAGAGCATTGTGTGTAGTATTGAGCAAGGAGAGAATGAATGAGGTAAATTGGAAAGATATGCAGAGCTCAGATTATGTAGCTCCATATAGGCCATGGTCACAGTTCCAGGTTGAATTCTCAGGAAGCTGTTTCTCCGAGACAGAAATTAGCATGTGAGGCAAATTAGAGAGTGCTCTTGGATCTACTTTGGAAGGTGGTGATGACGCAGGGTGGGGCAAAAGGAGAGGAGGAGCTGCACTGTAGTCCAACCAAGTGTCAGCAACTCCTTGGGAGCACTGGATCTGGGATGGCTCTTTTGAGTTGTCCCAAGTCATATTGCAATGGTGCTCGGTTACTGGATATGGGCCGCTCCTGAGAGGAAGTGTGATTTTGGGGGAAGCAGTTTTCCTTAGCCAAGACAATCCATCAGGAAGGCTGATACCCGAGAGCTGACTTGGCAGCATTCCCAGCAGTGAGTGAAGTAAGTCCTTCATTCCTGAAGGGAGATGGGGGCATGTGGATATTATTTCAAGCACAATGGGGAGCCACTGCAGAGTTCTGGAAATGAAGCCTTGTAGTCTGATTTACATTTTCGTATGGTTAATTTTTTATGGCCTGTTTTTGAAGAATAAATGATATAGAATACAGAGTTAGAAGGGAAATGAAGTGTAATATTGGTGTAAAAGCAATAGATTCAGTCAAATTTGGCCCATGTTATTTTTCTGTTCTTGACCAAAAGTTGTAAAATTTGGAAAAATCAAAGGAAACAGTTTTTATTCAGACTTAGTGATATCAGGACTAATAAGAGGACTAATATAATTGAATGTTTCTTTGCTCATTCTTTCCTGAGAATTGTTGAAATGAGAAATTATCTATAACTGTGGTTTTAGTGAATGCATGAATGTGTGTGTGTGTGTTGTGTGTGTGTTCATAAGAGAAAGAGAGTTTTAATTCTTTTTCTCTTCTTTATAATGTTAACCTGAATTTTTGTATTTAAAGTTTTTTCCCTTCAAATGTCTGCATTTTGGCATCTAACTTCAGAGACCCAGGATGAGTTACATATGATAGATCCTTATAACGAACCATTAGTCTCACTTCTTGGAAAGAATATTGGAGTTTGTGCTAGGCTCACCATGAGAGGTAAATGCTTACCAGCTGATTAACCTATTGATAAAAGTGGTGGTAGATGTGGCTACATGGCTATTGCGCAGAAGCACAAGGGAAATCTTCATGGTAATGGGATAGATCTACATCTTGATTGTGATGCTGTCTGCACAAATCTATATGTGTGATAAATTAGTATAGAGCTATCCATATAAATTTTACATGTATCAATGGCCTGGTTTTGATATTGTACTATAGTTATGCAAATATAACCATTGGGAGAAACTTGGTGATGAGTACATAAGACCTTTGTAACTATCTTTCAAACTTTTTGAGAATCTATAATTATTTTAAAATAAAATGTTAAAAAACGTTCTTTTCTGCATGACAAATGTGCTAGTCATGCCACTGTACATTCTCCTTGGATCATTGTACCCACTCTGATGACTTAAACTACTGCAGGCATATTGAAGACCTAAGAATCTTTATTTTATTCAGATATCCCCCCTGAGTTCCAGACTACATAACTCTCAGGCTGTCCCCATGGGTACCTCAAATTCAAGATGTCCAATGTGCATCCCCCCAAACGACAAAATAAATTTCATCTTAAAAATAATATTGGTTATATATATCTTATTTTCTCAAAATACTTTTAAAAGTCTTATTTAATTCTCACAACATCCTTCCTAATTGGTTAACAGAAATACTATTATCCTAATCTAAGAGTTAAAGAAATCAAAGAGAGTTGTTAAATGACTTGTCTGAGGACTCTGGTTAATATAGTAGAAGAGTAAATATTAAACCCACATATCTTGATTTATATTCCAGTACTCTTTTCAAAATACTATTATTGCCATCTGAAGTCAAATGCTAGTGCATCTTTAATATATTATAACACATGCAAGTAACTTAAAAGTAGTGTGTTTATACTTTTTTTCTAAAGTACCTGATTAAATAGTTCTCTAGAGAAACCCACATGAAGTAGGTCTATATTTTTGGGCATTTTAAATAGGGCACTGAATGTAGTATTTCTCGTCAGCCATTCAGCATATATTACTCTCATTTTTAACTCTGTTTCTTTGTGTTTTAATTCTGGGTGATAGGGGCACTTAATATAACAGGACACAGCATGAAGCTTTTTGCTTTCTTAGGGCTTTAAGACCAATAGAAAAAATTAACATTCTTATAGAGGAAAAAATTCTGAAATACAAAGTCTCTGACATCTGTTTCCCTCATTTATTTGGATCTTTTAAGATTAGCTTATCTCTTCTGGGCTCTTGGAGTCTTAAATTGAAAACACTGCTTTGATATATGTGTGTCGCTATGATTTGCACACTGTTAAAATGAATATCAGATGGTTTTATATTTTTGCAAAGGCAATAGCTCAAGCAGGTAAACTTTATCTTATGATCTGAAAACCAAGATGTTGAGACATGGATATCAAAGAATATTGCTTAATTACTTTAAATATCTTAATATTTTAAAGACTTGACCTTAACAAAAATTAATTTAAATTATGTTGTACGTTATAAGATGTATATCCAGCACACACTTATTAAGTATCTGGACACAGACAGGAAAGTAAGAAAGGCCTTTCACCAAGGAAGTTAAACAAAGCTACAGATACGTTCCATTTTAAAGAGAAGCAGGAGGAGGAGCCAAGATGGCCGAATAGGAACAGCTCCGGTCTACAGCTCCCAGCGTGAGCGACGCAGAAGACAGGTGATTTCTGCATTTCCATCTGAGGTACCGGGTTCATCTCACTAGGGAGTGCCAGACAGTGGGCGCAGGCCAGTGTGTGTGCGCACCGTGCGCGAGCCGAAGCAGGGCGAGGCATTGCCTCACCTGGGAAGCGCAAGGGGTCAGGGAGTTCCCTTTCCGAGTCAAAGAAAGGGGTGACGGACGCACCTGGAAAATCGGGTCACTCCCACCCGAATATTGCGCTTTTCAGACCGGCTTAAGAAACGGCGCACCACGAGACTATATCCCACACCTGGCTCAGAGGGTCCTACGCCCACGGAATCTCACTGATTGCTAGCACAGCAGTCTGAGATCAAACTGCAAGGCGGCAACGAGGCTGGGGGAGGGGCGCCCGCCATTGCCCAGGCTTGCTTAGGTAAACAAAGCAGCCAGGAAGCTCGAACTGGGTGGAGCCCACCACAGCTCAAGGAGGCCTGCCTGCCTCTGTAGGCTCCACCTCTGGGGGCAGGGCACAGACAAACAAAAAGACAGCAGTAACCTCTGCAGACTTAAGTGTCCCTGTCTGACAGCTTTGAAGAGAGCAGTGGTTCTCCCAGCACGCAGCTGGAGATCTGAGAACGGGCAGACTGCCTCCTCAAGTGGGTCCCTGACCCCTGACCCCCGAGCAGCCTAACTGGGAGGCACCCCCCAGCAGGGGCACACTGACACCTCACACGGCAGGGTATTCCAACAGACCTGCAGCTGAGAGTCCTGTCTGTTAGAAGGAAAACTAACAACCAGAAAGGACATCTACACCGAAAACCCATCTGTACATCACCATCATCAAAGACCAAAAGTAGATAAAACCACAAAGATGGGGAAAAAACAGAACAGAAAAACTGGAAACTCTAAAACGCAGAGCGCCTCTCCTCCTCCAAAGGAACGCAGTTCCTCACCAGCAACAGAACAAAGCTGGATGGAGAATGATTTTGACGAGCTGAGAGAAGAAGGCTTCAGGCGATCAAATTACTCTGAGCTACGGGAGGACATTCAAACCAAAGGCAAAGAAGTTGAAAACTTTGAAAAAAATTTAGAAGAATGTATAACTAGAATAACCAATACAGAGAAGTGCTTAAAGGAGCTGATGGAGCTGAAAACCAAGGCTCGAGAACTACGTGAAGAATGCAGAAGCCTCAGGAGCCGATGCGATCAACTGGAAGAAAGGGTATCAGCAATGGAAGATGAAATGAATGAAATGAAGCGAGAAGGGAAGTTTAGAGAAAAAAGAATAAAAAGAAATGAGCAAAGCCTCCAAGAAATATGGGACTATGTGAAAAGACCAAATCTACATCTGATTGGTGTACCTGAAAGTGATGTGGAGAATGGAACCAAGTTGGAAAACACTCTGCAGGATATTATCCAGGAGAACTTCCCCAATCTAGCAAGGCAGGCCAACGTTCAGATTCAGGAAATACAGAGAATGCCACAAAGATACTCCTCGAGAAGAGCAACTCCAAGACACATAATTGTCAGATTCACCAAAGTTGAAATGAAGGAAAAAATGTTAAGGGCAGCCAGAGAGAAAGGTCGGGTTACCCTCAAAGGAAAGCCCATCAGACTAACAGTGGATCTCTCGGCAGAAACCCTACAAGCCAGAAGAGAGTGGGGGCCAATATTCAACATTCTTAAAGAAAAGAATTTTCAACCCAGAATTTCATATCCAGCCAAACTAAGCTTCATAAGTGAAGGAGAAATAAAATACTTTATAGACAAGCAAATGCTGAGAGATTTTGTCACCACCAGGCCTGCCCTAAAAGAGCTCCTGAAGGAAGCGCTAAACATGGAAAGGAACAACCGGTACCAGCCGCTGCAAAATCATGCCAAAATGTAAAGACCATCGAGACTAGGAAGAAACTGCATCAACTAATGAGCAAAATCACCAGCTAACATCATAATGACAGGATCAAATTCACACATAACAATATTAACTTTAAATATAAATGGACTAAATTCTGCAATTAAAAGACACAGACTGGCAAGTTGGATAAAGAGTCAAGACCCATCAGTGTGCTGTATTCAGGAAACCCATCTCACGTGCAGAGACACACATAGGCTCAAAATAAAAGGATGGAGGAAGATCTACCAAGCCAATGGAAAACAAAAAAAGGCAGGGGTTGCAATCCTAGTCTCTGATAAAACAGACTTTAAACCAACAAAGATCAAAAGAGACAAAGAAGGCCATTACATAATGGTAAAGGGATCAATTCAACAAGAGGAGCTAACTACCCTAAATATTTATGCACCCAATACAGGAGCACCCAGATTCATAAAGCAAGTCCTCAGTGACCTACAAAGAGACTTAGACTCCCACACATTAATAATGGGAGACTTTAACACCCCACTGTCAACATTAGACAGATCAACGAGACAGAAAGTCAACAAGGATACCCAGGAATTGAACTCAGCTCTGCACCAAGCAGACCTAATAGACATCTACAGAACTCTCCACCCCAAATCAACAGAATATACATTTTTTTCAGCACCACACCACACCTATTCCAAAATTGACCACATAGTTGGAAGTAAAGCTCTCCTCAGCAAATGTAAAAGAACAGAAATTATAACAAACTATCTCTCAGACCACAGTGCAATCAAACTAGAACTCAGGATTAAGAATCTCACTCAAAGCCGCTCAACTACATGGAAACTGAACAACCTGCTCCTGAATGACTACTGGGTACATAACGAAATGAAGGCAGAAATAAAGATGTTCTTTGAAACCAATGAGAACAAAGACACCACATACCAGAATCTCTGGGACGCATTCAAAGCAGTGTGTAGAGGGAAATTTATAGCACTAAATGCCTACAAGAGAAAGCAGGAAAGATCCAAAATTGACACCCTAACATCACAATTAACTAGAAAAGCAAGAGCAAACACATTCAAAAGCTAGCAGAAGGCAAGAAATAACTAAAATCAGACCAGAACTGAAGGAAATAGAGACACAAAAAACCCTTCAAAAAATCAATGAATCCAGGAGCTGGTTTTTTGAAAGGATCAACAAAATTGATAGACCGCTAGCAAGACTAATAAAGAAAAAAAGAGAGAAGAATCAAATAGACACAATAAAAAATGATAAAGGGGATATCACCACCGATCCCACAGAAATACAAACTACCATCAGAGAATACTACAAACACCTCTACGCAAATAAACTAGAAAATCTAGAAGAAATGGATACATTCCTCGACACATACACTCTCCCAAGACTAAACCAGGAAGAAGTTGAATCTCTGAATAGACCAATAACAGGCTCTGAAATTGTGGCAATAATCAATAGTTTACCAACCAAAAAGAGTCCAGGACCAGATGGATTCACAGCCGAATTCTACCAGAGGTACAAGGAGGAACTGGTACCATTCCTTCTGAAACTATTCCAATCAATAGAAAAAGAGGGAATCCTCCCTAACTCATTTTATGAGGCCAGCATCATTCTGATACCAAAGCCGGGCAGAGACACAACCAAAAAAGAGAATTTTAGACCAATATCCTTGATGAACATTGATGCAAAAATCCTCAATAAAATACTGGCAAACCGAATCCAGCAGCACATCAAAAAGCTTATCCACCATGATCAAGTGGGCTTCATCCCTGGGATGCAAGGCTGGTTCAATATACGCAAATCAATAAATGTAATCCAGCATATAAACAGAGCCAAAGACAAAAACCACATGATTATCTCAATAGATGCAGAAAAAGCCTTTGACAAAATTCAACAACCCTTCATGCTAAAAACTCTCAAGAAATTAGGTATTGATGGGACGTATTTCAAAATAATAAGAGCTATCTATGACAAACCCACAGCCAATATCATACTGAATGGGCAAAAACTGGAAGCATTCCCTTTGAAAACTGGCACAAGACAGGGATGCCCTCTCTCACCACTCCTATTCAACATAGTGTTGGAAGTTCTGGCCAGGGCAATCGGGCAATCAGGCAGGAGAAGGAAATAAAGGGTATTCAATTAGGAAAAGAGGAAGTCAAATTGTCCCTGTTTGCAGACGACATGATTGTTTATCTAGAAAACCCCATCATCTCAGCCCAAAATCTCCTTAAGCTGATAAGCAAATTCAGCAAAGTCTCAGGATACAAAATCAATGTACAAAAATCACAAGCATTCTTATACACCTACAACAGACAAACAGAGAGCCAAATCATGGGTGAACTCCCATTCACAATTGCTTCAAAGAGAATAAAATACCTAGGAATCCAACTTACAAGGGATGTGAAGGACCTCTTCAAGGAGAACTACAAACCACTGCTCAAGGAAATAAAAGAGGACACAAACAAATGGAAGAACATTCCATGCTCATGGGTAGGAAGAATCAATATCGTGAAAATGGCCATACTGCCCAAGGTAATTTACAGATTCAATGCCATCCCCATCAAGCTACCAATGACTTTCTTCACAGAATTGGAAAAAACTACTTTAAAGTTCATATGGAACCAAAAAAGAGCCCGCATTGCCAAGTCAATCCTAAGCCAAAAGAACAAAGCTGGAGGCATCACACTACCTGACTTCAAACTATACTACAAGGCTACAGTAACCAAAACAGCATGGTACTGGTACCAAAACAGAGATATAGATCAATGGAACAGAACAGAGCCCTCAGAAATAATGCTGCATATCTACAACTATCTGATCTTTGACAAACCTGAGAAAAACAAGCAATGGGGAAAGGATTCCCTATTTAATAAATGGTGCTGGGAAAACTGGCTAGCCATATGTAGAAAGCTGAAACTGGATCCCTTCCTTACACCTTATACAAAAATCAATTCAAGATGGATTAAAGATTTAAACGTTAAACCTAAAACCATAAAAACCCTAGAAGAAAACCTAGGCATTACCATTCAGGACATAGGCGTGGGCAAGGACTTCATGTCCAAAACACCAAAAGCAATGGCAACAAAAGACAAAATTGACAAATGGGATCTAATTAAACTAAAGAGCTTCTGCACAGCAAAAGAAACTACCATCAGAGTGAACAGGCAACCTACAACATGGGAGAAAATTTTCGCAACCTACTCATCTGACAAAGGGCTAATATCCAGAATCTACAATGAACTCAAACAAATTTACAAGAAAAAAACAAACAACCCCATCAAAAAGTGGGCGAAGGACATGAACAGACACTTCTCAAAAGAAGACATTTATGCAGCCAAAAAACACATGAAGAAATGCTCATCATCACTG
The DNA here is from genome assembly GCF_000001405.40 of Homo sapiens. NCBI lineage: Eukaryota > Metazoa > Chordata > Mammalia > Primates > Hominidae > Homo > Homo sapiens. The sequence continues at coordinate 112,709,032 of NC_000006.12, forward strand.
GCCATCAGAGAAATGCAAATCAAAACCACTATGAGATATCATCTCACACCAGTTAGAATGGCAATCATTAAAAAGTCAGGAAACAACAGGTGCTGGAGAGGATGCGGAGAAATAGGAACACTTTTACACTGTTGGTGGGACTGTAAACTAGTTCAACCATTGTGGAAGTCAGTGTGGCGATTCCTCAGGGATCTAGAACTAGAAATACCATTTGACCCAGCCATCCCATTACTGGGTATATACCCAAATGAGTATAAATCTTGCTGCTATAAAGACACATGCACACGTATGTTTATTGCGGCACTATTCACAATAGCAAAGACTTGGAACCAACCCAAATGTCCAACAATGATAGACTGGATTAAGAAAATGTGGCACATATACACCATGGAATACTATGCAGCCATAAAAATGATGAGTTCATATCCTTTGTAGGGACATGGATGAAATTGGAAACCATCATTCTCAGTAAACTATCGCAAGAACAAAAAACCAAACACCACATATTCTCACTCATAGGTGGGAATTGAACAATGAGATCACATGGACACAGGAAGGGGAATATCACACTCTGGGGACTGTGGTTGGGTCGGGGGAGGGGGGAGGGATAGCATTGGGAGATATACCTAATGCTAGATGACACATTTGTGGGTGCAGCGCACCAGCATGGCACATGTATACATATGTAACTAACCTGCACAATGTGCACATGTACCCTAAAACTTAGAGTATAATAAAAAAAAAAAATAAATAAAGAGAAGCAGATGACTGGTGGAAAAGGCACCACCCAAGAGAAAGATATACTTGGATTGTATGAACTATGAAATGGGCTTTGAGACAGCAGGAACACCTCAAGAGAGAAACAATAATCCAGTAAATACTAAACATTAAGTGAAATGCCTAGAAAAACTCTTTTAAGATATTTTCACAGGAAATTCAAACATGATAAAGCATAAGGAAATCCACAGAGGTTGCTGATAAGTCTTGATTTGCAAACTTATTCATGTTTCTTTCAGATAAATGACATGATGACAGTCAGAAGACACAAGACACTAAATTGTCCCTCAATCCACTGTTCCAATAGCATGTGTGCTCCTGCCTCACTTGACTAGTGAATAGGAGATGAAATCAATTCAGCCAGTGATTACTTTTACTTAATGAATGTCACATCTGAGGTCAGGGTGTCATATGTGTGTGTGTATTGGAGGGGGTAGCTGTAAAATAACATTGATGTAAGTTTTGTTGTTGCCCCCCTAGGTGGTAAATACCCAAAGTATCATTGAATCCTAAGGTTTTATATTTGCTTGTTTTATGCTACATGTAAACCTAAATTAGTGAACATGAAACATTGCAGGAGGGTCCTTCTAAACAACATAGCGAAACTTGTGGCTCCACTAACTCTTCAACTCAACAATTTGCAGCTCTTTGAACCAAACCTTGTAGTTCATGTGTGTTACTGCTCACTAGAGATATGAGGCTTGCTAATGTGAAATACATACTTTCCACTCAGATTGTAAGGCCTTGAGACTGTGTCATGGCATAACTTGATTTAATCATTGAGAGGCCTTAATGACCACCCTTTCCCCTCCTTCAAAGCTAGTCCAATTGAATTTTTGTATAGTGGTGGTGGTGAGAGTAGAACAAAGCAAAATGGGAAAGGTATAGGAGGGAGGAAGAAGTAGCCACATTCTTAGCCTTACATTTTTACTCAAAAGTTTCTAGAAATGGAAGAAGGTTTGGGCATACTACTCTGTAAAGGGGATGTAATGAAAAGGAAGAGGCCACGTGGCTCTAATAAAGTCACCTGTTGGGATACCTGCTCCTCACACCTTTCTTCTGTTCCTGTGCCTACCACATACCTGTCTGTGTGTGACTGGGTGGTGACTCAGTTCTAAACAAGGCATGGAGCTAAGAGGAATCTAGGATATGAACATTTCTCACTTTCAAATAATTTTAGTCTTGAAAAACAGGCTACAAACTTGATTCTGGTGCTTTGAATTTTCTGATTTAAGGAAAACCTATTTTTTTCTTATGATACAGAAAATAAGAGAACAGAAAGATAAATCGAGGCCAAAAAAGCAAAACAAACAAAAACATCCCAAATCAGCAAAGCCACTAACATTTGTAAGTATCTTCATAATTATGTAGGGAAGCATCACTTGAAAATCTATATGAATTTTTCAATAAAAGCAAGAGCAGGCTGGGCACAGTGGCTCACGCCTGTAATCCCAGCACTTTGGGAGGCCGAGGCAGGTGGATCACCTGAGGTCAGGAGTTCGAGACCAGCCTGACCAACATGTAGAAACCCCATCTCCTTAGCCGGGCGTGGTGATGCATGCCTGTAATCCCAGCTACTCGGGAAGCTGAGGCAGGAGAATAGCTTGAACCTGGGAGGTGGAGGTTGCAGTGAGCAGAGATCGCGCCATTGCATTCCAGCTTGGGCAACAAGAGTGAAACTCCGTCTCAAAACGAAACAAAACGAGAGCAAAACAATTATGCGTATAGTTGAAACTGGTTAATATGCACATATGGGTTAGCCTAAAAAATTAATTTGAACATTACAGACTATAGGAAGATAAGTTTTTGTTACATCATCTGGATTTTATTTTTCAGGATGGGTGAATAATAATAAAATAATAACAAAGCTGCAACCTGAAAGCAAAATTCAGTAGTATTCCTTTTTTTCTGCTTCCAAAATGGACTATTATTTTGAGATCTATAGTTTCAAAATTAATTTGATTTTAAAATTGAGCTAGTATTTTGTCCTAAATGTTTTTAACATTGTGGCATCAACCACCTAAGAATAAGCTGCAAAATCTATTAATTTAACATGGTTAATCTAAATCACACCAAATATTGTTGTTAAAATGAAAAGACTACACTGTGGGCATTTTTGATACCCAAATCTTTGCTTTGTATGTTTGTTTTGTATGTTTTCAATTATCTCATGATTCACTTGCATGGTCTATACTTACTTGCATTTTATTTAGATCTCTTGGCACAATGTTCATTTTGCTTTTGTGAGTTTTTCTGGCATCATTATAATAAACTATTTTAAAATTAGATATTACAATAATTTATTTCATACTATCAGTGCCGTGTATTTTATTCTTCACCATCAATATCAGAAGTTACTAAGAGAGAGGGTTGAAAATGAGTTGTCTGAATATTATTGAAAGTTACCTGGAATATACCCTACTCTCATTTTTGACATATAATAGTACAACTAAAATGTTACAATGTTTGACTTTTTATACTGTTGCGGAAGACACTGAAATGCAGTAGGTAGTGGCACAATCTTCATTTTAAGGAAATAATAGACTACTTTCTGACAATCTATTTGGATTTAAGCAATGTAGAGTGAGAAGGCAATCAATCTTTGTTTATATTTAAAGTGTTGCAATGATTAAAAAAGTATGGGGAAGGGCATAGATTTGAAGCAAATACATTATCTGACGATATCTATTTTAATGTAACCTACTTTCCATGGTATTAGGAAAAGTATCATAAAAAGAAAGAGTGATTGAAAGGCCTCTGATCAAATCCTCTCTGAATTATTCCTTAAAACACTTGAAAAACACAATTATTGTTTAGATTTTAAGGCAGGCCTGAATTGAATTACTGCTTTAGTACTCAATCTCTTTGAATATCATTATTTTCCAAAATATGTGAAAGTAGGGATAGATGGAAATTAATTTACTTTGAACATTTAATCATCTACACTGCATGGAGACAGATAACGTTCTTGAGGTTTGGGAGAGTAAAGAAACTGTTGAACTTCCTTTTTCACCCGTGATGATTTAGAACAACTAATGGAAGAGATATTTTACATGAGAATTTCTGATTCTGGGAGGATTAGTTTCCAAGCTACAATTCAATAAATATTTCTGAGACAAATGTTAATCTTGAGTATTCAAACCAGCTCAAGAGAATTAATATCAATTCGGCCTCTGTTCATACCTTAAACTATGACCCAGATTGATGAATTTGAATCCCATTTCTCACAGAAAGGCCACCTTTTAAAAAATGTAATGCCCATAGAAGAAAATGGATTAAAAGAGACCCTATTGCTATTCCCATTCCTGCACCAGACTACGTCTTTTATTACAAATATCTCAGAAATAACATTGTGATAAAATTCACACGCACACACACACACACACACACACGTATGTGTGTGTATATATATATATATATATTTATGTCTACAGTCTGAAAATACTTTCATTTTTCTTTTTAAAAGGTAATAAAACCTAATTACATGAATATAACAAGATTAACAGCATTGGTACAATACAGTAGCTCCTCTTTTATGCTTGAGTTTGCTTTCTGCAGTTTCAGGTACCCATGGTCAACCAATGTCCAAAAATATATAATGAAAAATTCCAGAAATAAACAAGTCATATAAGATGTAAATTGAGTGCCATTCTGAGTAGTGTGATGAAATCTCAAACTGTCCTGCACCTTTCTGCCTGCAATTTGAATCATCCCTTTGTCCAGTGTACACACAATGTATTCACTTTCTGCTCATTGGTCATCAACACTGTCTGCTCCTGACATCCAATGACATCGTCATGGCTTAGTGAACCAGGATCACCTGAAGCAGACAATCCTTCTTCTGATACAGCATCAGAAGCTCAATAGTAGCCTAATGTTATGTCACAGTCCCTCTCTTTATCTCATCACATAGGCATTTTATTGTTTCACATCATCAAAAGAAGAAGTGAGTACTGTAAAATGAGATGTTTTGAGAGAGAAAGAGGTCACGTTCTCATAACTTTCAGTGTAGTATAATTATTCTTTTTTATTATTAGTTATTGTTAATCTCTTAATGTGCCTAACTTATAAATTAAACCTTATCACAGGTATATATGTATAAGGAAAACCATATTATGTGTAGGGTTTGGTACTATTCGTGGTTTCAGGATAGTAATTTTGTGTAGATGGAGGGGGTACACTGAGGGGAAATCTTAGAACATATCCCCCACAGATAAAGGGAAATGACTATTGACAGTAGTTTACTAATCATTACTGTTTATTTCCTTTTATTCTTACAATTGAATTTCATGCATACTTTATTTTCCATCACTAACATCAGGGGCTATTGATAAAATTAGTTCTCTTAATAGTAGCCATGAATGCTAAAATATAAAGTTAATGTGATACGTGATTATTTCAATTCATAGGTTTGGAAACTGGGACTATGAAATATGAGGCAACTTTCCAAGGCCATTTTTGCATCAAGTGCTATTGTGACATTAGGCTGGGTCTTCTTAAGTCACAGTTGTTTTCTTGCCTCCTGTCATATAGTGTGGAGTTCTCCATAGTATAGCATGACAGGAAGCAAGAGATCTATATTTATGGAGATCTCCAAATGTCAGTAGATAACACATGTTTTGCTTATACTGACATCAAAAACCCTGTCTCCAAAACAATCTCAGATGAGATTCTCATGAGAACACAATTTGTTTGGAGAAATTAGCATGGGAATATAAGTTAAAATAAACATTTAAAAACTGTACGTTTATTTTATTTTTAAATAAAAAACATTTCACTGTTAGATCTATTTTCAACAGTAGAAGTATGCACAAGTTTATAGAAGAATTCTAGTAACATAAATTTTGTTTACCAATAATGAAGACCTTTGTCTTTATGAAGATTACAAGTATCCTGTGATTTATTTAACCAGTAACTCTGTATTTAAGTAAAAACTTGTTTATTTTCAATTAAAGAGGTTAATATCACCTTTATTTTTTAGTCGCATTTTTATGTATATTGCCCTGAGGTAAAATTACATCTACACAGAAAGTAAGATTTAATGACTAATCCATATAAACAATTAAATACTTTTGCATCAGGAGCTAAATCATTAGTTTTAAACAACTGTTCAAGAATCATAAAGCCATTGAGATCAAAGCCAGAATGGTTTGTGTGATCATTCCTGTTTTTGTCATGTTACTCAATAGTAAATGCCAAGAGTTCCTGGAATGTTTATTAGCCAAATAACTAGTGAAATAATATAATCATTTTAAAATCTGATGTCAATTATTATTTTAAAAAGTTTTATCCAGTACCCAATTATATTCTGATTCACTTTGCCAAAATCCTTAAGAGTCAAATAGTCATTCTAGAAAGATGACTGAAATCATAGAGCATTTAGCAAGGCTTTGTTGATACATGAATGGATGAATGAAATGAAAGAATGAATGAATGAAAGGACCCCTGGTAAGTTTCATAACACTTTTTAGTTCCATCCTACATAAAGAGACAGAGATAAACATATATTGAATGAAGCATCTAGTATGAAATCAACACAACTTTCCTTTCACCAGAAAGAGTAGGGCAGACTGGAAAATAGCATAATTTTTGAAAAATGGATAACTGTAATTAAAACTCATTTGCATTTTACTTCTTCCAAGTGTTCCTGGGAATCTATATAATGAGCATACCTTGGTCTCTTGTGGGATTCTGTCAATAGTTTAACCTCTCCTACCCCTCATAAGACAACACCTGCATGCTGCCCAGTTACAGAGTCAATTAATCAGAGCATTTCACATTGTGATGCAGGGAAATATGGCAGGTCCTATATGGAAAGTATCAGTGTGTATATATCATTTTAAAGCTATATGTTTTGCTTCACTCTAAATTCCTTCCTGGTAACTTCAGTTAGGCTCTTTTTTGAGCTTGTCCCTTCCATTATACAACTATATAAGTTCTTGCAGCAGCCAGTGCCCCATAACTTGGAGTCATAGTCATTCACAACAGTTCAGGACTAGCTATATAATTTGTCGGCCCAAGATTGCATGCCACCTGGAGAGAGGAAACGGAAGTGTTTATAGAGAAACTCCAGTCCGTGACAGAATGAGGGCTTCTCCCAGAATGAGGGCTGCTCCCAGGAACGTTAATTTCTTGACTTCTGATCTGCCACATTTCTGGAGGCAAGAGAACATCCTGAGGCTGAGAAGTGCAGTATCTGGCAGTTAAAGGTTGGTCTGTGTGCACTCCCGTGTTAAGGGTGGGGGACCATAGGTGGGGCACGGATATGTCGCCCACTGGGCCCAGAGTCAGGCCTCCTACCTGGAAAATGTTGAGCTGGTGATCACACAGATCTTACTCTGTTCCCCTAACTTTCTCCCTACCAGAATTCACAGAGGGACACACTGGAGTCAGACTAGAGCTATGGGGGATTGTTTGGTATATACACAGCTCCTCCCAGTTCTTCAAATCAATCACGCTCAGTTACCTTTGTCCAGTTTGGTCAGCTTTCCTAGACTCCTTTCCTTTGGTACCCAGGAAAATATTTATAGGTATCTGAACACAAATAATGAGCTGGGTTCAAGTTCTCTCTTCCAGGATACCTCAAGGGATGTGACTGGAAACTGTGTATTACTTTCCCTAAGCCTTTCATGACTATTGAGCTTCTGGAACTTTAGGTAGGGGTGTGATTTATGCAAAATACCTAAAATGCTTTTGATAAGACAATGTGATAAATCTGTGTATTCCAAGTACCATTTACTTTCTCTTCCTAATAGAAGAGTAACGGAATTTTGAGTTGACTTGGTGTAGCCATGTGCCCAGCTGAAAGACTGTATTTCCTGGCCTCACTTGCAGCTAGGTGTGATCATGTAACTAAATTATGATTAATGAAATATAAGTGGAAGTACTTCTTGGGACTTCTCAGATGACATTTTAAAAGAAATAGTGTGTTATCCTCTCCCTCCCTTTCTCTTTTTTCCCTTGCTGTAACATAGAATAATTGGAACACTAAATGTAATCTTGGGCCAGGAGTTGACCTTAAGAATGCAAGGCGTATTCTGGGGCTGAAAAACAGACAGAGAGGAAACTAAGATGTAAATTATACTATAAAGTCAGTTTACCAGTCCTAGACCATCTTTTTTAGGAATTATTTTATATAAGAAAGAATTAATGTTTGACTTGATTATGCCACTATTATGTTTCCTGCTATATGTAGTTGAGCACATTTTTAACTATTATGGAAGATGTTATCTATACTCCCACACCAACCTACCCAGGTCTAATTGCTACCTAGTTACCGTGTTGTTATACAAAATTGCCATAATACTATTTTGTATTCTGATTTTTATTTTACGGTCCTGTTATCTCACAAATAGTTTTTTTTATTGTTATTTTTAGTGTTTTTCACAAGTTTTCTTGGTCATTTTTAATGTATACATATGAAGTCATCTGATAAATTAGTGACATTTTAATTTATTGAACTGTTGCCCTGATGTTGGACACAAGTTGTTTCCATTCTCTCATAGTTATAGATAATGCTGTTAATATCTATAACAATAAGTATATCTAGAAGAATAAATAAATTATTATGCACAGGTTTGTGCATATTTGGCTCAATTTTATTGTTGTTGATAACTTCTCTCTAATGAAAATGCCACGAATAGAAAATTTTGGAGGCTGCCCTTTATATTCTCATTTTAAGTTACACAATCTCTCTTGTCCTCTCCTTTCCATTTCAGGGTCACGTTTCTCTTTAGATTACACACAGTGTCTTGTGATACTGCCTCTGGTCAGCTGATTTCTCCTTGCCTCATTCCAACTTCTTTTGTCAGAAAATTCTTCAAGATTGCCACATTCTTTCACAATAATATGGTAAGGAAGATCAATTATCTTTACAAGGCTTTGGTTTTAAACTTCTATCACTTCATCGGATCAATCTTAAGTACCTTTGAGGAACACTCATACATAGACCAGTTTCATCTGCTGATTGCATAAGGAAAGTAATATTTTGAATATCTTCAACTTCAATTAATGTCACTTAAATCACTGAGCTGGAATGGAGTTGAAATGGGTCACCTAGACCAACAGTTCTCACATCTGGCTGCTCATTGACACCAATGGTAGAGCTTTGTAAAGTTACCAGTTCCTTGATTACATCACAAACCTATTGAATCCAGTTTTCAGGGGAAAGAGTGGGAAAAAGTGAGTGTTAGGAAATTGCATTACTAAAAGCATCCCAAGGTAATGGTGATGGATAGTGGGCTTTGGGAATCACTGGAAGACACAAAGAAATTACTCACATACCAGCTGGTTTCCTTTGTGTTAAAAAAATAAATAATAACGTTCTTTTTATTCTTCCCTTTCTTTACGGTCCTACTGTCATCATGCCAGATCAGATTTTCACTGGCACTTGCCTGGATTATTAAACAGCTTCCCAACTGGTTTCCTTTGGTCCTTCCTCCACTTGGCCTTTAGCTATTGTGGCATCACAAGGCTCAGTGCTAGACTTCTACTCTTCTTTAAACTGTCTCTCGGGGAGGTCATATCCACTTATGCACAGATGACATACACATTTCTTTATTCAACCCAAATCTCTCAATGAAGTTTAAAATACAGCTTTACAATTGACATTTGATATCCCCTCTTGAACATCTTGAAATTCAATGTAACCAAAAGTGTTATCACCATCTTCTCTCCAACCTCCTTCAATATTTTTTTAATTAAAAAAATTGACACATAATAATGGTACATATTTATGAGGTACACAAAGGCACATAATGATGTTGTGATACATTCAATGTGTAGTGATCAAATCAGGGAAATTAACATATCCATCATCTGAAACGTTGATCATTTCTTTGTATTAGGAACATTCAATATCCCTCTAGCTATTAAATATATATATTATCATTAGCTATACTCGTCCTTCAGTGCTATAGAACAGCAGTCGCCACCCTTTTTGGCACCAGGGACTAGTTTCATGGAAGACAATTTTTCCTTGGATGGTGTGTGTGTGTGGTGGGGATTAGGGATGTCAAGTGCATTACATTGATTGTGCACTTTATTTCTATTATTATTACATTGTAATATATAATGAGATAATTATACATCTTACCATAATGTAGAATCAGTGGGAGCCCTGAGCTTGTTTTGCTGCAACTAGACGGTCCCATCTGGGGGTGACAAAAGATAGTGACAGATCATCAGACATTAGATTCTCATAAGGAGCACACAACCTAGATCCCTCACATGCACAGTTCACAATAGGGTTTGCACTCCTTTGAGAATCTAATGTGGCTGCTGATCTGATAGGAGGTGGAGCTCAGGTGGTAATGTGAGTGATGAGGAATGGCTGTAAATACAGATGAAGCTTCGCTCCCTCACCTACCACTCACCTCCTGCTGTGTGACCTGGTTCCTAACAGGCCACAGACGAACAGCAGTTGGGGACCCCTGCTATAGAACACTAGAACTCCTTTCCGCTATCTAGCTGTAACTTTGTATCCTTTAACAAATCTCTCCCTCTACTCCCCCTTTCCCTTACGTTTCCCAGCTTCTAGTATGCTCTGTTCTCATTTTTACTTCTATGAGATTAATTTTCTTTTTAGCTTCTCCATAAGGGAGTATATTTGGAGTTTAAGTTTCTTTTCCTGGTTTACTTCATTTAACATAATGCCCTCCATTTCCATCCATGTTGCTGCAAATGACATGATTGTATTCCTTTTTATGGTAACCTGTTGTGTATATGTGCATTTTCTAATGCAGCTAATAAAGCATCATTTGGTCGTAAACACCAATACTTCTGAGAATATGTCAGAAATATTTTTGAGATTTTAAATTATACCTATTTCTGAAAATGGAAAATATTCTATAAAGGTTTATACTCCTATGATTAAGTAGGTGAATAATTTTCATTACCAATTGAAGGGATTGGCAAAAAATTGTACTATGAATTTCCAGAATATCAGAAGAAAGGTCTCCTATTAGTGTGCTGATTCTAATAATAGACATTCATTCATTCACTGAGAACACTGTCCTAGGCTGTGGGGATACAACAATGAACCAGATTCACACATTGTATGCTGTCAATGAGCTCATGTTTCAGTTAAGGAGATGTACAATTCATAGACAAAAATTATATGAAGTCATTTTAGATTCTTTATTGATTACCTAGAATACTATGCCCTAGGAAATAATTTAAAGTAAAAAAATGTAGGTTTGAATCCAGGGTCACAACTTACTTGATTGCACAAATCTTAGTTTCCCCATCTATGCTATGGGTTTCTTTGGAGGAACAAAGATCTAATGTTCTTAGCAAGGTACCTGACACTTAGGAAGCCCCAGAAATTATGTTAACTAAAATAATAGCAATGATAATAATAGACAATTATTGTCAATAAGAATTATTATATTATTGTTCCTGTGAATACATTATTTATTATTATTATCATTATCATCTTTGGCAGATCCTGGCTCTAGGAGTTTGAGCAATATCATTTGTGAGTGACCTTCCATTTTCACACACTCAGAACTTTTCACTGATTCTCAAAGTGTTCTCTGGGCATGAAGTCATGCATTGCTAATAATTTCTTACATGTACAGTGACAAGTGCTCTTTCATGTGACATTCATTGCCTCCTTCTGGTATATTTATAAAGATCCTGTTTTTAGATGGTAAAAATATGGTTCAGAAAGATTTAATATCTTGCTCAAGGTCACATAGCAAACGCCACAAACTTTGTCTTATATTATTCTAAATATGACAGGTTGTTTTGACTCCAGTCTTTTTCCTAGAGGCAGAGTGGTCCTGAGTAGAAAAGAGGAGTAAGTCATTAAAAAAAAATATGAGGCCAGGTGCAGTGGCTTACGCCTGTAATCCCAGCACTTTGGGAGACTGAGGCAGGCGGATCACTTGAGGTCAGGAGTTCGAGACTAGGTTGGCTAACATGGTGAAACCCTTTCTGTACAGAAAAATACAAAAGTTAGCTGGGCGTGGTGGCTGGTGCCTGCAATCCCAGCTACTCAGGTGAGTAAGGCAGGAGAATCATTTAAACCTGGGAGGCAGAGGTTGACAGTGAGCCAGGATCACACCACCGCACTCCAGCCTGGGCCACAGAGTGAGACTCCCTCTCAAAAAAAAAAAAAAAAAAAAAAGTGAATACAAATATCCTCATGAGAATGGATTAGTAGCCTTGCTATTTACAGGTCTCCCTATTGTTAAATGCACACACAACTAGCAAGTTGAGAGTATGAAAAACGCAGCAGAAATAGCAATTTAATATATCTCCTATCTTAGATATCTTGGGTATTTCACTGTAAGAGCTTTTCTTTTCTTTTTGGTATAGCTTGTATATCTGTTTTATTAATTATCTCAACTTTTGCAGATGCCTATTTTTATGAAAATATTCAAATTATGACTCTGGGAGCCAGAGAGAGCTTGTATAGGTTGCACTTAAAAAGAACTAATTTGGAAAATTTTTCTAGTCTGTACTTCCCAAAGCATCTCTCTCTATTTCCCCTCTGAATCAGTGGCTGATTTGATTAGGCAAGATAGAGTTGAGTGGAGGTGGAAGACAGATTGTGGAGCAGAAACAGTGGGTTTGCTCCTTTAATATACCTTTCACCTCACTTTTCCTTTGCCTCTAAAATAAAAGACAAGCATTACATTCTCAGGCAATTTGCAGCTAGGAGTTTCCAGGTGACACTGTTTTGCCCTGAGTCTGCTGTTGGGTTCTTTCCCTACTCTTTTCTTTTTGTATAGAGTGAACAAATAATACCTGGAAGCAGCCATTTTTAAAATGATACAGCAAAAAAACAGGAAGTAGCCCATGTGCTTTCTATCTCTGGAGAACTTATATGAAAGGAATAAACCACAATGTGTTGGAATTGCCATTAAGCAGCTTTTTTGTTATTTGCAGGGAACTGCAATGGTTGGGTAAGAGACTGCTTGACTCTCAAACCTCCCGTATAAAGACGCCATGTTTTATACTTGTGTTCAGTGGTAGAAGTGTCTGATCGGTATTTTTGTAAATATTTAAAGACAATGCGTTGGAAACAAGAAGAGCGGACTGACCTTATCATGAGATGTGATCAATAAATGATTGTATTTTATTGCCTAAAGCCAGGAATTTCTCTTATGTAGGGGAGTGAGAGGTCAAGGGCAAAGTATCAGTTACTTCTTAATCAAGAATAGAATATCTCCTCCACTAGCATTTTTTTTTTTTTTTGACAGAGTCTCGCTCTGTCACCCAGGCTGGAGTGCAGTGATGTGATCTCAGCTCACTTCAGCTTCCACCTCCCGAGTTCAAGCAATTCTCCTGCCTCAGCCTCCCAAGTAGCTGGGACTACAGGCTCACACCACCACGCCAAGCTAATTTTTGTCTTTTTAGTAGTGATGGGGTTTCACCATGTTGGCCAGGATGGTCTCAATCTCTTGACCTTGTGATCCACCCACCTCGGCCTCCCAAAGTGCTGGGATTACAAGCGTGAGCCACCATGCCTGGCCCACTGGCATTTAATAAAAGATGAATTTTTAAAAATAGGTGAAGCCTAAGTAATCATCTTAAATGACAATTACAGTGGAAGGAAATATCATCTTTGGTAAAAAAAAAAAATTCAATAGAAAAGGCTGGGAATCTGAGAATCAGCTTTCATCTGAGTTCTACCATTTGCTTTTTACGCATCTTTAGATAAATCAAGTAAGTTTTTTTGCTTAAATTTCTTTACATTTTAAATATGACCAATAACACTTGGTCTCTCTCAATTCTTGCTCTTAGGATGATAAGTAGGTCAAGCACTTTGAGTATCTTTGAAAAGAAACAGTATTGAAGTGTCATGGATGTGTACATCATGAGTACTATGCTTCCACTTACATTAGGAGAAGATAACACTGCCCTTTATTGTCAACACAGGTTAGAACATTGACCAATCATCACACTGATATTTAGCAAAAATGAAATTTGTTAATTTGAAATCCAAGTTGTGGTCAAAGATACTTTTGCTTTGAGTGACATAATCACTTGCTAAATCTAATCAAGGATTGTGCCACAACTATTGTAGATGCATCTGTCAAAATAGTCGTTGGTATTTTGTTAGCTAGCTAAATGAATTCTAGAGATGAAAATTACTAAATAGTAAGAGTAGAACTGTAATATGGTTGTAGAGTTTATTCAGGGATTATGGCTTCCTGCCTCCACTCCTAAACTCAGTCTTGTTCAGGATTCTCTGCCTCAGCCCTAACATCCATTCAATCTGCAAACCAGGAAAAGTAGTCATGATAAAAATGGCATTACTAACATGTCTGGAGATATTTTTAGCTTATAAGCTCTTGTACGAATGTATCTGTCCACTTAGAATATCAGTGAAATGTAGGTCTGAGAATATAAGCCTGATGATAAAAACTCCCTCATTTTCTTGTACAACAAATCTAACAGACTGCAGATTACTGAAAGTAAGTCTGAGTGAAAGGAATCAGTCAGAACTAGTTTGGAATAATGTGAAAAACTGGGTTCATTGCTGATCTGTTTGATTTTGTTGTTCATGAATTTTAGCAGAATCATTTTTACTGGTTCCTGTGGTTTTGCCTAGCACAGAAAAAGGATATTATTGCGTTGATATAAGACCACTTTTTTTTCTGAGCCCTGTGCCAAAAAGAAAGATGGTCAAGGGAACTTAGCATAAAAGCAAGAAGGTTTGTGGAATAGCAAAGTCTAAAATCTCAGCCTAATATGATATGGAAGTGAAGAGAGGGGAGAGCTGTTTGCTTAGGAAACAGTTTAGGAGTCACTGGCTAGGGTTTCCTTCTGTGGTCAGAAAACAGAGCAAGAAAAATTGAGCAAAAAGTTGGATGGAGGCTACAGTCAGAGAATTGGAGGTTTGAATTAGTGATTTTGGAAAATGAATTTTATATTAATGACATGGTCAAAGATATCACTATGGGAGCAGAGTGTGAGTTTGATTCTGGACTGGTTGGTCATATGGGTACTGATGTCAGCTAGCATGATGAAAGACTGTGGTTCAGATGACAGTGTATCCCATGAATCAGCGAATTTCCTGTTTGTTGGTAAATAAGTAAGGGAAAACAATTTTATAGCTAATTAATACTAATAATAATATCTAACATGTTGGGTATAACATAATATGTGAAACACAACTTTAAATGCTTCCCATGTATTATTTCATTAATATTCTCAAAAATCCTATGAATTAGGTAATATTATTTTTCACATTATAAAATGAAGACATGAAGGCATAGGGTGGTCCAATAACTTGATGAAGGTTTCAGGGCTAATAAGAGGCAGAGAGCTTGGATATGAGTCTAGAGAGTCAGATTTCAGAGCCCTTGTGATTATCCAACTGTAGTATAATGCACAAACATCCAAGGAGGCTTTTTATTTAAAGAGCATGTAGGAATACTGACCTGACAGTGGCAATGAGAGTCTTGGCCCTCAGATATGTGGATATGAGAAAACCAGGCATAACTTGGAAGAAGAGGGCTATAGGAAGGTGGTATCCTCAGAGGGTAAGTCAAGTTTTGGATTAAAAATAATAAGGTAGAGGAAAAGATCCCCAAAATTATGGGGCATAGCAGCATTTGCTTGTTCCTAGAGAAATGTAGAAAGGGTGTGGAATATGGAGGATATATAGGTCCTAGGTCAAGGCTCGGAGAGGGTACCGGTGTTGTGGTTGAACAGTTGTGGATTATACACAGATGCATGACCAACAGATGAGGGATAAAATCCACTCACTCATGTAACTGCATCCACCCATGGAGGCACTTTTTCTTAATTCGTACAAAGGTGTTGTAGAGGACAGCAGAGACCCTAAAGAATTTACACTTTGTACATTGCATTAAATGATGAAAAACAAGACATGTTTTAGTGGGTTTAAACTCAGGTGTCTCTTTGAGGAGGGCAGACATTGGGCTCAGCAGCCAAGGGACTTGTCCCCTTGGAGTGCGATGCTGATGGACCCAGACACTGCTCATTCCCTCTACTGTGCTGTCAGGCTGATGGTGGACCAATTGCTGAGAATTTATCTGAGCCACACTAGTCCAAAGCCCAGAACTCATCCTCGACAACTTCCTCTCCCTTCCTGCTCTGTGTCTGATCCATTACCAACCTGAAATTTTCTCTGTGTGTTCCTTTCCTCCATCTCCTCCTACTGCACTAGTAAGCTTCTATATCTGTCCCTCTCCAATCCATTCTTTATGTTACAGCCAAAGCTATAACCCACGTTAATACTCCCTCCTTCTTAAGTAGCCTATTGGTACTGACCGTTTTGTTTCTGTGACCTTCATTTTCCACCTTGTGAGGGTGATGAGTATCCCCTTCCCTCTTTCTACTTTAGCCACTCTGCAACTCTCAGTCCCTCACATTTGCCATGTTCCTCCTGCCACAGTTCCTTTGCATATTCTGTTCTGCATATGAGAATGTACTTTTTTCCTCTTTTCATTTAGGTTATTCTTACTTATCTTCATATGTCGGTTCAAGATTTATGCCCTCCAGGAGGCCTTCCCTGGTTTCTCTGAACAGGTCAAGTATCCTGTTGTAGACTCTCATAACCCCTCTGTACAGCACCCTGATAGCACTCATCATAGTCAACATTTGCTTTATGTTCGCCCCACCACCCCCAGTAACACTGCTAGATCCGCTAGGACAGGACTGTGTATTATTGCTGCTTATTCTGTCACCAGTGTCTAGTACACGGCCTGCCATACAGTGAGCATGCTTATAACACATACTGGTGAGAAAATAGTTAAAAGTTGTTCCATTCCACTGGGATCTAATTCTCTGTGGGTTACAGAAACTTGTTTGAAGAAAAAGCACTTCACCTGGAGCTCGTCATCCTTCACCGTTAAAATTGTGCATCTCTCCCTTGTGCATTTAAATGAGGTCTAGACATTTAACGCCTTGACAGTTCACTGCATGCATGGTACTTACAAAAGTATGCATTGTCAATAAAGGCCAATATACTCCTAAGAGGCACAAATAGGAAAATTGGTAAAATGCAACCAGCTTCCTATGAGAGAGGTCAGACCACAGCAGCTTTCTCTCATGTATAGGCATCTTGCACAGAAAAACTGTAATCATGCAAAGACACGGCAGAGCACAATTACCCTGTACTTGACATAATAGGCTCTGATTGAGTGTAGCATGCATTTCGTTTAACTAGATTTTTGAATGGAGAATGAGTCAACCATGTGGAAAATGGTACTTGGTTTTGGAGTCAAGAAATCTGGGTTTGAGTTATGGCTCTGGCATTTATTATTTGTGCGACCTTGGGCAAGGAATAGAAAAATTCACGCGCATTGGGCATCTATAGGCATTTTGATAGGTCTGTTATTAACTTACTCCTCTCTTCAACTGTGTAAAGTAGAGATTATCATTATTCTCATTTTTATGAGGAAATAAGAAAAAAAGCAAGAACCAGGTCAGAAAATGAGGCTCGCATCTAGGATTGTGACTCAAAATTCAAGCTCTGTTTATCACATTATGCCTGCTAGGATGCTTGAGATCTTAGAATCCACCTCTATTGTATGTAAACAGGCATAATAATGGTGTCTTTAGGAGAATATGGTTTTGCCATTATATCAACAGAGCTGTAGAAGTGTAATTGTTGCTCAGCAAGTCTTAGGATTTAATTAACAAGTAGGGTGAAGTGACTATGAATTATCAAATTTCAATTACGAAGTGCCACCTGCCAAAAATTGTTTAAAATTTGATGTCATTTATTCCACTACCAAAATACTGTAAGTATATTATTTTTTCATATATACATATACTTAAAACAACACAAATGAAATAGAGCAGCACAAAAGAATAGCCCAGAGTTTTTAACCATTATTTTTTGAGCTTCTATTTAATCCTGGTCATAGAATTTAAAAAAATCTGAACTTCAAGAATAAATTTGGTAATTTTAGGACATTTTTAAGGTTTTGGAACTTTTTCCACTTTTTCTTTTCTTTAATGCTAAATTATGAGATAATTTATTTGTCAAATGAGGATTTGCCTTGATCTTATTCATTGAAAAAATGGATAGTCTAGTATTTTTTAAAAAATTGCTTAGAATTAAATACCTCGGTTGGGGAGCAAGCAATGATTTCTTGACAAAATAATCTGAAATGTTAATAATAATTAATATATATTACTATAATTTCTCCACCATATTAAAGATTTTTTTCCTTTACCTATATTGAAGGCATTAAGTGCTTAGATTTTGGAACCAGGTTAATTATATTTTTCCAATATCAGCAGTATGAAATTTTGCTAACAATATAGTGTTAATACATTGCAAATATCACATTTCTATATAATACTTTAAATGAGATTGAACATTTCTACTGATAATTGCAAAATTTAACCCCCTGATGTAGACCAGTGGCAAAGAAACTTAAAAGGTCTGAACTATTAAATATTTTGAAATAATTGTAATTGTAATATTTTCAGGTTCATATTTTGCAAGTCAATCCAAGGCCCTTGGAAAACAAGTGAGGGCTGGTACCTGGTTTCTGAATGGTACTGGAAGGGAGTTTTCATACTATAATGATTCAAAAATATAATACAATTGTAATTCAAAATAAAGTATTCACAGTGCATGCCTCTCTAGGCATTGTTAGAGACAAGTTTCTATACTCAGTAGACCCAAATGGATGATCAGAGATGGGACTCTAATGGCCACAGAATGCAGAAACAGCACCCAAATAGAGTGTAATGTGGACAGCTCGTATCTGCCTCAGCTGCAGCTTATGGCCCACATCATCTAAGGTTATTTGATGCCAGCCTTAAATCAAGCAAACACATAAACAAAATAAATGAACTGACATACCACATGGTAAGGAAATCCAACATGTGAAATAAAAACTTTATCTTTTGTAGATTTAAATCCAATTTGGGTAATTTTTAAAACGTGATAACACAAAAACATTCTTAATTAGTAAACTCATTTGTAAACCTTATCACACATCTCTAAGTTTTTAAGACTGTGCCTTATAACAGCCTATGTTTATTAATTGACAAAATACTCTTTACATTTAATTATGACAACTATTCCTAGGAAATGGATGGTGGGTGCTAGGATATCCATGACATTTTCTCTATTTTCTTTTTTTTTTAGTTTTCCAACTGAAAACAGCCTTTTCTTGATATCTTTTAATCAAATATTTTTGTTTTTTTTTTCAAAATGTGCCTAGGAATATACAGATTATCTAGAGATACGATTATGTGATCTGGATTGGATTCACTATACTTATACTAACAATTCCAATGTTTCCAAAATTTTTTGCTCATATGTAAACTGCCTTAACTGAAGCATGTCTTTGTCAATATCTCTTTTATAGCACAGTTACAGCATGATAATAAGATTATGAAAACAAAATGAATACACTGTTAACAAGAATGACTACTCAATTTCGGTTCTTAAATTCCTTTATATGATATTGCAAGTCCTAGTCTTTCATAGTTGCTCCTATATTGCCTATATATTTATTTTATTGCCTTTGCCATGTCATATGCTATTGTTTTCTGTTTAATTATTCCTGTTTCTAATTTATAATATATTCATATATCTTATGAGACATAAAAATGATTATTGCACGAGAAATGATGTGGTCACCTAGGTTATTGCAATGTACTAGATTTTGCTCAAGCATTATCTTGCTTATAAACTCCATGGGAGTCACCTTAAAACAATGTATATTGAAATATAAACACAATATTTATAGTACCATTTATTGGCCTGGGTACAATCAAGAGACAATATCGACTTAGTAATTTAAACATGGGAAATTTAACATAAAAATTATTAAACAATGATAAGAGAACAACTATAAACATGAAAACAGGGAGAGTAGTTAAGGAAGGACAAATTTGGAAAGAGGCTATGACCACACTGAAGAAGGTGTAATTGCTGACCACTGGATCGCAGAGACATTTGGTAAATTGCTTCCTGCAGAGCTGGTCCACAGTCACCAGGCGAAGTAGGTACAACTCTCTAGGGCACAGGTGATCTTAGGCTAAGAAGTGGGACCATAGAGAGTCAGCATCAAAACCCAGAGCTTTTCTATTTGTGGCTTGGGTAGGGTGGCTCTGGGCTACACAGGATGGAGGTCATGCCACAAGCTTGCTGATTATCAGCTCCACAGTACCCCTTACATTCATATCACTCAGGGTTGTGGGCAGCAGTTAACAGGGCTAGCGCACAGGTCAGATTTTTCTGGGGCTTCCACTATGCCATTGTTTCCTGAGTCAAGAACTGTAGAAAACACACTGTGAAAGCTGTACCCTCTAAGCCCTTGACAATGGTGAAAACCACGTGGAATAGACAGTGGGGAAAAAGTGCACTACCAGGAGGGAAGCCTCTGCCTTCTTGAAATGTCTTTGTATTGCCCTCTACTGATAAGTTTAGCATCATGATAGCCAAAAAAGAAAAAAATAAAGGTGAAGGGCCTAGATTTATTTTCACAGGGAAGGCAACCAGGGATGAATTTGGGGCTATGAGGCATTATCAATAATTGCCACACGCCACAATTATTTTTAAATTTATTTTACTTGTTTATATTTTAGAGATAGGGTTTTGCTATGTTGCCTAGGATGAAGTGCGTTGGCACAATCATAGCTCATTTTAGCCTCGAACTTCTGGGCTTCAGTGATCTTCCTGCCTTGGCGTGAAGAGAATAGCACTGGTCTTGAGGTTGGGCAAGAATCTTACCCTTTCTCAACTTTGGCGTGTTCCTCTGTAAAATAAGAAAGTTTTATAAAATCAATAATTCCACATTTCAATATAAAAACTCCTGAGACTCCATAGAAATTATACTGCTTTGAGACTTTCCACCCATTCTTTAACCAGAACTGCTTTACCATTATTTACTTACCATAGTGCGGTCCCTGTGAGGGAAAGTGATCGTGGAGGTCAGGTTGTAACTTTGGGTTGGGTCTGGATATGTGTGGACAGACTATTGACAAAAGACTCTCTTTCTCTTGCTTTCACACAGTTTCAGGAGCTATGGTTCTGTTCCTCATAAGGTTTTGTTTGAAGAATATTTCTTCCAGTTATAAATAAATAAGAAATAATAAATTAAATGACATCTAAATTTCCTTCCTACTGCGAATTTCTACAGTTGCTTGTTTCAGTTGTATTATCTAGTCAATTTGTGTGATTATTTTCATTGCACTACTTAGCCTGTTAGGCCTGGCCTTAGCCCAGAGTTTGTGTTCTTCCAGACTTTTCTCCAAGCGTTTGCACCTCCACGACCTGCACAAGTCATGGTTTTGTTTGCTTCCTTGCTCTTGGATGTGATTCTGATCTCTGGCCCTTGGACATCTGGTTAGTTCTGGTCAGTTCCCACCCTGGACCAGCCCCAGAGATTACACAGGTATGGATTCTAACATCTGCTGTGCTCCTATCCATTCCTAGTTTGCTATGCTCCTGAGGACAAACAGAGCAATGAGGATAGAATAGAAAGGTATGGGCATTATATTAGATTAACAACCATTAGATGAAACAAGAGATTATTGCAAATTAAGGTGGTGAAGATGGGCCAGGCACTGTGGCTCACACCTGTAATCCTAGCACTTTGGGAGGCCAAGGAGGCTGGATCACTTGACGTCAGGAGTTCCAGACCAGCCTTGCCAACATGGCGAAACCCAAAAAGTTCAAAAATTAGCCAGGCATGGTGGCCCGTGCCTTTAGTCCCAGCTACTCAGGAGGCTGAGGCAGGGGAATCGCTTGAACCCAGGAGGCAGAGGTTGCAGTGAGCCGAGATTGTGCCATCGCACCCCAGCCTGGGCAACAGAGTGAGACTCCATCTCAAAAAAAAAAAAAAAAAAAAAAGATGGTGGAGATGGGTTTAAGAGTAAGGAAAGCAATAATCAATAGATGCCTATAATCTCTGAACACTCTTCATTACCTTGGATGCCCCTTGTTTAATCTTGTCACTTTTGATGTACACTGCAATGGTCATCAGCATACCTTTCAACCCTTCCTGTAGACAACTGCCCAAACAGCTCATTTAGGCCATGGGCAGTTTTGGCAGCCTTGGATGCTAAATGCAGCTGAATTCACCTACCTTTCTACACCATCCATGGCTTCTGAATCTCCCCCATGAAGACACTCCATATCTTGCCTGCATCTTTTTCATGTCTGTGATGGAACTGCAGTGGTTAAGAATTTGACTGCAACAGGGTGTGATGCCTTATCATAACAAGGAAGGTATTTACTACAAGTTGATAGCAGGACCCACCGCTTATCTTTCAGCTAGAAATAGATATATTTGACAAAACATCTATGTAATACTCTGTGCCAGATTACAGTCATGTGCCGTATAATAACATTTTGGTCAATGACAGATCACAAATATGACAGTGGTCCCATAAAATTATAATGCCATAATACCATATTTTTATTGTACCTGTGCTATGTTTAGATATGTATAAAATATATACATATCTAAAGAAATTTCACAAATAAATACTATTGTGTTACAATTGCCTGCATATGTAGTACAGTAACATGCTGTGCAGATTTGTAGCCTAGGAGCAATTGGCTATACCATATAATCTAGGTGTATAGTAGGCTATACCATCTAGGTTTGTGTAAGTATGCTCTATGGTGGTCACAGGCCAATGAATTACCTAACAATGCATTTCTCAGAATGTATCCCCATCATGAAACAATACATGACTCTATATGAATATACTAGGTTTGGTGGAAAATTTTGCTTTATAGGAGGTATTATTTAGGGTCTTTTCTAAACTGTTTTTCAGAAGACACTCCACAAAATTTATAAATAAAATAGAATGGTTTTCTCTCTTACCTAATAGTCCAGGGTGGCAGGTAGACGTTTCTCCACAAGGCCATCTAGGGACTCAAATGTGTGATGCATTTCTGCCGCTACTGCCACAAATGCTGTGAAGCTTCCATCTCTGGGTCTAGAGAATTTATTCCAGTAAATTTCTTTACAGGATGAAAGATATCTCACCAGCACAAGGGAGGTGGGAAGAGAACATGGAAGTCAAGCACCTTTTTAAAAGATTTGAAATGGAAGCTGTGCACATGACTGTGGATCATACCTCTCATTCACGGCCACATACAGCTGCAAGTCTCTACGCTTATGGCCATACAGCTCAGCCAAAAGGGGTGTATGTGGGAAGTTCTGTTAATAAAAAGAGGAAGGGGAGAATAAATAATAGTAGGGGACAATAACATTCAATTTAATATATACATTGAATCAAGGAATACTTCACCACAATAACCACTAAAAGATACACACACACGCACACATACCCACACACACTACTCCTATCGATGTCTATCTATATAAGATATATATATATTATATCATATATATAATATATATCTTAGCTGAAAGTAAAGGGAAATATCCTAAAGCACTGCTCAGTTCTGTGAATACCCTAAGCACTTTTTATAGACATAGAGAGGATCTCAGAAGACTAAGACTAGCATGATGTTTAAAAGGCAAACCAAATATATGGAACTAGAATAAAAACTTATTTTGAAAAGACACAGCTAAATATTCTCGTGTAAACTTTTTGAGGCTGTTTTAGTGAGGGTTACTGTTTGTATACAGCAAACTCTAACTGCACCTAGCACATGAAAACTAATTAGACTTATTAAAAGACTCTCCAGGGCTTGTAGACGTAACAGCACCTTGGACTACAGGTTTGAAAATAGGCATACGTTAAGAAGACAGTTTCAGATTGAGATATAAGAAATACAGCAACCATCTTCACCAGGAGAAACATGGCTAGCTAGGATGATGTCTCCACTGTTGTGGGACTATTACAAATGAATTACAACTTTCACTTTGTCTTTGGCTTATTCTCTCCAGATATAAAGTCTTAGGTGGGAGTATATGATTAGCTAAGACTTCATCACATGTCCTGTACTCTGGTTGCCTCTGTAACAAAAGTGGGGCAATTTCTCTTGCCAACACTACACATAATGGAGACTCCCCCAAAACTCAGAAGGGAGGTAAGATGCAAATTAAACAATTTTTAAGTCTACTACAGATCCTGGCAAAGGCTTTCTAGTTTGATTTTATAGCCAGTGGTGATCTGCCTCCAAATCCTATCTATCTTGAATTATGGCTTATGCAGGTTTAATAAGTCACCTCTTA
The DNA here is from genome assembly GCF_000001405.40 of Homo sapiens. Classification (NCBI taxonomy): domain Eukaryota; kingdom Metazoa; phylum Chordata; class Mammalia; order Primates; family Hominidae; genus Homo; species Homo sapiens. Next base: position 112,732,920 of record NC_000006.12, read on the forward strand.
CTAGTTTAATTCAGGAGCCTCTTCTCTTGTCTTGGACATTTTTGGTAATTAAGCCTACTCTTTCTACTTGAAACAACCATACTCATGTTTCAGGACTTTATCTCCCTCTGATTCTGCCTTCTCTGGTTGTTCTCTATCAGACTTTCATTTATTTCTCTATTTTCAAAAAACTGATTTTCTCTAGAAATTCAGTCTTTGCTTCTTTTTTCTTCTGAATTTCATACTATGAGCAACACCATTCACTTTTTACTTTCCACATTTAACACATATATAAATAAATTCCAAATCAACATACTTCCTGCTTGGCCTCTCTCCTCGTAAGATACAGATTGGAATTAAATGCTTACACCAAGAACTTCACATGCCCATAACCAAACTAAATATGTTCTCACAAATTGTTTTTTTCCTCTTAATCTCTATCTTTATGAAAAAACACTATTTTTAATTGATGCAAACAGTTATTGAATCTTCTCTTTCTCTTCCTCAATCTCATAACCCCCATGAACATCCTTTTGGTTGTCAAGATCTATTAATTCTACGCTTAAGTCTTGCTTCTTTCTCTCTGCTCTTTTCTACCCTTACCCTCCCTGTCTTAGCTTAGGCCCTACATATTGTGTCTTTTAATGAACTGATGATGGCCTATGGGTCAGTTATGTCATACCATATTTGTCTCCTTGGTGTTTAGTGCTTGGGATATAGTATCATTATCGAATTGAAACATTTTAAAATTCCATTGTAAAGGAGAAACGGTCTTGTATATATGACTAAATATATGTGCATCTGTGCCTACATTCACTATAATCATTATGACTTAGATAAGATGTAAAATAGATTTAATGACTAAAATATATGAACAATATATGGCAATTTATATGTGAATTACTGTTTGAAGTATATGTGAAAATATCAGTGGGACATTTTAAAATCTTCTGTACACACTCATGTGTTCAATATTGAGCCAGTATATGAATGAGTCAGAGTAGCTGTGGCTTCTTGAGCTGGTTGCTCAGCTATTCCTGTGCTTTCCTTCTTTTACGTTTCTTTGTTCCACTTTATTTTACCCCAGTTTTAAACTCTTGATAATTAAGTATGCAATACAGAGTTCAAAATCTAAGTTACATTTTCTGTGGATATTTTAAATTAATAATGGGAATGGAAATGTATCACTCAATACACCTCTAATTTCAGTATTTTATTTTTTTAAAGTTAGCATTTGCAACTATTAAATCACTGTTAGTTCATTAAGATTAACCTTTCCAAAAACAATTAGCTCATTTCATATTAGTCCATTTTTATACTGCTATGAAGAAATAACTGAGACTGGGTAATGTATGAAGAAAAAGAGGTTTAATGGACTCACAGTTCCACATGGCTGGGGAGGCCTCACAATCATGACAGAAGGCAAAGGAGGAGCAAAGGCACGTCTTACATGGTGGCAGGCAAGAGAGTGTGTGCAGGGGAACTACCCTTTATAAAACCATCAGATCTCATGAGCTGTATTCACTATCATTAGAATAGCATGAGGAAAACCCGCCCCCATGATTAAATTAACTCCCATGTGGTCTCTCCCATGACATGTGGGGATTATGGGAGCTACAATTCAAGATGAGATTTGGGTGGGACATAGCCAAACTGTATCAGAGTGCAATGACAATTTTTGTACAGTAAGCTGGATAGAGGTTACCTGGGGCTTGGTAAAAAAAAAAAAAAAAAGCCATGGTTTATTTATATTAAATAATTTTAATAAAGTAACATACACATAATTAGGAAGGTATTACACACTAAATTTATATGCAATTTTTTAAATTAAAGCTTTCCGTCAGTTTTCATTCATGATCACAGCTTTCTCTTTTTAAATAATGGATGTTATATCTGAAGTGACTACATACAATTCCTAATCAGGACTTTCATTTTGCTTTCTTAAAATTGTAAAAGACCGTGATTGATAAGCCATACGGTTCAGGCCAGGAGGTGATAAATAATGTAAAATCATTTATTAAAGCATTAAACATTTTACAATTGGGATTACACTTAAAGAATATAAAACTCTCCATTTTTTATTGATAAAAGTAATGTTGAAATTTTTCAAAACACAAATGGATTTCAAATTCAATAGTACCTTTAAAAAATTTAAAATACTTTATTTCCAGCTTCATTGAGATACAACTAAAGTACAATAAACCACATATCTATGAAGTATACAACCTGATAAGGTTTTTATATATGTATACACCAATAAAACTATCACTACTATTAAGAAAATGGACATATCAATGACCGTAAGTCCTATTTATACATCTTTATGACCCATCTCTCTTTCCTCCATGTCTTCAGGCAACCACTAATTTACTTTCTGTTTCTACAGATTAGGTTTCATTGTCTAAAATAAAATCATACAGTTTTCTCTCACTCAGCATAATTAGAGATTGATTCTTCTTGTTTAATCTGTTAATCATTTATTACTTTTATTGCTGAGTAGCATTCTATAGCAGGAGTATATTTTCTTTATACATTCACCTGTCAATGTACATATAGATTATTTCTAGGTTTTTGCATACCACATATAAAATTGTTATAAACATTCATTTACATATCTTTGTGTAAATACATGCTTTTATTTGTGTTGGGTAGATGGCTAGATCACATTATAGGTATATGCTTAAGCTGCCAAATGTTTTTCAAAGGCTATACTATTTAACATTTCCACCTGCAGTATATAAAAGTTCAAGTTCCTCCACATCCTAGTTAATATTTGGTATGGTAATTCTTTTTAATTTTATCAATTCTAATAGGTATATGGTGTTTTACCATTGTGGTTTTAATTTGCATTATTTTAATGATTAATGATATTCAGAATCTTTCTGTTCTTATTTGATATTCACATAACTTTGCTGAAGTATCTGTTCAAATATTGAACACATTTTTATTGGACTCTTCATCTACTAATTATTGAGTTTTGAGTTTTCCATGTAATCCAGATACAAATCATTTGCTGGGTCTGTATTTTGTCAATATTTTCTTCTGTGCCTTTCCTTTTCATTTTCTTAATGCTAATTGGATTTGTAGTTAAAAATCTCACAAAGAAAATTGCCAAGCCCAGATATCTTCACTACTAAATAGAGTTAATAATGCATGTAGAAGTAAAGTATATGAAAACAAAGGAACAAAAGCAGAGGGAGAGGAAGTGGAAGAATTCTGTTATAAAAGACCTTACACAGTATGTGAAGTAGAATGAACTTACTTGAAGGTATACTTCCTTATATAAGGCATAGTTTTTGCTTCCTTTATTTTAAATAAAAGATACAAATATGCTAAATGCGAAAGTTTGTGAAAAATATTTCATGCTTACATTAATCAACAGAAAGATGGAATGTCTATATTCATATAAGAAAATGTAGACTTTAGAACAAGGAACGTTTTATGGGATAAAGAGGGTCTTTTATGACAAAGTCATTAATTCATAAAAAGTCATTGCAAATCTAAATGTGTATACACATAATACTAGAGCTTTAAGATTTATGAAGCAAAACCTGATAGAAATAAAAGATAAGAATAGATAAATTCACAGTTATAGTCAGATATTTCAACACTCCTCTCTCAATAATTGATAGAACAAGTAGACAGAAAATCAATAAGAATACAGGAGATTTGAACAAGGTTAACAACATGACATTTATAGGACACCCCACCATAAAACAGCAGAATAATATCTTTTCAAGTGAAAACAGAAATTTTTGAAGACATAATTTTATGGGCCATAAAATACAGGTATCAATAAATTTAAAATAATTCAAGTATGTTTTCTGAAAAAATTGAATTAGTAATCAACAACAAAGTGATTTCTAGAAAATCCATAAATATTTGAAAACTTAATAACCTACTTCTAAGTAACACAGGGGCCAAAAAAAAGCACACACACACACACACACAAAGGAAATGAAAAGTTATTTTGAATTAAACAAAAGTGAAAACACTGTATATCAACATTTGTAGGATATAACTTAAGCAGTGCTTAGAAAACTTTATAGCATTAAACACTCAGAAAAGGTGAAAGATCTCAAACCAATGATCTTAGCTTTAACCTAAACTAAAAAAGAAGAGTAAATTATATCCAACAAAAGCAGAAGAATGATAAGTAATAATTATAAATATGTAATAGTAATTAATAAATATAATAAAGATAAAATATACAGAGATACCTTGAAGCTATTGCAGGTTTCATTCCAGACCACTGCAATAAAGTGAATATTGCCATAAAGCAAGTCACATGAACTTTTTGGTTTCCCAGTGCACATAAGCATTACATTTACACAATAGTTTAGTCTATTAAGTATACAAAACATTATATCTAAACAAATGTGCATACCTTAGTTAAATTTTTTTTTTTTTTCTAAAAAATGCTACCAATCATCTGAGACTTCAGGCAATCCCAAGGTTTTTGATGGTGGACATTCTTGCCTTGATGTTAATAGCTACTGACTAATCAGGGTAGTGGTTGCTGAAGGTTAGAGTGGCTATGGCAACTTTTTAAAATAAAAGACCAGTGAAGTTTGCTGCATCAATCAACTTTTCCTGTCATAAAAAATTTCTGTACCATGCAATGCTATTTGATAACGTTTGACCCACAATAGAACTTTTTTCAAAATTGGAGTTAATACTCTCAAACCCTTCTGCTGATTTATCAAATAAGTTTATGAAATGTTCTAAATCATTCATTGTCATTTCAACAAGGTTCAGAGCATCTTCTCCAGGATCAGATTCCATCTCAAGAAACCATTCTTTCTCATCTATAAGAATCAACTCCTCATCTGTTCAAGTTTGATCATGAGATTGAAACACTCCAGTTGCATCTTCAGATTCCTCTTCTAATTCTCTTGCTATTTCCACCAGGCCTGTAGTTACTTCCTCCACTAAAGTTTTGAACTCCTCAAAGTCATCTATAAGGGTTGAAATAAACTTCTTCCAAACTCCTGTTAATGTTGATATTTTGACCTCCTGCCATGAATTATGAATGTTCTTAATGACATCTAGGATTGTGACTCTTTACCAGGTTTTTAGTTTACTTTGCCCACATCTTTCAGAAGAATCACTATCTATGACAGCCATAGCCTTCTGAGTTTCTTTTCTTTCTTTCTTTCTTTTTTTTTGTTTTGACAGGGTCTCACTTTGTTGCCCAGGCTGGAGTGCATTAAGCCTCAAACTCCTGGGCTCAAGCAATCCTCCTGCCTCAGCCTCCTCTGTGCTAGGACTACAGCCACATGCCACCATACCTTGTATGTTAGTCTGTTCTTGGATTGCTATAAAGAAACACCTGAGGTTGGGTAATCTATAAAGAAAAGGGGTATATTTTGGCTCACACTTCTGCAGATTATACAGGAAGCATGGTGCTGGCATCTGCTTCTGGTGAGACCTCAAGGAGCTTTAATTCCATGGCAGAAGGTGAAGCAGAAGCAGGCATGTCACATGACAAGAGAGGGATCAAGAGAGAGAAGAGGGAAGTCTTGCACACTTTTAAATAACCAGATCTTGCATCAACTCAGAGTGAGAACACACTCATCATTAAGTGGATGGCGACAAGGCATTTGTGTGGGATCCCTGCCCCCATGATCCAATACCTCCAATATCTTTGGATGTTTGTTCCCTTCAAATCTTATGTGGAAATGTAATCTCCAATGTTGGAGGTGGGGCCTATTAGGCCTACATAAGATTTGAAAGGGCCAGGCATGGTGGCTCATGCCTGTAATCCCAGCACTTTGGGAGGCTGAGGCAGGTGGATCAAGAGTTCAAGAGATCGAGACTATCCTGGCCAACATGGTGAAACCCCGTCTCTACTAAAAAAAAAAAAAAAAAAAAAAAAAAATCAAAAAATTAGCTGGAAGTGGTGGCACACGCCTGTAATCCCAGCTACTCAGGAGGCTTAGGCAGGAGAATCACTTGAACCCAGGAGGCGGATGTCGCAGTGAGCCGAGATTGCGCCACTGCACTCCAGCCTGGTGACAGAGTGATACTCCATCTCAAAAAAAAAGAAAAAAAAATTGGAAGGGAACAAGCATCCAAACTATATCACCCAGCTAACTTGATTTTATTTTTTGTAGAGATGGGGTCTCCCTATATTGCCCAGACTGGTCTTGGAACTCCTGGGCTCAAGAGGTCTTCCTGCCTCAGCCTCCTAAAGTGCTGGGATTACTAAAGTGCTGGGATTACAAGTGTGAGCCCCGCTATGCTTGGTCTGAAATTTATTTCTTAGAGAATAAGGCTTGAAAGTTAAAATTACGCCTTGATCTATGAGTTGCTTAATGAATGTTCTGTAAGCAGGCATAAAAACAACATTAATTTCCTTGTACAGCTCCATCAGAGCTCTTAGGTAACCACGTGCTTTGTCAATGAGACATAATATTTTGAAAGAAATCTTTTTCTCTGAGCAGTAGTTCTCAACAGTGGCCTTACAATATTCAGTAAACCATGCTGTAAACACATATACTATCATCCAGACTTTTTTTTTTGTCTCATTTATAGACCACAGACAGAGTAGATTCAGCATAATTATTAAGGGCCCTAGGATTTTCCTAATTATAAATGAGCATTGGCTTTAATGTCAAGTCATCAGCTACATTAGCCCCTAACAAGAGAATCAGCCTGTCCTTTGTAGCTTTGAAGCCAGACATTGATTTCGTCTCTTAAGATGTAAAAGTCCTAGATGTGATCTTCCAATATAAGGATGTTTTATTTAGGTTGAAAATCTATTGTTTAGTGTAGCCACCTTCATCAATGATCTTAGCTAGATGTTCTAGATAACTTGCAGCAGCTTCTACATTAGCACTTGCTGCTTCACATTATATTTTAATGTTATAGATATGGCTGTTTTTCCTTAAACTTCACAAACCAACCTCTGCTATCATCAGACTTTTCTTCTACAGCTTTTTCACCTGTCTCAGCCTTCATAGAATTGAAGACAGTTAGGGTCTTGCTCTGGATTAGGCTTTGGCTTAAGGGGATGTTGTGGCTGTTTGATTTTCACTTCAGGCCACTAAAAATTTCTCCATGTCAGCAATAAGGCTGCTTTGCTTTTTTATTATTCATGTGTTCACTGGAGTAGATTTTTAATGTCCTTTCAGAACTTTTCCTTTGCATTTATAACTTGGCTAATTGTCTGGCACAAGAGGTATAGGTTTTAGCCTATCTTGGCTTTCAACATGTTTTCCTCAATAAGCTTAATCACTTCTAGCTTTGGATTTAAAATGACATATATGGAATTCTTCTATTCACTTGAACACTTACAGGCCACTGTAAGGTTATTAGTTGGCCTAATTTCAATATTGTGTCTTGAGGAATAGAGGGCCCCAAGGAGAGGGAGAGAGACAAGGAATGGCCAGTCAGTGGAGCCAGTGTGTCAGAATACACACATTTATTGATTAAGATTGATGTCTTATATGGGCACAGTTTGAGATGCCCCAAAACAATGACAATGGTAACATCAGGGATTACTGATCACAGATTACCATAACAGATATAATGGTAATGACAATGTTTGAAATATTGTGAGAATCACCAAAATGTGACAGAGAGACATGAAGTGAGCATGTGCTGTTGGAAAAGTGGTACCTTATGAAACACAAAGTATTGCCACAAATCTTTTATTTGTAAAAAAAAAAATCTGCAAAGTTCAATAAAGTGGAACTCAATAAAATGAGGTATATGCCTGTGATTATATATAGTAATAAAGATAAAAGCAGATAAAAAGAAAACCAATGAAGAAAGTCAGTACAATTGAAATTTTGATCCTTAAGAAAGTCAACTAAATTAATAAACTTCTAGCCAAACTCATTAGGAAAATTAAAGAATAGACGTAAATGACCAATATCAGAAAAAACTGGTGATATTAGATTCAACAAACATTGAAAAGATAAGAAAAAGATTTATATATGAACAAATTTATGCTAATAAACATAACAAGATAAAATGTTTACATGCCTTAAAGATACAAACTACCAAACTCAACAAAGCTCACTCAAGAAAAAACCTGGGTATCTCTAATTGAATTTTAAAATCTTCTCAGAAAGAAAATTTCAGGCACAAATGTCTTCACTGCTGAATTCTACCAAATATTTTCAATTGTACTTTAACTCTTGCAGAAAATGGAAGAGGAATGAATACTTTCCAACTCATTTTTAAAGGACTACCTTTCCGTAACACCAAAACCAGATGAAGATATCACAAGAAAAAAAAGCTACTGACCAATATCCCTCATGAACATAGAAGCAAATATTTTTAAGTAAATTTTAGTAATACGGTTCAACAACATGTTAAAAAATACATCATAATTGAGTTTTATCCAGGAAATGAAAATTCAGTCTGAAAATCAATGCATGTAGCTCCCCATATTAACAAAGTAAGTAAGAAAACCTGTGTGGTCATCTGCATCGATGTAAAGAAAATATTTGACAAAATTTAATGTTCATTCATGATTAAAATAAAAACTCTCAAAAAGCTAGGAAAAGATGGAAACTTCCTCAGCCTGATAAGAGGCATCTTTGAAAAACTGTTTTATCAGTGTCCCACTAACGCTTTCTGGCTTCAGAAGTGGGTGTCTGGTAGAGAACTTCCTTAACACCATTCAACAGCTCATGAGGACCACAGGAAGTACCATTAGGCTTAGGGTGATCTCCAGGGAACTCAAAATAAGACTGCTTACAGCTGAAGTTAATGGCCCTAAGTCTCATCTTCTCCAAGGCCTACATGGCTTCCCAGGGCAAAGAGGCTCAGTGTTTTTTTCACAGCCTCTGCTAACCCTAGAGTACAAGCTTCTCGTAACAGAGATGGTGTCTTTCTTTTGCTCACTAATTATGCCAAGCATAACACCATGACGTAGCATTTTATCTATACTTACTTACTACGTTATTATTTTTTTGGAGGGGAAGGTGTTAAAAGTGAGAAATTAAAATTAAAATGGTTTCCCTTATCACCAACATATCAACCCCTCCTTCCAACTCTTTTGTCTAGGATCGTAGGATTCTTGGACATCAGGGAGGAATAAATAAGGAATGTCTTGGAAGGAGGCCCAAATCACCATTTTCTCACTGAAATTAAATTAAGCTGTTGAAAGAAAGAAAGAAAGAAAGAGAAAACCCATGATCCAGGGTGTAGTCTTTTTTCATCTCCCCTTTAAATACTGCTCTTTTGTTATTAACATACTTGTTCATTTGATTCTTATGATGAAATGTGTGTTTTTTTCTTCTAAAGCATATAACAATCATCTAGATGGTCATTATTATTATTATTCACTTTTGACATGTATGCTGTGAACTATCAGTGTCTGCTGACACATTGGATAAATATCGTGGTGGAGAAACACTGTAAGAATACTTTGGTGATTGACTTGATATTCAGTTTTCATTTGGCTGTTTTTAGCACCATAAGATTCTTATTTTATTAGAATTAATTCTATTTAGTGACCCTTCTGCAAGTATATTCTGACCCTTTACAGTAACAGCCAAATACATTTTTAGCTCATTATCTGGTACATTTTATCGTGCCATCAGCTACATGAAGAGCTGATATACTCTTAGTGACCTTCACATAGAATTAAGTTTAGAAAGGTACACAAATGGCATACAGTTAATGCTAAAATAAAAAAATAAGCATATACATATATATCTATACACACATATATACATATATGCACACACATATATAACAGGCTTTTAATGTATTGAAAACTTGGAAAAATGGGAACTGGATTTTAAGAAATTTCAGTAAATAAATAAAACTTCCTTTTTGCTAACTTCAAATCTATCCTCAGGAGATCCTATTACATGATTTAGGAGAAAAATACATGCACACACACACACACATTCACACTCATATTTGGGATGAAAATACAACCTCAGAAGTTTCCTATTTGAAATAATAACGATTCTTGAAACTGACTACTATTGTTCATCCCCTCCAGGAATGATCTCCCAGGTTGAGAAAACAAAACCTGGAAAGAAGTCCAAATAATCTACAATGAATTAAATCCTCGCATTCTTGAGAAAGCAACTTGAGATCAGGGAGCAAATTAACATATAACTTCATCTCCAGATGTACCCTCTTGCATTTTTAAACCTCTGCTGAACCAGCTTTCTAGTTTTAAAAAGGTTGTTTATATTAAGAGCTCTTGAATTATTATATTTAAGGCAGTATTTCTTATATTCAAAGATTTTTATAAAAAAAACTAAGTTCAATTATATTTAACATTGATCAGGCTAAACTACAATTGGAGCCCTAATTAATGTTTCAAAAATTTAGACCACTTAATGATCATCATCAGCAGGTACTAATAATTCTTGGAGTCCCAAAAAATGTCCCAGGCAGTTTCCATGTTGCATTTCTCTTGGTCTATGGAAACAAGTGGCAAGAGTAGTTGAAAGTAAATGAGCTGTTCTTTCAATTTAATTCAAGATGTTTTCAGTACTCTGAATAAAAGACTTTAGAAACTGTTATTTTTTTCTTCTGATCTTTATAATGCCCCTTGAATTAAAAGCTAAGCTGACACTTTAATTGTGGTCAGGCCAAAGCAGTGTATTCATAGACTGGATAAATGCTAATTTGTCAGCCAGGCTAAATTATGCATGTCCTTCTATCTTCCCATTTCCCATGACTGTTCGCAGTTGGGGGTTGCTTCTCTATCCCTGGTTTCTCTAGAAATCTTTGCAATTGAATCACTAAGATGCTTCCTGTTAGTGAGAACTAACTTTCCCTCTCCCTGTCTTCCCTACTACCTCTCCTTATGCTTTTGTCTTCTACAGGAATATTTGTGAATTGTGCAAGAAGAATACACTATGTGGATTATTTCTAAAATCAAATGTTTGAAATTAAGGTAAATTTCATTTTTATAACAAAGTTCTTAAAGGCACAAAAAAGAAAATAGACAAAACAGTAATCCACAGTGAAAAACATAGAAAGACTCTTATTTGTTATTGGAAAGGGTAGAGACTTGAACAGATTTTATTTGTAATTTGTTATAACTTTATAATAAATTTGTGCAGAATTATATTCTGAGATAAATTTTAATACATTGCCATTTCCACATATGGCTGGGGAGAACCAAGACAAAGGTAAAATAGTAAGTTAATAAAGATCAGCAGTCATTAACTTGTATTGCAAAGAGCCTAAGCAGTCACTGAGTTAGATGAGGGAACTCCAAGCAATGGATTCATCCAGAGTCAATTTGATGACTCTTCTTCAAGAGTCTTCAACTGATTTATATATTGAGATTTTCTGTTAGATTTTTAAATAAATCTGATTTATACCTTGAGACTTTCTGTTAGTGTCTTAATCTTACTGCTGCTTTAAAAAGAAACAAAAGTTTTGAAAACCACTGAATTCAACTGTAGTTATGCCTACCATAACTACAGTTATGAAGATTACATGAAGATTATACAAGAAGAATGGCTGATGCAAATAAATTATTTTTCAGTCAATTCTGAGCCTTCCAGCAAGATAGCTAGCATTTCTTGAAGATGAGGTTTCTGATTTGTTGGTTTTGGTGTTGCTTACTCTGCAGCACAGTGAAGCCTCCAAAAATACTTCCCCCATGTATAAATTCATTTTACTAATCTTAGCCAATATCTTCCTAGATAAAAGGGCCATCAAGATTTCCAACAAGGGTCTTTACCATTTGATTTCCCATCACAGGGTGAGTTCTGAGCATAGAAAGCAGCCTGAAGCCCCAGGATTCAGGTCCCCAGATTACGAAGGACTGGACAGGATTCACTCCTGTAAGCAAAGTTCTTTTTCTCTAGTACTGTGGTTTCTGGAAGAAACAGTTGTTTAGAGATAAAAAATCAGGAAATCCAAAATGAATAAACATGTGAAAATGTAGAAATTGACTGTTGGCGAGGACTTGAAGATTCTTTCCATATTTTGAAGATGTGGTTAAATATTAAATATAATCAAAATGTTTCTACAGTTGCATGGCCATTTCTTTCTGTCTCATGCATACTTTGGCATTGCCTTGATGATTTTACCTCTGTGCCCCAGACTCTCAGTTTTGGCTCTGAAGGAGTTAATCTACTACTTATACTCCCTGCTCGTCCTGTGTGGATCTTGTATCACGAGATGATGAAATATTTGACTGTACATGCCACTCAGACTTGACTAAAATAAGAAACATCACTTTCTTTTCCTAGTCACGTATTCACTTAAAAATATGTCTATTCACGTATCATGTACATGACTCAATAAGAAATAAAACATTCTGGGCACCATAAAGTAAAAAGAAACTTTGAAATAGCCCTTTACCTGGTTAAGTTTTTAGGACATTGTAAAGGTTGGCAAATTCTGTCCTATGGACCAAATCTAGTATGTAGCATGTGTTTGTATAGCTTGGGAGCAAAGAATGGTTTTTACATTTTTTAATGTTTTAAAAAAGGAAAAATATTTTATTATAGATGAAAATGATTCAAAATTCAAATTTAGTGCCTATGAAAAAGATTTCTTGGAGCTACACTTATTAATTTAGGTATTGTCTATGTGTCTGCTTTTACATAATAATCAAAATTGATTAGTTGTAACAGAGACCTTATGGCCCACAAAGTCTAGAATATTTACTTTACAGAAAACATTTACCAACACCTGGAATAGTGAATTTCTTTATTTATAGCTGAATTTCAACCTGAATTTTGCATCATTTACTCAATTTCCCAATTTGGATGTCAGTCTGGGTGCCATGTTTTCTCTGGTGGCTCTTCTTCTAACTTCTTGATAAGATTATCTTTTTCTCTCTAGACATAATAGCCCTTAAGTTGGCTTATGCTAACTTTTTGTTCTGTCATTCAAAAAAGAAAAAAAAATGTGTGAACAAAACAAGGGAAAGAATACCAGCTTCCTTTGCTATGGGATGACACTGATTTGGAGCTGAGATTTAAGAATATACCCAGATTTAGGCCTGAAATAGCCTAATATTTTCTGTTTCTCCCTTTTTGGAAAAACTAAGACATTTTCTCTCCTTTTCCTGTTTTATAGTTCGTGTGCAACAGCTTGTCAATTGCTCAATAGTCTTGTTTGCTTCAGAGATATCTGAAGTTACACTTAGAGAAGAGGAAAATTTAGAGAAGAGGAAAATCAATTTGGCAGTGATTTAAGAGGTTCCTTAGGGATGCACTGAGGCCCATCATTTTTGTTTCTTGATGGCTCAAGATACAGTTTTGCCATCTGATATAGGACTACTTACTAATCTATGATTTAGTAGCAGATATTTTAGTGATTTTTTTTTGTCATCCAGACACTCCCTGTCCTAAAATAATGCCTGATTAAAATGAATCTTGTTTCCTAGAGAAATCAGCAAGGCACTGCAGATTAGCTATTTGTAAACTCCTTCTGAATCTATCTATAACACAGTGAAACAGGAATTAGAAGCAATATGACTATACTCTGGAGCATTTTCTTTAGGTGTTTCATCCACAGAAACAGCTTTGAGCTGTGAAAGCACTTCTGTAAGTGTTTTGAATTTAAATTCATGCAATGTGCTAATTATTTACTCTATAGAGTGTTTCTTGGCTCACATACTTTTTGTATGATTTTATATATGTGTGTTATATATATAGATATATGGCATTCTAAATAAATATTGGCTAGTGGATCAAGCTTTATAGTGCGACTAGCACTTATTGTTTTCCTTAAATGGGATACTATTCATAAACTTTATACATGTATCTTTTATTTTTATTTAAAGGATTATAGAAATTCCAGTGTTCATTGCAAATAAAATATTTGTGATGGTGAAGGATTAATTACTAAAGTGTTTTATAGTACTCTCCACTACTGATTTTACATTACATGTTTATTTGTTTATTATCTGTCTCCTTCATTAGAATGTAAGTCCCATGAGTAGGGTGTTCAATTTGTTCATCGCTGTATCCCCATCACCTAAAACCATGCCTGACACATAGGGTGTGACCAATACTTATTGAATGAGAAAATTGTCTGGCACCACTCAATCTGTAAGAGCTGGAATAGAGAGAATAACATATAGTGGATAATACGAATTACCTGCAGAAATCACTTTAAATGTCTTCATAATTTCAAGTTGATAAAAGGAAAGAAAATCTAATCCAATTTTGACAATAAGGGGAATCTGTAGCTGTATCAGTGATAGTAATATCTCAGCAAAGAATATGTTTACATAGAAGTCAGGAAAAGGGAGCCTCTAGGGTAAGACTGTTACAGTATTTTACTTCACTATGAGGGTGAAATTCAATGGCCAGGAATCTTGAGTAAGCAGACCCCTCTTCCTACCAAAGGAAGTAAATTTCTGCAGCCACTAAGATCACGCAACCAAATATCTATACTCTGACTTTACTCTCATTACCAGAGTTTTCATTATAATTGAGCTTGCTCTTAAATGAAGGGAGAAGCCTTACCAGTAGATTTGGGCTGAATTGGCCAGTCTTCTTGATATCACTGCAAATATATAAATCAGCATTCTTTTGAACTCTATGTGAGTTTGCTTAGTGTTTCCTGAAACTGACCACTCCTGGGGACTCTGAGTGTAATGTTTTGATTGTTGTCCCTTTGCTGCCTTAGAGACTAATCAGTTTTCTCAGGTTAGAGAAAACTATCTCCAGTTTACTATTTTCTATCTCCTGGAGGACAGAGATCTCCATAATACCAGAGTTTAGTATGTTATTGGTATTATCGTAGTGAGATTCAGCTACATTAGGCTGGGTTAACTAAAAAACAAAACAACACCACAAAGTGAAACAGAAGGAAAACAAAAATTTTTGAAAAGACACAGTGGCTTAAAACAATTCTAATTTTTCTGTTGTTTAAGCAAAGTCACATGTCTAGGAGACTCTGTGGGTAACTGATCTCCACAGAACAACTTAGTGATTTGGCTGAGAAAGTCTGAACCATCCTAAAGCCACAAAATCTGGAACTTGCTGGCCAGCCAAGTGGGGAGACAGATAATATGCTGGCTTGAAAATGCTGTCATACAAAAGAAAGACTCATTACATCAACTCATATTTCATTCGCCAAAAAAAGTCAAATTGACCATCTATATCTAAATGTGTTTGAGAAGTGCAATTCTCTTATGGAAGGCAAAGGAGTACTGGAAAATTTGGTGAACAACAATTATATCTACTACATGTTAAAAGAAAGAGTTAATTCGAATGTGCAATTTAAAAAGTCAGCTTGCAAGATATTTAACAGCTTAACATTACTATTTTGAAAAAAATGCGGGATTTTTATATTATATGTATATATATACTCACACACACATATATACACATACACATATATATCCACACGTATATGTGTGTATGTATGTTTGTATGTAGGTATGTGACATTATATTCACTCTACTGGTAACTTCTCAATGATTTATCACCCACTCTACTGATACCTAGAACTCATAAGGATCTCAGTAAACTGGTTTAATCAAATACTATAGTTGGGAACATTTTAAAATATTTTTTCTTTATGATTTTATAAAACATCCTTAATCTCTATTTAGAATTTGAATCACTTGAATGTGGCAGAATGACTTAATTTCTCCCCCTGTAGTTTCATCTTCACTAATGAGAAGTCATTTTCACTTCTCTTAGCAAAAGGACAAGGCAGGAACTTTCCTTCCTGAAACCCAAGGCTTTAAGTCTTCCAGAAAAATATAAAGACACATCTGTTTTCCTAGCTTTTAGAGAAGAGGAGTTGGATTATTCAAGAGAGGAAAAGGTGTGCCTCAACACTGAGAGGAGGAGCTTAAACTCAAGTCTTGGGAGCCATGGTGGTTTTTCTTTGCTGAGATATACAGCAGGGATTGGAGGCTGTGAGCAACAGACCACCATGCCTTAGAATGCACAACATGGACTTGGACAAAGATGATCTCAGCATCAAAAATGATGGACTAAAGACCAGAGCCCCTTGCTTCATTTTCTTAGGAGAGTATGTCTCCTAAAACCTTCTGTAGGGATCTCTATGTCATATATTACACATTTCATCATAGAGAGACAAAAATTTTTACTTGATAAAAAAAAATAAAGTAATTGGATACTTTTTATGAGAAATTGTAAAGGAGCAAATGCATAGCATTGCAAAATGAGCAAGCTTAGTTCTTTGTGTGAATGTAGTTTTCCAGAACTTGTGTGTATGCTATTAGTAAGTAGAGTTTGTAAGTCATTTTACTAGCCTGTGTTCTAACTCTTCTCAACTATTTCCAAGAAGTGAGACATTTTAAATCTCTTTGAATTTATTTAGATTTTAGTTGTCTTCTAAACAGCAGCAATATGTGTGTGTGTGGGGGGGTCAATTTCAATTTTTTTTTTTTTCTAACTGTATTGTAGTGATTTAAGGAAGCACCTTCAATGCATATGAATAATGAAGTTCTAAAAAGCACTGTTATTGCTGCACAAAGGGAAACATTGAGGACTAGAAGAATTAGGGAATTGGGATAGACTCTGGCTGCATCTAATGATGTGGAGAACTGGTGCTGTTCCTTGATGATCAACTTAGTATAAATAAAAGCCTTGCTCAGATTTGATGATGATGCTACTTTCTATTCCTTTTTCCTCAGGCCCCTCATTGGAGACTTTCCGTAGTTCAACTGCAGAATTTATTCTTTATTTTATTAATGGGAAAGGAATAGTTTTTAGGCCTGTAATTTCTAATGTGATTCATTATAGGACTAGGAAGATTGGGCTTCATGAAGACTGGTCTGGCATTGATCAATTCTTAACCATCAAAGAGACTTGATTCTCCAGGTATATCTGAGTGCCATTCTGAAGTGTAAACCACAGACAGTCTCCTTGGGATGTATGAAACCATCACAAGGACAGAGGTGAAAACTGAGAAATAATTCATTCAGCCAACAAATATGTATTCACAAACTACTTATTCAGAATGATGTGGCTGCTAAGGACATGATAGTGAATAATATAACGCAGATCCTATATCCATTGGGCTATGTTTTAGTTGCTTTTGTGGGGAGAAACAGTAAACACGTAAAATTTTATAGATACGTTTTATGAGAGTGAGTTGACAGATGTATTAGTCAGGGTTCTCTAGCGGGACAGAACTAATAGCATATATGTCTATTAGTATGCTATTGGTATATATGACATATATATGGAGAATTGACTCGCACTATCACAAGGTGAATTCCCATGATCAGCCTTTTGCAAGTTGAGGAGCAAGGAAGCCAGTAGTAGCTCAGTCCCAAACCTCAAAAGTAGGGAAGCCAACAGTGCAGCCTTCAGTCTGTGACCAAAGGCCCCAAGAGCCCCTGGCAAACCACTGGTGTAAGTCCAAGAGTCCAAAAGCCAAAGAACTTGGAGTCTGACATTTGGGGCAAGAAACATCCAGCACGGTAGAAAGATGGAGGCCAATTGGATTGTGCCCACCCACATTGTTAGTGGGTCTTCCTGAGGGTGAATCTTCCTCTCCCAGTCAACTGACTCAAATGTCAGTCTCTTCTGGCAACACCCAGAAACACCCATATAGACCCTGAAACAATACTTTGTGTCCTTCAATCCAATCAAATTGACACAATATTATTTTAATATTAGTGAAAGTGAGATGTATTGGGTAGAGATCAGATAAGGAAGCTCACCTAGCCTTGACTTTGCTAAATAGCTGTGTGATCTGAAGAACTTAGCTTAGCTTGGATGAATATTTCTTATCTATAAAATGAGAGAGCTTGGCAACATGATCTGTACAGGTACTTCTCTTCTAAGACCATGTAAGTCCAATCTTAAACAAATTAAGTTAATATATGTAAATCTCTTAGAACAAAGTTTGGAGGAATGTAAGCGCTTTCAGAGTTTCAGTTATGATATGAAAATGATTATAATTTTCCTTTTAATCTGTATTCCTTTCCCTGTCTTGCATAGTTTTAATGTAAAGTAGACCATTCTTCCTGAAACTCCCAAAGATGTTATCTGTGAGATAATAACAGAAATATAATTAGCTCTTATTAAGTATGTTGAAATTAGCCAAGGACTTTTAGAAAATCATTGAAAGGATTTTTTTTTAAATAAGGGTTAATTCTTTCTCAATGATACCTGTAAGTGTATAAATGATCAGATTTTAGGTGGGTTAAAAATTTCTCATTTCATTGTTGCATATTTTGTGTCTAGTATAATGTGCAGTAGGTCAAATGTTAATAAACTAAGTTTTGATATCTCAAATATAACTGTGCTATGTATAGTAATATAACGTTTATTGAATGACTATTATTCTGGGGGAAGATCCTTTGTCCTGTGTTTAGCCTTTTGTGATTTTAACACAATTTTAGCACATTTTAAATGAACAATTTTCTTTTTTTCTTTTTTTTTGAGACAGAGTCTCGCTCTGTTGCCAAGGTTGGAGTGCAGTGGCGTGATCTCGGCTCACTGTAAGCTCTGCCTCCCGGGTTCACGCCATTCTCCTGCCTCAGCCTCCTGAGTAGCTGGGACTACAGGCGCCCACCACCATGCCCGGCTAATTTTTTGTATTTTTCGTAGAGACTGGATGTCACCGTGTTAGCCAGGGTGGTCTCGATCTCCTGACCTCATGATCCACCCACCTCGGCCTCCCAAAGTGATATTTTTAACAATAATAAATAATAATAGAATAATAGTACAAATCTACCATAGATTTAGTGTTAAATATGTACCAGAATAGTACTAAGAAGCTTACTCACATTATCTCATTAATCCTGGAAGTTGTTATTGTGTTAGTTTTACAGACTCTGAGATGATTTACTAATTAAAAACCTGACCAAGGTAGCAGAGCTGGGAAAGAGAAAGACCAAGCTCCTGGGAATAATTAATGCGCTGCACTGTGCCTCTATTCTGATGACCAGAATAAAACTGTCTTGTTTAGGTGAAATAGCCTTTCAAAGCACTGTTTTATTAAAAATGCAAATATTTAAATTTCTACATCTGTATTCATAAATTAGATACTTCTCTAATTTTTAATAAGCTTTTTATTTTAGCATAGTTTTAAATTCTAGTTTTAGATGGAGAAGTTAACAAAAATTATACAGAGATTTCTCATACACCCAACACTGTTTCCCCTATTGTTAACACCTTACATTATTATTATGGTACATTAGTCACAGCTAATAAACCAATATAAACACATTATGATTAACTAAAACCCATACTTAATTTATATCTCGTTAATTTTAACCTAATGTCCTTTTAATATTTCCGTTCTAAGATCCGATTCACATACCAAATGACATTTAGTCGTCATGTCTCCTCTGGCTTCTCTTGGCCACGGCAGTTTCTCAGTTATTTCTTGCTTTTGTTGGCCTTGATACTTTTGAAGAGTACTGGTCAGGTATTTTGTAGAATGTCTATTTACTGTGTTTATTTGATTTTTTTGTTTGCTTTTTTGATTTGACTGTTTTATGGGTTTGGGGGAGGAATATCACAGAATTAAATTTACTTTCCTATCACTTCATATTAAGAGTACATTGCTAGGCTAGCAACATGACTTATTGCTGTTGATGTTAACTTTAATCATCTGGTGGAGGGAAGAGTTTGTTAGGTCTCTTCAGTGTAAAGCTAGTAATTTTTCTCTGTTTCTATACTTCCCTTTTTGGAAGGAAGTCATTGTAAGCAGCCCATATTACAGAAGTTTTGCTTCACTTCCTGGAAAGAAGAGTACTTACATAAATTATTTGGAATTCTTTTGCATGGGTAATTTGTTCATTCTATACCATTGATTTATGTATTTGTTTGTTGTTTGTTCGTATCAGTATGAACTCGTGGCTATTTATTTTATATATTGTATTATAATTCAATACTATATATATTTTTCTTGCTCCAATTATTACAGTTTTATTCATGGGAGCTTTTTCAGTTGTCTCAAGTTTCTTTGACATACACTCATCATTGTATTTATTTGTTTGTTTTAGCATTTGCTTACTTTCTGGCACTATAAGGTGCTACAGGCTCATCTTGTATATTTCTTCCCTCAGTTGTAGAGTAAGACATTTCTCTGAGTAATCTAGTTCTTTTTACTGAAGAATTGTATCAGAAACCAATATCTGAGTGCTATGTGTGCTCTTTGCTATTGGAGTGTTGTTGCTTTTCAGCCCTCTCAACTGACAAAGCAAGGAAATATGTATATACTGATCCAAGTTTATACACATATGTATAAACATTTTCTATATATAACCTTCTATATTTATATTAAGCTAAACATGAGTTCATGCTCATATCTCCAACTGTAATCATTATTACATAGATCATTTTAACTTTGTCCTCTTGCTTTTCTGTAACCTCCCACTTCAACAGTGATAAACTTAACTTCCATTAATTTACTTGTTTGATTCCAGCATATGGAATTCATGTGTGTATAGCTGCATCTCAATTCATATGTGTATAGCATAATCAGAACTGTTAACCTGTACTCCTATGGGAAATAACTTTATTAACTAGAGAACAGAGCTTACGGACAGTTGCTTTTGTCTTTAGTCTTACAGACTACTCATTTCCAAAATTACTTAGGACAGCATCCTTTAGTGAGGATATTTTATACATTTGTAATAGTTAGATTCTTTCTCAGAGTTTATATTCCAACCTGGAACTTCCTGATCTCTGAAATAAATTTTAAAAATTTGAATAAATGTAGGTTTATTTTTTGTTCAGTAAAGTACTCTGGGTGTCATAAATGCAGAATGTTAAGTATACACCCTAACATTTTCAAACCAAATAGTTTCTCAGCTCTCAAAAAATATCCTGTGTTTTACCTATCAAATCCTCTCTACTCCCTAAACTCTAAACACTGATCTGCTTTGTGTCTCTAAAGTTTTGTATTTTCCGAGATGTCAGGTAAATGAATCACACAGTGTATTTCCTTTTCAAAACTTCACTAAGCAATGTACATTTAACATTTATCAGTGTTTTTTTTGTGGCTTGATAGCTCATTCCTTTTTGTTATTGAATAGTATGGATGTAGCACTGTTCGTTTATTCTTTCATCAACTGAAGAACATCTTGCCTCTTTTCAGTTTTTAGTGATTATAAAGATGCTATAATCTTTTGCATGCATTATTTTGTGTGGTCATTAGTTTCAAACCAGTTGGATAGATACCTAGGAGCATAATTGGCAGAATATATGCTAAGGCAATGTTTAGCCTTGTAAGACACCAACAAATTGTATTCCAAAGTGACTGTTAATGTTGTAAAGGCAAAATTTTTGTCAGGAGGGTGTCTGGGATAGAGATAGAATAGGTTTAAAAGGGGATGCTTGTACCTTTCTATTCTGTAGAACAGATTATAAGAATATGAATTATCTGTTTTTTGAAAAGATGAAAGAACTGAAATAGCATCTCATTCCAGATAATTTTCTTTCTTTTTCTCTTCTCCCTCTTCTCTTCCTCCTTATTTTTCCTCTGTGCTTGCTTGCTATGTATTTACAATTTCTTTGTTCCCGTTCAGATGTTGACGCATATGTTGTGTCCTTCAAAACATCCTTCTCAATTCATGATGTAAGTGGTTGAATTACAGTTAACCTCTGGTGTATGAAGTTCCTTTTCTTCCTTTTTTTTCACGCGGTGTTGCTGATTGTTGAGTTGCTTTTGATTTTCCTGACTGTTCAGTGATAATTTAAGTGGGAACATGAGTGTCAGTCTCAATCAGTTTCTGCCACATTCTGATACAAATCGTATATCTGACCAAGCAGAGAATTTAAAAAAAGTATCTTTTTCAATACATTCTATTTTGCTATGATTTTGGACATACATGATATAAAGCAGTTTTGGACATGTGTGAAATAAGACAGCTTAATTCCACTTTTTGTTTTTGATTATCATTTCTTTTATGATGTCATTATAAAGATCTTATTTGATCTTTTCCTTTTTCTGTCTATACTTTGTCTCTTATTTGCTGCTTCTAATCTGTGATGGGTGGAGATATGGCTAAACAAGTATCAAGATTAAATAAGGAGCACATAATATCTAGTAATCTTAAATGCCACCATATACTATCTATGTTCATCTCAACAGCACTGAAAAGTAGAAATTTTTTCTCCAGTCTTATAGACAAGTAAATTGAATGAAATTCATAATATATTTTCAAATGTTATAAATAAGAAGTAGCAGAACTGGAAATCCAGCAGAGATTGTGTTTTTCCAAAAGCTGACATGCTGCCCATGTCTCCAATTTTTTTGCATGCGAAAGACCTAAAGAGTGACATACAAAGCTTTAATATAGAGACTTTTGAAAAACTCTGTTATTTAATGGCTTTTTTTCTCTATATTCTTTCTGCTAAGAAATCCTGGAGGATGGAATCTACCAAATGTTTGACCTTTGAAATGTAGGTTTAACTGAATTTGCTTTTTCTACACTTCTTTACTTGCTTTCCCATTTATGAACATGTAAAATTCTGCCTCCATGCAATTTTCATTGAAGAAACAGCTAACTGAATTGGATTTCTGATTTATAAAGCAAGTCCTTTATGTTCTTCAAAGAGCTTACCCCAAAGGACCAACTGATAACATAGCCCTGTTGTAAAATAATTCATTATAAAGGTCTGAAACAGGAGCTTTCCACCCTATCAGCTAGACGCATGTGCCCTAGTGATATTATCCCTCTCGGGAGGTTTTGAGCATCTTTGGTTCATTTTGCTCTATAGCTTTTACCATGCAATCTGTATTTGTGTTTTCATAACTGCCTCAGACTATACTATTGCCTCCAGAGACAATCTCAAATTAGAAAAAAATGTGTTACTAAAAAAAATCTTCACACTTTCTGAGTTTTTCTTATTTCAATGTGAAATATTTCTGCTTTTGGGCAGTTATGTTTGACTTACCAAGTAAGAAGATGACAACCTTACTTATCAAGTAAGAAGATGCATAAACCAAAATTTTATAATAGTATTGTACTTCATGGGACTGTAAAATTTAGTGAAATTTCAGAGAGGAACTATTGTCACTTTATTCTGGATGAAAAAGCTAAATATATCTAAAGGCTGCTTTTCTTTGAAGATATATTTTAATTATTATAAAAATATTTAGATGTAATGAACGATAGCACTTTTTTTAAACAACTGTGGTAAAATATAATGTATATATAACAAAATTCATCATTTAAAGTATGCAAGCAGATATTGGTAAATTTATGTAGTCAAATAACTACCACCTAAATCACTGTTTGGCAAATTTCCATCATCTAAAAAGTGTTTTTGGCTATCTTCCCCTTACCTCACCCTTGGCCTCTTATCTACTTTCCATCATTATAGTTTTGGCTTCTTGAATTTCATAAAATGAAATCATACAGGATGTAGTATTTTGTGTCTGATTTTTTTCAGTCACCAAAGTGCTTTTGAAATACACCAATGTTGTATGTTTCAGTAGTTCATTCTTTTTTATTGCTCAGTAGTATTCTATTGTTTTGAGTTTGTTTATTCATTCACAAGTAAGTGGACATTTTGTCTAGTTCCAGTTTGGGGCTATTGTGATTACAGCTGTTATGAACATTCGCAAACAATTTTCTATGATCATATGTTTCATTTTTTCTTGAGAATATCTAGAAGTGGAGTGACTGGATCTTATGATAAATGTGTATTTATCTCTGCATATTAAAAAAAAATACCTGCCAAAGTATTTTCCCAAAGGTCAGTACCATTTTGCACTCACACTAACACCATTGTGTTTGAATTGTTCCATATCTTTGCTATCATGATGAATTTTATGTGTCAACTTGACTGGGCTAAGGGATGCCCACATAGCTGGTAAGAATTTATTTCTAGGTGTGTCTGTGAGGGCATTCCTGAGAGATATTAGCATTTGAATTGATAGACTGAATAAAGATTACCCTTATCAATATGAGTTGGCACCATCCAACCTTTTAAGGGCCTGGATAGAACAAAAAGGCAGAGGAAGGATGAATTGGCTATCTCTTCTTGAGCTGGAACATCTGTTGTTTCCTGCCCTTGGTCATCAGTGCTCCTAGTTCTTGGGCCTTTGGACTCACACATGCACTTCCACCATTGGCTTTCCTGGTTCTCAGGCCTTCAGGCTTGGACTGAAACTACATTACCGGCTTTCCTAGTCTCTAGTTTGCAGATGACATATTATGGGACTTCTTACCCTCCACAGTCTCATGAGCCAATCCCTCATAATAAATCTTTTTCTATGTATTTATATATTTTCCTTTTGGTTTTGTTTCTCTGAAGAACCCTAATACTCTTGCCAACAATTAGCAATGTCGTTACATTTAATTTTAACCTTTCTATTGTATATAATGGTAGTATCTCATTGCAATTTTAATTTGCATTCTTTAATAACAAATAATATTGAACATCGTTATATACTTATATGCCGCTTACATATCTTATTTCCTAAAGTATTTGTTCAAATATATGCCCATTTTTAACAAGTTCATTAGTTTCCTCATTTTGAGATTTAAGAATCCTTTGTGTTCTGAGTACAAGTTCTTTGTCAGATATATAATGCACAATTATTTTCTTCCAATCCATCAGATGCCTTGTCATTTTCTTAATGGACTATTTTGAAAAGCATTTAAACAAAATTTATGAAATCTAATTTGACAATTATATTTCTTTTAAGATTTATGTTTTTGTAGCCTATTTAAGAAATATTTATATAACCTTATGACAGAAAGACACTCTGCTCTTTTTGTTCTAGAAATTTTGGACATATGATACATTAAAGTTAATATTTGTATATAATGTGAAATAAGGGCCATAATTCATGTTGCTCCCCTCCCCCTTTTTGTTGCATGTAAGTTCCAGTGGTCTGACTATTGAAAAAACTCTCATCATTGTATTACCTCCAACTTGGAATTTTCTTTGTAGGAAGGCTTTTAAATAAGAGTTCAATTTCCCTGTACATATAGCTTTTTCACATTACTTTTTCTTCCTCAGTGAACTTCTAATTTATGTTTCCTAAGGTCTTTGTCCACTTCACCTAAGTTTTCAAGTTTTGAGGCATAAAGATGTCCATAACATTTCTTTATTATTTGTGAGCTTTTCTGTTCTTTCCTGATACTGCTAATTTGTGTTCTTTTTTCTTAATCAGTCTGGCTAGATATTTATAAATTTTATTGATATTTTCCAAGAACCAACTTTTGCCTTCAGCAACTTTTTTCTATTGCTTTTCTGCTTTCTATTTTATTAACTTGTATTCTTTTCTTTATTATTTATCTTCTTCCACTTATTTTGTGAATAATTTTCTCTACTTTTTTCAGTTTCTTATGTATAAGCTTACAACATTTATTTGATATGTTTATTTTCTAATATAAGCTATGATACTATTAATTTCCCTCTAACTACCGTTCTTTATGTGAGAAACACATTTGATATTTTTATTTTCATGTCATTCCAAATATTTTCTAATTTGTATTGTGATAGCCATTTCAATTTATGATTTAGTTGTTCATTTTAAAATTGATACAAATATATTTTTTCTTATTAATTTCTAATTGAATTTGATTCTGGCCAGATAATATCATATATATGATTTTAATAGGGTTAAATTTATTCAGATTTGCTTTATAAACCAAAATATAGTATATCTTGGTGAATATTCTGTGTAATTAGAAAGCATGTGTATTTTTTTGTTGTTGGGTAGAGTGTTCTGTATGCTGATTAGATAAAATTAGTTAAGAGTATTGTTAAAGTATTCTGCATTTTTATTGAATTTTTTTGTCTAGTTTTTCTATCACTTTTATCTGTTGCCGAGAACAAGCTGAAATCTTCAACTATAATTGTGATTTTGGACCAGGCACACTGGCTCATGCCTGTAATCCCAGCACTTTGGGAGGCCGAGGTGGGTGGATTAACGGAGGTCAGGAGTTTGAGACCAGCCTGGCCAACATGGTGAAACCCATCTCTACTAAAAATACAAAATTTAGCCCAGCATGGTGGCATGGGCTTGTAATCCCAGCTACTCAGGAGGCTGAGGCAGGAGAATCGCTTGAACCTGGGAGACAGAGGTTGCAGTGAGCCGAGACTGCGCTATTGCACTCCAGCCTGGGTGACAGAGCAAGACTCCATCTGAAAAAAAAATTGTGATTTTGCCTATTTCTCTTTTAGTTCTTTCAGTTTTTGTTTCATATATTTTAAAAATTATACTGTTAAGTGCAGGCATATTTAGGGTTTTTATGTCTTGGTGAATCAAGTCACTTATCATTGTGAGCTGATTCCCTTTACACTGGTAATATTCCTTATTCTGAAGCTTTAAAACAATTTTGTTGGTACATAGTAGTGAATATATTTATGGGGTACATGAGATGTTTTGATACAGGAATGCAATGGGAAATAAGCACATCATGGAGACTAGGGTATCCATCTCCTCAAGGATTTATTCAAGTGATATTTTGCATTGTATATATTTGTACATTTTTAAAGTATTAACTTATTTATACCTGTACTCTTAATTTGGGATTCATGTAGACAACACGCAGTTGAATCTCATTTATTCAGTCCAACAATTTCTCTATTTTAATTGGAATGCTTAGGCCATTTAAATTTAATGTGGTTATTAATATGTTTAATTTTAAATGTACTATCTTACATTCATTTTTTAGTCATTTTTACTCTTTTCCTGCTTTCTTAGGGATTAATCGTTGTTTTATGATATTTTGTCTCCACTATAGGCTTTTTAACAGATATCGCTTTGTTTTATATTTTAGTTGTCTCCATAGGTTTTGCAACTATGCATCTTTAACTTATCATTACCACTTTAACATATCACTTCAAATAGCATTTATATAACTTCCATATCTACACTCCCTGACTTGATGCTAATATAGCCATACATATTAAGTCTACATATGATATAAACCTCTCAATATGCTGTTATTATTTTTGCCTTAAACAGCCAGCCATCTGGCACTGTTCACTCTTTTGGGAAGATTCAGATTCCCATCTGGCATCATTTTCCTTCTTTCTGTAGAGGGTCTGATGGCAATAAAGTTGCTCACCTTTTTTCTTTTTGATTTTGGTCTGAAAAGTCTTCATTTTGCCTCATTTATGAAAAAAAGTTTTCATTAGGTATAGAATTGAAGGTTGACAGATTATTTTATCCTATTAATTTAAAGGCACCATTTTTTATCTTCTAGACATTTCTGACAAAGTTTCTGCATAGTTTCTGACAAAGTTGTGTGGATTTGATATCATTTCTGATGTTATCGTTATTTCTTTGGCTTTCCCTATATCATGTGTTTTTCTCTGCAGCTTTTAAGATTTCCATTTGCCATCATTTTTAGAATGTAATTTTAATGCACTGTTGTATACTTGTATGTTCATTTTTCTTGGAGTCTTTTGAGATCCTAAGGATCTGAAGGTTTATATTCGTTATCACTTCTGAATACATTTCAGCCACTATTTTTTCAATCTTTTTAAACTGTCTCCTCACACCTTCCCCACCTACCAATCATTCTCTATGCTTTTGGGGTTCCAGTTGCACATTTGTTAGCTTAATATTGCTTCACAAGTTGCTGATAATCTGTATATTTTTTTCAATGTGTTTTTGCTCTAAACTACATTTTGCTTAGTTTCTATTGATATGCATTGATTAACTAATCTTTTCTTCTGTATCTTTTAATTTTTTCTTCTTTTCTTTAATCTGTTGTTGATCCTCTCCAGTGTATTTTTATTTCTAATATTATATTTTTCATTGTTAGTAGTTCCATTTTTTTAAAAAAAATCTGTTTCCCTCTTTATTATGTGTAAATTTTCCTTTATAATCCTGAGCATATTTATAGTATTTTCAATTTTTGTTTTATAGTCTCTTCTAATGATCTCCTTCATTGTTAGGTCTGTTTATATTTATTGATATTATTATATTCCACCTGTCATATTTTCTAGCTTCTTTATATGCCTAAAAATTTTTGATTGTATGTTCTATCTAACACATTTTATGTTGTAGATTACTGGATTTTGTTGTATGCCTTTAAAGAGTATTGAGTTTTGCTTAGCATTAAGTTGAGCTATTTGGGATCAAGTTGATCCTTTCAAAGTTTTCTTTTAAGCTTTGTTGAAGTTAATCCAAAGCAGTTTTTAGTCTTTTGCTCTTTTAGCCCATGACTAGAGTAAACCCTCCTTAGACTCTACTCAACACTCTATGAGTATATTATGAGATTCATCCCTTCTGACTGATTGGAATGCAAAATATTTTCAGCTCTGTGAACCTAGGGAATTATTCAGCCTGTTTCCTGGTGTCCCCCCCACCTCCCCAGTCTTAGTGAGTTTCATTCCACATGAGTTCAGACACAGAGTTGAAGACTTGAGGGACCCTTCTACATATGTCAATAACCCTTCTTCTTTCTATACAGATCCCTTTACTTTTGTACTCTTAATTATTATATATTTTCAAATTTTATCTGAAAATTAAGATTGGCTTCCTAAAGAATTAGAGAGATGCTCCACACATCTGATTATCTCTTCATTTGAAAGTTATTACAAAAATTTGATTTTACATGCATATGTTCATGTGTATGTGTACACTGCATGCACACACTGTATGTGCATATGCTTACTCTCTCATGCTTACACAAAATATTTTACAATCCAAAGCAATAATAAAGGAAGAATTACTTTTAGAGATGATTCCTTGAAACTTAATTTTGATTTTAAGTTTTCAGTGGAAATATATTAAAATATATGAATGAGCTATAATGAGCTCAGTTGTGAATTGGCATATTTCTGATCTGTAACTTTTATGAAATGAGGAGGATACACAAGGTAGAGTAAATGCAGACGTGTGTGTATCATGTAGATGAATATTGGGCTTTCCAACATTAATCTGCCACCTCCTTCAGTAACCTTTCCCCTGGCAAAAGATGGGTGAATTGGTCTTAAATCTCAGTTGTCAGGATGAAGGGATCGCCAGCAGCATTTCTTCTCATCTTTAAATACAGATTCTGTTGATACACTTTGACAGGCACTTATGTGTGTTTCAAAATATTGAAAAGGGTCATTCTCAGCTAAACCAGAATTTGCCTAATTGTTTTTGCTTTCTGCCCCTGGGATTTGAGACAGCAACAATGTGTGGCTAAGCAGTATAAAGCTTTCTTAACAAGTTCTGCAACTTAGTGACCCTGCTGACAAATGACCTTTCAACGCTCTACTGTCAAATTCCTAAACAAGAGCTTTTTCCCTCAGTGTGAAAAGTTAGAATCATTAGGAGTGTGAAACTTTGTGGAAATCTCTAATGGGGTTTTGAGTTTTCAACAAAATAAATTATCACTTAGTTAAATATTATCTCCTCTCATACTCCATCTCCACTGCTTTAATTGTAATTTTTCTAAAACCATAATACTCAAGGCAACATCTACTTACCTAAAGCATTTTTTCATAAGACTCACTGTGTATGAAATAGCTTCTTACCTCACTGCTATGAGGTGAAGGTAGCAGACATAAGTGCATGGATCCTTTTAAATGCAAAGAGGTATATTTAATACCTACTATTTAACTACTTCCTAAAAAACAAGGACGATGAACTTCATTGTTATTAACAAAGAAAAGAATACTGGTACACAAGTCCCTTCAGTGAGACATACAAATAGGACTGCAATAACCTTTGTAACTGATAGACGTGAAACGGTATTGTGCATACACATACACACACACACACAAAATCAAAATTTCACTAATTGATTCTAGTAGCAGCAAAAGCCAGATTGAGTTCATAAAGTTAAAATTATAGAATATTCTCAAAGTAAATTGGATTTATTAATTTAATTTCATAATAAAATGCAAATTTACTTAATGTTATACTAGACTTCTGAAGACTCAATAATAGTAGTGTTGTTCTTGTTGCTTTCAAGTGGTTGGTTCTGAGGTTATGTATTCTTTTATGTAGGTTAATGTTTTTCTTACAGTATCACTAATACTGTCAATTTGTTTCATGTCTCTTTCTTTTAATAAACCTCTTCTGATAGTGTGAATGCATTTGCTTCAAATGAATTACCTTGACGATTTTCACAATAACACATGCCCGGAAAAAAATCTTACAGCTGTTTTTCTTAAAATGGGGTTTATTTTCTCCAAGAAATGAATAAGTTTGGTAGAAGGGAGAAAAGCAATACACTGTAAAATAGGAGAGAAAAAGGAAGGAAAGAAGAAGCACCAACAACTTTAAATTTTGTAGGTTAACAGATTAATCACTTAAACAGAGAAAACACTCAAATGCTAATTGATATATACATTTTTGAAGGACTGACATACAAAAACTTGTGGCTGCCTTATATATGTAATAGTTATTTTATTTTTCTGGTTGCATTTATCAATATTAAATATAGGTCCATAACTTAAATTTATTATAAAATGCTGCTATTATTGGTCTGGGAGGTAACTGTGTATGAGTGTATATGTGTGTACATATATATGTGTCTACATGTATACATATACACACATTCATACATATATACAAACATACATACACACACACACACATATACGCACACACACACACAATATAAAACATACAGTAGCCCACTATTGGTTCAGTTAACCATTTACCATAAGCAGCAAAGCATGCATTTTAACGTAAGGTATTTAATGTAAGGTATTATAAGGTATCCATTATGACAATGGAGTTTAGTTAGGATTGGTCTCTTAGCCTTCTGTGACAATACTGAAATGTTGAATAAATGCTCCATCTGACTTTTCTCATCACTGACCCATATGAAAACAGTGCCCAATAACCCACAGGTCTTCTGCATTCTCTGTCACTTGCCTTATTTTCTGAGTATCCTTCTGTTAATTTACAACAAGCAATGATACCAGTAAAACAGATTTTTTTCATACAACAAGGAGTCATTTCTTCCTAATTAACAGTTTCATCTCTTGACTAAGTTATAAAATACTCAGGCCACTGAACTACCACTTACATTTCAACCAACCCTGTAGTTATTGATTGAGGGGAGAAAGGGGAATAAAAATAATGTGATGTTTAATGATTTTAGGGTATTTATAAGGATTTCTGTGACATGACATTTCTTCTTTTAAAAAGTTTCCTCCATTTAGATATTATTATTCTATTTAATTCAAAAGAGATTTCTAAGTTCAATTGTAGAAATGCAACACATATTTAAAGACTTACAAAATGAGGGTTACCAGATAAAATACAGGACACTCAGTAAAGTTTAAATTTCTATGAAACAATGAATAATTTTTTTAGTATTAGGATCTCAAAGTATTGCAAAGTATGTATTTATACTAAAAAATTCCTGGTTTACCAAAAATTCAAATTCAATTGGGCATCCTGTTTTATTTTGTTTTTAATTTGTTAAAACCTGACACCTCTACAAAGCCAATCTCTAACATCACTAAAAGAAGATTATGAGTCTTCACTGTAGATTTCAACCTGCAGAAAATAACTGAGAAATCCTGTTGTCCCTTAAATACTAAGACACATTTCTCATTTCATTATCTCTGAGGCTGATTGATTTAACTGAAAAAGGCCAGAGTCCTCATTAATTGGGTCATTAACTCTAAATCAGGGGAATGGTGTGTGGTCAAGAGTGAATTTTTAAAATATAAAAATCTAAACTAAAAGTCAAGTTTAAAGGCCTCTTTTCTTCCCTTTGTATTTATCTTTATTTTCACTCCACTCAGAGTTATATAAAGACCTTGCTGAAGGCGGGAGACTGTCAGGTGGATGTGAGAGAGGCCACTTTATCACAATGACAGATGCCTCTGGCACCCATAGCAACTTGACTCTAGCCACAAGGCTCTGGGCTTGGGGGCTGGGGTACAGATCTGGCTCTGACAAGCAGAGGCCTTGTGGGTGAACCCCACCTGGCCATTTGGAATCGTGGTCCTGAGGTAGCTCTGGAGCAAGTTGGCACAAATAAAGATTTCATAGCAATGTTTTCCAGATCCAGAAAAGATGAAATCAGATCAACCACTGATTTCTCTGTTGACTTGATAATGAATACTCATACACAGGTGAGGTAACTGTCTAACAGCCTTTCTGGTGATTAGTTTAAGAGAAGAACATTTTCTATGGCAGCTGTTTAGCTCAAAAGTTAAAAATCTCACCACTTTTTCATCTGGCCCAGTACATAATATTCTTGAAATAAAACTCAGAATTAAGATCCATCTTAGTTTTGGCTGAGAGTTGAAAATGAAAAGGCTCAAGTTAGCCCCATATTGACAGGGCTGTGCTTTAAGTATAAGCACACTCGCTGTCTCCATTTTCATTTCCAGTTTTATTCCAAGAGGAAGAGAGACAAGAGGCCAAGTTCCCCTTAAGAAGGCAAATGTCTCTTTTCTTCCTGTGGATTTCCAGATAAACCCTCTGAGGTATATTTGCATTGAGAAATGCAGTGCATTGTATGTTGCTAGGATGCAGCAATTATTAAAGTAATTACTAAAGTGGTATCTACATAAAGTAAATTTGGATGATGTTTAAAACTCAAATGCACACTTTGTGATATTGTGTATAATACAGCTTGTTTGTAGACAGACTACTCCTTTGCTAATGATATTGAAAAAGAACCTTCTTTACTTTGTTTTGCCTTTAGAAATAGATAAGTCCTTCTAGTTGAAAACTAGTTATCATTTTATCTTGTGAATAGTTTAACAGGATAATTATTAATAGTAGGAAGAAGAAAATTGTGACTTTTAATATGTAAAAGATATT
This sequence comes from Homo sapiens, assembly GCF_000001405.40. Classification (NCBI taxonomy): domain Eukaryota; kingdom Metazoa; phylum Chordata; class Mammalia; order Primates; family Hominidae; genus Homo; species Homo sapiens. The sequence continues at coordinate 112,765,506 of NC_000006.12, forward strand.
TAATATATGTATACAAATTAGTTCATGGTATCCCAGTCCTAAAACAAAAAATCCAACTAGCCTCTAATGGCTTTGTGGTTGTACATAGTCATTTATTATGACTGCTGAATTCACTTTCACATTTTGAATCACTTTAAACACCTTCCTCAAATATTTTTGCTAATGTCATTTCCCTTATAGGAATTTTGTTTTTCCCTGTCCTATCATGTTACCCTATACTAAATTAAACCCTAGGCTATTATGGGAAAAAATAATTCTCCATTCTATTTAGAGAACAGACCCAGATACGTCTTACATCATATTTACATATCAGATAAATTTATTATTATTTCACATATATAGATCCAAGAGAAGTTCCTGGAGGTCCTTTGCTTTTCAAAATAAACAGTGCTTTATGGGTGTGAAGGAAAAACTAATTAATATAGTCTTCTAGCAACTTCTTAGAGAAGTGGAGTTATCCTTCTTTTGAAAAATAGTGCCCTGCCTTTTAATGAATGAAATGAGAATAAAAGCATGGCAAGAGACAACGATGGTTCACAATAATAGAGGAGAAATTTGGAAATAGTAAATGTGGTAGACTAAACATGGCTACAAATTGCTTGCTGCTCTTCCCATCAAGAAGTAAAGTCTAATTGCCCCTTCCTTGAATCTTAGCTGGCTTTAATGAGTTCTTTGACTGATAGAATATAGCAATAATAATGTTCTGGAACTTCTGTGGCTATGTTAGAAAAAGCCTTGAAGCTTCCACCTTGGTCTTGGAAGTTCTCTCTGGGAGTCTGGACCTGCATGTAAGAAGTCCAAGTACCCTGAGACCAACCACTTAAGGAGGTCATGTTAAGGTGCCCTGGTTAATATTCTTAGCTGAGTTTGGTGTTTGAGCCATCACCATCAAGATGCTAGTCATATGAGTAAAGACATCTTGTTCCCTCCAGACCATACCTAAACAAGTTGAAAACTACAAAGGGATACTCATAAACAACACAGGAATCACTCAGCTAACTCCTGCTCAAAGTTCTAATGCACACGAATTCTAAGGTAAAATAGTTATTGCTTTAAGCCACTGGGTTGTAGGATCTTTTCTTATGCAGCGACAGATACCTAGAATAGACTACCAGAAACCAGAGTTGGTCTTGAACAGGGTAGGTCTCTTTGTGTGACTGACACCTCAACCTTTTTTCTTTTGACCTTCCATCTTCTGGGTGTTGTCTGGCATTGTTTCCAACAATTGGGAAATACTAGTATCTAGATATAATAATTTGAATGGCAGATAAAAGGTAGGAGCTAGAATGGCTTGTTAAGCACTATTACATAATAATGTTATCATTTGATATTCTATTTATTTTAAGTTCTGGTCTCCTTATGCCCTTAACAGTTCTTTTGAAAGCCAAAGCCATTGCTCTGCCCCTCGAGTGGGTGGATGAGTCTGCTTGACTGTCAGACTTCATGGATAAACTGGCTGAAACCACATAATGTTCGCTCACTCATTACCTTTCTCCTTGTTAAGCCTTTCTGATGGGTGTGCACTGAATTCAGAAAACTGCTAAAATCATGTTAGACACAGAGAAGATGCAACCAACTTTGGATGATGTACAGAAAAGAGTTAACATAGCAGGCCTGGCCGGGCGTGGTGGCTCATGCCTGTAATCCCAGCACTTTGGGAGGCTGAGGCGGGTGGATCGCAAGGTCAGGAGATCAAGACCATCCTGGCTAACACAGTGAAACCCCCCTCTACTAAAAGTACAAAAAATTAGCTGGGCATGGTGGCAGGCGCCTGTAGTCCCAGTTACTTGGGAGGCTGAGGCAGGAGAATGGTGTGAACCTGGGAGGTGGAGCTTGCAGTGAGCCAAGATTGCGCCACTGCACTCCAGCCTGGGTGACAGAGCGAGACTCCGTCTCAAAAAAAAAAAAAAGAAAAAAACAAAACAACAACAAAAAAAACATAGCAGGCCTGAGATTGCTATCATTAGAAAGTAGGGTTGACTGTTGGCTGATTTTAGGATTGTATATTTTTGGGACAATTCCTACCGTTCTGTAATTGATAAGAGGGGTTCTCCATGCCTAAATAGTTTTTTACAAACATGTGATTTGTGTCAAACACCTACTTTTCTTCTGCAAGTCTGGGATTTTGGTATGTGCTAAGAAGTGGATGTCTATGTGATCAGCCCCCAATAAAAACTTTGGACACTGAGTCTCTAATAGCTTCCCTAATCAGCAATATTTCATATGGGTTGTCACAATTTGATGATGGAGGAATTAAGCATGTCCTGTCTGACTCCATTGGGAGAGAACTATTGGAAACTTGTGCCTGGTCTCCTCCAGACTTGGCCCCATGTGCCTTTTTCCTTTGTTGATAATACTTTGCATCTTTTCACTGTAATCAGTCATAGCCATAAGTATGACTACATGCTAAGTCCTGAGTCCTTTGGGTCCTCCTGGTGACTCATGGACGTGTGGTGGTTTCAGAGACCCCAGACAGGGATAGCAAGTGAGCCAAAGGAGAATTACACACACACACACACACACACACACACACACACACACACCCCACAGAGGCATGCATGCATGCACACACACCACAGGCACATGCACACATGCACACACCAGTGTTCCAATTGAGACTTTCCTACTAAAAAATTTTTAAATTTTTAATGAAAGAGGATTTGGATTTTCATTAAATAATACTGGTAACATGAATGTTATAATTATTTATATGCTTGCTTAACGTCACTACCTCCACCTCCTGTCTGCTTCTCCTCAGTCCACTTCAGTGAGGCTTGTTCCCAGTCACTCTGACAAAACGGCTCTCTCTCAGCTCCACTTTGCCAATTGTCACTTTTTTCTTTCATCTTACTTGTTCCTTCAGCTGCATTTCCCACAGTTGAGCTCTCTCCTTGAAACACTTTCTTCTCTTGGCTTTTGAAATACCAATATTTCCTGATTTTTATCTGACCTTTATATCCACTCCTTTTCACTGTCCTTTGGTAATTTTGCCGCGTATTTCCAAGCTTCAGATATTGGAACGACTTGGTTATGAGCTGCCTTCTGTTTTTTATTTAAATGCTCTTCCCAGTTTCATTTCTAGTGTCTTGGCTTTAAATATCATACATAAAATGATAATCCTCAAATTTACTCTCCAGAATTGTAACCTCCCTTGAGCTCCAGATTCTTACATGAAACCACTTAGTCAGGATCTCTGCTTAGAAGCATAAAGCCCTTTCAAACGTAGAATGTTTAAATCACAACTCCTGATTCTTTGTACCAATCCTTCTGTCCCTGTCCGAACCTTCTCCTCCCCACCCCTTTCTGTCTTGATAAAGGCCACTACATTTAATATCTTCTCTATCCCAGAAGCTGGAAGCAACTTTTATTTCTAGTAATCAAGCTTCCACTCAAGAACATTACCAGATAGTTTTTTTTGGCTCTGATGGGGTTTATGCATTTATATTGTATGCTAGTGACTCCTGATAGAAACTTTTTAAAAATTCACGCTTTTAAACTTTCATGAGGGCACAGCTTTTTTGAGAATTTGATAACTATAGACTCAGTAAAAATACACATAAACCACCTAAACAAAAAGTGTGCATGTAATTTCAAATGAAATATGTATGTGTGTATGTATATACCTATACATAGATATAATTTTAAATGAATACATAAAATTTTAAATGTATTAAAATGAAACGTGAAAACGGTTACAGTTATAATAGACTGTAAACCAAGTTAATATACAAGACAGGAGAATTTAAGTATGTTGGAGTATTAAATTAACTCCAAAAATCTCAGGGTTTTTTCCCCTACATCATCCATTGGTGTTTTTGACATTTGTCTCTCATACTGCACCTCTAAAATATGCTTCGAATCTGCTCCAAACCTAGTCCCAGTCACTGTTATTTCTTGTCTAACTGTCAAGATCCTTGTAATGGTCTCTCTGATTCCACTATTGTACTCACCCATAGTCTTTGTTTGGAGTCACTCTGGAGTATGAAGTATAGGGGGTCAAAGAGTGAGTGCTGGAAGTAGACTTTATAAATGAAAATCTTGGACCCGGCTTCTAATTAGTTGTGTCAATTTCTTTATATCTAAAATAGTGACCATAATAATAACTTTTATTAGAGTTGTGGGGATTACATAGATTGACATATCTAAATATAAAGCATTTGGATAGCATCTAGTACAAAAAACACTCCATGTTAATATTAATAATATTGTTATTTTTACCATATTAGGTTCACAAGAAAAGCAGAACCAAGAAGAGAGTTAATAAAAGGAATGGTTCACACGATTATGATGGATTAAAAAGTCCCCAAATCTGTAGTCTGCAAGCTAGAGACCCAGGAGAGGTGATGGTGTAGTTCCAGTCTAAAAGATAGCAGGCTCAAGACTCAAAAAGAGGTAATTTTTCAGTTGAAGTCTGACACGGCTAGCCTTTGTGTCCCGACCCAAGTCTCATCTTGAACTGTGATCCCTGTAATCCCCACTTGTCAAGGAAGAGACCAGGTGGAGGCAGTTGAATCATGGGGGCAGTTTCTCCCATGCTGTTCTCCTGATAGTGAGTTCTCATGAGATCTGATGGTTTTATAAGGGACTCTTTCCCCTTTTGCTCAGCACTTCTCCCTCCTTGTGAAGAAGGTGCCTTACTTCCCCTTTACCTTCTGCCATGATTGTAAGTTTTCTGAGGCCTCCCCAGCCATACAGAACTATGAGTCAATTAAACCTCTTTCCGTTATAAATTACCCAGTCTCAGGCAGTTATCTATAGCCATATGAAAATAGAATAATACAAAGTCTGAAGAGAGGAAAAGACTAATGGTCCAACTCAAGCAGTGAGAAATCAGGCGTTCCCTCTTAGCCCTTTCGTTCTGTTCAGATCTTCAATTGATTAAGTGGTATCCACCCACACTTGGGAGGGCAGTCTTCTTTACTCAGTCTGTTGATTCAAATGTTGATCTCATCCAGAAACACCCTCAGAGACACACTCAGAATAGTCTGACAAATGTCTGGGCATTCAATGGCCAAGTCCAGTGAACACAAAAAGTTAACCATTACAATTACTATTATCATTAGTCCACTCCTCAGCCTGAGTAAGCTTTTAAAAACATAAATCAGATCACTTCACCTCCCTGCACCAAGCCCTCCAGCAATTTCCCATCACATGCCTTACAAACACCTCTCACTCTGTCAGTGAGAGAGTTGTTCTACAGTGCTATTTCGGGTCCCTTCAGCATTCTTTCCATTTAGGTATCTCGGGTTTATCAGAAGCTCCTTCAGGAGACCACCCCTTCACCCTCCATTGTCCCTCAACTTAGGGAACACATTAAAGATTCTAAATTGTTTCTTTAAATTACTTCTGACTACTCTGGAAGTAAGAAAAAAAGCACCCCTATATTTCTCTAAACACCACCTCTCTTAAGCCTTCCACTTATTTAATTAAATTCTTGGCCTTTGTTTATATAGCAAGGAGGTAAATGATGTATTGAGTTTCTGTTGACTTTGGACTCTTCCTCTGCAGCTCCTGCAGATGGTCTAGCACTTCATCATAAAACAGGGGATTATTTATCACCTATCATGTTGGGGCCCCAACCAAAACTGATTTACAAAGGGCTCAATTTTCACACATTGCTATATAAGTGTTGTCACGTTCTTTCCAAAGTAGATATTTAAACTATTAGCAACAGTCTTTGGAAATGTCCATACTCACCAGCATTGGATGTTTTTATTTGTAAAATCTTTGCTTCATTAATAGCTAAAAAAATGAATCATCATGTCACACTTTTTAATTTGCATGTATATTAGATTAAGGGATCTTTTTGCCTAATGTATATACAGTGTTAATATTTTTACATATAATCTAAAAGTACAGGTGGATGAACTTAGACTATTTTTCTTTTCTTTTATCACTAGGTACTTTATATTACAGGTATATTAGATTAAAGGATCTTTTTGTCTGATGTATATACAGTGTTAATATTTTTACATATAATCTAAAAGTACATATGGATGAACTTAGACTATTTTTATTTTCTTTTATCACTAGGTACTTTATATTACAGGTTGAGTATTACTTATTCAAAATGGTTGGGACCAGAAGCATTTCCAATTTCAGATTTTTTTTGGATTTTGGAATATTTGTATAATCAGAACTCTTGGGGATAGGACCCAAGTCTAAACACAGAATTCATTTATGTTTCATATACATCTTACACACATAGCCGGAAGGTAATTGTGTACAATATTTTTAATAATTTTGTGCATGAAGCAAAGATGGTACTTAGGTGTGGAAGTATCCACACTTATTGATTGTACTTATGTGTGGAATTTTCCACCTATAATTTTGGTGCTCAAAAAGTTTTGAATTTTGGGGCATTTGAGATTTTGGATTTCTGCATTAGGCATGCCTAACCTGTATTTTATTTTTAATCACGTATGATCTATTTATGCGGTTGCTCATGTTAGTCTGATGTTCCTCTTGTGTATTTGCCTGAAATGCATATATTTTCTTCGTAAAACTTCCTAAAATTCATTCCCAATATCTCATCTGTTACCTTATATTTTTTGACCTTCAAAAACTTTAGTTTGTGTGTGTGTATGCAAAGCTGTTTATCTTTTATTTAGTTTGTTTCTCATTGCTTCTAGATACCATGCCATTCCTGACATTTGATACTTTTTGATTTCTGTTTTCTTCCAATTTTTCTGTAACTTTTATGTTTACCTCAATCAGCTTATATTTTATTTGGTAACACTGTGATAATGGTCTAAATTTACCTTTACTTTTTTTAAAAAAAAGATAACCAGTTTTTCAAACATCATTTATTCAATAATTAATAATCCTGTCCTTCCAAACTTGTCAAGTCCTTAATAATATATGACTTTCCAGTAAGTGAAGCCATTTCTAGACTATTTATTCTTTTCCATTGATTTGTCTGTTAATTTTAACCATTACCAGCATTTAAACATTTTTATGGACTTCTCATATTTGAAAATTTTTTGCCGTTGACTTTTAGGACTATAGGAAAGTTAAAAATTAAGTGTGTGTGTGTGTGTGTGTGTGTGTGAAGAAATTAATCAAAGTAATGTGAAGAAGTGGAACTGGTAGAGTCAATGTATAAACTTGATGTAATTGTATTTTCCAAATACTGATAAGATCCTTAGAGACTGTTTTTCTTCAACCGATTAAAACTCCCAACAGAGAAATTTATCCTGTACATTGTTGATTATTATCTGTGAAACTTTGAATGATAAACCAGTATATGAATGCGCACAAAGGTAGTTTTTATTTGGTTTATATTCTCCTCCCCACTCTCCAGTCCAGGTAAGGCACTTGAGGAGTTAGCAACATCTCTGTAGGATCCTCTATGCTATGGTTAAAAGCTGAAAATTAAAGCCATGCTCTTCAGTCAATACTCCTGAAATAACTCTCAGAATAATTTATTGAATCCTTTCAAGGAGAACTGGGAAAGTAAATTTAGCATATTATTTCTGACTTTGAAGTATAATATGTCAGACTACTTTTCTATTTATGTTATGTTTTATTTAATGATTGCTAAGAGTTATGAGTAAATACAGATTCCTAAATAAGAGGAATTGAAATGTAGATCAGGAAACAGGAAAAATAAATGAGCAAATTGTTTAATTTGGATTTGGTATGCAATTGTTTAAGAAAAATGATCATCTCTTCGTTTTAATGAATACTTCCAGATAGTTGGCTTTTAGTGTTGGTACAGGAAATATCAGCTTAGTCTCAGCTTCTCTGTTAATAAAAAATGTGTAAAATTCAAATTTTTGGTAATTTAAGCACATTTGTACTGAGTCATAATCACTAATCACTTTGGCATCTTAGGAAGATTAAACATTGAATCTGATGATAAAATAAAATGTGTTAGGATTAACTGCCAGATATTTGGGCCAATAGCTCTTGGGTCCTGAAAAATGACTTGATTCGAAGGGCTTAAGTCATTGGTAATTAGTGGGAGGAGGATAGTTGTGAGCCAGTTTCCTTTTTCCTTCATCCTGTTTCTCTCCATTTCATTTAAAGGACTTGAAAGTGTTCACATGGTCTCTTTAGGTCTTCTGCAAGGTAAGAATAGATTTTAAGGTAATAATGCATCAGAATAATGCTGAGAGAAGTAATTCATATTAGTGAAGCCAAAAGTTTACCTTACATTCATTTCACTCTAAAGCAAAAGGTGCACCAGAGTGAAACAAGACTTGACCTTGCTGATATAGTTACTAGTATCTCAGTGACAGTGATGCCCAGTGGAAGCCAGGAACCCATGCAGGTGTGTGCTTGTGTGTGGGTAGAGATGGAGAAGTATGAGGGAAAGGGAAGATGTAAAAAAAATGGGGGGGGGGAGATAGGAATATAAAGGGCACTTTGAATGCTTAATCAAAAGGGACTTTGGCATAACCAAAGGGCAGCCACATGGGAAGAATAAGAAATGTTTGTACCACCCTCTAGGTTTCAACAGTGTACCTAAGAATCTCTTGAATAAGATGGAGTCTTTTCTGGTAAGGATGAAGCCTGTGTAATTTACTTGTGCCTATAGACACTAAAGTCAAAATTACATTTGGTGCATATCCTACTTTCTCAGGAGCTAAACCTGGACATACATCTGGAGGCATCAATAGGTTTGATTTGAGAAGCTTTATACAACAGCTGGTAATAGTAGCCGACAAATTGAGTTTAAAACATCTGACTTTAAAACCCCTGTCACTATGTCAGAGGCATTTAAACCAGGGTGACTCTGTCTTGAACAGGGGCTAGGTAAACTGAGGTTGAGACCTATTGGGCTGCATTCCCAGGAGGTTAGGCATTCTAAGTCACAGGAAGAGAGAGGAGGTCAGCACAAGATCCAGGTCACAAAGACCTTGCTGATAAAACAGGTTTCAGTGAAGAAGCCAGCCCCAAATCCCACCAAAAACAAGATGGTCATGAAAGTGACTTCTGGTTTTCCTCACTGCTCATTATACACTAACTGTAATGCATTAGCATGCCTAAAAGACACTCCCACGAGTGCCATGATAGTTTGCAAATGCCACGGAAATGTCAGAAAGTTACGCTGCATAGTCTACAAAGGGGAGGAACCCTCAGTTTTGGGAATTGTCCACCTCTTTCTTGGAAAACTCCTGAATAATCCACCCATTGTTTAGCATATAATCAATAAATAACTATTAAGTATTATCAGTCGAGCAGCCCAAGCTGCTGCTCTGCCTATGGAGTAGTCATTCTTTATTCCTTTATTTCTCTAATAAACTTGCTTTCACTTTATGGTCACTGCCTCGAATTCTTTTTGAATGAAAACCTTCTCTTGGGGTCTGGATAGGGACCCCTTTTTGGTAACACCTTTAGTGAACCAGCTAAGGTACATTGGATACTTGTCAGTGAGTATAAATAATGTTAATTTGTTAAAACTTTCCCATTTTTAAGAGCTCCTCTGACAAACTAGAGTCATAGACAGTCTCCAGTGCCAGAGAAAATTACACACGTGAAGAAGTAGCTGCAAGCTTTTGCCATTGAAGTGTCTTCTCAATTAAAGATGGAGCACTGGCATGATAGCAGACAGTTCAAAGCACGCACACTATATAGATCTGGTCAAACCAACTCTGATGAACTTTTTACTCAGAATTTCAACTGAAAGAAACCACATTCCCAAATGTTGCTTAATAGATAAAACACGGGAGATCAATTTTGCCTGAATTTGTATTAGTGCTCCATGAAATTATGATACCATCACACCTCTATCCCTGTTATTAGGATATGCTTTCTTGAAATTTTATTTCATTTTTGAGAAGAATGATGCAGACTTTTTTTCTGTCAACAAAGAATCATCATAGACAATGTAAGCCTCAGAGACACTTATCTTGACAATTTTTTTTAACAAAAGGCTACACTTGTAATTTTCAAAATAACCTCACTAACCCATGAAAAATATTATTTTTAGATTTATATAATGATGCATAATGACTCTTCTCTGATAAGCTTTGGTTTCATCATCCATCAACAAAAGGAACTCTTTTTGTTCCTTTAGTATTTAAACACTTTTATTATTAGACACTTTTAATAAGCTTATATAAGGTTTTAGTACAAATATTACCATTAATCTTGCTGTGTCTATCTACTATGAAAGATAAAAGCTAGTTTCAAATCAGAACTGTAAAACAAAATTTGTTACTGTTACAGAACATATTTTAATTTACACCCATATTTTAAAACTGGATATGTATAAAAATGCTATGAAAGGTTAAAATTCTAAACAAGTAGAACACATGAAGAACATGTTCACTCCTTATCTAAATACAGGCTTTAAATCAGCATCAAAACCACTTTTAAAAATAGATCATAGGAATAATCAATATCATAAAAATGGCCATATTACCCAAAGTAATTTATAGATTCAGTGCTATTCTCATCAAGATACCATTTACTTTCTACACAGAATCAGGCAAAACTACTTTGAATTTTATATGGAACCATAAAAGAGCCCATATAGCGAAGACAAGCCTAAGCAAAAAGAAAAAAGCTGGAGGCATCATGCTACCTGACTTCAAACTACACTACAAGGCTTCAGTAACCAAAAGAGCGTGGTACTGGTACCAAAACAGATATATAGACCAATGGAACAGAACAGCAGCCTCAGAAGTAACACCACACATCTACAACCATCTGGTCTTCGACAAACCTGACCAAAAAAAAAAAAAAAAAAAAAAGCAATGGGGAAAGGAGTCCCTAGTTAATAAATGGTGTTGGGAAAACTGGCTAGCCATATGCAGAAAACAGAAACTGAACCCCTTCCTTACACCTTATCCAAAAATTAATTCTAGATGGATTAAAGACTTAAACGTAAAACCTAAAACCATAAAAACCCTAGAAGAACACCTAGGCAATACCATTCAGGACACAGGCATGGGCAAAGACTTAATGACTAAAACATCAAAAGCAATTGCAACAAAGCCGAAATTGACAAATGGGATCTAATTAAAGTAAAGAGCTTCTGCTCAGCAAAAGAAACTATCATCAGAGTGAACAGGCAACCTACAGAATGAGAGAAAAATTTTTCAATCTACCCCTCTGACAAAGGTGTAATATCCAGAATTTACAAGAAACTTAAACAAATTTACAAGAAAAAAACAAACAACCCCATCAAAAAGTGGACGAAGGATATGAACAGACATCTCTCAAAAGAAGACATTATGCGGCCAAAAAACCTATGAAAAAAAGCTCATCATCACTGGTCATTAGAGAAATGCAAATCAAAACTACAATGAGATACCATCTCATGCCGGTTAGAATGGTGATCATTAAAACGTCTGGAAACAATAGATGCTGGTGAGGAGATGAGAACACATGGACACAGGGAGGGGAACATTACACACCGGGGCCTGTTGGGAGGTGGAAAGAAAGGGGAGGGAGAGTATTAGACAAATACCTAATGCATGTGGGGCTTAAAAGCTAGATGATGGGTTGATAGGTGCAGCAAACCACCATGGTACATGTATACCCATGTAACAAACCTGCACGTTCAGCACATGTATCCCAGAAGTTAAAGTAAACTAGAATAAAATAACATAAAATAAAAAAGATCATAACTGTTAAAATATGTACAATACATTAAATATCTTTGTTGATGATTTTATTGTTTTTTCAACATCCCAGAGACAATACAGTTCACTGAATATTCCTGATACAGTACTCTTTTCCCAAACTCCCTTGTAGTTTGGTGGTGACCATGCCACCAGTTCTGAGTATACAGAAACATGCATCACTTTCAATCAAAAGTACCTCAAGGCATGTGTGACTTATTTCCACTTTCTCTTCTACCTTGATTCTGAAGGCCAAGTGTTCCAGATTGTATGCTAAAATATGGAAGCTGTGTAAATGCTTGTATCAGCCCTTGGAAGCGAGCTATCCTGGAGAGCCGGAGGGCTCATGGTTACTCCAAATGACAGTGAAATACATTTTAACATACTCAGTCTTAATGGTTTTGGAGTTGCTACCACACATTGTGTAGCTTGTTCCAACCAAGATATTGGCCTAACCAAAGCAGCACTGGCATGCATTAGGACTTTTAATAAGCATTTGCATGTTGTTATCTATATTATACAGAATAAATAGTTATGAAGAGATATCTAAGAATACACAATTTGTAGATAAAAATTGGGATTTATGTGTATTTCCCCATGTTGAGGGACCTCTTCTACTAATTATCTATCATGTCAGACAGTACACTAGGCCTTTATACATGTTTGTCAGCTCACACACAAAACTACCCCATGATATAGGTATTGTTGTTACTATTATTATCATTTTTAAGATAGGGAAACTGGGACTCAGTGAGGGTAAATAATTCTCAGTGAGAATTATTAGATAAAAGATAGCATAGATAAAAGATAGTCATCAGATAAAAGATAGCATAGCCAAGACTGAAGCTCAGTCACTAGACCATGCTGCCTTTAGTCTCTGTACTATTTTTTATTTAGACTGAGATAAATGAAGTAAAATCTTATTTCTAATAGAAAGTGATTTTGTTACTCAGTAAACAATAACTCTTCTTGTTCTTTTCATTTAAAGCATTTTATAGCTCAGAATATTTATAGAAGAGATATTTGAAAATCCATTTTTAGAGGATTGAATCAAAGATAATATATTTTAGTAAAATAACATATGACTGGCTTCTAAAAATCTATCTTAAAGAAGAGGTCCAGAAAAATGGTTGAAACATACTTATTTTTCTTAAGATGCACTTTTTAGGCATGATAGTAAAAAGTGCTTTAAATGATAGTAAAGCATTTTCATGTGTAGCATCGAATATTTAACAGCATTTTATTTTTCTTATCAATGGTGTTCCAGAATTTGATATAACTTCCAATGTATTCCAAGTCATGTGTCAAGTTAGCATGTTAGTCTCTGTAAATTTTGCTTACATTATTTGAAACATAAAATTTGATCCCAAGCAGAGACTATATAATTATTTTATGTTGATTTTCCTTCTGATATATTTCTTTTTAAAAAGCGATTTTGCTTTTTTGAATCATAAAATCTTTCAATCTGTTTATTTATAAGCAGCTCCCATGGTTATGCAAAAATATAGACTTATGCAACTTAAAATGTATGAAATGAATATTGTATTTTCTCACTTAACGGGTATCAAGTAGATTATTTTTAATGCTGAAGTTGACAAAAGTGAAGTGAGAAAAACATTTCTGCTTATATATTACAAAACTGCATAGCAGTAACATTATGTAAATATTTCTACATGAAATCTATATTGCAAGTCATAAGTCACCAGGACCTAAACTAGATATTAAGGTTTATGAAGGTGGTTTCATTCAGTGATTTGGTTTTATATTCACTACATTTAAGTAACAATTAACTACATAAAAATAAATTAAAACATGAACATATAGATAGATCTCCATCTTGAAAATAGACATGAAGTCATAATTCTGCTTCCAACCTGCCTATGTTGGGGCATTTTAAAAATTCCCTTAATTGTACATCCTACTCTGTCTTATATACCCTATTTCAGCACAACAGAACAGAGAAAGAATAAGGTTTCCCTTACAACTCTTAAAACTGATATTATCCTATGAAAGTCATTTAGTTATTTTAATTATTTTCATGACACTACCCCCAACAGCTTTCAATTTATTCACAGCTAGTGGGCATCTTTCAGACTATAAATAGTTGTAAATCCCTACAGGGCGAACTTTTTGAGAATTATTTTATCTGGGTTCTTAGAAAGCTTCATATGACTATCTTTTGATGTGCTATTTTAATCCTAATGGAGGAAATTAATATTATTGGAATAATACATATATAAGCTGTATAACTAAACAGCATGGTCATTTTAGTTGATTATTGACCTCTACCACCTCCATTCCTTCTGCCCTTCTGGTTAAAAGCTCGAGAGAGAGAGGAGAGGGAGTTAGTTCTGCTATTACATATTTTCTTCATGTTGGATTGAAGGTCATTATTTTGAACTCATAATTGCCCCTTGGTCTCTCAAACCCCATTAAGCTTAATGGTCTGATTTAATTTGCTTGGCTGGTCTTTACTCTAAAAATACCTTCTACTCCTCCTGCTTTTCCTTCCCTGATATGAACAGACAAAGCCTGGTTTTAATCCATGTTACATAAAATTTCCAGAGGAACCAATGAACATTCTATTCATGACAAAGATTTATAGCAATGCCTCTTCCACTTCATCAAAGAGTGCGATTGCATGGCACATACAGAGTGGGCAGACAGATTTTAATGATGCAATTACCAAAGTTTACCTCTCTGGCTGGTGTAAAAACTGGGCCAACAGGAGTTAAATGTTCCCTCCACAGGAGATCAGGGACAGAATTTTGAATGTCAACTTCTTCCTTACTGAGCTACTACATGTTTTCTTTTATACTTCTTCTACTTCCCTCCTCCCTACCCCACCTCCCATCAAGAGACTTATCTTCCACATTCTCACTGCTGTATTGGTTCAAATCTGCCTTGGACTCTCCTAAAAGTTCTCACAGTGCTGACAGGTCAGTGTAACAGTTTTCCATTAGTAAAGTCCGCATGCATAATTAAAAGGAACTTAGGAGACAAAACCATGAACTTGATACTTGTTATCATTATTCAAAATAGGTAGTTTGAGTTTTAAATCTAGAAAATTCTGACTTTTGCCAACAACAGAAAGAAAGTCCGCAGTTGAATAAACCTATTTTTTTAAAGAGAATAGCAAAAGGAAAACAAAGGCATCTTACAATTAACTTTTTGTTTTGATATTTGTTTAATGATTTGTTTTATTTTTTAAAAAATTCCAGACCAGTCAAATCTATACAATTTCATATTGATTTTTCAAAATTCAGTATCATTCAACACTTATTCATTTCTTTTCAGAACGTTTCTCTTAAATAAAGGTATAGTTTTCTCATTTTAAAGATGTAGTAATTTGTTAAAAGAATCCAGAAAAGTAATATTTACCTACAGAGTCGGAAATCAAGAAATTAGTTGATTTCAAAAGGCCTCCGTTAAGTACGTACTGAAAAGACACATGATACAATGTAAACACTTCCCTTGGGTTTTTATTAATTTTGTTTTATTTCATTTTCTAGACTTTTCCATTTGTCTTTTGGGCTGTATGTACATCAGTGAATGCTAGGAGCGCGGTTGGTCAAATAATGATATGCATATGGATCCCTGTAGGTGGCGCTGCAATCCTGCAAGAATAATTCTAGAGCCACCAACAGGTCTCCATTATGGTCTACCCAGATACTGATTTGGGACGCCTTCAGAAAATGGAAACGCTAATGAAAAATTAGTTAAATTTAACCAACAGTGATTTGTCCAATTTAAAATTAAAAAGGGAAATCATGTAGAACAAACCTAGGCATAAATATAAGCACGTACAACACATTTTAAACATCAACACTAAGTCTTCCTTAACCCTAATACTTCCAAATAATCTTTTTTAGAACCCTTGGCAACCCCAGTTTACACACACTGAAAAACGACAGTGCAATAAGAAAGATTGCATTGGCTTCTTCAACTGAGTAGTCAAAAGCATAGAATGATATTGAGAGTAATCTAAAAAAAAAATAAGCCTTTTCTAGGCTTAATTTTTATAATTTTTATAATATAATAAAATTATTAAATCTGCCAAATAACAGAAATACTTTCCCATGTTAGCACTTTAAATATTTTTAATTCTTTATATATTTGAGACTTATAGAGTGAAACAAAAATACAAAGAAAAATTTTATTAGTTGAATCAAAGCCTTAAGTTCATGATTTGTAAGGGGAGGAAGCACAAAAAAGTATCTGACTTTTTGATAGACTTGACACAGAAGTCAATGGAGACTTGCAGTTTACGTCAGGGTTTCTCAATCTTGGCATTGTTTACATTTGGAGACAGACAATTCTTTGTCATGGGGGGCTGTGCATTGTAGGATGTGTAGCAGTATCCTTAGTCTCTACCCACTAGATGCCAGTAGCACTCCCCCACCCCACTCCCAGTTTGTAACAACCAGAAATGTCTCCAGACACTGCCAAATATCCCTTGGAGGACAAAATTGCTCCTGAGTGAGAACCATTGGTCTATAGTTATGTATTTTTTTATACACAAAGGAAGAAGTATGTTGGAAGCGTGTCCTGTGATAAGCTATTCATAAAAATAGTAAGAGTTTGTTTTCTAATTAATTAATGTCCCAGAGGA
Source organism: Homo sapiens (assembly GCF_000001405.40). Taxonomy (NCBI): domain Eukaryota; kingdom Metazoa; phylum Chordata; class Mammalia; order Primates; family Hominidae; genus Homo; species Homo sapiens. Next base: position 112,781,694 of record NC_000006.12, read on the forward strand.
CCTAGAAACTTTGAGTATTCATCAACATAGACACAGTAACTCATCTCTATCACTTCAATACACCAAGGCATGCATATATTGTCTTCATCAAGTTTACATGCATGTTTCTTGTTTGAAATAACTGACTACTGTTTAAAGCTTTATCAAACAATGTAATGGTTAATGGAGTACCTACCATATTAAAATATTTGGGATTATACCTATTATGTATGCTTTCAGAAGATTACTGGAACATAATCTTCAAATAATAGTGGTTAATGAATTTTCTGGTGCTTTTTTAGGTATTTACTTAGAATAACATTGGAATCACTCACCATATTCTTCAATTTGAAGATTAATAATACTCTTGGAATATGACAAAAAATACACTATTCATGGGGTTTACATATTTTGGAGAACTAAAAATGTTATGCATCAATTTACATCAGATGCCTAGGGCATCTCTTTGCATAGCATGTTAGAATTTGAAGAGACATGCGAAATAATCTTACGTCCGGCCACTTTAGTGGTTTTGAAACTGAGGCTTACGGAGGTTAAATAGTGTCCTCAAAATAGCACAGCGAGAGAAAGTTCTGTGACTAGATCCCAGGTGTCTGGAATGCTTTCCAGTGGCTTCTTCGCCATGTCATGCTTATGGTGGAAGATGGCATCTCAGCTCTGGGTCTACATTTAATCTATTTCTGTATTTTGAATTTAATAATATCAATGCATAAAATACTGGCTTGCCTAGTTATATTATCAAAATATCGTTTAAAACCTTAAGACCCTGTTTGTTAGTTCAGGTCCACCAGACTGCCTACTTAAATAAAACAAGTAAAAATGATGGTGAGAAATTCTTAAGTACCTGTTTGATGAAATATCACTTGATAATTCTGGAAAGCTTTCCTGTTTATTTGAATATTATAGCATTGCTGAAATTGGAATTAAATGAATGCCTGATGTTGATTTTCTTAAAAAAAGAAAAATTCTGTTGCATATTTATTGCTACACTTATTTGTAATAAAGTGTGATAAATTCTCTCAAACATGACTACAAGGCCTGCCATAGCATGTGTTTTGTCATTGCTGTTCAAGTTTACCAGGTGCTGTGTGATAGTTCAATTACCCAATACCTATTTATAAAATCAAAATATTGCAAAATGTTTGTTCCTTCAGCTTTGGGCTCAATTATAAGAAATGCGAAAGCTGAAATTCTTTTGAGATATTTGATTAAAATAGGACCATCAGATAATCCACAACATAAATAAAGTATTTTTTGATGTTCATCAAAATAAAAATTGATAAAAAGTACTCTTGTCGGGATGCTGCAGACCTAGGAAGGTGGTCTCAGTTTGAGATGAGCTATTCTAATAACAATTCCTTGCCATTTATAAAGAATGATAAAACTGGCTCTGACCATTGAAATCACCCTTTGAAACCTTCTAACCCACTAAAACAATCCCTTTTTCATTCTATTCAAGATACTCTAACTGAAAAGTGTTTTGACTATCCCTATATAGAGTTCATATAACCTCAACTTCAAATGTTATGTGTTTATCATCTAGTGGTCTTTATTATATTATAGAAAAAGGGGACACTAAAAACATAATAAATATTAGTTTGAAACGGGCAGGGAGAAATTGAAAAAAGATTTTTAAAAGATGCAATGACTGTGTAGACAACTCCAACATACCGTTTCCAAATCTAATACCATAATTCTGCTTTTAATTAGACTATTCTTGGATCAATCACAATATATTTATTTCAAGTCAGAGCTAAATACCTATGTCCTATATGTGTTACGGTACTTGATGTAATGGTGTTGAGGCTAGAAAATGAACCCTAACATGATCACAACTTTAATGAGTGTGAGCTGAAAAAGCTGCTACTTAATGCTGGTCTTTCTACAAGTGGAAGCTTGAAGTTTGCTTCTGTTAATTTGGGAAAAAAAAATCTTAATTTTTTTAAGTTAAACAAATGAAAAGTAATTATCCACCAATATTATTCATGAAGAAAACTGTTAAGTGATCTTAGAAGAAAATGAGATGCTTAAAAATTAATGTATATAGGTGGAATCAGAACTGTAACTCTGTAGATTTTTTTTCATTTATTTGTTTTCAATGGGACATTGGAATTTGACCTTGTGATCTCATTATATTCTTCCAGATTGGGAGGGACCCCAATCTGTTAACCCCATTCCAAGAAGAAAGCAGTTTCAGAAATAGTTCCTTCAAGTGGATGTGAATGAGAAAGCTTCATGTAAAATGCATCATTGTAGAACTATCACAACAGAGAATGAACATCTATGTCTCTCTCTATTGCACTGTAATACTATGAGGCTGGGCATTAGCTTTTTAGATGTTATAGGGATGTGGAAATTGTGAACTAAATTGTGAACTGAACTGCTGAACTGCAATCTGTGAGCCCAGTGAAGGTAAGCTACATTTATAGTATCCTGGGGGTCAAGAGAAAACTGGAAGAATCAAGGCATCTCTTTGAATCCTTGCTACTGCATTTACTAGCTGAGGCATTAAGTCATTTAAATTTACTGAACATCAAGTTCCACGTATGTAAAATAAGGAATACAATACTTGACTAAGAGATTTCTTGGTAAACAAACAAGCAAAAGGGCTCAAAAGATGGGAAGTATTAGAAAACTTATGTGCATGCTAAATATCAAACCAAACCCACCTCATCATGTCTAGTACATCTGTATGAGGAAATTCATTTGTTCTCTCTCTCTGTGTGTCTCTCTCTCCTTCATCAGTTCATTGATGTGAGCATCCATCTCTCTCCAATAGAACCTTGGATTCTATTTTTTAGCTTTGCCTCCTCTCAGGTGACTTCTGAGCCTCTGACAGGCCCCTTGGCACAATTTTACTTCCCTATTGGCTTGGAAATAGTGTAACCTACTCTTGTGACAGACACCAAAGTGCCTACACAGTAGAGAGCATTCAGGTGGCTATCACAAGGAACTAAATACACAGAGGCTGGTGCTAGACCCAATGTATGGATAACTGGCTCTTTTCACTCTACTTTTGGCTAGTGAACACAGCTGTCAACTGATACTTCATTCGAGACCTGATAGACCTGATGTTTGATTGTCTTGGCCACGTTGATAATGTCAATTCATTCATTACTGGGAAACAGGAAGATAAACTTTTTACTTTCCCTTTCATAAATTTGAAATTTTTTGTTATCATTGATTTCTGCAGATACAGAGAAAGAAAAGACTTCTTTGAACTCTTTGAATAAGAACAGAATTCCCTTCTACCCTGTTTCTGACTTAATACTCCAATAAAAGCTAACCTTTTAACAACAGCAGCTGATATTTACATAAGATTCACCATGTGTAAGTTCTAGAACCAGTTAGTTCACATGTACTATCTTAGTTAATACACACTGTTAAGATTATGAACTAGATAAAATAATATTTTTCTGCATTTTTAGAGATGAAAAAATATATTCTACAGGGTCAGAGTTAGCCCGTATGTTTTCAATAATTTTTTACACATTTGCTTTTTTTTACTTGATGATATATTGCAAACAATTACCTGTGTCTTCACAATTTTTTCAAAAACATATATTGGATCGATTGAATATCCCATGATATTCCATCAGTTAGATGTCTCAAAATTCAATCAACAATTCCTCTATGATTTAATGTTTTATCTGTTGAAAGTTTTGCTAATACAAGTAAGGCTGGCATGAATGTTTTATAAAATATTTTTGTCTGTATTTTTCATATTTATAAAAACATTTCTTAAAGCAAAATTATAAATCAAAATTTATGATCATTTTTGAGACCCTTGACTGATTTCCAGACCGCGTATCCCCAGTCACAGTCCCTCCAACAGTGTTAGAGATGATCTCATCACACTATAGTGAATATGAATATTCAATCATTAAGAAAGAAAAAGAGTAAGAGAAATAAAAGTAAGTATAGCAATTATTACAATCACATGATTTAAATGTTTGGCTCTTTCTTCTTTAAACATGTATATAGCTTTTAATTTTGTAGTATTTTAAAAATGAATTCTATATGACATTATGTAACAGTAACTTTTTCTGTTAGATTTTAGGCAAACATTTTAAAATTTTATTTGCTTTTTAACTTTTTCAAAAATTTATACTCATAATTTAATTTTTTTTCAAATTAAAATGTACCAAATAATCACATGAAGTTGTATACTTCGTACAAACAGGGTTTTAATCTTCACAATCCTTCCTGTTTCACATTCTTTAGACTACATACTTAGTAATCTCAAATAATAACATATTCATAATTTATATTTAAAACATGATGTCTTTGGGTAAATCAATTCATACATATAGACATAACAGAGACACACACACACACACACACAAAGAATATAGGTTTCTAAGCTCCCCAACTTTTCTTTTTTTTTTTTGAGATGATGGAGTCTTGCCCTGTCGCCCAGGCCGGAGTGCAGTGTGGCCATATCAGCTCATTGCAAGCTCCGCCTCCCGGGTTCATGCCATTCTCCTGCCTCAGCCTCCCGAGTAGCTGGCACTACAGGTACCCGCCACCATGCCTGGCTAATTTTTTTGTATTTTTTAGTAGAGACGGAGTTTCACCGTGTTAGCCAGGATGGTCTCGATCTCCTGGCCTCGTGATCCGCCTGCCTTGGCCTCCCAAAGGGCTGGGATTACAGGCGTGAGCCACCGCACCTGGCCTGAGCTCCCTAACTTTTCTACTTAAAGTATTTTTCTGCCAGTGCTTAAAAACTCATGTAAAGTTATTTGTAAGAATTAAGTTATGATAAATTTTCTTCACACTCTTTCATTTTACGCCAATATTGTACTTAGGTTATATTGTGCTTTTTGCTTTCTATCACAGTTTAGTAGACTTAAATAAAATGATATCTATCTACCTGTCTACATGCATACAAATATACATATTTGTATCACATAATTGGAAGAGCTTGGAAGGAAAAGATTTTTATTCTGAAGGCTGCGTGTGGCTAATATTTTGTGAAGTAGACTGGATTTTATACTGTGAGACTATTACTTATATCATGTAGTTAATTGTTGTTTGCTTGTAAAGAAGCTATGAGCACAATATGATGGAAATCTTTTGTCGTTAAATCAACAGAAATGGACTTAAAGAAGGCAACTGCCTGAGACCCCATTTCAATGAAGGAAGAAAAGAAGGAAGTCATGTTTTGATAAAGCTATCAGAATTTAAATATATGTACTAGGATTCCATATCTGTTTTGGTTTAAAGAAAGAATTTTTAGTTGGATAAATCTGACAAGATTTGAAGATAAAAACAAAACAAAAATCTGGATCTCGTCTTTCTCTTATAAAGTGCGGTTTCTTCACATCACTCAGGAATGTTTATTCCAACTTAAGGCAGAACAGAAAATTGATTAATGCTGACTGCTTTCCTATGACTCTGTACTGTATTTACCTGAAATATAAACCACAATTTCAATAAATGGGTTTGTCTGATAATAGCAAAAAATTGAATCTCTCTGAAAATTCTGAATAAAATGTATGTAGTTTGGTTACATCTCTTTCTTACAGGAAAATGTACATAGGTAATATCATATTTTCTAAAAACGAATTAAAAAGAAATGACCAAGAGCTTATTAAATAAAGAGTGAAATTAGATAGGCTTTAAACCCCCAAAACAATATTCTCCTATGACTTAACTTCAATTAATATTAATTTAGAAAACCTTTTTCTTTCCCCCATAGGTAGCTTTTAATCAATTTTTCCCCTGATTCAAAACTACTGGATACTTAGGGCAGATGCAATTCTATAACCTTCTTCTTCCTCTACTACCCTGTAGAACAGATGATACAAATCTTTTCCCTGTGTTCAGATGGAACGTTTTATAACCACGTCGTGAACTGGCAGCTTGAATTTTGCACACTGCTACTTGCCATACTCTCTTGCAGCCCATGTTGTAGATAAAGCGTCCTTGTATTGAGGTTATTTTGGAACTGAAACTCCTCTGGATTTGTTCTGGTGCATTTTTGCCTCGTGCTTCTAAAGTTTTCGTTTAAAAGCTATGGGTTTTTTTTTTTATGATTTAAAGCCAAAAAATATATGCTTGTGCTTAATGAGTAGTTCTATTTTTAATTTTCTGAAGAACCTCCATACTATTTTCCATAATGGCTATAGTAATTTACATTTCTACCAACACTGTGTGAAATCCATCTTTCTGCATCCTCTCATTTCCAAGAGTGTTAAGAAATGCAGTGGAACAACTGTATAAACCAGAAGAATCAAGATATGCATATTAAACACAAACTGTATTGATTTTCCATGAGAAGTCTGCTCTGTCAATAGTCCTCTAAATTATGGTGTCTGTATGGTTGTAGATTCAGAGCATGAGTGATGATGGTCTGATGGTAGGGAGGCCATATTTACAGCCAGAAGAGTATTTACCCCAGACAGATGAACTTTCTGTTTTTGTGATCTAAACAATAACAAGCAACAAATTTAACTTTTAGTAATCGTTTTCACTGATGTGCACATCACTGAATTAAATTCTATTCCAAGGGAAAAAGACGTGGTATAATGATACTGAAGTCAATAGTTCTTGACAATCTGAATCTTATTTTGAAACCTTGTTAAAAGTCAGTTATGAGACAAGTTGTAGATTTTTATTGGTTCTTTGCAATTAGATAGAGATTGATATGAGATGCTACTTGTTCTGGCTGACAGTTGATAACAAACACATGTCCTGTGAATATGTTTGAGAAAAACGACTTGTTATGAGGTTCGTTGAATGGTAGTAAAACCGAGCGTAATTTACCAGCGGTATTATTCACTCTAAATTTCTCAGTTACCCCATCTCTATTCCCTTCTTTATTTTCTGTCAATTTTTCTCTATCTCTGCCTCTCTCCGATGTCTCTCAAGTAAAGTGCTTTTCCTTTTCTTTCTATTTCATTTAACAAATACATTTAACAAATAGTTCTTAAATGTGTGGTGTGTGCCAGACACTGAGTATATGCTGGGTATGGAGAAATGACTGAAATAGTCTCCATTCTAAAGAAACTGTCAGTAGTTAGGGAGCATTATATGTAAAAACTGGTGGTTTATTCTGCTTCTGGACAACATGGTGAGCTATGACAGGGTCCTACATTGCTCTGTAGAACCGGTCACTGGACAGTAAGAAAGGTTGATGAATTTGGAGACAAGTCACACATTGCAAAATTCTGGTGAGCATTATTCACATTTTATTCTTAATAAATGACACCTCACTGAAATACACAATGCAATGTGAATTTTGCTCCCTGGAGTGTGTAAAGTAACAGAGAAACTCTACTCAACCATAAATAAAAAACTGAAAAATCTTGGAGAGACCAAAGGTGTTTGTATCTTGATGGAACCAGGGTAGTTGGAGGTAGGGAAGTTTTCAAATTAGGGAAGGCCAGGAGCCTCAAATAAAATGCAAGATGAGTTGGCCTTTCTTTTCGTGCCCCTTTTCTTTCCCTAAGCTCTCAATTCCATGGGCAGGAATATAAAAACATCCACTCTGAGGTAAGAAAGGGGAGAACTGTAGTCTAGTTGTGGCGGAGGTCCTCTATCGGTGAGCAGGCACAGCCTGAGGAGTTCCTCAACATTCTTGCATCTCAACCCTTTTTCCCCACTGCATGAGCTAATAAGAACAGAAAGTAAGGGGCCAGGATGAAAGCAATGATAGAGTGAGAGTTACTGCAAGTTCCCTGGCAGTGAGACAAGGCTGGAAGGGCTATGAGTCTATGATACAAAGCGATAATTATCTCTCTTCACCAAGAGGCGCACAAGTTGCAGCCCAGGTTTTTGTCACTCTTCTGAATAACAAAGATCAGTCAAAGCAATTGATAGATCAAATAAAATTCGAGTTCCTAGTTACTGAGAAGCTTAAACACAATGCAATAAAAATCACTATGGAAAAAAGTGTTACCTTAAAAGCAAAACAAATGCAATAGAAATAATAAAAAAATTAAACTTGGAATTATAAATACATTCAACAGATAAAAGAAGATTAAAACATGAAGTAAAACATTTTCAAGAAAATATGCAGACATTTTGGGAAATGTCTGAAATGAATAAATTTTTAAAAACAATGAATGGGTTGAATGACAAAATATATACAGTAAAAAAATAAATAAATAAATACTGAGCTGGAGATTGAATAGCAGAACTTTCCCAGAAGGAATAGGAAAGGATTAATTGAGGATGACAGGGGAGAAAGGCAGGAGAAAAATAAATGAGTAAAAAGGGTGTATATTGGCAGAATTTTGAGCATCTGGATGACGAAGTCACCAGAGTATTTTTGGATGAGGAAGTATATCCTAAACAAGACTCCAAAAAGTACAAACAACAAGGAGAAAAGCTGAAGGGTGTGATTTTATCACAATCGAAGATTTATCTTCTAGGAGAGATATTAAAGATAAAACTAAAAGTGGGAGAAACTATTTGCAGTGGCTAAAACACAGAAGAAATTTTAACCTGTATGTACAAAGAGACAAATGCACTGCTGCTGGAGATGTAAATTGGAGCAGATATTCTGGAGAAGAATTAGGAAACACTATAGAAAACAGATAATCACCAGATGTTCTTCTTGGTGGTGACTTGAGTAAGGGGGAGGATAATTTTTGTAGTCTTTCCTCTGGATGATAGTTATCAGGGAAAAAAAATCCAGAGGATGTAATGCTTGAAGTGAATCTTCAAAGATAAATAAGAATTAATGCATTGGACAAAAGTTAACTGGGGAAAGGGAGTATAAGAACGTAGGCACTGTGGCCAGGCGTGGTGGCTCATGCCTGTAATCACAGCACTTTGGGAGGCCACCTCTACCTCAGTTCATTCTCCATAATTTTTTCCAGAATAATATTCCTAAATGTAATCCGACCATGTCACTTTTCTACTTTAACTTGCTCATAAGCTTTCTTTCAGAATAAAGCCCATGACACACCCTTCAAGGCCCTTCATGGTTTGCCTTTGACAAAATTTGAAACTCTATCCTCCTTTTCTTAACCTAGTGACCCAAAAAGAGTGCCCTGAATGACATCTGTTCTTTAAGGCCTCTGTATTTTTTACTGGCAATAGAGTGCCTACATTCTTTTTTGTTTTTTGTTTTGTTTTGTTTGAGATGGAGTACTCCCCCAGTCACCCAGGCTGGAGTGCAGTGGCAGGATCTCGGCTCACTTCAACCTCCGCCTCCTGGGTTCAAGCAATTCTCCCACCTCAGCCTCCCGAGTAGCTGGGATTACAGGCACCCATGGGTTCTTTTCTCACCATAATTACCTCTTTTCCAGTCATTTCAAATATGTCTATCAAATAGAGCTTTCATATTTGAAAAGTTATAACTGCATGTAGTGCCTGTAAGTTCCTTGTCTTGTTTCTAATCTTGAAGTAAAAGCGTTCAACTTTACAACCTTGAACATGACATTAGCTAAGGGTTTATCGTATGTGGCCTTTATTGGGTTGAAGTACATTTCCTCTATACCTAATCTGTTCAGAGTTTTCATCAAGAAAGGGTATTGAATTATGTCAAATGCTTTTTCTACATCTGTTAAGATGATCATGAGATTTTTATCCTTCATTTTGTTAATGTAGTGTATCACATTTATTGATTTGCATATGTTAAACAATTCTTGCATTGTAGGGGTAAATCCCATTTGATCATGGTGAATTTTTCTTTTAATATGTTTTTGAATTCAGTTATATAATATTTTGTTGGCAGATTTTTGCATCTATATTTAGCAAGGATATTGGCCTATATATTTCTTTTCTTGTAGTGTCCTTATCTGGCTCTTATCAGGGTAATGCTAACTTCATAAAATAAGTTTGGAGTTATTAGCTCTACTTTGATTTTTTTTGAAAGAGTTTGAGAAGAATTGACATTAGTTCTTCTTTAAATGTTTGGTATAATACAATAGTAAAGCTAATCAGTTCTGGACTCTAAAGGAGACTTGTTATTACACATTCAATCTTCTTGCTCATTGTAGGTCTATTAAGATTTTAAATTTCTTTGTGATTCAGTGTTGGTAGGTTTTATTAGTTGAGAAATTTATCCATTTCTTCTAGATTATCTGATTTGTTGACATATACTTTTTTTTACAATAGTTTCTTATAATGATTTGTATTTTGGTTGTATCGATTGCAATGTCTCCTCTTTCATTTATCATCTCATTTATTTGAGTAGTCTCTCTTTTTTCCTAGTCTAGCTAAGGGCTTGCCAATTTTATCTTTTCAAAAAAACCCAACTCTTAGTTAAATTATTTCTCTAGTCTCATTTCATTTATTTCTGCTATAATCTTTGTTATTTCCTTCCTTCTGCTAAATTTGAGGTTACTTTGTTCTTCTTTTTCTAGTTTTTTGAGGTATAACTTTAGAGTATTTGTGATTTTTTTTTCATTGATCACTGTAGATTTCCCTCTTAGAACTACTTTTTGCTGCATTCTATGTTTTGGCATGTTATGTTGCTATTTTAGTTTGTCTCAAGGTATTTTTTTAATTTGTTATTTGATTTCTTCTGTGACCTATTGGTTTTTAGGCGCATGTTGTTTAATTTCCACATATTTGTGTATTTTTCAAGATTTCTCATCATTGATTCCTCATTTCATGCTATTGTTATCCAAGTAAATATTTCATAGGATTTCAGTCTCCTCAAATTTATTAAGAATTGTTTTGTGGCCTAACATATAATCTATCTGGAGAATGTTCTATGTGCACTTAAGAAGAATATATATTCTGCTGCTATCAGATAGAATGCTATGTACATGCATATTAGGTCCATTTGGTCTACACTGTAATTGAAGTACAATATTTCTTTATTGATTTTCCTTCTATGTATTGAAAGTAGGGTACTGAGGTGCCCCATTATTATAATATTGCAGTCCATCTGTCCTTTTAGATTATTAAATCATTGCTTTATATATTTAGATGTTCCAATGTTAGGTGCATATGTATTTACAATTATGTTGTCCTCTTGGAAAATTAACTCCTTTAGCACTATTTAATGACTTTCTTTGTCTCTTTTTATAGTTTCTGACTTAAAGTCTATTTTGTGTGATATAATTATAGCCACCTCTGCTCCCCTTTGGTTTCTTTTTGCATGGAATATCTTTTCCCATTCTTTTTATTCCATTCCTTTCAATCTATGTGTGTCCTTACTAGTAATGAGTCTCCTACAAGCAGCATATGGTTGGATCTGGTATTTTTTGAAATCCAATCTGCCACTCTATCTTTTATAGGAGAATTTAATCCATTTACACTCAAGGCAATTACTGATAGGTAAGAATCTGCTATTGCCATTTCATAATTGGCTTTCTGATTGTTTTGTAGGTCTTTTGTTTCTTTCTGTCTTGCTATTGCCCTTTGTGGTTTAATGGTTTTCTATGGTTGTATACTTTGAATTCTTTCTTCTTATATTCTGTGCAACTACAATAGATTTTTGCTTTGTGGTTACCATAATGCTTACATAAAATATCTTATCCTTATAACAGGCTACTTTAAATTGATAACAACTTGCTTTTAATAGTATTCAAAAACTATACTTTCACTCTTCCCCATCTTTTATGATTTTGATGTTATAATTTATATTTGTTTTTATACTTTTTGTCCCTTAATAATTTATTATAGCTACAGTTATTCTTAATAGATTTGTCTTTTAACCCCACTAGTAGGGATAACATTGTTTTACATGCCACCCTTACAGTATTAGAATTAGTATGACTACATATGATTTATGTCATCAAGTTTTTTACTTCCTTATTTTGTACTATTAATTAATAGTCATTCATTTCAGTTTAAAGAATTCCCTTTGACAGTTTCTATAAAACAGGTCTGGTGGTGATGGGCTCCCTTAGCTTTTGTTTATCATAAAAAGTTTTTACTTCTCCCTCATTTTTGAAGGATATATTTGTGGATAAAGTGTGCTTGGTTGGCAGGTTTTTTATTTATTTTTGTTTGTTTGTTTGTTTCTTCATTTTTTTCTACCAGCACCTTAAATATACCATCCTTCTCTCTACTGGTCTGTAGGGTTTCTCCTAAGAAATCTGCTGAATACTGTATTAGAGCTGTCTTCAATGTGATGTGTTTCTTATCTTTTGCTTTTCAGTATTTTTATTTCTTTGATTTGTTGTAATTTGATTATGAAATGTCTTGGTAAAGTCCTCCTTGGGTTGAGTTTGATTGTGACCTCTGAGCTTCCTGTAGTAATATCTCCCCAGAATTTTGAAATTTTCAGTCATTATTTTCTTAAAATATGCTCTCTAGTCTTTTTACCTGTTTTCTCCATGAGGACCTCTTATTATGCGAAGGTTAGTTCACTTGATGGCGTCCCATAATTCCTGTAGGCCTTCTTCATTCTTTTTTATTATGTATTTTTTTCTTTTTGTTCCTCTAATTAGATAATTTGAAATATTCTGCTTTAGACCTCACTGATTCTTTTGCTTAAGTCGGCTGTTAAAGCCTTCTAGTGAATTTTTTTAGTTCAGTTATTATATTTTAATCTCCATGACTTGTATTTGCTTTTTATTACTTCTATTTCTTTTTCAAATTTCTCATTTTTGTTCTAAGTTGTTTTCCAAATTTTATTGAATTTTGTATTTGTATTTTCTCATACTTTCTTAAATTTCTTTAAGAGGATTATTCTAAATTACATGTCATTTTATAGATCTTCATTTTTTTCTGGGTCCGTTACTGGAGATTTATTATTTCCTTTCGGTATTATTATGTTTCCCTGAGTTTTCATAATCCTTGTGTCCTTGAATTTATGCCTGTACATTTGATAAATGTCTGTCTTCTCTGGCCTTTGCAGATGTTCTTTGGTGGTGATAGGCCTTTACTATTTAGTTTAGCCTGGGATTTTGTATGGGTTGACTAGTAGCAACATGAAAAAGCAGACTTTGGTGTCAGATTTTCTAGTTGGGCTGGATCATTTCTGTGATCTGAGGTTAAATGGTATTGCTGGTTGTGCTCCATGGTCCATTAAAACCACTAACTGAACTTTGTTGTCAGGTGGGAATGCTGGCTGGTCTCTAATCATCTCTGTTTGAGCAGGGTTGCAGGCTGTCTTCCTTGAATGGGTGGTATTGTTATTTAGAATCTGTACTTGGGCATTTCTATGTGATGGGTTCTGAGGCTGGATGAGGTCTCTAGGTTGCTGCTTGGCCACACAACATGAGCAGGGCCAGAGGCTATGCTCCACAGATACGTGTAGACTTGGGCTTGCCTCCTGGCCTAGGGTATACCTATGCAGAGCACTAAGATTTGGTAAAGCCACCACACTGTGGTTGGCATTGAGTGGGGCCAGATGCTCCCTCTGTGGGTAATTACTGACCTGCAATTGCCTCCATGCTTTGAATACTTAATGGAAACATTTGAACTTAGTTGGAGCACCCTCTTGAGTTGAGTGGGTTCAGATGTTCCCTTTATGGGTAATTGCTTACCTATAGCTACCTCTTGCTCTAGGGAAGACCTAATGAGAGTATCCAGGCTCTGTGGGAAAATTGGTTAGGCGTTTAATTCTAAAAGACCCCTGAACCATGTTTCCTTCAGCGCAATGCTATTGGCTGGTTATTTGGGGTGGCATTGCTGTTGGCTGGAATGTAGAAAAACCACCAAGAACTGTGCATTGGTCACTGTGAGCCCCACTTTCATTTTTTTTTCTAACTGACCCCAGGGAGTCTAGCCCTGCTAGTATTTCTAATGCTTCTTTTGGAATGAGACAGGAGTTAGCCTCACATGAACAGTTCTAGAACAGTGGGGGAGCAGAATGTCTGCCTCCAACTCACTTTTCCCATTGTAGAAACCGAGAGTCCAGAGGAATTATCTGGTGCTGTGCCAGCTTGGAGGAGGGGTAGCACAGTCAAAGAGAGCTATTCATTTTATCATTCAATAGCAGCTTTCTTGGTTCTATAGTCTAAGAGAGTGTATCAGTCTGATTTCTAAGATCTGGGGTATTTACAATGATAGCCTTGACTGTGGATAGTTGCTAGTTGGATTTCTGAGGTTGCAGGGTGAAGCCAAAGAACTCCTATTCCACCATCTTCTTGACACCACTACTAGATGAGATTTCTTTAGAATGGGTTTTGGAGTATGCTACAAAGGTGGCAGAGGATAAAATCTAAGGGAACATTTAAGAGTTAGGTAGAAGAATAGGAAGCCATAAAATCACTATGCTTCAGTAGGTCTCCTTTATTAAGTTAAGAAGGTTTTTATTTGGGAAGTCTTTTTCTCTCTCTCTCTCTTTCTTTCTTTCTTTCTTTCTTCTTTCTTTCTTTCTTTTTCTTTTCTTTTCTTTCTTTCTCTTTCTTTCTTTCTTTCTTTCTTTCTTTCTTTCTTTCTTTCTTTCTTTCTTTCTTTCTCTCTCTCTCTCTCTCTTCTTTCCCTTTCCCTCCCTCCCTCCCTCCCTCCCTTTCTTTCTTTCTTTCCTTCTTCTTTCTTTCTTTCTTTCTTTCTTTCTTTCTTTCTCTTCCTTCTTTTTTTAATATCAGTAGCTATTGATACATAAATTAAAAAGTATTCCATCAAGTCATTTAGGGAAAATATTACATCTTGTCTTCATAGATGTTATTTTACGTGTTTCTCCATAGTGACTCAATTTGGGCCTCTATTTGGGCCTCTAGTCCAGCTAGTTGTGGAAAGTCTGATATTGACAATTCATAAGCCTAGTGACTTCCAGGTTAAAAATGAAGACTCAAATTAAATTAATCTGTACTTCTTCTCTTCCTTTATTTTCTCCCCCTCTCCCTGGAGGTGATGTAAATTATGATGGGGGAGGTACTTAACATATTATTCTGTTTCCCGGGGAGGGTCTTCAGTGAGTGCCATCATCCATTTTTAGCAGCTTCCACCAAGGTGTCATTGATCTTGCCTGGTCTTCAGCATTGGCTTGTGTTTTCACTTTCCCAGCCCTACCCTCTACTGGTCAAATTCCAATGTGCTATGGGTCCCTGTCCTCACTCTCAGTTCCTACAAATTTGTCAGCCAGCTGATTATTTTAGAGAATGCTTTAGAACTGTCAGGTGCTTTTCCACCACTGATTCTGGTGCATGCACCTAAGCACCTCCATCAGCTGTAGTTCTTGACAATTTCAACCTCCTGTGGCACAAGGGGGTTCTCTATGAGGATTTCATTTTCTCCAGGGATGTGGTCTCTCTACTTCCCAGAAACCTAGACAGTATCACACTACATTCCCCTCTATCTTCCTCCTTCCCTCTGCAATCATACTTTTTCTCCTTTTAGGTGAGTAAAACTAATGTATTTCACTAATCTCTGATGCATGATTCATAGCCTGTATCTTGAACCTCACAACTTTGCTCTTGATATGCAGAGGCCAGTTATCTGTAATTCCAAGAGTAACATTTTTTATTCTATAAAGGCTGCATATTGCACATCAAAAGCACATTAATCTTAAAACTACTGTCCGCATTTAATTTAAAAAATCTATTTAGCTTGGCTCAAAATCAAGCTTTGTGCTCGAGGCCACCACATATAGAAAGTGAGAGATGCTACCTTAATTATGAGGGAAAGGAAGGACTACATAAAAAGCTGTAAAACAGCAAAACAGCAAGCTCTTAATATATATCACCATATTGTCCCATTATAATTTGATACCTATTTATGTATTAGCCAAAATAGGCTTTCTTCTGTAACAAAGACTCCAGAAATTTAATGCAATAAAGGTTTATTTCTTGCTCATTCCCAGAGCAATGCAAGAAGGTGGGGGATGGGAGAGTAGATGGTAGCGATACTCATTTAGGGACCTATGGTCCTTCCATCTGGTGGGTCCACTATCTTTCAAGGCCTCAGAGGATTCCACTGGGTTTCTGCATCTGCCAGAAGGCAGGAAAGAGAAAGTGAATGGAATACCCATGAGATATTTTATGGATTAGTTAGTTTGTGAGCAAAGGACATGAACAGACACTTTTTCAAGAGAAGACATACGTGTGGCCAATAAGCATATTTTATAAAGCTCAGGATCACTGCACATTAGAGAAATGCAAATTGAAACCGCAGTGAGATATCATCTCACACTAGTCGGAATGGCTACTATTAAAAAGTCAAAAAGTAACAGATGCTGGCAAGGTTGCAGAGAAAAGGGAGCACTTATACACTGTTCGTGTGAGTATAAATTAGTTTAACCATTGTGGAAAGCAGTATGGTGAGTCCTCAAAGAGCTAAAAACACAACTACCATTTGACCCAGTAATCTCATTACTGAGTATATACCCAAAGGATTATAAATCACTCTCCTATAAAGACACATGCACACATATGTTTACTGCAGCACTATTCACAATAGCAAAGACATGGAATCAACCTAAATGCCCATCAATGATAGACTGGATAAAGAAAATGTGGTACATATATACCATGGAATACTATGCAGCCACAAAAAAGAACATGGATCAAGCTGGAGGCGATTATCCTTAGCAAACTTACACAAGAACAGAAAATAAAATACAATTTGTTCTCAATTATAAGTCGGAGCTAAGTGATGGGAACTCATTAAAACAGAGAAGGGAACAACAGACACTAGGGCCTAATTGAGGACGGAGGAGGGAAAGGGGCAGCAAAAATAACTATTGAGTGTTAGGCTTCATAACTGGTTGATGAAATAATCTGTGTAACAAACTCTCATGACAAGAGTTTACCTATATAAGAAACCTTCACATGTACTCTGAACCTAAAATTAAAGTTTAAAAAAGTAAAAAAAAAAAATTAAGATAGAAGAATGAAAATTAAGAATTGAAGCTAGAGGGTCTACATGACAAAGACCTGAGAGCAATCTGAAGCAGACAGACAGCTTGTAGGGAAATTAGGATCTCAACCTCCAGCTTCAGGAAATGAATTTTGCCAACAACCAAAGAACGTGAAACATCCTGGAGCCCCATATAAGAACAACAGGCACCACCTCCCTAACCTGTCAATATCCTGGGAAATAATGAGCAGAGTATCCAGTCATGCCACACCCCAAAATCTGACCTAAAGAAACTGTGAGATAACTAATTTGTTTTTGTTTTTGTTTTGAGACAGAATCTTGCTCTGTCACCCAAGCTGGAGTGCAATGGCACAATCTTGGCTCACTGCAACCTCTGCCTCCCGGGTTCAAGTGATTCTCCTGTCTCAACCTCCTGAGTAGCTGGGACTACAGGTGTGAGCCACCGCATCTGGTTAATTTTTTTATTTTTATAGTAGAGATGAGGTTTCACCATATTGGCCAGGCTGGTCTTGAACTCCTGACCTTGTGATCTGTTACAGGCGTGAGCCACTGCACCCACCCTAATTTGTATTTTTTTTTTTTTTTTTTGAGACAGAATCTTGCTCTGTCACCAGGTTGGAGTGCAGTGGCGCGATCTCCACTGACTGCAACCTCAGCCTCCCAGGTTCAAGCAGTTGTCCTGCCTCTGCCTCCAAGCAGCTGGAACTACAGGTGTGCACCACCACGCCCAGTTAATTTTTGTATTTTTAGTAGAGACAGGGTTTCATTACGTTGGCCAGGATGGTCTTGATCTCTTGACCTCATGATCTGCCCACCTCAGCCTCCCAAAGTTCTGGGATTACAGGCGTGAGCCACCACGCTGGGACTAATTTGTATTTTTTAATGTTGCTAAGCTTGTGGCAATTTCTTATGCAGCAACAGGAAACTAATGCTGCTTGGAAGTGACTTACTTCACTTTTGCCTACACTGCATTAAACAAAGTTTAATCATTCAAGCCCATCTAACTGCAAGACATTGGAAAATGTAGATTAATTTGTTCCTAGGAACAAAAGGAAATGAACTGTTGAGCACATAGGAGTGACTTTGCTATTGTTATTTATTTTAGCCAAAGATAACCAAGTCATATTCTCTGGGGCCTTTAAAATATACATGCTGATACATTGCAGTATTTAATATGATTCACTCATTTTGTTTTCTCACAATAATGATAAATGTAATGTCAACCTTATTTAATGTTTAGGCCTGATTTTCATCTGAATATATCAGATGAACTTCAACAAGTTATTTTGCCACTCCATTTCATTTCTGCTTCTATATAAAATAGCAGATGGGTAATCCAAATCACACATAAAAGGACAGACACTGAACCTTTAATAGAACATCTGAGAAGGAGAGCTTAGGTACTGGCTTAACAGACATGGAAATTAAAACTATTCCTTCTTGGGTCATGTCAATGACCATATCAATACACTCTGATATTCTCAATGGGAAAATCAATATAACAAATGCTTGGGTTCATTATTCTCTCTCTGCCTTTCTTTTAAGAAATGTTTCTGACATAAATTTAATGTATAGTTAACACACTGAAATGTAATGTGATGGTAGCTTTTTGCTTATTTTGTTCTGAATATTCTACACAGATCTTATCCACAAAAATATTTTTTATCAACTACAGATGCTCACCCTCCAACTGACGTTTTTGTCTTCAGTTCTAGACCTGTGTTTTCAGTTTCTTAATCAACATTTTTACCTAGTTATATGAAACTGTTTCAGACCTAATAATATTTCAAAAATTGTACTCACCATATTTCAACCCAAACTCACTTCCAAACCTTGTATTTCTTATCTTAAAGAATCATATCACATTCATTCAGTTCCAAGTTGGAAATTTGAGGGTAATCTTAAACTCTTCTTTTTCTCTTATGTCATCCAATCTGTCACCTAGTCCCATCTTCTCTATGTTCCACATAGCATTCAGATCTTTCCTCTGCTCCCCATTTCAACTAGATTTCATTAGCTCAGACCTGCCTTATTTCTCTAAAATACTAGAACAGCTTTTTAATTAATTTCCCCAACCCCAGTCGGATTATCAGCCACATAGTTGTGAGAGTGATATTTCTAAAATGCAAGTCTTATTAACACATGCTTAAAATCATTTAGTGGCTCCTTTTTGAAGTTAGGTAAAAGTCCAAAGTTTTAGATATTTACCAGGGCCCTTATTATCTGTACCCTACTTACATTTCCATCTAATCTTTTGCTACAACCTCAAGAGATCACTCTTAACCAGCTTTATAGAAATTCTTGCAGTTTTCTGATGAGGCATACTCTCTGGCACCTTTGAGTCATTTCAGTATCTTTTTGTTAATTTACATTTCAAACTTCTTGAATAATAATTGCTATTAAAGACTTTAAATTGTATCTTTTCTTTGAAGACTTTGTTAACTTTCTTGGATAAAGTGAGGTGCTCTTGAGAAATTTTGTAACTATGGGCCTCTACCATGATCACCTTTCCAATTATGTTCTTATTGCCAGTTTTTAAATGTCTCCTACAGTTGCTAGATGTTTTGGGGGGTGAGGCCTACCACTCATTTAATCTCCATGTACTCAGACAATAGCTTAACACATAAAACATGGGAGACACTCAAAATTGTTCTATGAGTGGACAAATAAGTGAACCACAGGGAGGGAGTTAATTTGAGAGGAAGTTGTGGGATATAATTCAAAACACATAGTAACTAAATGTTTGAGAAAAAGAATTGTGGTAGTTTATTCTACTTTCTTTTTTTTGGTCTTGACTTTCAGAATGATGTTTTCTTCTTTATACTTCCCCAGAGACAACACGTAATAGGTAATTCTGTATTGAATAATAACCAGAATGCAAAATTATTATATTACTTTTTAAAAAATTGCTGTTCATAACAAAAAGTAACAGACAAAGATTTGAATGAATCTTTTGAAATTTTATGTAATTTCTATTTAGACTAATTTATATATAAAGAAGGGAATAAGTAATTTTTTTCCATTCAAAAGAACTAAATATTTCAAGCAAACATTTTAGGATAAATGATCAACATCTAAAATTCCTTAAAAAAGTGAACTATGCAATGCAGTTCTTCAGGAGGGGCTTTTTTCTTATATTTAATTTCACTCAGGAAGATATGGTAAATTATTGTCAGGTTTAGTTAAATTCTGTAAAAGGCCTTTTTCAGGAAGACAGGCATTATAGCAAGCTTGTATTTCTTCCTTGATTCTGGAAATTGATACACTGAAAGCAGTTCATAACAGTAAAGCTGTATCTAAGTTTATGTTTTTACCAAACTCAACCCTCTGTAACATAGTCCCCAAAACAAATAATAGGGAAAATAGTTTATAAACAATCATGTTTGCACTGGAATCCATGAAAGCTACAGTTTCAATAGTTCTAAGATTCATTATACAGGTTTTAGAGATAGAGACACACAGACACAGAGAGAGACAGAGAGGGGAAGAGAGAGAAAAAGAGAGCGAGAGCACGAGAGAGAGAGAGGGGAGAGGGTTGGGAGAGGGAGAGAACGACTAAAATGTGCACTTATATGTATGTGTTTATGCCTAATTGCCTTATCTTTGTATGAATAATCTATAAAGTCAAGCTTATCATTTCAGTGATTCCTTTAATCATGCACAGTATCAGTTAAATAAAAATTTGGCCTTTCCCCTTACTTTCTATCTATAGAATTTGAGCTGTATAAAAGTGAAATTTTACTCAAGGATTAACCAATTAAATATCCATCTTCTTCATTTGAACTGATTCAATATACCAGAATTGGAAGAAGCCTGAAAATCCCTTCATGGCTTTTGTTATTGTATCAGGCCTTTTGATTTTATAAGCTCTGGATTTTTATCTTAAGTTTGAATACAAAGAGCAACTTAGACTCATAATGTGCCCTGTGAAATCCCACATGTGTTTTCCTCCTCTGTGCCTCATTTTCCTGCATTCCTAGTATATGATGAATCCTGTTCTCAGTTTACAGGGATGTGGACTATTTTGGGTTATGTCCAAGCATTTAACATGCTAGAAAAGGCAGCAGTGTTTTAAAGGGCTTCTTCATCAGAAGACCTCTGAGATTTCGTAGCTACACAGAAATGAAAGTTATTCTCACTCAAAGTAAATTACTTCACATTGAATTTCTCATTTATCTAAAATTTCCATTCATCTTTAATAATGTTATTTGTTCGTTTTGTCCTTTCCTTGAATGTAGAAAAATATACTTTATGATCTCTCAGCCAAAAATACATGTTTAAACAAGTATCTCTTAATATATTATATGTGAGCACATGTGAACAAGTTTTAATATTAATTAAGTTATTTCTGTTTAGCTAATCTTACATTATATGATGACTTAAAACTATCAGTGATAAATTGCCCTTTATTGATAATTTATGTATTAAATTTTACCAACTCTAGAGTAATGACTTTTGTTTTTTAAGTAATACCAAGAAGTACAATTTTTTGATGCGTATTTTACATAAAGTTTTCATATTTACATACTATGTGTTAAGGGAGTTGGAAAATATCTGTATAAATCAATGATTCTATGATCTTCACCAAGTCTATCTGTTAAGCTAATGAATGTTACAAATTATACCATTAATCTTGACTAATACCTAAATAGAAAAATGATTTAAACATTGAGGGGAAGAGAGATTTATTTGATTAAATAAACGTACTCCAAAGTTACTAAGTTGTTTCATGCTGAAGGATTGGGTACACTATTATATGCCTCTGGTAACATTCTTGACAGATAATCTTATGAGACAATGGGTATTTAATGAACACCTGTGTCCTTTGCATTGACCTAGCTGCTATAGACTTCACTTTATAGCTTATAGTCTCTGGCCCACATTGGAAATACAGTATTTTGGGTGAGGAAAGACATATCCACAAGGAAATATCATTACATGTGGCAATTTATTTGATACTCAAATGTAAAAGTGTGATGCATTATTTGGTACAGAAAAATAGATAATGGACCTGCATGTAATAAAATGGTATATGTAGTACAATTACAAAATGCAACAGAAGACAACGTAGAGGACGCTTTCATCATCATCATCAACAGGAGTCAACTGTGAAGAAAAGACAATAAACTTTGGATTTTCAAATAGCTCTGCCTGAAAAAATGCTATATCCATTATGATGCAAAATATGAGATATTTTAAAATTAGGGTGAGAGACTTTATACTTCAGTTGTAACTTACGGGTCTTCACTATTTCTACCTTGAAAAGAAATAATTTTACCTAGATCACTGAATTGTTTTAGGATATAATGTGGTAATACGTTGAAAACTTCTAGTAAAATACCTGATAATGACTACCACTCAGAAAATGATGATGCTTATTATTATTTTGTGTTTAATTTAAAAAATAAGATAGACTAAATCTGCATAACTGAGACTTCTTAAGTTTTCACTGACATCTCAAGATAAAACACTTTATGGTTTTTATGCAAGTATAGATTATTTACATGATACTATCATTTTTATTTCATCTATGATTATATATGTATATTTATATTTGCATGTTTGTCCAGACTAATACAAATATGAATGACTAATTTTAATATAAATTCACATAATGCGAACATGTGCATATATGTGTGTATGCATACATAAATATGTTTATGTACTTATACATATAGAGATACTTATTCATTATTTCTTCCTTCAAATTGAAGCAGTAGGCACTGCTTTAAAACTAGTTACTTCTAGTCAGGCTCATTTATCAAACTTTCTTTTTTGATGTGAAAGTTCTCTACTTTGTCTTTATTTTAGTATGACTTCTTGCCTCATAATGTAAATAAAAACAAGGAGAATCTTATTTTTACAAAGGAAAAAACCTTAGACAAAAATAATTTTGGAAATAAAAGTGGATAACATATTTTCCACATAAATGTATTAAACATGATTAATACACTAAAATATAATAATTTTATAACTCAAAATATTTCAGTTAGTGAAACAGTCATGGAACTAGAGGGTCATTCTAGGCATGCAGATTGTATTTCCAGTGTAAGGAGCTTCAGGATCAATTATCAGCATACTAAATGGGTGGTGCAAACAATGTTGCCAATAGTGCTAACAGGTGCTGGCTTATCCTTAAAGAATGATGAAGCAGTACGAATATTCTTTCTACAGTTTTTTTTTAAACTAAAAACATTGTAATTCTGGAAACACATTGATAAAAATCAGCCCCTTCCAATTGTTAATGCATCTTTTAAATAAACAAACCTACATTTTTTTTCCTGAAAATATTTCTCGAAATAGAAATATCAATGAGTAACCATCCTCCCTTCTTACCTTGCTTCCTTTCTTTTTCAAATGCCTACGTAATACTAATTATGTAGAAACTGTTTTAGCAGCATAAATTCGCCCAGTACTCAGAACAAGCCCATGATATAGGTATTATTATCCCTATTCTAGAAATTGCATAGTCATCATTTTTGGTTTTAATTATATTGGATAAAGTGTAGTAACCAAGCTTTTTAAGGATATATAAATCGCTTAGGATTTTGAGAAGCTCTTTGGTTCCATATAGGCAAATACGAGCATGCATTTAAGTAATTAACCAAAAAAAGATAAAACAAAAAGTTATTTAATTAGGTTAGTACTGACCTTTTTGGCCTTAAAATAATAGACTTATTTACAAAGTTTCCTTTCTTTTTTCCTTTTTTCCTCTTTTCTTTCCCTTTCTCCCTCCCTCCCTTTCTTCAGTCCCTTTCTTCACTCCTTCTTCCTTTCTGTCTCTCTTCTCTCACTCTCCTTCTCTCTCACTTTTTTTGGGTTTTAGAAAATTAGGTGTTTGGTTTTTTTTTTGAACTAAAGTTAGTGTAATATAAGTTACTACCAGACAGAATTGTAATTTTGGTCTCGGATTCCATTCAAACCTATATGCAGCCATGAACATCAGGTCTAAGTGATTTTGCATAAAGCAGAGCAGCTATATAGCCTTTATCTCAACCTAGTTGAGAAAGGAATAATACGTATAGTTAATACAGGTGTCATTTATGCAAGCATTTTTCTTCAGGGTTGATTTCTAGTTTTTACTACACAAACTCTTTTGTGCATATTTTATTTCTTAAAGTTAGTTTACATTACTTTTGTTGTGAAATTATAATTAATGATTCTGAATATTACATATTTTAAAAATAATCTTAAATAATATTTTACTATATCAAATAATTTTCATGGTTAGACAAATGGGCAGGTTAAAAATTGGATCTATAATTAACAAGGTACAAATAAAAGCAAAGCAAATGATCCTATACTTGTTTTGTCAGTTCTTCCCCCAAAATACCTCTATCCTCCTTCCATCTCTCCCCACATTCACTGCCACACCTATATCAAAGCCATCACTTTGCTTCTCCAGGTAATTAAAATGTTTTCCTTACTAATATTTCTGTTTTTTATTTCACTTCATTTCAAAATGATCTTTGAAAAATACATACCACATAGCTCTCTTAACTAAATCTTTTAGTATCTTTCTATTGCCCTTAGATTAAATTTAAATTTATAGCACAACCTACAAAATTTTTCATCATGCACGTCCCACCTGCCTTTCTAAAAATCTTTCATAGTCCTTTGTTTGTTCTAATGCAACAGTGACATTAGGCTTCATTTTATTTTTCTGTGTCAGAGCTGGAGAGTCAATAAGAATAATGTTGTCTTTCTCAAACATTATTGACTCCAAAAAAATTAAGTTACCTTTTACATTACCCTCATGCACATATTTTACTGAAACAAAAGTTTTACCAAACAATATTTTTTAGCTATAATGCACTCTATTATTTGTATCCATTTCTTTCTATTATATTTACAAAAAAAAATACTTGGCAATTGGTTCACTAAATTGATTTCATGACCCTTTAATGAATCAGAACCCACAGTTTGAAAAACATTGGTGTAGTTAGTGGTTAAGAGTTCATGCTCTGAAGTTGACAAAAATGAATTTATATCTTGAGACAACCATCGGCTGACTGTATATAAACTTTGGCATACTTGACCTCTGTATCACAGTTTCTTCATCTAAAATGTTAAGCAATAATAGTATTTTCTTTATGTCATTGATATAACGACCAAATTACAAAATGCGTATGAAGTACTTAGACCAGTGCCTGAGACTGATAGAAATGATTTTTATTATTGACACTTTTGTGAATATTATTTGTTGTATATACAGGTCTTTTTTTCTTACTAGAATACTATTTTCCAGTGTCCCACACCCATATTTTATGGGTAATTCCACCTCATTCTCAAAGTGTTACATCTGTGATGTCTTCTTTGACTCACTAGGTCTGGACTCCCAACTCAGCTGCCTTCAGAGGCCGAGTAGGCAACTGAAATTCATGAAGTCATTCTATGTGATGGCATGGTCATACCTGGGGCAAAATAGGGACATGGGACTGTGTGTGTATATATATACACACACACACACACACCCCCCACATGCATACACAATCACACACTCACACATGACAGCTGATTTGCAGTTTATGCCTGACATTAGATCCTCTTTCTATAGGTTCGCATGGCAGCCTATACTTTGCTTTCTATGATATTCATTATCAATATTGCCAATATTTGTTTACCATTTCTCTTCCCGCCAAAAACTATAATTAACTCCGTATGGATAAAACTGTAACTACTTTATTTACTTTGTATTCCTAGCCCCAAGCCCAGTGCTTGGAACATGGTATTCCTGAGTGGAATACAACAGAATGGAGTGTCCTGATATGAGCCTAACTTGTGCTTACTTGAGAGTTCTGATAGGTCTTGCCTTTGTTGAAATACTGCCTGGCATCAAATTGCCTAAACTGGAAAAGAGGCTCAAGGACAGTGGGCCATGCTGGAGGGAAGGGCTACTTCTGTATATAGCACCACTGATGATGACTAGCTTGGTCATCAGTATCATCACCAACACTACTATCCTCAATGCTATTAGCCCCATCTTTATGGATTTATGCTTAATCTTGGAAGAGGAATCTAGAATCCTAGCCATTTTACTAAAATCCCTCTGGGAGATTCAGAGTGCAAATCAGCATGAGTGGATTCAGCAAAGTTGATGCCAGAAACTTTGACAGCAATAGCAGGAAGCATTGTCAGCTATACAGTGATGCTGTATTTTTCTGCTTCGGCTATTGGCAGGCTTGAAACAGGCTCAATGGCAATAGTGTCAATGTGAGAGGGGAATGGTGCATTTCTAAAGCAGCCATCTCACAGACCAGGAACTGTTGGGTCTATGGAATCCCTCCTGGTTACCCAAATTTGGGGCTTGAGAATATTTGTAAGACCTCTTCAATGGTTTCAAAGATAAGTTGAGAAGGCTTTGGTAATGTAAATTGGGCTGAAATTCTAGAATATATGGATGAGGGCACAGCAGAAAAAATACAGTTTGGAGACATTGAGATCCAAGTTTTAGTCTCAGATTGGAGAAACATAAAAATGATTATAATGGTTGGTCTGTGGAAATTATGGGTAATTCTTTTATGTTACCTTTTCTGAAATGTTTATAATGCAATTTGTTATTTCCAAAATGAAAAAAGAATATTTTAAAAGAATGCTAATAACAATAATAGTCTAATTACAAAAAATAATTCGTGTATGTTAATAAATTTGCTGTGATATGTGGAACGTGTGTGTGTGTGTGTGTACAAACCTGTAACAGAGTTCAGGATATGTAAGTTAGCCAAAAGAATTGCTAAACTCAATTCATAAAAGAGAAACCTGAAACTTGTGACTTGTCCAGATTTTTCCATAAAAATAGAAATCAAGTATGCATTAGAATCACCAGCTCACATAAACATTCTTTAGCCTCCATTGATTGAATACTTCAAATTAAGTAGCAAACTAAAATAAAATTATCAAGATAGGAGGAGGCTGGTGTGTGTGTGTGTGTGTGTGTGTGTGTGTGTGTGTGTGTGTGACAGTGAAAGACTGAAAGCAATTGTTGAGCTGGTTGGGAGGACCTAAAATAACAAGGTGTACAGTAACATTTATTTTTCCTCTCCTAAATAAATTATTCGAGTATGTTTTACATTTATCTTGATTTTTATTTTCTCTAAAATTATTACTTAGTGACAGGCAAACACTACTAGCATTATTTTATGTAGCACTAAATGATAGAAAAGAGAGATTTATATATAGCCCAGAAGCTTCAGGGAGATGAAGCAGATACTATCCATAGAAGTGTCGTAGACTCGCTTAGCAAATGTTTTCGCAGTTAAAATGGAATCAAAGTGCTTATTTACCTCAGAGGAGTTAAACCCATAAGTCCACTAATAGTAATTTTGTGAATGTTGAAACTGTGTTCAATTTTGATAAAAGATGCTTTAATGAATCCTCCTGCATTCACTCATTACAGAAGGCATGCCTGTGTTCTCCTTATGTGCCAACAGAAAAACTTTCACTGCAAGAGAGAAAAAAAACCCTGGCATTTAAATTCAGTATAAAATTTTTTCTTTTTGTCCTGAGATTGGAAAACTATTAGTGTTGAGTTAATGTACTGACCAGTGTAGAAATAGAATCTGAAAATGGTTCTAATTCTCTCTTTTATTTATGTACTTTTGTGCACATACACTTATCTATGATAACTATCTATTTTATAAACTCAGAAGAAATGAAAAGCAAATCAAATAAAGCTGGTTTAAATAATTTGAGACTGAAATAATGCAGTAATTATAATTTCTGTGTATGGATGGAATGTATCTCCCAAATAATAACCTCCAAACCCATGTGGCCAACAATTGGAAAATCACTGTCATGCACCATAAGACATCAGCCATTAGTTCCTGCTCATGTGCCATTTGCCATTTCTTTGGGTTATGCAGTGCAGCAATGCTGAGTATACTCTTTGATGTTATCTCTCTGAATCCTGCTTGTTGCAAGCTCATCACACTTTTGGCTGACTCTGAAAAATGGCAGCTAGCTTTGGGGTCGATAGTGGGAGGGAAGGGTGCTTAGCTACTTTTAAGCTACAAAGAATATGCTAAATCATGCTTCAGTGTGGCATGAAATCAGAGTGTTACTGGAGATAACAAAAAACAAAAAAGCAGAAAACAAATAAGCTGTCATAAACTGCTCTAGGATGATTCAATTTTTCTACTTACAAATGCTATCTATAAAAGATAAAATATAAAGTACATAGTAAGCCTTTCAGCCTGCATATGTTGGTAATGAAGAAGAATGCTATGTTGCATGTAATGGAGGGCTGGAACATTAATGTTCAAGTGTCAGGCCACTTTCATTGCTTGTTCCAAAATATAAATGAGTGATACAGAAGAGAGTATAGTTAAAAAATACTGTAGTGATAGATAACCATGTGAAAATCAAGAATTGCTTTGACATATTAAATATAATTTTAATAGCATATTAATTGTTAGATCTTATGTAATTAATAGCATCACAGGGCACCTACATATATATTTATTTGATGCTTTCATCAACCCTATTTTGTAGGCATTACTCTTGTTTTCAGATGAGGAGGTCAACTAGTAGGCTAAATGACTTGCCTAAGATTGCACAGACAAAAAGCAGGAGCCGTGGGTTAAGGCTCAGAACTTCTACTTCAAGAACATGACCCTGTGCTTGGAATCTGGTCTTTGAGGCCAGAAGACCAACTGAGTGTGCTCAGTTGTTTAAGACACTTTGGCCTTTGGAATGCTTCAAATCCATTATTTTATTTATTTGTTTTATTTTTATTTTTAGAGATGGGATCTCACTCTTTTTGTCCAATCTAAAGTGCAGTGGTGCAATCATAGCTCACTGCAGCCACCAGCTCCTGGGCTCAAGAGATCATCTTGCTTCAGCCTCCTGAGCAGCTGGGACCACAGGTGTGTGCCACCATGCCTGGCTATTTTTTTGTAGAGATGGGGGTCTCACTTTGTTGCCAAGGGTTGTCTCTGTCCTCAAGCAATCCTCCCACTTCGGCCTCCCAAAGTGTTGGAATTAAGCCGTGAGCCATGGCACCAAACCCTGAATCCATTTTATCGTAAGTGGTTGACTTATCCAATTCTAGCATTGGCATAACGCTCTGGCTGTTTGCACATTATGCCAAACATACTTGTTGAGAAAGGAATGCCATTTTGGAATAACACTGTCCAATATGTGAATTATTAAAGATAAAATAATATTTTACAAATTCACTTTATATATTCAACTACCCTAAGACTTAACGCAAATCTTCTATTTTTTTTCCTTTTTTTTTTCATGAGATCCATGAGGGATGATTGCTCAGTTCTTCAAAACATGCCTACCAGCATTCTTTCACAGAGACATGAGACATAACCTTTCTCTTCTTTAAAAGTCCTTATTCAGCGCCACTTCCTCCAGAAAGTTTACTCCATCTCCTAGTCAAAGCAGCCTTGGACCACCAAGTCTACCATATTCTGCATTTTCCCATAGGTAAAGAATTATTTCTGCAAAGCTGATATGTTGCTTAGGTCTCTGTTGCTTCAATTTTGAGGTATAAAATATCCTGGTCTATTTTCGATGTTTTCTCAAGCCTTCTTTAAAAAATTCCAGCTATGCTGAATTTCTTAGAAATTAGTTTTTCATTTTCAGACACAAAATAATTTTAGCAGCTAGCTTTTACTGCATCTAGATACTTGTCTAAATTTTACTGGATTTACATATATCTGCAAGCCTTGAGGCTCTGAAACCATAATGTGTCTCTCTTTCTTGCTTTTGCTGACCCACAAATATGAATCTTTTAAGTTCCACTTCAAATGCTGTATCTCTTTTTGAAAGACAAAAAAAAAAATTCCTAATTTGAAGGAAGTTTACCTCCCAGGTACCAATATCTTTCAAACACTAAGAAACTAAAAAAGAAATACCATTTTTATATTTTCCATTGTCACCCATATATTAATATTTTTTGTTCACATATTTTGACTTTGCTAGATTATTAAGGAATTTAGCCATCAAAAATTCTCCATGAAAAGAGGTAGATTTCAGACACAAATTCATGTAAATAAGTGAACTCTGAACAATTGGAATTCTCAATTCATACTGAAGGTATGTGGTGTAGAATACCTTCTGTGAAGACAGGGTGTTTACCATAGCACTAGTGTTAAGTACATTTGGGCCAGGTTTACTAAGCTTCAGGCAGGTTCAAAATTCAACTGCAATATGCTGGGGCAAGAGGCAGCCAAGGAATGTCTGAGTGGTAAGAAATGGCCTCTAAATTTACAATTGACTGAATAATCTCTACATTTAAGAATCATCAATGTAACACAATGGGGTTAGTGTCATAAATTACAAAGTAATTTGTTGAGGTGATATTCAGACTTATTTTACATTTCTATGGATTCCTATTTCAATGATGTTTATTTAAAGAAGATAAAATATAGACTAGCAGTAATTGATATTGGGTATAAATTTCCCCCAGTATGTTTGAATTTTACATCCCTGTCCTTGCAATAACAGCGGTTCATACTCAATCAACATTTTGGAGTGCATTACTGCATTAATTGCATTGTTTTACCCTAAGTTAAAAATACCTATATTTTTATAGTGAGCTATATAAATGATTGAATTTAAAAATGTGTTCATTTATAATCAGACTTGTGGATTTTAACTGCTATCTTCATATATGTGTATATACAAAAAAACACAAATAAGTTATAGGTGGAATTGCAAAGTCTAAGGAAGTTTTGTAGTTGATGTGTTATAAATCTATAAATATATAATCTATAATATTTATATATTATAGTTATATATAAATATATTTATAATTATATATTAAGATATTTGTATAGTAAATACATATTTACAGATTCTATGTATATATGGTATCTATTTATAATATATATCCCTATGTAATCCGTAAATATATAATCTATAAATTATGTAATATATCAAATATACTTTTGAGTAATAGCTAAGATCAACACATGTCCCATTATGATCCAAGTCCTGCCCATCTCTTCAAACTCCCTCACACTACTTTTCACTTTATTGCTAACTTTGGTAAATATGGCCAGCTTTCTTTTGTTTACTAGAAGACAATGCCCCCTGTATTTGCTCAGCATTCTATGCTTTCTACTCTGTCAGGAGCAGTTCCTCTGCTCTTCTTGTAGCTGGTCCTTTCTCTGATCATCCATTCTTAAGTAGATTCTTCTTGCTATACTCTAGGACAGCAACTTTTTTTCTTCTTAGCACTTAGGACAAACTGTAATGATTTCAATTATTTGTTTCACCACATACCATTTCCCCAATTAGAATGTAAGCTTCTTAA
Organism: Homo sapiens; assembly: GCF_000001405.40. Taxonomy (NCBI): domain Eukaryota; kingdom Metazoa; phylum Chordata; class Mammalia; order Primates; family Hominidae; genus Homo; species Homo sapiens. The sequence goes on from NC_000006.12 coordinate 112,812,640, forward strand.
GGATAGTCACCTGGCATGTCTTGTTCACTGTGTATTTAATAAGGTACTGGCTGTTCAGTATTTTTTGAATGACTGAAAGAGCACACTTATTTCACAAATATAGTTTTCTTTTATTTTGTATTCTTGGAAATATGAATACAAATTTCCTGAACCCTCCAGGTCCTAAGCTTGAATCATACACACATTGAGTAATAGGAATATAAACAGAACTTAGTTTATTTCTTCTTGGAGCCTTTATTTGCACTTTCTCTGCAGTATTTCTGGAGTATTTTAGGTGTTTACTAACACATACTCTAAAAACACGAGAAACATTGTTGATAATGTCTATACTTATGATTAATAGAGTTGTGCTAAGTTGGTTGCTTTAAAAATTGTGAAAATCGAGGGAGGAGCCAAGATGGCCGAACAGGAACAGCTCCAGTCTACAGCTCCCAGCGTGAGCAACGCAGAAGACAGGTGATTTCCGCATTTCCATCTGAGGTACCGGGTTCATCTCACTAGGGAGTGCCAGACAGTGGGCGCAGGCCAGTGGGTGCACGCACCGTGCGCGAGCCGAAGCAGGGTGAGGCATTGCCTCACCTGGGAAGCGCAAGGGGTCAGGGAGTTCCCTTTCCGAGTCAAAGAAAGGGGTGACGGACGCACCTGGAAAATCGGGTCACTCCCACCCGAATATTGCGCTTTTCAGACCGGCTTAAAAAACGGCGCACCACGAGACTATATCCCACACCTGGCTTGGAGGGTCCTACGCCCACGGAGTCTCGCTGATTGCTAGCACAGCAGTCTGAGATCAAACTGCAAGGCGGCAGCGAGGCTGGGGGAGGGGCACCCACCATTGCCCAGGCTTGCTTAGGTAAACAAAGCAGCGGGGAAGCTTGAACTGGGTGGAGTCCACCACAGCTCAAGGAGGCCTGCCTGCCACTGTAGGCTCCACCTCTGGGGACAGGGCACAGACAAACAAAAAGACAGCAGTAACCTCTGCAGACTTAAATGTCCCTGTCTGACAGCTTTGAAGAGAGCAGTGGTTCTCCCAGTACGGAGCTGGAGATCTGAGAACCGGCAGACTGCCTCCTCAAGTGGGTCCCTGACCCCTGACCCCCAGCAGCCTAACTGGGAGGCACCCCCCAGCAGGAGCACACTGACACCTCACAGGGCAGGGTATTCCAACAGACCTGCAGCTGAGGGTCCTGTCTGTTAGAAGGAAAACTAACAAACAGAAAGGACATCCACACCGAAAACCCATCTGTACATCACCATCATCAAAGACCAAAAGTAGATAAAACCACAAAGATGGGGAAAAAACAGAACAGAAAAACTGGAAACTCTAAAACGCAGAACGTCTCTCCTCCTCCAAAGGAACGCAGTTCCTCACCAGCAACGGAACAAAGCTGGATGGAGAATGACTTTGACGAGCTGAGAGAAGAAGGCTTTAGACGATCGAATTACTCTGAGCTACGGGAGGACATTCAAACCAAAGGCAAAGAAGTTGAAAACTTTGAAAAAAATTTAGAAGAATGTATAACTAGAATAACCAATACAGAGAAGTGCTTAAAGGAGCTGATGGAGCTGAAAACCAAGGCTCGAGAACTACGTGAAGAATGCAGAAGCCTCAGGAGCCGATGCAATCAACTGGAAGAAAGGGTATCAGCAATGGAAGATGAAATGAATGAAATGAAGCAAGAAGGGAAGTTTAGAGAAAAACGAATAAAAAGAAATGAGCAAAGCCTCCAAGAAATATGTGACTATGTGAAAAGACCAAATCTACGTCTGATTGGTGCACCTGAAAGTGATGGGGAGAATGGAACCAAGTTGGAAAACACTCTGCAGGATATTATCCAGGAGAACTTCCCCAATCTAGCAAGGCAGGCTAACGTTCAGATTCAGGAAATACAGAGAACGCCACAAAGATGCTCCTCAAGAAGAGCAACTCCAAGACACATAATTGTCAGATTCACCAAAGTCGAAATGAAGGAAAAAATGTTAAGGGCAGCCAGAGAGAAAGGTCGGGTTACCCTCAAAGAGAAGCCCATCAGACTAACAGCGGATCTCTCGGCAGAAACTTTACAAGCCAGAAGAGAGTGGGGGCCAATATTCAACATTCTTAAAGAAAAGAATTTTCAACCCAGAATTTCATATCCAGCCAAACTAAGCTTCATAAGTGAAGGAGAAATAAAATACTTTACAGACAAGCAAATGCTGAGAGATTTTGTCACCACCAGGCCTGCCCTAAAAGAGCTCCTGAAGGAAGCACTAACCATGGAAAGGAACAACCGGTACGAGCCGCTGCAAAATCATGCCAAAATGTAAAGACCATCGAGACTAGGAAGAAACTGCATCAACTAACGAGCAAAATAACCAGTTAACATCATAATGACAGGATCAAATTCACACATAACAATATTAACTTTAAATGTAAATGGACTAAATTCTCCAGTTAAAAGACACAGACTGGCAAATTGGATAAAGAGTCAAGACCCATCAGTGTGCTGTATTTAGGAAACCCATCTCACGTGCAGAGACACACATAGGCTCAAAATAAAAGGATGGAGGAAGATCTACCAAGCAAATGGAAAACAAAAAAAGGCAGGGGTTGCAATCCTAGTCTCTGATAAAACAGACTTTAAACCAACAAAGATCAAAAGAGACAAAGAAGGCCATTACATAATGGTAAAGGGATCAATTCAACAAGAAGAGCTAACTATCCTAAATATATATGCACCCAATACAGGAGCACCCAGATTCATAAAGCAAGTCCTGAGTGACCTACAAAGAGACTTAGACTCCCACGCATTAATAATGGGAGACTTTAACACCCCACTGTCAACATTAGACAGATCAACGAGACAGAAAGTTAACAAGGATACCCAGGAATTGAACTCAGCTCTGCACCAAGCAGACCTAATAGACATCTACAGAACTCTCCACCCCAAATCAACAGAATATACATTTTTTTCAGCACCACACCACACCTATTCCAAAATTGACCACATACTTGGAACTAAAGCTCTCCTCAGCAAATGTAAAAGAACAGAAATTAAAACAAACTATCTCTCAGACCACAGTGCAATCAAACTAGAACTCAGGATTAAGAATCTCACTCAAAGCCGCTCAACTACATGGAAACTGAACAACCTGCTCCTGAATGACTACTGGATACATAACGAAATGAAGGCAGAAATAAAGATGTTCTTTGAAACCAATGAGAACAAAGACACAACATACCAGAATCTCTGGGACACATTCAAAGCAGTGTGTAGAGGGAAATTTATAGCACTAAATGCCACAAGAGAAAGCAGGAAAGATCCAAAATTGACACCCTAACATCACAATTAAAAGAACTAGAAAAGCAAGAGCAAACACATTCAAAAGCTAGCAGAAGGCAAGAAATAACTAAAATCAGAGCAGAACTGAAGGAAATAGAGACACAAAAAACCCTTCAAAAAATCAATGAATCCAGGAGCTGGTTTTTTGAAAGGATCAACAAAATTGATAGACCTCTAGCAAGACTAATAAAGAAAAAAAGAGAGAAGAATCAAATAGACACAATAAAAAATGATAAAGGGGATATCACCACCGATCCCACAGAAATACAAACTACCATCAGAGAATACTACAAACACCTCTACGCAAATAAACTAGAAAATCTAGAAGAAATGGATAAATTCCTCGACACATACACTCTCCCAAGACTAAACCAGGAAGAAGATGAATCTCTGAATAGACCAATAACAGGAGCAGAAATTGTGGCAATAATCAATAGCTTACCAACCAAAAAGAGTCCAGGACCAGATGGATTCACAGCCGAATTCTACCAGAGGTACAAGGAAGAACTGGTACCATTCCTTCTGAAACTATTCCAATCAATAGAAAAAGAGGGAATCCTCCCTAACTCATTTTATGAGGCCAGCATCATTCTGATACCAAAACCGGGCAGAGACACAACCAAAAAAGAGAATTTTAGACCAATCTCCTTGATGAACATTGATGCAAAAATCCTCAATAAAATACTGGCAAACCGAATCCAGCAGCACATCAAAAAGCTTATCCACCATGATCAAGTGGGCTTCATCCCTGGGATGCAAGGCTGGTTCAATATACACAAATCAATAAATGTAATCCAGCATATAAACAGAGCCAAAGACAAAAACCACATGATTATCTCAATAGATGCAGAAAAAGCCTTTGACAAAATTCAACAACGCTTCATGCTGAAAACTCTCAAGAAATTAGGTATTGATGGGACGTATTTCAAAATAGTAAGAGCTATCTATGACAAACCCACAGCCAATATCATACTGAATGGGCAAAAACTGGAAGCATTCCCTTTGAAAACTGGCACAAGACAGGGATGCCCTCTCTCACCACTCCTATTCAACATAGTGTTGGAAGTTCTGGCCAGGGCAATTAGGCAAGAGAAGGAAATAAAGGGTATCCAATTAGGAAAAGAGGAAGTCAAATTGTCCCTGTTTGCAGACGACATGATTGTATATCTAGAAAACCCCATTGTCTCAGCCCAAAATCTCCTTAAGCTGATAAGCAACTTCAGCAAAGTCTCAGGATACAAAATCAATGTACAAAAATCACAAGCATTCTTATACACCAACAACAGACAAACAGAGAGCCAAATCATGAGTGAACTCCCATTCACAATTGCTTCAAAGAGAATAAAATACCTAGGAATCCAACTTACAAGGGATGTGAAGGACCTCTTCAAGGAGAACTACAAACCACTGCTCAAGGAAATAAAAGAGGATACAAACAAATGGAAGAACATTTCATGCTCATGGGTAGGAAGAATCAATATCATGAAAATGGCCATACTGCCCAAGGTAATTTACAGATTCAATGCCATCCCCATCAAGCTACCAATGACTTTCTTCACAGAATTGGAAAAAACTACTTTAAAGTTCATATGGAACCAAAAAAGAGCCCGCATTGCCAAGTCAATCCTAAGCCAAAAGAACAAAGCTGGAGGCATCACACTACCTGACTTCAAACTATACTACAAGGCTACAGTAACCAAAACAGCATGGTACTGGTACCAAAACAGAGATATAGATCAATGGAACAGAACAGAGCCCTCAGAAATAACGCCGCATACCTACAACTATCTGATCTTTGACAAACCTGAGAAAAACAAGCAATGGGGAAAGGATTCCCTATTTAATAAATGGTGCTGGGAAAACTGGCTAGCCATATGTAGGAAGCTGAAACTGGATCCCTTCCTTACACCTTATACAAAAATCAATTCAAGATGGATTAAAGATTTAAACGTTAGACCTAAAACCATAAAAACCCTAGAAGAAAACCTAGGCATGACCATTCAGGACATAGGCATGGGCAAGGACTTCATGTCCAAAACACCAAAAGCAATGGCAACAAAAGCCAAAATTGACAAATGGGATCTAATTAAACGAAAGAGCTTCTGCACAGCAAAAGAAACTACCATCAGAGTGAACAGGCAACCTACAAAATGGGAGAAAATTTTTGCAACCTACTCATCTGACAAAGGGCTAATATCCAGAATCTACAATGAACTCAAACAAATTTACAAGAAAAAAACAAACAACCCCATCAAAAAGTGGGCGAAGGACATGAACAGACACTTCTCAAAAGAAGACATTTATGCAGCCAAGAAACACATGAAAAAATGCTCATCATCACTGGCCATCAGAGAAATGCAAATCAAAACTACAATGAGATACCATCTCACACCAGTTAGAATGGTAATCATTAAAAAGTCAGGAAACAACAGGTGCTGGAGAGGATGTGGAGAAATAGGAACACTTTTACACTGTTGGTGGGACTGTAAACTAGTTCATCCATTGTGGAAGTCAGTGTGGCGAGTCCTCAGGGATCTAGAACTAGAAATACCATTTGACCCAGCCATCCCATTACTGGGTATATACCCAAATGACTATAAATCATGCTGCTATAAAGACACATGCACACGTATGTTTATTGTGGCATTATTCACAATAGCAAAGACTTAGAACCAACCCAAATGTCCAACAACGATAGACTGGATTAAGAAAATGTGGCACATATACACCATGGAATACTATGCAGCCATAAAAAATGATGAGTTCATGTCCTTTGTAGGGACATGGATGAAATTGGAAATCATCATTCTCAGTAAACTATCGCAAGAACAAAAAACCAAACACCGCATATTCTCACTCATAGGTGGGAATTGAACAATGAGATCACATGGACACAGGAAGGGGAATATCACACTCTGGGGACTGTGGTGGGGTGGGGGGAGGGGGGAGGGATAGCACTGGGAGATATACCTAATGCTAGATGACGAGTTAGTGGGTGCAGCGCACCAGCATGGCACATGTATACATATGTAACTAACCTGCACAATGTGCACATGTACCCTAAAACTTAAAGTATAATAAAAAAAAATTGTGAAAATCTACAATTTATGCCAAAAAAACACAAAGTATATTATAAAAACTTCTATGCAATGTGAAACTATACAAAATACCTAAACATAAGCAGAGGAATAGGATTCAGAAGGAAATGTACTATATGTTGAAAGTGTTCATCCAAGGGTAATGGGATAATAGGCAATTTTGATTTTTTTTTGTATTTTTCAATATTTACAATCTCTATATTACATATAGATATATAGAGCTATGTCTCACTCTTAAAGGTAATTTTTTTTCCCAACTGCTCAGTGATTTTCAAACATTAAAAAACAAATACCCAGAAAATCACTGAGCAGTTGGGAAAACAAATTACCTTTAAGAGCAAGATACAGCTTCAGAGAGTGGAATGATTAATTCCTTTTGTAACTACTTATTTAGAGTTTTATATGTTCGTGGAGCTATTGCAGGATGTGTCATGTTTTCATGAAAGTGAAATCTAGTTTCTACCATTAACTATGTAAGATATGTTTACATTTCACTGTAATTGAAGACAGAATGTTGCAAATTATTATGAAGAATATGAGATAGAGAGATGGGAAGGTTATTTCCTGGGGTATGATTAAAGTACTTCATGGCATTGGCCATCAGCAAGAATGTTGATAACGAGAGGAAGACTATCCGGATCAAGGGACGGACATCCAGAAAGGCGGAGAGACGAGGAGACATGCAATGTTGTAGAAAAAGGAAGTAGATAAATGTGTGTTAAATAGGAGATATTGAAAAAAAAGTTCAGTTAAAAAAATAAATAAAATGAAAGATTCATGGGCCCAGCTTATGGAATGACTAGAAGGGTAGTCCACTGAGTAAAGCAGAAGTCAATGATAGAATTTACATAGGGTAGAATTTTAGATAGGGCAGGTTTTCAGGGCATTAGAAGAGTCAGGGAGATATATGTAATTTTAAACAAGTTGGGTTTGTATACATTTATATATCATTTGCAAGATATGCATTAAACAGTGAAATATATGAGTCTGAACCTCAGGAAAGAGATATGGCTTGGACATAGAAAGGTGTGAGTTGTCTTTGTCAAGGTGGTGATTGAAGTCACTGGCCTGGATTAGATCCTCTGAAGAGTCACTCCAGAGTATGGATTGAGGCTTAGTAATCTGGGTATTTTAACTGCCAAACAGAGAGCATAGAGAAAAGGAAGACAGGAGGCTCCTGTGGAAGTTAGGGTAAGTGCCAGCCAGATGTGATGTCATGGCAATAGAAATGGGAGGAAGAGGAAAAATATTGGGGATTCCTCTGTTGCTGTTTTAGCGTTCTGTTTTGATACCAAAAAGTTAGCGTGAATAGCATTATTTTATACAGGCCAGGGATTTCTAAACCTGGGGGCATATTAGAATTATTTACAGAGTTGTCTAATAATTTAATATACAAAATATACATCAATTGAGTGAATGAATAATGTTTAACATGTCTTGATCATCTTTACCAATACCTTTTTATTTATATTAACTTATGAAATTAGAGTATAAAAATTCCATTGAATCTAATAAAATTCAATACACTCTATGATGCAAAATTAGTAAGTTTTTCTGTGGGGGCAATTTTAACATTCAAAAAGAAAGAATGACATTTAACTCATCAGTAGCTAGGAAGATTGAAAATTCCCAGATTTGGAAAATTCAAGATTCTTAATATCCCTCATCTGGTGCTCTCCTTTCCTGTACTGGCAAAATGGTTATTTGTTAGCAGTTGTGAAAAAAGTCATAATATGACCATAACGTCATAGCCAATTGTTGAATTATATTTACCTATTTTCATATTTCCCCAGTTTTGCACCTGGCCTTGGGTGTTTTCATTACACAAAGTGCAAAATCATAATGTCTCCTTGTCTTTCTAATTAAGAATACTAGCAAAGGAATGAGTTAGGTTTTTAAAAATTTTCTCTTCTCACCAATAAGTCATTGAATCCCCTTTTCATTGCTTTCCACTGAATTATTGTTTACTTAAAAGAGAATAAAAGCAATGACCTGGAAAAGGTGTCCCTAGAGCTCTTGTTAATAATTATTCTTTCAAAATAAATCAGAAAAAAAATGTTTCTTTGAAATTAAATAGAAAGGCTGTACCAATAGTAAATAAAAATGCACCAAGTTCAACATTTGTATGTTTCCATAAGCATAATCAGTATAAAATCAACCTAGAGAAACTGTCAGATGACTAATATTAAAATGAGAACTATTAAAATTGCATTTGTTTATTTCTCACCACAACACAAATACACTTTGATATGTAATTAGTAATGGACAGATTCAGATCGTTCCACGTTTGCTGACAGTACCTGATTACAATTTTTTCCCTCTATACTCAATATTCAAATATACTACAGTGCTCTTACGATATGCTTATTATTACAATTTTATTCTACTTCCAAAGGATATATATTGTATGATTTAATATGGAATCACCATCAAACTCTTAAAAGAACAGCTTTAACATTGGCAAAGAGATCTTCAAAGGGAAGAATTTTAAAGTAGGGCCACCTCTTCCATCATGTATAATCTTCTTCACAGACAATCTGTATCTCTTTCCATATCACCTCATTCTGTATGGGCTTAATTAGAAAAATCCCAAAATTTTGGAATTGGGAAGAAGTTTAGAGAGTATTTAAATCTAGCCCTTTAGCCTATTCATATGTAATGCTATTTTACAATATTGCTGCAAATGGTGACTGACTTGGGACGTGGCTACACCTTTAGAAGTACTTCTTATTATTTTGGCCATCTGAATTGTCAGGAAGTGGTTTCTCATAAGCAGCTGAAGTATCTTCCCATCACTGGTTTTAATTATACTCTCTAGAGTCATGTGGAATAAGATAAAGTATATATGATCTAACCAATTTTGCTCAACTATATCCAATTCGAATAGCAAAAACACAAAAACCATGAAGATTAGTGCATCTTTAGCTTATCTATGACTTACTAGCTGTTTTATGCTTCTGTGAACTTTTGAAGTGGTTAGTATAATTCTTTATATTTTGGCACATAATAAAAATTTATCCTCTAACCCAGTCTATGAAATCATATCAGAGGGTAAGTATATGCAGAACTTTTGCCATCAATATTTTGTTTTTTTCAAGATAATATGTAAAATCCATGGTTTAATGAGAATAACATAAAAGGACATTATTTAGTAGGGTCAAATAGCTCTATGTGACAGATTAGGACTTGGAGCCAGGTTGAAGTAAACTTTCTAAGTGCTGAGTTTTCTTCAATGAGAAAGAAAACTGGTCCTAGAACCAGAAGGTTGACATCAAAAATAAACTAGACTGTCACTTTTTAACTGGCTAATCTGCAAGTTGATCTCCTTGCACTGTATCTACATGATTGGGATATTAATTGCCCTTCCTATAGGGCTGCTGTGAGAACCATAAATGAGGTAAGTAATGGCACCAAATGCTGTCTCGGGCACACAGGCACTGCAGCATACTGGTTAAAAGCAGTCTTTGAATCAAAGTTGTGCTCTCACCTGGCTTGTCAATGAATATTCCTGTGCTTGCAAAGTGGCTATTTGTTAGTGTTAGAAGTTGTGGACAAAAGCCGTAAGATGTCTATGACCATGATATCAGTCAGTTAATCATTACATTGCATTTATCTCTTTTCATATTTCCCCAGTTTTACACTGCCATGGGATATACCTGTGGTATAAATACCTGGGGCCAAATAATTCAACTTCCCTGAGTCTCAGTTTCTCCATTTATAAAATGAAGCAACATAGGCTTCACAACTGATTTTTTTTTTTTTTTAGTGTTGAAACAGCACTCTTAGAAGCCTTACACAAATGTCTTTTCTGTGTGTGTGCACAGAGAATATTTAAGATCTACTCTCTTAACAATTTCAAGTATACAGTACAGTAGTACTAACCATAGTCATCATAACGTGCATTGAATCCCCAGAACGTATTCATTTTAAAACTGAAAAATTTAACCCTTTGACCAACATCTCCCCATTTTCTCTCTCTGGTAACCACCATTCTGATTCTGCTTCACAGATTTGTCTTTCTGTCTGACTTATTTCACTTAGCATAATGTCCTCATTGTTCATCCATGCTGTCACAAGTGACAGGATTTTCTTCTTTTTTATGGCTGAATTATATTTCATTATATAAATATACCACAATATTTTTATTAATCCATCCACCTACAGACACTTGAGTTGCTTCTATGTCTTGGCTTTTGTAAATACTGCTACAGTGAGGTTAGGTGCTGTGTCTCACCTCTATAATCCCAGCACTTTGGGAGGCTGAGGTGAGAGGATTGCTTGAGACCAGCCAGGGAAAAATAGTAAGACCTCATCTAAATTAGTTGGGCATGATGTTGTGTGGCTGTAGTCTCAGCTACTCAGCTGGCTGACATGGGAGGATCACCTGAGCCAAGGAGTTCAAGGCTAAAGTGAGCTGTGACTGCACTCCACACTTGGTGACAGAGCAAGGCCCTGTCTCTAAATAAAGAAAGAAAAATCTATAATAAACACTGGAGTGCAGATATCTCTTTGAGATACTAATTTTGTTTCCCTCAAGTATATATCCTGAAGTGAGATTGCTGAATCCTATGATAATTGCATTTTCAATTTTTTGAGGACCCTCCTTACTGCCTTCCATAGCAGCTTTACTGATTTTCATTCCCGCCAACAGTGCACAAAAGTTCCCTTTTCTTTACTTCCTTCTGCCACTTGTTATCACTTGTCTTTTTGATAACAGCCATCCCAGGTGTGAGGTCTGTTTGATAAACAGTGTTGGGAAAACTGGATATCCATATGCAAAAGAATAAAATTGAACCCCTATTTTACACCACTCAAAAAAGTTAACTTGAAATGTAAGCCTCAAAACCATGAACCTCTTTGAAGAAAACATTAAGAAAATTCTCCATAACACTGATCTTGGCAATGATATTTTTGTATATGACCCCCAAAGCACAAGCAACAAGAAAAATAAGTAAGTAAGTGGAACTACATCAAATTAATAAGCTTCTGTACAGCAAAGAAAATGATCAACAAAATGAAATTGAAACCTATGAAATGGGAGAAAATATTTGCAAATCATAATCTGATAAAAGGTTAATATTCAAACTATACAAGGAATTCATGCAATTGAATAACAATAAAGCAATCTGATTTTAAAATGGCCAAAGGACCTGTATAGACATTTCTCCAAAGAAGACATACAAATGGCCAACAGGTACATGAAAAAGTGTTCAAATTCACTAATTGTCAGGATTTTCAAATTTTTCATAAAAATTTCAAATATTCATGAAGTTAATAACAGTGTAATGAGCCTCGATATTCCCATCACTCAAATTCAACGAGATTTTGCCACACTGACTATCCTTTTTCATTTATTATTGTTAAATTTATGAGAACTAAATGAAACTGAGGGCATGCAATACTTAGCGGAGTTCCTGGTACAGAGTGAATGCATAATATGCAGTTTCTATTTAAAGTTATTCATCCATAAAATAGGGATAATATTACCTAATACGGAGTAATTTTTGAAAAATTAAATCCCAAAAAAGTAGAGGTGGCAGTTCTTTTTAATTTGAAAAGTGAAATAACATGGCACAGATAATTAGTATGATTAAAGAGGATCACTGTTAATCACAGAAAAGGAGAAGCAAATAATAGTATATCTCTATGCCTGCAACAAAGAGGAGAGTGTTCTACTCCTATGCACATAGGGGAAAAGAAAACTGACGTGAACACAGAAAGATTGGTAGTTGCCAAAGATAAATTACCCAAGGCCTATTGTTGAGTAGAATTGACCCTAAGAGGCAGAACTTAATAATTGTCCTCCCTTTTAGGATGAGTAAATCTCACCATTGGGACGTCTTGGATAATATACGTAAGAGAAAAGTTTTCAATGTCCTGACCTCCCCTGCTCCTTTTCCTTTACTGTATTACCTGAAGAAGCACAGCCCACTGAAGATTGTCACCTTTCACAGTTCACCTTACCCAGGTTCCCTGTAGGACACAGCAATACTGATGGTTTATTTTCTGATAAGCTCACCTTCTTGCCTGTCCTGACATAACATTGCCCAGGTGGCCCTCCTGCCACTATGGCTTCTCATTTCAGGCCTTGACCCACTTTTCGTCTTCCCACCCCAAATGAGGGCATCACAGCTCCTCTCTTGGTCTGTCTTTCTCTACTCTCTACATCCTCTCCACTGGCATTATCCATCTATTCTCCAGCTTTCAAAAAATTATAACTAAACAGATGATTCTCAAATCTACCTGAGTCTACTCAAGCTTCACTCTTATAGTCCCCAAGGCCACCTAGACTATTCCATTTGGAAATTTCTGATACTTCAAACAAACTCCATAACTCTCCATCAGAAATTATTAGTTTTCTTCTCCCAACTTCCTTAAGTGTGAATTCAGATTTTTAAAAATTGTATGCTAAACTCATATTTTTAAATAATAATTCTTTCTAGAAGGTGCTTTAAATGAGATAGATTTAAGTTTAAATCATATTTAAGCCACTTGTATCAAAAGGCTATAAGGAGCTCTGGACTTAATGAACCTAAGTTTCCCCACATATAAAGTAGAGGTGATATACATCTGGAAAAGTTGTGAAGACTAGGCATAACATATATAAGCATGTAAAGCAATGTTTGACATATAATGGTACATAATGAATAAATTAATTAATTTGAAGCTACTTGTTTAAATTAGTTATAAATTTAAGTTTCATTTTAAGTCACTGAGTATTTGGTACCATGATTCTTAAAATAGAATATTCTATTTATCAATGGTTAGTTGATATTTTTCTTCAATAACCATATTGAATGGTGCTACATGAGTAAACATCTCTGCAGAAAACATGTGAATGTTGCTAAATTGAAAAATTTAGCAAAATGTTTGCTATTGAATCATAGCAAAAATTTACCAGCCTAAGAATTATGGTTTATCATCCACGACAACTATGACCTTTGTACATCTCCTTGCTGCTCATGAAGATCCATCCAAGATAATTAGAAAAAGTAGTGGAACCACTTGAACAAGATAGCATGCACCAATAAGGTGCCAATGAAATGTGTTCCTGACAGGAAAGAAGTTACAAATGTAATTGAACCACTACTCTCTGAAATGCCCTCTTATAAAAAAAAAGTAAATAAGTAAGTAGATAGTGAAGGGAGTGGTGAGGATGGTGGTGGTGAGGAGGGTAGAACAGGTGGTGGGAGGGATGAGTGGCTAAGGTGGTGAAAAAGGGGGAGATTTGTGGAGGAGGAACAAGTGAGGGAGAGTAAGAAGAGGGAGATGGTGAAGAATGGGGTAGAGGAGGGGGTTTTCAAGGAAGGGGAGATTATGGAGGGAGGGGAGATATGGAAGAAAAGAAGGTTATGTAGATTAGTGTGGAGCGGGTGATGGTAGATCCAGAAGGTATTAAAAGCTACAAAAAGTAAATAACAGCTTGTTTGTTGATAGACACATCAGGCATGGCATTCTATAAATAAGATCATCTTTGAAGCAAACACCGCCTTAGACCCCTTAATGATATCATTCTTGAACCAGTTACTATGGAAGCACAGTGATTTGTATTACCATTTGTCTTTTAGAGGTGATCTCCCTCCCACCCATATTCTATGCGTGGGAGATATTCTTGAACATATTGTATCTTTTAAAGGACAAAACAAATAGCAAACATAATTGTTTAAATGTAAATATTTATTATGGTTGGAAAATGAAAACTGTTTAGAATTTTTAGTCCAGATTTTGTGTTTATGAGACAAGTTAGTATTTTAAGTGACTCCTAATCAGGAAGCAGAATATTGGATATTCTTCTGATGCTTGATACTAATGCTGGTAAGGATAGAAAAACTTCACTCTTGGGGTCTCCTTCGGTTAAAGTCTCCTAACTCTAAACTTCAAATTTATTTTTAGTATATATATGCTTCAAATATTTCACAGGACGTACCTATACTAAAATACTATTTGCTGTTGATCTAAATTTTAAACTTAACTGCAGTTCTGTATTTTATTTGGCAACCCTATTCTGGGCAAGTCACTTAATTTGCATTTCACTGGGCCTTCACTACAGGAGTGATGTGGGATTTTTCTATTAATCTCTCAAAAGCACAATGCTACATTTTTTTCTGTGAATATAGAAAAAAGAAATAAAAATGGAGCACTTATTTAGGAATTTCAGCTCAAAAAATCTGGAATTCAGGTGCTCTCAGGCTCACGGGTTATATTTGTATCCCCTCATGAGTCATGTACTATGGACTTAGAAATTTAAATTCTGTATTTGAAGATGGATACTATGATACATATTCCACTGAGCCAATTTTGGAGTATTTTAATTTAATAATAAAGATAGATGGCATGTATTGAGTATAACCTGTGAAATTCAGTACTTTAAATACATTATCTAATTTGAATCTCAAAACAATCTTATGTGTTAAGTAATAATTTTATCCCTCATTTTTTAGGCCAGGAAACCGAGAGACAGAAGAATTGAGTAACTTGCTAGTGGTCACACAACTAGTAATAGGTATGGCTGGGATTTGAATGCAGATTGTCTGACTTAATAGTTTTTTTCTCTTGATCACTACTCTATTCTACCTCTAAACCTTGAGATAAAAAGTCTCACAGACACAAAGTTTAGCTTGAACATTTTATGATATATTATAGAGATTTGCTTATTAGGCCAAAAAAGAAATAGAAATGATTTAACAATACAGCTAGTCCAGCTGCTTATTGAGCTCAATATTCCTCCTTATTCTCCTTTACCCATGTTCCCTGACCTGTGAAAGCAAGCAAAGGATTACATGATCACAAAAGATCCCTACCTCATTTCATTCTACGGATTGAAAATAAGACATGTGAAGCTGTGGCCAACAGCAAAAAGTGCTAAATAAGGTCATCTTACTTTAATTGGCATTTGTAGGTTGATAAAAGAGTCAGCATAACTCTTTGTCTTCTTTCAGTTCCTTCTAGACTTAGACGATGACTTCCTGTCCTAGGCAGGGACCAGCTCAGTCAGCTCCTGGGACAGTGCCATTTCTCAGGCTATTTCACAGTAAAACCAAATTACAGATCAGCAGAGGAAATGGCAAAGTAATCTCTCTTTGCACAGAGACAGCAGAAAATGTATGAATAAAGTGGCCATTTAGTCTGGCTACTTTATGAAAAAAGTAACCATTTTTCTTGATCGACCTTAGTCAAAAGTAATATCAACCCAGAAAACAAAGACTTTTTTAAAGAAAAGAATATCTATTATCAGATAAACTCCTTTGTGTTGGTGGGTTAGTCCTTTCTTGGTTGATTTGAAAGAAACTGTTCAAAAGTTTAGTGCAAAGCATGAACATGAAGAATTGTTTACCTCATAGCATCCTGAAAAACATCTAGGCTTTTCTATTTCATTAAAATAATAATAAAAAGAAATTTAAACCTTGTGTTAGAAAAAGTTTTACTACAATATTATTTTATTATTCCTTGGTGATACCTAGCATGCATATTCAATAGAGACGCATCCAGTGCATACCACCAAGGAATAATAAAATAATAATCTCATTATAAAGTATAATACTATTATATATTTATAACTTAAATATATTTTATAACTTAGTTATACATTCGTTATAAACTAATAACAAAATAATAGATTATAAATCTCAAGTTTTATAGTTTATGAATCTCAAGTTACAGGATTAAAGGGATGACGCTATTTCAAAAATCCTTTCCTAAAAAAAGTGATTTATTTCTACAGTACCTGCAATTATCTGTGGCCACTTTAATTGCTGAGTATACAGAATGATTATTTACAACACAAAAGTGAGAGAACAATTATGGAGATTACCACAGAACTTTTTCTTTAATTTGCCGCAGGTTTGTGAAGGAGAAAAGGAAAAGCATGAGAAATGGTTGAGAATGCCATTGTGATCAGTGTTCACAGAGGCTTTCTTTTAAGAAGAAGGAAGTTTGGTCTCCTTTGACTTTAGAGAATTGGTTCCCACTTTATTTAAATAACACCATTCAATATAGTTATTGAGGACATGTATCAAACAACCATTTATAAATAGAGTATTCTATTTTAGGAATCATGATTCAAATAATCACTTAAAGTAGAACTTAAAATTTATAACTAATTTAAACAACTAACTTCAAATAAATGTATTATTTATTCATTATGTACCTTTTATTTATCAGACTCAGCCCTGATGCTTTATATATGTTATATTTAATCTTCACAACAACTTTTCCAGATGTATAATATTACCTCTATTTTATATATGGGAAAATTTAGGCTCATTAAATTGAGAACTTGCTCATTGCCATTTGATACAAGTGGCTCGAATGGGATTTAAATTCAGTTCTATCTCATTTCAAGTACCTTCTAAAAGGATCATTATTTTAAAATATGAGTTGAACATACAATTTTTAAAATTAAAAAAATCTGAATTTATATTCAGGGAAGTTGGAAAAGGTGCAAGCTTGCAAATGGTTTCCCCCAAATTTAATTTTATACATATGTATGTATAATACCTATGTATAATTTTATACATTCCTGTTTGTGTATACACACAAAACAAAAAACTCCTAACATTTTAGGGACAATATCCCCACTTGTTGAGACCAGGGTACAATGCAGCCTCATACAAGAAACTTGGCCGATAATCTTGAAGTTTTTATGCAGTTTTGGTAAACTGGGAAGAGTCCTAGATTTGACACAATTGTTTTCCTTGAAGGAATAATTATATAATGAAAACCTGAGAGTGAGCACTAATGTAGCTTAACGTGGGGGTGAAAGGATGGACACATACTGGAGACGCTGGAAATGCTCCATTCAGAACCTTTCCACTGCTGCTTGTCAGTACTCCAAAGCCTCAGCAAGGGGGCTGGAAGGAAAGTGGGAATTTACATCTCATCATTTCTTTTATCTTAAACTTGGGTTTCTCATAGCGGCTCAACTTACTTCTACTGTTGAAAGAAACTCCTGATCTGGAGAAGTTGGGCACAAGTAGCTGAGGAAAAAAAGAAAGATGAAAGAAAAAGAGAAGGCCAGGGAGAGAGACAGAAAGGAAGGAAGGAAAGAAAGGAGGGAGGAAGGGAAAGAGAAAAGATTGAGGAACAATTTCTTGCAACTAATTTTATCAGAAGCTATAATAGCCAAATTAATTAAAAAGCTGCTTTTCTCATTGACTTTCCTACCGAGTGCCTGATAAGGTAGCATACCTGAGGGCCACACTTACAAATGAGAAAAGACACACTCCCTCTTCCGCAGAACTGGCCCTTGAAAAAGGGACTGCAAGAATTACAGAGAAAAATCTGCCGAGACTTTTCAAATGGCAGATGCTCATG
The DNA here is from genome assembly GCF_000001405.40 of Homo sapiens. NCBI lineage: Eukaryota > Metazoa > Chordata > Mammalia > Primates > Hominidae > Homo > Homo sapiens. The sequence goes on from NC_000006.12 coordinate 112,830,371, forward strand.
GCCTTAACGTTCTTTACTTCCTCCTCAAGCACCTGAATGGCTAAATAGATAATATTGATATCAAGTCTTCCTGCTCAAGTTATAAAGGAAGAAATCAAACATTGCGTGGATATATAGAAGGAGTTATCTCAAGCATAATTTAGCCACATTATTTTGAAGCCAATTGAAAATCTAGAACAGGGAATGACAGCCAGATTGAGCACCAGAAATAAAGAAAATATAGCCTAAGAAAAACACTAAAGAGCATAGTTTGAAAGACTTTTTTCCAAGGAAAACATAAGAAAATCTTATTTTACCTTCTCAAGGAAAAAAAAATATACACACACACAGTATATATAAAATATATGCATGCATGTATATAGATTTGTATATATCTGTATACACAGCTTTATATGGAGAGAGACAGAATAAATCTAAGGTTTTTAAAAGAAGAATAAAAAATAGTCCCAGGCTTTTTCTCAAAATATTACCATAGTCCCCCTTTATCCAGGGGGGATACATTTCAAGACCTCCACTGGAGGCCTGAAACTGCAGATAGTACCTAATTCTGTATATACTATGTTTTTTCCTATACATACATACCTATGATAATTGACCTATGATAAATATACCTAATTTAATTTATAAATTAGGCGCAGTAGGAGATTAAAAACTTACTTTTGACATATGTTTGGCTTCTTTTTGGCATATCCAAGTTGCCTGCATTACTACTCTTGTGCTTTGGGGCCATTATTAAATAAGGGTAACTTGAATACAAGCTGTGTGATGCTGAAATAGTTAATCTGATAACTGAGGTAACTATTAAGTAGCTAAGGGTCAGGTAGAGTAGACAGCATGGAAACGCTGGACAAAGGGATGATTCACATCCTGGGAGGAACAGAGTGGGACAGTGTGATATTTTATCATGCTACTCAGAATAGCACACAGTTAAAAAATTATAAATTGTTTATTTCTGGAATTTTCTGTTTAATATTTTTAGGCCACAGTTGACCTCAGGTAACTAAAACTGCCTAAAGCAAAACTGCAGGTAAGGGGAACTATAGTATTTGCAACAACACAATTTCTGCAGATTTTTGAGGAAAAGAGTCATAATTCATCTAGAGGATTGGAGTATCACGTAGCATTCTTAGTATATGGGTTTCCAAATCAAGGGATAGATTTTGAAAACTGCTTATTGCATTAATTATTTAAGTTGATTGAGATGCAAACTCCCTAACCACTGTTTATTACCTCTAAAACAACCCCAAACCAGTTTTAATTGAACTCTTAAATATGTAGGATTCACTAAAACCTACACAGAAATAGCAATTGAGCCAACATGTATTGTTTTGGTTAAATGCCTAGGTACTCTAAAAATCATGAAAAATGGTCTAAGAACCAGTTTTCTTTTTTCATTCTTGGGTGGAAATGTTGACTACTGATTTATGCTTATGAATAAGAGAAATGAGACTTTGAGAATTTTCATTTGCTGTTAGCCAAATGTAGGGCGAATTTAGAAAGCTTACTGAATTTTTTTCTACAGCAATCATTTTTTAAGAAGGAATTAACATTGATATTATGTTTGATTACAAAGCCAGGAAATGCAAGGAAGCAAATAATAACTGCTGTGAAAACTGACCTAACTCCTCAGTAACCCCAAACATCCAATCTATAGAGTCATATATGTATATGTGTGTGTGTGTATTCTATAGGAACTATAGCTGTGAAGAAGCTGCTGGCATAGAATGGGCCTGGGGAATCAATGTGATCCATAGGATGATTTGTGAAGAATAATCTCTTATTTAAAAATAGGGAACAAGTGCCAAGACAGAGACAGAGAACAACTTCCCAAGTGGAAGCCGAGGAATTCTGTTGTTGGTCAAAGTTGGGACTCTGGGGAGCTATACTAGAATGGATGCTGTCCAGATCTCAGGCCTTAATTATGTGCAATGTCAATCTCCCAACAGGTACCTGAAGAAAGGCAGAGGAGGGGGACCGAAGAACAAGGAATGTATAGGACTGCCATTCCAGTCCATGGGTAACCTCCAAGTTAGAGGAAGTGAGAAAATCTAAGAATCAGATTCACTCTTTATAGTGACCAGGGAGAATGCCATGCATACAACAAGACTATAGTTTGTGTTTCCGAATTATGTAGGGAGTTGTCCTTAGAATATGTGCTGTAGCATTACAAATATGAATATCCGTCTTTGATAAGTAAATGTTTGCCCCTTTCCATCATGCTTGAAGACAGATATTAGAAGAAACAATGTATTTTTTTTCAGGACAATATTTTTATTAAGGCACAGGTTGCCCTTCTGGGAAGAATTAGTGCAATAGATAAAATTTATGACTTTTATCTGTTTTAGTGGAACAGATGCCATCTCCCTTGATAGATAACTGGGATATAAAATTTTTGAAGTGCTGATTGCAACTATGCATTTCCTAATGGAATAGATATAAATTTTCAAACCACAAACTCAGGTGTACAAAAACGTAACTACCTTTGCCTTTTTCCTTAGTTTAACTGGATCTTTACTTTGAGTTATTATATTTGGTAGCAGAAAATTTAAATGTTTTTAACTTTAAGTAGATGTATACATTGTAGGGTATTATTAATCATTTCAGGTTTAAATTTACTCAATTCCAGATTTCCCTGTCCCTGTGTCTTCTCCCCAGCTTGGAACATTCCAAGCACCTATATGCCATCATGACATGGGCAGACATATGCTTGGTGGTTCCCATGCCCCATCAAAGTGGCCTTCACTGAGCTTTACCTTGTACTATTTGGCATTTGTGATCTTTATTTTAGTGTCTACCAGGAGGCTGGTGTTCCTAATGGGTGTACTTCAAAATAACCGCATCTTCATCTTGCACAGCTTGACCAGAAAGCCCCTCCGTGTTTGCTTTCCCATGGCACTCTAGGGTCATGGCAACTTGGTGGTTCTTCCTCAGGCCCTCTCTGCCCTGGACATGTCTGCATGATCTATGTCTTCTCTCTAACCCTACCAAGGCGGTAGAGGCAATTACTTGAGAATGTTATTAATACTTCCAAGCTTGTTTGGGGATATAGTTTTTATTTAGAAATTATTATTGTTGTTAAGAGGATACAGTTTGTATTTGGAAAACAATCAACATTTATCTGGAGTTTCTATCAGTTTTTCTTCCCTCAAACTCATGTCAGAAATGGAACAGAGATTACAGGATCCCTTTCTCAGGGATGCATGCCAACTTGAATCTTCCAGTCCTCATCAAGCCCCTGTACTTGTCAGGACTGGCCCTGCCTGGGGACAGTATGCCTTACATGGCTCAATCTCATGGTTTGGTTTTCATGGAGCAAAGGCCAAGAGATTTTAAAAAGGGAAAGATTACGTCACACCATCTGTATCGTACAGTGACCACCAGTATAATTCTACTTAAAATAAAGCAAAACAAAAGAAGATAATTGTGATTCATGCTGTGTCCACTGTAAAGCAAAATAAGAATTTTCACCCTTTATGAAATATTCAAATAATTTTATGCCATCTTTTGTAACATGAAATGTAACTTGAAACCATAACAGAGTTGGTTCAGCTGTTTCCTGGAGAAGGGCCTGGCACAGTGTTTGAATTCTCTAGCATGAAGATACCTTCCAGAAGGCCGAGTAGGAGTGGATTGCCAAGGTTCTGCTTCACGCCTTGATGAACATAAACCAACATTTCTCACCAGTGAAGACTCAGATTATGGTGCTGAAAATATGTTTCATCACAAGATGACAGGTGGCCCAGCAGCAGCAGTTACTGCCTATTCATGAACCATTTTATCACAGAATAGAACCACGTACATATTGACAAAGACATCTTTGCTGTTATTGTGGGAGTCATGACGTCCTACAACTTCTCTGTATCTGACGCTTTACCAGTTACATGAATCACCAGCTTTTTCTAAGAAATAATTTACACTTTTAATTATAGAGTCATTTACATAAATTTTTTGGCTAGATGTTTATAGCCACATGTTAGCTGCCAGTCTTTTTATTTTGACAGTCTCGCTCTATCACCCAGGCCAGAGTACAGTGACGTGATCTCCACTCACTGCTGCAACCTCCGCCTCCTGGGTTCAAGCAAATCTTGTGCCTCAGCCTCCCAAATAGCTGGGATTACAGTTGTGTGCCACCACACCCAGCTAATTTTTGTATTTTTTGTGTTAGCTGCCAGTCTTGAAGAATATTTGACTGCAGATTCCAAGATAATGTTGCCTTCTCATTGAGACCTACCCCAACTAACCTTTTAAAAATTGCAACCCTCTTTTCAATGCTCTGCTATTTGTTATTTTTTCCCTTGGCACTTAATCACTTTTTGATATATTATGTACATCATTTATTATATCTATTGTTTATTGTCCATTTCTCTCCACTAAGAGGTAAGAGCAGAGACCTATTTTCATTCACTAATGTATCAAAAATATCTGACACATAGTTGATGCTCATTAATATTTATTGAATGAGTGAGTTTGCTTGTAGATATCCTCCTAGACAAAGTTGCAAGATTAACTCAGTGGAGAATGCTTATGTCATTCCTTCTGTGAAAAAGAATTACTTTGATCACATCTCGTCACCTATGAGATTCGGTCCAACTCTTCAGTTTCATAATTGGCCCTCAAACTGTGTCTTCGAGCTCCTACTTTTCTTTTATAGTAACTCAATGTGTAATCATAGTGTAACCATAGCAAAGTAATAGCTACGTTCCTTCACATGGTATTCGTCTTTCTAGGCAGCAAGGCTTTCCCTGTGTATTATTTAGCTATGTGGCATAATAAGGCATAAAAATCTGTCTCAAAACCCAGGGCAGTGTCTTAAGGCAACACACATTTTTGGTTTTTCACTTAAGCGTTGTGTGGGGCAGCTTTGATTCAGGCTGGGCTCAGCTGGGATCTGCTGGGCTTGGCTCCAGTTGGTAGGTTGGAATTAGATCAGCTTTGTGTGCCTCCTCATTCTTCCTGGACCAGCAGCTATTCAGAGTATATTCTCTTTCTGGCAGATTATCGAATGCAAGGGGCCACATGCTAGCACATTTATGGGCTCTGCTTGCATCATGACTGCTCCCTTCCACTGACTAAAGCAAGACACATAGTCAAGCCCAATATCAATGTAGTGGAGAAATATGTTCTAACCGAAGGAGAAGAGATAGGTAAGTGGTAGATATGTTCTACCAAAAGATAAAAGAAGTAGATGACAATATTTTCTGATCAACACAGTGTGTATCTCACACATTATTCCTTGTTGGCATATCCATCATGACCTAGCACAAATGTTGCCTACTTTATGAACCCTCTCTATTGCAGTAGGTAGTCAGGTCTGAATTTTGAAATCCAGTGCACTCTGCTTACAGCTATTCATTAAGGCATAGGCTTGTCTCTTCTCCTGGGCTCTAAAGATCTGAGACAATTTCCTATTAAAATTTCTATTCCCAATATCTACCATACAACCTAGCAAGTTATACACTTAATAGATGTCATTTGTATAAGAATGTAGATAATCCCATTAAAGAAAACCAACCCCATTCAGATTCCATCAATGTCAGCTTTGTGTCTATCTGAAATGAGAAAACTACCATATGAAACTTAGTAGATATTGCATTAAATGTAGCACATTTAGGAAGTGTTCCCATATAAAACTGACTAGAAGCAGGTGATTTGAAATTAAATTCCATAATTAAATACCATATAGCATGCTAAAGTGTTCAGTACAATTTGCCAAGGGTTTTTCCACAGAAAGTGATGGAAAATTCTTTGGTAGAAATTGATGTTGAATGTTTAGAGCCTTGACAGAAAGAACTCCTTAGCAGTCAAAAATGTAGAATATTCTTCGCTTTCTCTCAGAGTTCTGCTACAAAAATCTCAGTTTTGTTTCAGTTTTTTTAAATGACACATATAACGTCAATTGACAAATGCCTGAATTTGTTCTAGATGATAATTATTCCATTCATCTACCCATCCTTTCCAACCTACTATCTATTCATTGGTCCATCTCTTTATTTATGTATTCTACCTTTCTGAACTAATTAACCTTAGTTTTATTTAAATTCACTCATAATCCAGTTTAGAATCAATGATTTATGATTTCAATTATATCTTTGCCAATATCCTGACCTGCTATTTCCCTTGGCCTTTTCATTGCTTTCATCTGAATGAAGACTGGATGAGTCCAAGTACTCATTTCCATTATGTCTCCTTGAACCATCTAAACACCATTTTGTTAAACTAAAAAGTCAATTCCCATTCCATTTTCTCCATCACAAATACACTATTGACTTTTAAGATTTATATTTTCAATACTCAATTAATTTCAAAACCACCTCATACAGTGGTTGTCAAGTTTGATCTATGAAAAAAATGATTAGAGCTTGGGATTGCTATCCATAGCATTAGTAGCATGCTGCTTAACCTTATCAGCTGCATGCTCAACAATTATAAAATGAGTACCAACTGAAATAATTTTATATTTAATTTATTTTGGATAATTAGGTTTGATAATTTTTATGATGAAATTTAAGTTTTGTTCTCTCTGTGGAATTCAGGCATGATGTTTCCAGTTCATTCATTTTCTTACCTTCCAATTTATATATCTCTTATCTGGAAGGAACCACAAAACATACATTATTACCAGCTGACATATTCAGATGGATTAATGTACCAGAAAAAAAAAGTTTTCACCTTGGAAAGGAGAGTCAAGTCTTGATGCACTGGGGAGTAAAATGGGTATGTTTTGAAGGAGAAGCAGGATGACAAGAAAATTTCTAGTACAGGAATTATAAAACTAAATGCCTTAAAGGTCAGGAAAAGTTACGCAGGCAAGGTGTTCAAAAAATGCTTGTAAGTAACTGTGGATAAATAGAGTCCCTATGCCACCTAAAAGCATTCCAGTCCTACATATTATGTCAACCAAATAAAATAGCCCAGAATCCCCACTGTGAGGCAACTGGTCCAGAGAATTGAGTTCAGTGGAGAAAAAGAACCCCAAGCAATAAGGCATAGAAGTCAACAAGCATATGTGGTGAGAGGTAAGCCCTCCAGCACAAAGGCATGTCTTTAGTGTTGTCTTATCAACACCAAGAGTTACCACGTTAGAGAATTATGTGCTTAAGGCTTTACATCTTTTATAAATATAAGTTATACTTCAAGGGATAAATTGTCATAATTCCATGCATTATCAAAAATAGAACTAAAATTTCCATAAGCAATAAGAACAATAACAACAAAAAAGGAATATCTGTTGGAACCAGCCTTAGGGATTGAAATTGGAGATTTAGTGCTGTCAGGAGATTTTCTCTTTTTCCTTTCTCTTTTTTCCCCCTCTCTCTTCTCTCTATCCATTTATTTTTCATTCTCTTTGCATATATGTTCCATTCTCTTCTGTAAATGGGTTTTTCCTATGTCCAGCAACCTCATCCTATTGATAATCATGAAAGAGAGAGAGAGAGAGAGAGAGAGAGAGAGAGACAGAGAGAGAGAGAGAGACAAAGGAACATTCCCTTTATTCTATTATTCATATATTAATCCTATAGCGGTAATCTAATTTACTTTATTTGTGTCACATATACTCTGCATGGACCAATAATTATTACTTGGATTATAGTTTACCATGAATGACCCTACTGGCCAGGCATAGGTTTTATTTCTATTCCAAGTGACCAAAGGATAGGTCTATAACCAGGGAAAATGAATAAGAATGCTTGATAGGCAAGAAAATTAATACCCACAGTTCACTACATATTGATGCTAATTAGACAGCTATACCTCAATGAAAATAAATTAATTAAAATCTTTCTTGAGAAAGAGAGAAACAAAGAGCATAAACGCAGGAGACTCAGAACCATATACTTGTTAAGATTATCAACAGTAAGCCCTGACTTCCTATCTGGAACATAGGAAAACATTTACTAGATTTTGTGATCTTGGATAACTTCTCTAAACTTCTTAAATCTCAGTTTCCTCTTCCATAAAATGGGAATAATTTTTCCCGGTATATCACCTACGTCTAAAATGGTCACCATATCATGATTCCAAGCACTTACCACAGAGTAAACATATGTAAAATACTTAGCATGGAAATAAACAGTATTTAATTTTCAATAAATAGTATTCAGTGCATTAAAGCTATAATGCATTGATCAACTAATGAGAGAATGAACAGGAGATCTCACTAGGAGGCCAGGGAAAAATACATGAAATTCCAAGGTTTGAGGGTCAAGAGATGAGCTTTGTGGTATTGTTCTTTCAAGGTTGACTACAATGGTATTGAAGTTTATTCTTTTGTTCTTCTACATTTTAAAAATTATCTGTCTAAATACAGTACAGCCCATAAGTGCAAAAACAGAAAACTATGAAAACAAAACAAAACAAAAAACAGTTGTATTTGTTCTTAGCTACATTATGTCATTCAAGCTGTAATTTCCATATGTTAGCTATGTTGCTGTCACTCCAAACAGAGTGATGGAAGTTAAAAAGTATTTAAAGGAACTTATGGTTATTCCCAGACATCTGGATATTTGTCATCATGGAGGCAAAACATCCATATATTTTCATCAAGAAGCTTTGAGATTAAGCAGCAATATACAGGGAATATCTAATAGGGGTTTCCTTTTTAATTTGTCTCTAGTGGTCATAAAGGTTTTGGTCTGGCATAATCCTAAATTTTTGTTTGTTTTGTTGTTCAATATGAAGATGTCATGTGCTCTGAATATATGCCATAAAGTTTTTCATAAACTTGGGATTAGTTGATATTGCTCTATCCTAGTGCTGTCTGTGGCAAAGGGGTGCATTTCACGATGGTGTCCATGGAGAAACAATGAAGCTACCAACTAGCAAAAACAAAGATCACTACTGTGCAGGAGCTCTATAAATATCAGGTTTTTGACACCTGGTTCCACATTAGTTGAGACAAATAGATTACCCTAAGGACCCAGGTAAAGACGAACAAGTTCATAAATTTAATGGTTTGCTTGCCTTGGATTTTTTTTCTCATAGCAAAGCTAAAATGTTATATTTTTCTTCTAAGATTTCATTTTTTCATTCTCATTTACCAAAGATATTTAAAAATACAATTCTTAATAAGATCCTGCCCAGTTCAGCAAAGATAATTAAATTTTGAGCAAATACATTTGACTGTTGGATCCACGTGAAGACCTATCCATGCCACTACTGGGCTGACTTTCCCTCAGATCCATTCCCTGCTTTCTTCTGCTAAGCTCTGTGTCACAGAGACTGAATTCTAGCTATTGCATTCTTAGCCTCCTGAATTAGCTGGCTTTTCTTGTGTTTGCCCAACAGAAGTTACTGGCAGGAGATTGGAGGATGGAAGAAAAGGAGAGGCCAGGGTATTTATTTTTGTGCCTTCCTCCCACAGGAAGCATCTCCAGCAGCTTTATCTTTTCTATGGCTCCAGCTCCTATTAGGAATAAAAAAAAATTACCACTATTTCAACTGCTATTGAGTCACTCCAGCTGCTGAACTACAGTAAAATCTCTTCCAGCCTAAGGCTAGGAGTGGAGGCATGTTTTTATTGCTAATCTTGAGGTTGCCTCACCACACTCAGAATTAATAGTTCTTCCATCATCAATTTGCTACATCAAATTCTCTTAGTTTTAAATAGTTTCTAGTTTCCTGGCTGGACGCAGACTGCAACACCAATTATCATTACTTGCCTAGTTGTTAAATAGAGAATATACCATTTTTAAACAAGTAACTCTAAAATATTCCAAATAGTTACCAATTTTTGTCATTAAAATTAATTTTTTTGTACTTGTACCAGCTTAATAAGATGAAAATGGGAAAATGTAGTTTTAAAATGTGAGCACATGGCCTCAAGCCACAATCATGGCCCCATTAAATAATTCTGCTCCCCTGATTTAGCTACAAAACATTGTATTGAAAGTTCAACTGCATAAGTTACTGTGTATATACTTATAAACTAGAACAAGCCTGTTTTTGTTCAATCTGGAAGGCACTTTCTCCCATATCCTCAAGGATCAATGTCATACAATGGCCTAATGAAATCCAAAGAGCCCCTTTTTCCCTGGAATTTTGCACAAACCAAAAAAAAAAAAAAAAAAGGACAAGTTTAACTGCCATATTCTCAGGAAGGAGGAAAGTTGGAGTGATGAAGGCACTACATGCAGGAATTCCAAACTCATATGCCTTGAGTCTCTTCTATATCTCCTTGAATGGACATTAATAAGGATGCATCTTATCGGCCCATTCTACTTAAATCTGTATAATTGTGCCACTTTAACATTTTCAGCCTTCCAATCCTGTGGATTGTTGACCTAACAACTAACCATTTTATTCTTTTATATAGAAAAGTTCCTCCACTTTGGGAGGCCGTGGCGGGTGGATCTTGAGGTCAGGAGATTGAGACCATCCTGGCTAACACGGTGAAACCCCGTCTCTACTAAAAATACAAAAAAATTAGCCAGGCCTGGTGGCGGGCACCTGTAGTCCCAGCTACTAGGGAGGCTGAGGCAGGAGAATGGCGTGAACCCGGGAGGTGAAGCTTGCAGTGAGCCGAGATAGCACCACTGCACTCCAGCCTGGGCAACAGAGCGAGACTGTCTCAAAAAAAAAAAAAAGAAAAAAAAAGTTACTATTCTGTTGAAATTGGGAAAATATTCTGCAGAGGATTCCCAGCTAAATCGATGCAGAGAATAAACCAGGAGACAGCTCATGACTGTGATATGATTTGGTTAATTTATTGAACTTCTATCTCTCTGCTAAGCTGTAAGTGCCATGAATATCTGCTCTAAGGAAAATACAGACATGAACAATTCAACTATGGCAGCAGGCTTGCCAAAAATCAAGCTACTAACACACTTACCAAAAACCCTTCTAATTAGCCATGTAATTACTCATAACTGACATTTGTTTAATATTTTAGAAAGGATGCATTTTTATTTATCTAACTTTATTGACACATTTCTGAGGAGGTAGAGTACATATCTGTAGCTCCATTGTATAGATAGGAACTGAGGCTCAGAGAGGTTTGATAACTGCCTCTATTCACGTCTATTAGTTTTTCTACAGCCTTAGTTACATCTATTATTTTGGCTCTAGAGCTATTCTTAAATTCGCTGTAGCCCTGATTTCAACCACACATTTTTGCATTATTAGTAAACCTTTACTTACAGGTAATGACCTACACATAGGAAACACTAAAGTCTGATTTAAAACCAGGTTTTCAGGGCTCCAAACTCTGAGTTTCTCATACTTCACCATATTGTATCCTACAATTTGGCCTTCATGTAAACATACCTTGACCCACGAAACTGTGAAACTGAGGAACTCCACTAAAATCTTACCAAAATAAGTTAATGGCTGCAGAAGACTACATAGAGCTGAGCTAACACACTTTGCCCTTCAATGCTTGCTTCACACTGTGATGTCCTTCCTCTTTTTGAGCCTCTTCTGAACATTTCTCTAATATTGAAGCTTAGTTGCTTTGGATGCTAACATAGTGCACCTTGGGAAAACTTTGATTGCTACAAAGTGCATTCTCATCTTGAGTCAAATTCTGTCTTTCTAATCGCAATTTATTAGACCAAAAGGTCCTAGCTCCACCTTTTGGGCTTAAATAAAACAAAGATTATCTCTGTTTCTCTTTTAAAAAAATACTTGCAAAAAACTATCACTCATTGAATGGCTTAGTCTCTGAGCAAAATATTGCCCGTCCGTTCACCCAGTCCTAATAGTGGAAAGTTTTCAGTTCCTTCTCCACCTCAGATAGTTTCCTCTGTATAGGCTTTGCTGAATCTACATAGCTCCTATTTTAAGGTTTCCAGCTCTAAGCACAATATTTCTGGTATGGTTATATTGAAAAAAAAAGAGCAAAGCCTTTTCTGGACACACTGGTATCTGTTTCTGTTTTCTATCATCTCATCTCTCTCATGTCATGCATCACTCACACAGAGCTCATGGCAAGCACAGATTCCTGCTGGTTCCCTCATGTCCTGCTGTAAAGTCATGTTTTCCCCTGACTCTTCTACTAGCATGTTTATTTTGAATTTAAATCAATTTTCATTTATTAAAATTCATCTTGTTTAGCAACATCATAGAGCATACATTTTGAAGTCAGATTTGGTATGGAAGCAGCTGCTCAACATTCAACAAAATCCATTTCCTCTTCTTCCTGGGCACACATATAGGTCACATGGATGTTTCCTACAGCTGCTGTACAAAGAAGCATACATTAGGTGGTTTGAAACAGAAATTGATTCTTTCACAGTTCTGGAGGTTAGAAGCCTGAAATCAAGGTATTGGCAGGTTTGGTTCATTCTGAGGGCTATGAGGGAAAAGCTGTTCCATGCCTCTCTCCTAGCTTCTGGTGGTTGCCAGAAGTCTTTGGCATTTCTTAGCTTGTAGGTGCATCTCTCCAATCTCTGCCTCCATGATCATGTCGCGTTCTATTTGTGTGTTTACATGGCCATCTTCTTCTAAGGATACCAGTCATACTGGACTAGGGACCAACCTTAATCCTGTTGTATGATCTCACCCTAACATAACTATAATAACAATATCTGCAATAACCTTATGTCCAAATAAGGTCACATTTTAAGGTGTTGTATGTTAGGATTTCAATGTTATTTTTTGAAAGGCACAATTTATTTTTTATTTATGTTTTTTATTTATTATGTATTTAGTTTTTCTTCAACTTTTATTTAAGTTCTGGGGTACATTTGTTGGATGTGCAGGTTTCTTACATAGGTAAACGTGTGCCATGGTGGTTTGCTGCACAGGTCAACTCATCACCTAGGTATTAAGCCCAGCATCCATTAGCTAATTTTTCTGATGCTCTCCCTCCGCCTAGTGTTCTTACCGTTCAGCTCTCACTTGTAAGTGAGAACATGTAGTGTTTGCTTTTCTGTTTCTGTGTTAGTTTGCTGAGGATAACAGCTTCGAATTCCATCCATGTCCCTGCAAAGGACATGATCTAGTTCCTTTTTATGGCTGCATAGTATTCCATGGTGTATATATACCACAGTGTCTTTATCCAGTCTGTCATTGATGGGCATTTGGATTGATTCCATGCCTTTGCTATTGTGCATAATGCTGCAGTGAACATACATGTGCATGTGTCTCTACAATAGAATGATTTATATTCTTTATAAATCATTACTGGGTGTATATACATACACCCAGTAATGGGATTGCTGGATCTAATGGTGTTTCTGTCTCTAGATCTTTCAGGAATCACCACACTGTCTTCCACAATGATTGAACTAATTTAAATTCCCATCAACTGTGTAAAAGCATTACTTTTTCTCTGCGGCTTCTCCAGCAACTGTTGTTTCTTGACTTTTTAATAATAGCCCTTCTGACTGGTGGGAGATGGTATCTCATTGTGATTTTGATTTGCATTTCTCTAATGATCAGTGAAGTAGAGCTTTTTCTCATGTTTCTTGGCCACATAAATGTCTTCTTTGGAGAAGTGTCTGTTCATGTCTTATGTCCAGTTTTTAATGGTTTTTTTTTTTTCTTGCAAATTTGTTTAAGTTTTTGTAGACTATGGATATTAGACCTTTGTCACATGGATAGATTGCAGAATTTTTTTCCCATTCTGTAGGTTGTCTATTCACTCTGATGATAGTTTATTTTGCTGTGCAGAAGCTCTTTAGTTTAATTAGATCCCATTTGTCAATGTTTGCTTTTGTTGCAATTGCTTTTGGCATTTTCGTCATGAAATCTTTGCCTGCAAGGCACAATTTAACTCATAATAACCATACTACCCAAACTTTCCTGCAGTTACATGTAGTTATATAAATTATATTACTGAGTTCTAGCTAGTGGAATGTGAGTGTATGTAACACTTCCACACTTGATTCACAAAAATATCCCATGCTCTTTTTTCCATTTTGTTGGCTAGATACAGCAATGAGAATGGAGAGCCACAGATGGAAAGGACCTGGGTCTCTGACTGCCTTTTGAGGACGGCCACCTCTTAGAGACCAATACTTGCCTTAGTTAAATGAGCTGAACATAGATGTATTTTATATTGAGCCATTATGCTTTAAAAAAATTATGGACTTTCCAAATCCTAACTAAATACTTGGATTGACTTCAATTCTATCATTAACCAGATGTGTGAACTTGGGTGTTATTTAAACTTTCAAAGTCTGTATACTTTTCATAAGAAGAGATGCAATACCTATCATTCAACCAGTTATGCTGAGTCCCTATTAGGTATCAGGACCATGGTTCTGTACAATGAAAATAAAGATCCCTTTCCTCAGGTAACCTACATTCTTCTGAGGGAGATGAATGCTAAACATGTAATCAAATATATAAATATAGAATGTCTAGAATGTCCATAGAGATATAGACTAAAAAATGATCAAGATTTACATAGATTAACTGGGAGGGAGGCTCTAATAAGGTACAGTAGTCAAGAAGGCCTCTCAGGTATGGGAAGGGGCTGGATGTGAGACAAATGGTGAGCAAAAGCCATCCATGTAAAGGGTGCTCTAGGGACAAGCTTTGGCAAGTTGAAGGAATTAAACCAAAACTAGTGTGATTAAAGCAAATGATAAAATGTCTGGAGCATAGGAAATAAGAAAGAAGAGAAATATGAGATGAAGTCAAACTGTAGGCAGGATGTATGTTATATAGGCTTATAGCTCATTACAAGATTTTGGTTCTATTCTAAGAGATTGGCAAACCAATTGGAGCATTTTATGATCTGATTTTTATTTTTAAAAGATTACTCTGATAACCATGTTTTCACTGGATAATAGGAAAAGCATGGAAGCATTTACTAGGCATTTGGAGTAATCCAGGTGAGAAATAATGGTGACTTAGACTAGGATGGCAACAGAGGACACAGTGAAAAGTAGTTGGGTTGTCTTATAGCAAATAAATATGTATCTGGAATAATGATGATGATGATGAGAGCAATTGCAACAAAAATAACAGTAATAATAATAATACCTGGCAATGAATTTAGCCTTTACAATTGGCTTTTACTCTTCAGCTTTCCTTTTCAATTTCATGCACTATAAACATTTAAATCTTATCTTATTAATATCCTTTCCTGGATCAGTAATAAAGTTGTCAACTTCTAATTCAAGAGTGAACACTTTTATTTCCTATCCATTGATAGCCATTATAATGATGTTAAATGAATGAAAATGATCTAATCCTACAACCATAAGCATAATAGAAAGTGAGACATCAGCAGACACTTAAAATATCTCTGAAAGATGAAAAACAGATGAGTTGATGGAATCCAGAGGGGGCTGCAGGTAAAGGGGAAACTAGGCTGCCCCTGGCAATAATGCAAGTGACCCCAGATGATTGGAGTGAAAAGTGGGTCTGAAAGAGAAAGAATAATTAAGTTCCTATGTTTGTAATAATTCTCCATCTCTAATCCAGAAGCCAGGTATTAACTACCAAAGCAAATATATACAACTAAGTAAACAGCCAAAGGAAAATCAGTCTCAGAATAAATTTAGCTGCCTAGCAAGAAATGGGGCAACTAGTATATTCTGGCATTTAGAAAATTTTAAGCACAGTGACTGACACTCAGCTCTGTATCCTGTTTGGCAAAAGCAACCTGTCAATAAAACTCATTTATGAACAGAGTGGTATCAAGCAAATATTTTATTGTATCATTTTAAAATGTGAAAGAAAACAAAAGTAATGTAAGAAGTAGAAGGGCAATTTATTCTTAGAAAGATGTGTATGTGTGTGTGTGTATATATATATATATATATAAAATTCATAAAATAAAAGAGTAGCATTACTCACCAAATTAAGGATCAAGGGAAAAGAAATAATTACTAATTACAAAATTAGTAATTGAAAAATTGTTAGAAGATGAAGTCAAAGGAATTCCTCAAATATATATTAAAACACATAATCATAGGAAAAAGATAACAATGACAAGGTATTCATTTAAGACACTCAGCACTGAATTAGTTTTCTGAGAAGGGAGCATACATGAAATGGAGATAAAATTATTTTTAAAAAGTACAAGAATATTTCCAGAGCTATGGTAGATATGCTTAAACTAAAAGAGCTTGACAAATATTGAACAAAATGAGTAATACTTTAAAAAATTGAGCCAAAATTGAATACTTTGAAATATTGAACAAATATTGAACAAAATGAGTAATACTTAAGAAATGCTTTCTAGAGGTATCATTGTAAAATCTTAGAAAACAGGAGTGTTCCATTTATCTAGTGCTGTGTGGCAGACCACTTCAAGATTTCGAGACTTCATTAATATGTGAAACAGCTTGATGTAGCCATTCCACAATGTATACATATATCAAAACATCATGTGTGCATCATGTTGTGCACTAATAGATACAATTTTTGTTTGTCAGTGTAAAAACTAAATTTTAAAAAACATGGCTTCAAACAACAGCAACATTAATTTTACTCACACATCTGCAGGTGGGGCAAAGCTCAGCTCATCTCTGTTCTACTTCATGTCAGCTCTGGCAGCTCAAAGGCTGGGGTTAAAGTCTTTGGAAAGCTCACTCACTCGCATGCCTGGGCAACGGGAAAACTAAAAAACATCTGTGCTGAACAGCTGGGTTTCCTCAGGCATCTTTGTATCTCTATGTGGTCTCTCCATGTGATCCTTCCAGCATAGTGGCTTCGGGATAGTTAGACATCTTACATGTTAACTCAGGCCTCCTAAGGTACATATCCAGAGAGAAAGAGAGAGAGAGAGAGAAAGAGAGAGAAAGAGGCAGACAGAAACGCTACCATTTTTCTTTTCTAATACACATTTTGTCTTAGAATTAAGATTAACAGAAAAGTTAGAAAGATAGTACGGGGTCCCTACATACCCTGCATTCATTTACCCCATTGCTAACATCTTAAATTAATCCATTATATTCATCATAACTCCTCAACCAATATTGATATATTATTATTAAAGAAACACCATCATTTATTTAGATTGTATTCCTTTTTCTCTAACATCTTTTGACGATTACTGGTAGTATTTTGCAGAATGTCCTTCATCTTGAGTTCATCTGATATTTTTCTCATGTTAAGACCAGGGTTATGTTTGTGTAGAGAGGAAGACCACAGAGGTGAAGTGCCATTCCCAATATAATACAGCAAGAGAACTTATCTTCTCACTGATGATGTTAACCTTGTTCACCTCACTAAAGTATTGTTTTTCAGATTTCTCTGTTGTAAAGTTATTTTATTTCCCTCCTTTCTATACTATATTATGTGGACACAAGTCACTAAGCACAGCCCATATGTGAGGAAGAACTCATGCTCTGCTTCCCTGAGGGTGCAGTATCTACCTAAATTATTTGGCATTTTTCTCTATGGAAGATTTCTGTCTTCTCTCTCATTTAGTTTTCAATCGTAGTGGTACAGACTCACAGATATTTATTTTGTACTTTGGGTTATAATTCAATATCTTATTCATTTTGTTGCTCACATTGTTTCAGCTTTGACCATTAAGCATTTTTTCAGTTAGAAAGTGTTCCTTTGAATTACCGCCATTGTTTTGTTTTTTGAGCAATACCCTAAATTTTAGCACATCAACATACTCCAGGTTCATCTTGTACACTTTCCCTCCCAGCTCTAGAACCAAACATTTCTCAAAGGAGCCCTGCTTACTTTTATTGGAGAATGGAGTTAGAAACTGTCTGAACGCTGGAGTACTCATTGCTTTTAGGCTTTCTCAGCAAATGGAGCAAGGAAATATATGTATGCATACTAACACGTGTATTATATATACATATGTATATATATACACACATATATATAATTTTGCTTTTATATATCTATCAATATCTATATTAAGCTAGACACAAGTCCCTACAAATATCTCTGATTCTAGTCTGGTACCTTATGCTTCATTCCAGCCTTTCCTCCTTGCTTCTCTGTAACTGCTAACTCCAACAGAAAAAACCTGGCTTCTACCACCTGCCATCTATTTACTTATTGTTCAATTCTAGTATATATGTGCAGAATTTCAGAATTCTTAACCTGTACTCCCATGACAAACAACTTTAGCAGCAACAATCCAATGCTTATGTATAGTTTCCTGGTCTTTATTCTTCCAGTTTTCAGTCATTTCCAAAGTTATTTAGCTGAATACTTATTTTCTCCACCCTTTTCAGTGAGATTATATCACACGTTTGTAATACAGTTAGATTATTTTGACACAGTCTGCATTCTATCCTGGGATCTCCTGTATTCCTGGTTGATTTTTTTTTAAATTCATCTATTAAGCTTTATTCTTAGTCCTTGAAGTCCTATGGATTTTGAGAAAAGGAGGGGTCAAACAGTATCATTTTGATTCATTCCTTAGTCATAAAAACATCTTCAGTTCTTCAACTCATCTTAGTCAACATTCTCCCTTCCCAAAGGCGCTGGTGCCATTGATAGATTTTCATCTCTATGGTTTTCCCTTTTCCAGAGTATCATTTCAATGCAATCATATGGTATGCAGCCTCACAGGACTGATTTTTTTTTCACTTGGGAATATGTACTTACGATTCATCCATGTTGTTGTATGGATTAATTAATAGCTTATTTGATTTGATCATGAAACAACATTCCAAAGTATAAATCTGTACTTTTTGTCCATTATCCTGCTGAAAGACATTTTGGCTATTTCTGTTTTTTGACATCTATCACTTTTTAACCAACCTTGAAAGTCACACAGCATCACTTAGGTTACATTAAATTCATTAGGAGCAAGTCACGAACATCAGCCCATATTCAAGTGGAGAGAAATTAAACCCAACCTTTTGTAGGATGAGCATCAAAGTGTTTGTGGTCATATCTTAAGACCACCTCAAAAGGATAAAGAAAAATATCCTGACTGTCTTCAGGGATTCTTCAACTCTCCAAACTCAGTTCATGAGTGTTGGAATAATTATCTATTGCTATGTAACAAATTATCACAAACTCTGCTTCTTAAAATACTATTCATTTATTATCTCACAGTTCTGTGGGTGGGACATCTGGAACAGGGTAGGTTCTTTGCTCAGGATATCACAAGGCTAAAATCAAGGTGTCGGTAGAACTAAGTTTTTGTTTGAAGGCCATAGGGGAGAATCCCCTTCCAAACTCATTTAAATTTTTTGTTTGTTTGTTTTGTTGTTTGTTTTTTTCCAAGCTAGATTTGTTTATTTGTGCTTATAAGACTGAGGTCCCTGTTTTCTTATTGGCTGTCAGCTGTCAGCAGGGGATAGCTCTCAGCCCCTAGAGGATGCCCCTCCTCACTGGCCCTTCACAATGTAGCTGTTTGCTTTTTCCTAGGTCAGCAGGAACACGTGTCTCTGACTTCTTGCTCTGCTTCTTTCGTATCTGAAATCAAAATCTAGATGTAAGGGGCTCATGATGAAGCCAAGTCCACCCAGATAATTTCCCTTTCTTAATGTCAGTTGTGCCATATAACATAATCTAATCGCAGAACTGACAGCCATCACCCTCATTGTACTGGGGATTATTCAAAGTCTATACACCAGGACCTGAGGATCTTGGGGGTCATCTTAGAATAATATCTACCACAATCATGGATTATACTTAAAGTAAATGGCATACCTTTGACCAGCTATTGGAATGTCACAAAGGAGAATTTATTTGCATATGCTTTCTTGAGTGGCAGAGTAGAAATCTCATTGAAGTAGATATTGAAGTATGTATTTACTGAAGTATGTATGGGGCATTATGCACACAATAATAATGTAAAAAAGTATTGGTTTTTAACTTTTAGGTTCAATTCACAGATGAATTATGAAGTTTTGTCATAATAATGGAGTAGAATTTAAATGTCATCAATCTTGACAATACAAAAGTCAAACTATGGCTCATGCAAGTTGGTGCGTGGAAGAAGTATGAGAAGTAAAGAAATGATTATGGGTATTGATATACTTATCTAGCAATAAAGGGATGGTATATACTGTCTAAAATTGAAAAACAAACAAAAACTTAAAAAAACAGAAGTTTAAATGAGAGGTTAGCAAAATTTTTCCTTTAGAAGGCCAGATAGTAAATACTGTAGGCTTCGCAAGTGATACGGTTTCTGTTGCAACTACTCAGGCCAGGCATTGTGGTATGAAATTATCCATACAGAACCCTAAACAGATGGATAAGGCAGTGTTTCAATAAAACTCTATTTACAAGAACTGGCAGCAAGCTGGATTTTGCCTACAGGCCATGGTTTGTCAATCCTTGGTTTAAAGAATATTCTTTAAAGACATAAAAAGTAAAGTAGTGCTGTAACTTTATTAAGAAGAGGTGAGGATGAAGCAGATTTTTAAGTAAGCTAAATCTTTACAGCCACAGCATAATAAGCAATAAATGATGGCTAAAGTTAAAACATCAAGAAGTGGTACTATGAACAATCATTTAGAGAAAATTGAGGCAATTAATTTAAACACTGAAATCACAGATTATTGCTTCCAGGGAGTGTGTTTGCAGTGGGGAGAGATGGGGTAGGAACTACTGCTTGTAAGCATAAACTACTTTGTACTATGAGAACTTAAATATTTACATATTACCTTGATGACAATTTTAAAGAATAAACTATTGAATAAAACAAATTTGTAGACAGAGCCTCCATTTACTAAATTGATTGACCCATTATCGGTTTTGATTACTATTATTATTAAAATCTAATTATTCCGAAGAATATATTATTTCTTATTATTTATAAGGCTACAGCAAGAGTTTTTATAAATTCCACGGTAAAATTTAGAGATTGTATGTAACTATATTGATAGAATTTCCTTGATGACCAGATTTTGCCTTATTTTTTTATAAAAGACTAGTAGACAATGATATGACATTAGTAAATTTATGCAGTTTTCTAAGAACTAAACAACCATTCTGTGAATACAACTTTGCAGGAAAAAAACAGTATTTATTTCAATTTTATGGTGAAAATTTCTGTTTGTCCATTATTAAGATTTATGGTGATTTTCCTGTTCTGTATGTTCTTTAGATATTCTTGGCAGTGGTTCAGCTATCTCATATGTGAATCTCCTTAAGACTACAGTAATTTTCCATGACACCATTTGTTCTAGTCAGAGATAACGTTTTAGCCCAACAGCCTGTACTTTATAATATTCTTATCTTTAAGGACTTCCATTCCACATTACTAATGCTTATTTTCTATTTTTTAATGCAAATGCTATTTTTCTTTATATAAGAAGTGAAATACAAATGAGACAAGTAGTTTCATTTTTCCTTTGGTATTTGTTATTATGATTCGCTGTAGGCAACAAATCAATATTGTATTTGTTGCACATCCAAACATATGAAACATGAATTCCACAAAACTTTTTATTGAGTTATAGGGTACCCCACTGATTTGTAATCAAAAGAAAATGCCAGTGTGTTTTCTGAGCATTGCATTATTTTCATAAAATTATAGGCAATGTGTTACTATCCATTGGAGAGTATTTTATTAAAAACTATTAATAATAAAATCAGCACATCATCAAATTAACAATTTTTATGGGTACTATTAATTTGGTTAACTCTCAGATTGTTCTTTCTATGACCATATGATTATGAGAAATGAAAACATAATAAAAATACTCATGGAAATTAGAAAACTGGTTCAAATTAACCTATTACAGTTTTGTTTTTACAAGTGTTTTCACTATTTAAAGAAATATAATATGTCACTTATTTTGAGCAAACTCAAACAAATGTTAATCTTAAAATGAAAAATGAAAAAGCACTCTCTCTTAAGATTATCAGTCTAAACTATACCTAAGTGTAGCAACCAGAAAATTTCCTAATTATTTGACTTGAAGTGTCTAGTAATATTTATAACAATATTTGTAATAAAACTAACATATATGTCCTACTTACCACTTGTCAGGAACTATACTAAGTGCTTTATATATACAGCATTTCCTTTAATTCTCTCAACACTCTACAAATATGTGTTATCCCCTTTTAAATACAGCAGAAAACTTGGGTCTGAGGTATTAAACATTGTGCCTTGCAGGATAAACATTTGAACAAAAGTTAAGCTCAGCAGAGGCTGAATTTGAATTAAGAAATTTAAATTCAGTTCTCACTTCATAAATTTTTCTGTGAATAAAGAGATAGAGGAACAGAGAGGAAAGATAAAACCCTGAAATATGTTCATACCCAAAAAAGGGGAAGGAGGGAAAGTAGGCAACCTGTAAAGCTTTAGATAAAAAAAAAAAGAGATGCCCGTTAGAGTTTCATCAGCTGAAAGTATAAATGCCCTAAGTTGGGAAAATATTTCTGTTCTTTTAACTGATATTATTTGACTATCATGAAAGGAGAACCAGGAGAAATTTGGAAAGAGGAATTTGAAGCCGTGTTCTTTTAAAGAGTTAGAGATTAGAGACAAGACAGCAATGACAGTGATGAAAATGGTTGACAAGAAAGGGTTAGGTGAAACAAGAGAGACGTGCAGGATTGGAAGCGATAGCTTTATCATACACAGATGGTTCTGAATTGATAGGCATATAGGCTATCCTAGATACAGGATGAAATAATGACGGAACTCTTCCTGGTATGGGAGTGAAGGGGATGTGTTTAATTTGGAGCTTAAAAGCTATCAAAACCATATACATTGTAGAAAAAAAGTTGAAATCCTGAAAACCATTTAACCATGTTTTAAGATTTTGTCATATATTGTATCCATACCCTCCAACAAAGGTACACACACACACATGCTTCTAGATCTGCATTATTTCTCTCTGTGATAGCACCACCATGTACCCTGTTAACCTCATGTATGAACCTAGCGGTCATTTCATACTCGCTTTTCTATTCTACTCACATCTGTGCAATCAACAAGCCCTTTCAATTCAACCTTCTAAACATCTCTATTCTCCTGCTCTTGATAACTATAATGGCCTCAATGTAACTCACCCTGTGCATAATCTTTCCACTCCTACAACTCCCCAACCCATTCTCTGCACTGCCTCCCAGCTGATATTTTTAAAGCACGCATACCCACTTACACACAGTGATTATAAGGTATCTATGTTCACAGCTCTGCAAGAATTACTTATGTCAGTGGGAGCAGTCGTTTGAAATGCAAGGTTGTTCAAACATCATTTCCAGCCTCAATGCATACCACCACCACCCTTTGCCCCCAGCAAAATTGAGCTAACTTTATTTGCTTAAACATGTCTTGCTCCCTCCTACCTTTACACTGGCTGCTCCATTTGCTTAGAATATTCCTTCTCACCTATGCATGGACTAGTCCACTTGGAAACCTTCTGAAAGTTATAATCACTTCTCCAGTCTTAAAACTTTGACTCCAAGGCAGGCTTATATGCTTGTCCTCCATGCTGTCTCCAAGTGCTCTGGACATGTCTTTACTCCTGCAGTTATACTGGGCTATAATTTGTTTTCTTATGTGTCTCCTTTTCCTACTTACACCTTAATCTTAAAAGTTGGACTAGCTCTTTAAATTTTATAATTCCTATGTCTAGTATAGTTCCTGGGACACAATAGTTTTATAAACAGTTGTGAATAATAGACGAATTAAAGTAGTTTATTTTTAATTAAAATTTCTTTCCTCTAGTGAAGACCTCCAGCTATTACACTAAGTTCATGACACTTTTTTGTTTGTACATATATGGAGGAATATTAGACTGTTTTCTATTTCAAATTTATTTGAAAATATTTGTAATCAAAATGATTGGATTTACTTTCATCCAGAACTTGAAATAAAACACGCTTTGCAAAATAATTTTTTATCTTTCTTCTCACAATCACATAAAATCCTATAGAGAAATATAAACAGAATCTGTACTTGATGTTAATTCTGTGAGATTGGAATTAACAGGCAGTGCTGAAAGGATGATTCTTCATAGCACAGGCATCTTTTCTAAAGTAAAAGTATTTGGGGCTACAAAGAACTCATGTCCTCATGCTGCCTACAACAATGTTTTAATATTGGAGGAAATATTTCCAGTACACCACCTTATTAATTTTTAAACAGAAGAAAATTTCTTTCAATACTTTATAACAAATCAATATCAGCTGATCTGTCAAGCTTATCATCATGTGAATAGTATAAGAATATATACCCTAAAGTAGTTTTAGTCTATACAGAGTATTGTTTTGCAATAGGAAAAACAAATTGCTACCAAAGGGTTTACAGAAACTGAAACAATCATGAAAAAATTTACTCAATTTAACAACTGTTCAATTCAACTACTGGTGACTGCACACTTATTAAATACTCAATTTTTTTAAAAAAAGAAAAGTATATGACACATCCATACTCTGGGTACTTATTTTGCAACTTAGAAAATTGAAGTGTAATACTAAATACATGAAGTAAATGAGACGAGGATATGAGGGCAGAATAGTTTAATTTTTAATATATTCTGTTAAAGTTTTCATACGTTAGATGATCCCTATCACCATGATTGTGTTTTGCGTCTGACACAACAGACAATGGAATTCTTGGTGGCCAAAGAGTGAAGATGAGTAGAGTTAGAGTGCTCCATTTCTCAAGGGAGCAGGGACCTCGCTTCTACCCAGAGAAATCTAGTGATAAATTTCTTTTTATTTTAATATAACTGGTTGAGCTGATTGGAGTGGGGAGGTGGAGGGAGCAGATGTTATGGTGGGAGGGGTCTGTGAAAGAGGGAAAAAAATAAATCCCTAAAAGCAGAAGATGAGTGGTTCCTAAAAATATATTGTTATTAAAATGTTTGTTTGAAATTTTTCCTCTTCCGCCTTCTAAAAGAAAACATAGAAAGGAACATAAGGTTAGAGTTTAAAATATGCATCCATATGAGCAATGCCTCTAAAGATATTTGTGTTACTGAGTTATAAATCATAGGAATCATCTGTGAACTGTATAAAAAGTGGAGTTTCCAAGGCAGGTTTGGAAGGGTTTTATAGAAAAAGCAAGGGACCTACCTTTAAGAAAATGGGTAGTCTAAAACTTACTCTACACATCATTCATAATCTAAAAATTTCAAAACACTAAAAGAATATTTGTCTGAGGGAGTCTAAATATGAAAACTAAACTCTTAATTATTAATTTAATTTGCATTTTGTTAGTAAGATGCTGTAGTGATAATAAATTTGCAATCCCTCTGTACATAACATTCATTGATTTATGAATGCCTCTATAATTATTTAAAGGTGTTTCTAATACAAAATAATTACAACATAATAAATGAAAATGTGGTACTTTTGAATCTAAATTTTGTATGTCAGAAAAACAATTACTTATCAATCATTTCACCTAGAATAAAATAAAGTTATGACTTTCTAAAATTAAATATGATGAGCCAGAAAAGCTTAATTTCACTTCATTCATGGATTTATCTCATATTCCTTAACGAAATGTAATATGAATTAATTTGCCATTTTGTCATTAAATCTAGGTGGCACTACCAGTTAATGTACTAAGTGAGAACCATTGTTGTTATTAACAATACTTGTAAAATAAAGTACTATAAATATAACAAAGCGGTTACTGGAGATATGCCAAAGCTGGCACTGCAGATCAATTGATCACCCTAACTTTTGTGGATTCAGGTTGTTCGCCGCAGTACCAGGACACTGCAGTCATCTCCCAACTGCCCACAAAATGAAAATAGCTGGCATGCATATGGAGATTTTTTAATTGCAAAGAAAGTCTGATAGTGGATCCTAGAATAACCACACTTCCTTTGTGCTCCCCCACTTCTGTCCAAATCTGAAAAAGACCTCCATATGCTTTAAATATTATAGCCTGACACATACACCTATGCAATGAAAACTTACTCTGAGCTTCCTTATCACCTCCCTCCAAGTAGATTACCTTATATCAGAAATTACATGGAACGCATGGAATGTCTTTGCAAAAATGTATCCCACAAACTTCACAGACAGGAAGAAGCCAATGTGAAATCTACTATTTAATTCTGGTGGCTTAAATTAGCTATTTATTCACTAAGCATTTTTTCTTTCAGTCCAGACAAATAGTGAAACTATATCTGCCAACCTCCCTTGCTATTAAGTGTGGTCATGTGGCCGAGTTTTGGCCAGAGAAATATAGCAGACATGGTATATACCCTGTAAAGCCTTCCTGTTATCATGTACTCTCTTTCTTCTCACATCTGACAGCTGGATGTTGATGGCCAGTACTGTTCTGGAGTCTCATGTTAACTTCTGTTAAAAAAAAAAAAAAAAACTAGTCTACAGTATGTAATCTAGTTAACAGATAAGGGCTATGAGGAGACTAAGGCTTATTATGGTCAAGTGTCCTGCACAATTAAACTAGAAGCTTCCAATTTTGTATAATAGTGAATTCCACTGCCCTATAATTATTCCTGTTTTACAGCTGGGAAAAACTGACAAGGTCACAGATGCCCCTTTCACCTTTTCTAATGATTGATATTAATGGCTTCTTCAAATTATGAGTATGTTCAAGACCATGTGCTTCTCTTCTTTGGAATTTGATGAGATTCGTTCATTCAACAAATTTTTTTGAATACCCATTATGTACCAAGTATTGTTCTAGATTCTTGGGAAACACAGTGAAAAAATACAGGTAAAGAATCTTGCCTTATAGAGTAAGTTTCTATGCTGTAAATACCTGATGTAGAGAGAATTGATTAATTACAGTGCAATTAATTAAGCAAACATTTTTAAGCCACTGGTAGTCTTGCATTTCTGCAGCACATTCAGGGAGGACCTTTGATGTTTAAAATAAACACTAGACGCTGTGAAAATATGAAATGCCAAGTCTAACCTCAAGAATGGTCTCCATGGACAGATAAGCCAGAGATGCACACAATTTCTATCAGACATCTTTAAGTACCACTTTACATCCTCTCAGCATGACCTCTTTCTGGACCTTCATCCACCTTTGATTGCCAATTGCCATGAAGTCGGCCAGCTTTGAATGGGCTCAGACTAATCTCTTATGGACAGAACCTGACAGTGCTTGGGTACTGTCCTCACTGCTCCCTTTCACCTCCCATCCTTGAGCTTTCCTGTTAGTGCTAAACTTCAAGCTGCAGAGAGAATGACTCAAATGCAATTGAGAAGAAAGAGGGCATTAGCACATCATAGAACAAACTTTTGACCAGTGGAAGACAGCAGCCAGCATATAATTATTTCTCGGTTCTGCACTCTGCACAGAGTCCTGAGATGCACCATTTATATGGGCTCTATGAGGATGATTCCTCAAGAAAAACCAATTAGTTGTACTTGATAACAAGCAGTACCCATGTCAGGAATTCACTCTCTTGAGTTTAATTTCTTCTCTTTCCCTATATCTTCCTCCCTTTTCTCCTTACCTCTGCTTCTTTATGATTATCTGATCTGGTTAACTATTAGCATACACAATTTTGCCCCCGTCTCTGCTTTCTAGGAACACTTATTACACATGGCAAAATGTGGCAGTGATCACAAGAGATTTGTGAATGATGTGATATGAGGGTATACAAAAATAGATCTGTTTCTCGGTGTGGTTTCTAGGTATGTCAGGAAAGTCAAGGAGAAGGTGGGTTTTTAGGATTTATTTTAAAATATTAATATATTCCTGACAGATGAAGAAGGATACAATTGGCATTCAAGTTTGAATAATGTTGCAAATGTGTGTGTGAAGGTAATTAATTGTGGGATGTGACCACAAACAGTAAACGGGGAGAAGGTTCTTTAGAAGAAAGTGGAAGTTAAGGCTAACATTGAAGATGGTGAATACTATAGACACACAATGCTAAAAATAACACACACTTCTTTCAGGTTACCATGTTTGATGCCAAGTCAATAGGAAGCCAGAGCCTCATGAAGGGGACAGAGAAAGAGACTGGACAGTGGTTGAGAAGCATCTTCTCAAATTGTATCTTGCATAAAATTTTTCTGTACAAAATTCTGGGTTCCGTCCTTTGAGATTGTGATTCAGGTCTGGAGAGGGGCCTTGGGTCTTCATTTCTACTAAATTTCTAGATGCTGCTGCTATATCTATTAGGCAACCACATTTTGAATAGCACTGGTTTAGAAAATGTCTGTCCTTTCTACATATCAGTCCTAGAGGTGGCTTGGAACTCTGTGTTTTTCAAATTGGAATATTCCCTCTTTAGCCATCCTTTAAGTGCTTTCTGAGTACATGTGCACTTTACATAAGTTAAGACATTTATTTAAAGCAATGTATACAGCATCTAATTTGTGCACAGCTCTATGGTTGATGCTGACAGAGAAACATTGCCAGCTAAGCCTGAGAGATTAACTTTTCTAATTATCTCAACACTAACCCACATTCTACAGAGGAGATTGGGTTTCTGCTGCAATAGGACACAGAAATGAAAATTTTAATGGGCTGGAAGCATCCAGAGGGACATGAAAAAGGAAGATTTAGAGAGATAAGATGTCAAACATGGTCTCATCTTCCTGTTGTAATTTTCCTGACTCTCTGCCACTGGGTATTATTTAGCCAAGGAGGTGATCAGTCTTTGAGTAGGTTTCAAATACAAAGAAGAAGCAGAATGTAGTGTATGTAATCTCAAATTTGCCCATTGATTTCACAGATTCCTAGGTCCGTTTCTGAGTGCCGCACTTCACTTCAGGAGGGAACAAGACAGAATAAAACAAGCATGTAATATGAGGTACCATGAAGAGAACTGGGATACTTATTGTGAAAAGTAGATTCATTGTGCTAATGGGTGTTGACTATGACAAATATTATTTTCTAAAAGGCTGCCATATGAGATACTAGAAGCTAGAAACAAAAGAAAAGAAGGGTAATGTATGGAAGTTAAAATGAAACAAACTGGATCAATCTTTATAAAATTTGTCCACAGGAAATGTGCTGCTTGGTGAGAAAGAAAGTTTGATCGTTACTGGAGCTGTTCAAGGTGAGTCAAGTTAGCTGACTTCTAGTTGGAAATACATTTTATAATGGTTTAGAAAATCCTTTGCCAATAATTCCAAGTTGATAGAAAAAAAATGACTTTTCTTTTTTGTAATTGCATATTTGCACAAATTCCAGAAGACCTGAATTCATAGGTGAAAATTTCATTTTGTTCATAGTACTAAAAACCATATAGATGAGTGATTTAAAACATAATATGGGAACAAAAAAGCCATCCTCTGGTCAGGGCACTGGGTCTGCATTAAACACAGCAGGGCCCTGGTGAACATTTAAAGCCCTCAGTGGGAAGTGATTATCTTTCTACTCTCTAGGTTTGCCTGAAATTACCCAGTCTTGTCCATGCTGAGTCCTGAGTGTTAAGGGAAATTAATTGATGGTTTAATAAGTGAGAAATGAAAAGAGAGTTATATTCTGCTGTGCTAAATTTTAAATAGAGTTTCATTTTCTTGTAGTGTCCATTAACTTATATTCACCTAGAATGCGAATTACTTAGGTTGTAATTTGAGACCTAATTAGAGTAAAACAATTTATCTTATTGCTGTTGAGAATTCTTTACCAGGTACTCTTAGCAGCATAAATTTTGAAAATGGTTAAACTAGGAAATTCTGGCAACCCATTTATTTATGTCTTAATGAGAGAAAGGAAAGAGAGAGAGAGAGAGAGGCAGAAAGGGAAAGAGAGAGAGAAGAAATAACACCACAAATTTTAACACATAGAAAGAGAACAGGGGGACACATAAAATATCAATCATAAAAGGTCTATGGAGTTCTTTTTAAAATGTCTCTTCCTAAGTTTTTCATGCACATGCTTAAGAGTCAGCACCATAAAAGCAAAAGCATAATGGATAGTAAAGTATGGGACTTGTTTCCCTTTAGTTATAAAGGGGATACATGTTGTATTTTCCTATGTCAGAAACTATTATTTAATTATTTTTTTAAAAAAATTTAATGGCCAGAATTAGAGTTTCTAGAGAAACTCAAAGACAATAGAAAAGACAAAAACAGGAACACTCAAGGAAATGTTAGCTTCTAGTATCTGCAGCTACAGGCAAGTAATAAATGTAGCCTAACTCCTAGCCAGATAAACCTAAATCCTCACACTTAGGTCTATTTAACTCAGTTTCTTTCACCCAATTCATCCTGTTCAAATTGCAAAAAAAAAATTACAACACATGCTGAAACACAAAAGACACATACGTTGAAGAGACACAGCGAGCGTCAGATCCAGATTCAGAAACAGCAGAGATTTGGGAACGATCAGACTGGAAATGTTAAATAAATATGACTAATATGCTAAGAACTCTAATGGAAAAAGTAGACAAAATGCAGGAGCAGATGAATGATATAAACAGAGAATTAAAAATTCTAAGAAAGTACAGAAATGAAATGCTAAACACTGAAAATCAAAAGGAGCAAAAGGAAACAAAACAAAACAAATGGTAACCAAAAACACTGAAAGAGAAAATAAGAGTTGTTTTGAGGGAGTCATCAGTAGTCCGGACACAGCTGATGAAAGAATCAGTGAGCCTGAAGATACGATGATGGAAACTTCTCAAATTGAAAGGCGAAGAAAAAAAAAATGAAAAAAAAAAAAAAAAGGAATAGAATATCCAAGAACTGTGGGATAATTACAAAAGAGAATACACAAAGAAAAAACAGACAAAGAAGCAGAATATTTGAGGTAATAATGGCTGAGAATTTCTGAAATTAATAACAGATATCAAATCACAGAAACAAGGAGCTCAGAGAACACTGAGAGAGGTAAATACCAAAAAATCTACACCTAGGCCTGTCGTTAGAAAATCAAAGACAAGGGCTGGGTGCGGTGGCTCATGCCTGTAATCCCAGCACTTTGGGAGGCCGATGCGGGTGGATCATGAGGTCAGGAGATGGAGACCATCCTGGCTAACACGGTGAAACCCCGTCTCTACTAAAAATACAAAAAATTAGCCGGGCGTGGTGGCGGGCGCCTGTAGTCCCAACTGCTGGGGAGGCTGAGGCAGGAGAATGGCGTGAACCCGGAGGCGGAGCTTGCAGTGAGCCGAGATTGTGCCACTGCACTCCAGCCTGGGTGACAGAGGAAGACTCTGTCTCAAAAAATAAAATAAAATAAAATAAAATAAAATAAAATAAAATAAAATAAAATAAAATAAAATAATATAAAATAAAATAAATAAAACAAAATAATATAATTTAAAAATTTTTAAAAATTAAAAAAATAAAAAAAAATCAAAGAGCAAATCTTGAAAGAAGCTGGAGAAAAGGAAAACCATACCTCTAACGGAATTTGCCTTCAGAAACCATACAATTAAGAAGAAAGCAGAGAGAAATATTTAACAGTTGAAAGAAAAAAAAAAGGCCACTAACCTAGAATTCTTTATCTAGTGAAATTATTCTTTAAAAGTAAAGGGCAAATACTTTCTTAGTCAAATAAAAATTCAGGAATTTTGTTGCCAGAAAGAAATGTTTAAAGATGCTCTTCAGAGAGGAGAAAGTGATATGGATCAGAAACTTGTATCTGCATAAAGAAAGGAATAATGTTAGGGAAGGAATAAACAAAGGTAAAATAAAATCATTAAAAAATGTGTACTGAGTGATTATTGCTTCTGGATAAGTGAAAGGAATGACAACAATATTATGAGGGAAAGAGGGATGAATTGAAGTGCTCTGTTTTAAAGTACCTGCGTCACCCATAAACTGTTCTTTGAAAGTGGACTTAGATTTTTTGGAAGTGTATATGGTAAATTCTAGGGCACTGAATAATTTTTTAAATGTATAGCTGATATGCTAAGAGAAAGGACAAAATGCAGTTATGTAAAATGTTCAATTAAAACCAGAGAAGGCAGAAAAGGACTGCAAGGCAAAAATGTTACAAAGAACAGATAACAAATAGAAAATAGTTGGGAATATGGTAGATATTAATCCAATTATATTATTAACCACTTCAAATGTGAGTGATCCAAATACTCCCATTAAAAGACAGATACTCTGACATTAAGTGTTCTTATCGCAATAATATGTAAATTTAAGAAGCTCAAGTATATGTTGTCTACAAGAAAATTGCTTTAAATGTAAAAATGAAGACAGATTAAAAGTGAACACATGGAAAAATATACCATATTAACACTAAAAGCCAGAATTGCAGAAAATATATATTCTATTTTTATACTGAAGGAGCTGAAGACACAATTTATACACTTTTGAACAACATAAAAGACTAGTGGTATATAAACCATTACAATCAGGTACAGTATTCCTCCCCTGATCCCTGTTTATTCCAGGGTATATGGTCCAAGACCCCCAGGGGATAACTGACATCTCATATAGTATGATACCAAACCCGATGGCCATCAGTCAGAACTAATTTCTGTTCAGATTTTCCATATGTTTAATTCCTTTTCCTTCCTAAGCATTGATCACGTCCTGTGGCCATAACTTTTGAAGTTTGAGGTAGGAGGTAAGCTAGCATGAATTTCTTTGTACTTCTTCACAATTTCATGAAGAGAAGATTCATTCTTACTGTAGATCTTAACAGCGTAAGTATATGATTTTTTTTTCTTTATTAAGTCGAGAGCTTTCACCTTTTCACTTAAAGGAGGCACTTTATGGCTTCTCTTTAGCACATCCAAATTGCCAGGATCATTACTCTTGCACTTTGGGCCCATTATTGAATGAAACAAGGGCTACTTGAGCACAAGACTGTGATACCAAGAGAGTGGATCAGATAATCTAGATGGCTACCAACTAACTAACAGGCAGCATCTACAGTGTGGATATACCGGACAAAGGGATGAGTCACGTGCCTGGTGGGAAGGAGAGGGACAGCACAGGATGGTGTGACATTTCATCACACTATGCAGAATGGCTTGCAATTTAAAACTGATGAGTTATTTCTGGAATTTTCCATTTAATATTTTTGGACCATGATTGCCCACAGGTAACTGAAATCACAAAAAGCAAAACCGCAGATAAGGGAAGACTACTGTAATTCCTTTCTTGGTGGTTCTAGGCCTCCACCTCCCAGAGATCACCATGCCCAGAGCCCTGGTTTCTTCTTCTCCAGAGGTCTTTATGATGCCCTGAGCAAGCTTCCATCATGGCCTGCATGTAAAGTTGCCCCTAGGCAACTTTTTGATCACTATGAGTTGATCATAATATAATAGGGACTAATAGGTAAAAAAGACGTGAGATCAATATTAAAGAAGATATTTCTCATGGTGACATCTGTCCAAAGATAAACTATTAAGCTACTTGTTGATTTTCTAAGTCTCTTGGTCTTGGAAGAGTCACATAGATTTTGAGACAGTTCATCAGGGGTGTCATATCAAATATTCAAATACTTGCCAGGGATGATTTGATTCATAGATTCGTAAGAACTTCTTAGTCCAACAGACAAAACACAAGTAGAACACTTGAAGTTAAACCTTTTCTGAAGATTTTTTCTTATAAAGTTTGTAGGTCTCTATGTCTACAATGACCTTATTTTTTCCAAAAAAGTCATCAGCAGTTTTTTAAATACAGGATAGAAATATTACTGCAGCCAGAGTGATATTTTTGAAATGCAAATTTGAATAGATCACCACATCCAGATTAAATATTTCAGACTATCCATTTCCTTCTATAATTAAAGAAAACAATCTTAGCAAAAGTTCGCTGTAGGGCCCTACCTATATTTCCAACTCTTGATCTCATGAAGCTTCTTAATATCTATGTTCCAACCATTCCTTACTACCTTTATTTTTGTATACATTATGCAGCTGCTTCTACCACAGGGCCTTTGCAATTGCTCCTACCACAGGGCTGCTGCCTAGAATACATTCTCCTACCATTTTTCTCTAGATTATTACTATTCCTTCTTCATATCTGAACCCAATTATCATTTACTCAAAGTTCTTCCTGATCTTTTTGACAATGTCAAATTCTTTTATTGTATTCCACTATAGTGCCTGCACTTTTCCTTCATGGCACTTATCAAAATTGTACTGTCATGTAATAGTGGTATGATCACTTAATTAATGTCTGCCTCTTACCATTTGAACTATAAACTCCACAAGGGCAAGGGCAGAATCTGTTTTCATGATTTATTCCCCTAAACTGGGACTGGAAATATTATTGAAATTCTTAAATAATTTTTAAAAGAGTGAATGAAAGAATGGTTCATTATACCTAAGAATAGAATCCCACTCATATTCCTTTTTAAATTTGTGGTTTCCTTTATTACAAAAAACTAGAGAGATTTCATTTAGCTCTGTATTTAATCAGAAGTTAGATAAGTAGCTGCCTGTGTGGTAACATTTCAACAAGGTCCTAATTCTTCTCTCTCTCCCCTCTGGCTGTTGGTTTAAATTCTAATTGGATAAATCTTCTTTACTTTAGTCTAAGGTTCTAAGCTCTATTAGGTTGAAATTCCTGTGAGGCAAGGGAAAGTTTGGCTTTATTGGGAGATTGCTGCTTAACTGGAGACAGCCTCACTGGGATAACCAGACGGGCCTTTAGTTCAGCTGTGGGTTGTTGCCTTTAAACTATTAACTTATAACACCTAAATCAATGTTTAAAATAACCTTATGTTGTCACTTATTTATTTACTTTATTATATATCCCAAATTAGAGAAGGCTTGGGCAGTGCTTGAATTCTGAAAGGGTCTTTCTGGGAAGCAAAGCTATAAAGGGATGCGGAAACGGCATGAGGCTCCTGGGTAGCCACAAGACCCTGGGGTAGGTGAAGAAGGATGTGTGTAAGACATGCTTTGTCATAGTCACAATTTTTTAGGGGCCATGAATCACTCATGTTGCTTTAAGTAAGGTGCTCCTTTATCCCTTACGTTTCCAGAGTAGCTTCCAGAATGAGAAAAGGATGACAAAAGGTCTCGCAAGTTCTGTGTTAGCAATTCATGTGTGATATCCTAGACTTCATGTACATGGAGACTACTTTACCCAATTAATGACTGAGCTAATTCATGAAATAGTAATAATGATAAAACTTCAATGTTTAATCTGTTTGATGCAGGACAGGTTCTTGGCTTCACTGGGGAAGAAATTCAAGAGCAAGCTGCTGGTAGAAGAAAACAGCTTTATTGAAGCAGTAGCAATGTTTACAGCTCTGTGACTGCTCCTGCAGAGCAGAGCTACCCCATAGGCAGCGTGCCCAGAGTAGCAGCCTAGGGGAAGTTTTGCAGTTGTATTTATACCCACTTTTAATGACATGCTAATTAAGGGGCAAATTATTCAGAAATAGCTAGAAAGTGGGCGGTAACTTCTGGGTGTTGTCATGGCAATGGTAAACTGTCATAACACTGGTGGGTATCTTATGGAGGGGTGCTTTTGGTGCCTCTTTTTAGTTTCAGCCAGTCTTCAGTCTGGTCCA
The DNA here is from genome assembly GCF_000001405.40 of Homo sapiens. Taxonomy (NCBI): domain Eukaryota; kingdom Metazoa; phylum Chordata; class Mammalia; order Primates; family Hominidae; genus Homo; species Homo sapiens. The sequence continues at coordinate 112,865,550 of NC_000006.12, forward strand.
GAGTAGAATCCCACCTGCCTGCCTCCTACCTCCATATTTGCTCGATGCCAATTTTGTAATGTTTCTAGAGTCCATTGTGTTCTTTCTTAGTAGAAAAGATGACAGATATTAGATGATTTTTGTTCATTCACATTTAACAGAATTGGAGATGCAGAAGGATAGAATGTGCTAGTTTTATGTATTATGTAAATCATAAATGTAAACATTTTTACATACATATTTATTTATTACATAGTTATGCATTCCTGCATTCCTTTAGTCATGAAAGTTCAAGGTAAATAATGTAGGATATTTGCTCTATTATGTTTCTCCTCTGAAGATTACATGATCATATAAACCTTGTTGCTTTTATTTAGCTGATGGATAAACTACAGTAGAGTAATTTGGAAAGTGGCCCTATATTGTGTATTATATGGATTGAAAGCTTCATCATGTCTATCACTGCCTCTGGAATTCAGTTGTAGAGAATATAGTCACCTGAGCGCCCTTGTTAGAATAGTTTTGTTATCTATGGTGTGATATAAACCTACCACTACATATTTCTTTTTCTGTTTAGTTGTTTTTAGGGCATTATTTATTTTGCAATACATTTTCTGGTAGCAGTGAAGTAAAAAATGCATTTTTTAGGAAAATTAAAGTTTCATCCTCACTTCTTTCATTTGTTGCATCATTTTGTCGTCTGCCTTCTGTAGGGAATGTGAAGGTCAGGTGGCTCTTTCACTTGCATTGTAACAATTCGTTTGTTTCTTTCAATTATTATAAATTCATTCTCAGAGAAGGAATGCAAGGGATCACAGTTAAGATGATAAAAATAATAGATCTCCAAGCAGGTTGTGTTAGTTTTTATATCTACATGAAATTACTTTTTTGGTATTGATTATATTCTTACTGCTCAGAAATAAACTACCCTCTTCCCAATCCAAGTTTGGAGAATAATTTTCTTTTCATTCTCACCTCTACAAATACAACTTGTTTGTGCAATCAAATTCTAAGGCAAATCTCACAATGTAATGTGTGAGTATAGACAAGTCCTGCTGAGACAAGAGAATGTTTTGGTTTTTTAAGTCTCACTAAGCTAAGAAAGTCTTCTTTTTCTTGTCTTCTTTCTAAATTTTTCTTTTACATACCCTACTAAATACACAGATGCATTAACTTAAGATGACTTGATAATCTCCACACCATTTATAGAGAAAAATAAATTAAACAAAAAAATTTCAAAAAAGAGTAGGCTAGAAGAGTATTACACTTATTTTGTGATGTATATTGCAGTAATAATAAGAGCTAACATTTATAGGGCACTTACTGTGTGCCTGGCAGTTCTAGCATCTAACACTGTATATAAAATATTCATATTTAATGAAGTTTTATTACGATGTATATTAAAACAATCCAGGGTGTATTTGTTATTCCTCCACTTTGTATCCCCAGTACCTGCTATGATCTCACCTAGTAGTGAGGACCACGTGCAAGGAACAGAGTTCTCAATGTAACACCAGGTTAAATTTAAAAGATGACCAGTGATAATCTATCTCTCTTTTCTTGCCCCTTTCTGGATAAAAGGTAATGCCTCTCTTCCAAGTTTTGTATACAACTACTTGTTAATAAAACAAAGTAACTGAACATGAAAGAGCTAGAAACAAGTAACTATCATTGAGTAAGTTGCTAGTAATACAAGTACGAGGCATTACTGCTTTTGACAGTCATTAATTTACTAGCCAGTGGTGCCAAGACCCACCCCATAGCCTATCGAGTAACCTGTGTGATGTGTGAAGCCATGATGCTGCAAACTATTCGAACTGGTGGGAAATGTGGGGAATTACAGGTTAGATACCGGTGAAATATTGGTAGAAAAGAGTGCCTTTGGAGTTTGTTTGCAGAGATTACAGTCAACTGAAGGCTCCTGGTGGAATGGTTTTGTAACTTACTATGTAATGCAAACCTACAGCCGTTTATTTCTTTTTCTATTTAGTTGTTTGTAGGACATTTTTGTTTTTATTTTGCAATACACTTTTGGGCACCAGGTAAGTAAAAAATAATGCATTTAATGAAAAATTAAATATTAAATCTAATATTTCTCAAGAAAGTATATAAGATCTCAAATTTCCACAAAATATATTTCATCACAAAGTGCTCCATGGAGGTGATAATGATATTATTGACCATGTGACCAAAAGACACAAATTAATGAAGTGTCAACATCTTTTTTAAAAGTTAATAGTTTTTTTAATAACTGCACCTGAAGACAATGACTGCATTAAAAAAAGTTCTAAATTAATTTTACTTTTGAATTTATATTTGTATTTGAATCTAAATTTTCTTGGAGTCATAAAAAAGTAAAGCCATAGTGTCATCATGTAGACTTTATTATCAGATAAATAAATTTGTAAGCAGTTAAATAACAGGTTTCTATCGGTACCATCAGATGTTTCAAATAAAAAGTTGACTAAAGTCATTTAATAGTAATTTTATATTTTTCATTAAATTTGTATCATTAAAGAGAAGTTTGGGAAGTTCATTCTACTGTGATAAAATAGTTGATATGAATTAAATTTTCAAAGCCAGTAAAAAGTTCAACATTGAACTTAAATTTATTAGCTTCATCATAATAGTACAAATGCAAATTTTGGTAAAGTATGATAACAAATTACTTTTTAAATTAGGAAACTTATGGAGTAAAGTAATATTTGGTTATGGTGCATACATAATTGCAATGTACTAATTCCATCTAAGTAAGTTTTAATATTTGAACAAAATAAATGGGAGTTGGCAATGTACAAAGATACAAATATTTTAAAATATAGAGTAACTAAACCATGCATTATCAAAATTAAAAAGTTTGACTCAACAACAACAAAAACTTTAACATGGCACTGTATGACTTTTGTTTTTGTTACTCATCAGCATTTGAATTTTAGAAATGTTTGAGCCTTTGAAGGACTACTTTATAAATCAATCTAAGTATCCTGCAATAACATTGAAGATTTTTGTTGCTTTTTTCAAGGTCAATTGAGAATTTTTAGTCAAAGTATTTGATAAATGGGGTACCAAAACTTTTTAGCTTTTGAAATTTTAAGTAATGTTTTCAAATGTAATGTCTCTAAAAAAAAAAAAAAAAAGCAAGAGGGAGAGCCAAACAAATTAAACAACTGGACCTCTTCAGAAGATTTATTTGGAAATCTGTAATTGCTTGGAATATCTTAATTTGCAGGCTGAATCATTTAATAAAACTTATCTTTTTATTTAGAGAATGTTATAGCTATTTTGAAGTGGAAAAAATAGAAAAGAATCTAAAAGTGTAGCACTTTAATTAAACTAGTCAAATGTTCTAAAAATAGAAGCAAGTTATCTGATGTATGTGTTGTCCTATAAAAAATATTTTTTGAATGCCTCAATGAAAAGACACAGGCCTAAAACTTAAAGTATAATTAAAAAAAAAAAAAAGAAAAGACACAGGCTGGCAAACTGGATAAAGAGTCAAGACTCATTGGTGTGCTGTATTCAGGAGACCTATCTCACGTGCAAAGACACACATGGGCTCAAAATAAAGGGATGGAGGAAGATTTACCAAGCAAATGGAAAGCAAAAAAGCAGGGCTTGCAATCCTAGTCTCTGATAAAACAGACTTTAAACCAAAAAAGTTCAAAAAAAGATAAAGAAGGGCATTAAATAATGATAAAGGGATCAATGCAACAAGAAGAGCTAAACATCCTAAATATATATGCACTTGATACACGAGCACCCCTATTCATAAAACAAGTTCTCAGAGACATACAAAGAAACTTAGACTCCTACACAATCATAATGGGAGACTTTAACACCCCACTGTCACTATTAGACAGATCAACGAGACAGAAAATTAATGAGGATATTCAGGACTTGAACTCAGCTCTGGACAAGCGGACCTAATAGACATATACAGAACTCTCCACCCCAAAACAACAGAACATACGTTCTTCTCAGCACTACATAGCACTTATTCTAAAATCGACCACATAATTGGAAGTAAAACACTCTTCAGCAAATGCAAAATAACAGAAAGCATAACAGTCTCTCAGACCTTGGCAAAATCAAATTAGAACTAAGGATTAAGAAACTCACTCAAAACTGCACAACTCCATGGAAACTGAACAGCCTGCTCCTGAATGACTACTAGGTAAATAATGAAATTAAGGCAGAAATAAATAAGTTATTTGAAACCAATGAGAACAAAGAGACAATGTACCAGAATCTCTGGGACACAGCTAAAGCAGTGTTAAGAGGGAAATTTATAGCACTAAATGCCCACATCAGAAAGTGGGAAAGAACTGATATTGACAACCTAACATCACAATTAAAAGAACTAGAGAAACAAGAGCAAAAAAATTCAAAAGCTAGCAGAAGACAAGAAATAACTAAGACCAGAGCAGAACTGAAGGAGATAGAGACATGAAAAACTGTTCAAAAAATCAGTGAATCCAGGAGATGGTTGTTTTGAAAACATTAAAAGTATAAATAGACCGCTAGCCAGACTAATAAAGAAAAAAAGAGAAAAGAATTGAATAGACACAATAAAAAATGATAAACGGGATATCACAACTGATCCCAAAGAAATACAAAGTCCCATCAGAGAATACTACAAATACCTCTACTCAAATAAACTAGAAAATCTAGAAGAAATGGATAAATTCCTGGACACATACACCTTCCCAAGACTAAACCAGGAAGAAGTCGAATCCTTGAATAGACCAATAACAAGTTCTGAAATTGAGGCAATTAATAGCCTACCAACCAAAAAAAGGCCAGGACCAGATGGATTCACAGCTGAATTCTATCAGAGGTACAAAGAGGAGCTGACACCATTCCTTCTGAAACTATTTCAAACAATAGAAAAAGTGGGACTCCTACTTAACTCATTTTATGAGGCCAGCATCATCCTGATTACAAAACCTGGCAGAGACACAACAAAAAACGAAAATTTCAGGCCAATATCCCTAATGAACATCGATGCAAAAATCCTCAATAACATACTGACAAACCGAATCCAGCAGCACATCAAAAAGCTCATCTACCATGATCAAGTCGGCTTCATCCCTGGGAAGCAAGGCTGGTTCAACATATGCAAATCAATAAACGTAATCCATCACATAAACAGAATCAGTGACAAAAACCACATGATTATCTGAATAGATACAGAAAAGGCCTTCAATAAAATTCAACACCCCTTTAACTCTCTATAAAAAACTCTCAATAAACTAGGTATGGATGGAACATATCTGAAAATAATAAGAGCTATTTATGACAAACCCATAGCCAATATCATACTGAATGGGTAAAAGCTGGAAGCATTCCCTTTGAAAACCAACATAAGACAAGGGTGCCCTCTCTCACCACTCTTATTCAACATAGTTTTGGAAGTTCTGGCCAGGGCAATCAGGAAAGAGAAAGAAATAAAGGGTATTCACATAGGAAGAAAGGACGTCAAATTGTCTGTTTGCAAATGACATGATTGTATATTTAGAAAACCCCATTGTCTCAACCCAAAAACTCCTTAAGCTGATAAGCAACTTCAGCAAAATCTCAGGATATAAAATCAATATGTGAAAATCACAAGCAGTCCTATACACCAATAATAGACAAGGAGAGAGCCAAATCATGAGTGAACTTCCATTCACAATTGCCACAAAGAAAATAAAATACCTAGGAAAACAATTTACAATTAATGTGAAGGACCTCTTCAAGGAGAACTACAAACCACTGCTCAAGGAAATAAGGGAGGACACCAACAAATGGAAAAAAAATTCCATGCTCATGGATAGGAAGAATCAATATCGTGAAAATGGCCATACTGCCCAAAGTAATTTATAGATTCAATGCTATTCCTATCAAGTTACCATTGACTTTCTTCACAGAACTAGAAAGAAAACTACTTTAAATTTCATATGGAACCAAAAAAGAGCCTGTATAGCCAAGACAATCCTAAGCAAGAAGAACAAAGCTGGAGGTATCATGCTACCTGACTTCAAACTATACTACAAGGCTACAGTAACCAAAACAGCATGGTACTGGTACCAAAACAGATACATAAACCAATGCAACAGAACAGAGGCCTCAGAAATAACATTACACATCTACAACCTTCTGATCTTTGACAAATCTGACAAAAACAAGCAATGGGGAAAGATTTCCCTATTTAATAAATGGTGCTGGGAAAACTGGCTAGCCACATGCAGAAAACAGACACTCAACCCCTTCCTTATGTCTTATACAAAAATTAGCTCAAGATGGATTAAAGACTTAAATCTAAAACCATAAAAACCCTAGAAGGAAACCTAGGCAGTACTATTCAGGACATAGGCATGGGCAAAGACTTCATGATTAAAACAATAAAAGCAATTGCAACAAAAGCCAAAATTGACAAATGAGATCTAATTAAACTAAAGAGCTTCTGCACAGCAAAAGAAACTAGTATCATAGTGAACAAGCAACCTACAGAATGGGAGAAAACTTTTGCAACCTATCCATCTGACAAAGGTTTAATATCCAGAATCTACAAAGAACTTAAACAAATTTACAAGAAAAAAACAACCCCATCAAAAAGTGGGTGAAGGATATGAACAGACACTTCTCAAAAGAAGACATTTATGCAGCCAAAAAACACATGAAAAAATGCTCATCATCACTGGCCATCAGAGAAATGCAAATCAAAACCACAATGAGATACCATCTCACACCAGTTAGAATGGCAGTCATTAAAAAGTCAGGAAACAACAGGTGCTGGAGAGGATGTGGAGAAATAGGAACACTTTTACACTGTTGGTGGGACTGTAAACTAGTTCAACCATTGTGGAAGTCAGTGTGGCGATTCCTCAGGGATCTAGAACTGGAAATACCATTTGACCCAGCCATCCCATTACTGGGTATATACCCAAATGACTATAAATCATGCTGCTATAAAGACACATGCACACGTATGTTTATTGCGGCATTATTCACAATAGCAAAGACTTGGAACCAACCCAAATGTCCAACAATGATAGACTGGATTAAGAAAATGTGGCACATATACACCATGGAATACTATGCAGCCATAAAAAATGATGAGTTCATGTCCTTTGTAGGGACATGGATGAAATTGGAAATCATCATTCTCAGTAAACTATCTCAAGAACAAAAAACCAAACACCGCATATTCTCATTCATAGGTGGGAATTGAACAATGAGATCACATGGACACAGGAAGGGGAATATCACACTCTGGGGACTGTTGTGGGGTGGGGGGAGGGGGGAGGGATAGCATTGGGAGATATACCTAATGGTAGATGATGAGTTAGTGGGTGCAACGCACCAGCATGGCACATGTATACATATGTAACTAACCTGCACAATGTGCACATGTACCCTAAAACTTAAAGTATAATAAAAAAATATATTAAAAAAGAAGACATTTATGTGGCTAGCAAACATATGAAAAAAAAGCTCATCATCACTAGTCATTAGAGAAATGCAAATCAAAACCACAATGAGATACAATCTCACACCAGTTAGAATGGCAATCATTAAAAAGTCTGGAAACAACAGATGCTAGTGAGGATGTAGAGAAATAGGAATGCTTTTACACTGTTGGTGGGAGTGTAAATTAGTTCAACCATTGTGGAAGACAGTACAGTGACTCCTCAAGGATCTAGAACCATAAATACCATTTGACCCAGCCATCCCATTACTGGCTATATACCCAAGGGATTATAAATCATTTTACTATAAAGACACATGCACACGTATGTTTACTGCAGCACTATTTACAATAGCAAAGACTTGGGACCAACCCAAATGCCCGTCAATGATAGACTGGATAAAGAAATTGTGACATATATACACCATGGAATACTATGTCGCCATAAAAAATGAGTTCATGTCCTTTGCAGGGGCATGGATGAAGCTGGAAACCATCATCCTCAGCAAACTAACACAGCAACAGAAAACCAAATACCACATGTTCTCACTCATAAGTGGGAGTTGAACAATGAGAACAGATGGACACAGGGAAAGGAACATCACACACTGGGGCCTGTTGGGAGATGGGGGAAAAGGGGAGGGAGAGCATTAGGACAAATACCTAATGCATGCGGGGCTTAAAACCTGGATGATGGATTGATAGGTGCAGCAAACCACCGTGGCACATGTATACCAACGTAACAAACCTGCACGTTCAGCATATGTATCCCAGAAGTTAAAGTGAAATCAGTCAATCAATCAATCAATAAGAAAGTTACCCTGAATGCACACCTAAAATCAGTATTTGTCAAAATAGTTGTTCTAAAATAAATACACATTTTAATGCAAAACATGTAGTCTTGAGACTATTCTTCATTTAACAGAATTTGTCCCAAGCATGTCAGGCATGTCAACATCTATGAAGAAAAATTTTTACAATTACAATTTATATGAACTATAGAAAAAAATGAATGAAAGGCATTAACAATTTTATCCAAAATTTAAACATAATCATATCAAATAAAAGTATATTTTTCAAAAAAACTTAAGTGGAATGATATTGGATAAAATATGTGAGTGTATCAAGAATAGTTATTTTGCTTAATGTTTATGTTTAAATAATAAATATAAAAAGTTTTTAAATTTTGATATAGTGTACATGAATATTTATAATTTTTAAACAATTTTTCTAGAAATAATTTCATTTTTAAAATGATTTCTAAATAGTACCACTTTATAGGGACCCACAATATAATGAAATCCTTTTGTGTGTCAATTTATAAACATTTAAAACATTTTTATAGTTTCTATATTTAGCTCCCTTTTCACAATCAAAAGTGTCTCATTTTCAGTGGTAAATAACATACTCTTTCTACTTACATCTTTATTATTATTCCCACTTTACACACGAGACACTTACTTTCTTGCCCAATGTCAAACTAGTCCGTGGCAGGCTAATTGGAGTTTGAACTTCTATTACTGGAACTCAATTTTCATTCATTTTTCCACTCATTATTCATTTATTCAACCAATGAATGTTCAATAGCACATTCATTAATGCCAACTTTGTACAAAATGAGGGAGACACACAGCATAGAAAAAGATGGCAAGGAATACAGTGATTAATTGTTCATGTATAACTGCCCCCTCTAGAAGCCTCATCAGATATGGCAGTGGTCAGAGGTGCCCACTGAGCTGGCCCCGAGCAGCACACTTTAGAGGAGTTAAAGGATAAACGGTAGTAACTTGTGGTGTATCAGCCACTGGAAGAAACACAGCTATTGAACTAAATAAGGCCTATTTGGTGGCCTCCAGTCGTCATCTAGAATATGAATGATACCAGCAAGGAATAATCACTTCCATCCTCATTTTTTATCTGTCAACAGAGTGAGGCATAGGATACTTTTACTCAAAATTTCTGTGGGCAAAGAGAGTAGTGATAACCTAAGAGGTGACTGTGACATTTTGATATCATGAGTGATGTTAATGTATGGTTGGTCTTTGTCCCTGCTTTCTGGCACAGAGCTCCTAAAACCCTTGGAATTTCCCAAGTGGGAGGGGCATCTTTTGTTCACAAGAGGAGACTCTTGGCAGGCCTCTAGATAGCTTCAGAATGGGAGGTGTAACTTTTAGCCCCACTCCTTTAACTCCTGGGGAGGGGAGAGAGGCTGAAAACTGAGTTTACAATCAACCATGCCTACATGATGAAACCCACATAAAAAACTCCTAAAGTACTGGGTCCAGGGAGCTTCCGGGTTGATGAACAAAATCCTTGTGCCAGGGATGGCGGGCTGTGAACCCCAATTCCATGGGGACAGAAGCTACTGTGATTGGGACCATTCTGGACCTCATTCTATATACATTTTCATTGGGCCTTTCATTTGTATTCTTTATAATATCCTTTATTATAAACTAGTAATAGTAAGGTAAAGTGTTTTCCTGAGTTCTGTGAACCATTACAACAAATTATCAAACCCAAGGAAGAGGTCACAGCTGATTTATTGCTGGTTGGTCAGAAATATGGGATGCCCAGGACTTGCAGTTGGCATTTAAGTAGAGGCAGCATTGTAGGACTGAACCCTTAACTGGAGGGGTCTGCACTAATTCTGGGTAATGGGTGTAAGAATTAGTTGAATACCCAGCTGGTGTCAGGAAAGTTGGAGAATTAGTTGGTGTGGGATGAAAACCCCATACATTTGGTGTTAGGAGTGTAGTGAGTAGAAACAGATTATAGTGACCTATTAGAGTTATTTTCATCTCAGAAAACTTGCATGAAGAAGGGGGAGCTTATACAAAAATAAAGAATAACAACATATAACTTCATCATCTACTTCAAGGAACAAAGATGGCATAGAAAAAAGATTTATACCTTTTCTCCCCCACATACATTTTGTAAACCATATAGACTTCTTATGAATTAATGATAGCATAATAATATATATAATTAGCATTTTTTCAATTTTGGGGAATATTGATTATGAGTAGTTAGGGTACTCTAGAAAGCAGATACTTAAAACAATTTTTTCTCAGGACAGGTCTTTGAACTATAATTTTGATGAATAATTTTATTAGGATAGATACAGAAACAAATAATAGTTTTACTGAGGTTTCTGTTGTTCACCCTAGTACTGTAGTATGTACTCCTTTGAAATTTATTTGAATTCACATGAAATTAATTTGAGTGAATTAACTGAAATAAAACTTGTCTTTTACCGTAATAGCCAATAAGAAATATAATATTAACAATAGACCCAGCCGGGTGCAGTGGCTCACACCTGTAATCCCAGCACTTTGGGAGGCTGAGGAGGGCAGATCACCTGAGGTCGGGAGTTTAAGACCAGCCTGGCCAATATGGTGAAACCCCATCTTTACTAAAAATACAAAAATTAGCCGGGCATGGTGATGGGCACCTGTAATCCCAGCTACTCGGGAGGCTGAGGCAAGAGAATTGCTTGAACGTGGAGGCAGAGGTTGCAGTGAGCCGAGATCATGCCATTGCACTCCAGGCTGGGCAACAAGAGCAAAACTTGTGTAGTCAATATTTATTTATGTCTACCCATATATTTACCATTTTACTTGTTCTTTATTCTTTCCGCTATCTCCACGTTTGCCTCTGACATTATTATTATTTTTTAGACTGAGGTATATCTTTTAGTGAAAATGTGCCAGAGATAAAGTTTTTCTGAACTTACATATTTTTGTTTTAAAATGCCTTAACTACAGCTTTGTTTTGGAAGAATGTTCTCACAGGACAGAGTTCTTGCTTAGTGATTTTATTTTTTCAGTACTTTCAGAATACCAATTCATGGTCTTCTGACATATTTATTCATTGAGAAGCCAGTGTAAATTTATTATTAACAAAAAACTACCAGGTTCATGTATCTTTGTCAAAAGTTGTAGATTATGTAGAGAACTCTAAGTTTCCATTGCTGGATGTTTAGTTGCATGAGTGTTTGAGGATTCACACGTATTATCTATCTCTACTCTCTAAATTTCAAACAAAATTTTAAAATTAGAGGTAGTAATCAGATTTATTGGCTTTATTCTTGACAAGGCTGGCTTGGAGAATCTGGCTTAGATGTGGAAATACAATCTGCCTTTTATGGCCCTGTGACCCACCTTATCCTCTATGTCTCATCTAGATTGAGGGCTAACCCACTTGAGGAAGGATTGGTGTCTGCAGAGCACACACACGCTCAGAAAATACCTGCCTCACACAGCAGACCCTGGTAGCTGGATAGAGTGAGATGGCTTTCAGATGGTCTTGTGAAGGCTTGCCTGGGGCAGAGAACCACTTTGCTGTCAGGAAAAAAGAGAGCTCTCAGGGTAGAGCAGAGCAGGCTCATTTCCTTCTCCTAGTCCCATGAGTCAGGTAAGTTACTTCTCTTCTTTTTCTGGGAGAGAGTTAAGACAAGCCATGGATGCTCACTTTCCTTTTCTAAATGATGCACTTCCCTGCTTTATGGGCCAAAATGAGAACACTGAAGAGAGTTGAGAATAGTACTCCCTTCAGTAAGTGTAGTCACCAACCAGCTCCCTCCTAAGAGCTTGGAATCTCAAAAAAAAAAAAAGCATTCTTGAACAGTCTCCAGGAAGAACATTCCCGAGAACAACAGGCCTAAGAGGAATTTCCTTGGGTTCAGAGGTCCTGTGTTACATAGCTCTGTATCACTCATAGTGCTTTCAGCAAAATGGAGTATAAATAAGCAATTGTAAATTTTGTTTTGTTTTTCTTTGTTCAGTATTGCTTAGAGCAACAAGATTTAAATTTAAATCACTATAGATTTGATCACTGTAGAAAAGAATCAGAAATTCACCCTCGTTTCCAATTTCAAATGTAAACGCCACCAGTACAGTAAATGTACCATGAGAAACCTATTGGTGGCACTATGGAATTAGACAACTCTAGAGAAAACTTAGCAATAAATGGATATCCCTCTGAAACCTCAAGAGGTAATTTCCTTTGGTGGGATAATATGTAGATAAAATTGGAAATGAAAGCTATAGTTGAGCTATTTGTAATCAAGACACCTGCACAATTAATTTTAAAGTAACATATTGTTTTGTGGGTAAAATTAAATGTCTTATACAAATGTCTTATACAAGCACTTACACACTCTGGGAACAGATGCCAATGAATACATTTGGTGACTATTCATCAACCTCACAAAGATCACCTTAGCTTACAGAAAACACAGGGACCATTTTAAAAGTAAATTTGTAAAATTACATGAAGAGAAAGACATGCAATTCTGTGACTTTATGTGTCTTTTATTGCAAATACTATTGCTAAGACAAAATACCCACTCACATACACATAAATGAACTTCATGGATGCATGTATGGATAGAATGGATAGACTTCTGTATTGAGGTATAGATGCCTTTGTGAACAAATTTTTGTGCTTTAGCATGTTTTGTTCCTTTGTTTTAACTCTAGCATTCTTACCAAGAAAAATAACACATGTTGAAAATCCAAAGCAATGTAGATAAAGATCACATACCTTTTAGACACTAGCAACATTAGAATACCATGCAAAAAAGATGTTCATCAGGGCAAGGCTAATAAACAGTCCCCTGGAAATATCTTTCACCTCCCGCATAGTCCATTCTTCTAGCTGTAACTCCAACTAGTGCCACAAGACTTGTTTTTTTCTGGCTAAGCCCTGGGCAACATTCACCATCAAAGTACTATTATCTTCTTAATTTTTGCTTAGAAAAGAAAGAAAAACACACTTAGTGTTAAGATTGGATATGTTTTTAATTTTTAGATATCTGTACTATGGACATGAGCAAAATAATATGGAACTACAGTTTTTAAAAATGGCCACACAGAAAACCACCTTAGATGAAATGAATATGTAACCTGCCGTCGATTTAAAAAAATTAAGCTCACTGTCTCATGTTGAAAGGTCACAATCATTAATCTATTTAAAGTTAGCAACGGCCCGTGTGTCATACACGATTGTGGACACCTGACCTTGATACCTGCCATTCCACTGCCTCCCACAAGCTGTAGACAATTTAGTACTCCATCTGACAGTGACTTCTTTGTCATTTCTGGCTATATTCTTCATTTTTCCTCCTCTTGCTCCCACTTTAGAAACTACCATGTCCTTTCTTTCCCTTTTATGCTTTCTTATGAAATTTTATATCCTTTAATATTGTAACTACGTATATCACATAAAAAATAAACAACAAAAATCTTGGAAGGTATTCTACAGAATAAAGACGTCAGTCAGTTTGAAAATATTAGATACTTAATACAGGTAACATCTTAAGATTTAAAGTTTAGACTTATACTATGTTTTTAAAGGGACACTGATCAAGGATCTGAACTAAATTATAATGTAGACACAAAAAGACATCGCTAATGTTTCTGTAACAAAATGTCCACTAACAAAACAAAAGGTATTTTGTCTTAAAATTTGCAATGCTTTATTTTAAACAGTACAATAGCAACAATTATGTACCGTGACACAATTATAAAAAATTATCATCAAAGATAATAAACATTAAGATATTGTTGAAGGGTATTATTAGCTGGATTGTGCCCCTCCTCACACACCAAATTCATATGTTGAAGTATTGGCCCCCAGTACTTTAGAATGTGACTGTGTTACAGGATATTTAGGGTGGAATATCTCTGTGGCAGGTGGAAACGTCTGTGGCAGGTGGTGCCTTTGCCCGAGTTCTTGTCCTGCATCCAGGAAGAATGAGGTATGGAAACAAGCGGAAGGGGAGCAAGATGAAGAGAAGCTTTATTGAGTGTTCTAACAGCTCAGAGGAGACCCGCAGGGGGCAACTCCTGAAGGAGGGGCCTTACCAGGGACCAACCCCCTTCGGCACAGGAATCTTTCTGCCTCCTGCAGCCATTCATGGCCCAAGGGCTGGGCCCCAACCCAGCTTTGAGATCCCAGCGGGTGCCAGGAGAGGAGAGAGACCGGGCAGCGGGATCAGATACCCCGGAGCCTGAAGAGACATGCGGGCCTTCCCAGCCGCCAGGGGGCAGGCAGCAGAGATGCGTGGGTCTGGCCGCTGCAGCTGCACCCAGGGAGCTCCAGCCCCATCAACTCGGAAGGGGCGGGGCTCCTGCTTGTTCCTGGCCCTTGCCTGCTCGTGGAGCGAGAGGGCCAGGTCAGCAGCAGCGGGTTGGGTGGCTGCAACTGCACCAGGGAGGGCAGATCCTGCCTGTTCCCAGCCCCTTCCAAGAGCACAGGAAGGCTCGGATCCACAGCTGCAGTTTTGGCTGATGTAGCCCCGCTACGTATTGCAGGAGGGTGGGGCTCCTGCCTGTTACGTGAAGCAGGGGGCCTGGATCTGCTGCCGAGGTTTGAGGTTTGGGCGGCTGCAGTGGCACCCGGGAAGTTTCTGCCCCAAATCAGAAGGAGTGGGGCTCCCACTGACTCCACAGAGTGTGCAGCCCCAGCCCTCCTCTCTGCTGCAGCCGGGGTAATGGCAGCAGCTGTTGCCATCAACTGCATTTGGAAATAGAACCTTAAAAGAGGTACTTAAGTTAAAATGTGGTTTTAGGGTGGGTTCTAACTCAATACCACTGTGCCCTTATAAAAAGAGGAGATTAGGACACAGTCGACAAAGAGGATGACCATGTGAGGACGCAGCAAAAAGGCGACCACCTGGGAGCCAAGGAGAGAGGCCTCAGAAGAAACAAAACCTGCCAACCCCTTGAACTCAGACTCTCAGCCTCCAAAATTGTGAGAAAATTCTTCTGTTGTTTAAACCATCCAGTCTGTAGCATTTTGCTATGGCAGCCGTAGAAAACTCATACAAAGGGTAACAGCAAGAGTCTATTTGTCAAGGTAAGGTGAAAGTTTGGAAAGGACATAGAGCTTGTTTCTTTCTTATTTTTTTTTTTCCCTTTAGGCATTCAG
Organism: Homo sapiens; assembly: GCF_000001405.40. NCBI lineage: Eukaryota > Metazoa > Chordata > Mammalia > Primates > Hominidae > Homo > Homo sapiens. The sequence continues at coordinate 112,880,911 of NC_000006.12, forward strand.
GGCTTGATAAGGCAAACTTTGCTCTTTAAAATATCAACATGTCTTTCAAGGTTCCCACTGAAAAGGTTATTTCATATTGTTCATTTTTGCCCATAATTTTTACTCACTTCAGAAAATAGGCTTTTTAGGAGCCTAGCATTTGCACTTAACTCTCTGAACAGGACTTAAAGAGTGTAACCAAAAGACAGAAAAAGATTACTCAGTATGGAACAAGCGAAACAAAAAAATAGTTGGGGGAGTAGGGTGGAGGATGAAAAAAATGCACAGCGAGGGGGTTGAGTCAGCTCCTGTGTTTCCATGGAGAGGACTTAAGCTTCTCCAGAAGTGTAGTGAAGGCCCCTAGTGATCCATAAAGGTCCTGTAGCTGGCTGCACAGGGGTGGCCAAGGACCAGGGTGTGACTGACAGGCGGCATCTTGCTGAATAGCATTTTTTCACTTGTATTGGTAATCCAAAAAGCACTTGCCAATTGACATACTTTAGGCTAAACAAGAGGCAGAGGTTGTTCTCAGAACTTTTAAAAATTATTATATTATTTCTTAAATTTGAACTTGTTTCCTGTTTTTCTGTGTAAGGTATAAGCTCCATCTCAAAAAAAAAAAAAGAAGAAAGAAAGAAATCTCTGCCATCAGAATTTGCTTAGAATTCTGCTATAGAATGTCCTTATTGATAACATAGAAATAGGATTAGGGATTATTTTAATAATAAAATAATAAACATATACTTTAAGAGTGATCTAAGGCTGCAAAATTTAAATTATATTGGCTGTCTAACTGACCTGGCTAAATACATTTTTTGATTATCAATACATAAATCATGGAGTTAAGTATGTATACAAATGCAGAATTAAGTTCTTCAGCCCTAAATATCTTTTGGTGAATCAATTTAAAATTGCCTTTCTAAATATTATTAGTTATTATTATTAAGCTATTAATATTTACAGTCTTTGCCACTTAGTAAAATGTGACTTTGTCTTAAAGTAGACCAACATGTTTTTATCCATCTGCCAGACTGCCAAATGGAATTTGATCTCTTGAGACACTGTACAATATTGGCCATTGCATTTGAATTAAAATTCTCCTGAAGCTAGTCACTGCATCACTCTTGGAAAAGTATTATCGAACTTAACTGAGCAACAGCACATCACAACACATGGCATTATAGAAAGCACAGAAGGATGCACTTATTCCTTCTAATTGGAAGTTTCAGAAACTGATATCACCCAACCTTTCCTTTTATTTTGAAGTTACATCACTACCCAAGCCTCTGTCTTTTTATTCATGGGTGTGCCTCCATTGTTGCTGGAACAAATCCAGTGCATTAGTGAAAACATTGCCCTCTTGATGAGACTCATCTAAACACATCTGTCATCCACACACATGTTAAAGCATATTCACAATGGCCAATCAGAAAACATTTCTACCTCCAGGGTGGTCAATATAGTTATGCTGATATTGCCCAATCACAGATCAACACTTTCGATCTTTTAATATCCTCCCTGAACAACCATATACTTATTGAATGTTTTTCAGACTGTGCTTAAGTTGTTGAGTCATTTAAAATATGTTTCCTGTCCTTTATTCTCTTATCCACTTTTCTTCTAAAGATGTCTGCATTCTAGCTCTTAATTTTATATTTCTTACTCCACTGAGGCATTCCACATAAATGTATCATCCAGTCTACTACCCTGTGTTTATTAAAATGTATTCTCTACTCCTTCAAAATACAATCTACCAAAGAAACTAACAGCTAACTAAAAAGAAGTGAGGCTAAAACTTTAGTGACCTCAAGACAAGTTAGAATTCTATGGCACTCTAAATCCCTATTGCTGTTGGCTTTTCTGCTTTGCTAACTGATGGCAAGAATTGACAGCCTCCACAGAATATGTTTGATAAATCTTTAGAGGCTAAATTTCCCAGTGGCACTATGAACTTCTTTCTCTGAGGAAGTGGACATTTGGTTGTTCTTAGGGGAAGCTCAGATGTCCTCATGAAGAAACAGCAGTGTGGCTAAAGTATGGGGTAAGCCTTCTCTGTAATTGCCTGTACTGAGAAAGTCAACTGCTGCAAAGATAATGTGTATTAATTTAGTTCTTTTTTGTGATACTTACACTAGAAATTCATTTTTTCAGATTTCTCCCTAAAGCCCTTTGGCTACTCAGGAAGGCCCTGCGTGAAACTTGCCAAGGATTCCATATGACAGGTATCCCCCCGACTCCCCTGTTGCCTGGCACATTTATCTTAGGTGCCCCTGTGGGCAGGTCAGGTGATACACCCCTCACCCCACTGGAGAGTACTTTTGAAAGGTAGGAAATCTGAGTCTTGCTAGCTGAAAACTCTGACTCAGCCTTAACTTTCAAAGTAGAAATGCCCATACAAATACAGTGACTTTTTGTTTCTGACAGAATTTAAACCTCATTGCTATGGTATTAACGGGGATGCTACGGCAACCATAAACTACTAACTATAATTTTCCCTGAAAACAGCTGCCATGGAGCTGTGGAATATTTTCCTTAGACTTTAAAGCATTGACATTTCAAGGAAAACTCAGCCTTCTTGGCACAGTAGAGCTTACTCAAACTAAGATGTCTTAAATAAACTATTTGCACACATGAAAACTTCTATAAATGTGTATAAATGTATTATCGTAAATGACTCATACCCTCAAAAATGATATAATTTTATATAAGTTATATTACATATCATACTATGGTAACCTATAAAGGGCCGATGCCTTATGTGAAATACTTAAAATTTTATGATAAAAAATTTAATTGGCCATGATCATGTCTGTTAAGTCACTCAGCCAAAAGTATAAGGGCAAGAGCACCAGTCTTAGAATCGGGATCACTGTGATATAATTATGGCTTTGATTTAACAACCGTGTCATCTTAGGTACATCCAATTGGAAAGCTGCTCTTTAGAGTGGGTGGATTTCAATTGTTGATGTTACTGATACTAGTGCTCCAACCCAAAAGCCCTCTTCATTCATTCTCTCAGGAAGAAAGGCAGCTTGCTGACTTGCTGTAGTTGAGCCACACACATAGAGTTCAAGTGATGTTCAGTGGTTGTCTATTAGAGACATAATTCAGAATTTTAAAAAAAAATCTAATTAATAGTCATAGAAATAAGTGAGAAGATATTTTAGTCATACAACTATAAATGAAGCTCTGTGTAAATCCATCAGTCCAAGAGTTTTTAGAATAGAAATTGTGGCAGTTGGTATGAAACATTCAAAGGGCAGGAAAATAAAACTGAGGAGCCAGCTCAGACAAATAGTTTAAAAGAGGGGAAATAATTAAAAAAAAAAAACAAAACAAGAGACATCAAGGATCAACCTAAGAGGCAGAATATTCAACAAATAGGAAATTCAGAATAAAATAAATAAAGGGAATAAAACATCCAACCAAAAAGGAATGGGTGAATAGTTAGCAAAACTTAAGAAAATCTTCAGATTCGTGCTGCTAAGTATCAATAGGATTAATGAGGATAGATTCCTAGCTGGATGGATTTTCATGAAATTCACTAAATATAAGGAGAATATTTTTAAAGTTTCTAGCTGGGAAAAAATAGATTATCTGCACAGGAAGAGCTATCAGAGTGGAACTGGACTTCTCATTAACAGTGTCTTAACAGTAGAAGATAATAAAGCAACATCTTAAAGTATTAAGAGAAAGTTATTTTGAACTCTCAGTTATGTATCAGGCTAAATGACGATTAAGTTAAAGGGCCAGATAAAAATGTTTTCAGATACACAGGCACTCAGGAACTTTACTTGATATTCATTGTTCCTGAAGCTGTTACTAAGGACATAATCCAGGCAAAATATGGGATATAAGAAAAAGTAGGACAAACTCAAAGTTTCAGTGAAAGGACCCCTTAACATGGCAGTTGGTCAGTAGGTCCAGAATAGCTTGTCCACATTGAAGCAAGATCTATTAACACTTCTATGCAGATGAATTTAGCTTTTAATCTGTTCAATGTAGGAGTTATTATGCCTATATTCCACATACAAAAATATGAACAAAAATGAATCTACTTCATGCCCATATTCATAACTGTATAAAATAAGAATGACAGCTGATATTTTACTTTAAACACATAGCCCAGATGAAATTTTTAAGCAAAACTCCAACAGGCAGATTTACTGAGCTGTTATGAATGTTTCATTATCTCCTAATTAAAGTAGTCTACTCGCCTCAATTGCCATATGCAAATGGAAACTTAGAACAAATTGATAAAGGGGTTTTCACTTGTAATTGCTGCAATTAAGAAGTATACAAACTGTTTGACTAAACATTTCACCTCTAATAACTTATTATAAGATAATTGAACAAATGTCCAAAATTTAATTTAAAGAATCTTAATTGTAGCATTCAGTGTATTTATTCAACAAATACACGAGGCATTGGACACTTATCATTTATAAACATTAAAAGAAAGGAAGCAGCCTACATGCGTAAAAATAAGTTATAGGATAAGGAAAATTAGAGTATATTCACATATTGAGGCAACAGTCATTAGGATTGAGGATGATATAGAAACATATTTATTAAAAATGAGAAGTCCTCCAATATGAGAAAGCAAGTTACAATATGTTATATGGTCTCTTTTACATAAGTAGGTAACAGGAAGTTTGGTTGGTAAACTCTCTCTTTCCTGGTCATCCCCAAGTTCTCTGTCTTTTTGGAGTTGTCTTTCTCTTGCAATCATGTTGCCCCACAACAGCAAGATGTAGTTTCTTTCCTCCTTACCATTCCTGCGGGTGCTCTTCCTCTAGCACATTTTGGATAAAGATATTTGCCACACGATTGTGCCTAAATCATTCAGCGCTGCCCTCTTCCCCAACGTCTCTGTGGGATCCCTCAGGCTTCTCCGTGTTTGCTGCCAGTTGCCTTAGAACCACCACCATTCTAAACAAACTATCACAAGGACAGAAAACCAAACACCCCATGTTCTCACTCATAAGTGGGAGTTGAACAATGAGAACACATGGACACAGGGCGGGGATCATCACACACGGGGGCCGGTCTGGGGGCGGGGGGCTGGGGGAGGGATAACATTAGGAGAAATACCTCATGTAAATGACGAGTTGATGGGTGCAGCAAACCAACATGACACATGTATACCTATGTATCAAAGCTGCATGTTGTGCACATGTACCCTAGAACTGAAAATATAATAATAAAAAGAACCACCACCCTTTCTTTCTCTCCACTGAAGAGCATCAATATTGGGATTTTCATAATTTTTAAGCTTTTTAATCAGAGATTTGGTAGTGATGGAAGGTAATTAGAGCTCAGAAAATAAACTATTTCAAATATAACTGCTCTGTGATGCCTAGAAATTTACTGTGCAATCTCTTTCCTGTTGGGTTTCTCTACTGCTCCAGTTTTCAGCACTGCCATTTAGAAACATCTTTCCTTAGAGTAGTATGTCTAAAAAAATTTTTAAGTGTCTTTGATGGCCTGATGAAGCTCATGAATGTTTTCTCAGAATAAAGTTTTGAACGAATAATACACAGAATTCCAAAGGAAGCCAATTATATTTAAATATAGTTCTAACAAGGAACCCCTTGATTCTAGAGTCAAATAGACTGTGCTATTTTCTCTTCCTAGTCTATTCAGCTTCTCTAATTGACAGGAACAATGCCAAAAGTACTGCTACTTTTTTCTGTTTTGCCATTTAACTAATTATGTTTACAAAATGGTATCCCTCTAGACTGAGGTCAGGAGGCCCTAATCTTTCACAGGCAAATAACAAGTCAAAGAGTTTTCCAAAACATAGGCCACTGCTTTCCCTTAAAGGAATATTATCAGTCCAATTAGCCCAAACTTTTCATTTTTCTTCTTTAGATGCACATATTTGCTTTCTGTCTCCGTCTCTGTCTCTGTCTTTCAGAGACAGACAAAGAGGCAGATAAACATATTTTTAACAGTTACGATGATAACAAAAGATTTAATTTTAGGCCCCCTTTTCTAAATTATAGGTCTATCTATACCTATAATTTAGAAAAGAAGAAATCTTTACGTCAGACAACCAGTGCTGGGAAAATGAAAAGAAGTGAAAGAAAAAGAAGTTCCACAACTACCCTCTATAATTATCTCTTATGATCATTAGCCTTGTTTGGGAACCCGTTGCATAGTGCCATCAACCACTGTCTAACACTATGAAAGAATTATGTGAGGTTCTTAAAGCCCAGGATATCTGTCATTGCAGACCCTGAATTGTGTGGTGCACTGCCACATCATCTCACTTCAATAAATATACTCTTACCTTCCTGTATGTCAAGATTGAATGAAAGGTGAGACTAATTGCAGTGGGTCTTAGTCATTTAAAACTAGATATGGAAAAAATATACAGGAGAAATTACTAAAGGATTCGCAGTTTTTTTGGATGAGTTAAACCCATGTATAGAAGAATATTTTTGCTATTTAATAGGTATCATTATGTTAGCCATGGTGTAAGGAGCACATCTGGGAATAGTTCAAAAGGAGCCATTAAAAAGCAGCTTTGTCCAGAATGGGTTCTGATACTGAAAATAATTAAAGATAGGCTCTTCTTGATTATCTTTAATTCTAATAGTGTTAGGCTATTCTTGCACTCCTATAAGGAAGTTCCTGGGACTGGGTAATTTATAAGAAAAGAGGTTTAATTGGCTTACGGTTCTGCAGGCTGCACAGGAAGCACAGTGGCATTTGCTCCTGGGGAAGCCTCAGGAAACATCCAATTGTGGTGGAAGGCAGAGGGGGAGCAGGCACATTGCATGGTGAGAACAGGAGCAAGAGAGAGAGAGTTGTGGGGGAGGTGCCACACACTTTTTTTTTTTTTTTTTTTGAGACGGAGTCTTGTTCTGTTGCCCAGGCTGGAGTGCAGTGGTGCGATCTCGGCCCACTGCAACCTCCACCTCCTGGATTCAAGCAATTCTCTGCCTCAGCTTTCTGAGTCACTGGGATCACAGGCACCCGCCACCATGCCCAGCTAATTTTTTGTGTTTTTAGTAGAGACCAAGTTTCACCATCTTGGCCAGGCTGGTCTTGAACTCCTGACCTTATGATCCACCCTCCCTGGCCTCCCAAAATGCTGGGATTACAGGCGTGAGCCACCACGCCCAGCCCACACACTTTTAAATAACCAGATCTTATTTAAATAAGCGAATTCAGAGCAAGAGCTCACTTATCACCAAGGGGATGGCCCAAGCCAATGTGAGGGATCTGCCCCCATGAGCCAAACACTTACCACCAGGCCCCACCTCCATCACTGGGGATTACATTTCAACATGAGATTTGGGTGGAGACAGATACACACTGTATCTATAGAGTTGTTTGCCTGACTGTCCAGAGTCATCTGACTTGTCTATAGAGATCTGAATGTGCCTGAGAACCTATGGTCAAAAATCCATATCAAATATTTATATCATTTTGGGGAAAAGTTTCTTGATTGAGTTAGTTTTCTTCAGTCATTTAAATGCTTTGGTTGCTATTTCCAGCCTTATTCACCATGAAACAAAAGCCACATTATTATTTCTTAATCTGATTTCACTAAACTTGTGAAAAATCCAAGGATAGGGACAGTGTCTGGTGTGTTGCCATTAAGCCTCAGCATCATTAAAAGAACATGCATTATTACAGAACCATGGAATCACTGTTCTTCCATAAAGATTTGGAAAGTGTCTTAGAGACTGGCAATTTCCAAAGTATATTCCTGGAGACAAACTATTGCATGAAGGTGTCTCAGGATGACTGCAAGTGTGATGAAAAAAGAGAGAGGCTTTTTCTCTGCCACCACCCACATATTGCCACTAAAAGCAACTTATTTTTATTCATTTTATGTTTGGAGGAACTGCATACATTTTTGTTTAAATAAACAAGGCTATTAAAATCCCTGTCTACACATCTTCACCACCCACTTTCCCCTTAATCCACTCCACACAGGCTGTCATAGTCCTTGCACCACTGAATTCATTCATATAATGATCATCAACTCCATCTTGGAAAAACCAACATTCAATTTCTGTCCTCATCACAACTTCCTCTTTTAACATCACTTGACACAGAGAGACCCTCCCTCATTCTTCCCAGCTTGACTTTAAACTTGGCTTCTGTCTTTGGGTTCCAGAACCCCACACATTCTCAAGTCTATTCTGCTGACCCCTTCTCCTCTTCCAGAGATCTGAATATGCTGGCACCTCAGACCAACTCTTAGTATACCATTCACTTACTCTCTTCCTGAGGAATCAGATCAGTTCCCATGGCATTAAATTGAATATAGGTTGAAAACTCCCAAATTTGTATTTTCAAATTGAACCTCTCCCCTGAGCTCCAGTCTTCTTAATCCAGTTTACCAGTCAACATCTCTGCTTAGATGATGAATTAGCCTCTCAAATGTAATATGTCTAAAAACAATTATTTACCAGTTTGCCTACATTAATCCATTCTTCCTCAACCTGTTTATTTCTAAATACTCCCCAACTCTTATTTATTCTGTTTCTTAGATAAAAAATCTGGCAGTCATGGTTGACTTCTCACTTTTCCTCTTCTTCGTATCCTGTCAGCCCCACATTTAACATCTATTCTGAATCTGAACTGACAATCTTTCATCATTTCTACATCTCAATCCTATACCAAACAACCGTGAGCTGTTTCATGGATTCCTGAAACCATTAAAATGGACCTGTTCTACTGTTGCTTTTAAGACTACATGCCAAGAGCTGCTAAAATATTTGCTTTATAATGTAGATTACATCAAGCTCTACTAAAAGGTTCAATGATTTTTCTCTGTATCTTAACAAAATAAAATCTAAAGCCTTACTGTGATCTGACTCTGGTCTCAGCTATTACCAGTCTTCATTCTCTGGTTTCCAGGATTACAGATTTCTTTTTGCTTTGAAATGCTGAGCACATTTTATACAAGCTCTCTTCCCTTTGCTTGAACCGCTCTTCCCCCATATCTTTAAATTATTAGTTTCATCTTGCCATGAGGATTTTTCACAACTTCCCTGGCTATCCATGATAGTCTCCACCCTCCAGCTCTTTCTAGCATTTTATATTTTCCTCAGAGCACATGTCATTATTTGCATTTGTCTATTTTTAAATTTGTCAATGTTTTTATTTTTTGTATTGAGCAGCTTCTCTCTCGCTCGCTCGCTCTCACACATACACACACACAAACACACACACACACACTTTTTCTCATTTGGCATTTCTTTGCCTCTTCTTTTTCGGGAATAGAAAGCCAAATTCTTCCTATTTTCTAGAGCAGAGTAATTCTATTCTCTGTAACCTCTACCTTGACTTGGGACTCATAAAATATTATAATTACCCTTTATAAAGAGTCTGCTGCTTCTCCTAGCACTGTGCTACATGTTTTCTTCGCCTTGTCCTTTGATCCTCATGACTATTCCAAAATTAGTGCTCTTATAATCATCATATTACAGACAGGAGACTGTGACTTAGACAAGGACAGGAACTTTTCCATGGTCACACAGCTAGCCAGTGGCAAAGTAACTACATATGGCACTGCCATCACTCCTTTCTCATTACCGCCTCTGCACCTCAGTGTGATTAATAACTTTAGGTTCTGATTTTTCTGGAAGGAAGGTATCTTTTTATCTGATTAAGAGAGATCATTGTCACAGGTGAATGCCTAGATTTAGCCCTTCTAAGGCATATATTGATTTTAAGTGCTATGTCCTTCAGCAAGAAGATTGTCCTCTGCCCGCTCCACTCTAACTCCCCAGAGCCTACTCAACATACTTCCATTTTGACCTACTGCAGTACTAAAATAATTAGAATGAGCAAACCAACACCCAACTTTGGAAGTCTCAAGGCCTGGAACTATGTGTTGTTTCTCTATTAAATCCATTATAAAGCCAGATCCTATTCTATAGGCTTTGGAGAAAAAAAACAAGCAGACAAACAGGAAATAACCTTTTATGAGTAACAAACATTGCTTAATTTTGCATAGAGGAACCACCATATTGTATCTCAAGTATTATTCTCAATTCAATTTCTAAACTTATAATAGTTCTTAGATATTTTTACCTCTTTAAAATCCCTCTTGTTCTGATACTGTACTTAATTTTTTAAAGGTAATTACTATATCGACTTGAGATCAGAGCACTTGGTAAAGTATTTCTCAGTACTATTTTGATGTTCTGTTAATTAAGTCTCAGGTCCATATGGAAATAAAATGGTTTTCTAATATATGTATTTTTTTCTATTTAATTTTTATTAAACAGAATATACATTAGACAGCTTAATCATTCTTAGTAATATTTTAGATTCTAAATTTAAGATAGATATAATTCATGTTTCATCAAATTCTATTTTACAAATAGCTTCGCCAATAGGCCTAAAATATTTGCTGAGTATACAAATGGTAGTAGTTAGTTCTAAGCTCTTTCTTTTTATGATTTAATTAATTTTAGGTAGAAATCCTCTCCTTGCTCTGTATGAGTAACTCTCATAGCCCATTTTGTTTAAAATAGAGACACAACAGACATAATTGCTTGTACTGATATTATATCTTTTAATACAGATAGGTAAAACTTTATAAGTTGCTTAACTGATGCTCTCAAGAAAAGTGAAAAATTTGGGGCTCAGCAGGGTGGCTCATGCCTGTAATCCTAGCACTTTGAGGGGTGGAGGCAGGAGGATCACTTGAGCCTAGGAGTTTGAGACCAGGTTGGGCAACATAGTGAGACCTCTTCTCTACCAAAAAAAAAAAAAAAAAATTTAGTCAGGCATGGTCGGGCTCACTTGTGCTCCCAGCTACTCAGGAGGCTGAGGTAGGAGGATCGCTTGGGGCCAGGAGGTCAAGGCTGCAGTGAGCTATGATCACACCACTGCACTCCCTCCTGCACCACAGTGAGACCCTGTATCAAAAAAAAAAGTAAGAAATTATTTTTTGTTTCTGATAAAAAAATAAGTCATTTAAAAAATTTACCTCCTTGCTTCCTCTGCTTATCATATAGAAATGGTAGGTGTTTTCCCTTCCTCACTCTCCTGCCTCCTCCATTGATTTCTCTTTCCTGTGAGCCAGCCTCTTTTACTCTGCGTGGAGCTGAGGTGCATCTTTGAAGGCCTGCAGGTGTAGTAGTGATGCTAATGGTGGCAGTAGATTCGTCGGGGGTATCCGTTAGATTCCAAGAAAGACTCTATGTAAAGGATAGGCAGGGATCTCCATTTGTCAATATGATCTGGGTGTATTTACATAAATTTGCAAATACATTTATGTACACTGGATTACCATCTTTAAGTATGACAGATTATTGGGAATGAGAAAAGGTACTGACTGTCAATGCCACCAACAATGGATTCTGAGTCAAAATAATCTGGAGGAAGACCTGGGCTGTCTAGATTCTCCTGGATTCATGGTATATTTGTATGCTTTTGGATATATTTAGCATACTGCCTGAATATGGTAGGCATTCAGAAAATGTTTTTAGACTGTTTTAGAAATCTATTTGTGTGACTCGTTTTTATCATCAAAGCAGTAAACTGGCAGCTCTTAATATTATTTAAGAGTGGAGAAAGAAAGGAATGAGAACAAGAAGGTGGAAATAGTGATCACCTTAGAAGGGATGTTTGCCCTTCACCATCCTTAACTGCATTCTTCAAACTTCAGATGTGCTAGTGACGCTTAGGAAGGAAGGGACACAGATTTGGACAGGTTTCCAAAATCCGTGGGGTAGTTTTCAGTGCCCATGCTTGCCCAGCCAATTTGGCAGTTGGCAGAAAATCTGCTCACCTTCAAAGGAACCTACACTGGAAAGTGCCAGTGATTTCATACACAAAGTCAGCTGGTTAGAATTACACTTAGCTTGCATTCAGAACCCAGAAGTAAGTTTCACAGAAATCGCACTAAGCATTCCCAGAAGGACTTTTAAAGTAAAAAAGAACTGAGCATTTAATGTCAGCATCTATTAAATGAAGTAGGCTTTTTATTTTTTTAAAGGTCAAAGTATAGATTATAGATGAGTTTAACTCCTGGCTCTGCCCCCAACTTCCTCTACTACTTTGATCAAGACCCTTGACTCTGGGGAGCCTCAGTTTCCTCATCACTATAGTAAGGTGGTTAAATTAAATTATCTTTAAGAGTTCTTTCCAATTCCAGCATGTGATTCATCCTAAACATCAGGTTTAAAAGTTTCTAATAGACTGACTTTGCCTAGGGAATAAAAATATTCTCTCATGGCCCTATAGCTGTGCAATACAGAAGTTACCCTGTGAGTCTTTTAAATGTTACATGATCTGTGCTGAACCCATCAGAAAATACATCTTAAAATACACATCTCTAATGCTAAGAATGACTTGGAGAAATTTTTGTTTTATTTTTAATTGTAACTTTTTAAAAACACTCAATTTATCAAGTTGATTATATTATAATTACTAATAATAGTATTTCTAATCTGTGTCTAATCTGTATCTAGTTATGGAAGAAAAATTTTCTCTTTTTTTCTTCCACATTAGTCATTGAGTTTTTTCACCAAGCTGCTTGGTAGGATGACAGCAATGTAAGAAAATTAACAATGGTTTTACCACCTTTTGTAAATGAAATATTTAAAGCAGCTAAAAGAAAGTAGCGATTACTTAAGAAGTAAGAGGAAAAATATTAATCCAGGTTGAGGATGTCACATCCCAAATGCCAGAAATGTTTTGGATTTTGAATTTTTTCAGATTTTGGAATATTTGCCTATATATAAGCTATCTTGGGGATGGAACCCAAGTCTAAACACAACATTCATTTATGCTTCATATACACCTTATACACGTAGCCCAAAGGTAATTTTCTATAGTATTTTTAATAATTTAGTGCATGAAACAAAGTATGTGTACCTTGAACCATCAGAGGGTACTGGTGTCACCATCTCAGCCACCCATGTTGACAATCTGTGGTTGTTTGGCATCACATCTTTCCTGACACTGAATTTGTATGCCACTGATAATCATTTTCTCATCCTTATTCACATATAAGTACTTAACAATAAAAAATGTGATGTTATTAACACAATGAAAAAATGTTTTCAGGGTAACTAAGCAATCCAGTAGCATCACCAGAATACCTGTATCAGCTGTTAAACAGCAGTAACAACCAACAACAGCAGGCTTTCAGCCTCCATCTACTATGCTGTTTTGATTAAAAGGTTACCATACAAAGTTTTTTTTGTTTGTTTTTTTTTTGAGAGAAAACATTAGAAGCAGTTGAGGGGCTGAGGGATCAGAAAGTGAGTTTTCTGGGGATGAGGAGGCATTCTGCTGGATGGATTTTTAAAATGTTTCCTTCAGGATCATCTGCCTCATTAACAATGACTTATTGTCTTAGAAGTCTCTCTTTGATTTGATAAGCTGACATGATTCCTTATTCATTTATGAATGCATGCTGCTTTAGCCCTTCAGGAAGCCCATCACACATTTTAACCGTATTGTCAATAGGCACTTTTTCTGCAGTTTTAAAAAGGCCACCTTCATTGTCACTTTTTCATGATCACCTTGCTTCAGAACCATCTAGGCAATTTCACCATCAATGAATGAACAACTGTCTCATCATTAGTATTTAAAACTTCTTTGATATCCGCTTCTTGCAGGATTCTTGATGGATTCTGAAGGTATATTTTGCATATATAATGGGGTCAAACATAATTTTTTTCTCATTTGACATACAAAATCTTTCAAAGTCATTGCTTTGTTCCTAACCATCACTGAACATAGTCGCAGGCCAGATGTTATGCCAGGCATGCACAACTGTATCTTTAGTGACTGTGTTCCAAGAACTGGCAATAGCATATATAGCATCCTTCATGCTACACTTCTTTTGAAAACCTTTGACACCCACACCTCTGTTCACTGCTGCTAGCATGCTATTCAAGGAAGTGTTTATGTGTTTACTCTTCATGGATCTAAGGATACTTTTTTCATATGGTTGAATTAATAAAGTCACATTTGGGGAAAATTACATGCATTAACATTATTTTTAATGAGAATTTCAGCTGTAGTATGAGTGGAACAGTTGTCAAGCAATAACAATATCTTGCAGTCATCATCCAGTCCAGCTTTGCTGCAATGAGTGCAAACCACTGATACAAAATATTTGTGAAACCGATCAGAAAAGATGTCCCTGGTAATCCATACCTTTTTGTTAGTGTAACAATGAACTGGTAAGAAAGTCACTCCTTGAAAATAGCTGTAATGCAAGATTTAGCCTATCACAGTAAGTTTATAATTATGTGTGCCTGCAGCATTAGCACATCTCAACACAGTTATTCCCTGGCATTCTTAATTCCTGTGGGGGCTGACACATCGGCTGTAGTCCGTCTTTCATGGACAATAACACCAAAACAATGATGTCTTATCAGCATTATAATCTTGTTCTGGCATCAGATTTTCATCAGCAATGATCTTGGCAAAGTCTTCAATGAATTTCTCCACTACTTCATGTCAGTAGATGTATTGTCACTGTGAATCTTTAAAAATTTAATGCTGTGTCTTTTCTTAAATTTCTACAGTCAGCCCGTTGAATATTCACAGTTCCCTTCCATTTAAAGTTCATTGTGATATATCTTTGTTTGTTTCATGATCAGCATACCATCAAGTAGCATGTGTTTACTGCAACACCAGCAGTTCCACACTTTCAATACATGATTAAGACCTTCATTTTTAGCTTTATGCAGTGTTTTTCTATTTTTCCTTACCTCTGTTCACTGCTTTTACCATAGAACCTCAATGGTTTATCCTTCTATTTCTTTAGGTCATATATGGAGGTCATCCCAACACCGTCATCTGCTCTAAGATGTTTTACACTTACACCATTGTTCATTTTCCCCAGCGGTCTGACTTTCTTTGCTATGTATGCTGCCTCTTTTATTTTATTTTTTAAAATCACTATTATAGGGCTTCCTGACATTTGAAACATATCTTTACATCAGAGAACAGAGAATAAACAAAAAAAATGATGAGTTAGTCAGGCACAGTGGCTAACTGTAATCTCAGCTAATCAGGAGGCTGAAGTGGAAGGATCTCTTGAGGTCAGTTCAAGAGCGGGCTGAGAAACATAGTGAGTACTCATCTCTAAAAAAAAAATTTTAAAAATTAGTTGAGTGTGGTGGTGCATACCTGTAGTCCCAGCTACTGAGGCTGGAGGATTGCTTGAGCCCAAATATTTGAGGTTGCAGTGAGCTATGATCAGGCCACTGCACTTCAACCTGGGCAACAAAGTGAGATCCTGTCTATAAAAACAAAACAAAACACACTAAAACACGTAAGTCTTAGCCCCTTGAAGGGCATCCTGGGGAGTTAATCATTGGTACATCCAGCCTCCACACATGCAATTTTATTATTTTTTGTAGGCATGATTGCATGGGGAGATTCGGACTTGAACAGAAGAAATATATTGCAGCTGAAGGTGGCTGGGAGGGTCTTTTTGCTTTTGGGGACACTGAATAAACTGTATGTTGTGTGACTATGTTTTGACTGTGACCCGCTACCTAAGGTCAGGTGTGGAAAAATTTCCATTTCAGATTTTTATTTTTGGATTAGGAATGCTTAACCTGTGTAATGCAAATCACATGCAAACCAACACTGCTTAGAAAATTGAGATTTAAAAAGTAGAATTTTTGGTATACATTTTCTGTCATTTAAATTTATTATTCCTTACTTGGAATTTAAGTCATCTCTAAAATTGTACCATCTTAGAAATAGTAGCAGCCATTTGATGGGTGCTTATAGCTATCTTTGTTCTATGACATTATAAGTAATGTAGAAACACAATTCACTTCTAGTCATGTAAATCCTATTGTAAAAGATACCTCAAGAAATAATTTTAAATGAAAATTGCTGCCGTAAGTCTTGAGAGTAATTAACAATGGGATTATATAAAATGAGTCAATATATGATAATGATGTTCCACCTCTACTTTTTATACCGTTATATATTTAAACTTACATGTATAGAATTTAATTTATAAAACACCCATGTGCTCACTATCTAGGTTAAGGAGATGTTATATTTTGCATGTTGGCTTCAGCTGACTTGTTTCCTCTCTCTCCCACGTACAGTAGAGTCTCTCAATATTTACCACCACAATTTCATTTCTTTCCTCCATCTTCTCATAAATGTTTTTATTTTTAAACTGCATACATACGTATATAGAAACTATAGAGTTTTGTGTGTTTAATACTTTTATAAATCATTTTATATATGTGTCATTTTCCAGCTTATTTCCCTCAAAATTATATATGCATTTAAGACAGCTTTAGCTCTAATTTATTAATTTTAATTGTTTTATAGTAATAAATGAATACACGAAGATGCATTGTTAACCCTCAGTATTAGCTTGCTAAGGCTACCATAACAAAGTGACATAGACTGTATGACTTAAACAATGAACATTTATTTTTTACAGTTCTAGAAGCTGGAAGTCTGATGTTAAGGTGCCAGCAGGTTTCTTCTGAGGCATCTTTTCTTGGCGTGTAGATGACATTTGTCTTAGTTCAGGCTGCTATAACAAAGTACCACAGGCTTGTTGGTTTATAAACAACAGATATTTATTTCTCACTGTTCTGGGGGCTAGAAGTCCAATATCAGGGTGCTAACATGTTTGAGTTCTTGTGAGGGTGATTTTCCAGGCTACAGACAGACGTCTTCTCATATTCTTACGTGGTGGAAATAGGAGGGACCTCTCTAGCTTCCTTTTGTAAGGACATTAATTCCATTAACGAGGGCCTCACCTTGGTGACCTAATCAGCTCTCAAAGGCCCTACCTCATAACACCATCATATTGGGGGTTAGGATTTCAACAAATGAATTTTGGGGAAACACAAATATTCAGTTCATTGTAGCCATCATCTCACTGTGTCTTCACATGGTCTTCCCTTGGTACACCTCTGTGTTCAAATTTCTCCCTCTTGTAAGAACTCTAGTCATACTGAATTAGGCCCACTGTAATTACCTACTTTTTACTTAAATACTTCTTTAAAGACTGTCTCCAAACATAGTCACATTCTGAAATACTGGGAGTCAGGAGTTTGACATGAATTTTGGGGGTACAAAATTCAGCCCATAACATCCTGTTAATAAATATTTTTATTCTTTCCAAAGTTTTGTTTTTAAAAACTATGGCTGCTATAAAATTC
Source organism: Homo sapiens (assembly GCF_000001405.40). NCBI lineage: Eukaryota > Metazoa > Chordata > Mammalia > Primates > Hominidae > Homo > Homo sapiens. Next base: position 112,898,040 of record NC_000006.12, read on the forward strand.
CTGTTAAGATATCCTTGTGGTTGAGGATTTCTCTAGGGTATATACATAGAAGTGATATTCTTGTTCATAGCTTAGGCTTATCTTCTCATCACTAATTTTTACCAAATTTCTTCGATGAGGTCATGACAATTTTTTCTTCACCAGTAACACATGAAAATTCCTGTGTGTTGCTACACATTTTCACCAACACTTAGTATTATCAAGCTTTTTATGTTTTGCTCAATTTGATAGAGTGACAACTTGTTTTAATTTTTATTTGTTTACTAACAAATTTAAGAATTTTTTAGCCATGCAGTTGTTATTATCCTTTTAGTTTTCGTATCTCTGAATTGTCTCTTAATATCCTGTTTTCCTTTTTTTTTTCCTTATTGATTTGGAAGACCTTGTGAACTATTTTATATCATTAGTTATTTTTGTTTGCAAATATTTTCTTCAAGTTTGTGAAATTTATGTATTTTTATTGTTAAATACTTACATTTATTGAATAAAATAAATAAATATTTGGTCGTTTTCTCCTAATCTCAATCTGCCAGTTTTTTTTTCTCTTCTCTTTTTCTCAAGATGTTATCTGAAGAGGTCCCAGGGATAATGTTTTGAAAAGTACTACGTAAAATTATTTCTAAGTTATCTCTGAAGTATCTCAATTAATTTTTTAATAAACAAAATGTTATTAATAAACATTAAAAGTTATTTTATTATTAAAATATACTTTGGTTCAATAATATCTCTTCTATATAAAATTTAATTGAGATAATTTAGAGATAACTTAGAAATAATTTTATATAGTACTTTTCAAAACATTATCCCTGGGACCTCTTCAGATATCACCTTGAGAAAAAGAGAAGAGGAAAGAAAGATCCGGCAGATTGAGATTAGGAGAAAAAAACAAGCAAATATGTATTTATTTTATTTATTAGATATCACAGTAAGATGGTCTCTGTGTTTTTGTTTTTATTGTATATATTTAAGGCATACAACATGATTACTACCGTCAAATAAATTTACATATCCGTTATCTCACAGTTGCTTTTTCTTCTTTTTTCTGTGGTATGAGTAACTAAAATCTACCCCCATTAACAAATTTATGGTATGTGATACAATATTATTAACTATAGTCCTGATGCTCTACGTTAGATCTCTAGACTTATTCATTTGAGACAACTGTGTCTTTGTACCCTTTGATGTATATCTCTCCATTTCCCCAGCCCCCAACACTGGTAACCACCTTTATACTCTATTTTTATATATTCATTAAAAAAACTTAGATTTGACACATAAGTGAGATCATGCAGTGATTTTCTTCCTTTGAGTTATTTTACTTAGTATAATGCTCCCTAGGTGCAGCTATGTTATAAACAGCAGAATCTCCTTCTTCATTTAAGGCTGGATAATACTCTATTGTATGTGTATGTATGTGTTTGCATACATATGTCACAACTTCTTGGCTGTAATGAATAATGCTGCAATGAATATGGGAGTTCGTATCTTCATGAAGTGGTGACTTCATTTCACTTGGATATATACCAGGAAGAGTGATTGCTGGATCATATGGTAGATCTATTTTTAATTTCTTTAGGATGCTCCATACAGTTTTACACAATGGCTGTACTAATTTACATTCCTATCAAGAGTGTAACTAGGATTCCTTTTTTTCCACATCCTTGCCAACTCTTGTTATCTCTTATCTCTTTGATAATAGCTATCCTAACAGGTGTGAGGTTGTTATCTCGTCGTGGTTTTGATTTGCGTCTTCCTGATGATTAGTCATGTTGAGCACATTTTCCTATATTTGTTGGCCATTTGTATATCCTCATTGAAGAAATGTCTATTCAGGCCATTTGCCCATTTTTAAAACTTGTTTTTTTTTTGCTATTGAGTCAGGTGAATTTCTTATGTACCACTCCATTGGTTGATAGATGGTTTGTAAATATTTCATCCCACTCCACTGGCTGCCGTTTCATTTTGTAGATTTTTTACTTTGATGTAGTTACACTTGTTTTGTTTTTGTTGCCTGTGCTTTTGGGGTCATATAAAAAATATCATTGCCAAGGAAAATATCAAGGAGCTTTTCCCTAGGCTTTCCTCTAGGAATTTTACAGCTTCAGGTTTTATGTTTATGTCTTTATTAAGAGTTCATTTTTGTGTGTGGTGTAAGATAAGGGTCCACTTTTATTCTTTTACATGTGGATATCTAGTTTTTCCAATACCATTTATCAAATAGACCATCTTTTCTCCATTGAGTTTTTCCCTTCCCCTTCCCCTTCCCCTTCCCCTTTCCCTTCCCTTTCTATTCCTTTCATGACAGGTTCTCACTCTGTCACCCAGTGGCACAGGCTGGAAGGCAATGATGTGATCACAACTCACTGAAGCCTTGAACTCCTGAACTCAAGAGATCCTCCCTTCAGCCTCCCGAGTAGCCAGGACTACAGGTGCGCACCACCATGCCAGGTGAATTTTTCAAAATTTTTGTAGAGATGGCGGTTACACTATGTTTTCCAAGCGGGTCTGGAACTCCTAGTCCCAGGAGATCCTCCCACCTAGGCCTCCCAAAGCACTGGGATGACTGGCATGAGCCATTGTGTTTTCTTAATGGCCTTGTTGAAGTGACCATAGATACTTGGGTTTATTTCTGGGCTCTCTATTCTGTTCCATTGGTCTATGTGTCTGTAGGTCGGTAACATACAGTAAGATTTTCTTAACAAAACAATCAGTATTGATATATATTCACTCTAATTTAATTAATGAAGTTCTACATCTGTCATGATAAAGTAAGATTCTATTGAATCCTACCATCCTGCAGATAATTAGCATAAACTCAGTACTAAATCGAAGGAAACAACTATAGAATAAGTGGAACAGTGCATAGAATTAGAGGTATCTTGGAGCAGAGTGAACACTTGAAAGAATTTATGGCATAGATGAATTACTCATTTTTATGATTTTTACATTCAGATCAGAATAAAGTTAGCTCCATGAGTGGCAGTTAAAATTCGACAGAGACATCTGCAGTTTCTCTGGCTCACAGAATCACAGGTCAAAATTAAGGGCAATTGTAACCAATTGAAATCAAGGGGAAAACTCTGTAAAGGTGAATCAGAGATAGGAAAAGATCCTAACTGTGTGTAAAAATCTGCCCCAAATATTTGACTTAACTCTGAAACACACATGCAATTAAGACACAAACAACCTAGATAAGGGAGTAAAATAATTGAATTTAAATTTGAACTACCACCGGGAGACAGAATTTGAAGTTTGAGTTCAATCAAGTTAATTGCCTGCTTTAAGAAAAAAAGCATTACTCTTTCAAGGAATAAAACAATCCATAGGCTCCACAACATAGCATTCACAATTTCTAAACATATGAAGAATCAGAAAAAAATGTGACGAATTCTCATGAAAAAAGATAAGTATAAAAGACCAATCTTGAAATGACACATTGAAATTAGCAAACAAGGATTTATAAACAGCTATTATAAATATACATAAGGGCATAAAGTCAAATATGTCTATAATGAATGAAAATGTAGGAAACATCAAAATAAAAATTCAACATATAAAAATTTTAGAACTGCAAATACAATGTATAAAATAAAATATTCACTGGATGAGCTTCCTAGCAAAAGAGGAAAAATTAATAACCATGAAGATATACTGTAGAAATTATTTATGTAAATGAGATAAAGCAATGGAAGCTAACAGTTTCAGGGACATGTGAGATAATTATACATGGTCTAACATATGTCTTATTGAAATCTAAGAAAGAGAAAAGAGGGAGAATAATACAAAGATATTTTAGAGTAAAATAGTCAACAATTTTCAAAATTGTAAATTATTAAATCTAGAGACTCAAGAAGCTCAGAAAATTCCAAGCAGGATAAATAAAATAAAGCTACACCTCAGCATGTCAAAGTAAAACTGTTAAAAGCCATTGGTAAAAATCAAATTTTAAAAGCAGCCAGAGAAAAAATAACCGTTACATACAGTGAAAAATATTAAAATGATGGCTACATTTTCATTAAAAAATTATAAATCCAGAACACTATGGAAAATGTTTGAAGTGCTGAAGGGAACAACTGCCAACCCTGAATTCTATTACAGCAAAAATATTCTTTAAGAATGAAAGCTATACTAAGAGGAAATCTTGCTTCCAAAAAAATCGAGTAGATATGCTTTTCCCCATTCCTCCAACTAAATATGACTAAAAACTTGGGACATTGTGTGTGCATGTGTGTGTGTGAGTGTGTAACCGTCTCTCTATCTCTCTCTCTATATATACACACACATAAAATATATATAAGAAGGCTTATCATATATATAAGAAGGATTCATATATATATATAGAGAGAGAGAGAGGCTTTAACAGATGGAGAAAAGTCAGACTGGCTAGGTGGCTAGGGACTCTAGGACCCAAGGAATGACATATGATGATGAGGTTTCTGGGCTTCTTTCTCTTTTTTTTTTGCCACATATATCCCAGACATGGAGCTGAAGAAGCTGGCAACCCAGAAACATCAGGGGAAATAAACCAAAAAGCCCCAACAAATGGCTGCTTTCTCTAGCTAAGGACCAGAAAATGGGCAACCTATCAAGGCGAAGAACTCTTAGACAATAACCTCTCTATTCCCAACAATGCCATGGATAAAACTGTGACCTCCCGACACACCAACCGACCTCAAGAGAAAAGACTGAGAGAAGTGCCTAGACTCACTTTTCCCAGGCACTAGAGTCAACAACAAATTGTTATTTTTACCTTTCCAAGACAATTAAAAAAAACTCAAAACACTTTAGTCCCTTTTACCTTCTCCAGCCTTTTGTGCTTGTATCATGCATTTGAGTTATATGTACATTTTAAACCTCAAAAGATATTATTATTGTTGTGCAGCATAAATACTCATTGAGTTTTCCCCACGTATTTACATTTCCCATGAATTTTTATAATTCTCTGTTTTTCTGTGGTCTCAGTAGAGATTATTTCCTTTAATCTGAAGTCTCCTTTTAGTGTTTCCTTCAGCATGTGTCTTCTGCTGATGAATTCTTTCACTTATCTTCACGTTTGATGTTTTTCAATGGGTACAAAATTATTGGTTGGCTGTAATTTTCTTTTAATACTGGAAAAATATCATTCTCTTGTTTTCTAGCTCTGTCACTTCTTTTGAAAAGTCAACTGTCAATATTGTTATTGGTCCGTTTATGGTGATATGGAATTCATTTGGGGAATGGAGCTGATTTTAAGAAATTTCTCTTTACCTTTGGTTTTTATCAGTGTGAACATGATGTGCTTAGACATGGCAGTTAATGCTTGAGGGTCACAGAGTTTCTTGAATCTGCAGCTTGAAATTTGAGAAAATTCTTATGCAGATTATCTTCAAATATTCCTTTCCTATATTTTCTGCATTCTCTTCTTTTGCTTCTATTAATGTATTTGTATTTATCTTTTCACTCTAACTGTATTTCACATGTTTTTGGCTTACATTTATTTTTCATTCTTTCTTGTCTTCATCCGTTGGTCTCGATGTTTCCTAGTAACCTATCTTCCAGTTTACTAATCCTTTCTTTTTCTGTGTCTAGCATGCTGTTAGTCTATCTATTGATTTTATAGTTTCAGATACAGATTTTTTTTTCAGTTTTAAAATTTTCATTTGATTTATATATATGTATATATTCAATTTGGGGTTAAATTATACATCTTTTTTTTTACTTATTAGTTATTTAAAAATCCATATATCTAACTCTAATGTCATTCTTGCCTACAGCCTGTCTGTTGCCTATTTTTCTCTGGGTTTTCCTTATTTCAATCTATATATATTTCATCCTAGATGTCCATTCAAGTGCATTACAGATATTTTGTTTAAAAAATTATACAGGCTCTGATGTTAGAGATTATCTTGAATCAGTTTAAGAAGTGAGATAATTGTTCACTGTGTTGTAAGGTCTATGTAGATTGATTTATTTCCAGTCTGCTCCCACCCTATCATAGACTTTTAGGGGTCTTAACTGAAGGTCTAAGGTATTTACAAAGGAAGGCTCCTCTTCTTTGGCCAAGTCAAACGACACTTTTTTTTTTCCCTCCCCAGTCCCGTAAAATGCCAAAATCTCTGCTTGGCTTTTGGGCCTCTCAGTAGTCATTTTTCATTTGGTTTATTCCCTTCTCAATTCTTTAAAGCTTTGGTTTAGGCCCATTTCATAGCCTAAAAAATTGGGTGAAGAAATTGGGAAGAAAAGGCATACCAAATACGAGACTCACTTCTCTGTGGCTCCTTTGTTCTCCAGGATTTGCCTGCTTTGATAGCTCTTAATTGGAATTTTTGTTTCCATAACCGTGTGGGACTGCTTAAAGCTCCAGGTTGTTACTGTTCTGGAGAGAAAGAAGCGATGAAAAATGTGCCCACCCACCTCAATACATTTTTCTTCTCCTAGTGTTACTGACCTCTCAAGTTGGGCTGTCTTTTTTGATGGCTAATGTTTGCAACAACCATGGATGTTGTGTTGTCATTTTTGTTGTTTTCTATCCAGCTTTTACAGGTTTTCTTGGTCAGTGAGTTGGTTTGATACAAGCTACTCTGTCACTTTTAAAAACAGAAGTCTTAGAGACGATGCACTTAAACAAAATCAATACAATGAAAAAAATTATGGGAGGCTGATTTATAAAAATGAAATTATAAGAAAGGTAACACTGAGTTTTATTTGACCCCAAGTAATATAGCCAAAAGGTTAACAGTGTCAACGTAAGTAACTGTTGAAGTCAGAGAAAAGAAATATACCTGCTAGGCTCAGGGATGAAAAAATTAAGAGTTTTCAAACCTTGATACTAAAATGGGGAGAGACTGTTAAAAATCATATAATAAGAGAAATACCTGAGTGCACAAAGTGTTTGGTCTGGATGAAAGTAGGTATGAATGGGGGTTGAGATGGAATTAAAGAAGACTTTAAGTATTTGATCATTTCAGTGAGGAAAGTAGAAATGATCTGAATTGATCTGGATAGCTAGAAAATTTCGGAAAGTATTAAATTGGTGCAAAAGTAGTTGCTGTTAATGGCAAAACTGCAATTACTTTTGCGCCAATCTAATAGATGTTGCCTAAATCAAAAAATAATACTTTTAACCATTAAGGCTATCCAACACTGCCCTGGGGTCTTCCAGAAAGTGTTAAGTCACTTTTAATACTTAATATTACATTAGTTGATCACAGACATTGATGTTAAAAAAGAGATTTCTTAATTAGGGGGTGAGTTGCATGGTGATAGAAAGACAACAATTATTATTATTTTATTGAGAGTGAATTATATACCTGGTGCTTTATATATAAGCATCTTAAATTAAATACAAATTTAATACTTATGAGTACAATACTTATTGAATACTTATAAGTTTAGGAATTAGATCTAATTTTTATTCTCACTTTACAAATGAGGAAACTGAGGTATAGAGGATAAATAATTGGCCTAGTGTCAAGCAGCTAGTAAAGGGAGGAGGTGCGACTTGAACCCAGGTAACCTATCTCCTGAGACCACACTTTTAGACATCACATTATGCTGTCCAAGTTAAGATTGGTTAACTTTATAAGCTGTTAGTTATCCTTAAATAGATGGGGTATAAACAACAGCAGTCATATTAACAATGTGTAGTTTATTTGTTTACCCTTAGAATAATGTTGCAAATAAAATAGTTACAGATTCTGTTATTTGCTATGTGCTTTAACAAATCAGTATAAAAAACAAAGGCTATGACCTAACAAAGTTTCTTTTCTAAAGAATTCAGACATAAAAGCATATAAGGTACTGTACTGATATATAAAATTTGTCAATCTGTGCATGTGTGTGCATATAAAATAAATTTACCATGCAGGTAGCCATCTTATGTTTTAATATACCCTTACCTAATTATAGTAGTGAACTTGATGAAACTTGGAAATGCTATTTATTATGATTTTAATACCTACCTTGACTATCCTGGCTGACTCTTTAAAATAATTTTTAAAAGCACACTTTTAGAACTTGCTAGGCAAATGATTCTAAGGTTCTGTTTGTTATCCAAGTTATCATTCCATAACCTTTGTCAGAATGTTCTCTCTTATTTATGACTGAAATCCTGCAATAGAAACCAAAACCTATATGCCTCTATTACTATACCAAATGAAGGCAAGTTTCATCCATTATGTGTTTGGACCTATTTGATGCCAGCCAGTTAACAAACATTAACCTTTTCCTAAAGATGTCTTTATAATTTTTTTTGTTCAATTTCTCATATGTTGAAGAATCAATCTTTAATTTTGCCTCTCATGATTAATATGAGGACCCACAATAGAAAGTAACTGAAAGTAGGCATTAGATTTACTATATTTGAAAGGTTCACAAAATAACATTAAAAAGTGCTATTCTACCTCAGTATGATTATGACAGCTGACCTCCTTAATTAACTCTGTAGCTACATTTCAGATTTTCTCAGAGCCCTTGACACAATTGTTTCAGGGTTTGTTTTAAAGCCTATTTTTCTCTTTCATTTAAAAAAAAAACTTCAAAGGAGTCTGGTATTTCAGAAAACTGTCAAGATGTGTTGAAACGTATTTAAAAGAATGCATAGTTTCATGAATTGGCGTGGTTTGTGCACATTATTATTTTTTCAGGTTTTTCGCTACATATAAAGAAGGATAAGAATTCTGTGTGGGGGAAATATTATGGTTGTCACAGGGCAAAGGGGGTCATCCAGTATCTTTCACTTTTCTCCAGAAGAAATTAAGAGAAGAATTCATCAAATGTTAATGTTAAGAACTCAGAAACTCTGGAATGTTTGTCCAGAGTCCCAGGCCTCAGAGCAAATGCTCTTATGCTGCTGGGCTCCAGGGAAAGATTTCAGCCAAAGTCAATATGCACAGAAACTCCATCTGACTGAAACTGTGGAAACAGCTGTAACTACTTAGCTGGAAAACCACCTTAGATTCCTCTCCCAGAATACGCTGATGACATGGGAGATGGGGAGCAGGAAAGCTCTGTCAGGATCTCTCTTCAGCTGTGGTCAGAAAAAAAATATTTTCTTTCCCTGAAAGCTGTAAATAGATGGGTTTATCTCTGGTCATAATAAACCACCACCACCCCCCTAAATTTCTTTTTTGCCCTTAAATTTGCCCATGTCTCTTCCTTTCTTTGTGTATTAATCAGTATTTGATTTAAGTCATCTTTTATGTGAAATTTTTAAAAAGATCCACTTGATCTTAGATACATCTTCTAAATGTGATTGGATGGGATTCACATTAGTATTAGAGACCAACATGGTCAATGGATGTTTAATTCTGATAAGGTTTCAATTTATGAATATATACATAATTCTTTGGTTTGAGATTTTATTTACCTCTTATTGTTCTTCATGGTACTTTTTTGCATTATTCTTAGAAGAAAATAAAAAATGCTACCAGAAACAACAAGTAAATGTTTTTTTCAAGTTTACTGAAGTATGAATGACAATTAAAAATTGCATATATTCAAGTTGTACAAATTGATGATTTGATATATGTATACAATGTATGTATACATACATTGTTAAATATTCACTACAGTCAAGCTAATTAACACATTCATGATCTCACATAGTTACTTTTTTACCTGGTAGGAGCACTGAAGATCTACCCTCTTAGCAAATTTCACATATGCAATATGATACATTATTGTTAACTATAGCCACATTGTTGTACATTAGATCTCCAGAACTTATTTATCCTGAATAACAAAAACTTTATACCTTTTGATCAGCATCTTCCCATATCTCCCTTTCTCCAGCCCCTGGTAACCATCATTCTACTTTGTTTATATGAATTTGACATTTTTAAAGCTTCATGAGTTCACTTATATATGGTATCTAAAACAATAACAAATCGATTTTCGGCCACTTTGGGGAAATTGATTTTTGACCTTGTAATCATAGGTTAAAAAACTATCGATAGCCTAGCTCAGGCAGGGAAGAAACCTCAGAAATCAGGACAACTAAAAGGAAATAGGAAGCCAAAAATTGCATTATTTTGCTTCTGAACATTCTGTATAAGATGTTACATAGCCAAGGTATGGAATGTTGACAGTCAGAAATTGACCTAGACCAAAACAAGTGAAATGTATGTATATGTGTGTGTTTATGTATATATAAGTTGTTTTATTTGTCTTATTGCCTATTTGATTATTTAACTTCCATAATTATTTCATAATTTTGAGATGAATTCAGTTCTGGGGTCAAGTGTTAATATATAACATGGATTATTAAAATATATCAGCTAAATTTTAAGTATCATTTTAAAAATGGCTTGCATTATTGAGCACTCTATTTCCGAAGTAATGAGTAGCATCCTAAAATGATTATACTTCAAAAAGTGTGAGGTGAAATCCATTCATTTTTTCAAGTGTTCACTGTGTTGCAATCGACTCCAAAAATGTTGACCTCAGCAACTAGAAAACTATATGGACTGCTTTTGGGGAACTGACTCGCTTTGGAAATTTCTGAGGACCCCTCAAATGTCTCAAATGGCTAAGAAATTGAAGATGAGATAAGTATATGCAGGTTGATTTGAGGGAAGACATAAACAGATCTAGGGGGAAGAAATAAGGTAGAAGTAGATAATGACTGAGTCTGCATGGGGAATTAGTTCAAGGTACTTAGCCAAGACACAAAAATTAATTCAAGATGGATTAAAGACTTAAATGTTAGACCTAAAACCATAAAAACCCTAGAAGAAAACCTAGGCAATACCATTCAGGATGTAGGCATGGGCAAGGACTTCATGTCTAAAACACCAAAAGCAATGGCAACAAAAGCCAAAATTGACAAATGGGATCTAATTAAACTAAAGAGCTTCTGCACAGCAAAAGAAACTACCATTAGAGTGAACAGGCAACCTACAGAATGGGAGAAAATTTTTGCAATCTACCCATCTGACAAAGGGCTAATATCCAGAATCTACAAAGAACTTAAACAAATTTACAAGAAAAAATCAACCCCATCAAAAAGTGGGTGAAGTATATGAACAGACACTTCTCAAAAGAAGACATTTATGCAGCCAACAGACACATGAAAAAATGCTCATCGTCATCAGCCATCAGAGAAGTGCAAATCAAAACCACAATGAGATACCATCTCACACCAGTTAGAATGGTGATCATTAAAAAGTCAGGAAACAACAGGTGCTGGAGAGGATGTGGAGAAATAGGAACACTTTTACACTGCTGGTGGGACTGTAAACTAGTTCAACCATTGTGGGAGACAGTGTGGCAATTCCTCAAGGATCTAGAACTAGAAATACCATTTGACCCAGCCATCCCATTACTGTGTATATACCTAAAGGATTATAAATCATGCTGCTATAAAGACACACGCACATGTATGTTTATTGTGGCACTATTCACAATAGCAAAGACTTGGAACCAACCCAAATGTCCATCAATGATAGACTGGATTAAGAAAATGTGGCACATATACACCATGGAATACTATGCAGCCATAAAAAAGGATGAATTCATGCCCTTTGTAGGGACAAGGATGAAGCTGGAAACGCATCATTCTCAGCAAACTATCGTAAGGACAGAAAACCAAATACCGCATGTTCTCACTCATAGGTGGGAATTGAACAATGAGAACACCTGGACACAGGATGGGGAACATCACACACCGGGGCCTGTTGTGGGGTGGGGGTGCTGGGGGAGGGATAGCATTAGGAGATATATCTAATGTAAATGACGAGTTAATGGGTGCAGCACACCAACATGGCACATGTATACATATGTAACAAACCTGCATGCTGTGCACATGTACCCTAGAACTTAAAGTATAATAATAAAAAAAAAAATAATGAATCACTAGGGGAAAAAGGTGTGTCAAGAGCTTTCCCAGGAGTAGATTTCCCAAGGCTAGGCCACTTTCTGAAAGCCACAAGTATTTACCCCAAGCTATAGGAGGACAATTGATAGGATATGGAGGTTCCAGCAGAAGACATCCAATTACTAATCTCCCAATCAGCAGTGGAATGTACCTACCCAGAGGAATGCAGGATAACACAGTGCTGGTGATCAAGCTCTGGCATCAAGGAGAAAAAAATCCTGGCTCTACCCTTTATTATTTGTGTGATTGTGGACCAGATATGTGACCTCTCTAAGCCTTAGTTTCTTAGTCTTTAAAATGCTGTTCTGAGAATTAAATTAGGTTATACCTGTAAACTGCATAGCACAGTGCTTGTCACAAAATAAATATTAATAAGTGCATCTTTATTATCACCAACCCTCAAAGATGCCTCTGAGTTGGAATGAGATTTCAATGGTCAGAGCCAGAGAAAGCCAGGTAGAGTAGAGAGCACACAGATTTTCTTATTTTCTTTCAATTGCATGAAAAAGAACAGCTGCTTCCCACATGGAAATCAGATATTTGGAATTTTTTATGTTATTGCTTTTCATAAGTCTACTGAGTTGTCACCCAAAAAGCCTCTGAGGTAAATGCCGTGGTTTTTCACTTCCTGTATGAATTGGGAATGAATGTTTGTAAAAAATAATTCCCTTAAAACAACAGAAATGCAGTTACAATTTTCTTATCAAAGTAGTTGTTGAAGTACGAATTTTATAATTATAATTAAGTAGCAATATGAATACAGACCAGAAGGTAAGATTAAAAGTGGGAACAATTGTAGTAGTATAGAATTATAATTGTTTTCATTTCAAAATGTTTTATTATGCCATATTTTGTATTATACATTTAATTACCTTATTGCTTTGTTGATTTTATAGATCTATAATTTATACATTAATGCATATATACTTCTATATACAGTTACGCATACAGCAAAACGTCTGAGTGGCTATATACCAAAATATGAAGAGTAGTTATGCCTTGGCGATTACGGATATTTTTCATTTAATCGTATTTTCAAAATTTTCAATGGTTATTTGTAATAGAAATTTATCAAAATTAACAGCTGTACTTGAAAATAATCAAAATAAGATATACTCCTGGCTTCTCTGATCTTATTTATAAATGGCAAAATATTGAGATCCCAACCAAACATTCACAGATGAAGTTTTATTTCTCAGAGTAAAGTGATTTAGGTTTTTTCCTTTGAGATGGGAAAAGAAGTCCAGTTAGGTGCTTGTTTGCAATTTATTGGTAAAGGCTACTAATTACGTATAGCCTTTGTTAAATACCCATTTATCCATTTATTCATGTTCAATAGAAATTAAAAGTGGCCTCCAAAAGTGGCATAAGTAAATTAATGAGAATGTTAAACAAGAAAATGGAATCAGTTAATTAAATGGTGGCCCATTTGGTATGATTTAAGTTCTTCTGATTGTTACTTCATTTCAAATCAGAAAATTTCTAACTTTCTTAAAAAATAATTTAATAATAACTAAACATTAAATTATTTGACAAGCCAGTGTTACTCAATGGAGCCTGTTATTCTATTGAAAAGTAGGTTTGAATGGAATTTCACATTCTATAACATTCTTGAATAATCTGAGCAAGTTTCACTGGTTCCTATCAAACTTGGTCTCACCTCCATCTATAGATTATTAAGTAATCCCAGCCAATCTTTTGAGCACCATCGGGTAATTTCTAGGTAGAGCCAATTAATGGAAAGTATACGACTATTGCGGTTCATGGATCCCAGGTGCATGTCTTGAAGCCGTCTGCAAAGACTTTCCTCTTTTCAGGATAAAAGTGAACCTCACAGAGCTTAAGTTTATCTCAAATTTCAGATAGTGGTGACTACCTGAAAAACTTTAGCCTATCTAGTACTTATGATAAATAAAACTACATCGCCTTTAGTAACTGCCATCTGGTATAAATGTTTGTGAAAATACACATAATAAATTTTTTAATGTTGGATTTTACTCAGAATGATTCCCCACATTACTTCTGCCTAGCAAGAAAACATCTAATTTAATGATTCATAAATTCTGTGGAAATTTGCTATTAAATATATCTGAGAAAATATCCTACAACCCTGAAAAGCCTTAGCAAGAAGATGCTACCAATGTTCTCTACACAGGCCCTGGGCATATTACAGCACTTTGAATACGGAAGCCAACGAGCATTGCATGAGATAACAAAACAGCAGGGACCATTATGTCCAAAGAAAGTTTATCCTCATAAATTTTAGTGAGAGTCATGGATGCTAATTAAAGCCAACTCTCAAAGCCAAGTGTAGTTGGCCTTCATCATCCACCTGATTCAGTACAGCTGTTTCCAAAGGGAAACTAGAGGCATGTAATTTGTTCTCATAGGATTTGGATTCTACTTTATTTATTTGTGATAAATCTTTGGGTTTAGAGGTTACGTAACCACATGTTTATAATGGTACTCATTAATTGACCACATCTATTACTGACCATGCAAATAATTTTTAGGGATTATTTCAATTAAAAATTTAAGAAATACCATTTAATGCTATAAAATATAAGCACTCCAAATGCCTTAAATTGGATCATGCAGGAAACCACGGAAATCACATTATTTTGCATTTCAGCTTTGGAAAAAAGCCACACTTTGAGAATGCTCAGGAAGAATTAGCAAAACTGATCCTGCCATAAAACAATACAACCCAAAGAGTTCTTTCCTGAGACTAAAATTATTTGGCTAGGAGGAGGGAAGGATGGTGAAGAATACAGTTTAGGAAGTGATCTAGCTGAGAAAGGTGAGAAAAACCCTGAAAAGAAAGCAAGTGCTTTTGCTAATTGAACCTAAGAATAGAGTGTTAGATAATGTGGGCTTACAAAAGGCTGTATCTTACAAACAAATATTTTTGCTTCAGGATGATGTAAAGTTTGAATAATAACAGTAAGTTTCCACTATTATTAAAACTACTCTCTTTCCACAGTTGCAGTTGGATTAGAGTCAAAAATTCCAGAGCAGCAGGCCCAAGGAAGAATAACAGTATGCAGAAATGAGGCATTTGGCTGCTTAAGAAATCAAGAGGGGGGCACACAAACAGGTTTGAATACAAGTCCACATTCCAACAAACTCCTTTTCTTCACTATTTCACGATCTTCTATGGAGATTCAAAGACATAGGAGTTTTTACTTAGTGCCTGTAAAAAAAAAAAAAAAAAGGTAAAATAAGATAAAATTGAGAGTATTTTTTCTCAGAGCTTTAGCAAATTGCTTTTTACTTTCTAGACATTATCATCTGTGGAGGTTACGCACATATTACAGTGAATGCAATTTAATACCACTCAAAATGTTCTTGGTGACTCTTTTTTCAGAATCACATTCTGGATCTATTATAACCATACAGAGAAGACATTTTTTTCTTTTTCTCTTTTTCCATTTGCTATCTTTCTCTCTTTCTTTTCCCTTTCTATCTTATTTTGTCTCTCTTTCTTTGGCCATAGTGCTAAAGTATTCCTTTTTCTATCCTTTTGTTTAAATGAATTTTGGCTTTATGCAAAACTTAATCCCTTTCCTTTGACATGTGACTATTCATCTCCAAGGAGAATTAAAAAGAAACACAAAGAAATGTTTTTCAGATATAAATGGAAATTCCAGAAGTGTAGTGAAGGCATCATAATGGTAATCACTTATCTCCACCAAACTGTGACAAAACTGAATGAGGTAGGTGTTTCAGTAGTGGAGATGTGTTTAGTAGTTGATTCAATTAGTTTATAGTCCAATTTAGCAAATCTAGACATTAGCGATATACAGATGTTTCTTTTGACTCACCGTCTGCACATGGAAGGTTCATTCACCACACCTGTGGGTGTGAAGGAAATCAGACTCGAGTAACCTTCATTTTTTGTGCTTATGAGAGTTTGTTTTTGATATAAAATATATTTAGAAAAAAACTAGAATGGGTAAAAATGGAATTCTGTAAAAAATAACCGGAAGATTATTGTTAGACGGCCAGTCAAGCCAAGTGGACAGTTATAATCAGTGGGAGTGTGGCACTATGGCCATGCTCTGGACAGCTGGCTTTAGAGGAAGTGAAGTGCAGTTGGTTAACAGCATACTCCACAGGGATTCAGTGTCAGCCCTTTTTCTTACTAGATACATTGGAACAAGTTTTCAAAATTCTCTGTGCCTTAGTTTCTCCATCTAAAAAATGACAATAATAATAAGACCTCATACATTCATTGTGAAGACCTTACAAGATAATACACATGAAACAGTAGTGTTGGGCGTTTATGTGCACTCCACACATATTACCTAGCATATCATTGCTATTATTTATAAATATTTGATTATGCTTTTTTTTAGTTCAAAGGCAAAGAGATGTAAGAAATAGTTCAAACGGAAAAGTGTGGAAAAGCCATGTGACAGGAAGAATATTTCTCTGGTGATTCAGTAAAATATACTTATTAAGGGTGATTCTTTTTTTTTTTTTATTATACTTTAAGTTTTAGGGTACATGTGCACATTGTGCAGGTTAGTTACATATGTATACATGTGCCATGCTGGTGTGCTGCACCCACTAACTCGTCATCTAGCATTAGGTTTATCTCCCAATGCTATCCCTCCCCCCTCCCCCGACCCAACCACAGTCCCCAGAGTGTGATATTCCCCTTCCTGTGTCCATGTGATCTCATTGTTCAATTCCCACCTATGAGTGAGAATATGCGGTGTTTGGTTTTTTGTCCTTGTGATAGTTTACTGAGAATGATGATTTCCAATTTCATCCATGTCCCTACAAAGGACATGAACTCATCATTTTTTATGGCTGCATAGTATTCCATGGTGTATATGTGCCACATTTTCTTAATCCAGTCTATCATTGTTGGACATTTGGGTTGGTTCCAAGTCTTTGCTATTGTGAATAATGCCGCAATAAACATACATGTGCGTGTGTCTTTATAGCAGCATGATTTATAGTCCTTTGGGTATATACCCAGTAATGGGATGGCTGGGTCAAATGGTATTTCTAGTTCTAGATCCCTGAGGAATCGCCACACTGACTTCCACAATGGTTGAACTAGTTTACACTCCCACCAACAGTGTAAAAGTGTTCCTATTTCTCCACATCCTCTCCAGCACCTGTTGTTTCCTGACTTTTTAATGATTGCCATTCTAACTGGTGTGAGATGGTATCTCATAGTGGTTTTGATTTGCATTTCTCTGATGGCCAGTGATGATGAGCATTTTTTCATGTGTTTTTTGGCTGAATAAATGTCTTCTTTTGAGAAGTGTCTGTTCATGTCCTTCGCCCACTTTTTGATGGGGTTGTTTGTTTTTTTCTTGTAAATTTGTTTGAGTTCATTGTAGATTCTGGATATTAGCCCTTTGTCAGATGAGTAGGTTGCAAAAATTTTCTCCCATTTTGTAGGTTGCCTGTTCACTCTGATGGTAGTTTCTTTTGCTGTGCAGAAGCTCTTTAGTTTAATTAGATCCCATTTGTCAATTTTGGCTTTTGTTGCCATTGCTTTTGGTGTTTTGGACATGAAGTCTTGCCCATGCCTATGTCCTGACTGGTAATGCCTAGGTTTTCTTCTAGGGTTTTTATGGTTTTAGGTCTAACGTTTAAATCTTTAATCCATCTTGAATTGATTTTTGTATAAGGTGTAAGGAAGGGATCCAGTTTCAGCTTTCTACGTATGGCTAGTCAGTTTTCCCAGCACCATTTATTAAATAGGGAATCCTTTCCCCATTGCTTGTTTTTCTCAGGTTTGTCAAAGATCAGACAGTTGTAGGTATGCGGCGTTATATCTGAGGGCTCTGTTCTGTTCCATTGATCTATATCTCTGTTTTGGTACCAGTACCATGCTGTTTTGGTTACTGTAGCCTTGTAGTATAGTTTGAAGTCAGGTAGTGTGATGCCTCCAGCTTTGTTCTTTTGGCTTAGGATTGACTTGGCAATGCGGGCTCTTTTTTGGTTCCATATGAACTTTAAAGTAGTTTTTTCCAATTCTGTGAAGAAAGTCATTGGTAGCTTGATGGGGATGGCATTGAATCTGTAAATTACCTTGGGCAGTATGGCCATTTTCACGATATTGATTCTTCCTACCCATGAGCATGGAATGTTCTTCCATTTGTTTGTATCCTCTTTTATTTCCTTGAGCAGTGGTTTGTAGTTCTCCTTGAAGAGGTCCTTCACATCCCTTGTAAGTTGGATTCCTAGGTATTTTATTCTCTTTGAAGCAATTGTGAATGGGAGTTCACTCATGATTTGGCTCTCTGTTTGTCTGTTGTTGGTGTATAAGAATGCTTGTGATTTTTGTACATTGATTTTGTATCCTGAGACTTTGCTGAAGTTGCTTATCAGCTTAAGGAGATTTTGGGCTGAGACAATGGGGTTTTCTAGATATACAATCATGTCGTCTGCAAACAGGGACAATTCAACTTCCTCTTTTCCTAATTGAATACCCTTTATTTCCTTCTCTTGCCTAATTGCCCTGGCCAGAACTTCCAACACTATGTTGAACAGGAGTGGTGAGAGAGGGCATCCCTGTCTTGTGCCAGTTTTCAAAGGGAATGCTTCCAGTTTTTGCCCATTCAGTATGATATTGGCTGTGGGTTTGTCACAGATAGCTCTTATTATTTTGAAATACGTCCCATCAATACCTAATTTCTTGAGAGTTTTTAGCATGAAGCGTTGTTGAATTTCGTCAAAGGCTTTTTCTGCATCTATTGAGATAATCATGTGGTTTTTGTCTTTGGCTCTGTTTATATGCTGGATTACATTTATTGATTTGTGTATATTGAACCAGCCTTGCATCCCAGGGATGAAGCCCACTTGATCATGGTGGATAAGCTTTTTGATGTGCTGCTGGATTCGGTTTGCCAGTATTTTATTGAGGATTTTTGCATCAATGTTCATCAAGGATATTGTTCTAAAATTATCTTTTTTTGTTGTGTCTCTGCCTGGCTTTGGTATCAGAATGATGCTGGCCTCATAAAATGAGTTAGGGAGGATTCCCTCTTTTTCTATTGATTGGAATAGTTTTAGAAGGAATGGTACCAGTTCCTCCTTGTACCTCTGGTAGAATTCGGCTGTGAATCCATCTGGTCCTGGACTCTTTTTGGTTGGTAAGCTATTGATTATTGCCACAATTTCAGCTCCTGTTATTGGTCTATTAAGAGATTCAACTTCTTCCTGGTTTAGTCTTGGGAGAGTGTATGTGTCGAGGAATTTATCCATTTCTTCTAGATTTTCTAGTTTATTTGCGTAGAGGTGTTTGTAGTATTCTCTGATGGTAGTTTGTATTTCTGTGGGATCGGTGGTGATATCCCCTTTATCATTTTTTATTGTGTCTATTTGATTCTTCTCTCTTTTTTTCTTTATTAGTCTTGCTAGCGGTCTATCAATTTTGTTGATCCTTTCAAAAAACCAGCTCCTGGATTCATTGATTTTTTGAAGGGTTTTTTGTGTCTCTATTTCCTTCAGTTCTGCTCTGATTTTAGTTATTTCTTGCCTTCTGCTAGCTTTTGAATGTGTTTGCTCTTGCTTTTCTAGTTCTTTTAATTGTGATGTTAGGGTGTCAATTTTGGATCTTTCCTGCTTTCTCTTGTGGGCATTTAGTGCTATAAATTTCCCTCTACACACTGCTTTGAATGTGTCCCAGAGATTCTGGTATGTTGTGTCTTTGTTCTCGTTGGTTTCAAAGAACATCTTTATTTCTGCCTTCATTTCGTTATGTACCCAGTAGTCATTCAGGAGCAGGTTGTTCAGTTTCCATGTAGTTGAGCGGCTTTGAGTGAGATTCTTAATCCTGAGTTCTAGTTTGATTGCACTGTGGTCTGAGAGGTAGTTTGTTATAATTTCTGTTCTTTTACATTTGCTGAGGAGAGCTTTAGTTCCAAGTATGTGGTCAATTTTGGAATAGGTGTGGTGTGGTGCTGAAAAAAATGTATATTCTGTTGATTTGGGGTGGAGAGTTCTGTAGATGTCTATTAGGTCTGCTTGGTGCAGAGCTGAGTTCAATTCCTGGGTATCCTTGTTGACTTTCTGTCTCGTTGATCTGTCTAATGTTGACAGTGGGGTGTTAAAGTCTCCCATTATTATTGTGTGGGAGTCTAAGTCTCTTTGTAGGTCACTCAGGACTTGCTTTATGAATCTGGGTGCTCCTGTATTGGGTGCATATATATTTAGGATAGTTAGCTCTTCTTGTTGAATTGATCCCTTTACCATTATGTAATGGCCTTCTTTGTCTCTTTTGATCTTTGTTGGTTTAAAGTCTGTTTTATCAGAGACTAGGATTGCAACCCCTGCCTTTTTTTGTTTTCCATTTGCTTGGTAGATCTTCCTCCATCCTTTTATTTTGAGCCTATGTGTGTCTCTGCACGTGAGATGGGTTTCCTGAATACAGCACACTGATGGGTCTTGACTGTTTATCCAATTTGCCAGTCTGTGTCTTTTAATTGGAGAATTTAGTCCATTGACATTTAAAGTTAATATTGTTATGTGTGAATTTGATCCTGTCATTATGATGTTAGCTGGTGATTTTGCTCGTTAGTTGATGCAGTTTCTTCCTAGTCTCGATGGTCTTTACATTTTGGCACGATTTTGCAGCGGCTGGTACCGGTTGTTCCTTTCCATGTTTAGTGCTTCCTTCAGGAGCTCTTTTAGGGCAGGCCTGGTGGTGACAAAATCTCTCAGCATTTGCTTGTCTGTAAAGTATTTTATTTCTCCTTCACTTATGAAGCTTAGCTTGGCTGGATATGAAATTCTGTGTTGAAAATTCTTTTCTTTAAGAATGTTGAATATTGGCCCCCACTCTCTTCTGGCTTGTAGGGTTTCTGCCGAGAGATCCGCTGTTAGTCTGACGGGCTTCCCTTTGAGGGTAACCCGACCTTTCTCTCTGGCTGCCCTTAACATTTTTTCCTTCATTTCAACTTTGGTGAATCTGACAATTATGTGTCTTGGAGTTGCTCATCTCGAGGAGTATCTTTGTGGCGTTCTCTGTATGTCCTGAATCTGAACATTGGGCTGCCTTGCTAGATTGGGGAAGTTCTCCTGGATAATATCCTGCAGAGTGTTTTCCAACTTGGTTCCATTCTCCCCATCACTTTCAGGTACACCAATCAGACATAGATTTGGTCTTTTCACATAGTCCCATATTTCTTGGAGGCTTTGCTCATTTCTTTTTATTCTTTTTTCTCTAAACTTCCCTTCTCGCTTCATTTCATTCATTTCATCTTCCATTGCTGACACCCTTTCTTCCAGTTGATTGCATCGGCTCCTGAGGCTTCTGCATTCTTCACGTAGTTCTCGAGCCTTGGTTCTCAGCTCCATCAGCTCCTTTAAGCACTTCTCTGTATTGGTTATTCTAGTTATACATTCTTCTAAGTTTTTTTCAAAGTTTTCAACTTCTTTGCCTTTGGTTTGAATGTCCTCCCGTAGCTCAGAGTAATTTGATCGTCTGAAGCCTTCTTGTCTCAGCTCGTCAAAGTCATTCTCCATCCAGCTTTGTTCCGTTGCTGGTGAGGAGCTGCGTTCCTTTGGAGGAGGAGAGGCGCTCTGATTTTTAGAGCTTCCAGTTTTTCTGTTCTGTTTTTTCCCCATCTTTGTGGTTTTATCTACTTTTGGTCTTTGATGATGGTGATGTACAGATGGGTTTTTGGTGTGGATGTCCTTTCTGTTTGTTAGTTTTCCTTCTAACAGACAGGACCCTCAGCTGCAGGTCTGTTGGAATACCCTGCCATGTGAGGTGTCAGTGTGCCCCTGCTGGGGGGTGCCTCCCAGTTAGGCTGCTCGGGGGTCAGGGGTCAGGGACCCACTTGAGGAGGCAGTCTGCCCGTTCTCAGATCTCCAGCTGCGTGCTGGGAGAACCACTGCTCCCTTCAAAGCTGTCAGACAGGGACATTTAAGTCTGCAGAGGTTACTGCTGTCTTTTTGTTTGTCTGTGCCCTGCCCCCAGAGGTGGAGCCTACAGAGGCAGGCAGGCCTCCTTGAGCTGTGGTGGGCTCCACCCAGTTTGAGCTTCCAGGCTGCTTTGTTTACCTAAGCTAGCCTGGGCAATGGCGGGTGCCCCTCCCCCAGCCTCGCTGCTGCCTTGCAGTTTGATCTCAGACTGCTGTGCTAGCAATCAGCGAGATTCCGTGGGCGTAGGACCCTCCGAGCCAGGTGTGGGATATAGTCTCGTGGTGCGCCGTTTTTTAAGCCGGTCTGAAAAGCGCAATATTTGGGTGGGAGTGACCCGATTTTCCAGGTGCGTCTGTCACCCCTTTCTTTGACTCGGAAAGGGAACTCCCTGACCCCTTGCACTTCCCAGGTGAGGCAATGCCTTGCCCTGCTTTGGCTCGCGCATGGTGCGGGCACCCACTGGCCTGCGCCCACTGTCTGGCACTTCCTAGTGAGATGAACCCGGTACCTCAGATGGAAATGCAGAAAGGGTGATTCTTATTTTACCTTTTTTTGTTTGTTTGTTTGTTTCTCTATCAGTGCCTTCTAGATGAGAACAAATATATTTTGAAAACAACTGAAACCACGACGTAGAAAGCACATTTTCATGCTGAATAACAGAATATTTATGTATCTTATATTTAAATATCTGAAAAAGTTTATTATTTTTAAGTCTTTTCCTTGAAAAAATATGTTTCAAAAACATAGGATTTTTTACTTTTGATTTAGATGGTGTAGTATTTGTGGAATCCGAATGATTTGATGATTCTGATACCTACAAGGTACAGATAGCTCCAAATGATGTCTAAAAGTAGAACTGTAATTCACATATACAACAGCAACTGCCACAGTAATAATGATAGCTACTGTTAATTGAACATCTATAATGTGCTATATACAGTTCTCTGCACTTTACATGAAATATGTTATTTAATCTTCTCCGTAACGCTATGTGGTGGGTAGGTAACGTTGTGTTCTATAAGATAAGATAAGGGACCTTTGGCACAGAGAAACTCTGGAATTGGCCGAGATTACTTGGATGTAAGTGTCAGAGACTGGGTTTGAAACAGAGTGCGTTCCCCAAAGAATGCATTTCCCAGTTCTCCCAAAATAGTTTTCTGTGCACTATGCATACATTTTCTCCTTAGTGCCGTATCTGTTCAAGTTAATTGAGGAAAATCAAACTATCTACTATTTAAAAAATAGGCTGATCATCTTTACTGCTAATGGGTTCAAATCACTTTGTTTATAATAGATCTGCTTCAGAAAGCTACAGCAGAGGCATCCGTCATTATTACTGTGAAGACATTCATGCTTGGAGGTGAAGCAATTGTCTCATGAAGTAAGAATCCTGTTTGCATACTTCTTTATGGGCAACTTGTTTTATTGCACTTAGCAGATACTGAATTTTTGCAGACACAAGTTTTATGGTAACTATGACTGAGCAAGTCTATTGACACTATTTTTCCAACAGCATGTGTTTACTTCCTGTCTTTGTGTCACACTTTGATAATTTACACGATTTTCAATTTATTATTATTATTGTATCTGTTACGGTGATCAGTGATCAATGACCTTTGATAATACTATTGTAATTGTTTCAGGGTGCCATGAACTGTGCCCGTATAAGACAGCAGATTTAATCAATAAATGTTGTTCATATTCTGTCTGCTTCAGTGACAGACCACTTCCCTGTCTCTCTCCCTCTTCTTGGGCCTCCCTATTCTCTAACTTTAACAATATTAAAATCAGACCAATTAAGGAGGCTGGGACCCGTGGCTCACACCTGTAATCCCAGCACTTTGGGAGGCTGAGGCATGTGGATCATGAGGTCAGGAGATTGAGACCATTCTGGCCAACATGGTGAAACCCTGTCTCTACTAAAAATACAAAAAAATTAGTTGGGCATGGTGGCATGTACCTATAGTCTCAGTTACTCAGGAAGCTGAAGCAGGAGAATAGCTTGAACCCGGGAGGTGGAGTTTGCAGTGAGCAGAGATTGCGCTACTTCACTCCAGCCTGGCAACAGAGTGAGACTCCGTCTCAAAAACAAACAAACAACAACAAAAATTAGACCAATTAAAATCCCTACAGTGGCCTCTAAGTGTTCAAGTGAGAGGAAGAATCACACATCTCTCACTTTAAGTCAAAAGCTAGAAATGATTAAGCTTACTGTGAAAGGCATGTTGAAACTCAAGATAGGCTGAAATCTAGGCCTCTTGCCCCAACCAGTTAGCTAAGTTGTGAATGTAAAGGAAGAGTTTTTAAGAGAAATTAAAGTGCTACTCCTGTGAACACATGAATAAGTAAGCAAAACAGCATTATTGTTGATATGGAGAAAATTTTAGTGGTCGGGATAGAAGATCAAACCAGCTACAACATTCCTTTAAACTAAAGCCTAGTCCAGAGCAAGAATCTAAATATCTTCAATTCTATGAAAGTTGAGAAAAGTGAGGAAGCTGCAGAAGAAAAGTTGGAAACTGACAGAGGTTGGTCCATAAGTCCTAAGATTTAAGGAATAAAACTGTCTGCGTAACATCAACGTGTAAGGTGAAGCAGCAAGTGCTGACGTAGACACTGCAGCAAATTGTCCAGAAAGACCTAGCTAAGATGTTTGATGAAGGTGGCTACAATACACAACAGATTTTCAATGTAGATGAAAAAGCTTTCTATTGGAAGAAGATGCCATCTAGAACTTTCAGAGCTACAAAGGAGAAGTCACTGCCTGGCTTCAAAGTTTCAAAGGACAGACTTACTCTTTTATGAGGTGCTAAGGCAGCTCATGACTTTAAGTTGAAGCCAATGCTCATTTACCATTCTGAAAATCCTAGGGCCCTAAAGAATTACTCTAAATGTACTCTGCCTGTGTGCTATAAATGGAACAATGATGCCTGGATGACAGTACATCTGCTTACAGCGTGTTTTACTTAATATTTTAAGCCCACTGTTGAGACCTACTGCTCAGAAAAAAAGATTCCTTTCAAAATATTGCTGCTCACTGCCAAGACAGCTAGTGCCCCAAGAGCTCTGATGAAGATGTATGAGAAGATTAATGTTGTTTTCGTGCCTAATAACACCTCCATTCTGCAGCCCATGGATTAAGAAGTAATTTTATAAGGCTGTAGCTGCCATAGATATTAATTCCTCTAATGGATCTGGTCAAAGTAAATTGAACTTGAAAACCTTCTGGAAAGATGCCATTAAAAACATTTGTGATTCATGGGAGGAGGTCACAATATCAACATTAACAGGAGTTTGAAATAAGTTAATTCTAGCCCTCATGAATGGTGTTGAAGGGTTCAAGACTTTAGTGGAGGAAGTAAATGTGGATGTGGTAAAAATAGCAAGAGAACTGGAAGTAGATGTGGAGCCCGAAGATGTGACTGAATTGCTGCAATGTCATGATCAAACGCAAACGGATGAGGAGATTTTTTTTATAAATAAGGAAACAAAGTAGTTTTCTTGAGATGAAATCTACTCCTGATGAAGATGCTGTGAACATTGTTGAAATGACAATAAATGGCTTAGAATTTACGTAAGTGTGGCTGATAAAGCAGTGGCAGGGTTTGAGAGGATTGACTCTAGTTTTGAAAAAAAATTCTGCTGTGGGTAAAATGTTATCAAAATGCATTGCATGCTATTGCATTCAGTAATCTTTATTGTTATCCTAAGAAAGTGCCACAGCAACCTCAACCTTCAGCAGCCAAAAAACAAACAAACAAAAAGATAAGGACTCTTTGCAGGCTCAGCTGATCATTAGCATTTTTTAATAAAATGTTTTTAATTAGAGTATGTACATTTTTGGCTATAATGTTATCGCACACTATACTAAAGTGTAACTTTTTTTCTTTTTTTTTTGAGACAGAGTCTTGCTGTCTCACCCAGGCTGGAGTGCAGTGGTGGGATCTCCACTCACTGCAAGCTCCGCCTCCTGGGTTCACGCCGTTCTCCTGCCTCAGTCTCCCCAGTAGCTGGTACTACAGGTGTCCGCCACCATGCCCGGCTAATTTTTTGTATTTTTAGTAGAGACGGGGTTTCACCGTGTTAGCCAGGTTGGTCTCAATCTCCTGACCTCGTGATCCGCCCGCCTCGGCCTCCCAAAGTGCTGGGATTACAGGCATGAGCTACTGTGCCCGGCCACTATAGTGTAACTTTTATATGCACTGGAAACCGAAAAATTTGTGTAGCTTTTTTTATTGCAATATTTGATTCATTGTGGTTGTCTGGAACTGAACCCACAATGTCTATGAGATATTCCTGTACACATTTCACATTAGTCTCAGCATAACTAGAATAGGGAAATTCCCTTACTTTGTGGTCTTTCTTGTCATTTCCCAGGGTTCTTTCCTAAATTGAAGAAAGGCCTCCAATTGTCAGCTTTGGAATTGCCATGGCTAATTGTCTAGGAGATTTTTTTTATTCAAGACAAATAAAACTGACATCCTAAAACAGAGCATCATAACCTTTGTTGGCTCATTCCCCTGGAGATGATTAATGGAGACAGGACTGAATACCCTGACTGACTGTAAAAGCAAATTAGTGGGAAAATGGCCACTGGGCAGGGATACCAGTGAACTCTCCAGGGCAACCTGCTTTATGTCTTGCTATGAAAGGGTACTGATGCCCTTGCTTAAACAGATGATTTAGAAAATAACCTCATGGTGTTGTATCATGTCATAAATGAAATTTTGTAAAGTGCCTGCAGAAGGTTCTCTGTTTTGTCAGTGTCCTTTTAGTATATGATTTGGGGCTTCAATATTCCATCTATGAGGAAAAACAAATGGCAGAGCAGCTGCATACAACTATTATATCTATTGAGACATAGACCTGTATTTCAGGACATGAGTGACAAGATGTAGAGGCTTATTGAAGAATGTTGTTAGATGCTAGGGGGCCACCATATGTATAGATAATCATTTGTATTGATACTACTCTGCTTTTAGCTAGAACAATTTGCAAAATATGAAATAGACACAAAATCATATAAATACATTTATACTGAATGCAGCCATTGGGTTTTAATGTAGAAGACTGATATATTTATTTTTTAAAATATTGAGAAATTAATGAAATAAAATTAAACCTTCTCCTTATAGCTACAAAAGTCATATTTGAAAAGGAAAACACATTGTTGTAAATAATTTATTTGTTTGACATTTTGTAAATTTGAATGTAGATAATTTTATTTAAGGCATGTTACCTTGGGTGATGTGAGATTTAAGCCTTAGTTTCCTCATCTGTACAGTTGAGATAATAATTGTAAAGACTAACTGAGAGAATATAAGTAAAATATTTAGCAGAGTGTAAACATCTTAAATTTTGCCCAAATAATTGAACATTAGTATGGAGAATAATTAATTTAGATTAGCTCTATACATTATTAAGAACAAGCATTCCAAAGAGAAAAATAGGTTTGGGGAAAATCTAAAAACAATTGGAATAATATGCTCATCTCTATTGAGAAGGGTAAATGCATTGCCTAAAAAGAAAGAAAAAATATAATGAAAGACAATATGCTTGGATTTCAATGTAAGTAATTTTTGTTATAGAGATATGTTGTATTAGCTGATAGATGGTCGGCCGGGCACGGTGACTCACGCCTGTAATCCCAGCACTTTGGGAGGCTGAGGCGGGTGGCTCACTTGAGGTCAGGAGTTCAAGACCAGCCTGGCCAACATGGTGAAACCTTGCTACTAAAATACATAAATTAGCTGGGTGTGGCATAATTCCAGCTACTCGGGAGGCTGAGGCAGGAGAATCACTTGAACCTGGGATGTTCAGTGAGCCAAGATCACGCCACTGCACTCCAGCCTGGATGACAGAGCGAGACTCCCTCTCACAAAAAAACAAACAAACAAATAAATAAATAAATAAATAAATAAAATAAAAGATGGTAGGCTCACCCAAACTATAGCAGGATAAACTCAATAGAATAGCATACATATTAAATGACAAAATCAGGGCCAAAACAAATTTTGACAGCCACTGTGTGCCCAATCTATTAAAATAGAATTTAAGTGAACAGGCTATAGATAGTAATTTTAGACAAACTTACTTGGAATGACTCAGCATTTAGGTGAAATGCTCAGCAGGAATCAACATGCTATCTTACATTTGAACTCAATCCTTGACATTATTTGTGGTAGAATGGATCAATCTGATATATCAGCTAGAATGAGTTGGACAAAAAATACCAAAATAGTTTAAAAGAAAAAAAATCTCACCTATCAATGTGTCCCAGAGTAGGATGGCTTTCAATCTGGTTAATTCTGTGGCTGAATACCATTAAGAACCAATGTTCACATTACACGTCCATAAAATGGAATACTACTCAGCAATTAAAAGGAACATCCTACTGTTTTAGGTAATAACATGGGTGAGCCTCAAACTTATTATACTAAATTTTAAAATCCCGACTCAAAGGCTGTATACTATATAACTCTATTTATATGACATCTGAAAAAGTCAAAACTATGACAGAAAAAATATCAGTGGTTACCAATGGTCAGGGTTGGGGAGAGATGATTGACTATGAAGAGGCATGGGGAACTTGTTGGGGTGATAAAACTATTCTATATCTTGATTGTGATATTGCTATATGACTATACACATTTGTCAAAACTCATAGATTTATGTATCTGTAGTTTTACTCTATTTAAATTGTATCTCAATAACCTTAAAAACAAATGAAAAAGAACTGATTTGTCATCATCTGTGTGTCTGTCTGTCATCTGCTCAATCCACCTCATGCTTACAAGAAGGCTGTCATATTTCCAGCCATCACAGGCAGATAAGATAGTGTCCCACAGAATCTGTTCCTTTATGTGTTCTCTTTTCACTTGTAAGAAAAACTTTTCAGAAGCCTGTCTCCCTACTCCCTCACAGCAGGCTTCTCACACATCTCATGGACTAGACCTGGGTCACATGGCTACTCCTTAATCAATTCTGACAAGGAAAACAAATCATCATAATTAACATGGACTCTGATTTAACCTTAAGTTCAGGATAGAGATATCTTCTCTCATGCTAGATACTTGAATACATTAGAAATTCAACTGGTAAGAATAAACCATGGTTGTAGTGAACACGAGTTATGGTGAACAACTAACAGTATCTGTTCAACTGGCTAGCAACCTTGTTGTATTAGGCCATTCTTGCAATGCTATAAAGAAATAACTGAGACTGAGTAATTTATAGAGAAAAGAGGTTTACCTGGCTCACGGCTCTGCAGGCTTTACAGGAAGCATGGTGCCAACATCTACTTGGCTTGTGGAAGGCCTTGAGAAGTTTACAACCATGCCAGAAGGCAAAGGGGGAGCAGGCATGTTACATGGCAAAAGCATGAGCAAAACAGAGAGAGAGCGAGTGGGGGCAGGAGGGAAGGTGCCACACACTTTTCAAGGACCAGATATCCCATGAACTGAGAGTGAGAGGTCACTTATCACTAAGGGGATGGCCCGAGCCATTCATGAAGGATTCGCCCCGATGATCCAAACATCTCCCAGCAGGCCCCACCTCCAACATTGAGGATTACATTTCAATATGAAATTTGGGCTGGGATAAACATCCAAACTACATAACTTGTCATTTTATTCAATGGTAAACTTTGATACAGTCAACAAGAAGGACACAAGACCAAAAACAAACAAAACCAAACAAAAATCCAAGCTAATACTTTGCCTTACATATTTTGCTTACATACTCTAATACTTGCATCTCTGAATAGATGCATCTTTCTGTAATTAGAAAGATAATGTCTTGAAGAAATTTATTTGATAAGGGATAGATTTGGAAACTATGTCATATGAGGAATTACTGCAAGAAGTGTGACTAGCATGTACACTAGCATGTGGAAGACACATTAGACTCTATCTTAATGTTGTTAAAGACTGGAGAGAGAACGATATGCAGAAAGTATCCTACTACATTGTAGAGAGAATTTTCAAATACGAATTAGTTATCCAAAGATTTCCAGCGGTAGTGAATTATTCATCACTGTGAGTATTCATGCCTGACTCAGACAATCCCTACAGGGATGTAGCATAAAAACATCTAGTCTAACAGATGGCTAGTTGGACTGGACATTCTTTCTTTGCCATATTGAAATAATGCTAATATTATTTCCTAAATATACAAAGAAATATATTTGTGTTTACAGAATACTCATATATACATAGCATATGACTAAAAAACTTACTGGTTAAAAGGCTAGAAGGGAATACATAATAAAACGAAAATGTATTATGTGAGATAGGAAGATGATGGATGAGTTTAAAAAAAAATCCAACAGCAATTTGGATGAGAAGTGGAAAATTTTGGCTTAGTTTAATACTGAGAAATTATTGATCTAAGTGGAATCCATTCACAATGAAAACAAACTTTTTTCCTTTGAATGTGCCTTCTTTAGGAGACCCTCCAAGCTGACACCAGCTGTCTGGGCCTATTCTGATCCAAACCCCAAACTTCTGAATTACTCTCAGTTTTGGGTTCATAAACATATGTTTTTTAAAAAATATAAATTGGAGGATACTGAGTGACATTAAGACATTTCATGAATGTTTACAGCCTGTAGGAAAAAAAATATGATTTCCAGCTTGCCTATAAAAGGGAGAGTAGCAAATGTTTGAGAAACAACTTCTCTATGCTTATGCATAGCATTGATTCTGTTGAATTATTATTATTATTATTATTATTATTATTATTACCTAATGCAATCTCTTATTTGTGTGGCAGTTACTGGAAGCAGAAAGGCCAAGATTAACAATAATGATCTATCACTGACAGAACTAAATGAAGAGCTTTACATTTCATGAGTTACTATTATTATTACTGTGCTAATCATGGAAAATGCTGCTAACTTGAAATCATTCAAATGTACCAGATAAATTTAAGCAGCTGCCTAGCCATCAACACTTAAGTGGAAACACAGTATAACCCAAACTCTACAGTATAAAGTATCAATTAATAACACAGGTGTGCCTGGGTTATTTTTAGCAGCCTAGAAAACCCAAAGTTAAATAGCAAAGAAATTATGTGTAAAGCTCTTTTTTCATGGTCTAGGTATATCTATCATGCTTTACATCATGTTAAATGATTTTTTTCTCAAGTTATTTAAGAGCTCATATTATCTTACAAATAACTTTAGAAATGTATCCTAAACTGTATGTATCCTAAATGAGAAATGTTTCCTCAACTGAGAAGCTTGTTGGATGGATGATTTATGTTGGCTGAGAAAACAGCAAACAAAAAGGCTTTAATTAGGAAAAAGATGCAGCTATGAGAACTCAAATGCTAGAAAACAAAAAAGCAGTAATTGGAAAAGAAAACAGAGGGACCCTGAACTGATTATATTTTGTTAATTTCATACATGTACTGAATACTCACATTCTATAAAGCTCTCTGTTAGCCTTTATGGTGACATAATGATGTATAAAATAATTTCATTTTCTGCCCCAGTGGTTTCAACATTGTTATAAAAAAAGAAAGAACCCTTATGGTATGGGTTTTCTCTAACATTAGCACTAAGTTAAATTATGTTTCACTGGTTGTGGAATTCTTACACTGGTTTCATAGGAAAACATTTTCAGAAGCAATTTATATTTCCTTCTAGGATCTAAACAAGAAGAGCAGAATTTCTAGTTACCAGCATTTCCTACTAGAGTAAGGGCTTCTCTGTTGGTCAGATCAAAAGACTGATTTTTTTTCTATAAGTATTTAAAACTTATTTATTCAGTCACTTAAAATTTAGGTTGAATGCTTTTGTAACACTCCTACGTCAGTTGCATAGGAACAATTCAAAGAACCTTCAAAGGATAAAAGCTGGTCAATTTCAATATCTTCCCTACACTTAGCAGATCTAATTTCTCATAGCTCACAACATGAGCAGCCTTAACATCTTTCTGCTCATGACATTGCTTTTCATTTTTGTGGTTTTTATCTATTCTGCTTCCTCAATCTGAAATTTTCTCTCCCCCCTTTTCAATATTTATTTAGATCCTGCTTAAACCTTTAAAGCCCAACAAAATCCCTTCCTCCTACACAGAGACATACCACAGCAAGCTCTCCTGGTATTTCCCTCTCTCTCTTCTGTTTGTTATGCTTACCTGGGAAGTATTGTCCAGTGTGACTGTTTTGATCCCTTTAGGTCCACTCCCCCTTCAAATTAATGGTTATTAACCCTTTCAGGACATAAGATTCATGAGAGGTGCTTTTCAAAAAGGGGATACTCAGGTTCTGTCCCCAAAACAACTGAATTTGGAGTTTTGAAGATAAGGCTTGAATTGAACACTGCTATTTAAAAGAAAATCTTCCAGGGTTATTTTCATGCATAGTAGATATTAAGAAACCAGTTGATTTAGGATAAGATTAATCCAAACCAGTTTGTTTACCATAAAAGTTTATAATTTAAGACCTTCTTTTCCCATCTTCCTGTTTATATTTCTGTCATACACATGAAACAGAGTACATGCAGCATTTTTAGATTCAACAAGAAAAGGTGTGACCATCCAAGCCTATTGGTGGTGTGGGTGGAGGAACAGGGAAGACTCCAGCATGCATGCTAATCCCTAATCTAGAACATATTCCTCATTAATAGATTAATCAGCTGAGGTCCATATGGTTTAAAGTTACCCAAGGTAGAGGAGCCCAGCATGTTAGTGAAAAGTGAGGTACAATTTGGATCAAGTCTTCAGCCTCCCCGAAGAGTGAGGTTTTAGATTTCACTGGACTTTGTGCTCCGGCTGATCCCTAGTTGCCTTGTATGTTTTGGTGTTCTTGGCATCTGAAAGCTCAGTTCTTTCAGTTTTCAAAATAGTCCCTTATACACTTCTTGTTTCTTCCACATTGTCTACAGTTCATAGAATACACACAAACACAACTTGGTTGATTTGATTCATGAACATTTTCCCTTCTCTTGTGTTTGTAGCCTTCAGGAATGCTGCTGTCCTAAGAAAAAAAGGCCATTTTTTAAGCCTTAGAATGAAACAAAGGGAAGTCTGTACTTGGAATAATCTTGACCCCAGAAATCTTGTTTGGTGTTCAGAAAGTGTGAAGGATGCTAAATATTCAATATTCTACAAGAATGTTAGCTGCACTGCGCATTGCCATCTCCTAATCTCTCTCTCTCTCTCTCTCTCTCTCTCTCTCTCTCTCTCTCTCTCTTCCTCCCTTTCCCTCCCTCTCCCTGTCCCTCTGCATCTTCCTCTCCTTTCTACCTGCTCTTTCTCTCTAGGGCATGGCATGTATGTAAGATTTCTATTTGCATTCTGCCAAGTAATCAGAAGTAACAGTACCTAATTATTTAACAATCTAAAATATAATTGAAAAAAGCCTATATGAACTATCCAATTTCAATGAATATGAAAGCTATTTTTATCAATGTCTGTATTAGATTTCATTAGTGGGTAGCCTCTACCCAACTGACGTCCATTTTCAGTTTCTTTGATTTCAACTGTCTTTGATGGTACTGAATGGACACATCCCCTTGCCACCAGTGGTTAAGAGTTATTGTTTACAAGATTACCAAGGAAAAACTTATGCACCTCAGCTTCTGCTCCTAAGAGATGCACTTTGGGGATGGTAGGATTTTCAACTTAGTTTTCTAGTTCTGGTATCGTCAGAAAAGATTCAAAAATTTCCCTGAAATACACCAACTACTGTTCTCACCTTCTGTAAAGTATTGACAACAGAAATGCCATATCATAAATGGGCTATTTTATAAAAAACATATTTGTGTTTTTACAGATAAAATGACAAATTTAAAACCCCAAGAACACTCCTTCTGTCAGTTTCTGTTGTGTCAGATATTGTATGCTCTCTTCTGTATGACCTTGGAAGATAACTTCCCTTATGTGAAAACAACTCTCCCATGAATTATAAATGATGTCGAAGGATTGTTCTACAACAAAAGTGTCTGGATTGATAGTATCTGGAATTTCTCCAAGTTGTTAATGTATTTTCTAATCGTTTTTAGCCAGCCCACTTTTATAGCAAACATCTCAAATTTTGTTTAGAAAAAATAATAAAATAATGTTTTTTTAACTTGTAATACTGAATAATGTTTGAATGGCTAAAAGTAAATCAAACGATGACAATTCTGCATTTTTGTCAAAGGGGGAATTTTCTGTTCCCATAACCACAATCTCTTTAATTCCACTAGCCAATTATAGGGTGTGAGGTAATAATGCTCTCGAGGGGAAATGCCATTGCATTGACCTCAGACTCAGGGGGACTAGGGAATGGGTTGGATAAGCAGCAGAAAATAATGAGCACACACCGTAAGGTCAGATGAAATGGAAATAGAATGTAATCATAACAACTTTGCTCTTCATGCTTTGAATTTACTGAGCTATTTTCCTGTGTGACTATCTATATGCAAAGAATGGCTTAACCTTCCTACTTCTAAAATAAATGCTGCTTGCATCAAGCAAACTTCACAAAGCCATGACCTATTTTGATAAAATTCAGGCAAGTTTTCAAGTGGATTTTTTCTATACCAACCAACGAGTTTGTTGTTTGAAGAATACACGCACGTACACTCATACACACACTGCAGAGACACACAGACACACACACGCACATCCTTTATAACTAAAAGTTTCAAAAACTCTAGTAGTTTTCATTTCCAAAGAATACAAGGCACATTGTTTGTAGATAAAAAACAAATAACATTCATTGTTTAGAATGTATACCATTTTCTTCTTTTGTCTTCCTTCTTCGTTAGAATACATACACTTTTTTTAAACACTTGTGCTGTTTACATCTACCCAAGAAAATCATCACTTATTACTTGTAAGTTTTATATGTGTATGGTGTATGTGTCTGTATACATATTCATACATTCATACGTCCCTGCATACACACATACATTAATTAATTTTTTAACCAAAAATATGCTTCTCTCCTTATGGGCAGAGATGAGGCCCTCTCTTCTTGGTGTTCCCCTTGTCAGAATTGGTATAGCAATTTTATTTAAGAGTACAGGTGTTGGACTCAGACTGGTTCTGCAACTTACTGACTACACAACTTAACATTCCTGAGCCTTAGTTTCCTTGCCCTTAATATGGAGGTAGCACAATCTACTGCATATCTAGTATTAGATGATATATACACAGTTTTGGGTTATTTATAATTACCCAACATTTAATCATTATTGATATAGTTTGGCTGTGTCCCCACCTAAATCTCATCTTGAATTCCCATGTGTGGTGGGAGAGACCTGGTGGGAGATAATTGAATCATGGGAGCAGGTCTTTCCTGTGCTGTTCTCATGGTAGTGAATAAGTCTCATGAGATCTGATGGTTTTAAAAAGAGGAGGTTTCCTGCACAAGCTCTCTTGTCTGCTGCCATGTGAGATGTGCCTTTCACCTTCCACCATGATCATGAGGCCTCCCCAGCCATGTAGACCTGTAAGTCCATTAAACCTCTTTCTTTTGTAAATTGCCAGGTTTTGAGTATGTCTTTATCAACAGTGTGAAAACAGACTAATACAATTGTTATTTACCAACATATATGAAAGAGAAAAATGGGAACAAGATGTTTTAGAGTAACTGTTGGATCATTTAGGGTCCTAAAAGGAAATTAATGATACACCCAAATTCCAACAAGAGTTCATTTGCGAAAGGATTAAATACAAAGGTATCAGAAGATATAGGAGAATTGCAAGGGATAATGCAGAAACCTGGAGGGATAAAGGGAACGATAGGCCACTGGGGCCAGTGCGGGGCTGAGACCTGTGCTGTGTGTCCCCATTGCTCCTTATTTGTCTCCATTGCTCCATAAAATACAGTGCTCCTTTAAGATTAAAAATTTACCATCTTTAACCCACAAAATTCCCTGTCTGTTCTTTCCATGACCTCCAGTTTGGTCTTCTGATTGGCAGTCTTCATTTTGATTCTTGCTCTTTAGCTCTTCCCACACCCCAGGCAGGAAAAATCCTTTGTTTCTTACTTTGCTCAATAGATAATGAATAGCTTTGATTCCCTGACAAGAACTTCTCTTGCAGTACTCCGTTCCCACCCCATATCACACCTTCTTGTCATCTGAAATTGCGCTGTTTCTGAATTCACAGTTTTCTAACATTCCACTCTCCAACTACAACCTCTTGGGCCTCTAGCTCTCTTACTCAAGCTGTATGGTTTATTGATACATGGTTACTTCTCTAATTTTCCAATATGTTTTATCTACCCTGTCCTCTGAATGTGGGTGAATGATAATTAGAGATATATTAATACACTTTGAAGTCAGAAAAAAAGCCTATCTCTTGGACATTGATGAAAAACAAATGAGCAAAGATAAACAGAAATGAGTGGTGGTTTCACTGAGTCATCTCATGAGCCTCTTCTAGAATTTCCATGAGGTTTTGCTATGTATTATCCAAGATTTGGTTATAGTTTTCCCTTTAACATTTAAGGGATATGCAGTTGGCTTCTTGGCATGCAACAGACAAACAAACAAACAAACAATCTGACAGATTCATATCAACACTATTACTCTTTTTCCACAAATTTCACATTTCACACTTATTGACCCCATAATTTTCCTTTCATCCATTAATCCTCTCCTCTCTTTCCATCTGTTCTTTTCCAGTTTGAATTCTGTAGTTCATATTCTAATCATTGTCAGTAAATATTTTTATTGCTTTTGTGATCTCCCCAGAAAAATCCCAATGATTTATTTTCTTCCAAATTTGTATCTATGAAACTGCAGCTTAGTGGAGAAATTTCACATAACTGGTCAGATTCTGCCTCCAGAATATATCTCAAACTTGCCTAATTCCCCTAATTTCTATTGTGAAATAAAACCAAACCATATGGTTTCTCACTGGCCTATTCCAGCCTTCCATAGTACTTTAGGATCAACTCATGATCCATTCTAATTCACTCTTCACAACACAGCAAATGAGAGTTTCATAAAATATAAAACAGTTTATGCCAGTGCCTTGTGGAAAATTCTTCAATGACAATCCTTTGTTGTGAGAAAGAAAATCAAACTCCTGAATATTGCCAAAAAATCCTGCCTAATTTGGTCCCTGGCCAATACCAACATCATTCTCCCTCTTCTTTGTTACACTCTAGGATCACTGTCCTTTCACTTCTGCAAAAGACAAATAACCCCACCTCAAGGACTTTGCATATGCTGTTCTTTTTCCTAGAACACTCTTCTTCCTCCTTTGTGAATGTCGATTCCTTCTCTTTCTTATGTATTTGCTTAAATGTAGTCTCCCCTATTTGAAGTTGGCAAATACCTTCCTCCTTCCCCTACTTTCTCCCCAATACTTATTTCTCCTGCTTTCTCCCATTTCCTACTTTCTCTGTCTCCTACTTTCTCCCTAACACTCTATTCTTTTTCTTTATGATTACACAGTACTTATCATCTTTACCTATTAGCATCTCTACTGCATCCTGAGTGTGGTCAGGACCAAGTTTATTTTGTTTGTTTTTGTATTTCCATTGCCTAGCACAGTCCTTGATATACAGTAGATGATGAATAAATATTAAATGAGTGAAAGAAGCATTAGACAGGATATAGTGGGTAATAGGGAGACATATATCCCTTTTGAGCTAGGAAATTGTCTGTATCATAAATTTATGCAGATTAATTTAGTGATATAAAAATCAAATTACAAGTTAAGTGAGAGAAGTGAAATTATCTCTTAATTAAACTCAGGACTTTCAGGGTTATCTTTGTACAAAGTTTGAATGATCTGGACCTTGCTCTCTTCAATTTCACTTCCCCCTAATATCCTCTCTCTTTGATTATTTCTGTCACATTTCACTTGCACCCGGAGATGCTGACCCCTTTAAATGTACTGATTCAAGTATTGATAGCTCTCTACAGCACAGCTAAGATAGGCTGAAAAATACAAAATATATTGCATAACACTAAGAAAAACCAATACCTAAGGGCTTAAATACAAAGAATATAAGAAGTGCAAGAAGTCCAATCTATAATATATAGGAGTTTAATCCTGCTCTCTCTAGCTCCCTGCTTAAGTGCAAAAAGTCTGGCTCAGTCTACCTCTCACTCAGAGCTGCCTCCACTAGAGCTCTCCAAAGGGGTGGCACAGCTCACTCTCTCTTTGACTGTGACTCTCATTTCCTGTATCTCTATATTCCCAGGTAATAGTGGCCCTGCCTTGGGCGTCCATACTTTAAAGGAGTCTATTCTTATCCTCTTCTGGTCTTCCCCTTCTTATGAGGGTAAGACATCTTATAGATCAAGGGAACTTACTCAGAGGCTGTAACTGCCTGCTGCCATTTCTAAACCATAGTTCAGGAACCTGGAACTCTGGCATAAGTGCCCCAAGCTCAGTTCCAGAGTCTTTGCAGTCTTCCTCCCTAGATCCATTTTCCGATGGCAGATTACACACTAGAGTATATGCAACTCTAGGCCTGAGGGATGGCTACAGGGCCGCCGTTTAAAGGGACGTGAAAAGACCTTGAACATGCAGGCTGTGGTGTCTGCGTGGATGTGCATCGGGCCTCTTGTGGTAGAGGACAAAATGGGATGGAAAGAGAAGGTAGGAAAATACTAACAGCAATTGAATTATCTTTTTTATTAGCAAGTACATAACAAATAGTTTAGATTAAAAGTAAACAATCATTAAACGTTAGGAATTACAGGCAAATAGAAGAGTTTAAACTTGAATATGTAATATTTGAAAGAGTTTTTTAATTAAGTTACATAACCATGCTGTCTAAATTAAATGAGATTTTGCCCCACCTTGTTGAGTCTGCATACAGGCATACAGAGTTGCACATACTTTAGGAAGTGACCCAAGCTCTAGTTGGATGGTTAGTAGAGTAGAAACCCATGTACAGATGTTTGGGTGCTTTCCAATAAAAATAAGCCATTTGCTTTTCTTCTCAGTACTGAAGAAGGATGAGCAAAAATATTAAAAGGCAAAGATAAACAGGCCTTGCTGAATTGTCCAAGACTGACTCCATTTAGGTCAAGGTCATATGATATATCCGTGTGGTTTTAATTATATTGTTTTCTAGTGAGCATTATGGGTGTGTCTGATTCCAATTTTAATTATTTCATATACTTTTTCAGTTGCCTGTGCTATAATAAACCACATTCTTCAGCATTAAATCAATCAGAACTCCACCTAATTTCAGTGGCGATATTTTATGAGGCTAAGCTAAATATTTGTACCTAGTATCTCAGAAGCCAACAACAATCTGTGGATTAAAAGATAGCTTTTGTGTATAGAAGAAATGTCCTTTGTTTTGTCATACAATTGCTAAAAGAACTACTTCTAGTAAAACAGTGTATAGGAATTTATCATTTACACCATCAGAAGCAGTTTTCATTATTTCGAACAACTATAAAAATAAAAATTGCAGGTTAAAATAAATGGTGCATAAATTAATAGTTAAAACTAGTGTAGTTGAGCCCCCCAAAATCTTAATTATTCTGAAGATTCAGTATCATTGTACTTTTAAGAGTATTAATTTTATGATAAGCATCTTTAGGCCTCTTCATGAAAATGATTTTACAATAACTATAGTAAAGCAGGGTGATATCGTTTTGGATACATGTCCCTGCTCAAATCTCATGTTGAATTGCAGTCCCCCAATGTTGGAAGTGGGGCCTGGTGGGAGGTGATTAGATCATAGGGGTGGATTTCTCATGAATGGTTCAGCACCATCCTCTTGATGCTGTCCTTACAATAATGAGTTATCATGCAATCTCGTTGTTTAAAAGTATGTGACACCTTCCCCTCTCTCTCCCTCTTGTTTTTGCTGTGTGACTTACAAGCTTCTGCTTCACCTTCCACCATGATTGTAAGCTTCCAGAGGCTTCCCCAGAAGGAGATGCCAACTCCATGCTTCTTGTGCAGCCTGCAGCACCGTGAGTTAATTTATCCTCTTTTCGTTATAAATTACACAGCCTCCGCTGGGTGCCGTGGCTCACACCCGTAATCCCAGCACTTTGGGAGGCCGAGGTGGGTGGATCACAAAGTCAGGCATTTGAGACCAGCCTGGCCAACATGGTGAAACCCTATCTCTACTAAAAATACAAACATTATCCGGGCGCGGTGGTGGGCCCCTGTAATCTCAGCTACTCCGGAGGCTTAGGCAGGAGAATTGGTTGAACCCGGGAGGTGGAGGTTGCAGTGCACTGATATCGTGCCACTGCACTCCAGCCTGGGTGACAGAGCAAAACTCTGTCTCGGAAAAAAAAAAAAAAATTACCCAGTCTCGGGTATTTCTAGCAATGTGAGAATGGCCCAATACGTAGGGAGAGAGGCTGGGTTTGGAAAAGTTGTAGCTTCTCTTCAACCCTTGCTGTAAACTACAGATTTTTAAGTAACTGTTATTTCAAAATGTATTCCTTGAAACGATACTGCCACATGGATATATAAATGAGGTGCATTGCTTTGGAGGGCTCTACCATCATTATTATTCCAGCTATCTGAGTAGATACATGCCTTGTTAAAGCATTAAATAATGAGGTCACACTTCAATAGCTAATTACAGCCTCTGTCTTCTGTTTTCTGTAAATGCATGTATGTGCGTGTTTCTAGCCCTATGGACATAATCAAATCTCCAGATGAGTAGTCTAATCTATTATTGTAGCAAAACTAAAATCGTCAGAATTTTGTATTCTCATTTTCATATTTGGTATGGTTATTCATATAAATGGTTAGTTTAAAAATCAAACAAAACATCTTTTCCACCATTACAAAAATCATTTAGATTACAGGGGAGTGTATCTCCATTGTTCATTAGAATAAAAAGTAACAAATAATATTATTTGCCAAGTCAACCTTTTAAAGTCTTTATTATCTAATATAAAGCAATATGGAAAAGAAATTTGATTTTCACTGAAATTCAACACACTCATCAAACCTTCAGTTTTGGTGAACCATTGATGTTACGTAAAAACTCTAAAATTTAGGATGATAGAAAGAAAATGTACCCTTATCATAAATTTACAATCATATTGTTTAGACTGCATGCAATGTATTTATTTATTTGTAGTGACTCAAAGGGTTACGAAAGACAGTGGTTGAATTGTCAACATTTCTCTAGTATTTATATAGTAAGACTGAAATAATGAGAGTGATTTATTGTTCTTGGATAGGACCCTGATTTTGAAAAAGATTAAATGGCCCCAGTTACAGCTAACATTGTACAGTATAAGAATTTTCAGAAATAAGTGACTATAATAGTTTTTTTCTAAAAAGGAACAGCAAAGAAACCCAAATTTGTTGCATCAAATAATATGTTGAATCATTCAATTATATGAATTTTATTTAAAAATACATATTTAAGATAATAATGTTACTATTAGCAAAAATAAATTAAGGATTAAAAGTAAATTATAATGAAAC
The DNA here is from genome assembly GCF_000001405.40 of Homo sapiens. Lineage (NCBI taxonomy): Eukaryota > Metazoa > Chordata > Mammalia > Primates > Hominidae > Homo > Homo sapiens. Next base: position 112,939,173 of record NC_000006.12, read on the forward strand.
CATAGAGATGCCATACTTGGTATATTGGAAAATCCCTTTGTAATTTTAAAAATTCTACCGTATTTTTGCTCACTTAATCTTTAAAATACTTAGAGAAATAGGGAGAATATTAAATTCTGGTTCTAATTTAGGAATAGCTTATTGGAATAGGACGGAATGCTCTATAATATCTTGCTATTACTGGTAAAAGAAAAATGTTTATCTGGTCCATTTTGACTGTATATTAATGACAACCAGTGTGGTGAATGTAGACCCCCAAACATTCAATCGTTTGGAGTCCTACAAGTAATCTGTCCTGCTGATTCAGATACTGAGATATCATCTGGATATTTCCTTGTAAACATGATCCTTGTAATGAAAATAATGATGTTGATTTGTGCTTCTCCTCAACATGTATGTCCCAAGAAGGGGCAGAGATTGGTCTCTGTTCTAGGATGATTTCTTTACAATTACCATTGCGCTATTGATTGTTTTCACTTCATTTAAACTTAGAATATAGATTAGATCTGTGCATATAGTTGTTAATGACATTCTGTTAACAGCAGCAAGATAAAGTTGCCAGTACCATGGCAAGAATATTTTATTAATTGTCCAGTCTGGGCACTGGGCCAAGGTAAAACCAACAGGATAAATGGTTCATTGCCATTGCTTTCAAAAGAAGATTATAGGACTGTTCTTTCCTTTTGAACATTGGCTCAATTCCCATTCTTTAATTAATCTGCAAGAGGCTGACACTATTGTCTTTCCTAATTTTCTTGTTTTGGAATTGCCTAATGGATTTCCTCTCTTATCTCTGTACTCACATCCCATTGTTCCTACTATGTTATTGCATATAATTTATACAAATTCTAATTGCATGTAATTTATTCAAATTCTTAGTTTTCCTGCCTTTATTTCAATTCCTTAATACTAAACTTTATGCTTACCTCACTCCTAGGTTCTTTCTTCATAATGCTAATCTACAGATATTAAGAGTTACACACACACACACACACAGAGAGGCAGACAGAGAGAGAACAGAGAGAGGTCAGAAATGTGTATATCACATTTTAGTCAAGAAGTTAAATTTTTATCAGAAATGGTTCAGAGATTACAAGGTAAAAAATCATTTAATTAAGTTGTAAATGTGTCTTGAAGCATGTTATCAGCCAAAGCAATGGGGTGCGACATTATAATGATGGTACACTGAAGTAAGAAATTGTTCATGAATGCATTTTCCCTAGGCCTTCTGTGATACTATATGGATTTCATTGTTTAGAAAGAGGCTTTTAAAAACTGTTGTGTTTTTGATTAGGCAACTTAAAACTAAGAGCTCATTTGTGCCTTGGATAGGAGCTTTGTTAAATAAAAACCAGTTCGTATTAACTTTATGATAAATGAACCTCAACAATATTATATCAAGGCATGTAAGCATAACTACAAAATGGCATATAATCAAATACACATCAATTAAAAAGAAAACTTATGTAACTAAAATATTTTACCTAAATGAAAAAATCTACATACAGATATTAATAGCATTGTTCAATGTTATCTGTAAAAAAGCTGAATATGCTTATGATATAGAAGTTTGTTGTGCACCCAACCTAAATAGATGCCATGATTTAAATGTTGATGTGGTGTCCATTTATTTTGAGTCTATAATTAGAAAATGTTAGTAACACGACTATTAACTAATGGAAAAAACACAAAACTTTGTTTGGTCAAACATAAACCACAAAGAAGCCTTTTCAGTGTTCTATGAGATGAAACGATACATAGATCTATAACAAGTCTAAGTACATGATATTTTCTGTTTTTGAAAAGTAAGATAATTTAACTAATAAAAAACTAGTGACCAATGACTGTGACATGGACTATTTTTAAAAAAAGAACTACATCTACCAACACATCTAATTATTCAGGAAATAATTTTGTCTTTGCTTAGAAAAAATTTATGGTAGTTAAGCTATAATTTTTCCTTTAAACAAGCATTTAAGGGAATGATCAGAAAAACATCTTATATTCTTTTAACATTCCAATGAGGAGTCCATAGTCCTAAGGGAGTAGAAATGTTGTTACTAATAAAGTTAGTATAATTGCAATACTAATGTGTCAGTGTCAATATGTATGCTAGATATGTTTCAGTAAACAGTGCAAAGGCTAAGATTTATTTTTGCATACATGCGATAAAAAGGTGATTCTTGTGATAATTTGGAACTTCCTAGAATAATATATTTACTTAAAAACATTCCACTCTAAATTTATAAATCTAAAATGTTAGGGAGAATTCATAAGAACACCAGTCAACATTGATACACTTGACTAATTACATCTCTATAAGTTCATAAGATTCAGTCCATAAGCCATACTTTAAAAATAGACCTTGCTATTCTGTAGTGGAAACACACATACACAACCAACATAATTACCTAAGATAAACTTATCTTCTGAGCACACGAGAAAAGTTTAGAAATTTCCTAAACCCTATTCAAATGATAATATTTGCTAACATAGCTGAGGTGGGTCTTCAGGCTGCTGTGGGATCTTAATATAAATCATGATGGCATTGAGCAAAGTATTAAATATTCTTTGAAGGATATTTTTGAGCTGTTTCCCTAGTGTGTCTATGAGAATCTAGCCCTAATCAGAATCTGACATTCCTCAGGGGATTAGACTAGTTATTTTAGGCACAAAACTTCTCATAGTTTATATCAGAAAACCTTAGAACATAAACTAAATATCTGTGGAAAAGCTTGAGTGGATTCAGACATCATTTTCAAGGAAAAACAAGCAATTCTATGTGAAGGCATCCCTTGCAATCAATTCTATAGTAAGGTGGGATAGGAGCTTAAAGGAAAGGATGGAGACGTGACTGCTAAATCTTTATGACAGAATATCAGCAATGCTTCTCACACACCTAGGGCCCCAAAAGGAATAAAATCTCACTTTTTTATTAATGTCTTAATTTAAATTTAAAATTAAGTTTATTAATTTTCTGGAATCCATTACTGTTTTAAACTGCTTTATGGAGCAACACAGTTTTCTTTTTAGTTGATGCATCTTCACTTTGATGATTCTTATTGATGAAACAAAATTAAAAAAAAACTTCGAGGATACACTGGAGAAGTCCAGCTGTAGTTTTGCAATAAATAGAAAAAGATATTTTCACCAAATATTCTTTTATTTAAACCATTTTATAGATATGCAACTTCAATGGGACAACTTATCCAGTGTTTCCCCAACTTTTGTTTTTTCCTAATAAGGATCCTCTTGAATAGTATTTCAATGTCTCCCAGAATTCTATCCTAGGGGAAGAAAAACATCTCCTCAGATCAAGTTGAACAAATTCCCTATTAGAAATGAGAACAATATAATAATATCAGATGGGGCTTTTTGTTCGTTTGCAAGTGTAACAGATGTCAAATTCGAGCTAACTTTAGCACCAAAAAATGACTTACTGGTTTAAGTAAGCTGAAGACACTGAGGCAGCTCACAGAGTCCATAGCTTAGATGCAAGGACTGGGCTTCAAAGGGCTGAAGTAGGATAACCTCTTATCCAGTGCTCTGCCTCTCTCCCTCTCTTGCTGTTAGTTTCTTTTTCTCTCAGATTAAAAAACAAACAAACAAACAATCTTGGCCTGTCTTTTCCTGTTCACACCTCATCCTCTTAAAGCAAACTGACTTCCCCAGGTGTCTGTTGATTATGCTCTTTGCAGCCCAAATTTAACAACTCAGTGGGCAAGAAGTGCTGGCATTGCCCAGAGTCAATGTAACTGTCGCAAAGATAAATGCTGATTCCCTTAACATTTCCATTTCTTGACCTAATTGTTGTTATTAGAAGGATAGAAAACTGTGAAGAGTCAAAACTAGGTCATATGTGGTCAAAGGATAGAGTCTTCTAAGAGAAGGAAAGCTGGCAATAGGCAGTAGCTACTGCATTCTATTAATTACAAACTGAGATGTATCCTTTTGTCAAGAAGCTTAGAACTAAATGGATGCCTTCCCTTCAAAATAGTCTTATCCTAGGTCCCCCTGTATCTATGTTCCTATTTGTTTTAACTTTTCTTGTTAAATAATGATTATATTTCTTAAACATGTTTAGTACTATAAGTCACTTCAAAATTACTTTGGAGATACATAGTATATATTACAAAAATGTAATAAATCATATGCCACTGGGTTTCTAGTAGATCAAAGCATTATCTATTTTAGAAAAGTTAAATGAAGTATAGTAGTTTTATCTTAGCAAATGTAGACAGCTATTCATGCAAAGAATGTGGCTAAAAATATAAAGGACTTTACAATCTATTGGCGCTGCCCACTGGGTGACTTAAACAGTAGTTAAACTAGATTCAGCTGTGACTTTAATTGTTGATGCCATGTAAAAATAACTCCTGGATGTGATTTAATATTCTTGCTTCTGGAAATACTTGAACTAATTTATAAACACTAGAGGTGACTGAACATAGGCAGTGACCTAGTATTATGAGATGTTGCCAAATCATAATGAAGTTTCCAGAGAATGCAATGAGAAACAATGTATAACATTTCTTAGCCATTGTATTTTTAAAATGATATGTTTGGATGTAGGTTGTCATACACTTGGTTGAAGTTTATCAGTGGATAATAAAGATGTTAAATGTAAACAGTGAATGATAGTAACATATAAGGTTTTTTAAGAGTGCTAAGAAGGTGTACTAAAGGTATCAGTTGAACTCTTTGGTTTCTACAAAAATGTTTTTCAACTTAACTCCCCACTGTCCCTGGACATAGTGTATGGAAGGATATGACCTGAGAGTTAGGATGTCTATCAAACCACTCACTTAGAAATTAAAGAGATGGCCTGATAAATATATTATTCACTGCCTACAGTGAAAAATTCATTTGATGTCCCATCTCTACCAGGAACAAATTGCTTTCCACTCGTAAAAGCCACCCATGAAATCCTGGAAGCCTTCTCAAAATGTATGTGTCTCTAAAATTGTTACTGGGATGATCAAGTCTCCATTCCTTCAGAATTCTTTCTTGGTTCTCCAATTTTTGGAATTTCAATCAGGTGATACCAGACGGGACTAGTCCCTCCTGACTTTTCCAAAGAGGACCTTCTGTTTTCACTGAAAGATTCTAAAATTCTATACAAAATCTGTTATTGATGCTAAAGAATTAACCAAAGAACAATTTCAAGCTTGAATGTGAGTTGAGCCAGGCAGTGTAGGAAACTGAATAACGGTCACCTACAGATATGAAGTCCTAATCCCTGGAACTTGTAAATGTTACCTTATTTAGAAAATGGGTCCTTGGGCCGGGTGCCTGTAATCCCAGCACTTTGGGAGGCCAAGGCAGGTGGATCACCTGAGGTCAGGAGTTCAAGACCAGCCTGGCCAACATGGTGGAACCCCATCTCTACTAAAAATACAAAAATTAGCTGGGCATGATGGTAGGTGCCTGCAATCTCACCTACTCAGGAGGCTGAAGCGGGAGAATTGCTGGAACCTGGGAGGCAGAGGTTGCAGTGAGCCGAGATCACGCCTTTGCACTCCAGCCCAGGTGGCAACAGTGAGACTCTGTCTCAGGAAAAAAAAAAAAAAAGAAAGAAAGAAAGAAAAAGAAAAAAAGAAAAAAGAAAGAAAAATGGGTCTTTGCAGATGTAACCAAATTAAGCAAATTAAGGATCTTAAACTGAGGAAATTTCTCTGGATAGTCTGATGGGTCCTAAATCCAATGGCCAGTGTCCTTATAAGAGACACACAGAAGAGAGACATACACAGAGGAGGAGGAGGCAATGTGACCACAGGGGCAGAAATTGGAACCCCAAGTCAAGGAACACTTGACACCACCAGAAGCTGGAAGGGACAAGGATCAGAATCTCCCATATGCCCTCTGGAGGGAATATGGCCTGCTGACACCTTACTGTTGGACATCTGGCTTCCAGAACTGTAAAAAGAATAAATTTCTGTTGTTTTATGTTACCCAGTTTGTGGTAATTTGTTATGGTAGTCCTAGGAAACAAATATACAGATTCCTACAGTCCTAGGAAACAAATAAAACTAAACTACAGTGGCCAAAGGAAGTTTTTCTTGCAGGTCCTACTGTGCATGTATGTTTGTGGGGAATTGGAAATGTTTTAAGCCTTCAACTATGGGTCTTTACCCATGATTTTGGGAGTTGTCTGGGGTTAGTTAGACATTTCTCAATTGGGTAACATCTATTAATAATTATAGTTTATAAAACCCTTTCTAGTAAACAGAAATTCATGGGGAAAACATCTATCCTATTGGAATCTTCACATCTTCCTAATACTTTGGAGGATGGTGGCTTAATTTTTGGTAGGACAAAGGAATTTATTTTCTGTTCTTGCTAGGGGTTTGAGATCTAGAGACCTTCTCTCTTGTGGGCTCCTGTGGCTTTCTTGTCCACCATCACTGCACTTGCCACATTACATTACAATATCTGCATATATATATATATATATGTGTATATATATATATATGTGTGTATATATGTGTGTATATATATGTGTGTGTGTGTGTGTATATATATATATATATATATATATATATATATATATATATATATATATATATATGTTTTCCTTAATGTATTACTCACTCTGAGGGCCACAGTTTATTCATTTTTGCATCCTAGTATATAGTCCTTGACAACCAATAGGTAGGTGTTCAGTAAGTGATGATTAAATAAATTAATACATGATGACATAGATTTTGAGGCTTTTATTTTTAAGATTTGGAGGCACAATTTAGTAACACTCCTGAATCCTATAGAACAGTCAAGGAAAATACATTTGGTTATCATTATCTAACGGCTTTTCCCAGTATAGCTCTGGGTACTGAGAACTTGCTTGATCTAACTTACTGAAGCCTCTTCTCATTTATCCACTTTATTATTCAAACAGCTGTGAAGATTTCTGGCTGGACTTGGCCATTTGTGTGTGGATATGGCAGGTCTGATTATGCAATTCTTCCTAGTCCCATCCTTCCTTTCAGCTTAGTCTCTAACCCTGAACTCTACCACGAGGACATCAGATGTGGGAGACTGACCACAGCTAAGTTCCTGTCTTTTGGCCACAGTGATTGAATTCTGTTTATCTGTAGCTTAGGTTCATTATTAATGTAGCAGTCTAAATAGAGGAAAAAGGATAAAGAGAAAGAGGAGAAATTGTTTTTGAGGCAAGTTGGTTCTTTTCCCAGTTTTCTAAGTTAGTCCAAGCTGGTAGTCCAGCCCCACGCCAAACACATAGGTAACCAAGCGACTTCTGAATAAATGAGTCATAGTATCTAGAAGAAAAAAAAATTGCAAAGCTTATTTTTAAAACTTGATAAAACTGAGATAGAGAGAATTCTAGTGATTTGCTCAAGATCGTACCAATAGCTAGATGCAAAGCTGAGACCAGGACCTAGATATCTGCACTCAGAATCCACTTTTTATTATGACTTTTGTTATTTAATATATAGCTTTATTTTTTGTAAAATTGATACTATTACAGTAGAAATAAGCTCACATGTCATACAAAGGTACCAACAGAAGTGTGAAGCTTAGAGGATATCTCAACATTCCCAAGTAACTATTCTTGGTGAGTGTATTTTGAGGTATTTCTCTTTGCAACCACACACATACATGCAATTTTATACAAAACTCTACTTGCTGTCCTGTAATCTCTTTTTATCTTCTCTCAACATGTCATATGATTTCTTTCTGTGCCATTAAACATTCTCAGTAATTTTCAGTACTATATAGTGTTTCATTGTTCATTTAGATCCTACTTTATTCCCATTTTTGAAGATTTCCATTATTTCCTAATTTTAGCTTTGAGACACAATACAGTAATTATAATCTTGTTCCATGATGTATTCTGCATCAATTCTACTGACTATACCACCTATATCTTCCATGGTAATGAGCCTTCTGATTACTTTCCTGTCTCCCATGTGTATATGGGCTATGGTCTGAAGCCTGCTTTGTGGTCTTGGGCAAGTCATTAAAATATCCTGCGCCTCAGTTTTCTCATCTGTAAATAAAGTTAATACCACTTGCTTCACAGGACTACAGTGATGATTTTTAAAAGCTAACATAAAATAGATGAAGTAGTGCTTAGCACATAATACTCAATGAATGTTATCTAGTAGGAAGGGGGAGGAGTCAGGTAGTTATGGTCTGAATTCTAAGGGACCAACAGAGATCTGTGCAAAAGTATTCTTTTATGATGACATTACATGCATCAATTTGAATGTGTGCAGCTGAAAGCTGACTGAAACTGTGGAAATTTTATCTTATTTATGACACATTCTGGATAACTTATACTCTTTCTTTCTATGAAGGCAAAAACTATGTCCTTTTGCTTATTGTTATATCCCCAGTAGCTAACAGATTGCCTGGTTCATAATAATAATAACAACAACAACATAAAGACAATGAGTAGCTAACATTTGTTGAATAGAAACTTAAGAAGTTCCTGTAAGTACTGAAACATGAGCAGAAGCAGGTCGAAGAGGTTAAGAACATTGACCTCTGGCTCATCAAGTTACACAGTGATAGTGAGGAGCCCCATCTGAAACTCAGTATTGGAGTTTGGAGGAGATCTCTCTACGTGGTAGCACTGTCCATATCCTTGATATTTCTCTGGGAGTTTCTGTCTAAGAAGATCCCCATGTAAGCCACTGGGATGAAGAACACTACTGAACATTGAAGTCTTGTTAGAATAATGACTGAAAAGGCTGGAGAAAGTCTCAATTCCTTAGAAAAGAGGGAATAATCTGGTAACAGTGATGAGGCAAGGGACAATGGTGCTTCTACAAATCATATCTTTATTATTGCTAGAAATAACAACAAAAAACAGTTTGGAGATAATTCCAATCAATGTCACTACCAAAACAACTATAGGAATGTTAGAAAAACACAAATTTAAAAATGGGAACAGCATTTTTGGATACACATGTACTCTCCAAACTGAATTTAGGGGTGCTAAAAAACTCAAAATATTACATCATAGCTTTAATTTTCATGATATTTTGTAGCGGCACTGAACAAATGAACATTCTTTCAGTGGAAAATAACATTACCAATGTTGAGATGAAACATTTAATAAAAAAGCTTCTGTCTTTAAAGATTATTTGTCAATTTCAGCCGTAGTTTTAGCTATCATTAGAAAAGAATGTCTTCATGGTCACTCTTCCAATTGGTATATTTTTGTGAATACAGGAAGTCTGACATAACATTGTTTCCTGATTCTAATCATAGATTATATGTAATACTTAGGCATAAATATGCTCAGTGATAATTCTGAACTTTTTGGTAAAGTATATATTTTTTTCATTTTTCTCTTCTACCCACAACTTCTTCTTTTTGACCCAGTCTTCTTTTACTTATATCCTTACTTTTGCTTAAAATATTTTAATAATTTTTTTCTTACATTTACTTAAAAAAAGCAAAGCTATGTTATCCAGGGAGGGTGAATATTATGTATTATTTTTATAAATGATTTTTTATCTCTTAAAACTTACATGGTTCTGTCAAAAACTCTCATCTGGCAATTTGCCATTTTCAAAGCTTCATTCCATTGATTGCAATTTATATTTGTTGAATTAATAATCTATGTTTACTGGAGAAAGTTCAAGTAGAAATGCATGTATATAGAACCATAGCACATTCAAATCATTGAGAATGATATACAACTAATGTGTACGTTAGATTCAATATTGTTGAAATTGCTAATCTTGCTATAAAATGACAACTAGATACATTTCACCCTAATATGAATACACCCTCTGAAAAATACCTTTTCTATAATGACTGTTAAATAAAATATATGATTGTGTGAAATACAATAGGCAAACTTGTAACTGAGTTATTGACTTAATGTGCCTGAAGTGAAAATTATTTTCCATAAAATTATTTTCTACATAAAACTTATTTACATACATAATTCTTCAACTTCTCAAATGCTGAAACACAAATAATTAATGATAAACATAATGAAATTGGCCATTTGGATTGAATGAAAGATTTTATTTTAATAAACCAATGTTTACTACACCATATGTTGTACTGATGACTATTTAAAGAATTAACTTCTTGATAAAATTTGAATGATGCTACAAAAATTAATTGACTTGAATAAAACACTTTATTTTAATAAAAAAGTTTAATGTCATGGGGCTAACTGTGCTCATACTTTAAAGTAAATTAATTTTTATAATATCATTAAAATGTTCTCAAGGGAGAGAGTTCTGTAAACTGCCATTGATACCCCTACACCTGTTCCACCCACATCAAACAAAAATGGAACAGGATTGGGTGGAATTGGTCAAATGCCTAGAAGAGGAAGAACTGAACTGTCAAGTAGTCAGGATAATATGAAATCATTCAATGTGAGCTCTGAATGGTTGAGAAAGAGGAAAAAGTACTGCTCTAGTAGTTGGGTAAGGGATTTGGGTTTTTAGCCTCTTTATTATCAACTAAGTGGTTTTGGACAAGACATTCTTAACCTCGCTGAGTATCAAAAGTGAAGGGATTAGGTAATAAACAATAGATTATACAGTCATCCCTTGGTATATGTACAGGATTGGCGTCAGGTCCCTTGCGTATAACAAAATCCTTACATACCCAAATGCCACAGTTAGCCTTGTGGAACTCGTGTTATACCAAAGATTGATCCTCTGTGTACTCGGGTTTCTCATCTTGTAAATGCTGTATTTTCCATCGGTGCTTTGTTGAACAGAATCTACATAGAAGTGCACAACTGCAGTCCTGTTGTGCTGTTCAAGGGTCAACTGTGTATAAAGTCTGTGTGGGGAAAGAGAAGATATCATGCTAGCTTAATATTTATTTATTTTTTTAACAAGACAGTTAATGTATATTAAGCCCAAGCAAAGTCTCAGGTCCTGTGTAGTGAGCCATTTCCCTTTCCTAGAGCCAGGCTTACTTTGTGTTCTTCATTACTATAAAATACAATTCTGCCATTATTTATATATATTAAATAATTTTAATCGGTCAGAATGGACTAAGCACTTAGGTATCACTATCTAACATTTTAACTACTTTTAAGAAGTTGTTCTCCACTCAGGTGGCATTGAGTCAATGCATAACCTAATTGTAAAAGAGAAGCACACCTCATTTCTACATAATTCTATGTTGAAGTGAAATGGTATCAGCTAGAAACACAAATACCTTATAAAAACTATTCATCCCATCTTCTAATTACTGTCAGGAAATAAATAAAAACACTTGATGTTAACCTCACGAAGGCAAATTACCTTCCCTACCACCTCCCACATGTAAGTTCTAAGTTAGTTTTTAAACTGACAAAAAAACTTTATGGTGTTTTATTCCATGGCAGGTTTTAGGCCAAATCTCAAACACACACACCCAAACACACACACACACACACACACACACACACACACACACATACACACACACACACATCATGCTCATACACATACACACGTGGAAAGTGAAAGGGATTTAGTTGACATTCTAAATTCTGGGAAAAATCATCAAATTGTTTATTCTGAAGTTTATTTAATTGATTAAATTATATAATAAATATACTTGTTACCTCAATCACAGAATGATTTATTATTAAAACTTCATAGATTTTAACTTTCTCTCATAATAATAACTATGGTAAATTATTTGCAGGGATCCGTGATAATTCCTCTTATTTCTTTTGTTTTGTTTTGTTTTGTTTGTGAGACGGAGTTTCACTCTGTCGCCCAGGCTGGAGTGCAGTGGCGCGATCTCTGCTCACTGCAAGCTCCACCTCCCGGGTTCACGCCATTCTCCTGCCTCAGCCTCCCCAGTAGCTGGGACCACAGGCGCCCGCCACCACGCCCGGCTAATTTTTTTTGTATTTTTAGTAGAGATGGGGTTTCACCATGTTAGCCAGGATGGTCTCGATCTCCTGACCTCGTGATCTGCCTGCCTTGGCCTCCCAAAGTGCTGGGATTATAGGCATGAGCCACCACGCCCGGCCAGTTCCTCCTATTTCTATACTCACAATCTTTGCCATGTAACTTAGCTGCTCTTCCTATTAAGAAGTAGAGTCTGCTCCTTGCTTTAAGTCCAGATTGGCATTGTGACTTGCTTTGACCAATAGAATGTGGCAGAAATTACTTTGCGATTTCTAAGCCTCAAGAGACCTTGCAACTTCCACTCTTTGCCTCTGAAAACACTGAAACCATAATGTGAAGAAGTTTAGATTCATCTGTTGAAGTTAGTGTAGCCCAGCTGACAAGTACGACCCCCTACCAGACATATGAGGTGGACATCTTGCACCATCCAGTGCCAGTTTGCTACAGAAATGAACCTGGATGAGACCAGTAGAAGAACCACTCAGTTGAGCTCAGCCCAAATTTCTCATCAGAAAATCATGAGCAAATGCAATAGTTGTTGTTTTAAGCCGTGACAGCTTGAGGTCATTTATTATAAAGTAATATAAAACTCATTCATTGATATATTAATGAATTATTTCAAGAGAAAAGTCAAGTGATTTCATAGGTGAAAGAATATTATTTTGTTAATTTATCCTGAAACTGTTTGCCTCTTACAGGCAACTGCTTAATGGGGGCAAATAAATAAATAAATAAATAAATAAAGCAAAAATATGTCTTTTTTGTTTAGTAGTCCCAAAGTATGAAAAGCTGAAGATTTATTTAAAATATGAATATATTCTACTAAAGAGATAATTTTCTCCTTTCTTTTTACCTGAAACAGTCAAGTAAAGATTCCACTTTTCTGCCCTTTGTTTTTTAGGAACCTCCTTTTGTTTTGCTTGTTGACATTAAAAAAAAAATCACTCTTGAAACTTACTAAGCAAAATGCTCCCTTTGGCAAATTTCCCAGAACAATATCTATAAATGCATGTTTAGGCTACAAACTACCGTTTACTTGGCACCAGATAATTTGTCATACCTTCCCCCACCATACTCATTTGTCTTCAAACATTAGTTAGATATGTGTAAATAATCACCAAATACAACTTTTGAATAGACAGCATAAAAAGGAGGTGAGGAGGAAAAAAAAAGAAAACAAACTTTGAAACCTTCCTTAGCTGACTCCTACAGAGAGAAAAGCAGTGGGAGAGAGCATATAGACATTGATATAGATATGAATATATACGTGTGTGTGATTACATACATAAATGAAATTTATATTTGCAAAAGCAGCACATAGTCAACATGTGAACTGATAAATGCTTGCATGGAAATTGCTAAGATTTCTGGAGAAAAAAGTAATAACTATTCTTTTTGCATATAATGCTGAAATAAATTTCATGTGAATACGAATTGTCCAAGAAAGAAAAATGTTAGAAGAAAGATAGTAAATTTGGAAAAAAATTCTCAAATACAAGTACAAAAATGATAAAGAAAAAAGCAAAAATATTAACAATTTATATAAGCATAATTAAATGGCAAAAAGTTTGTATAGAATGTCACTCTTTCAATAATGTTTTTATATTTTAATATCTGACAAAGCTATCAGTACTCATTACTCTTTTGTGTTATTTCTAGGTTTACTCTTGTTGTTTTTTTCCTATATTAATTTCAGAATCATATTGTTAGAAAGCACCACCAACGAAAGAACTATTAGTATTTTTGTTGGTATTGCATTCAGTGTATTACTTTGCCTAGGAAGAGCTGACATATTTATAATGGTCCTTAATTATAATTTATAATTCTGCCTACCAAAAATCACGTATTCCAAGCTACCATTGTGTTACTTAGTAATAACTTAAAGTTTTATTTGTGCTTTTTTTTTAAATGTTGATCTTGGCATTTCTTATTTGGTTTATTCCTAGATATTTGGGGTTTTTTGGTAATATCTTAAATTTGATCTTTATCATTTCTTCTAAGTGGTTGTTCTTTCAGAAACTCATTTGACAAATACTCATTGAGCATTTATTAAGTTCCAGTCACTGTCTTAGGAACCAGAGATACAAAAGTGAACAAAGCAGACAGAAATCCTTGACTTTATGTCATGGTGGGGGAGATAGAAAATAATTAAGATTTATAATACTAGTATGTTAGTATGTAAATATATTAGATAAAAGGAAGTGCTGAAAAGTGACAAATGGAGGTAAAAAGTGTCAAGACATAATTTGAAATTTTGAAATTTTAGATATGAACAAGAAAGACCTCACTGAACTGACACATAAAAAGCTTAACAAAAGGTGGAAGCAAGTCACATGCTTATCTGGGGTGGGGCATCCCAAGAAAATAATACGACTTAAGCCCTGTGGTGGAACGTGGTTTATGTATTCAGGAATAGAGAGGAGAGGAGAACTGGGGAGATCGAAGAAGAAGGGCAGAGAGCTATCAAGGTGAGAAGGAGGCTGCAGTTCATTTGGTGCCTTGTAAAAATTGTGTATGTACACACATATATACATATATATGAATATATAAATATACATATTTAAACATATGTTATACTTTAATTGAATGTATATGTATTTGTATACTTTTTGAAGTTTGAATTGATTGATTGATTATTTTTATGGCCTAATATATAGGCAATTTTTGTGAATGTTTTAAAAGCAGGCTGTATTTTCCATTTTTACCAAAGAGACAGTTTTCCATTTTCTCTGTAGAATTTATGAAATATATAGATAGATAGGCAGATAGGCAAATGGGAAGATAGATCTATGATATGTGATAGATGGATGGACAGATAGAAAATTACTTCATTAAATGTTAAATGTCTTTAACATCTTTATGGTTTATTCACACTGTAATAAAATGAGAGTAGTAAACTAATGTTTTTATTATACTACTTTCTATTTCTCCTTGCATCGTCTATAATTTCTGTTTTATAGATGCTACTACTATCATATTTGGTGCATAAATATATATAACTGTCTATTTTCAATGTGAATGGTTCTCTTTATCGTTATGAAGTACCCGTTGGACTGATATTAAGATTGCAACTCCTATATTTTTTTGTTTGTATATTTGCATTTGTTGGCATACCTTTACTCATCCCTTTTTAATTTAATTTTTTTAACATTTCTAAATCTCTTTTTTTGTTAAGTGACTATCTAGTATAAAGAAAAATGTTAGGTGTTTGTTTGTTTGTTTGTTTTTTTCTGATACCAAATCTGAGACTAATTCTTCTCCCCTAGTGTTTCCAGTTACCCTTTGGTTGGCTGAAGTTCATTCTATTGAAGTTTCTTCCGTAGGATTCATGGGAATAATATTTCCGTGGATATTACATATGCAAAATTCTCTGCATGCAGTATTTATACTAGCATGACAACTTGATTAGATATAAATCTCACATCTACTTCTACCATTAACAGAATGTTGGTGCCTCCTCAAACTTCATATGTTGAAACCTATCCCTGATGTGATGGTATTAGGATGTAGGGTCTTCAGGAGGTAGTTAGGTCACAAGGGTAAAACCCTCATGAATGGGATTAGTGCCCTTCTAAAAAACGGCCCCAGAAAGCTCCCCTGTTCCTTCTGCTATATGAAAACACAGCAAGAAGGTACTGTCTATGAACCAAGAGGAGAGGCCTCACCAAAAAATGAATCTGATCGCATGTTGATCTTAGACTTGGCAACCTCTAGAACTTTGGGACATAAATTCCTATTGTTTATAAACCAACGAGTATGGCACTCTCTTTTAGGATCCTAAAGGGACTAAGGCAATTTCCTTTGAGGGTCTTGTAGGTTCTCTTGCAATAAATGTCACTCTTGCAAAGTCTGTGGACAGCCTGAATTTTCTCAACACATAGATGCTTGATGTTTTTTGCCTGCCTGTCCAAACAATTTGTTCTCTACATTTGATGTCCAATATATTTACTAGTTCAAGCCTCGATATCAATTTTGGAGGTTAAATTTGCAGTATATGGTGCAAAGTGCATTCTTATATTTAGATTCAAGTTTTTTGAATTGTTAAACTCTTAAGCTCTGCATTAGCTACTATATTTTGTTGGATCATATGAATAGAAGACAAATCTTCAAGTCTGAACAAAGAAAACACCTTGATAAGTTCAGAGCTGATATGATACTGTCTAACTCATTATTACCATCAATTATCCCTGAAACTACTGAGATTGATATATGCTATGTAATTGGGCCTTATTCCTGGCAGACCATGTCAAACTCAAACCTTTACCATCAGAGTGAACAGGGAACCTACAGAATGGGAGAAAATTTTTGTAATCTACTCATCTGACAAAGGGCTAATATCCAGAATCTACAAAGAACTCAAACAAATTTACAAGAAAAAAACAAACAACCCCATCACAAAGTGGGCGAAGGATATGAACAGACACTTCTCAAAAGAAGACATTTATGCAGCCAACAGACACATGAAAAAAATGCTCATCATCACTGGCCATCAGAGAAATGCAAATCAAAACCACGATGAGATACCATCTCACACCAGTTAGAATGGTGATCATTAAAAAGTCAGGAAACAACAGGTGCTGGAGAGGATGTGGAGAAATAGGAACACTTTTACACTGTTGGTGGGACTGTAAAGTAGTTCAACCATTGTGGAAGACAGTGTGGTGATTCCTCAGGGATCTAGAACTAGAAATACCATTTGGCCCAGCCATCCCGTTACTGGGTATATACCCAGAGGATTGTAAATCATGCTGCTAGAAAGACACATGCACACGTATGTTTATTGAGGCACTATTCACAATAGCAAAGACTTGGAACCAACCCAAAAGTCCAACAATGATAGACTGGATTAAGAAAATGTGGCACACATACACCATGGAATACTATGCAGCCATTAAAAAGGATGACTTCATGTCCTTTGTAGGGACATGGATGAAGCTGGAAACCATCATTCTCAGCAAACTATCGCAAGGACAAAAAAACCAAAAACCGCATGTTCTCACTCATAAGTGGGAATTGAACAATGAGAACACTGGGACACAGGATGGGGAACATCACACACCGGGGCCTGTTGTGGGGTGGGGGCAGGGGGGAGGGATAGCATTAGGAGATATACCTAATGTAAATGATGAGTTAATGGGTGCAGCACACCAACATGGCACACGCATACATGTGTAACAAACCTGCACGTTGTGCACATGTACCCTAGAACTTAAAATATAATAAACACTTATTAAAAAAAAAAAACCAGAGAAGCTCACCTGAAAAAAAAAATCACATAAATTCCAGAGGAGATTTGCATGGTTGCTGCTTGAATACCTTTCCTGTATTTAACTGTTATATTTTGAAGAATGAGATTTATCCTGATGTGTCTGAATTCATGTTATAATCAGTTGCATTAACCTGGGCTCATAATTTTGATTTTATAACAGCAGTGCTATGTACTGAAGACAGTCTTGTAGGTAGTGGTAATCATATGCCATTTTCTAAACCTGTAGCCTTTTAGCTTTTAAAGGTATAGTTCCTCCCACTCCCAATAGGTTAAGAAGTAGATCCTAATAAGAAAATGATGAGTCTAGAAAGGAGACCTATTTGAAACAATCAGTGAGGCCCTATTTATCTGCAAAGGAATATATAAAACATTGTACACTCACACTCTATAATTTTGACTCTTTTTTTTCTCTTTTCCAGTCTTATCTGTTCTGCTTTGCCTTCTCCCTCACTTGGGAACTGTACTTGATGAGTTGGGGTCCAGGCTACATATCCTGGCTCAGTGTCATATATACCTCAACAGCCCATGAGTCACTCTCTTGTTTCTTGGAAAGAGAAGGCTGGCTTGTTTAACTGTCAACTTGGTGAACTCCCACGGTTCCCCAGAGCATTAGCTGAAAGAAAATCTCTTTGCAACAACCATTCCCTAGCCAACACTAACATAACGGAGAGCATGTAAACAGTTGGCTTGACTGATTGTTACAGGGGTTGAAGCAAAGCAAGAGTGGCTTCCACTCAGACAATGGAATCTTCACTCTATATGCAAATTTCCTGGCTCCCATTTCTGGGACTGTTCACACTTCAGAGTGTGCAGTCTCAAAATGTGCTAATGCTCCTCACAAGGCCCAGAGCACAGAACTCTCAGGTCACTACCACAGGACTTCGATTTCACTGAGTTTAGGTGACCTGTGCTTCAAAGCAAGAGCTAAACTCTAGAGCTGGATTTCTTAGGAGTTATTTGCTGTACACCCCTCCCTTTCAAGACTCTCCTAAATGGGTTTAATTCTAGCTTTACCGTGGCTTTTGGCAAAGCAAGTGAACATTAGGGATCTCAAAAATATGTAGTTAATTATATATTACTGCAAAGTACTATGCTGAGGAATGATCATAATGTCTTCCAAACTATGTACCACTGTTTGAACATAACCATAGAAAACACATAAAAACACATGGATGCGAGAGAGTGATGCCAGGTTTGGCTTTTGTGTTGTCAATCTTTTAATGTAAAAATATAACAAAAAAAAGATAGCGATTTAAACTTTTAAATTTCATGTTTTTCTTTCTCCCAGTAGTAAACTGTCAATGTTGAGAAAGTGTCCAATTTTGTTTAAAGATAAACTACAACAAACTTACCAGCACAGTCAGATTCTGACTCTGTCATTTGCTTTGACAGCAGAGGTCTAAATCCAAAATGATAAAGTGCTTCTTTTTCATCTTCCGGCTGTAACTGTAAGTGATAATAACTGAATGCTACTCATGTTACAGTAAGTGTCTATATGCATATTTTCTTTAGTTCTTTGGGCATAAAGTATCCCTTAACTCCAGGGATTTTGCAAATGTCTTTATAAATGTATTAGATTTTGTTTTATATGTAGTTACAGAAATCTTGAGGTGGTGTTTATATAATTAAAAATATTTTATTGTAAGGGAAATATTTAAGTGACTCAGATGTTTCCACAGTTATTAGATATCATGGGGAAGAATCCAAATGGCTGATAATATGTTTTAATAAAACATGTAGTGTTTGTTATGAGGAACAGGACTTTTCAAATATTAAATGTGTATCACTTAAATATGCTGAATATAAAATTATTAGCTTTATTCTGTAAGTGAATAAATATTTCATAAGGTTCTATCATGTGTCAGATACTTGGAAGAGTGCTAAAGAATCAATTATCTGAGCTACCATATGTACTGAGAATGGATTATCTTATAAGAATTCTCATAAGGCCAATATCCCTGATGAACATTGATGCGAAAATCCTCAATAAAATACTGGCAAACCAAATCCAGCAGCACACCAAAAAGCTTATCCAGCATAATCAAGTCCGTTTCATCCCTGGGATGCAAGGCTGGTGCAATATATGCAAATCAATGAACATAATCCATCACATAAACAGAACCAATAACAAAAACCACATTATTATCTCAGTAGATGCAGAAAAGGCCTTTGATAAAATTCAACACCACTTCATGCTAAAAACTCTCAATAAACTAGGTATCAATGAAATGTATCTCAAAATAATAAGAGCTATTTATGACAAACCCTCAGCCAATATCATACTGAATGGGCAAAAGCTGGAAGCATTCCCTTTGAAAACCAGCACAAGACAAGGATGCCCTCTGTCACCACTCCTATTCAACATAGTTTTGGAAGTTCTGGCCAGGGCAATCAGGCAAGAGAAAGAAAGAAAGAGTATTCAAATAGGAAGTGAGGAAGTAAAATTGTTTCTGTTTGCAGATGACATGATTGTGTATTTAGAAAACCCCATTATCTCAGCCCAAAATCTCCTTAAGCTGATAAGCAACTTCAGCAAAGTCTCAGGATACAAAATCAGTGTGCAAAAATCACAAGCATTCCTATACACCAATAATAGACAAACAGAGAGATAAATCATGAGTGAACTGTCATTCACAATTGCTACAAAGAGAATAAAATACCTAGGAATCCAACTTACAAGGGATGTGAAGGACCTCTTCAAGAACTACAAACCACTGCTCAAAGAAATAAGAGAGGACACAAACAAATGGAAAATAATTCCACGCTCATGGATAGGAAGAATCAATATTATGAAAGTAATTCATAGATTCAATGCTATCCCCATCAAGCTATCAGTGACTTTCTTCACAGAATTAGAAAAAACTACTTTAAATTTCATATGGAACCAAAAAAAGACTGTATAGCCAAGACAATACTAAGCAAAAAGAACAAAGCTGGAGGCATCGTGCTACCTGACTCAAACTATACTATAAGGTGACAGTAACCAAAACAGCATGGTACTGGCACCAAAACAGATATATAGACCAATGGAACAGAACAGAGGCCTCAGAAATAATGCCACACATCTACAACCATCTGATCTTTGGCAAACCTGACAAAAACAAGCAATGGGGAAAGGATTCCCTATTTAATACATGGTGTTGGGAAAACTGGCTAGCCATATGCAGAAAACTGAAACTGGACCCCTTCTTACACCTAATACAAAAATTAACTCAAGATGGATTAAAGACTTAAATGTAAGACCTAAAACCATAAAAACCCTAGAAGAAAACCTAGGCAATACCATTCAGGACATAGGCATGGGCAGACTTCATGACTAAAACACCAAAAGCAATGGCAACAAAAGCTAAAATTGACAAATGGGATCCAATTAAACTAAAGAGCTTCTGCTCAGCAAAAGAAACTAGCATCAGAGTGAACAGGCAACCTACACAATGGTAGAAAATTTTTGCAGTATATCCATCTGACAAAGGGCTAATATCCAGAATCTACAAGGAACTTAAGCAAATTTACAAGAATAAAAAAAACAGTGCCATCAAAAAGTGGGTGAAGCGTATGAAGAGACACTTCTCAAAAGAAGACATTTATGTGGCCAGCAAACATGAAAAAAAGCTCATCATCACTGGTCATTAGAGAAATGCAAATCAAAACCACAATGAGTTACCATCTCCCACCAGTTAGAATGACAATCATTAAAAAGTCTGGAAACAACAGGTGCTGGTGAGGATGCAGAGAAATAGGAATGCTTTTACACTGTTTGTGGGAGTGTAAATTTGTTCAACCATTGTGAAAGAGTGTGGCGATTCCTCAAGAATCTAGAACCAGAAATACCATTTGACACAGCAATCCCATTACTGGGTATATAACCAAAGAATTATAAATCATTCTACTATGAAGACGCATGCACACATATGTTTATTGCAGCACTGTTCACAATAGCAAAGACTTGGAACAAATCCAAATACCCATCAATGATAGACTGGATAAAGAAAATGTGGCACAGCATGGAATACTATGCAGCCATAAAAAAGGATAAGTTCATGTCCTTTGCAGGGACATGGATGAAATGCTTTCCACATCATTCTCAGCAAACTAACACAGACACAGAAAACGAAACACCGCATGTTCTCACTCAAAAGTGGGAGTTGAACAATGAGAACACATGGCCACAGGGAGGGGAGCATCACACACCAGGACCTGCTTGGGGGTGGGGTGCTAGTGGAGGGATAGCATTTGGAGAAATACCTAGTGTAGGTGATAGGTTGATGGGTGCAGCAACCCACAATGGCACGTGTATACCTATGTAACAAACCTGCACATTCTGCACATGTAAATTATTTTAAAAAGAAGCAAATTGACACATATGTTAAATTGTATTTAAAAATAAATAAGTGGCAGTTAAAAAAAAAAGAAAGTGAAGTATTTTATTTGCTATGGAAAATAGAAAGATGAAGAGTTGATTTTCTCCCTCAAATACAGTAACATTACTAGGAGAGATAAAGCATGCAAATGGCAAGCACAATACAAAGCAGAGCATGATCACACCAAAAGAGAGGTGCCGTGCTCAGACGTTAGAGAAGTTAAAGGAGATTTCAGGCTATAGGGACAGAACTGATTTCATTGCCAGTTAAACCAGGTCTTTAAAGGACCAGTAAAAGATTCAAATAGAAAGAGATGAGTTCAGGGAATAAGTATTTTTGGCAGATGGAATAGCATGAAAATTACTCTTAGTTGGCCAAACCACATATAGAGGATGATAGTCAATTATGGGTACTGATCTTTATAAAAAATATTCCAAATTGAAACATGTACAGAACAAGGTGGCCAGGGTGGTGAGATTATTTAAAACTACGTTGTTTTGTGAATGGATGATCTAGAATATAGGAGAATTAATTAAGAAAGACATGATAGTTGTGTTCACATCCTTGAAAGTCAGTAATGTGAGAGAGGAATTAGCCATACTCTGAATGTGATAGAAGCAGAGCCAATACCAACTGTAGAAACTACAAGATCAACTTCAGCATAAGAAGTAAGTATCTAACAGTAAAAACTGTTAGAAAATGGAAAGGGATGGCTTCAGAAGGAAGGCAGTGTGTATAGTGGGCAGAGCCTCACTGCCAAAGAACAATTCTCACAAGCTGCATAACCATTATGAGCTACTTAAACTCTAAGCTTCTGTTAAAGCTCATTTCTAAAATGGGAAAATTCAGTAAATATCTACCTCATAGGGCTATTTTGAGTGTGTGCTTAATCTCTAAAGTGCCTGGAATATCATAAATGATATGATATCGTTTGGCTCTGTGTCCCCACTGAAATCTCAAGTCCAATTGTAATCCCCACTGGTCAGAGGGACCTGGTGGAAGGTAATTGGATCATGGGGGCAGATTTTCCCCTTGCTGTTCTCATGACAGTGAGTGAGTTCTCATGAGATCTGATGGCTTAAAAATGTGTGACACTTCCCCCTTCACTATCTCCCTCTCTTGCTGCAATGTGAAAAAAGTGCTTGCTTCCCCTTCACCTTCTGCCTTGATTGGAAGTTTCCTGAGGCCCCCCAGTCATGCTTCCTGTTAAGCCTGTGGAACTGTGAGTCCATGAAACCTCTTTTCTTCATAATTACCCAGCCTCAGGTAGCTCTTTATAGCAGTGTGAGAAGGGACTAATACAAATACTTTATAAATTTAGCAAATTAATGGGTGGGCAATCTCTTAATAGCTATTATAGATGTAGATTAGAACACAAAATGCTAGTTTATACTTCAAGTTGCATTTCTCTCTAATTTTTTGTCTCTAACGCTTTGCTTCTAAAGCAAATAAGTAATTCTTCAGGTAAACAATATTTTACCTTAGAGTTTCTGCTGGAAATCTGTAAGTAATTGTCATAAAAGCTTAATTTTTCACCCCTTGGTCTTCTGTTGCTCATTATGTGGCTATTAAGCCCAAAATGTAAATAGTATGGATTAAGATATCCCTCAGGTGTGAAATATATACTGAATTTCAAAGATTTGGTACAAATAAAAGGGTGCCGTGGCTAGATTGGAGTGAGGGTGGCTGAGACTAGTAAGGAATGATAAGGGAAGTTGGGCTGGAGTCAGGTTTTGTGATGATCTAGGACATAAATAGTAATTTGAATTTTATTCTGTTGGAACGGGAAGCTACTCTAGGACTAGGATGATTAGAATATAGATGCTTTTGTATTTACCTGGAATCTAGACTGTAAAAGCCAATTTGTAAAAAATAAGCCCTAAATGTATAGCAAGTCACAAATCATGTCACTTCAAAGCATGAAAGAAATGACATGGTTTGAGCTAAATTTTATAAAATTTTATCTCAGTCTTCTTGAGTTAAACAAGAAAGATTAGGCTTGGATTAAAGTTAGTTTAGGCTTGGATTAAAGTGGTATTAGGTAAGTGATAAAAAGTGGATGTAGAATATATGTTGCAGAATTTGCTAGATTAGTTTACATGTGAATTATACATATCCACATTATGTGTGGATTACATGCACGATGTAGAGGAAGAAAGATCAGTTAAATATACCTCTTGAGGTTTCTGCCCTGAGTGCATCATGGTGCCATTTATTGAGAGAGAAAGGCCTGAGAGAAGAGCAAGTTTTGGATTATCAATATTATCATTATTTTATAGCTTCATATTTAGATTCACCAAGCAAAGTTGTGCTGATTGTCAGGGGTGAGACTAGGGTGAGATGAGTCTGGCACTTGCCTTGGGAGTAAAATTTAAGGGGTCACCAAAAATCTCAGTAATTGAAATAAATAATATTTTAGCCTAATATTTTAAAAAGATTTTTTAAAGTAAAAAAATGCAAAAAAGTTATCAAGAAAATATTAAAAATGTATGTAAACACAGGATCAATAACAATGCTATGCAGTCATACCAGAGCTTGAGGCAAAAACAGTTTGTAATTGACATTTACACTGAAATATTTAATTACACGGAAATATTTAATATTTTAATGTATGTAATATTAAATAAGTATTAGTTAATATTTAATTGCATCACCCTTATCAGCCTAATCCTGACCCTGCTGATTGCACACTGCAGAGATACAAAGGGCAGTGTTCCATTGTAGTTTGTGTGAATGGTGTGCCAGGAGTTGGACTGGACACAACCTCCATGATGCTGACTGGTGGACCTGTGTGTAGACTAAAAACCTTCCTAAAACAAAAAAAGCATTAATATGTTATATCCTTTGACTATATATTATAGACTTTGAAGAGACCTGTTAAAACAGCGTCTAGTTCATTATGATAAATCTTCATATATGATATGATATATATGTTACATATATGTGCACACACTTATAAACATACATTTATACACCCACACACATATATATATAGAGAGAGAAGGAGAGAGGGAAAGGGAGAGATAGAGAGAGAGAGAGAGAGAGAATTAACAAATAGGACTGTATAACCTGTTTCTTGATCTCTAACTCTATATCAGGCACTGTGCCAAATATTTTGTATGCATTTAATATATATGACAACACTGAAAAGATAGATGCTTTTATCTTCATGAATGAAAATGCTAAGACTCAGTGAAAGTTAAATATTTTGACCAAAGTCTCATAATTGGTCAGTGGCAGAAGTGAGATACTTAGTCAGATGTGTCTGAATCTACAATCCATGTTCCAATCTCCCAAAGAGCTTTGATGTGATTTTCCATGTCTTCTCTAAGAAACTAAAAATGAAGTTCAACTCTAATAGCAATCAAAGTTTTGTACATCAATTTAGCATCTGTATATGTGAATTAAACATTTAAATAAGGGATTTTATTAAATATTTAAAAATCTGTCATGTAAATAATGTTTTAAGGACTATTTAATAATATAGGCAGAAAAATCTAATTTTCCAAAAGTGTGCATGCAACTCATATGTAAACCCTGGGGCTCAGTAATCATGAACATAAGAGAAAAAACCTAGCATATTTGATGTGTAATGAATAGTGTAAAGTTTTATGAAATAAATGTTCAAAAATCAATGGTCCCCATATATATAAAACATATCAAGGGAGTTAGTAAAAGGAAATCTATATAAAGTGACTGAGAATCTACTTAGCAAGAACTATACAAAACTACCATCAATGAATGCATGAATCCTACTGAGCAATATAAAGGAACACTTGAAGAGTTCAAGGTACTATTCAAGTCTCACACAACAGTCTTTCATATCATAAGGTCAAGTTCCAGAATTTGATGTAGTAATTCAATCCTACCACAATTCAATATTTGGGAAATATGATAAAGAGATTTTATAATTTAATCTGAAATGAAAAGTTATGATTATAGGCAGAAAAGTTCTAGAAAAACTTGAGGGTCATGCAGCAACAAATATTATTAATATCTGTGTTACATTTCTAACATTTTATAATTTCAAAACATTACTTACACAAATGGAGTCATATATATGTAATCTTTTGGAATTTTTTTTCCACTCAGCATATTTTCCTGGAGATTTGTCCAGGTTGTTGCATGTATCAGTAATTTCTGCTTATTTTTTGTTTACCATGAGTAAAGCTGCTATGAACATATGTGTATAGGTTTTTGTGTGACTACAAGTTTTCATTTCTCTGAGTTAAAATGAGATTTCACTTCAATAACACAATTGCTAGGTCATATGATAACTGCATATCTTACAGAATGGCTATACCTTTTTACATTTCCACTGGCAATGCATAAGTGATCCAGTTTATCTGCATCCTCACCAGCATTTTAGAAATGCAGCCCAAATTAGGGATTGACAAAGGTTAGTGAAGGGAGGGGAGTGGAAGGTGAGTATATGTATAAAAGGGCAACATAAGGGATCCTTGTGGTGAGACTATTGTGTGTTTCTACAATGCTAAGGGATACACAAACTCATACATATGATAAAATTGCATAGAACTAAATAAACACACTGACAATGAGTGCAAGTAAAATTGAGGAAATCCGAATAAGATTTGTGGATTGTATTAAGTTTAACATCTTAGTTGTGATAATGGACTATAGTTTTGCAAGATATTATTGCTAGGGAAAACTGAGTAAAGGCTTCATGAGACCTTTATCATTTCTTACAACTGCATGTGAATCTGCAATTATATAAAAAAATTTCACTTGGAAGTGTATAACACAATTACATTTATTAAAGACACATGCTATTGCAGGAGTAGATATAGAACGGTAGAACAGAATACTGAGTCTGAATTTAGCATATAATGAAGATCATATTTCAGATAATTGAGGAAAAGATCAGTGTTCAGTAAAACAAGCTACCATTTGACAGTAGCTAGTCTTCGATAAAGATAGTTATATCCCAACATTATACATTATAAATTCATTCCATAAAATATTCTTTATTATTTATTTATTAAAGATATTAAATATATACTGAAGATCAAAATATGCTAAGAAAATTCAGGTGATGATTTTTTAAATTGTAACATATGGAAAGACTTCCATAGCATGGCACCAAAGCAAGAAGTGAGAAAGCAGAAAACACACTTATGTGTTTAAATACAAAGATTTACCCTTCATAATAAAAAATAAATCAATAAAGAAATAAATACCTCAAAAAATAGCACAAGAATTGCATGAGTACTTCTTAATTAGAAAATACCCATTTTCATATATGATCAGAAAAACACAAATTAAAAGAATTAATGAGATTCCATTGTTACTCTTATGTAACAGATATAGAAGATTTTTATCTCCAGTATTGATAAGGCTATGAAAGACAATCGATTTAATATATTGTTTTTGAGTTTATAGATAGGTATTACTTTTACAAAGGGTCATCTGGGAATATAGCTCTTAAGTACGTGTGTCATGTACTTAAGTTTCATTAAACATGAAACTTCTGTGTAATTTGTTTAGTATGAGCTCATGGAGATCTAATACTCATAAACAATAGAGTTAACTGTATTAGTGGATACTCAAGCATCCTAAAATATCATTTTGAATTTCCAGCCAGATAAAACTAATCCATGTGATTAGGACCTATTTGGTTTAAATAAGAGGCTAAAAATGTGCTGTTTGTCTTTCAGTTCAAACAATTAGATTTGACAAATAGCTTCTGCAAAGCACTGTATCATTGATGTGGGAATGAAAAAAATTATAATAAATCTTATTTCAGAGAGCTTAATATAGAATCAAGAAAACAAGATATAGCTGATGTAAATAATTAGAAAATATCTTACATCACAATAGCAAATGTGAAATAATGTAATGGTATCCTTTACACTGGCACAAGACAAGGATGCCCTCTCTCACCATTCCTACTCAACATAGTATGGACGTTCTAGCTAGGGCAGTTAGGCAAGAAAAATAAGTAAATGTTATTCAAATAGGAAGAGAGGAAATCAAATTATCCCTGTTTGCAGATGGCATGATCCTACATCTAGAAAACCCCATCACCTTAGTCAAACAGCTTCTTCAGCTGATAAGCAACTATAGCAAAGTCTGAGGATATAAAATCAATGTGAAAAATTGCTAGCATTCCTATTCACAAACATCAGTCAAGCCAAGAGCCAAATCATGAATGAACTCCCATTCTTAATTGTCTCAAAAAGAATAAAATACCTAGGAATACAGCTAAAAAGGTGTATTAATTTATTTTCACACTGTTATATTACCTGAGACTGGTTAATCTATAAACGAAGAGGTTTAATTGACTCACAGTTCTGCATGGCTGGGGAGGCCTCTAGCAACTTATAATCATGGCGGAAGGCAAAGGGGAAGCAAAGTACATCTTACATGTCAGCAGGAGAGAGAGAGCATGCAGGGGAAACTGCCACTTTTAAACCATCAGATCTTTAAGGAACTCCCTCATTATCATGAGAACAGCATAGGGGAAACTGCCTCCATGATGCAATCACCCCCCATCAGGTCTTTCCCTCAACATCTGGGGATTAACAATTTGAGTTGAGATTTGGGTGAGGGCACAGAGCCAAAACTTATGCCACTCCTGACCCCTCCCAAATCTCATGTCCTTTTCACATTTCATAACCAATAACCAATGATGCCTTCCCAACAGTCCCCCAAAGTCTTAACTCATTCCACCATTGACTCAAAAGTCCAAGTCCGAAGTATCTTCTGAGAGAAGACAAATCTCTTCTGCCTATGAGACTGTAAAATCAAAAACAAGTTAGTTACTTCCAAGATACGATGGGGATACAGCATTAGGCAAATGTTTTCATTCCAAATGGGAGAAATTGGCCAAAACAAAGGGGCCACAGGTCCCATGCAAATCTGAAACCTGGCAGGGCACTCATTAGATCTTAAAGCTCCAAAATAATCACCTTTGACCCCATGTCTCATAACTAGGACACACTGATACAAGGGGTGAGCTCCCAAGGCCTTGGGCAGCTCCACCCCTGTGGTTTTGCAGGATACAGTCCCTGCAGCTGCTTTCATGGGCTGACATGGAGTGCCTGCAGCTTTTTCAAGCACATGCTGCAAGCTGTTGGTGGATCTACCATTCTGGGGTCTGGAGGATGGTGACCCTCTTCTCACAGCTTCACTAGGGAGTGCCCCAGTGGCGACTCTGTATGGGGGCTCCAACCCACATTTCCCCTCTGCATTTCTCTAGTAGAAGTTCTCCATCAGGGCTCTGCTTCTGCAGCAGACTTCTGCCTGGACTTCCATGTATGTCTGAACAACCTCTGAAACCTAGGAGGAGGCTTCCAAAGCTTAACTCTTGTCTTCTGTGCACCTGTGGGCCCAACACCACATGGAAGGTGGCAAAGCTTGGGTATTTCACCCTCTGAAGCAATGGCCTGAGCTGTGTCTTGGCCCCTTTTAGCCACGGCTGGAGCTGGAGTGGTTGGGACACAGGGTGCCATGTCCTGAAGCTACACAGAGCAACAGAATGCTGGGCCCAGCCCATGAGGTCATTTTTCCCTCCTAGACCTCTAGGCCTGTGATGGTGGGAGGGGCTGCCATGGAGGTCTCTGATGTGCCCTGGAGACATTTTCCCCATAGTCTTGGCAATTAACATTTGGCCCCTCCTTACATATGTAAATTTGTGCAGCCATCTTTAATTTCTCCCCAGTAAATGGGTTTTTCTTTTCTACCTTATGGTCAGGCTGCAAATTTTCCTAACCTTATGCTCTGCTTCCCTTTTAAACATAAGTTCCAATTTCAAACCATTTCTTTATGAACACATATAACCGAAGGCTTTCAAAATAAGCCAGGTCACATTTTGAATGCTTTGCTACTTGGACATTTATTCTGCCAGATACCCTAAATTATCTCTCTCAAGTTCAAAGTTCCGCAGATCTCTAGAGCAGGGGCTAAATGCCACCAGTCTCTTTGCTAAAGCATAGCATAAGTGACCTTTACTCCAGTTCCCAGTAAGTTCCTCATCTCCTTCTGAGGCCACCTCAGCCTGGGCTCCATTGTCCATGTCACTATCAACATTTTGGTTAAAAACCATTCAACAAGTCTAGAAATTCCAAAATTTCCCACATCTTCCTGTCTTCTTCTGAGCACTCCAAACTGTTCCAACCTGTGCCTGTTACCCAGTTCCAAAGTCGCTTCCACATTTTCAGGTTATCTTTACAGACTACCTCACTCTGTTGATACCAATTCTCTGTATTAGTCCATTTTTACACTGCTATAAAGATAGTGCCTGAGAGTGAGTAATTTATAAACAAAAGAGGTTTAATTGACTCACAATTCTGCATGGCTGAGGAGACCTCAGGACATTTACAATAGTGGCAGAATGTGAAGGGGAAGCAAGGAACATCTTACATGTTGGCAGGGGAGAGAGAGTGTTCAGGGGAAACTGCCACTTTTACACCATCAGATTTTGTGAGAACTACCTCACTATCATGAGAACAGCATGGGGGAAACTGGCCCCATGATCCAATCACGTCCCACCAGGTCCCTCCCTCAATTCCTGGGGATTACAATTTGAGATAAGATTTGGATGAAGACACAGAGCCAAACCATATCACAAGGGAAGTGAAGGACCTCTACAAGGAGAAATACAAACCACTGCTTAAAAATATCAGAGATGACACAAACAAATGGAAAAGCATTCTGTGCTCATAGATAGGAAGAATCAATATCGTGAAAATGGCCATACTGTCCAAAGCAATTTATAGATTCAATGATAGTTGCACTAAACTACCATTGACATTCTTCATAGAACTGGAAAAAAACTTTTAAAATTCATATAGAACCAAAAAAAGAAAAAAGCCCAAATCATCAAGGCAATCCTAAGCAGAAAGAACAAGGCTGGATACATCATGCCACCTGACTTCAAACTACACTATAGGGCTACAGTAACCAAAACAGCATGCTACTTGTGGAAGAATAGACAAATATATCATTGTAACAGAAAAGAGAACCTAGAAATAAGACCACACACTTTTAACTATCTGAGGTTCAACAATCCTGACAAAAACAAGCAATGGGGAAAGGATTCCCTATTCAATAAATCTTGCTGGGAGAACTGTCTAGCCATATGCAGAAAATTGAAACTGGACCCCTTGTTTACACCACACACAAAAAAATCAACTCAAGATGAATTAATCACTTAATGTAAAACCCCAAACTATAAAAAATCTAAAGGAAAACCTAGGCAATGCCATTCAGGATATAGGCAAGGGCAAAAATTTCTTGTCTAAGACAAAAAAACAATTGCAACAAAAGCAAAATTTAACAAGTGGGATCTAATTAAACTAAAGAACTTCTGCATAGCAAAAGAAACTATCAACAGAGTAAACAGCCGACCTACAGAAAGGGAAAGATTTTACACTATGCATCTGACACAGATCTAATATCAAATGTCTATAAGAAATTTAAGAAAATTTACAAGAAAAAAGAAACCACTCCATTAAAAAGTGGGGAAAGTACAGGAACAGACAGTTTCCAAAAGAAGACATACATGTGGCCAACAATCATATGAAAAAAAGCTCAACATGGCTATTCATTAGATAAATGCAAATCAAAACCACAATGAGATACCATCTCACACCAGTAAGAAGTCAAAAAGTAACAGTTGCTGACAGGTTATATAGAAAAAGAAATGCTTTTACACTGTTGGTGGGAGGGTATATTAGTTCAACCATTGTGGAAGGCAGTGTGGCAATTCCCCAAAGACCTACAGACAGAAATACTATTTGACCCAGCAATCGCATTACTGGGATATACCCAAAGGAATATAAATCATTCTATTATATAGACATGTGCATGCATATGTTCTTTGCAGCACTATTCACAATAGCAAAGACATGGAATCAGCCTAAATGCACATCAGTAATAGACTGGATAAAGAAAATGTGGTATATATACACCATGGAATACTATGCATCCATAAAAAAAGAAGGAGGTTATGCCTTTTGTGGGAACATGGATGGAGCTGCAGGCTGTTATCCTTAGCAAGCTAACACAGGAACAGTAAACCCAATACCGCATGTTCTCACTTATAAGTGGGACCTAAATTATGAGAACACATGAACACATAGAAGGGAACAGTGCACACTGGGGCCTATTAGAAGGTGGGGGGTGAAAGGTGGGAGAGGATCAGGAAAAAAAACCTACTGACAACAACTCCCATAACACATGTTTACCTATGTGACAAACCTGCACATCCTGCACATGTACCCCTGAACTTAAAAGTTCAAAAAGGGGCCAGGTACGGTGGCTCAAGCCTGTAATCCCAGCACTTTGGGAGGCCCAGGTGGGCGGATCACGAGGTCAGGAGACTGAGACCATCCTGGCTAACATGGTGAAACCCCGTCTCACTAAAAATACAAAAAATTAGCCGGGCATGGTGGCGGGCGCCACCACTACTCCGAGTAGTCTCAGCTACTCGGAGGCTGAGGCAGGAGAACGGCGTGAACCTGGGAGGCGGAGCTTGCAGTGAGCCGAGACCGCACCACTGCACTCCAGGCTGGGTGACAGAGCGAGACTCCGTCTCAAAATAATAATAATAATAATAATAATAATAATAATAATAATAATAATAATAAATAAAGTTTAAAAACCCTAATGAATCTGGGAAAAATATTCATGATGTGTTGTTACTTTGTGGAGGGAGGTGTGACATTAAAAATCAGTTTAAAAAGTTTGAAGGCACTACACTAATGGGACAATAATTATTATCTCTGAGAATTGAGATTGCTGCCACTTTTTTCTTCTTCTCACTAATCTATGGTTTCTAATTCCAATAATTAAAATGCCGTCTTAGTAAATATGTAGTGCTCACTTTGGCAGCACATGTACTAAAATTGGAATGGTACAGAGAAGATTACCATGGCCCGTGTGAAAGTATGACATACAAATTCGTGAAGTGTTCCTGAAACCTGCACATATCAATATTCACCTGAAATTGAATGGGCTAAATGCCCCAATTAAAAGGCACAGAATGGCTACTGAATAAAGAAGCAGGACCCAACATTATGCTCTCTTCAAGAGACCCGTAGGCTCAAAGTAAGGGGATGGATTAAAATCTGCCAAGTGAATGGAAAACAGTAAAAAGCATAAGCTGCTATTCTAATTTCACACAAAACAGACTTTAAACCAACAATGGTTAAAAAAAGGACATTAAATAAACATAAAGGGTTTAAGTTAACAAGACATAACTTTCCTAAAGAAATATTCATCCAACACAGGAGCACCCAGATTCATAAAGCAAGTTCTTTAGAGACCTATAAAGAGACTTAAATAACCACACAATAATATTTGGAGATTTAAACATTCCACTGACAGTATTAGATAGATCATTGAGGCAGAAAAATTGACAAGTGGAACCTAATTACACTAATTTAACTAAAGAGCTTCTGCAAAGCTAGAAACTATCAACAGTGTAGACAGACAACCTAGAGAATGGGAGGAAATATTTGCAAACTATACACCCTGCAAAGGTCTGATATCCAGAATCTATAAGGAACTTAAACAAATAAAAAACAAAAAAGCGCATTAAAAACTGGGCAAAGGACATGAGCAGGCACTTTTCAAAAGAAGATATACAAGTGGCCAACAAGCATATAAGAAAAACCTCAACATCACTAATCATTAAAGAAATGCAAATCAAAACCGCAATGAGAAATCATCTCACACCAATCAGAATAGCTATTATTAAAAAGTCTAGGCCGGGCACGGCAGCTCCCGCCTGTAATCCCAGCACTTTGGGAGGCTGAGGCGGGCAGATCATGAGGTCAGAAGATCAAGACCATCCAGACTAACACGGTGAAACCCTGTCTCTACTAAAAAATACAAAAAATTAGCTGGGTGTGGTGGCGGGTGCTTCTAGTCCCAGCTCCTTGGGAGGGTGAGGCAGGAGAATGGCGTAAACCCGGGAGGCAGGGCTTGCAGTGAGCCAACATTGTGCCGCTGCAGTCCAGCCTGGGTGACAGAGCGAGACTCCATCTCAAAAAATAAAATAATAAAATAATATAAAAGTCAAAAACCAACAGATACTGGCAAGTTTGTGGAGAAGAAGGAACGCTTATACACTGCTGGTAGAAATGTACATTAGTTCAGCCATTGTAGAAAGTAGTGTGGTGACCTCAGATAACTTAAAAAAGAAGTACCACTCAACCCAGCACTCATATTTTTGGAAATGTACCCAAAGAAATTACATCATTGTACAATAAAGACACATGCATTCATATATTCATTGCAGCACTATTCAGAATAGGAAAGTCATGGAATCATCCTAAATGTCCATCAATGGTAAACTGAATAAAGAAAATGTGGTACATATACACCATGGAATACTATGCAGCCATTAAAAAGAACAAGATCATGTCCTTTTCAGCAACATGGATGGATCTGGAGGCCATAACCCTAAGCAAACTAATGCAGGAACTGAAAACCAAATACTACATGTTCTCACTTATAAGTGGGAGCTACACATTGAGGACATATGGACACAAAGAAGAGAACAACTGACAACAGGACCTACTTATGTAGATACTATCAGGTACTATGCTATGACCTGGGCAATGAAATAATCTATACATCAAACTCCAGTGACATAAAACTTACCTACATAACAAACCTGCGCATGTACCCCTGAATGTAAAATAAAAGTTTCAAAAAGTATATTATAAATTATATATAATATATTCTATTTCAACATTAACAAAATAATAAATAAATATGTAAAATTTCAAAATTAAAGTCAAACTACAAAAAGAGATATTAATTTTAATTATTTCAATGACCACAGATTCTAAGCTTTTCAAAGGAGATCACAATCTTTCTGTTATTTTCTTCCTGGCATTAGTTTTTTTTTTTTTTTTTGGTTTTTAATTTTTTTTTTATCAGTTACACATATTTCTAGGAAGTGTAGTAGCAAAAGGGCCCACAAAGATCCCTTCCAGCATCTGATTGAAATGGTTGAGGAGAAATTAGAAGTTAGAAGGTAGGGCAAAAAATTCATTGGTCTAAAAATTAAGAAACCATGCCAAATAGTTTATATATGTAAAGGAATTTCTGCCAGATAGTGAGAACTTCGTATGAAAAGTGACAGAAATCAGTGTACAACTCCATTTCCTGAGAGAGCACTGGTGTATTATGGAAGTTATATAAAAGAAGTACTGATAAATTTCTCCATCATTTATTTTCTTTTTTATTTTCTTTATTTTTTCTTTTTTTCCTTTATTTTTTAAATTGACAAATACTATGTATTTATGGTATACAACACGATGTTTTGAAATAGCTATACATTGTGAAATAGCTAAATGGAGCTAATTAATAAATGCATTACCTCATATTCTTATCATTTTGTTTTAGTAGGAACACTTAAAATCTACTCTTTTAGTAATTTTGAAGCATATAATACATTGTTCTTAACTGTAGTCACTATGCTGTACAATAAGTCTTTAAGATTATTCCTCTGTCTAACTAAAATGTTGTACCCTTTGACCAACATCTCCTCAGTCGTTCTGGAACATCCAGTGCCTAGTAGACACCATTCTACTCTCTGCTTCTATGAGTTCAATTTTTTAGGTTCCACAAATAAGGGAAATCATCCTGTATTTGTCTTTCTGTGCCTGGCTTACCTCACTTAACATAATGTCATTCAGGTTCATCCATGTTGTTATGAATGAACAGGACTTCCTTCTTTTTAAAGCTGAATATTAATCCAATGTTCATATATACCACATTTCATTTTTTCGTTCATCTGTTGATGTATACTTAAGTTGATTCTTTATTAAACTATTGTAAATAATGCTGCAATGAACATGGGAGTGCAGATATCTCTTCAACATACTGATTTCATTTCCTTTGGATATATATCCAGAAGTAGTATTGCTAGATCATATATGGTACTTCTATTTTTAATTGTTTAATGAATCTCCATATTATTTTCTATAATGGCTATACTAATTTGTATTACCACAAACGTACAAGAGCCCCCTCTTCTCCACATTCTCACCAACACTTGTTATCTCTTCTCTTTTTGATAATAGCCATCCCAACAGATGTGAAGTGATACCTATTGTGGTATAACTTGCATTATCCTCATGATTAGTGATATTTTTTTATATACCTGTTGTCCATTTGTATGGTTTCCTTGTGAAATCTCCATTCAAGTCATTTTCCCAGTTCAATATGGTTATTTGTTGTTGTTGTTGTTGTTTTTGCTATTGAATGGAGATCCTTATATATTTTGGATATTAACCCCTCATATGGTTTTGCTGTGTCCCCACCCAAATCTCATCTTGAATACCCATTGTGGGAGGGACCCGGTGGGAGGTGATTGAATCATGGGGGCGGGCCTTTCCTGTGCTGTTCTCATGAGAGTGAATAAGTATCACAAGATCTGATGGTTTTAAAAATGGGAGTTTCCCTTCACAAGCACACTCTCTTTACTTGCTGGCATCCATGTAAGACGTGACTTGCTCCTCCTTGCCTTCTGCAATTATTGTGAGGTTTCCCCAGCCAGGTGGAACTGTGAGTCCATTAAACCTCTTTTTCTTCCTGGTCTTGGGTATGTCTTTATCAGCAGCATGAAAATGGATTAATACAGTAAATTGGTACCAGTAGAGTGGGGCATTGCTGAAAAGATACCCGAAAATGTGGAAGCAACTTTGGAACTGGGTAACAGGCATAGGTTGAACAGTTTGGAGGGCTCAGAAAAAGATAGAAAAATGTGGGGAAAATTTGGAACTTCCTAGAGACTTGTTGAATGGCTTTGACAAAAATACTGATAGTGATATGAACAATAAGGTCCAGGCTGAGGTGGTCTCAGCTGGAAATGAGGATCTTGGGAGCTGGAGCAAAGGTGACTCTTGTTATGTTTCAGCAGAGACTGGAGGCATTTTGCCCCTGCCACAAAGACTTGTGAAAGTTTGAACTTGAGAGAGATGATTTAGGGTATCTGGTCGAAGAAATTTCTAAGCAGCAAAGCATTCAAGAGGTGACTTGAGTGCTGTTAAAGGCATTCAGTTTTAAAAGTGAAGCAAAGCATAAAAGTTTGGAAAATTTGCAGCATGACAATGCAATAGGAAAGAAAATCCCATTTTCTGAGGAGAAATTCAAGCTGGCTGCAGATATGTACATAAGTAACAAGGAGCTGAATGTTAATCCCAAAGACAATGGGGAAAATGTCTCCAGGGCATGTCAGAGACCTTTGCAGAAGCTGGTCCCATCACAGGCCCAGAGGTTTAGTAAGAAAAAATAGTTTCATGGGCCAGGGCTAGGGTCCCTCTACTGTGTGTAGTCTAGGGACTTGGTGCTCTCTGTCCCAGCTGCTCCAGCTGTGACTAAAAGGGGCCAAGGTACGGCTCTGGCTGTTGCCTCAGAGGGTGAAGGCCCCAAGCCTTGGCAGTTTCCACATGGCATTGAGCCTGCAGGTGCACAGAAGTCAAGAATTTAGGTTTGGAAATCTTCGCCTAGATTTCAGAAAATGAATGGAAACACCTGGATGCCCAGGCAGAATTTTGCTGCAGGGGTGGGGCCTTCATGGAGAACTTCTGCCAGGGCACTGCAGAAGGCAAATGTGTAGTGTAACCCCCACACAGAGTTCCTACTGGGGCACTGCCTAGTGCAGCTGTGAGGAAATGGCCACTCTCCTCCAGACCCCAGAATGTTAGATCCACTGACAGCTTGCATCATGTGCCTGGAAAAGCTGCAGACATTCATTGCCAGCCCATGAAAGCAGCTGGGAGGGGGGTTATACCCTGCAAAGCTACAGGGGTAGAGCTGCCCAAGACTGTGGGAGCCCACCTTTTGCATCAATGTGACCTGGATGTGAGACATGGTGTCAAAGGAGACCATTTTGGAGCTTTAATGTTTGACTGCCCCACTGGATTTTGGACTTGCATGGGGCCTGTAGCCCCTTTGTTTTGGCCAATCAATTTCTCCCATTTGGAATGGTTGTATTTACCCAATGCCTGTGCCCACATTGTATCTAGGAAGCAACTAACTTGCTTTTGATTTTACAGGCTTACAGGCAGAAAGTACTTGCCTTATCTTGGATGAGCCTTTGGACTGTGGACTTTTGAGTTAATGCTGAAATGAGGCATGAGTGCTTTTGAAATGTGAGGCCATAAGATTTGAGAGGGGTCAGGGGTGGAATGATATGTGTCCCCACCCAAATATCATCTTGAATTCCCATGTGTTGTGGGAGGGACCCAGTGGGAGGTGATTGAATCATGGGGGCAGGTATTTCCTGTGCTGTTGTTGTGATAGTGAATAAGTCTCATGAGATCTGATGGTTTTTAAAAGCAGGAGCTTCCCTGCACAAGCTCTCCCTCTTTGCCTGCCACCATCCGTGTAATATATGACTTGTTCCTCCTTGCCTTCTGCCATGATTGTGGAACTGCGAGTCCATTAAATGTCTTTTTCTTCCCAATCACAAGTATGTCTTTATCAGCAGCATGAAAATGGACTAATACAACCCCTTATCAGATGTAAGGTTTGTGAATATTTTCTCCTATTTTATAGGTTGACTCTCTGCTTTGTTGATTACTTCCTTTGCTATGTAGAAGCTTTGTAGTTTGATGCAATCCTATTTGTCTATTTTTGCTTTTGTTGCCTGTGCTTTGGGATCATGTCCAGAAAATCATTGCCTAGACCAAGACCATGGAGCCTTTTCCCCTATGTTTTCTTCTAGTAGTCTTACATTTTCAGATCTTATGTTTAAGTATTTAATTCATTTTGAATTGATTTTTATATATGGTGTGAGATAAGTATCCAATTTCATTCTTCTGCATGTAGACATCCAATTTTCTTAACATCACTTATTGAAGAGACTAGAGACTGTCCTTTCCCCATTGTGTGTTCTTTGCACTTTTATAAAAAATCAATTGACTGTATATGGGTGGATTTGTTTCTGGACCACCAATGTATCCTAATTTAAAGTAGTGGAAGATGAAGATGAAGGCATTTGAAAGCCTTTTCTGATATCAAATTTGCTATACTCGTATTTCCTTTCTTGACTTTGAAAGACCTATAGCATTTAAGAGCAAGGATGCCATTCAATTCTCTCTCTTACATTGTCTGTGTTTCCCTTAATTTTCTACAAAGTTCAAAGAAGGTGTTACCAAAAATGTTCTTATCTGTTCTGGGGTATGCTATCAAAATATCCTATCTCCTCATCTAATTTTGTATGCTTTATGTATTTTCTTATTTTTTAGAAAAATTTTATAAGCCCCACATTTATTGCTTTTTTTTCTTTTTATGTTTGAATAGATTCAATCCATGTAGGCATACTGAGTGCCAAGACTTAATACTAGAAGAATCTTCTTGGGAGACCAGTGGTCTCTAGCTGTGGTGCTACATTAAAGATAGAAATTACAGCAGATCCTTTGTCAGAAACTACTCAAACCAAGAAGTCAAAGGAGTGGCATTCTTAAAGTGCTGAAAGCAAACAAAACAAAACAACCTGTGAACTCAGGATTCTATGAGCAGCGAAAATATTTTTCAAAATGAAGGAGAAATAAAGCCTTCTCTAGACAAACAAAAATTAAGAATTATTAACTGTAAAACCCTCTACAAATTTTTAAAC
The DNA here is from genome assembly GCF_000001405.40 of Homo sapiens. Lineage (NCBI taxonomy): Eukaryota > Metazoa > Chordata > Mammalia > Primates > Hominidae > Homo > Homo sapiens. The sequence goes on from NC_000006.12 coordinate 112,978,257, forward strand.
AAAAGTTTTTAGACAGAAGCAATGATACCACACAGAAAAATTAAGTATAATAAGTTCTCATTTAGCATCTTGGATAAGTACGTGGAAACCAAGACTTTATGTGAAATGATGGACAGTAGGTCCTAGAATAATGTCATTTAGTTCAATGCTATTTCTTTATTATGTTGATAAGAAAAAAGCTGGTTTTGTTTTATGTCATTTTACTTAAAGTTGCAGTTTCCAAGAATCTATTGATGATGTGAAGTGAGGACTTACAGTATACACAAAGAAGTGAAGATCTCTGGAAATGGCTAAAATAAAGGTAATTATAATAGGAATTTTTTATTATTTTTGATTACTCTAAAACAAAATTATGTTTCTATTACAAAATTAGTAGTAATATATTTTGTATTTGTAGCATGTATACAGGTAAAATGTATAACAACAATAGCATTAAAATCAGGAGAGAGGAATGGGGATTTTACCCCAGGAGAGTAGGTAAGGTTCTTACTTTTCACCTGAAGTGCTATGATATTTGATACTGGTTTTGGAGCTAGATGACATGAATTCATTCAGAATTTTGAAAGAGTGAAGGAACTGGAATGTTTGGGATTATAAATGCCATCAAATATATTATACTGGGAGTATTTCTGTCTCACCATAAAGCTACAATCATTCACTTTGGAAAGCAAAGAAACCGACAGACAAATTAAGGTTAATCATTGTCTATTGTGGTAAACAATGCTAAATTTTAGCAATGATAGTAAATTATCCTAGAGGATATTTAAGTTTAGGCTTATCATCAGAGCTTTAAATTTTTGATCATGTTCCATGTCTTCTTAGTGATTTTACAAAGTTCTCCAGAAGAAATAAACCTACTAAATTTTATCAGGAAAGCAATAACAAACTATTACAAAATGTAATGAAATTAGTACCTAAAAAAGTCAGATATAATTTGTATGAAACAAAACCACAAGAGGAGAAAAACAACAAAAGGAGAACTACAAAGCTGAGAAAGACATGAGTAATTATGGTGAATTCTCCATATCATTAAAATGATTTATCAACTCTATCAGTTCAAGGCACACTAAGTTTGGAATGAAATTGACAAAATTTGCTTAATTAGCTGTACTACTACAGGCCTATCCCTTAGTATGTCATTCATTGAACAAATGAACCTTAAATGAATGACCAATTCAACATTGGCCATTGACATTGAAGCTTCAGAGAGGATGCCAGGGTCACACTGAGCCATAGCTTAAGGCAAAAGAAAAATTCATTGACACTGATGTACCTTTATTTAAAATTATGATGTTTTAATTCATTATGGATTTTCTAAGTTAATTTTTATTTTTACAAATATTACACTGTATATTTTTATCTTGATTACTGAGTTTCGCAGCGCCTCCTTAAATTTTGTGTCCAAGACATGTTCCTCACTCATCTCACCCTAGTCTTGGCCATAAAGAATGATACCCAGGGTATTTCTACTGCTAAAACCTTTGCTCTGTGTGGTGTTCTAATTGTAAGACAAAACAAAACAAAACAAAAGTCAATATGTGAAGAATAAGAATCTAAGTCATATCTACTTTGTATTCAATTAACAGTATGAACCTTCACATCCTGGAAATATAGTGGTTAGAAAGCATTTGAGTTATGACCTTTGTTTTATGACAAAAGAGCAGAACATTTCCTCCCATGAATAACATAAGGGAATGAGACCAATTAGCCGTTTAGGGTTATGCATTTCCGTGTTCTCAGAGAACAGAGGTCATTTACTGAAAATCAGTCAGAGTCAAGTTTTTAACTCTCCTCTCCGTGCTACTAATGCCCTCGGGACAAAAAAGCTGGAAGATTGCCAATCCAGTACATTTTTTATTGTCTAAGGGACATTGGAAGAGAATCCATCAGTGACTTGAGAGACACAGGCCCCAGCCAAATGAGGATAGCACGAGTGAGAGAAAAATTCATGAATAGGGAGCAAAGATCTTTTCATAGCTCTTTAACTGTGTCTGTTTTATAAAATTTAAATTTGTTCATTTTGTAATAGAGTTGTGAGAACATGTATTTGTCTCCCTTGATAAAACCTCTGACTCATCTTTATCATCCACAGCACTATAATTAAGAAGTGGGTTTTCAATAACTATTAGATAATTAAGAATTAATTAATAAAGGAATTTCTAATTTATCCTAAACTCACAAAACATATTTTAGGAAAACATTTTTACAGAAGAGTATTACATCATACATTCTAATTGATCTCAAATTAGTGCACCATTAACTTTGTCCATTAGGATGAGAAATTAATACCTTATTAGCTCCAGATGAGCCTTAAATACAGTCATGCACTGCAAAATATTTCAGTCAGTTACAGACCACATATGTCAAAGTGGTCCTATAAGATTATACAATATTTTTACTATACCTTTTCTATGTTTACATACACAAATACTTAGCATTGTGCTTCTGTTGCCTGCAGTATTCAGTACAATAACATGCTGTACAGGTTCATAGCTTAGGAACAATAGGCTATACCATACAGCCTCTGTGTGTAGTAGGCTACATTATCTAGGTTTATGTAAATACACTCTATAATATTCACACAAGGACAAAATCGCCTAATGATGCATTTCCCGAATGTATCCCCATTGTTAAGTGATGCATGACTGTATATCTAAATCACAGCTGATATCTAGAACATATTACTGCGTGAAAGAAGTCATTCAATTACACTCTACTGTGTGACATGTTCAACTGTGCCAAGTTAGGTCTGCTTTTCTATTTTGATTCAGAAGAAAAAAGAAAGAAAAACATGAGGGGACACATATTCCAGTAGAGGTTCACCATCTCAAATATAAAAAAGCAAATGCTGGAGAAAGTGAGGAGAAATAAAGAGAGGTAAGAATTAGTCAATTTGAGAAATTCCAGGACAAACATACTTGAAATTGTAAAAAACATTATTACTTAATGACACATTTGGTAGGGCTGCCTGAAAACTTGGAAAAAGGCTTCTGAACAGATCAAGTTTTAGGGAGGAAGCTATCATTCATCAAGTTATGAATAAAAGGATATATTAAACATGGAGTTTTTCATCAGTAAAAAACTCCAATTACAATGGACAAATATATTCTGTAACAGAGTTTGCCAAAGATATAACTGTTGCCCCCTACATATTGTCAAACTCATTTTTCATCAGTGGCAAAATTTTAATTGACTTTAATAATGTTTATTGTTATTTGTTTCTTAATTATCCTTTTCCATTTAGTTTTTGCTTGTTTTTATATCTTAAAATTGTTCCCTTTGTCACATGGTTTGTGCTTTAAAGTTCCTCTGCTAATTTATTTTTCTACAGTTACATACTAGTTAACCACATTGGATTCTATCCTTTGTTTATATTTTTACAACATAAATTTAATTCTAGTTTCTCTCACTGGATCAAAACTATTCCCTTTTTTACTAAAGTATTATTTCTGGGCATATTTACATTCTAATTCCTTAGGGTTCCTCTTATTTTACTCAAATAAATGTTTGCCACATTCAAAAATTAACCTACTATATTATTTTCATAAAGTTGAACAGTTTTACACATAATTTTAAAATACTTGTTTCTAATTTGGCTCTTATTATTTTAAGAATTTAGGCACTTTAACTTATTTGGTCATAAGTGATCATTTTCACATTGAAATCCACTAACATGAAAAATAAAAACATACAAATGTCTTTTGCTGCGCATATGGTAACCTTTTCTAGTTTGAGAGTCCCACTTGTTAACTGGCTAGGACTGATATACCAAAATATGGTATAATATTTTGAGAAAGATTTTACCTTATGCATTTGAGCAATTTTCTTTCTTTGCCTTGGGTGTTCATGTCTGTGTGTGTGTGATAGTGTGACAATGATTGAGATTGCTTTAGTATATGGAATTACATATTGCTATCTGTGAAAATAGAAATTGTGTCCTTTGTCTCTACTACCCAAAAATTTTCAAGAGATACTAGAAATTTTATCATCTTGACATTTTATATAAACAAACCTGGCTTATTTAAAACAAACATAATTGAGCAGCATATTTTAGTCTTGGCACACGGCAGATGGTTAAGAGTTGTGTGGAGAATCAATAACCTATACCTCAACATGGCTGGCCTTCCATGCAGTGCTGATGATGCTGTACCTTTCAGTGAACCAGCAAATGCAGTAACATGTTAAGCAGAGCTGTTTATTAGAAGGCAGTATGTGAGCAAAGTGCCAAAAAGGGGGAACTGCTGACAGTGAAAGCAAAGACTTTCTATATCCCCAAGTCTCTCTTGATCAGTTGTTAGGCCTTTCTGGTCCTTAGTCTCCTTATCTGCAAACTGCAAATGCTTGCCTGGATCTCTGGTGTTAAACTGTGTCTTGTGGCACCTTCAAAGTGAGTGAAGATGCCTTAAGGGCTGCCTGACAGATGAGAGGAAGCCTCTTGAAATAAAACATTAGACATTCCTTGGGCAGATCGATTTGGTGTTATCTCTTTGCTGTTATCTACAGTGGATATTGGGACTTCATATAAGATTTTATTTGCAACAACGCTTTGATAACTAACACATTTGAAAACTATCTAATGGTGTTTTCCATTTTAAAAGCCAGTTTTCTTATGGATTAAATATAATATGTAAGATATAATGAATCATATATCTTTAATTGCACCTTTCAGCTTTTATAAGGTTGCCACATTCATCACCTCATTGAATCATGTGTTAGGACAAGTGTGATCCCCACTTTGCACAAGAGGCTCAGAGCCATCACATTATCTGTCCTGGTAACACCAGGACTAGAATCTAGTCTCCTCCTAGATCCACTCCACTCTACCATCTCTCTTCCTTTTGTGTCAGATCCAATATGACAGCTGCCATTTTCCATTCTAATTTGGACTTACTCATCTAACAGAAAGATTTTGACTAATTCTTGTGGCACATCTAAACTCAGTGTATATAAATTGTTCATAGAGTTTTATAAGAATTATATGAATAAAAGAATAAATGAAATTATATGAATAAATGAATCATATATCCTTTTATTCATAACTTAATGAATAAATGAATTATATGAATAAATTATATGAATATATGATTTTACCCCAAAAACATGTCTTTAACCTAGGCACGTATGATGGATAGATTTTCAGTTCTAAAGAAAGCTCTCTATTGCCTGTACAAATCGTAGCTGAGTGATATCCACAGGGCACTAAATGTTGTAACTAACCTTCATTTCCCTACATCCGCTAGATTTTAGCAATGGTGCCTAATAAGAGTTAGTTGTGTTTGTTCCCCAACTTGGTGTTGCCTCTTTTCTTGATGTTATAATTTATAATTATGCATTAATTATGTATCATAAAAACCTATGATATATGGCTTTGAACGATTTTTTTTTTTGGTGAAGGGTTGAATGCCTTGTGAAGGTTTGATGAAAGCAAGTCACTTAGAAATGCTATCAGATTAAGTACAGGTAAGGAAACCATAAGAAAGAGCATTGCCCTTTAAAGTAATTATTTTGTTCAACCTATTTCACAATATGCTGAAAGAGCCTACTATATTGCTCAATATTTACTTTATAGATGCATTCAACTTTTACCCAAGTTCAATACCAGATCCTCAAAGGATTTATAGGTAGCATTTAAGGAATGAATCAGCTACTTGGATACCAGAAGGCCCTGAGAAGAACCAAGCCAGAATTAAAGAAGAATGTTTTCGTTAGCCTAATTACATATTTCAAAGGTCAAATGATTGTATTTAATGTTGTTTATTGTCATCATAAACCTTGTCATCATCAACTTAAGGCTTGTAGGTCATACTGCCCAAACAGACAGACAAGCAGAGAAGTTAGCTGAACTAAAGGAACTGTGAGACTGGATGTTAAGTACTTATCTTGCAATCATGAAAATTGGCACAAGTCCAGAAAATAATTTGTGTTGCTCCAAAGTGAGATGGAAATATATTCAACTTTTACAATATGTTTTAAGTTTCTGATGGTATTAATGTTGGTTTTTCCTTGTTCAAAGGAAGACGTTTATATTTCTGAGAATTAAAACATCAAAAGCAGCCATTAATGTGATGTTTCCTTAAATTCACAAAAGAAGAATCAAATAATGTTTATATGAGGGGGTACTGAAAAATGTGTACAAAGTATTCTTGGAGCACAAATGAGAGACTTCAACTCTTTCTCAAACATCAGTGATGATTTTACAGAGAAGACATTTGTGTTGCATTAAAAGAAGGAATTTACAAAGTAGAGAAGAGGTGAAAGCAAGAAGGGTGATGTGGAAGAGCCAACTGAGGAAGGACAGAGGTCTCAGCGTGGAAGGAGTACAGGAAATGATGAAGGTAAGGTTGAGAAAGAGATGGGGAAGGATAGATGGCTTTTCTAAGAAGTGGTTTTCATTTTTTTCCCAAGCTCATCTTGGAGTGGTTTTCATGTTCTCAGTCTAGGTATGAATGTGCAATCACTTAGAAACTACTTAAAAACTACACTCAGCTGAATGTTGGGAAAACAGTGTTCTATGTTGAGAGATAAAGGAAAAAGAAGACAAGTGTCATTTCTCCATTGTTTATTCAGTGCCAGCCACAGAGTTAGACATTGTTTGTGGTTTCATTTAATTATTTAAAATCTTATGAGGCATTACTATTAATTTTTCTATTTTGAAGATAAGGCAACTGAGTCTTAAAAATGTTATGTGGCTTACTTCAAAATTCCCTAACCAATTAATGGCATAACAGGGACTCGTTCACAGACTAACTTTGGAGCTGACTCTGTAAAGTAATAAGCCAGCTAGGCTGTCTCTCACTGACCTTCAGAGCATAAAGCCCAGGGCAGCAGCAGTTAAAGGAACCATTGTTATGAGCAAAACTCTTACAGAGCTGCATGGGAGCGAGAGGTTGGGGGTAGGCAGAATAAGGGGTGGCACAGATTTCACTGGGGCCCACATCAACATGGAACCAGGCTATGGTTTGTAAGGTCCCCAGAGAAGCCAAGTATAGGAAAGCAGCAGTGCTAGGTTCTTCTGTAGCACACACTCCAGTCAGAGGTCTGACTGACATCCCAGATGGCTGAGGAGGACTGGCTTTACTGGACTCAGTGATAGGTTGATTGGATACATTGCTCATTCAGGCTATATCAAAGGCCCAGGTACATGAATGACTCCAGTTGCAGGTCCTGCCCTTGCCTCTCTGCTTTGAATATACGGAGTATTTTGGACCCAACACAGCCACATGGGACATACCCCACTCATCACCCCAGGTCAACTGACCTTTCCATACACAACAATTCCAGGTGCATGACTGCTGTAGCTGCACCCCAGGGATTTTCTTCCTCCTCTCACCCACCTTGCCTTGACTGCTGAAAAGAGGTGCAGGCAGGTACCATTCATAGCCCAGTGAACCATCTCTCTCCTATCAACCCAGGTGCCCAATTTCTTATGTATAAACACTAATGTATATTTCCCTAAGGGTAAGATCAGAGAGTTTTATATATGATGACTTATTTGTGCCAGAGAATAAATGAGCAAGCATATGATCAGATCTAAGTTATGCCTTAGTTCAAAAATGCTGACACACATGTGACAGGGAGATAGTAATTATATGTATGAATTATATCTGCTACTGATGATTTGTTTACTTAATGTTTCTTAAATTATCAGAATCTCTACAAGGAGTAACATTAACCATGTGGCATTTTTAAAACATAACACGATATAAATAGATATATGAGAATTGCACATGTTCTGAATTTGTCATAGGGACAAACTTAATTAAACTTTTAACCCTGTGTTTAGTCACAAACTATATGCTTCTCTCTCAAGCTTTATAATTGCACTCATTAAATGTATATGCAATAAAATAAATGAATCAATAACAGGCATTATAATTATATTGGTAACTTTACAGTAATAATACAATAGTATTATTTAACTTTGCTATAATAAATACTGTTAGTTATGGGAATCTATGAGCGTTGTCTGAGGGAGTGACTTTCTAGTTTATATTTTAGAAAAATAGTTAAAATCTACAAAAGCAGTTGTAATTCTTTATGTTTAACTTGGCCAAACAAATTATTGCAAATTTTAGGAAACTAGATTAGATTATATAAATGTTTTAAATTCTTCTTCCAAAGAGGGAAGGAGACCTGTTTAAAACATCATAATGGTGACGTCTTGAAACATAAAATGCCTTTCTGGTCATGATGCATTTATGCAAACTAGAGTATAAATTCAGCTCCTGGCAGAATGATTAATGCATTTACATTAACTCTTGGGAAATATTATGGCAAAGGGGTTATAAGTGTCTTTAGTTTGGCACACATGGAATAATTACTTTCTTGCTTTCATGATTCAGCCTAGGCCTTAGAAAATCAAAGGATAGCCTGGCCCACGTGTTGCAAAGAATTCCTATGTATAACTAATAGAAAAAAATAAGACTCCCTGAAGCTACTGTTTGACATGATTGCAGTACCAGTTTGATTATTACAGGAACAATGAAAGGGATTTGTATAAAGGTCATATAATGGACCTAAGTTTCCCTAGTGGACATTAAGAGTAAGTTAATTTGAGAAACACGGATCGGAGGTGGAAATAATTAGATATTGTCATGCTATGTCCACTCTTGATTGTTGGTCTTGCACTTTAGCTTTGACTTATAGTAATAAGATGCATGCCTGTAGTTTTTGAAATCTGAAAGTCCTTTCAATATTTGTAACAGAACCCTTAACATATAGGACTTATACTGTGTCATTTTGAAAAGAAAACTTTCTTCTGGGATAACATATTAGGCCTTTCCCTTAGTAAAAAGAAACAAATGTAACTTTCCTGACTAGAAAATTTACATCACTAAAGACAGAAAAGTTATTATTAGATTATTTTCCTTTACATGATTATCTCTGTCTTCATTCAAAATGGTGTTTTTGCCTCTCATTTCTCATAGTCCCATTTTCTTTAGGTGATGAGCAGTTTTTAAAAATTATAAATTATTTTTGTTACATACAATTTAATTTCAGTCCATCAACAAGGATTTTTTACATTTCCAGTGAATTGTACTATGTCAATAGTTCCTGTCCAAGTACAAAATGGTTTAGCAGAGTTTCATCACCAAATCTTCTTATGTCATTAAACTCATCAAGTACACCTTAGTTGTATGTCTCATGAAAATACAGATTTTTTCCAAAAAAGTATGTTAATCAGGAAATATGTCAAGTAAGTAGAAAAGAGATAGTCATACACTGAAATAGATTGCAAGAGGGAGAATACATGGAAAGAGAAAAAAACAATTACATTATTACACTGACATATATTTCTTTTCTCCTATTTTGCCTTTCAAAAGACCTGAATGGAGCTGGAAAGCTGAAGGCAATTGTTTATCTCATCACCTCCTCATGGAAGTGTATAAAACGCACTGAGGCCTAGAAGGCTTATGTTACTTTCCCTAAAACACACAGCAAGTAGCCAATAGAGACAGGCCTAGAATTCAATTTCCTGACCTCACTAATGTATTATTTAATATCCTCTGACTCTGGGCTAGAATGATATCTAGAGATCATTCACATAAAGCAATACTTTAAGTCATGAAAGAAGATGAAATTTCTCAGAATAACAATAAGAAGTGAGAAGAAAAATGTCTCAAGGCAAAATCTCAGATTGCATTAACATTCAAAACACAGGAAAAAGTAGACTCACTAATAAGGGAGATGCTTAAATGACCAGGGAGTGTACAGGAGAGCCAAGGCAAAACAGAATCATGGAAGCCAAGGAAGAATGAATTTTGAAAAGAGGGCGTATGGCATCAGCAAATAATTCAGAGGTCAGGTTTCCTCCTTGAAACCCTTTCTTCCTTTCTGTGATACATTCTCCTGGGATTTGTTTGTTTTTCTTTACCTCTCTAGTAGATCATTCAGCCTCCTTTGCTGGCTCATTTTTTCCCTGGTGTGCCTCTAATTTTTAGAATGGCTCAGGTCTGTCTTTTTTTTTTTTTTTTCAACTTTTATTTTAGATATAGCGGGTACATGTGCAGGTTTGTTACATGGGAATATTGCATGATGCTGAAGTTTGGAATATGTATCCCATCACCCAATTGGTGAGCTTAGTACATGGTAAGTAGCTTTTTAACCCAGTTTCCCCCTACCCTCTAGTAGTCCACAGTGTCTATTCTTACACTTATGTCCATGTGTGCTTAACATTTAGCAACCAGTTATAAATGAGAACATGCAGTATTTGGTTTTCAAACAATAACGAAAAGAAAGACTGTGATATCCTTTGAAAAGTTTAGAATATGTGATCATTGAAATAATTAAAATCAATTAATATATTATTTTGTAGTTTGACTTTAATTTTGAAATTTTACATATTTATTTATTTACTATTTTCTTAATGTTTAAATAGAATATATATAATTTATAATATGCTTTTTAAAACTTTTATTTTACATTCAGGGGTACATGTGGAGATTTGTTATATAGGTAAGTTTTATGTCACTGGAGTTTGATATACAGATTATTTCATTGCCCAGGTCATAGCATAGTACCTGATAGTACCTACATAAGTAGGCCCTGGTGTCAGTTTTTCTCTTCTTTGTGTCCATATGTCCTCAATGTGTAGCTCCCAGTTATTAATGAGAACATGTGGTATTTGTTTTTCAGTTCCTGCATTAGTTTGCTTAGGATTATGGCCTCCAGCTCCATCCATGTTGCTGAAAATGACATGTTTCTTTTTTATGGCTGCATAGTATTCCGTGATATAAATATACCACATTTTCTTTATCCAACCCACTGTTAATGGGCATCTAGGTTGATTCCATGTGTTTGCTATTTTGAATAATACAATGATGAACATGTGAGTGCATGTGTCTTTTGGTAGAATGATTTATTTTATTTTGGGTATATACCCAGTAAAGGGATTACTGGGTCAAGCTATAGCTCTATTTGAAGTTCTTTGAGAAATCTCTGGACTGCTTTTACAGTGGCTGGACTAATTTAGATGCTGGTAAGGTCTAGGTCCTGTATAACCCATTCTTCTCCATCTGTAGCCCCTAAATGACCTAAATTCAGGCTTATGTCTTTAATAGCATCCACATGTTAATAACTCCCAAATCTACATCTCCAGCTCTGCTTTTTCTGAGAAAGTTCTTACTTTTGTATACAAAATCTTTCTTGATATGTACGTATATATATATACTTTTCAAACTCCATAAGGGTAACTCTTGCATTTTACCCCCAACCTGCTCCTCCTCAAGTCTTCTCCATTTTGGTAAACCATCATTGTTGTTATAAGTTCAATAGGAGAAATATAGAGGGTGTTATAGAAGCATGTAACGAGGAGATGTAACTCTAACAAGGTATCAGGGAAGACATCTTAGAGAAGAGGAATTTAAGAGCCAAAGGGTCCCGAAGGTCCTGAAGGATGAGTAGGAATCTGTAATAGCATTTCTTGGACACTAAAAATTCAAGTGTTCCCCATGATTATTCTTGGTCTCTTCAGTACTACACCTAATCTACTTCTACTTAAAAACCACACCTTGAATATGTCTTCCACTTCTCCTTTTTCCCTCTCACTAGCTTAATCCTAACATCTTCAATCTAGACTCCTGCAATAATCTCCTGATTTTTCTTTCCATTCTTGATCTTCTATATTCTATTCTCCAAAGAGAAGAGGAATTTGATTTAAGACATAAATCAGATCTTGTTTCCTCCCTATCTAAAACCCTTCAGGTATTTCTATCTCAATTAAAATTAAACCCATAATTTTGCTTTGGCCCGCACAACCCAACCCTCTAGCATTTAGTCTCTACCTAATACTCTAGTGTCATCTTGCACTACTTTCTTCTTGTCAATTTCCTCCCAGTGTCACTGACTTTTTATATTGTGATTGTTCTTTAAATATTGTACAAGTTGAATCCCATTTCAGGGCTTTTGAACCGACTATTCCTTGACCTAGAAAACTTTCCCTTGGATCCTTGCAGAGGTGGTTATTCCATATCACTCACGTCTCCTTTTTTTTTTTTTTTTTTTTTTTTTTTTGAGACAGAGTTTCGCTCTGTCACCCAGGCTGGAGTGCAGTGGCGCAATCTCTGCTAACTGCAACCTCCACCGCCTGGGCTCACGCCATTCTTCTGCATCAGCCTCCCGATTAGCTGGGATTACAGGCGCCTGCCCCCACGCCTGGCTAATTTTTTGTATTTTAGTGGAGACGGAGTTTCATCGTGTTAGCCAGGATGGTCTCGATCTCCTGGTCTCATGATCTGCCCGCCTCGGCCTCCCAAAGTGCTGGGATTACAGGCGTGAGCCACTATTTATGCCACCCTGAGAGAGGCCTTCACTGAGCAGCTAGGAATTGTCTAGTACATTATTACCCTGTTTTAAATCTCTTCACAGCATACTACTATCTGATATTTTCTGTTTGTTTTCTCTGTCCATTTTCCGTTTGTTTTCTCTGTCCATTTTCCAGAAATGTAAGTTTCATGAAGAGAGAAACTTTCCTGGTCCCAGAATTATGCCACATGTAGAAGGCATTTAATATGTGTTGATTAAAATAACAACAAAATATTATTATCAGGTGGCCATTGGCTGTTTAGATATGACACTGAGTTGAAAGAGTAGTAAAATAGAATGCAAAAAGTCAAATGTTTCCAGGTCGATAAATTCTCTATTCACTTATGTGACTGACATAGGATTTGGGCTATGGAAGTGGGCAAGGCAGTCATAGGCTTTACCCATTAGGGAAAAATATTACCTGCTTGTCATTGTTGTTATAAGTTCAGTAGGAGAAGTATAGAGAGTGTTATAGAAGCATGTAACCAGGGGATGTAACTCTAACTAGGTACCAGGGAAGACACCTTAAAGGAGAGGAATTTAAGAGCCAAAGGGTCCTGAAGGTCCTGAAGGATGAGGAGGAATTTGTAATAGCATTTCTTGGTGACTAGTTGCACTGGTATGTAAATTGAATGTCATGATGTCTGAGGGAGAGAAACACCACATCTGATTGATTGCTAGTTATTAGAAATATATATCCTTCATTGAAGATGAGTGAAGTGATACATTTGGATTTCTGATAAGCCTTATGAGAGCTTAGTTAGTAGAAACACATTTTCTGAAAACTCACTAATGTGGTGTTCACTAATAAAATGGAATTTGAGTACTTGAAAATTTGGATACCAGATAGTGGTCTATTGTGAATGCCCCAAATACTAATTTCCTGTTTGACATTGCCTCTCTGTGACACAGGTTTCAACTTCCACAATTTTATGAAGGCAATGCATTATGCATTTTATGATATCCTAAGATCCAGTTTACATCTTATTCCTCCTACAATTTAGTTTAACTGACCACTGTTCTAGACAGTGCTTAGGCAGCTAACATAAGTGGGCATAATCCCTGCTTAAAGAAACTCAGTAGACAGCCGGGTGCCGTGGCTCACGCCTGTAATCTCAGCACTGTGGGAGGCTGAGATGGGCAGATCACGAGGTCAGGAGATCGAAACCATTCTGGCTAACACAGTGAAACCCCGTCTCTACCAAAAATACAAACAATTAGCCGGGCTTGGTGGTGAGCGCCTGTAGTCCCAGCTACTCGAGAGGCTGAGGCAGGAGAACGGCGTGAACTCGGGAGGCGGAGCTTGCAGTGAGCCAAGATCTCCCCACTGCACTCCAGCCTGGGCAACAGAGCGAGACTCCGTCTCAAAAAAAAAAGAAACTCAGTAAACATGTTATACACACACACACACAGAGAAAATAAGTGCAACAACTGATGTTTGTGCAGAATGTTAACATAGCACAGATGAGAGGCTCTCAGCCTAGAACATAGATTCAGGTAAGGTTACTGAAAAAGCTGATTCTTAAAGGGTAACTCAATAAATAAAAGCTGAGTAAGGGAATCTTTTCTTACCCTCTTTATAATTACGACAACGTCATCATTTGTAACATCTATTACTATTTTCTCTCCCATTTTATGCTTCAAAAAACAATTTTGAGTCATTGTTTCAATCTTGTAATGTCTGAGATCTAAGGCAAAACAATTCAACAATCAATGTTCATTTAACAATTGTTGACATTAGCAACAAAATACCTAAAAGGGATATTAGCCAATATCAACAATATTATAAATGCTGACCAAATGCCAGCCAAATAGTATTTAATCTAATATTTAGATGGAAAGTAAAATTTGCATGTACTTTTCCATTTCAAATTTGTGAAATATATATGCATGAATGTTGAAAATTTTATTTTAACTCCAAAACTGACAAATTTCATAGTCCCGATAGAAGGACCCCTTTTTCCCTAGGTTTCATAGAAGTTAAACTTCTAGTAATTTAGAAAAAAAATTATCCGTTAAACATTTTAAATTGTGACTTCTTAAAGGATGACAACTATATTAGAAAATAAGGTTAGAAAGCTTATATTGAATACTACAAATTTAAAATACAATAAGGAAAGTTGTAAGCTAGTTTTAATTTTATCGACTGATTTAAGTGGTTAAATGGCATGCAGTCCTCTCTCAAAAGCACAACTCCTAACTTAATTTTTGTTAGTCTTTGTTTGGATTGTTGATATTTACCATCAACTATGAATTTGATTAAGTGTTAAGTACTAGTTTTTTTTTATTATTATACTTTAAGTTTTAGGGTACATGTGCACAATATGCAGGTTAGTTACATATGTATACATGTGCCACGCTGGTGCGCTGCGCTGCACCCACTAACTCGTCATCTAGCATTAGGTGTATCAAAAACTTTTGAACATCTGTTGAGTTCTGTATTGTTTGATCAGTAGGTTTTCATATTGTTACTATGTTAGTAAACCTTAACTTTCCGGAAGTGCTTTAAAATCTTGTCTCAAGTTAAATGACAATGTAAACAGTAACTAGGTCTATAAAATGACAAAAGGTGTCACATTGATTCTGAACCACAAGATATTCGGTATTACTGTAGGATGACTATAATTAGAAATAATGTCTTATACAGTTTCAAATAACTAGATGGAAGATATTGAATATTCTCAGTCTAAAGAAATGATAAATGTTTCAGGTGATGGATCTGCTAATTTCCTTGATCTGATTATTATACATCATATGTACTGAAACATCACTTGTATCACATATATATTTATAATTACTGTGCCAATTATAAAATATGAAAAAGAGATAGAACTTGTATTTTTCCTACCACTCCACTTTTTTTCTGATGCAATTATCTTTCATAGCCATTGACATCAGAAAGACAAATTCTTTTCCATGTCGGCCTCAAGCAAAATTTTAAAGTCATAAATGTATGAGATTTTGACTTTATGTAAAGCCCTGACAGGACTGAATTCATAAATTTTTTGGATGGGAAGCATTCCTAAAGATCATCTAGTCAAACAGATAAAAAATAAATCAGTAAAAGGAGACAAAACTGATGTTCATGAAAGTGAAGGAATTTTCCAGTAAATCCCCAGATAGCTGGTCAGGAATTGTCTCAACATCTACGTTCTTTTCATGGCCACACCAAAGGCGATGCAAAACTATTTCATATTATTATCATTATATTCCTTTTAGTATTTTCAATAAAATAAAAGTCCAAGTTCTCTGTAAACAAAGCTTCTTTACCTCCTACTTACCTATTCTGGCTCATTTTCCACTATTACCTACTTTAAATCTTACGTTTCATGAATATTTGTATTTCCGTAAGGGAGGAGTATGTTTTCAAGCCTCTGTAGTTTTTTAAATGTTGTTCCCCCTGTCTGGACCGGCTTTCCCCACCTTTTCTATCAGACAAAGGGCTCCATTCTCATGGGTCACTTCCCACAGGCTGGGGTCAGTGTCTTCTTAGGTGTTCCCATGGAAGTACCCTTTTCTCCCCTAGCATATCACCTCTTAGAGGGAAAATATGGTACCTTGTGTTATCTTCAGATTATTAACACTTAGCACAGTGTCCAGCACATATCATGCCCTTGATGTTTTCTATTAAAGGGAATTAACAATGTGAAGCCACATTAACGTTTTACCCAAGGTTTTCATTTTACCTGAAAAATAATATAATTCATTTCTGTGCTTGATATCTAAAGGCAGAAATTTAAAAATCAAGCTCTTTTAATATATTATATTCAAATTATTTTTTAAAGTATGAATATTTAGTTTCTTCTTAAACATGATTTAAATGTATTGTACCTAATTTTTATCTCTTCTGGTTTATATGTAATATTTTCATTTCAATTGAATATACTTGGAAAAAAATTACTGCACTTAACAGCGTAATAAGAAGTCAGTTAACTCTTTTCTATTTGCAACTCCAAATCACAAATTTTTGTCATAATCATAGAAATGTAGAACTGCAGAGTATTTTAAGGATTAATTCATCCAAAGCATGTATGCTGTAGTTACTGTCAGAAAATCTGTGTATGTTGCCTTATAGCCAAGCTCTTCCAACTACTCAATGTTGCCTTTTCTGCTGAATATTCACTACAAGTTAACTGTCCTAGTTAACTTGTAGTAAAAAGGCCTAGAAAGAAAATAATTTGCTTAATTGGAAGACAGATTTTCTCCCTACTCTTAGCTTAAGAAAATAATATCTTCAAAGCCATTGAGAAAACCGTGGCCCAACTTAAAAGGTGATAGGTGCATATTACTAGTTTAACAAATTTGGAAGTAGTCTTCCTGTTTGGAGTTCGTTTTGTTAATTATCTGCCCTGGGTACCAAATAGCCTTGCAATACTCATCAAATAATTGTTTCTTGCAATCCAGCACCCAAGAGAGGTGTAAGTACACTTTGATTTCCTGACAAGTTTGAGGACTTTAGAGCTCATCAATTCCTACTCCTCCCCTGGAAATTGGCTCCTAATTCTTGCTGCCACTTGCTGGATATGTCTGAATAGAACATAAGGTGCTGCTCTGTCTGACTTTAGTTAGTTATTATTTTCCAACTAAGGTCAAACCCTACCCACTAGGTTGGTTCTCTTTGCACATTGATCCTGCTGTAAAGCTAAACTTAATTCACTGAGTCTCTGTGGATACTGCATGGTTTATGATTGCTGACTGAGACCAGCCCTACGGAAAGATCGATGCCCCAAAACTCACTTCTGTCCTGCCTTATGCCACCCACCATACCCCCATAACACTATTGCACATGTCACTAGGTTCATCATGCTTCAAGGTCAATCTGGCCAGTTTATAAGAACAGGTATTCATAAGTTGTACTTCCTCAGGTCTGCAACACATCAATACGTGTTATTTTGAAACAGCTGGGTAAGTTTTGAAAACCTGTTCCAGGTGCCTTAAAAACAATAACAACAAAAGAAAAGATCTGGAAATATTAAGCAGCAGTCAATAACATTTAGACTTTTTTTCTTAGTTTGGGGTTCTTTTTTATTATGGTAAAAACACATAACATAAAATTTATGATTTTTAAGTGTGCAGTTTAGTGGCATCGCTCATATTGTCAGGGTATCATCTTCTCCAAATGAGGCTTTTATCTTCTCCAAATGAAACTCTGTGCCTATTAAACACTAACTTCTCATTCCTTCCTCCCTCCAGTCCCTGACAGCTACCATTCTACCTTTTGTTTCTATAAATTTGAATACTCTGTGTATCTCATTTAGGTGGAATAATACAGTATTCGTTCTTTTGTGACTGGTTTATTTCACTTAGGACAATGCCCTCAAGTTTCCTGAATGTTGTAGTATGTGTCATAATGTCCTTATTAGTTTTTAAGGCTGAATAATATTCCATCTATATCTATAACACATTGTATTTATTCATTATTTTGAAGTATTCAAGTGTGAGAAATAATTAATACATGCACACACAAAGGGTTATTGTATGTTTAGTTTCAGGATTATGCCTAATGCTGTCCATCCACAAGGCAATAGCAAAAAAAAATATGAAATTTCAATAAGATAGAATGTCACTTAATATATAGATGTTTCTTAAAGTGGACTGAAGTATAGTGAAGTTGCTAAGTTTACTGTTTGGATGACAAAACCAGTGCCACCTCTTACAAGCTGGGTAAACTGGGAAAGTCAGCTTAAGTTCTCTGAGCCCCATTTTTCTCATTTGAGAAATTAGATGATGATAGTATTTTTTTGAAAAGTTAGTTTTGATTAATAAATGAAATGACATATACAAAGCACTTTGTTCAACATCTGATAAAAGAGGTAAAGAAAGTTTAGTTTAATTAGTTATTCATTTTTACTCAGTGTCAGCAGGCAGCTCCCTGCTAGATATAGAAGTGATATGATAAATCACAGCTGAGAATTTGAAGCACTCATATCCAAATGGAGAAAAGGACCTAAACTCTGAAATACATATTAGGGTTTCAAGCTATTTTCAAGTATGCAATCTATTTTCATCCTCATACCTGGAAGTAGGCTTATGAAATAATGTTAAAAGTAAAAAGCAGAGGATAGAATCTACGAGGTACACAATGGTTGCAGTTATGCAAGCTACATTTCTGGTGCAAACACACATATACGTACATACACACCCCAAGCAAAAGGAACTAATATTTGCTAAGTTTTTAAATGTAAAATTGTCTAAGAAATTATAAGAACATAATAAATCAATACACATAATAATTCTTCTAAGAATGTTGAATTTGAGTAGGAACCAGAAATTTGGGTTCAATAGGAGAAAAATAAGCAATGCTCTGCCTCTCTTCAGAGGAGAATCATAGAATGTTATTGCTAAGAGGTCTTTAAGATACAATTTTGTCACAGATCCTCAGTTCACAGACCAGGAATCTGAAGATTGGAGATGTTTAAAGACTTGTTCAAAATATTGCGGCCAGTGAGAATAGAAGCCAACGGATTGGTTTCTTCTAGTCCTGAGGCCTCTTGTCTAAACCATAAATTCACTTTTGATTCCGTAGGACTCGTTTGTTGTAAGCTTCAATGTATTTTATTATGTACAAGGCCATTTTCTCATCTTTTCAATCACATGAAACATTTAGAACTCAATGTAGAATTGTCTTTGCTAACATTTTCAAAATTAACCTTCTTAAGAATTTCACTAAAAGTCTTAATATTTAAATATAATTCTCCATACTATTCATATGATTTATTGTACCATTTATTATCATGCACAATGCTGAAGATTATATCGTCTATCAAACAAGTATTTAAAGGCAATAAAATATAATTTTAAAAATTTAATTGTGCGAAGACATGTAATGCATCATAGTAAATATTCTGAAAGCTGATAAAATGTGATTCATTAATAGATGCTGCACTACTTGTTACCGTGGCCTATTGTATAATTACATTGGAACCTTTTTGATACCTATTCAAGTGAGTATTTCCCTCTTGTTGCCTGAAATTTCTTTTCTGCACTAGGTAAATGAGCCAATAAAGTATTTCTTAAAACATTGCCGTTACCATGGAAATAAGGGTTTCACATTACTCTTGTCTATGTATGTTGACTTTATTTTGGGTCATGTAGTTGGGAGATAGCTCTCAGAGTTTCATGGTATCCTAAAAGCATTTTGTGATTTTATGGAGATCTTTTCTTGAACTACTTTTTTATTGAAAAACATACTGTTTCCTAGAAGACCGGTGAGAGCATTTGAATTATAATCCAAATATTTTCCTGGCTTTCATTGAAATACAGTCTTGACTTAGGAAAAGCTTCTTATTTTGCTATACATTTAGAAAGCATGCAACATATTTTCTATACAGTCAACACAATCTTTGAGGCCATCTGCAGTTTATAACAAATTTATGATATAGTAGCTTAAATTGATGAGATAATGAGCTGCTGACAGACATGTTTTTCTAAATTGATATTTGAGGATGGTGCAGCCAAAATACTTGGCATGAAATAGCAAAGGAAATGAGAGTTGTGTATCTACAGAACTCAACTCTATACTGCCACACAAGCTAAAAAGACTTAAAATCTAAAATTTTACTAGTACTCTTCAGTTCTATCCTATACTCTTTGATTAAATATTGCCTTAACTTAGAAAGACTATAGTATTTTTTTCTCTTTTATCTGTACAGATACAGACATGCCAATTATTGGCAAATCCTGTTAAGAAAGAAACTATTATTTTAAATAGGCACCCTTTGGCGTAAGTTACGTGTATGGATTCATTGAATTCTCAGATTTGAAATAAAATTACAAAAGCAAAACAATTCATTGGAAAATAATATGGTGGCAAAACAATTGTAAGGAAATTTTTAACATCAAATTACTTTTAATTACTTTTCAGGATTCAGGCTATGTTTTTATATTATTTTTCTAAATTTACTAAGAGATTATTTTATTGTATATACACACAAAAGTGCACACACATGCACGCATATATGTAGTACCTCAAATGAGAAAGGAGTTTGTTTTGTACCAATAAAAATGTTTTGATATTTCGTTTTACTTTGTTTTTGTTCTCATCCTTTAGTTTGAGGCTAAGTGGTAATGGCGTTTGTCTAAGAGTGTGAATAAAAAACCCTTACAAACTTTAGTATTCTTTTTTAAAGAAAATATATTTTAAAATAATTTTTGTTTGTTTGTTTTGTTTTTGAAACGCAGTCTCTCTCTGTCACCCAGGCTGGAGTGCAGCGGCATGATCTCTGCTCACTGAAACCTCCGCCTCCTGGGTTCAAGCAATTCTCTTACCTCAGCCTCCCGAGTAGCTGGGATTACAGGCACAAGCTACCACGCCTGGCTAATTTCTGTATTTTTAGTAGAGACAGTGTTTCATCATGTTGGCCAGGCTGATCTTGAACTCCCAACCTCAAGTGATCCACCTGCCTTGGCCTCCCAAAATGCTGGGATTACAGGCGTGAACCACCCCGCCCGGCCTCGAACAAGTTTTTTAATGCTGTAAAACCTAAATTTATGCTCTTGATTTTCTTTTAGTATTGAACTGATCATTGCTACTGTGTATTTAATTAGTTCAATCAACAGATTTTTACTAGGTTCTAATATGTAGGGCCCTATTCATGAATGAATGTAATTGCTGCCTTTGAGGCAGAGCTTCGCCAACCTTGCATGTACATGTCCTTTCTTCTTAGAGACCCATGATTTGTAGCCCAGGTCAAAAATAAAACTCCATAGACATTAACTCAGCCCTAAGGAGACCTGGGTAGGTGCCCTGGGTACCAACGCTAAAGTTCCTTTACTCTTCCACTCCCTAGAGTTGCAATTTTCTGGTGTAAATATCATCATTGTTATTTATGTTGGCCATCGCCACTGAGCAGGTCTAATTCCAATATGCCCTGTGAGCAAGACCATGTGGATTATATACTGGAAATATGCTTATATAAAGCATTGATCTATATGGAAAACATTTACATTGGTTTTAAATGTACTGTTTGTTAGGGGGAAACCAACTCTAAGCAGTACCCAAACTGCTGAATGGAAACTAAAATATCACGACAACCTAGGGCTAAATGAAGTAATATATAAAAATATTAGTCTGATATTTAATTTTTTAAATGATAAAACATATTTCTCCTTCACACAGCTTTAATTCACAAAGACATAGACGATGTCACCTCAGTAATCCCATAACCACTCAGCTGTAACTCTTCACACCTAAATGTCCTTCCCAGGGAAGTCAGGTGTTGCCTGCGAGTGCTGGTGACCACTTTATGTGATACTTGCAGTTACCATGCAAAGCACTCAGGCTTGAAGCCATGTGAATTTATCCAATTTCAGGTTTCATTAAAACTTAAAGGTCAACTTAGGTTCTATAAAAGTCACAGCTATTTACAAAGAGGCCATATATTGCAAACACTTGTTCTGGATTTGAGTTCTTGAAAGAGTGCAAGTGATATTTTGCGAGCCTTTGATCGATCCTATCAAATGTGATTTAGATAGAAAATTAAAAATTTTATAAAATTAAACAACTGATCTCTCAATCTGTATGAATTTGAAATTAATACAGACAGCTAGCTTGGGGTATGGTTTATTTTTTAATAATGAGGAAGAAGAGGGCATTAAAAAATATTCATTGAGCACACAGTAGATGTTAGGTTTTATTTTAGGCCCTTGGGGTCAAGGAACAAAATAAAAGGTATTCCTGCCCTCGTGGAGATTTTACTCCAGTGGCAGAGATAGCAAAAAAACCTTAAATAATATAATGCCAGGTACTGATAAATACCATGGAAGGAGAAGCAGCACAAGAGTCTAGAGAATGAGCGGGCAGGGTGGCAGTGTTCATGCGTGGGTAGGGTGGTAAGGAAAGACTGCTCAGCTAAACTGACAGATGAACGCAGACCACAGTGGAGCGGGGTGAGCCACTGGGAAGAGTGCCCTGGGAAGAGGAAGAGTGACAGCCCTAAAGTAAGTTCCAGGATTGGGGGAATTCTGAGAACATCAGTAGACAATTTCTAGGTTCCTACAAAGAATGAAGAATGTTAGAAAATGAGGTCTGAAAAGTCACAAGGGCCAGATAATGGAAGTTCTTGAGGCCGTGTTACAGACACTACACTATCTGTTATGTATTAATATTCTATCTGGGAAGAAAGGAAGGTATATGCAACTGTTTCCTCTTATTTTTTAATAATAATATTAAAATAGGTTAACTATTTAAATGGGTTTGATGCACACACAAGAACATATGTAGCATGCAGGTAAGCATATTAAACAGCTCTGGTCTCCAGTCTCATAGTCGCTGAGTTTCATTTTCCTCCAGTTATTCCTTCCACAACCATCTTGACTTAGCTTCTCACCTTGGGACTCGGGCTTCTCTGAAGTTACTACCTGGGAGGGATGTGGGAAGCGACCTGGCATTCATTCCTGCCCAGCCTGGAAGTGGGAAGAGTGAATAACCCATGGGGCAGCCTTGACCAAGGGAGACAAAAACTAATGATGAATGCATCTCTCGTCCCCATCAGCTAAAATTCCGAAGCATATTCTATTTGATTCCACAGGAGGTCCTGGCAGATTTGAGCACCAGCTGTCTTCAATAACTATTGGCCTTCCCCTTTCCCTGTTTTTCTCTCTCCAAAACCCCAATCCTCTTTTCTGAAATCATTTCTCAAGGCAAACTACGTGCATGCCAGCCCTTATCTCAGGCTCTATTTTCCTGGGGAACCTCGGCTAAAGCAGTAAGTTAAGGGTTTGAAATGTATTTATATGAAACGCAACATCCCAACTACACCACCCAACCAGGAGCTAATATACTACCAAGAACTTGAGGCTATCTGTGTGCTCCTCCCATCCCAGTCCTCTGTCTTCCACAGTCCTTACTCTCTCTCCCAACCCAGCCAGGGAACCACAGTCAGAAGCTTTAGTTTTATCACTCCCTTACTTTAATGCTTTTAAGTTTTATCACGTATGTATATATTGCAAATAATATATTGTTTAGCTTCTGAATGTCTTTGAATTTTAAAAAATGGCATCACAATAAACATAGTTATATGCAACTTATTTTTTTACTCTATGTTTCTAAGTGTATCTCTGTTATGGGAAGTTGCAGTTTCATTTCTGCATAGTTTACCTATCATAATTTGTTCATTTAGTCTCTCATCAATAGGTATTTAGGTTTTTCCATTGTTTTGCTATTTTGAAGAATATTACTGTGAATATTCTCATCTATAGATCCTAGTGCACACATGTAAGAGATTCTTTAGGCTTGTACTGTCCACTACAGTACAGTGGTGCCTTGCCACATGTGGCTATTGAGCATTTGAAATGTGGTGAGGCCAAACTGAGACACGCTGTGAAGTGCAACTGTGTGCCAGATTTTGAAGATTTAGTACAAAAAAAAAATTAAAATATTTTTTGAATCATTTAAAAATATTGATTACATGTTGAAATGCTATTGGTTTGGATATATTGGGTTAGATAAAATGTATTATTAAAATTAATTTCACCTGTTTCTTTTTACTTTTTAAAATGTAGCTACCAGCAACTTCAAAAATGATATATTTGGCTTGCATTCTATTTCTACCAGACAGCACTGGTCTAGGAAATTGATACTCAAAGTGTTTCTCTGCAAAATAAGATCTGCATCACCCAGAAATGCAGAATCTCTGGCCCCTCTTCAAACCGTCTCAATGCCTTGCAGCAAAACAGAGTTTACAAAGCAAAAAAGGACAAAGGAAAGGAAGGTAAAAGAATGGAAATGACATAGAATCCAGGAAACAGGAAAGAAAATGTAGTGTATAGAATTACTGATTTGGGTCAAAGTAGGATATAGAGCCTTAGATGAAGGTCTCAGAAAAAATAAAATACTTGATTAAATGAATAGGTTGATTTAAAAAAAAAAAGAGGATGTATTTATTATAAATAGTATATTTAAAGGAATAATGAGAAACTTTGAGGGACAAGAATATGGCAGAAGAAGGGATGAAATCATAGTCACTCCTGGGTCTTTAATAAAAAATATTTGTCCACAATTATGAAAAGAATGGTCAAGAGGAGGTGGTGCTCATATTTCATAGTGTGGAGCATGAAAGAGACCATCTGTACTTGAAGAAACATAAAATATGAAGTTAATGTATTACCTACAGATACAAAACAACATTTTCAAAAATAAACTAAAACGTAAGAAAAAGATATAGCCCACATATGAGAGGAGGGGAGCTGGAGGTCTAGCAAAAAGGAAATAACTTCTCATCTGTTGTGGTAAAAGACAGTCAGTGACTAAAATGGTGGGTGGAGAACTAGACAGATATTTTCCAAAAGAAAGACCTAAAAAGATGAAAGTGCTTATTTGTGTGGAATAGGTCTAGAGTAGGAAAAGGATAAGGGACTCACTGCTTGTAATTCATTTGTATAGATTCCTTCATAAAAATAAAATATAAAAATTTATAAAATACATATACAATACTTAGGTGTTTAGAGTTTTATACTATATATAGAAATATAGTTATATTTCACAGTAGTCAATTACTATATTCACTTCTTTTTGATGACATGTATTTATAGTTTTTCTGAGATTGCCCCTTTTTATTTTTTATGAGACATACTTTTGCTTTGTTTATTTTTGTAATGTATATATGAATACACCACTTTCCATCTTAAAAGTTTGAAGGTATTTTGATGTTCTCTGTAGGTAGGTTATTGATCTTTAATACAGTAAAAAAATTCTCCATATTAAATATTGTTTTCTTGCATCAGAGGACCCTAGAAAATTCTTAAGGTATAACTTGAACAATATTATGGGATTTATGTCAAAATAGCATTGAAAGATAACATAAAGACACACAGTGAAATAAATTTTCTGGGAAAAGAATGGAGCTGTGCTTGGACGAATGTGATGAGAAAAGAGATGTTTAATTAATTAACTGTTTTCATAACGTACCCCCAAAAAAGAGATAATTTTTTTTTTTTTTTTGAGATGGAGTCTTGCTCTGTCGCCCAGGCTGGAGTGCAGTGGCATGATCTCGGCTCACTGCAAGCTCAGCCTCCTGGGTTCATGTCATTCTCCTGCCTCAGCCTCCCGAATAGCTGGGACTACAGGCACCCACCACCACACCCGGCTAATTTTTTGTATTTTTAGTAGAGACAGGGTTTCACCGTGTTAACCAGGATGGTCTCGATCTCCCGACCTCGTGATCCACACGCCTCAGCCTCCCAAAGTCCTGGGATTACAGGCATGAGCCACTGCGCCCAGCCGAGAAATTATTTTAAAGATTAGAAACGCCTCATAGTTTCTATCATTTTTGCGATGCGAATTTGCAGTGTTTTAATTATTCTTTTATTTTTTTCTAATGTTTGATGAATGCCAGCCCTACCCAAATACACAGCCTAAGATCTTCATATATCAGTAAGACAAAACTTTGCTTGCAAAATTCTTGTTATGAGATTTATGGCCCTGGATAATTGCTTTATTTTGGGTTAACCTGCTATTTATGCAGATTGTTTTAGTTTGATTCTACTAAAAACTGAAAAATATGGTAAGTCAAAAAAGGAATGAAAATAGTTTATTTTTGAAATCTTTATACCAAAAGGTAAGCTAAACTTTCATTCAAATCTAAATAAAAGTTTTGTTGCATTTTATGAGTCTAAATCATTGGGTATAAGTTAGTAAGCATGCTACAGCCCAACTGTGAAGTTTGAGCTCACAGAGCACGTATCATGCCTGTGCTGGCAGCTTTTTAAGTCCAGGATACTCTTGCTGTGAATCCTGAAAACATCTGGAACAATGGCATTCATATAAATGAAGAAAGCAATCAATTATTGCAACCTATGGAGTTATTCTTCAGTAATTAACATATGGTAATAATGTCAACAAAACACAGCAGTGGTTGTATTCATCAAGTTTTGGATTTAGCTTAAGGTTTATAATAAAACTGTCATTTGTTTTTATTCACCAAGTGTAACAACTACAAGTCATAGATGTCTTTGGATTTTGGAACACTTCTTTTCAGACAACTTTTGATTTTACTGCTGATTTTAACCAAAAAAGGGGAAGCACATACCTTCTAGTTTAATCTCAATTTTAGTGCTGAGTCTATTCATGAAGCGTCCCAATTTGAGAGCAATATATCTCTGGCCAATTTCTGATCAACATGAATAATTCCCGTGACTGTTTTTTTCTGGAATGAGATCCTTTAGTCATACAGTAGAATTTTAAAGATAAATGAATGCTGTCATGTAATTTATACAAATTCTCTCTCGTTATTTTTTAGAAGACTAATCTAAAACAGAAAACTTAAGAAAGTTGCTAATCATCATAGAACCAATGGTCTGAAAGTTTCCAACATGCTTGTCTGACTGATAAAGTATCTGTACTTATCTTTCTGCTTAAGAGCTTTAGGCAAATTCTGATTCTGAAAGCAGACACATATATCAACTGAGAAAAAAATGCCCAGGTTTTCAATCCAAGGAATTGAGGGACTACTGAATCATCCATAAACTGACTTGCTGGTTAAGAGATGAGGCATTCATTGACTATCTGGTTCTTTTCAGCCAGGTACATAGCTCCTGATAGATCTAGTTTGTAAAACAATAGACACCTTAGTCTGGGGAAAACAGCTGCAATGGACAGTATTCTACTTTGTTTAAAATGTTCAAATTATACATGAATGAAAAGACAATATTTTCTTTTTCAAAATAAGCTATACAACAATTACTATTCCAGAGCATTCTATATTAATATGAGTCTGTCGATTTTTTTCAGGAATTTTCATTTGTTAATTAGAAGCAGGACATAGGCTGTGGTGATTAATATTTCTGCATTTCTTTTAAAATTGACTTGTACAGTCTTTGCCTATAATCTTTTGGCTCAGTTCACCAATCAATTAAATACACACTGTTTTTCTATTTCTGAATGTCTTAAAATCATGTATAAAGCCTAAATTATTTCAAATTTTAGAACAAGAATAAACTTTAAATCTAAATGTCCCATTAGCTATCAGAAATTCAACAAATAAAAAATTTGCTTAGAATTAATTTATTCTTTTTAAACTTGTTTCCTTTGAATTTAAAAAGATATTTAATGCTGGCTGGTGCGGTGGCCATGCCTGTAATCCCAGCACTTTGGGAGGCTAAGGCAGGCAGATCACAAGGTCAGGAGATCGAGACCATCCTGACTAACACGGTGAAACCCCATCTCTACTAAAAATACAAAAAATTAGCAAGGCATGGTGGCGGGCACCTGTAGTCCCAGCTACTTGGGAGGCTGAGGCAGAAGAATGGCGTGAATCTGAGAGGCAGAGGTTGCAGTGAACCGAGATCACACCACTGCACTCCAGCCTGGGCGACAGAGCGAGACTCCATCTCAAAAAAAAAAAAAAAAAAAGATATTTAATGCTTCAAACTAATAAAACATAATGATGCATATGCTATTATAGGTATGTGAAATTTGCCTTTTTATTCTTTCCAAAGATAAATTAATATCTCATCCTGATGTTACAAAACAAAATTATTTTTATTTATAGCTATTCTCTGATTTTTTAGTATAAAAATGACAAATATAAAGAAAAAATTATTGAACCAACCACATTGGATAAATGTGGTGGGCATAATCAAAGGAAAGTGAAGCTTTAGAAATTGATCAAATTCTATTTAAATTGTGACATTTCTTCAAACGGAAAAACATAAAATTCTCCCAACAAGATCATATAGTTACAGAAAGTGCTTCTGATTTCTCTCCCTGTCTTTCTCAATGCCTCTCTCTCTCAATCTCTCTTTCTCAATCTCTTCCCCACCATTCTTTGGTTTCCTTGTTCACCAAATTGCTCATAGATTCAACTAGAACTTTCTTTTTTTCTCCTAGCAGAGATAAACTCTTATCTCAGGCTGATTTTTCCACAAGGACAACCTTGGTGTCTTTAGGCATGTAATTGACTCCAGGCCTGCTCTAAAACCTATTGCAAGATAGGATTTTTGTTTGTTTGTTTGTTTTAACCATGCACTATATCCTTCTTTCTTCATCCTCTGTGACTAATTGAAGGCATCAAATCCTTTTTCATGAAGCTCCTGCTTATGCCCTGCACTTGGTTTATTCCCTCCAAAGCTTGGGTTTGTTTTTCTCTTTCTAGATTGTGGAGTGTAATAAAACACTTGAGGTATTATAACAGCAGTATAAAGTAATAAGCCAGGAAACGAACTTGGAGGTCTATATTCTTTATAAAAATATGACTTTTAAATAAACATATTATATTGAGTTGTGTCAATAGTAATAAACATGACAAGCTAAGAAGAAGTTGATATTTACAAGCTCATTGAAAGTACCGAGAAGCCATACAAAATTACAGACACACTTCCTAATTATAGCCACACTTCCTATTAAATGACTAAAAAAACTATTATATTTTAAATTAATATATATGCTATTGTTCAATATTTACTTAATTCTTTAAATTGAAACTTGTAAAATCAATGCTGTTTAAGTTAGAGAACCTCAATATTTGAAAATAGCAGGAGGGAAAAAAGGTAATTTTAAACACTGAGGAAAGCCTCTTTTTAGACAGAGAGAAAAGGATAATTACAGAGATGGAGACTCTGGCCCTCAAGCAGATTACAGACTAGCCTGAAAGACATATAAGCCTATAAACAGTAGCAGATGGACGAAGGCAGTGTAGGACGGAAGAAAGAAGTGAGGGAAAATGACAGTCCCAAACCAAGCATTCAGCATTGAAGAGAGCACACAGGAGAGTTTGACAGAACCTCAAGCCACACTGGCACTTAAAAAGAAATCTTGAGAGACCCATGGAAGAAGGAGACTAAATCCTTGGGTAGGGCAAAAACAGAAGCCTAGTGTGAGAGAGAGCCAGGGAGAGACCATATAGGGTATGAGCCCAATACAAAGTTTTCCTTCTGCCTTATTATAACCCCCTTTCTCTGTGTTGCCTTGGTGGAAGTTAACCCAAAAGTTTCTAGTTGGGTGTCTGAGCAGGGCAGCACCCTCTCCACTACATTTGCAAAAGTTGCCTGGAGCTTGTCAGGTAGGTCCAGAACTGAGGCTCTTCATAGCCCACAAATAGCTCTCCATGTGTAGGAAGCTCCCAAAACTTCCCAGGAAGAGCAGAGCCCAGGCCCAGGCTTTTGTTCCTCATGTTAGGTAAGCATTGTGAACCAGGGAAGCTGACATTTGTAATACAGTGGTTCTCAACTCTGGCTACACATAACAATTCCCAGGGGTGGGGGGACTTTTTAAAAAATACCAATTCCTAGAACACCAATTAAATTAGAATGCCTTAAAGTGGCACACCGGCATTGACATTTTTAAAATATTCTCTCAATAATAACAACATACAGTGAGATTAGAGAATCATTGGTCCTAAGGCATTTATAGAAAAACAGGAAAGCTATCTAAGAAAGATAAAAAAGGGAATAAGACCACAGATAGAAAGGAAATAGCAAACTGTTTCCAAATTAGTAGTGCACTAAGTTGAAGAGCATTCTGCTCGTGTAGAATGCTTTCTAGAATTGTGTAGAATTGCTCTGACGAGGACCAATTCAAGAGCTACCATCAGGGTGGCCTCAGAAAGATGTCACAAACTTCATAAACTTCAGCTGGGATTTGCTATCTGGCCATGGGACTCAGAATGCTCAGAGTTACACAGACACACACAAACACACACACACACACACACGCACAAAAGAAAATACAAAATAAGATGGCCAACATAAAAATACAGTTAACAAATGGGTAAGAATAAATTTAATATAAATGAAAGAATCAAAAGATAGAAGTTTTCAGATTTGTTTAAAAAGCCACAGTACACCATTTGCAAGAAAAATATTTAAAACATCAGGAAACAGAAAGTATAAAAGTCAAAGAATAAAAACATATATCAGAAGCAGCAATTTTAAAAGTTAATGTGACAATCTTAATGTTAAATAAAGTAGACTTTAAAGTAAAAAACATCATAAGGGACCATAAGAATAATACAAATAATTAAAAGGTATAATATATCAAAGACATATAATAACCACTTACTAATGTAGACTCAATTCTGATTGAATTGATCAGGAAGATGATCGAAGCATCCTTATCTTTTAAAAGCTGCCCGAATAACTTATTTTCAAGTAGACTGAGAATCACTACTTTACACAATCTTTAATCAATAAATAAAACATAGTAGAAAATTCAATACCATTTACATAAAACAAAAATCTATAAATTATCTAGAAATTAGTCTCACTGAGAATGCACATAGCCTTTAGGGCCAAAATTTAAAATTCTGTTAGAAGTTAATTAAAGAAGACCTGAAGAAAATCAAGTGATAAGTTAATGGATGAGACAACTTAGCATTATAATGTAACACTACAAATTTCCCTACAAATTAATCTGTGCATTAAATGTAATAACAAAGAAATATCTAGCCAAACCTTTGGAGGAACTTGTGAAACTAATTCTTAAGTGTGGAAGAATAACATTCTTAAATTGATACAATCATTTCTATAAAGAGAGCAAAGGAGAACGTGTCTCTACCAGACATGAAGACATATTGCTAAGTCATAGTGATACTGCTGAAGGAATGGGAAAAAAATAATAGAACAATAGAAAAAAATACCATACAAAATAATTTTAGCTAATACATACAAAAGAAATTATGGAATTAAAAAATTATTTTCAAATCCCCCCCAAAAAATGTTTCAATAATGTTTCAGACAATGGTCATTATTATGAAGATCATTAGGTGAAATGTTGATGTGAACTTTACAATGAATGGAAAAAGCTGATACCATCTTAAAAAAAAAAGGAATAAATGAAATCTTGATAATACTTATTTTGACAGTTTCTAACTACATTTTTTCTACTGACTGTATTCATTCATATATTCCACAAGTGTTTTTAAGAGCACTTACTATTGTGTCAAGCATGGTGCCAAGCCCTTACCTAGCAACAAACAACAGTAAAATTATTTGGTTTCAAAGCTTAAGAGTAAGGTTTTTATTTTTGTTTTTGTTTTCCAGAAAAGACTTCCAATTCACAATTCAGACTTTTGACAAAATACCTGAAAGAAATACTCAGAGTTCTCTTTAATCTGCCACGTCACGCATTGATGCATATACCTTTTTCTATGGTATTGGTATTTCTTTCCTAATCCTTCCAGATACTCCCCAAAAGGAAGACTGTTTATTTCCTTTTTTTCCCCAAATTACCATTCTTTCTTCCAGGCCTAGTGCCTTCTACTTTAGCAACACTTTCTGTGTTTTAAACTTTTCCAGTATATAAAAATGTATACCCTAGGGCTTCTGAGGCTGCACAGTGAGAAACAAGATACATTCCACAGTGCATGACAAGGGAGCCCAGGAAGTCTGGCAGCATTTGCTGGAGAAACATCAGGAAATATTTTCCTGTCTTGGAGTCTCATATTGGTACGTGTGTCTCAAATTAAATTCATCATTTTTAGTAAGGTAAGAATATTATTTGTATTAAAAAAAAAGGTGAAAATAACTGACCAAATTTAAATTTGGATTTCTTTGGGAGTTATTATACAAGGCATAATTTTATGGTAGGGAAATATTTAAAGGTTGCTGTAGTTGGCAAAAAAGTAAGAAATGGACATGGAATCAAATTCATGGGACATGACACTTAATGAAACCTCTAATTGGTTATAAAATTTGAAGCCCAAGTCACAAGGGATAAAATGATATATTCTCAGCAAATTGTGAAATGGATCTCAGCTCCCTGATCTGAAAAAGGGGTCAATGCTGAGTAGTTATTGCTGTTGTTGTTGTTTTAAACCAAAGGACATAGCTGAGTTTTACACAAAATGGGCTTGGTTTTTAAGATGAGATTTCAGCTTAGGGCATCATGTGTCTTTTTCCTAAATTCCTTAGGCAGGCCCAGTGGCATCGTAAATTTAATGTACTGAAACTGGAGCTTTCTCATGCAGAAAAGCAGGCCAGGATATGTCAGCTCACCAAAAAAGCATATTATTCTTGGAGTTATAAAATGTTTGTTCTATAGCTACAATCATATTAAAATTTCTTTCAGTTTGAAGTGTTCCTAGTTGGATATGTAATGAAGCTCTGCAGTCTTAGCAGACACTAAGTAACTTCTAGATTCCCTTGGACCTGGATGTTAGTACGACTTGGTCCTGTTTTTCTTCACCTTTGATAGGTGTCTGGGGATGAGGTTATGACTCTACTAATTGATATGATTGTATGTATAAATTCTTCAGTAATCTGAAGGTAACATTTGGCAAAAGCTTATCTACAGTGATAGGAAATTGTATTATTATGCCATTAAAATACAATTCGAAAATATGTTCCAGATAAATGCCATATTACTAGTGATCCTGAAAGAAAGATCAGGATGATGGCATTTACATGAGAAAGAAAAGAAAAACATGTAACAGTAAAATGAAGGCTCAGTCTCAGAGATCAGAGGCTTAAAGAAAAAGATACATTAAAATCTGCAAAGGAAAGAGAAGCCTCTTTTCTGCCTAATCTTCCAATATAACACCCAGCTAAGACCACCTTATTGATTGAAACCAACTTCATCAACTCTTCCATTAAAGCTAGACTGGACTTAATGCAGTGAATGAGACTGTCTATATGACAAGTCCATTTCCTCACATAACTGTGTAATGGATAAACCTGAGAAACAGACATAGGTATGGAGTGTCTCTAAGGAATGCTAAGGATCTGAGATTTGAAGAATTTCCATGCACACATGAACCTATGCAGCACATGAACTGATTAGTGCTAAGAGTAACTCAGGACAAATGTTACAAATGTCAACAGTGTGGACACTATTGAGCTTGATCTTAAATAAAGATGCCCAGAATTCCTATCACAAACATTTTTCAGAACATGTACAACATGAAGGGGCTGCTACATGATTACAGAGGTTTTTGGTTTTGACTCTAAGTAACCTCATGTCCCTTCCTTCAGTTTTCTCTGATGGCAGCTCACATAGCAGCATACAATTGCAAAATTTATTATTTCAGAAGTATGACTGGTTTCTTCAAAATTGGCATGAAGTCCCTAGAAGCACAGAATCACAGATACAGTGCAGACCTCAAAGAGCATTTACTACGACTTCTATTTTGGAGAGGACACTGAACTCCAGAGAGGTTAAGTGAATACTAGCTGATGACTAGGCTTCTTTGTCCTAACCTGACATTAGCCTACTAGAGTAGTGAAAAAGATTACCATCACTAGTCAGAAAAATAAAAAAAGATTTTAATGTTCTTCAGCTCCAAAGCTTAATATATAAGGAGGAAATTTCCAGCAGCCCTAATACTTCCCATACTGCCCCCAAATTGCCCCAACTGTCATTCACAAGTGAATAGTCTTATTGTCTCAATCCATCTGTTTGGAGTGTGCTCTGGTTATAGAAGTAAAATACGTTCAAATTCTGCAAGCTAGTTTTAAAAAATGTCCATAATTGTGGTAAATCTGAAGTAATAAATGAAGGAATTTTGACATAATCCAGCTGCCAGCACCATTGTTGCATAAGCATGCTTGATATCTTATTACATTTTTCTAGCTCCAGGAAGAAAAATGCCATCGTATTTCTAGAGTTTGTAGCTATAAAATATGAGAAAATGTTTAATCTGAAGAGCAAAATGAGCTTCACGGATAATAATTATTTCACCCGACGAATTGCTTTCACAAGAACCATAGAGTTTGGCTGAAAGCACATAATTATTAGTTGGAATTCACATAATGATTTGAGTTATAACTGAACTTTCATAACCCTAGATTTGTGTAAATAAAACAAATGGTAATGAAGCCTTTGAAAAAGATAAAAAGGTTTCTAATAAAGAGCTCAGGTCTAGAAAGTGGGTCACCCACTTTTGTGGTGGTCACTATGAATTGAGTTACAGCCATCATCATGTCTATAGTACTGCTTGAACTGACCCCCTCCAGCAATCACTTGCATTCTCAGGGATCCATGGAGTCTTTGGATACGTTTTAGCTACCCCACTTCACTTGCTAATGCTATCATCTTAGATAGGTTGTGATAAAGATGTAAGATGGGGTGAGTCGACAGAAAGATTAGTTGCAGTTGCCTAGGTAAAAATAATTAAAACAACAATATAATAATAACTCGGGTCATCACACATCATGGTTTTCCTGGGAAAATTTTATTTTAAGCCCTATATCCTCTATAGTTTAGCATCTGTCCTAAGCAAACTTCTGGACAGAATTTGATCATAATTACATGGTTGCCCTATTATAATATTTTAGTGTTCATTTGACAATATTTTAGTGTTTATTATGTGTCTGTAAGCATAAAGATGTGTCATCTAATTTAATCCTCTTGACAGCAAAATGAAGTATAAATTATTATGCCCATTTTACAGATAAAGAAACCAAGAAGCATAGACTTTATGTAACTTTACAAACATCACCCAGCTTTTAAGCAATGGACACAGAATTACTGGCTCCAGTTCTTTTATGTCAACTTCTTGACTACTTCACAACAAATTCACATTTCCTAGGTCTGGTAGAGTTATTCATTTAAAGTACATGGAGATAAGTTCCAGAAGCCAAATCCTAAGTTTAATAAATCACCTATTTTTAAGTTAGGTATCAAATAGAATTTTACTGGTGCTTGTAAGAGTTTGGAAAGAGCAGATGGTTCTTTTAGCAAGTTTTGGAATATAAAAACAAGGGCCTATCCCTTACATGCTTAAGAGACAAATTATTTAGAAATGATTGAAATGCAGTTTACAAAGTTAGGAGCTACTTATGGGTCTTCTTGAAGTCAGGCATTGATGCAAGAATTGATAGGCATAATAGATTATGCGTGAATAGGTAGGTGATGGGTTGGGTGGTACATATGTAATTTTTAAAGGTTTATATTAGGGAGGACAATTTAAAACTCCTCAGAGCACACTAGAACCCCAAGCAGTCTCAGTGTAAGCCTAAAACAGTTGGGCAATTTTTGCCTTTTTTAATAGCTGTTGGACAAAATCTCCTAAACCACATAAATCTTCTCAAATAGCAGTTGCTGAAAATTAAATAACATTTTTCATAAACAGTACGTACTGAAATCTGGCAATCTTTTCATTCCAGCCAGATATCCTCATTAACTAGTATTGTATTTCCTTAGGTGTACAATTACCATTCTTCATGAAGAATCACTTAAAATACCTTTGACTTCATTAAGAATTATACTGAAAGCAATGTTATTGGTTCCCATTTCTGTGAAATTTGCTAATCTTTGAAGGTACATGTATAGTAACTGTGTCACTAAGAGTATTGAAATAATTTGAAAATTCCATTCCCCAATCTATTTATTAAAGAACATTCACTGTTTATGTGGGCAAAATGTCTAGTAACATAAAAGATTTTTTGTTTGTTTTGTTTTGGTTTGTTAAAATGGCATATACACGCATAGGTGAATAACTGTTGGAAACCTTAACCTTGAAATAAATGTTGGCAACTTATTGTTCTGCGAAGACTCAATATTAAGGAAAAATGTATGTTTATTTGCACAGTGGATTGCAATACGCACTCTATTATTGAATTTGGTTTGTTTATATCTATAAGAAACAGGCAGGCGGATTACGAGGTCAGGAGATCGAGACCATCCTGGCTGACACAGTGAAACCCCGTCTCTACTAAAAATACAAAAAAAAAAAAAAAAAAAAAAATTGGCCTGGCGTGGTGGCTGGTGCCTGTAGTCCCAGCTTTTCGGGAGGCTGAGGCAGAAGAATGGCATGAACTCGGGAGGCAGAGCTTGCAGCGAGCCGAGATCGTGCCACTGCACTCCAGCCTGGGCAACAGAGCAAGACTCCATCTTAAAAAAAATAAATAAATAAAATAAAAACCAAAAAAACAAAAACAAAACAAAACAAAACAAAAAAGGACAAAAAGGACGAAAAATTACAGCAGGTGAAATGTGCTAAGGAGCCTATTTCTAGGAAGCTAATGATTGTGTTTAAGGCTTCCAATGAGTAGCTGAATTACATTGTCTGTAGAAACCAGTTAGTATTCTTTTTGGTGGGAGACACCAGAGAGTATTCTCTGCTGTATTGCCATGCTGTGTGTACTTGCCAGGGAGGTTGAACTACACTAGACTGTATGAGCTCAGTACTCGGCTGCATAATCACTTTAAAAGTCTCTTGAAAAGCAAACTTTCAAACTCTTTATCTTTTGACTAAAAAGATAATCTCTGGGTAGCTCCAATTAAGTTTGTGTAATATAATCTTTATGCTAAAAAATAATGGTTTTATGACAGTTCTTTTTTTAGTAATTCATAATTTGTAAAATTCCTGTGGGCTTAGCTATTTTAAGAATGACTGCTAAAACTATATATCTAAATTTCAGTTTAAAAGATTTCTTATTTTTATTTCCCAAGAGTAATAATACCAAATGCACACATATATCACCACCACACACATACACATTTACATATATATGTGTATGTATATGTGTGTGGATATATGTATATGTATACACACAGGCAGTTCTCACTTTGCATAGTAGTGTGGGACTGTGAAAATAATCATACAAACTGAAGCTGCAAAAGGATCTTTGTAATCAATGGGAAAAAATACAATTATTCTGTGATCTATAAGAAATTTTTGTCAAAACATTAAAAACCCTCTTAGTGTCAGTTTTAAATATATAAAACATGAAAAACCCTGTAAAACTGGTATTTACCTGATACGTTGTGATTTAAACCATTAGAAACATCAAGATAAAATGTTTCATTTCTTTCTGAAAAACTTATCAAAGGTTGTTTGAACATTGCTTGCTTTATTTTTGTAAAACAGGATAGAGAGCTACTATCTTTCCTAGAGAATTATGCTTCTAACTTTGGATATATGCTTGACATTTTTTGTAAGTGCTTTCAATATTGTGAAATCTCAGAATTCCTTTAATGTGAAGAATTTTGTTGGCCTCACTTCCTCTAGTACGTCATTCCTTTTTTCTTTTTTCTTTTTTTTAGATGAGTCTCACCATAGCTCAGGCTGGAGTGCAGTGGCGCGATCTCGGCTCCTGCCTCCTGGGTTCAAGCACGGCCTCCTGGGTTCAAGCGATTCTCCTGCCTTAGCCTCCCGAGTAGCAGGGACTACAGGCACCCACCACCACGCCCAGCTAATTTTTTATATTTTTAGTAGAGACAAGGTTTCACCGTGTTAGCCAGGATGGTCTCCATCTCCTGACCTCGTGATCTGCCCGCCTCGGCCTCCCAAAGTGCTGGGATTAAAGGCATGAGCCACCGCACCCGGCCAGATGTCATTCTGTTTGTCACAACCAAGCTCTTCATATATATCAGTGAATTCACCTTCACTAAGTTCTCCTGGCTGCAGATCTAGAGTCTATCCAACAGTAGCCATGTAAACATTTCCACATTCAGCTATTTTTTTTATAACTCTATTTATAGATTTCACTTCCAGCCTCATCACTTTTCATTTATTTGCTGCACTTTGATCTTTGTTAGTCAATTCTTTCTTCTGATTATCCATTTTTGTAAAATGTCACATGAGTTTGTCACTGGGAGGCTATCTGTGGGTGAGCTGAGTGATATATGTGCAGTGACCAATCACTGGCAGACGTTGAAAGGAGTGACATGATTGGTCCCTGATCATGATGTGCTTCTGCTATTTACATAGCGATTTGTGGACTGGGAGCAAGCAGTGAGGTTTGTACCTTACGAAATTATACACAGGTAATACACGGTGGTAACTGAAATTTAAACAGTGTTGTTGGTAGATTGAAGTTACTTAACTAAATCCTAGTACCTGAAATTTGTGCCATGTCACAAATGTGAAAAGAAGGGAAATTCTTGATTTTTCCATCGTTATACCTCAAGTTATCCCCGACGTCAAATATTTAAATATAATAAAAATTTGAAGCAAATGAACTGTGGCTGGAAAGCATGTGAATTAACCTGGATTAGGACAAAAATAAAGCACTCAGTGTTCAACAAATGTGGTGGCTAGAAAGGCCAATTAGAAATATATCCTCACCTTGTGTTGCTTGGAGACTACTCAGGCAATTAAAATCCATGCATACATAACTGAGGCACAGCATAAAAAGCTGGCAGAGTGGCATGGTAAAAATACCAAGACTATACAAAATTCATCCTCAGGCCATTTATTTGGTTGCCATTTTTTATTAGAGACCAAAAATATCTTCATTGGAATTGTTCTACATAAGAATTAGTATGAGTGTGATGTGTAAAATAGATTGCAGGTGTTGTGGGAAGATTTGTTAGGAGGCTACATTATTTGCTATTTTAGTATGGCATAGAATTACTCTGGAGAAAGAGTTATTGAGGCAATGACAGTAGTAATGGAGAGAGTGAAAATTACAGAGGTGCAGGAGCTAAGACTTGTCACCTGGAGATGAACAGAGAGAAGAGAATCATTTGGAGACAGCGATTGTTTCAAGCTGTAGTGATTTGCAGAAACCTGAAGATCTGCTGATCTTCACAAGATACCAGTGATGTTTAATGCAGCTCATTTGAACAAAATTAAAACTATTGCTAGGTTTTCTCACTTAGTTCTGCATGCCATCTCTCATTGTTATTCATCTGTATCACTAGTTCCCTTTATAGACTATCATTTAATAAAAAGAACTGGTGACAAACTCTACCTACTCTTCTAAACTTTTTTTCATCTAGTATCTATAACACTTTTTGAGCAACATAAGCTTTTTCCTGTCTCAAAAAGGTAAAGATAATTTTATTTATTGAAAAATATATAGTTCAAGAATAGTAAAAAAAAAATAGACAGGTTTTAATTGTTTTATAGTTGTTTTGTCCATAAGTATTTTAAGTATTTATATGTGTACTTAAATTCCTTTGTTATTTTCATCTTTGTGTGAAGATTCTTTGTAATAGTGGCAACAAATGAAGACTTTTCAATTTTCCCTCATTACAGCTTTCAAAAATCAGGCATGTTGTGCACATTTTTAGTGTTTCTTAGTCTGTTTGTCATCAGTGATCATATGTTTCTAATATTCTGAACCTCACAAATACCATAGTACTTCTTGCATTTGTCTCATAACATGTGCTTCAAACTTTTGTCTGCGAGGGAAAGCTTTTATAAATGCCTAGCAGGTCTGGCATAACTGTTCCAAATCCAGAGAATTTATAACGATATAAGCTGAACCATGGAATAAAAGGATTTAAGAAGGAGAATGAATTCTTGGTAATATTAGAACAATATTGTCAATAGGGGATTATTAATGCTTTTGTTACCACAATCCAGTTTGCCTGACAGCCATAGTATATTCTTTCATGAATCAAGCATTAAAACATTATTCACGGTTACCTTTCTTAGCCAGAATTACTGGTGGTATAACAAACTATAGTAGATTCGGATACATTCATCTGTGGCCTGTAGATGTTTGCAATGTAATATGCCAGAGCAGACAAGGCTTTTCTGCCAATACAAGTAATGAAATAATATTAAAACATGATGTGGGCCATATAGTTCAGCTTATTGCAGGAGTAGAGACATAGGGTTCATTTCTGACTCTGCCTTTCACTCAACTATGTGATCTAGAAAAAATAAGAGAACCACACTAATACTCAGATTTCTAATTTGTAATTGAGATAATTCATTTCAAGTCAGAGTTTTTTTGTCATGAAAATCAAGGAAGGAATATGTCTTATTGCATAAATGTATGAAGCATCATGCAATATAAGACTGTATTATTATCTATAAAACACTACTTTTATATTGGAAAATATATAATGTATAACAGTCTTCATATCTATCAAACTATTGCATATACTGTCATGCACTGCATAACGTTTCAGTCAAAACAGACCACATAAAGGATGGTGGTTACATAGGATTATAAAACTGTATTTCTACTATATCTTTTCCATAATTAGCTGTTTTTAGTTATACAAATATTTATCATTATTTTACAGTTGCCTACATTATTTAGTACAATAGTATACCGTACCAGTTTATGGCCTAGGAGCAATAGGCTACCCTATACAGCTTAAGTGTGTAGTAGGCTATACCATCTAAGTTTGTGTGAGTATACTCCATGGTATTTGCACAGTGATAAAATCACCTAACAACATGTTTCTCAGAATATAACTCCATCATGAAACGATGCATGATTGTACTTTTTGCTAGCCAAGGTAAAATTAGTAGCAGCATCAACAGAGAGAGGAAATAGGGCATCAAAAGAATTTAGGGACTTTCTGTTTCTGGCCTGGCATATAAGGAGCTTGGAGGCTTCTGTCCTAACAAGAAGTAAAAGCCGAACAAACTAAAATTCAACAACTCATCTTAGATCCCTAAGAGAAGCAAGGTCACAGGGCAAACCACTGCCCACAAAATTGGAGTCAGACAGGCAAATACAGAGAACTACAATTTATCTGATTACAAATGTCCACAGGAACCAGAGCCAGGGTGGAAAAATCTGAACCACAATTAACAAATTGCCGGAGTCTCTGTGTGGACAAGTCTGAGACATAAAAACTTCAGAGACCAGTTACGGAAGGTGGGGCATGCACTTTTGTGAGTCTTACTTCCTGGAACTCAACCAGTTTCTCACAGTGAATAGCAAAGACAAATTCCCTCCTGCTCCTGGCAGGGAGAGGGGAAAATGAATAATCTTGAAATTTGTCAGAGCATTCTGTTCTTCTTAATGAGGTCTGCCCTCAAAAGAAATGATTTAACCAGATCCTAACCTGCTTTGGTTTTATCAGAGCCTAAATAACATGGAGGAAAGGAAGTACTCAACGCTAGCCAGTTTTAATCTTCCACTTGGAGGAAGGGAAATACTCAATTCCAGCCCCCTCTAGCCTTCCACAGGAGAGAAGGGAAATACCCAATTCCAGTTACTCTGGCCATTCTGTCCTACATGAGGTGGGAGGGTGGACTGAGAAGCACTTGTGAAGTTCACAGTCCAGAAGTTCAGGCTCACTATGACTGAGACCTAGTTGTAGGACTTTAGTAATTCAGTGGCAAGGTATGGGAAACAAGGACGGTGTTTCCCCTTGTTTCCCTTGCCACTGTGTTACTAAAGGCTTATTTATATCAGTTCCTTTCTCCCACTATATCGTGTCCACCTATAAAGAAAAGATTACCAGGCATACAAAAAGGCAAAAAAACCACAGTTTGAAGAGGCAGAGCAAGCATCAAAAGCAGACTCAGATATGGCAGGGATGTTGAAATAATCAGACTAGAAATTTAAAACAATTATGATTAATATGTTAAGGCCTTTAATAGATAAAGTGGATGACATGCAAGAACAGATGGGTAATGTAAGCAAAGAAATGGACATTTTAAGGAAGATAAAAATAAATTCTAGAATCAAAAACACTGTAACAGAAATGAAGAAAGCTTTGATGGGCTTATTAGACTAATACAACTGAGGAATCTCTAAGCTTTAAGATATCTCAATAGAAAACTCCAAAACTAAAAAGCAAAGAATAAAAAGAGTGAAAAAAATAGAACAGAATGTCTAGGAACTGCAGAACAACTATGAAAGGTATGGCATATGTTAGTGGGAATACTAGAAGGAGAAAGAAGAGAGAAAGGAACAGAAAATATATTTCATCACTGAAAATTTTCCCAAAATAAGTGTTCCAAACTATAGTTCCAAGAAGCTCAAAAAACACTAACAGTAGGATAAATGCCAAAAATTCTCAAAACAAAGCAAAATAAAAACCCCAACATCTGAGAACATCGTATTCAAACTGTAGAAAATCAAAACCAAAAATCCTGATAGAAACCAGAGGGAAAAAAAAATCTTACCTATAGAGGAGCAAAGAAAAGAATTACATTTGGCTTCCCAAA
Organism: Homo sapiens; assembly: GCF_000001405.40. NCBI lineage: Eukaryota > Metazoa > Chordata > Mammalia > Primates > Hominidae > Homo > Homo sapiens. The sequence goes on from NC_000006.12 coordinate 113,020,304, forward strand.
CATCATGCAGCACAAAGAGAGTAGAGTGAAATATTTAAAGTGTTGAGAGAAGAAAACGTCAGCTCAGAATTCTGTAACTGATGAAATTCTCTTTAAAAACTAAAGGAAAAAATTAAGACTTCTTTCTCAGACAAACAAAAATTGAGAAAATGTGTTGCCAGTAGAGCTTCCTTATAAGAAATGTTTAAAAAAGTTTTTTAAAGAGAAGAAAAATTATACCAGTCAGAAACTCATATCTACATAAAGAAGGAACATTATAGACAGAATTGGTATAGATAAAATAAAAATTTAATTTTTTTCTTATTCACAATTCATTTAATAAGTATGTTTATTCAAAATAATATAGCAGCAATTAACTCAATTATGTATGCTTATGCATATGTATATGCTTAGTATAAGTGAAATGAATGACCACAATAATATAAGGAATGAGAGGGAAGAAATAGCATTATTTTGTTATTATAAGTTTCTCCTACTACCCATGAAGCAGTATAGTGTTATTCAAAAGTGGACTTCAATTAGTTCTAGATCTGTATTGCAAAATATAGGGCAACCTTGGTTTTTTTAACTTAAAAATTTTTTAAACATATAATTTATATACTAAGAATTGAGAGAAAATTGAATTATATGAAATGCTTGTTTAAAACCATGAAGGGCAGAAAAAAGGTGGAAGGTGAAAACATGAACAAAGAACAAGGTTAACAAGTAGAAAACAGTAACAAGTATGATAGATATTAATCCAGCTGTATCAGTAATCATTTTCAATGACAATGATCTGGACATACCAATTAAAAGACAGAGATTTTCAGACAGGATCAAATAATAAGGCCCAATGTTAAAGTGGGTTGTCTATAAGATATCAACTTTAAATATTAAAACACGCATAGAAATGGATGCAGAAAGGTATATTATGTTAACACTAATCAAAAGAAAGGGAATATAGCTACATTAATTTTAGATAGAGCAGACTTCAGAGTAAAGAAAGTTATAAATGAAAAAGAGGGGCATTAAATCATGCTAAAGAAGCCAATTATCCAAGAAGACGTAATAATCTTTAATGTGTATGTGACTAAAAATAGAATATCAAAAAAGTCTGAGGGAAAAACTGAACTAGCCACTATTACAGAGACTTTAATGCCAATCTATCAGAAATGGACAGATCCAACAGGCAGAATATCATCAAGGACGTTAAACTCAACAACACAATCAGCTGAATATAATTGAATTTATAGACTATCTGAGAACAGCAGAATACACATTCTTCTCAAGTTCACATGGAACATTCACTAAGATAGACCACATACTGGGCCATGAAACACACCCTAACAAGTTTTAAAAAAATTGTACAATTCTCTCAGACCACAATATAATTAAACTAGAAATCGGTGACAGAAAAATAGCTAGAAAATCTGAAAATACTAGGAGACTAAACAACACACTTTTAAATAATACATGAGTCAAACAGAAAATCTCAAGAGAAATTTAAAAATATTTTGAAACAAAAATGATAAAAACTCATTAAAAATGTTGGGATGCGGTGAAAGCACTGCTTGGAGGAAAATTTACAGCATTGAATGCATATATTAGAAAAATTAAAATGATCTAAAATCAACCATCTAAGCTTCCACTTTAGGAAACTAGAAAAAGAAGAGCAAATTAAATCTAAAGTAAGCAGGAAAAAAATTAGAACAGAAATCAATAAAATTAAAAATATGAAATAGACAAAAATCAATGAAACCAAAACCTAGTTCTTTGAAGAGATCAACAAAATTGATAAGGCACTAATTAGGCAAAGAAACAGAACACAAAATACATATATCAGATATGAAAGAGAGGCTATCGTTAAGGATCCCATGCATATTAAAAGAGTAATAAATGAAAATTATGAACAACTCTATGCCCACAAATGTAAAAGCCTACATGAAATGAAATAATTCCTTGAGAGACATATTTTTTAAAAACTCAAATGAGAAGAAAGAGACAATGTGTATGTAAACATATCTATTAAATAAACTTAGTCAAAATAATTAATAACCTTCCAAAATAGAAAATACCAGGCCCAGAAGGGGTTCACTGGTGAATTCTACCAAATATATAAGGAAAAAAATTGTACCATTTTATAAAATCTCTTTCAGAAGACAGAAGCAGAGGCAATACTTGTAACTCATTCTATAAGGCCAATATTACCTTAATACCAAAAATTTACAAGAGACTTTTCAAGAAAACTACAATATATCTTATGAACATAGAGGCAAAAATTCTCCACAAGATATTAGCAAATCAAATCACAATAATATATAATAAGAATTATACACCATGACCAAGTGGGATTTATTCAGGTATGCAAAGCTCATTCATTATTTAAAATTAATTAATGTAATCTATCATGTCAATATGCTAAACAATTTAAATGTTCATATCAAAATATGCAGTAAAAACATTTGATAAAATCCAACAGTCATTCATTAAAAAAATAACCAACTCCCTGTAAAATAAGAATAGAGGGAAATTTATTCAACTTGATAAAGAATATTTACAAAAAGTATACAGCTGACATCATGCTTCATAGTCAGAAACTAGAATTATTTTCACTAAGAACAAGAGTAAGTTAAGGATGTTCCATCTCTTACCACCCTTTTCAACATATTACTGGAAGTCCTAGATAGTGCATGAAAGCAAGAATGGAAAATAAAAGATATTCTGACTGGGAAGAAGAAAATTAAACTTTTTTCACAGACGGCATGATCATCAATGTAGAAAATCCAAAAGAACTGTCAACAAAACTTAAGTTGGAACTAATAAGTGACTATAGTAAAGTTGCAGAATGTAAGGTTAATATTAAAAAGTTGATTGTTTTCCTATACACCATGATAAGTGGAATTTGACATTAAAAACTCAATGCCATTTATACTAGCATGCCTCAAAAAATACTTAGGTATGAATCTAACAAGATATATATAAGATCTACATGGGAAAAACTAAAAAACTCTGATGAAATAAATCAAAGAATAATTAAATAAATGGAGAGACATTCCATGTTCATGAGTAGGAAAACTCAATATTGTCAATATGTCATTTTTTTCCTAGTTTGAGCTATAGATTCAAGAAATCCCTATCATCAAAATCCTATCAAGTTATTTTGTGGATATTCAAAAACTTACTCTGAAGTTTATATGAAAAGACATACAAAGAATAGCCAGAATACCCATGAGGATATGTAAGGAATAAACAATTAGTTTGGAGGAATAAAGCTACCTGACTTCAAGACTTACTATGAAGCTGCAGTAATGAAGACACTGTAGTATTGGTGAAAGCATAGACAAATAGGTCAGTGAAACAGAGGAGAGAGTCCAGGAATTGACATATAGTCAAGTAATTTTTGAAAAAGGAGCAAATGCAATGCAAAGAAGGAAAACTAGCCTTTGTAACAAAGGTGATAAGATATCCACATGTAAAAATAAAACAAATCTATACTCAGATTTTATAACCTATTAATTCAAAATGAATCTGGATGTAAATTTAAAATAGAAAACTATAAAACTCCTAGAAGATAAAACAGGAGAAAATCTAGATGACCTTGGGTTTTGTGATAACTTTTTAGATATAATACCAAAATCTAGAATTGACAAGTTAGATTTTATTAAAATTAAAAATATCTTTTTCGTGAAAGACACTATCAAGAGAGTGAAAAGACAAACCACAGACTGTGAGGAAATATTTGTAAAAGACACATCTGATTAAGAACTGTTATCCAAAATATACAAAGAACCCTTGAAACTCAATAAGAAAAAAAAAAAAACTTGATTTTAAAAATGGGCCAAGCAGCTTAACAAGCACCAGACCCAAAAATATATACAGATGGCAAATAAATATAGAAAATGATGCCTCACATCATATGTCATCAGGGAAATGAAAATTAAAGCAATGAGATTCCACTACACACTTACTTGAATGGTCAAAATCCAGAACACTAGCAACACCAAAAATGCTGGTGAGAATGTGGAGTGACAGGATCTCTCCTTCATTGCTAATGGGAATGTAAAATGCTATACACACTTTGAAAGACTTTTGGTCAGTTTCTCACAAAACTAAACATACTCACAAGCCAGGAATTGCACTCCTTGATATTTACCCAGAGGAGTTGAAAACTTATGTCTACACAAAAACCTGTGCATAAATATTTATAGCAACTTTATTTATAATTACCAAAACTTTAAAGCAACCAAGATGCCCTTCAGTAGGTTAATGGTGGTAAACCCAGACAATGGATAATTATAGAGCACTAAAAAAAAATAATAATAAGCTATCAAGCCAGGAAAAGACATGAAGGAAACATAAATGCATATTACTAAACGAAAGAAGCCAATTGAAAAGGCTGTATAGTGTATGAGTCCAGCTACATGACATTCTGGAAAAGGCAAAACTATGGATACAGTAAAAAAGATAGGCAGTTGCCAGGGATTAGAAAGAGAGAGATATGAATAGCCAGAGCACAGAGGATTTTTAGGGCAGTAAAATTATTCTGTAGGATATGATCATGATTGATACATGTGTCCAATCTATAGACCGTTCAAAGGTGAACCCTAATGCAAGCTATAGAGTTTGTATGATAATGAGGTGTCAATGTAGGTTCATGAATTATAATAAATGTACCACTCTGTGGGGGATGTTGATAATAGGGATGGCTATGCCTGTGTGGGGCAGAGTCTGTATGGGAAATCTTAGTATTTTCTACTCAATTTTGATGTGAAACTAGAACTGTTCTGAAAAATATAAAGTCTAATTTTTAAAAAAGATTTTGGGCAGTGAGTTAATAAACTCTATCTCACATGATGTTTTCAGTAGTGATGGATAACATAGAGGCTATTGAGGTGTACATCGCTGGCTGAACTTCAAGACACATATCTTAATTTCTGAATGAAATGTTAGAATACTGGCACCAATTCTCATTTCTCTAACATATCCTAAGACCACTTGTTAGTGGGTGTTCGTGGTTCTAGCAGAGTCTGATTCTGCATTGGCATTCAATGAGTCAGTTAATGTAATTATTTTATATGCTTGCATTTTGGTGTGGTTCAAGCATAGGAAATTTTATATTAAAAAATGTGTCCAATAAACTTTTTTTTATCATAGAAGTTTCTGAGAAAGACGAGCAAAGAGGAGGACTCATCTTACCACTTTTTAAGTCATACTTGCTATAGTAACAAAAAGTATGGTGGTATTGGTAGAGAAGCTGACACACAGAACCAAGCAAAAATAAGAATACCCAGAAACAAATTTATAGTTGATTAGGTTAGAGTTATGTGATTATGGTGACAATACAGATCAATGGAGGAATGGATTAATGTTTTAATTGATTGAATTGGTATACTGGCTCTCTAAGTGTAACAGCCCCAGACAAATCTGGCTCAACTTTTATGTAACAAAGTTGTGAGTTGTTTTTCAGTTACCATGGTCCCTTAGTTTGAGGATCACCTACCCTGAGCATGCCCAGATAAACCAAACCTACAATCAAAGGTGCAACTTAAGTGTACAGACTGAGGAATGAGGACTGAATTAAGAAATGGACACTGCATGGCAGGATCCAGGATTCAATTAGATTGAGCCCTAGTCTTACCTCTTGGCAGGATCCAGTAAGGTCATGCCTCCCAGCATTACCTCATTGCAAGATCCAGTCAGATCACACCTCATTACCCTATCATATAAAACCTGACCCAATCCCCAGCTCAGGGAGATAGGTTTGAGCATTTCCTCCTGTCTCCTTGCCAGTCAATTTGTAGTAAAGCCTTTTCTTTTCCCAAAAACTGGTGCCATGGTATTGGCTTCCATGTGCATTGGGCAGCAAGATATGGACTGCTCATTAACATATATAAAAAAAGAAGTTGAACCCTATTTCAAACAACATAGAAGAGTAAATTCCAAATCAATTAAAAAAATCTAAATGGGAAAGTAAAACTATAATATAAATAGAAAAAATGTAGAAGATCTTTGTGATCTTGGGGTAGAAATTTCTTCAATAAAATGCAAAAGTACACACCAAAAGACCAAAAAAAAATCACTAATTTGACTACATCAAAATTAGTCATTTCTATTCAGTGAAAAACCATAGATAAAGTCAGAGAAATACAGATAGGGTTCTACTTTTCTCCATAAAACGAACACAGATTTTTTAACGTTCAGTAATACCAAGTTTTGAAGTCTCCCACTATTATCGTGTTGCTGTCTATCTAATTTCTTAGGTCTATTAGTAATTGTTTTATAAATTTGGGAACTCTAGTGTTAGGTGCACATATGTTTAGGATTGTGATATTTTCCTGTTGGACAAGGCCTTTTACCATTATATACTGTCCCTCTTAGTCTCTTTTAACTGCTGTTGCTTTAAGGTTTGTTTTGTCTGATACAAGAATAGTTACTCCTGCTGGCTTTTGGTGTCCATTTGCATGAAATGCTTTTTTCTACCCCTTTGCTTTAAGTTTGTGTGAGTCTTTATGTGTTAGATGAGTCTCCTGAAGGCAGCAGATAATTGGTTGGTGAGTTCTTATCCGTTTAGCAGTTCTGTATCTTTTAAGTGGAGCATTTAGGCCATTTACATTCAATGTTAATATTAAATTTGAGGTACTGTTGCTTTCATCATGCTCTTTGTTGCCTGTGTAGTTTGACTTTTTTGTTTGTTTTTGCTTTTTAACTTGTATTTTTGTTTTATAGGTCGTGTGTGATTTATCTTTTAAAGAGGTTCTGTTTTGATATGTTTCCAGGATTTGTTTCAAGACTTAGAGCTCCTGTTAGCAGTTCTTGTAGTGGTGGTTTGGTAATAGAGAATTCTCCCAGTATTTGTTTGTCTGAAAATGACTCTGTCTTTCCTTCATACATGATGCTTGGTTTCCCTGGGTACAAAATTCTTGGCTGATAATTGTTTTGTTTGAGGAGGCTGAAGATAGGTCCCCAATGCCCTCTAGCTTGTAGGGTTTCTGCTGAGAAATCCTCAATTATTCCCCTGAACCTGTTTTCCAGGCTTTTAGAAATCTCTTCTTCCTCAGGTACATCAGTTATTCTTAGGTTTGGTTGTTTAACATAATCCCAGACTTCTTGGAGGCTTTGTTTATATTTTCTTTTACTTTCTTCTTTGTCTTTGTTGAATTGGGTTAATTCGAAGACCTTGTCTTTGAGCTCTGAATTTCTTTCTTCTACTTATTCAATTATATGGCTGAGACTTTCCAGAGCATTTCGCATTTCTAAAAGTGTGTCCAAAGTTTCCTGAATTTTTCATTGTTTGTCTTTAAGCTATCTACTTCCATGAATATTTCTTCCTTCACTTCTTGTATCATTTTTTGGATTTCCTTGCATTGGGCTTTGCCTTTCTCTGGTCCTTCCCTGATTAGCTTAATAACTAACTTCCTGACTTCTTTTTCAGGTAAATCAGGGATTTCTTCTTCGTTTGCATCCATTGCTGGTGAAGAAGTGTGATTTTTGGGCGGTGTTGACGAGCCTTGTTTTGTCATATTACCAGGGTTGATTTTCTGGTTCCTTCTTATTTGGGTAGGCTCTGTTAGAGGGAAAGTCTAGTGCTGAAGGCTGTTGTTCAGATTCTTTTGTCCCATGGGGTGTTCTCTTGATGTAGTACTCTCCCCCTTTTCTTATGGATGTGGCCTCCTGTGAGTTGAACTGCAGTGATTGTTGTCTTTCTTGTGGGTCTAGCCATCCAGTGAGACTACCCAGCTCTGGGCTGGTACTGGGGGTTGCCTGCACAGAGTCCTGTGATGTGAACCATCTATGAGTCTCTCAGCCAGGGATACCAGAGCATGTTGGGTGGAAGTGGCAGAGGGTGCAATAGACTCCTTGAGAGTTTTTAGCTTTAGTGATTTAGTGCTCTATTTTTGTGCTGGTTGGCTTCCTGCCAAGAGATGGCACTTTCCAGAAAGCATCAGCTATAGTAGTGTGGAGAGGGAGCGGTGGTGGGTGGTGCCCTAGAACTCCCAAGATTACATGCCCTTTGTCTTCCACTACCAAGGTGGAGAGGGAAGGACCATGAAGTGGGGGTGGGGCTAGCCATGTCTTCTTAGGTGGGTCTTGCTGCAGCTGCTGTGGGGGATGGGGGTGAGACTCCTGGGTCACTGGAGTTATATACCTAGGAGGATTATGTCTGCCTCTGCGGAGTCAAGGAGGTTGCCGGGAAAGTGGTGGAAAGTGGGCAGTCACAGGCCTCACCCAGCTCCCATGCAAACTGAAGGGCTATCTGACTCCCACCATGTCCCCACCAAGAGCCCAGAGTCTGTTTCCAGGTGGAGAGTGAGAGGGGCTTGCTGGAGGCTATTTGCCTCCCAGCTGTGAAAGAAAAGGGCTTACTCGAGATGGATTAGAAACTTAAACTTAAGACTTGAAACTATAAACGTTCTAGAAGATAACAGTGGGAAAAAATCCTTCTAGATATTGGCTTAGGCAAGGATTCCATAACCAAGAACCCAAAAGCAAATGCAATAAAAACAGATAAATAGCTGGGACCTAGTTAAACTAAAGAGATTTTGCAAGGCAAAAGGAACAGTCAACAGAGTAAACAGACAACCCACAGAGCGGGAGAAATATCTTCACAATCTATACATCTGACAAAGGACTACTATCCAGAATCTACAAGGAACTCAAAGAAATCAGTGAGCAAAAAACAATCCCATCAAAAAGTGGGCTAAGGTTATGAATAGATAATTCTCAAAAGAAGATATACAAATGGCCAAAAAAAAAAAAGAAAAAATGCTCAACATCACTAATGATCAGGGAAATGCAAATCAAAACCACAATGTGATACCATCTTACTCCTGCAAGAATGCCCATAATAAAAAAAATGAAAAACAATAGATGTTGGCATGGATGCGGTGAACAGGGAACACTTCTACACTGCTGGTGGGAATGTAAACTAGTACAGCCACTATGGAAAACACTGGAGATTTCTTAAAGAACTGAAAGTAGGACTGGCATTTGATTCAGCAATCCCACTACTGGGTATCTACCCAGAGGAAAAGAAGTCATCATTTGAAAAAGATACTTGCACAAACATGTTTATAGCAACACAATTCACCATTGCAAAATCGTGGAACCAACCCAAATACCCATCAATCAAAGAGTGGATAAAGAAACTGTGATATATATACATATACATATGCATATATGTATACATACATATACATATGCATATATGTATACATACATATACATATGCATATATGTATACATACATATACATATGCATATATGTATACATACATATACATATGCATATATGTATACATACATATACATATGCATATATGTATACATACATATACATATGCATATATGTATACATACATATACATGTATATATGTATGTGTATATATACATATATACATATATATGTGTATATATGTAAATATATGTATATGTATATATCTGTATATATACATATATATAAACTGTGATATATATATTCCATCATATATATACATATATATTCCGTCATATATATATACATATATATTCCATCATATATATACACATATATATTCCGTCATATATATACACATATATATTCCGTCATATATATATACATATATATTCCGTCATATATATATATACACACACATATATATTCCCTCATATATATATATGTGTGTGTATATATATATATATATATATATATATATATATATATATATATATGATGGAATACTACAGAGCCATTAAAAGGAATGAATTAGCAGCATTTGCAGTGACCTGGATGAGATTGGAGACTATTATTCTAAGTGACGTAACTCAGGAATGGAAAACCAAACATTGTATGTTCTCACTGATATATGGGAGCTAAACGATGAGGATGCAAAGGCATAAGAATGATACAATGGACTTTGGGGACTTGTGGGGAAGAGTGGGAGGGGGATGAGGGATAAAAGACTACAAATATGGTGCCGTGTATACTGCTCAGGTGATGGATGTGCCAAAGTCTCACAAATCACCACTAAAGAACTTATGTAACCAAATACCACCTGTATCCCAATAACTTATGGAAAAATAAATAAATAAAAAACAAAAATAATAATACTAAGTTTTTTAATGTGAGAAAATAAAAACCTTCACAAATTAATAATAAACATGTCAATAAGTGCAGCCTTTCTAAAGAATGGCATAGCAGCATATTCCCTTTGACCCTGTGCTCCCTCTTCTTACTATGTCCCGGAGATTCTCTCCCACCAGTCCATGAGATGTGGATATGGATGTTCAGTGGAGCAGCTTCTGGGGGTGTTTGGAAGAACCTCATGTGGTGAAAATATATCACAGTACACTATATAGCAACCAAAAGCACTAGAGTTGATGTGCATGTGTGCGTGTGTGTGTGTGTGTGTGTGTTATATTTCGTTATGACCAGGTCCCAAATACATGGTGTTGAGTAGGAAAAAAGTGAAAAAGAAAAGGAGACTACAGAATATTTGCAAAACAAAGTAACATACTACAAATAATATATTCATACTGAAGCTATATATTAAGCACATTAAACTTGTTCCTATGGGTGATGGGGAGCCACAAGGAGAGGAAGAAGTGGAAACACTTATAGCCTCAGATAAAACACACCAATGGTAACAGTGTGCCTTGAACTGAGGATTAGAATTATTGCAGTTTTTGCCATTAAAAGTATGGCAAAAACTTCAATTACTTTTTCACCAACCTAATAGCTAAATTATATAAAATGAACTTCTTAAAACAAACAAACAAAAAAAACTAAAACAAAATGTACTTCAGTAAGTTGAATAGATAAGGATATTACATTTATTCTTTGTTAATGATTTTTTTAAAAATCTCCTTAACATGAATATATTAAAAAAGAAAGATCACTAATAGAGTATGTGAAAAGTGGCAGAAATAGCAAATAAGAAATGACAATACAATAGTGTTTGATCTGATAATACAATGACATAGATAAACATTCGAAGATGGTACATGATAACAGCCATGTCTGAAAGAGCAGGAAGAAATGCAATGCAGAGTGGTGGGAAAACATTGGCAGAAAATGTTCAAACACAAGCAGATATGACCCAGAATTCTAAGTCTGAGTTGGCCTTGCATACGTTCCCTGAGGAAGACTGATGGAAAATTCTTATCACATCAATATTTTTAAATTGCTTGAACCCCAAAATTTCATTTTGTGCATGACATCTTACATAGGTAGGTAAACTTTCTGACCTTCCAAAATTTATTCTAATTTCATATAACTCTTATTGTTTCTAATCCAGTGATTATGAGTTGCCCTCTTATGTGGCCTGGAACTCTTTGGAGTCTGTGAAGTCTTTGGACCCCTTCTCAGAATAATTTTCATCAAAATCGATTGTTCATTTGTTAATATTATTAATAGGCTGTGCTATCATTTGTGATTCTCAGCATGAAGACAGTGATAGGCACTGGATATTTGTAGACAAATACAGGTTTCTGTAAGTGCTTCAGCAGCATCTCCTCATGCTCATGAGTCTCACTGACTACCCTTGTTGCCTAGCAACAGCACTTTATCACAGACGACCTAATAGTCAAATGAATTGGAAGAGTCAGAAATTGAAAATGTAAAGTACAGTAGTTATTTGTCTAAATTGAGATTTGCCTGGTGTTCTATAACTTGTGAAAAATATTGGTCCTGGGAGTATTTTTTATTGTTTATAACCCCATTAACAGGAGAAGCAGTATATCAGTGAACTCTGCTGTACCAATTCTATCCATTTATAGGTGGGAATGATCTCAGGCAGCGTGAGGCAATTGCTTGGTGTGCTTTATCCTATGCAGGTTCACAGAAAGAGTCAAAAATAATCATCTGAAAAGTGTTTCAAGGAGTCCAGCTTCAAATGTTCTCTTCTACCATAAAATTTAATTATATTTTGAAGCAATCTGGTCACTTATAGCTAAGACACAAGAAAACATTTCCTTCTTCTTTTTCCTCCCCTTTTCTCCCACTGTTTCTTCATTCTACCAGTTAGTTGGTTAGTCTTTAAGCCTTGCATAATATTAGATGCAAAAAATGAGAGGAATGAGAAATGAGTAACAACTATGTTCTCCATCCTCTTTTTTTATGCTTTTATGCCTCTTCTCTTTTCATAATTAGCAATCTGAGAGACAGACATCAATGAAATTTAAGAAATGCATGCATAGTGCTCTTTCGGGATAGCACACAGTCTGATAAAATTTCTCATTTCAATAACATAGTTTCAGGAGAGAGCTGCTTGATTCTACAAACTTATCATATTTTCATTGTGATATTTTAATGAAATTAAATCTTATTCATGGAATTTAAATTACCAATATCCCACTGTTTTCCACTCCAAATCTATCCTTTCAGCACTCTTAGAAGTCTGTCTCTCATGTACTTTTATACACCATTTCATTTCTGCCTTTGCTATTATTCTCTTTCATCATAATCATGTTATTGACAACAAAGAGGGCTTTTTAAAATTTTCTCTCTTCAAATTCCTTTTTCTTCTTCACTCTATTTTAAATGAATGTATAAATTCATAAAACCACTATGCAATGTGTTTGCTTAGTGTACTTCATAAAGTGACTCTGGATCTTTAAGTATCCCCAAAGTGTGCCTACATTTTATATAACATGAAATATAAAACTTAGACTTTTAAAAGAGAGGTGAGATTTGATCCATGGGTTGATTAATCTGCCATAATGAGCTGTGCAATGCCAACTTTTCACAGCACTACTAATCCACAACTATGCAATGTTATACTTGAAAGAAAGTATGTGTCCCTATAGAGTATAAGTTTTCATTTAAAACTCCATGGTCATCTTACCATTGAGCTTGAAAGATCAACTTGCAGTTGTTTCAAATCTAGCCACAAAGCCGTATTTGTTGATTCTGTGCTCTCTTGCTCTCTTTCTCTCTCACGCACACATAAACACAAGTTCCTTTAATCTATTCTTATTTTCCACTTACTGCCTTTGCCTTAAAGTTTTGAAGAGTTCTACATATTATTTTCTAATGAGTTACCAAAATGCTTAGGAAGAAAAGTATAGCATTCTTTGTTTTTGTCTTGTTCTTCTGCCTTTACATTTCTACTTGCCATACAATTTCAATTACTTTAAGATTTTTATTTTGTCTTCATAAAGTTACATTTTTCCAGACTATAGGCACACTGTATAATTTTCATCAATTTTTTACCTCAAAATGATGACAAACTCTTTTCATTAACATTTTTGCCCTAAGATGTCTTTATTATATTTTATAATGCAAGCCATTTTTTTTTCTTTAGCTTGTTGAAAAGAGCTCTACTTTGAGCCTATTTGTTTTTCTACGAGCATTTTCAGCAAAATCCACTCAGTTGGAGGGACAAATAATTTATCAATTACAGCATGTTCTAAATGTTGTTAGAAATTTTGTTATTTAAGAATATAGTTATATGTTGCTCATGCTTTAAAAAATGGACTAAAAAGTCACAGTATTGTGAAATTATAGGATTGTTTGAGGATTTCTAATGCTCTTTTCTTTAGATAGGTATGAAATTACATATAGTCATGTTAATTTTCAAATTTCGTTCTGTTAGTATCTTTTTTCTTTATTTCCTAATATATTTTGGAATATGGGTTATGTAACAACTTATAATATTCTATTATTTTAAATGCATACATTTTCTTTGCAAGGGTTTTGGTCTTGCATCAAATGCATCTTCACCTATTCTCTGCTGTATATTTGCATCTGGCTTTTCTTCACTCATTGGCTTAACTGAGTGATTCTAATAAAACTAATGCCTTTTTAGGCCCTTTGTATTACTAGTATCATTTCCATTTCATTATTTAAATTTTGCTCTTTGAAGATTCATAGGTCCCTTGGTCTTCAGGCTCTGCCAAAAACCAGAAATAGTCTGCTTATTATACATATAGTTGAGGTCCATTGATTCCTATCAAAAGATATATTGTCCATTAAAATATGCGAAGGACAAGGTAACAAGGTTTGGATTCTAGGGCACGCTAGATGGATACGAATCTCCATCTTACCTCTTTCTGTATGTGAAGTTCAGTGATTTATATTTGTTTTGCTTGCCCTCCCAACCCCCCACCCCCACTCCCTTTTTGTATTTTAAGGAAACAGGAAAATGGAATGGGACTAAATTCCATTTTAACTTCAGCTTTACCATAAACAATACCAAAAATTCCAGTAAAGTCTGGTGGATTTGCTCATCAGGCTCTCCTCCACCTCAGTGATACCCTATCTCCTTCTCCACGTGAATATAAACCATCTGCTCCAGCCAGACTCCTCCCCCTACTGACTCCTGAGAACCATCATGGGCATTCCCATTAGAGCAGCAACTTGTCGTTTTTGTAATCTACTTTTAAAAATTAGAAATCGTTGGCTAAGCTCTTGTAGGAACTACCAAACAAGTTATCAATAATTGCTACATAATCAGTCTGGCCTCACAGGATCTTCAGAAAGATCCAATGATTTCTCCTTCAACTCAGTTGTCTTGTGCACTGCCACCATTTGAATGGAAACATTTACCTCCCTGACCATTCTCTCTTCTACTTTCAGAAAGCAAAGTTCTCACAAGTCCGAGAAACAAAAAAAAAAGCAATGTTTCCGTAGCATTAGTTCAATACTGAGCCGTAACTCCACTGTCCTTCGTGCACTGTTCAGCTTCTTGTACATTACGCCCTACTCAGTTCAACATTCCACCTAACAGTCATTATCAAAGCCTATATTTTGTAGCAACAATAAGTGTATCAATTGGTCACAATTTAATTGAGCATCTATAAAAAGTTTGTGCATACAAGTGAAGGTCAAACTGTTATCTTCCTCTAAAATATAGTCTTGTACCCCATCCCCATCATAATTCTTCCCACCATCAGTGTTAATCAAGGCTCAGCCTCTCTGCTTTACCTCCTTCATTAATCTCAGCCTGCATTGATTTCCCTTCGCTCCAAAGTGTGTCAGTGAACTTATAGTCAAGGACATTTTATTAATTATTTTATATCTTTATATCTCACCACCTGAAGTATACAGCACTTACAAGTCAGAAAAATTGACTTCACCACCTGAGGTGTAGAGCACTTACAAGTCAGAGAAGTTTTGCAACACCTCAGTGAACAGATTTTCAATAGATACTTTTGAATGCCTATGAGACTGATTGGGAATGCAATAGGAATTGGCAAAACTAAGTTCAGTTCAAAATTTTCTAATAATTACTTAGATCATCTACAACAAAATAGGTTTATTTCTCTGGCTGTTGGTTTTCTCATACACTAAAGAAGAGATTTGAGTCTCTTTCAGCTCTATGATTTGCTGAAGTGATGAATCTCTCTCAAGTAAAGAGAGAATGAGCAAAGTTAAAGATTGGCAGTAGGCAAAGATAATGGAGATATCTAAGGGACACACGGTGTTGTCGTGTTCTGCTGGCAATTTCCAACTTTAAACATTAAAAAGAAAGATTCTAGCCCCTACTTATGAGAGAGATCTGTGTTACGGTGAATACAGAAGATGAGCGCTCAAGTTTAGCTCTTCTACTTTTAGTTGTGTGATCTTAGGTCACTGATTTACCTTTTTGGGCACAAATTTTTAATATGCAAATGAGGAATAATAACATCTACCTCCTAGGTTTCTCATCATTATTAAAAGAAGTATTTATGAAATAAGTTTGTAAACATAATATAGTATCACAAGCAGTAATACCAGTACTTTTTAAATAAGTGACATATAAATGCTGTGTATAATTACTCATTTTTTGATCAACATTTATTTAACCAGCTTTATTTCTTTTTTCCTTAGCCTGTATAGACTAGTTATATTTCGGATGACATTTAAAGGCTTGGAATCATTTATTTCCTGGGCCACACTTATCAGCAAAAAGATAAATTCACCTTGTCTATGTTTGAAAGTACATTTTTTCTTGCATTTATTTATTTCTTTGTACTTCATTGGGTACAAAATGTTTGTGATTATCATCTAAATGTGTCAATAAATCTGTTTAATCTTCCACATGGAAAGTAAGGATTGAACCATTACTACTTCTGGGTTATAGTTAAAAAATTGTCTGAGTGGAATTAAGTGCTATTTTAACCTATGGTGTATGTTGTACATTTATATAGCATTTGGGTTTTAATTGAATTGACTTTTAGTCATTCTCTGTGGAGTGTCTCTAGAAATATCTGGTGCATCTAGGCACTATTAAATAACATTTGTTCTCATATTGCCAGTTTTTCTATAACAATTTCTGGTGAATTTAGATGAATATTTTTACTTATCTGTCCTTTAGCATCGAGGGAATATTTATAGATATCCTCACAGGGTAAGGTCTATTTAGCTAACAATGTGCTGTAAAATACTTTTAGCATTGATATGATTTCTCACATCTAAGTGTAAATAACTATGTTCTTTCTGTGCATGAATACATGTAACTCACACTTGAAAGAGGATGACATTGATGCTGAGTATCACAAAGAGGAATGCCTTATCATCTCCAATGGGTATGTTTGGTCAAATGTGGAAGATGTTTTATGGGAACTAACCATCTGTATTAGAAACTTGAAAGTTAACAGACAAGCATTTCCAAATCACAGCCAGCAAGTGTGATTTCCTTGCTGATACTGAAATAAAACGCAGAGAGTTGGCTAGAAGAGTTAGTAAATAGTAAAAGACAAGACACAAGTCTGTTGGTACACAACCCCGATCTCTGAGGGGTGAGGGGGAAAAGCAGCTTCCTGCACAGGAAAAGAAGCTCTAAATAGAACAAGATGCTTCCTCGCACAGAACTTTGACATTTATCGAATGTAAGGAAATAGATTGAAAGTATCAGTTGTTTTGAACATTAAAGGACAGAAAGCTCAAAAAGCTTAAACTTCTTGCTTTTATCCCATTCTTTTTCCCCATCTGATGTTGAGAACATTCTTTACTAAAGACATAAATAAAATCAAATTACTGTTCAATTCCTTCATGCTCACCAAAAAGTCTGGAGGACATTTATACCAACTAAAGGAAAATCTACAATCAGTTGAAATGCAGCAAACACTGATGTATGATTTTTAACTGATCTTCATTCTTCATTCAACATTTATTAGGAGACCAGTGTACACATTCTCAACACTGTGTTTGGTCCTAAGACCAAGTTTAATTAAATATGTCCCTGCCCTCCAGGAACTCATGAACTGACACAGGAGATGAACACATACAATAACAAAACAACAAATACTGTACAATGAGTTACACAGTAAAGGTTTGCACAAAGCTATCTCTATATGTGCATACCTATATGTATTTTGATGACTGATTATATCCATACGTAATGTGATGAATGGGGCAAGTAAAGAGAGAATGAGTAAAGTTAAAGATTGGCAGTAGGCAAAGATAATCAAAATATCTAAGGGACATATGGTGTTGTCATGTTCTGCTGGCAATTTCCAATTTAAAACATTAGAATAAAGATTCCCCTACTTATGAGAGAGAGCTGTGATATATATGTATATATCAGTCATCAAAATAAATATAGGTACACACATATACACAGAACTTCGTGTAAACCTTTACTGTGTAATTTTATATATATACACACACATATGTATATATATGCATATATACACACACATATGTATATATATGCATATATACACACACATATGTATATATATGCATATATATACACACACATATGTATATATATGCATATATATACACACACATATATGTATATGTGAGTGTGTGTGTGTGTGTGTGTGTGTGTATATATATATATATATATATATATATATATAAAATCTTCCATTTAAAAAGAGCAGTTTGGCTACATTTGGCAATTAGCAATGTTGGCATGAAGCAAGGGCACAGGAAGGCTAATAAAATATTTTCTTGATAGCCTGACGCAATTTAGAATTAGACCTAGAATGAGATAATTCCATGGTCTGAGTGAGGATGAGGGGAAAAATAAGATCTTCATTAAAACATAAAACCAAATATATGATTAAGGTAAAATTCAGTCATTTTATTAATCAGAGATTGTTATGCATGTAATTGTTCTTCCCATTATCCCCCAAATTCATATGCTATAACCCATAGTATCTCAGAATGTGACTAATTGCAGACAGGGACTTTAAGGAGACAATTAAGGTTAAATGAGGTCGTTAGGGTGGGCCCTGATCCAGTATGACTGGTGTCCTTAAAGAGGAGATTAGGACACAGACACACATGGAGGAAGAATGAGGGAGAAGTCAGCCATCTACAAGCCAAGAAAGGAGGCCTCAGGAGCAATCAACCCTGCTGACACCTTGATCTCAGACTTCTACCCTCCAGAACTGTGAGCAGTAAATTTCAGTTGTTTAAGCCACCCAGTCTATATGGCAGACCTACCATACTAACATAGGAATAATTCATTCAGCTTCTGAATTAAGGGATTTTCTTCTTAGTCCCAGTTTCCTTTCAGATTGTATTTACTTAGCTAGCAACAGGATTAAAAGAAATACCTAGTCTTAGGGAAAAATGAATTTGACTTCTATATTATCACTGCTTTTGCTGCAGGCTAAAACAGGCCATTCTAACTATTTCCTTCAAGAGTTATTTATGGAACAATGCCTACTTGAAACCATCATACTTTCCACGTGGACACTGTCTTCAATAGTGAGGAAACCTTGTTTGTCATTGTTAGAGGCTCTGGGAAGGGTCTCAAGGAATATAATGAGTCGAGTCAAGGTTAAAAGGAAGTTGATGGCTTAGGTGTTACTTTACTCAACTCTGCAATTAATTTATATATTAGCTCTGAATAGACATTATTTTGTACTCTGGAAAAGTTCTCCTCATGTGTAGCTGGGGCCCCTTCAAAAACAGAAGTGAAGCCCAGGTTCTGCACATAATCCTTCTTCAAGAGCAGGGAAGTGGCGTAAAGATAATCAATCTCAGACAAGAATATAATCTCAGAAGACCAGCTGCATGTCTTGTGAGCTCCTCCCCATGGCTGAGTTGCTTTCCTAACAGTCACTTTCAAACCTTTCATATTATTTCCACTGTGAATACAAGTCAGGTTATTGAAGCCTTGTGTTTGTAGAGTTACTGCTGTAAGACAGGTGTCTTGGGGAACATAGACAACAAATAAGTCTGGGAAGGGCTACCTGGTACTTAAGATGCTCTCATTGTTGTCTGTCTCTGGTACCTTGGACCAATTTTCCATCTCAGCTGCTGCCATAGTGCTCTGCCCCATGGTGAGCCAGTGATCACCTTCGTGCCACAGCTCAAACTTTTGTCTCCTACCTGCAGGCTTACCTGCTAGTGCTAATATGTGAGAAACAGCAGGATCATGCAGGCCCTCTGCAAATTAGCCACATGAAAATGGAGAATAATGCTCTTGAGAAGAACTAATATGAAATGAGTCTGTCAGATAAATTCTTTATCTTCCCCTTAGTGCCCTAAGAATCAGTTGTTTATATGCTGTGTTAGTCCATTTTCACACTGCTATAAAGAATCACCTGAGACTGGGTAATTTATGAAGTAAAGAGGTTTAATTGACTCAATGTTCCACAGGTTTAGCAGGAAGCATGATGGGAGGCTTCAGGAAACTTACAATCATGGTAGAAGGCAAAGGGGAAGCAAGGACCTGCTTCACATGGTGGCACAGAGAGAGAGAGAGCATGTGAAGAGGGAAGTGCCACCCACTTTCAAACAACCAAATCTCATGATAACTCACTCACTATCATGAGAACAGCAAGGGTGAAATACACCCCCATGATCCAATCACCTCCCACCAAGCCCCTCCCCTGACATGTGGGGATTACAACTTGAGATGAGATTTGGGTGGGGACACAGAACCAAACCATATCATATGCTTCTCAGAAGATGGTCCCAAGAGATTAATCAACTGATTGGACTTGATTCCATTGAGTGCTTGGCTTCATAATGAAGACTTTGACTGCATTTGTCCTCCTTGCTTCTCTCTTCTTTGTCCTTATTCCTGTTTTGCCCTTATTCCTGCTACTAGGGCTGTGATTGCAGACTCGTAAAACTTTATTCCAGGCCAAGACAGATGAGAAGAGAAAAGAAGCTCATTTTTGAATTTGATGACATTATTTGATCCAAAAATTAGGAAGCAAAGAGTTCATTTAATTACTACTTTCAAATACATATGGAATTTTCTGCTTAATTTTATCAAAGTACTAGGAGGATATGATGGCCTTCTGACATGTCCGTATAGTTAGGCCAAACTACCTTTCCGAGACAGAAGTCTTATGTGTTTCTTATGTGTTTCCAGATAGGATGAGCTACACGGGATAGTGTCTTATGGAAGATGGCAGAGAGACAGCCACCATTTTGCATCAGGAGCACATATTCTCCCGGTTATTCTAACGCTAATCTAAATGCTGATGTGAAATGATTTTATGAATATAATTAAAATTCCATGGGGTAACTTTAATCAAAAGAGAGATTATTTTAAATGGGCAGGGCTTAATCTGTTGGAAGGACTTTTAAAAGAAGGCTTAGACTTTCCCTGACCCGAGAGTCTCTAATAGTGACTGGTGTAAAATTGCTCCCCTTTTTTTTTTCCCAATCTCCTTTACTGACTGGCTGCTGCCTGTGGTCAAAAAGCTTCAGCTCATGCCATGGAACTCTAGCCTTTTCACTATCTTTCCTTCCTGGCTGTCTCCCCAGTGGACTTCAGATTTTCTTAGCCCACCCCACAGCTGTGTAACCAATTCTTTGTTTAAAAAAGAAAAATTTATATAAATATAAAATTTGAGGGAAATCTATTTTTTAATTAAATGTAGGCAGTCACCTAATTTACTTATTCCTTGTGCTAGACTTACTATTTATTTACCTTTGGAAATAAAAAAAGTGACTATAAAACAAACTACAATATATTCATTTATTTTATTTTTACTAAATTACACCTATTATGTGACAAACGTTATGTAGCACTGTGGAATCAAAAATTGATACCACCTTGTTCTTGTCCTCTAGGGAACTCACAAACCAGTAGGAAAGGCAGACACATATGCTAGCTTATTTTATATGGTAATATCAGGCACAATCCAAGTAAGTCCATTATATGCAGGCGGCTTTCCATTCTTTGATTTCAAAGGGTTAGAATACCTAATCAAGCTGTCAAACAAAAGATGATATGAAGGTATATGACAAAAAGTCAAGTGAAATTACTATATTGAAACAAGATTCCTTATCATTCACACTATAAAAATGAAAAGTAGATTTTATGTTTAAGTCTTTAATCTATCTTGAGTTAATTTTTTGTATAAGGTGTAAGGAAGGG
The DNA here is from genome assembly GCF_000001405.40 of Homo sapiens. Lineage (NCBI taxonomy): Eukaryota > Metazoa > Chordata > Mammalia > Primates > Hominidae > Homo > Homo sapiens. The sequence goes on from NC_000006.12 coordinate 113,041,544, forward strand.
GTCCAGTTTCTGTTTTCTGCATGTGGCTAGCCAGTTTTCCTAGCATCTTTTATTATTATTAAATAGGGAATCCTTTCCCCATTGCTTGTTTTTGTCAGGTTTGTCAAAGATCAGATTGCTGTAGATGTGTGGTGTTATTTCTGAGGCCTCTGTCCTGTTCCATTGGTCTATATATCTATTTTGGTACTAGTACCATGCTGTTTTGCTTACTGTAGACTTGTAATATAGTTTGAAGTCAGGTAGCATGATGCTTCCAGCTTTGTTCTTTTTGCTTAGGATTGTCTTGGCCTTATAGGCTCTTTTTTGGTTCCATATAAAATTTAAAGTAGTTTTCTCTAATTCTGTGAAGAAAGTCAATGGTAGCTTGATGGGAATAGCATTGAATCTATAAATTACTGGGCAGTATGGCCATTTTCAAAATAGTGATTCTTCCTATCCATGAGCATGGAATGTTTTCCATTTGTTTGTGTCCTCTCTTATTTCCTTAAGCAGTGGTTTGTAGTTCTCCTTGAAGAGCATCTTCGTATCCCTTGTAAGTTGTATTCCTAGATATTTTGTTCTCTTTGCAACAATTGTGAATGGGAGTTCACTCATGAATTGGCTCTTTGCTTGTGTATTATTGGTGTATAGGAATGCTTGTGATTTTTGCACGTTGATTTTGTATCCTGAGACTTTGCTGAAGTTGCTTATCAGTTTAAGGAGTTTTTGGGCTCCTAAAACCATAAAAACCCTAGAAGAAAACCTAGGCAATACCATTCAGGACATAGCCATGGGCAAAGACTTCATGACTAAAACACCAAAGCAATTGCAACAAAAGCCAAAATTGACAAATGGGATCTAATTAAACTAAAGAGCTTCTGCACCGTGAAAGAAACTACCAGCAGAGTCAACGGGCAACCTACAGAATGGGAGAAAACTTTTGCAATCTATCCATCTGACAAAGGGCTAATATCCAGAATCTACAAGGAATATAACAAATTCACAAGAAAAAAAATAAAAAAGTGGGCAAAGGGTATGAACAGACACTTCCCAAAGAAGACAATTTTGCGGCAAAGAAACATATGAAAAAAATCTCATCATCACTGGTCATTAGAGAAATGGAAATCAAAACCACAATGAGATACCATCTCATGCCAGTTAGAATGGCAGTCATTAAAAAGTCAGGAAACAACAGATGCTGGAGAGGCTGTGGAGAAATAGAAATGCTTTTACACTGTTTCTGTGAGTGTAAATTAGTTCAACCATTGTGGAAGACAGTGTGGCAATTCCTCAAGGATCTAGAACCAGAAATACCATTTGACTCAGCAATCCTATTACTGGGTATATACCCAAAGGATTATAAATCATGCTACTATAAAGACACATGCACATGTATGTTTATTGCAGCACTATTCACAATAGCAAAGACTTGGAACCAAGCCAAATGCCCATCAATGATACACTGGATAAAGAAAATGTGGCACATATACGCCATGGAATACTATGCAGCCATAAAAAAGAATGAATTTATGTTCTTTGCAGGGACATGGATGAAGCTGGTAACCATCATTTTCAGCAAACTAACACAGGAACAGAAAACCAAATACTGCATGTTCTCACTCATAAGTGGGAGTTGAACAATGAGAACACATGGACACAGGGAGGGGAACATCACACACCAAAGCATGTTGGGGTGTGGGGGGTAAATAGAGGGAGACCATTAGGACAAATACCTAATGCATGTGGGGCTTAAAACCTAGATGATGGGTTGGTAGGTGCAGCAAACCACCATAGCACATGTATACCTATGTAACAAACCTGCACGTTCTGCACATGCATCCCAGAACTTAAAGGAAAATTTTAAAAAAGAAAAGTAGTACTAGAATTGATGTAGAAAGAATCCTTTCTCAGTCATGCATTAAGTACTATTAATCTAAATATTTATTTGAACTATTTGAAGAATAAGCAGCTGTCCATGTTACTAGGACATACATTCCTAATAAAATTTTAGATTTTATATTTAATAATCTATCAAAAATTTAATTTATTTTGATCAATTTTGTAGAAGTAATTACTGTAATATGTCAATCCTGAAGAAATTTATAACACTTAGACCATAATGACTGAAAACAAATTTAATTTAAAATATTAATATGCATATGTTTTTAACTACAGAGAAGTATGATAAGGTGATCTGTAAAACATTTTAGGCCAGGCACAGTGGCTCATGCCTATAATCCCAGCACTTTGTGGGGCTGAGGTGTGAGGATTTCCTGAGGTCAGGAGTTTGAGACCAACAGGGTGAAACTCTATCTCTACTAAAAATACCAAAATTAGTTGGGTGTGGTGGCGCATGCCTGTAATCCCAATTACTCGGGAGGCTGAGGCAGGAGAATCGCTTGAACCCAGGAGGTGAAGGTTGCAGTGAGCCGAGATCATGCCACTGCGCTCCAGCTGAGAGACAGAGCAACATTTCATTTCAAAAAAAAAAAAAAAAAGATTTTAAACATAAAATACATTAAATTAATATTAGGTAGTGTGATTGCTAATTATATGTATCACCTTGACTAGGCCATGTGTTTCCCCTATAGATATTTAGTCAAAAATTTTCCTGAGTGTTTATATGGGGATGTTTTTGGATGAGATTAACATTTAAATTGATAGACTAAATAAAGCAGATTGCTCCCCCTTAACAGAGCTGGTCTCATCTAATCAGTTGAAGGCCTGCATAGAACCAAAGGCTGACCCTACTCTTCACCCCCAGTAAGAGAGAAATGTCTCACCTGAGGGCCTGAAGACCTTCAAACTGCAACATAGGTCTTCTTGGCTCTACAGCAGCTGGCTGACCTTTGGGTTCAAGCTTGTATATGACATCCGGTCTGTGGATTTTGAATTTACTATCCTCCATAATCACATGAGCCAATTCTTTATAATAAATCTCATTGTATATGCATATTTTCTATTAGTTTTCTTTCTCTGGAGACCCTTGACCAATACAGGTGATGAAATGAAATGGAAGTTTAACTCATGGAGAAAAATAGCTATGTATAATTTCTGGCCATGAAAGAGCTTGTTTATTGATTTTTAAAATAAATAATGGTATCTTTGACTCATTGTGGTGTATGGATTGTATTGAATGGATGCATTTTAAATAGTGGAGTAAAAGTTTTACTCTAAAAAAGGGTTTCACAAATGTTTTCTGTAAAGGACTTGATAGCAAATATTTTAGATTTTGTGGGCAACACAGTCTCTGTAGTAACTACTAAAGTCTGCTGCTATAGCACAAAAGGGACCAGAGACAATATGCAAATTATTGAATATTGCTGTCTTTCAATAAAACTTTATTTCCAAAAATGTGGTAGGCCTGATTTGGCTGACCAAATCAGGAAGTCAGCTAGTTTGGTAGTTGCTGCTCTGTAATATCAATATTTACACAACAGTAAAAGTTACATGTTTTATAAATTCTTAATCATATGATTAAAAATTTTAAGATACCAAAGTGAAAATGTTTGAAGAAATACACGGTTTATCAGAAGTCTTTAAGGAGGCACATGAGCAAAGAACCTTGCAGACTAGTGCCACTCATGTGAAGACTGGGAAGGAGGATAGGAGAACGTAGGCAAGTGAGAAAGCGAGAAGGTACATCCAGGGAAAGGGGCAGCATGAACAAAAACACAGGAAACAGCATGGTGTGCTCCTGCTCTTCCAATAGCTCGATGTTGTAAGAATACAACACACAACATAGGAAAGAGGAGAAGCTCAGCTGGCAGCCAAAGACCAAATAAAATAGGTTTGTATATTTTCTACTCAGGCGTTTGAAATTTATACTGTAGGTAGCCAGAAGTCATTGAAGAATTTTAAGAAACAAAGTAACATTACCTGAGGTTGTGGATATGCAAAATAGGCTTAGGAAGGCAGGATTAGAAAGAGGAAGATTATTTAGGAGACTATGGCTGAAGTAAATTGAGAACTGGAAGTGATCTGAACTATGGAGGAGGACTAGGAATGGTTTCAGATAGATCTAAGAAATATACACTAAGTGATACTGACAGGCCATCGTCATTGGTGGGTCGTTGGGCAGGTAATAGAGGAGGTGGAGGCTTCCACTGGTGATATGGAAGAAGGTATTGACAAGGATTTTTCCTTTGGTGTCAGGATGAAATATGTTGTCACCATCCGAAATACAGCCTTTAAGAAAAAGCATGAATTGACTGGTAGTGTTGAGGAAGTACACTTTCAGATTGGCATGGTAAAACAGGAATTGGATATAAGGTCTTAAAGTCATTTAAGTGATCTTGAATAGGAAAATAGATTTTAGAGTGATTTTCCTACAGCTGGTCTTAGAGAATATGAAATTGGGCCAATTTCTCCCAGAGAGAGTACAAAACGAAAAGATCAGCTGTTGAGGATGAACCCTCCAGGAATATCAACATTTAAAAGGCAGGTGAAGAAAAACCTATTAAGAAGAAGGAGGTGAGGAGCAAAGATAGTAACCGGCTCAAAATAGTATATCTTTTATTAATGTAAGTTAAATAAAGTTTTCAAAACTAGATATGAATTATCAGGGTCAAATGCAGTAGTTAAGTGAAGAAAGATAGGGTGGAAATATCCCTTGTATTTGAATTTCATCAAGTGAAATTTCAAAAAACTAACGAGAGCAAAAGCTAGTTTACATTTGTATCATGGGTGTAAGAATCCAGAACTGCAAGAAGTTCAGATGAGAAGAGGAAGTAGATAGGAAATTAAAGAAATATTTAGGGTATAAAATCCATGCCTATGAGCTGAAAAGGTAGTCTAAAGATAGAGAATCAATAAAGAAATTAGGGAGCATTGTCTTGATGAGAAAAAGTGAAGATAGATAAGGCATGAGGTGGAATAGAAGTGATAAGAGATGAATGGGATTGTAAAGTGGAGGGAGATTAAATCTAAACCTTCAAGGTTCTCATGGAAGAACAAAGGGTCAGTTTACAGAGAATGGCAAGGGACAGAAGCTGACTTAAGGCTTTAAGGAAAGTGGTGAAAATTGGAAATACACATTGAGGAAAATAGAGTTGGGCCAACCACATGCGGCAGACACTGTTAGTGTTCAGCAAACATCATCTACCTTGTCCTCTACATCGCCTGAGCATTCATGTATCTAGGTTTATCTAAACTGAAGTGATGTGTCATATTTAATATATGACAGTTTAAAAGGGGTACACTTACTCCATGCTCTCTTGTTCCTGGCTATAAAACTCTTAAAGGCCATGTGTTCCAGAGTGGAATAGCTATAAGTTGGAAGAGGGTTATCAAGTGTTACCAGAATACAACATGAGCAGAAAGTAAGCCTTATTGTTTTAGGTTACTGAGATTTGGGGATTTATTTGTTATGGCGGCATAGGTGAATCCACCATGAATAACAGAAAGGTTACCGCCAGGATTATAGATAAGAATTTGCAGGACTGGTCTATATGGTTGAGTCATTTTTAACTCTCTGTCTAAGTAAGCTGAAGAAGTGTTGAGATTTACTGGTGGGTAGGACAGACGCACACACACACACACACACACACAGAATTAAGCATTAATAAGCTGGGATAAAAGAAAGTAACAGGGAATAAGGATCTCTTTTAGATTGAAAAGCAGATATGTGAGGGAAGCTGGAGTAAGACTGAAGCATGGAAGATTATACTCAGAGTGTAAAGTTACATTTGTGGTTTTCAAGGTAGAGTGTTTCCTGGTGATGGCTAAGTTCATGGATTTTCCCTTGGGACTGTAGCTGATGTGGAAGCGACATGACAGTTAGGGTGGTCCAGAATTTTCAGGGAAATTATTGCATGACTCATCTACATACATATTGAAACAACTGAAAAAACTGAAGTTCTGATTATTTGCTCAAAATTCATCAGTCACTAAAATAAAATACAAGTCATTGTTAAAGCATTTGCTTGTTTATACTTCTTGTCATATAATGCTTTTATTGGAGGAAACAAAAATGTCTCAGAATTTTTTATGAAGTAACACTACCATAAGGCATGTAGAAGTGACTGCTGTTTGTCAAGTTGTACAATTTTAACATGACAGTTAAATTAATGTATATATTTGAATTCCTACATTTAGCTTCTACTAAATTTGAATAAGGAGATATATGGTGGACTTAACATGTGAATTTAAATTTGCATTTTATTTTCAAGGAATATTAGACTGAATTGTAATGTTATCACTGTATAAAATAATTAAGTGCAAAAGGAACTTTAGTGACAATCCGTTTGATTTTATATACTGTCAAGTTTTTGCATCTGTCCACTAAATAGTTCAATTTATGAGCTGATGTAGACATTATTTTTAACTGAATGTTTCAATGTAGTTTGTGATCTTCAAAAGTATTTCTTCTATAATTTGATGCACAACTGTAATATGATGATGATAAGTTTGAATAGATAAACCTTGACATTGAGAGAGGTATCTTAATGCCTACTTTTAAAGGTATACAAATTAGTACGGGAAAAGAAGCAATTTTAATGCAGAAGTAAGTTATAAAACCTGTAAAATTTGTTTAATAAATTTGATTTGAGTGAGTCAGTGCCTGTAGAACATAAGGAAAGAGTTAGGCTAATTAAGGAATGCAGCTAGAACATCCTGAGAGAGGGCTCTGAGAGCAGGCCATGATGAATTAGACTTGCCTTGTCACCTTTCCTGCAATCTACCCCAACAAAATAACTTTGCCAACTCTAACAGTTTTGTATGGTTTCCACAGCAAATTACTGCAAACTTAGTGTCTTAAAACAACACAAATTTATATCGTAGCTTTGTAGGGCAGAAATCTGCCACAGGTCTTAGTGGGCTAAAATCAAGGTGTCAGCAGGGCTGCAATCCTTCCGTAAGCTGTTTCCTCATGTTTTTGGTTTTCTGGAAGCCACTCACATTTGCTCATGGCCCCCTTCCTCCATTTCAGAGTCAGAAATAATAGATCGTGTCCTCACCCTGCATCTCTCTGGCCACCTCTGCTTCCAGCTTCTACCTTTAAGGACCCTTGTGATGACATTGGGACCAGCTTCATTTCTCCAAATGTCCTCCTCTCATACCTCTCCTTGCACATCAAGCTGCTCACCCTTTGTGCTTTTGCACATGCTGTTTGATTATGAAACTCCATGACCCTCCTCCTCATGATTCACTTGACTGACTATTCAACGCTCAGTTCAGGTGGCTCTTCCTTCAGAAAGCCTTTTTCCATCTACTGTCCTACTGCCCCTCCCAAGGTAAGTACCCAAACAATTTTCTCCAATAGCACTTGATTATTTTCTATCATAATAAATAGAATTCGGTTTTCCAGTTGTGTGGCATTAGTCATTTCCCTCTGTTTGACTCTGAGTTTCTTAAGAATTAGAATCATCTGTAATTCATATTTATAAGCCCAGCATCTAATACACTGTCTGCCTTTTAGCCGGGTGTTTTTCAACCTAGATCACACAACCCGTTAGTGAGTGGGTCATGGAAAAAGTTTGTGTTTGACCATTATTTATTTTTAATAACATAGAAGAGAATGCAAAATATGAGTATGAGAGATAAGGTTATTGTTTTGTAAAAATTTGTTTCAGTCATAACTGTGATTATGTTGCCATGTAAAATATATACCTTATCACTTTTCTGTGGTCATGATGAAAGGAAACCTTAAAAGCTACTACCTTGGTAATATGCAATAAATAACTGTGGAATGAATTATGCACAAATAATTACGTAGCTGATGCCAATACAGTGTACCTTGTGTCTCTACAGATTTCTGGAAACTCCTCTCAATAATGAGCCTGAACCAGATTGTTCTGATCTTCCCTTTACTTGGCTGCAGGCCTCAAACCAGTAGGGAATGTTCCCTGGAAGTTAGATGCTCCCATCTCTACTTAGTGGCTACCAAGAGGCTTATCCCAAGAAAAGCTGGGAAAGTCCCTCTTAGGAGCCTTGCCACTGATTTTTTTTTTCCCCAAGAATCTTTAGTAAAGAGTATCCCACCTCATACCACAGCCTGCAGAATGGTTACAGTGTCCATCCCTCAGCCCTGGGGAGTACTCCGATGTGCCAGAGGCTGCAAAAACACTGCTGGCCAGGCATGGAAGCCCATTCCCCTCGCCCAACAATCCTGGCACAATTCACCCAAGCTGCGAAGTGATCCTTGTCACAGATAATTGAGCTAAAAACATTAATTTAAAAAAGAGAAGGAGGTCATTTCATTATTGTTGGAAGAAAGCTCAAATTGAAGGAGTAAAGAGTCCTAGAATCAAATTTCTATTTCTTTAATCAGAACATCCTGCCACCACTATGGCTAACTTTATTTCCATGTGTTTGTTTATTTGTCACTTTTCCATGTGTTTATTTGTCACGTTTCCATGTGTTTATCTATTTGTCATTTTTCCAAAAGTACTTGAGGTAACTTAACCTCTCTGAGATCCAGTGATGTGAAGGCAGAGGAAAAGAAGGAAAAAAATTAAACAGAAAAAAAATGAACTTTTCTTTGATATGTCAAGAGAAAGTGGATCTACCTACCCTCTGCCTAATCATTTTCATGAAGTTTTTGGAATTTAATGGTGGAGGTTGCAATAGAAAGGATGAAATGTATTTCATTATCAAAAAACTCTGGGAAAATAATTTTTCAGCAATGTGAGTACTCTCTGTGTAACTACCACAGTGGGCAGAAGTTGGTCATTCTATACCTGGTTAGAACTATTTCCTGTTAGTCTCCCTTTGTTTAAGGGATATAAAAGCTGCTTCTGTGTCAGATACAGAGTACCCGAGAATATAAAAACAATAGAATACTTTTCCTCTTACATCTCTGCTTACAAATAATGAGGTTTGTTCTGAATTGTATTTTTCTTCTTTGTAGTTAAGAGCAGGTGCTGCAAACGGACTGCATTTGTTGGGGTTGCTCAGCAGGAAATTGGGGGGGCAGTGAGTGACTCACCAAAACTGAGGGATACGAAAGGACAATAGAATAACAACAGAGAAAAACATGAAGACAGAAAGGTAAGAAAAAAGATGGTTCTTAAAGTAAAAACTAGTTTGGACGTTTGGCTGAAGAATTAATTTACAGTGAAGAGCACAGAAGGGAAATAAAATTGGAATAGAGAAAAGAATGTGAAGAACTAAGCAAAAACCACTAATGTTTGATGACCTGTCAATTCTCAAATGAAAAGCAGGTGTCCTGTCTCCTAACCCAATCCTACAAAGACTCAGGGCTTCCAAAGGGAAAGGAAAGGCAGGCTTCGATTACAGCTAAAATATGCCTATATCACATTGGATGTATGCATTTTCTACTTTTGTTTTGAAGTCGCCCTGACTACATCTGTGAAGGATTTGAGGCAACTTTCCGTCTCATATATATATATTTTTTATTATACTTTAAGTTCTAGGGTACATAAGTCTATGTTTCTTTCTATCAACTGGTTACTATCTTAAATTACATAGTGTCTCCTACTTTGTCTCATCTCTAATTACTAATTAACTCACATTTTATAACTTTTATAGTAGAGTAGAGATTCTGGTTCTCCTTCTGAGATGCAGCACTAGTATGAGAAACAGTCACTTTGTACCAGAACTTTAAACTGTATCATTTGAAAATCAACAGAGAGCAGAAATCTAATTAGCCAGGCCCCCTGTGGCCGGAGCTGCTGTAAACCCTGGAGCCTCTTCCTGGCGAGGTGCTGAATGAAAGGAGTCAGAGATCAAGGCACAGCTGGGAAAGGTTAGCTCTGTCCGCAGAGTGTCTTTCCAGAGTGAGCAGACCCCTGACAAAGAGAGGGTTGATGGAAGCATGTGGTGGAGCTTTCTCGGGACATCAGGGTCACATATATGGTACAGATCCCATAGCACCTGTGACAGCATCGGTCTACCCTTTCCATGTTAAAATAAACAACTCTAGTTTCTCCTCACTCTTTCAGTTTGAGAAGAGAAATAATGGAACAATTGTGCTTTTTTCCTGGGTATCAGATGATTTTATTTTTAAAATACATATATATGTGTGTGTGTGTGTGTGTGTGTATATATATATTGCACATAGTGAACACACTGATTCGTTCTATAGAATTCAAGGAAACCAGCAGTCAGAAAGTTTTTCTCCAGAATATTATGGCTTGGAACAGTCGAGAAAAAGAATCATAGCATATTGATTATGGTACATCAGAATCATAACATTAAAAATCAGAAAAACAGGCTTTTTTTTCCCAAGAAATTTTGTCTTCTGAAATGTGTATATAAAGTATACATCTATATTTCTATGTGTTAAAAAGGTAAACTGAAGCACAATGAAATTTTTAAAGAGTTTATTTTAACCAAACAACGATGTGTGAATTGGGTAGCTCCAAACCAGAAGTGGTTCTGAAGCTTGACTGGTGAATTCAAGGGGTAGGTTTTTCCAGAGGAAACATAGAAATAAAGCAAAGAAAATATTTGATTGGTTATAGTTATACAGTTGCCTTATTTGGTCTATCCCATTGAAAAGCCTCTAGTTATATATACTTACATAAGTTTGCTGGTGGATTCTGACTGGTTGAACTTAAGTTCTGTCTTTCCTTAATATAGGTGTTTACTAGAAATAGATCAAGTTAAGTTTTGCTTACGTTTGCAAATCAAGCAAGGTTTAGGCCACTTAGGAGACCTAATTGGCTTGGCCTACTAAGGGCTTCTTCAGGCTTAGTCTCCATTTTAATTTCCTTTAACATGTACATATATATACACACACACTTAATTTATACATAAATATGTGTGTGTGTGTGTGTGTGTGTGTATATATATATATATATATATTTTTTTTTTTTTTTTTTAATGGAGAAATGGTCATTTGTAAGTTTGGGTATCTTCTTTTAGTGGATAGGATTTCAACCTTCTTTCCTGTTTGGGAGGAGCTTCCTACTGCGTGTTGTCTTGTTGAAAGGCAATGATCTGCCTCCCACTACCAACACCAGAAGAGTGAGAATTTCTCTTGCTCTGTCCCGGTAGGCAGTGTATATGCACGTGACTTAGCATCAGCTCATCGGATGCCCCAAATCAGATCTTTGTCTCTGAAGTGAATGTTACAAAGAATGAAAAACAGCAAGAATTCTTTCAAGGCTGCAGAGGAGTCTATGTCCTAAAGCCTCAGAAGACCTGGTCTGTTTCTGCTAAAAAAATACACGTTGTGCTTCTGGCTTTTTGGCTGTAAGAATCTATCTCGATGCCAGGTCTGGTTCTCAGCTGCCCATTGACTCTGTGACCCTACATTAAGCAAATCAGAGTAAGTTTCCATTTTTTTGTAACCAATTGCATTGTAAAATATGCAAATGTTGAGAATAGATTCAGTCTCAGTCCTGCCATTTAAGATCTTCTCTCCCCAAAATAAATTCTGACAATTATCAAATTGGCAGTTTTATGGAATAGGAGTTACAGCATTAGATAATAATAATTCCTCTGCCTCAAAACAAGTTGTTCCAAAGTAATAAAAAGTAATAAGATAAGTTCTGTGATTTTGAAGTTAGGAGGAAGTAAAAACTTGTTCCTTCTTACATCTGGAAACTTGAACTCTACTATAATATTTATTTGTTTTAAAAAGTCACTATCATAAATGTTCTCAATAAAAATATTAAATGATATTGTAGTATGAACAATTTTTATGGCAGGAGACAGCAGCAGCCTTGAGGGATGAACTTTTGTTTTTTATAAATTATGTTAAAAAGCTAACTTACTATTGAGCTGATATTTTTTGCCTATTAGAGCATTTCAACTACCTTCAAAATCATATGGCATATCCAAGCTAAATCACAGGGTGTTCATCAGAGGTAATCACTAAATCCTCTAAAAATTATAATATCACCCAATACAATGGATGGACCTATTCTAACATTAGGAAGTATTTCTATGTTTTAAGTTATCATGGTATATAAAAAGGTATGTGGTAGACTATTTTAAAATAACATTTTAATTTTTATAATATTTTAGGAAAAATTTAGCATACAATGAAATTTTTTTAATTACTTAAATCAATATGATTGAGGAAGAGCATAAGAGAATAAATTAAAGTCATCCTAGCCAAAGTTCTTGGTCAGGAATTTTACATGGTGAGATTAAAATAATATTTTTAAACAATCCAGTCAACAAAATCATGAAACTTTTTGCAGTTAACAGCTATAAACACCTGCATGCATGCAGAGATAACCTTCAAACAAGTTCATTTATGAAAAGATACTGAAATCCAAGATGATGATAATAATTGAAAAAAATGAGCTGACTTCCTATGAAACTCAGAACTACTATGTAATACCTTTATCAATAGCTATTTTGTTAAAAAATTATTAAGAGTATCCTGTTTTCGGCCGGGTGCGGTGGCTCACACCTGTAATCCCAGCACTTTGGGAAGCCGAGGCGGGTGGATCACGAGGTCAAGAGATCGAGACCATCCTGGCCAACATGGTGAATCCCAAGCTCTACTAAAAATACAAAAATTAGCTGGGCATGGTGGTGTGCGCCTGTAGCCTGTAATCCCAGCTACTCGGGAGACCAAGGCAGGAGAATCGCTTGAACTCGGGAGGCGGAGGTTGCAGTGAGCCCAGATCATGCCACTGCACTCCAGCCTAGCGACAGAGCGAGACTCCATTCCACCGCTCACCAAAAAAAAAAAAAAAAAAAAAAAAAAAAAAAAAAAAAAAAAAAAAAGACTATCCTGTTTTCCTAAAAGACATTCCTTGAGTAAGTCTTCTTAGCAGTTACACTATGACAAGCCAAAGGCATCTCCATAAGGAAGTCTCAAGGAAACCTTCCAAATCTCAGGAATGTAGAATAAATTGAACAAACGTGTGGAGAGCTAGAATCAGAAATTCATGATAATAACACTTACTCCTTTTATGTGTCTAAAAGCTCTGAAAGAGAAGATAATGGATGTACTATAGAACATGTAAACTTTAAACTATACAAAGTTCTATAGGGAATATCAAACAATGGCCTTTGGTGATAAAAAAGAGCAAGCAAAACGAGATATATGAATGGATAACCAATAATATATTAGTACAATTTTATTTGCCAGGATGGGCTAAAGTAGGTTTTGAGAGACACAATAAGTTTGCAAAGTCTCTAAAAAGATACATAAAAATTTAAAAATATGCAAAAGAGATACTGAAGTTCTTAAAAAAGAAACAAGAAGAAACATATAGTACCCCAAGTATAGTGATCATCATTTGTTGAAGCATGCATCATTTCTCCTTGTTGATACCATCTAAAAACTTCTAGGTATAAGTTGTTTAGGGCTTCAAAAGACTCTAATATGTTCTAATTGCTTTTCGTAAAGCACACTGATTAAATCTAACAACCAGTACTAGCATTTAAGCAGATGAATTTGATGGGGGAGAATTACACAACCAGGACCACTCATTTTCTCTTAAAATTAGGATCAAGAAATTTCAAGTGGATATTTACTGTTGTCAATAGTTCTATGTACTTTCCAAGCAAAGTCATTTTGCCACTTTCCTCTATACTTATTTCACATCTTTTTTTGTTAACTCCTGCATATGGCATAGAGGTTAAAATTGCAGGTTCTATAAGTTAGCTAAGAGATAGAGCAATTGGATCTCTTATACTTTGCAAGTGGAAGTATAATGAGCTCAGAATTGCTTGGCTGAATCTACTAAAGCAATTCGGCTTCTAGGCACATTCCCAAAAATATATACATACATATGTGTGTGTGTGTGTGTGTATAACAAAATACATGTGCAAGAACAATCATAGATGTTTTACTCATAATGGTCATAAACTGGAAAGTAATCCAAATGTCCATCAATAGCAAAGCAAAAAATATGTGGTATATTTACACAATAGCATTCCACAGAGCAATAAAAAAAAAAAAAAACAACGGCCGATGCATGCACCAACATGGATCAAAGCCAGATGCAAAGGGAGCATAACATATGATTTCATTTGTGTACAGTTCCAAAATCAGGAATAACTTACGAATGGTAATAGAAGCCAGTATGGTGATAGACTTCTGAGTGAATGATTATTGACTGGGAAGGAGCACATTGAAACCCTGTGGGGTGCTGGAATTATTCTGTTTTTTTAATCTAGATGGTAGCAGTGTGGAACTGTGAATGTGTGGAAATTCATTGAACTATACATTAATTGGTGCATTTTTGTATTTTCTATATGTATTTTAATTTTTTTTAAATTTTGAAAGATGTATAGATTCACAGGAGATTGCAAAAATGTACTGGGAATTCCTATGCATTCCTCCCACAGCTTCCCCTTAAATATAACATCTTATACACACATGTTAAAATAGCAAAACCAATATACTGAGATTTATACAATACATACAGCTTATTCAGATTTTTAGGTTACACATACACTATTTCATGTACATAGTTTTATGCAATTTTATCACATATGTAGCCTTGTGTAACTACCATTGCAATCAAGATACTCAACTGTTATATCACCATAAGATTCTCTTCATAGTCATGCATCCATCTTCCTCATCCCTAGCTCCTGGCAAACACTAATCTGCTCTCCATATCTCTGATTATGTTCTTTCACAAATGTAACATAATGGAAGCAAGCAGTTTGTATTCTTTTGAGACTGGCTTTTTTCACTCAGCATAATTCCTTGATGTTCATCCAAATTGTTGTGTATATCAACAGTCTGCTCCTTTTTACTGATGAATAATATTCCATGATGTGGATATACCATAGTTTCTTTAACCATTTACCGATTAAAAAAACATTTGGGTGGTTTCCAGCTTATGGCTATTATGAATAATGGTGCTATGAACACTCATGTGCACATTCTTGCACAGAAATAAGTCTTCATTTATCTGGAATAAATGGCTAAAAGTACTATTTTGGGGTTGTATGGTATGTTTATTTTTTAATTCTTAAAGGAGCTGCCAAATTATTTTCTAGAGTGGCTGTACTATATTACATTCCCATCAGCAATGCCTGAATAGTCCAGGTTCTCTGCAACCTCACCAGCATTTAGTGTTATCATTCTTTTCATCCATTTTGCCCATTCTGATAGGTGTGTAGTGATAGCTCATTGTAATTTTAGTGTATATTTCTCTAATGGCTAATGATATTGAACATCTTTTTATGTGCTTATTTTCTATTTGTATATCTTTTTTGGTTATACATTATATATTATTTCTATCAATACAAATGTAAAAAAAAATTGCCTTTAAGAAAACCATTGTAGGCTGTGATGACTCCTTTAGTGTGAACCCCACCTCTGTGGCTTACCAGCTATGTAATCTTAAGGAAGTCACTTAAAATTTCTCTTCCTCAGTTTTCTTCTTTATAGAATGGTCTAACTAAGATGTTGGAGGTATTTAATACATTCGTGTATTTAAAGTCCTTAAAATTGTGCCTGGGAGATAATCAGAATAAATGATATGTTAACAAAAACAAACCTTTCCAAAATCTTCTTCTGTTTGTCTCCTCATTCTCAGTTGCTAGCTCATCTTAAACAGAGAATTATAAGACATTAATCTAAGTATATTAGATCTATTAATTCAGTAAGTCCTTACAACAACCTTAGAAGGTAGCCCTACACTTAACACATGAGGAAATTAAGCCACAGAAGGATCAAGTAGTTGCCCTAGATTAGAAAGCTCTCAGAGGCCAGGCTAAGGAACTGAACCTAGGCAGTCTGCCCTGGGGCAGTGCTCTGAACCAGGAAGTAGTCAAATGGGATTGGACTCATTTCACCACTGTAAATGCACTCATGGATGCTTCTGAACTCATTTACTTGACATTTCTTCCTTTCACAGGAAAATAAGAGTGTATATTCACTCATCTAAGGCCAGTCACTGCAACTGTGCTTGCATCCTATCTCTGTAACTCGTTCACAAACTTTACTTCTGTTATCTCACTTCTCTTCTGCATCCTCAAATTTCCCTCAACCTGTATTGCTTTTATTGATATAGCAACATGCCTTAACATTGGATCTCTTCCACACTTGTGGTGACTTTGTATTCCTCTACAGTTGTCAGAGTTCTCTCTTCAGTTCATAGCAAAATTCACTTAATGAGTTATCTATGTATCTGTGGGATCCACTTATTTATCTGCCTTTACTTTTAAGGAATTCCAACGAGGCTTTGTCCCCACAACTTACTAGATCTCTTACTACATTATTAAGTCACAAAAAACTTCACTTTTTTCTTGCCTTTTAAATTATCAAGTCCACCCTCTCTCTCAAAAAAACTTTTCTTTAACTTTATATTACCATGTGGTTGCTTAATTCCCTTTAGCCTCTTGGCTACTGCTGTTTATTTTTCTTTCTGAGTCTTTCTTCCTGGCCCAATATCTTAATGAAAGCATGACTTCTATCTCAGTTCTCATCTGTCTTTTCTTTCCTGGCCTTGTCCTTTCCCTAGATGGACTTATCCAGACCTATGGCTTTAAGTACCTCTATATGCTAATGATTTTTTAATTCATATCTCCAGCTATGACCACTCTACTGAGATCTTGAGTTTTATGTCCATCTGCCTACTTGACAGCTGCACTTAAATATCCTATTGGCTTCTGACTTTGACATTGTTGTTCAAAACTAATCACTTCATTCCTGTCTGCCTAATACTCCAAACCTAACTCTCCCTTAGTCTTCCTAAACTTAGGGATGCTAAGCCCAAAGTTTAGAAGTTTGTTTTAAATTATTCTTTCTTCTACTCTATTTATGCAAGCCATATAAACATGAAGATAACAAATCAAGTCACAGATGACCATCTTCATTGCTGTCATGTCAATCCTTGAGATTCTGCAGCATCCTCTATTCTTGTTTTACTCTTGCTTCTTCCATACAGCAGACAAAGTGATCGTTTTAAAGTATAAATTAGATTTTACTATATTCTTGCTTAAAATTCTCTAGTGGCTTCTTGTTACATTTAAACTAAAACTACAAACCTTATCAAAAGACTTGTCATCATCTAAAAAGGATGAGCTAGCAATTAAAGACACTTGTGAAGCCCTCTGGATGCAGACTTATTTAAGATGTTTATGTTATTTTCTTCTATATTTATAATTGTCTGGCTAAATTAAATTTAACATTTATATCTGTACCAATTCATCTTAATATTTTTAATATGTCTAAAGCTTTCAACTTAGTTTTCATAGAAATAACATTTTCAGTTTGTCACTCACACTTAATTGGCTTAGTGTAACACTAGTTAAATTATAATTAAAATAATAAGTACATTTTCTATAAACAGATTTGGTCACAATTTAAATGCTTCTTGTTAATCCACTGAGGAAACAGAAATAAGGTTATGCCTTAGCCTAACCTTTCCGTGCTCTCCTGAACGTTTAACCAGTTAAAATTCCTAAACCTTTAACTCCTGAACCTGAACTAGTTAAACAACTGGGGAATGGCCCAGCGCTTTTGTCAATGAACTTAATACAATTTTATTAAATTTGGATATTTACATGTTCTCATATTCTAGATACAAGCAAAAGAATAAAGATGTTTATTTGGCCATCATCAAAAGACCCTTAGGCATATTTATATAACTTTAGGAGAAATAAGTTTTTCTAAAATAATAGATTTGTCTGTTTTGAAACAATTGCAAACATCATATATTTAATTAGATTCTTCTATTTTCTCAGGACACCAAAAGATTTATGAGGCTTTAAATTCAGTTGTAAAGTCAAGACTGATGGAAGAAATATTAATGAACATACCTGGAAGACTCATAGATTTTATGAAAGACCTTCATAGATATCGTCTACAACCTGCATATATTATATAATAAAATATTGATAGAACTACATATTGGAAATAATTATTTTTAATAAATTACTGTATATATAATTTAATTTTCTGATAAACCAGTGAAAATTAAAAATATTGTCCTTTTGTACCATACACAAAAATTCTGTCCATCTGCCTAGTGTAACACAACAAATTCCTTGATCAAATAATGGATAAGAGCTCAATACCAGAATTATTGAATACACTGAGAAAAATTTAATGCATAGTTATTTCAGATTCACATATTATGCATTGCTTCATTTAAAACCCTAATTAATATCCCAAAAGAATTATCTTATGAACAAATTTTTTCCAGAAATTATTTATCTCACCCATACTGGTAAAATAAACAATAAATATTAAGCCAATGGTAGGAAAGGTCCATTTTGATGCATTTTTTACATCAAAATTAATGAGGTTTAAGCATGCAATGCCATTAAAAATTTTTTTTAAAGTCTATTCTTTGTGTAAAGCCCAGGATTACTTTTTGGGATGGTAGTAATGTTTGGAGTGTATAAGAGTTTCCAACCATTTGGAAGGTATTAGCTTTAATCTGTAGCAGACTATTATGGTATTTGCAAGTCTATCTTTGAAATTGTCTCACTTAAGTTAATGTAATATGTACCTCATTAAAGAAATATAAAATGCAAGCTTTTCTATTTTAACCAAGCTAAAAAAAATAGCCAATTCTGAATATCTAAAATATTCTTGAACTTTTTGTATTTTTTGAGGAAACTATAACAACTCTTGCCAAAGAAGCATTTTCTAAATTTCTCAAAAAGTTATTTGAGTTAGAAAGTTAAATAATTGATTTTGCTTAATTTCTTGCCAGCTGGGGACTTACAAAGAGAGCATTTATTTAAAAACCAATTAAATATGGTGTGTCAGTGGAACATAGTTTGGAGAAGGAAGATGCATGCTGTGACCAAAATTTAACACATATCCTCGAAGTATCTAAATTTCCTGAACTTCTTGCAAATGAGCTGGTTCATGCTTAAATACTTAGTACATCAATCTTTAACTTGAAAGATTATATTTATATATTTTAACTTTTATTTGAATAAAAGTTACTCATCACGCTTTTATTTGATAAACCAAATATAATGCTTTATATAGTCTTCAGAGAATGAATGTCAGCAAATAAAAGCTGAGGTCTCAAGCTAGGCACACTAAAGTTTTATCATAATGAGACTGTGTCAACAAAGTAGAATTATAATGGTTCCTCTTGGGATAACAGTGGGAATTAATTTTAAAATGGAAATGTGAAATACTTAAAGTTAGAAAGATGAATGTTAGTAAGCTAGTAATTTACTAGCTTATTAATTTAGAGGGAAAAATATGAAGTAAAGAGAACTTTTATGAAATTTTCACAAGGAGGTCAAAACATTAGCTAAGGATAGCTAAGGTAAATTTACATGCACTTTAACTTTACCACATGAATGATTTGTCAATGAATTAGAAAACCAAGCAAAAATCTTCAAACCTGTCACAATCTTTTCATGTAGTCCATAACCTGTAAAATTCACAGCCTATGTTACCTAAGTCTGCATGAACGTTTCCAACAATGAATCAGCATGTGCAAAAGAAAACCAGCACAGATTAAATGCTGAGTGTGCCTGGGTATCCCCAAACATATCTACCCAAGCTTCCTATACGTCATATTTTTCTTTTTACAGTGTCAAGCAACAAAACATACAGAAACAGAAGTGAGTGATGGAAAAACAGTATTTTAAAGTCACATTGTCATATACACTCATTCTTTTGATGTTGTTTTATGAACACTTTCAAGAATCTATATCTAATCAGTCTAAACCTTTGGTAATACAGGATTGAGACATTTTAAATTTGTTCCTAAGAAATTAAACAATACAGATTCAGCTAAAACTTATGTATGTATATCTCTTTTCAATGCAGTTCTCCAGTCTTCCTTCTGTAAATGTGACTTAGTAAGTTCGGGGTGCTGTAACAAATACCATAGACTGGATGACTTAAACAACAAACATTTCCTTCTCACAGTTCTAGAGTCTGGAAGTGTAAGATCAGGGTTCCAGTATAGTGGGGTTCTTGGTGAAGGCCCTGTTTTTGGTTTGCAAACAGACATCTTCTTATTGTATCTTCACATGGCAAAGTGTAGAGAGAGATGAAACAAACTCTTTCTTGTCTCTTCTTATAAGGATACTAATTCCATCATAGGACTCCATTCTCATGACCTAATTAACTTCCAGAGGCCCCATCTCTAAATCCCATCACATTGGAGATTAAAGTTTTAGTATATTGATGTTGGATGGACAAAAATATTCAGTCCATATCAAGATGTAACCACCATAGTGAATTTAGTGTTTATCATTTTCAATAATATGTTTGTCTTATATTTTTACCACAAACCTACCATGCATAAATATACACAGTAATAGGTATCATAATGTTTATATAGGATTATAAATTGCTTTTTTAATGGACCTATATTTTGAGTTCTGTGCTCAAAATATAGATAAATTTTCTAGATAAATTTTCTAGTTTGTTTTTGTGACAATAGATATGCTGCAATTTCATTTGTTTGTTCTGAGATGGGTATTTAAGATGCTTCAGATATTTGCTATTACAAATAATGCTGAAAAAAGTGTGTTTTATCAGGCATACATTTAAAAGTTTCTATAGCATATATCCCTAGAAATAGAATTTCTGGATTTTAAGACATACAAATCTTAATTTTACTAGATATTGTTAAGTTGCTTCCCATAGAGGTTGTATCAATTTACTCTGCTACCATAAACATGACAATTCTTTGCCAGCATGCAGTTTTGTGATATTTCCAAAAAATTTCATCAGTCTCATGCACCTAATTTTTGTTTTAAATTGAATTTCTATGATTGCTTACAAAATTAAGCAACTTTTCACATTTATTGGCCATGTAGATTTCTTCTTTTGTAAATTGCTCCCATGTTTATTTTATTTTCATTCACTTCTTTGCCGTTTGCTTATTCATTTGTAGATGTTAATTATATTTTCTGAGTAATAATCCCTTGTTATATCTTTACTGGGGCAGGAGACATTGGCTGTGTGTTTGTGTGTGCACACGTGTGTTGTGTGTGTATGTATGTGCATATATGTATTTGGGTCAGTTGTCCCTTGATATCCATGGAGGATTGGTTCCAAAACCTCCTACAGATGACAAAATATGCAGACTCTCAAGTCCCTGATATAAAATAAAATGGCGTATTCGCATATAGCCTATGCACATCCTTCTATATACTTTAAATCATCTCTAGATTACTTACAATGCCTAATGCAATGTAAATACTATGTAAATAGTTGTTCTACAATATCATTTAGATATAACAAGAAGAAAATAAAGACTGTACACATTCATTACAGACACAGTATTTTTCAAATATTTCTACCCACATTTGGTTGAATTTATGGATGCAGAGCCCACGAATAAGAAGGGCCAGCTATATATAGTCTATACATAAATCTGATATACATCTGTTCCACCTGGATGGGTGTGTTTTAGGACATTGTTACATTGCTTTATTTGTCTTGCTCTATAATATCTAGTAAGTGGTTTAATTAAGATAACTTAAAAATAAATATTGATTTTTGCAGGAAAAACACCTCTCAATACATATTTTATTCTCCTTTGTCTATTTTTTATATTTTCTTTTTGCCATGAAGTTTAAATTACCTTTTCAAGTTTTATGTGACAACTATTTATCCAGCTTTAGTAGCAATTCTTAAATTAGCAATATGTTTTATGAATGTAACTTATATTTTGTTTGTTTTTTATAATTTTTCTTTTTAGTTTGTTGGGGGTACATATTAGGTGTATACATTTATGAGGTATGTGAGATATTTTGGTACAGGCATGCAATACATAATAATCACAACATGGAAAATGGGGTATCCATCCTCTCCAGCATTTATCCTTTGTGTTCCAAATAATCCAATTATATTCTGTTAATTATTTGAAAATGTACAATTAAATTATTATTGATGACAGTCACTCTGTCATGCTATTAAATACTAGGACTTATTCATTTATTCTAATATTTTTTTGTACTCATTAAACATCCCCATCTCCCTGCCAACACAACCCAATACTCTTCTCACCCTCTGGTAACCATCCTTCTGCCCTCTTTCTCCATGAGTTCAACTGTCTTCATTTTTAGATCCCATGAATAAGTGAGAACATGTGATGTTTGTCTTTCTGTACCTGGCTTATTTTACTTAACATAATGACCTCCAGTTCCATCTGTGTTGTTGCAAACGGCTGAATCTCATTCTTTTTTTATATCTCAATAGTACTCCATTATGTATTTGTGCCACATATTATTTATCCATTCATCTGTTGGTGGATACTTAGGTTGCTTCCAAATTTTGGCTATTGTGAACAAAGCTGCAACAAACATGGGAGTGTAGCTATCCCTTTGATATAATGATTTCCTTTCTTTTGTATATATACCCAGCAGTGGGATTGATGCATCGTATGGTAGCCCTATTTTTAATCTTTTGTGAATGTAACCTACTTTAAATGATTGATGCAAATTAGGTTCCTAAGGCTTACATTTCCCCAAACATTTATTTATTTGTCTGTTTATTTACTTAATTTGATTATGGTATAATAAATTTAAGTTGTTTAGAGTATACAATTGTATCTAGTTTTGACATCTCTAAACACCTGTGAATGCTTTAAGACAATTAAGATGATCATTTTTATTATTCCTAAAGTTTAATTGTACTACTTTCCATCCCATCCCTCCTTTTACCCCTGCCCCAGGCAATTACCAGTGTGATTTCTATTTCTGGATTTAGTTTACACTTTTTAGAATTTTATACACATGACATCATATCATATGCATTACTTTTGTATAGTTTCTTTCATTTAGCAAATAGATTTTTATAATCATCCATGTTGTGGTCTGTATCAATAGTTTATTCCTTTATTTTCTGTGTGATAGTGAATGAATGATCCATTGAATGGATGTATTTCAATTTACGTATGCATTAACCTGTTGATGGATATTTGCATTTTTTTCCAGTTTGAGGCTCTTACATATAAAATTGCTGTGAATATTTATGTACAAGCCTTCATGTGAATGTGCCTTTATGTTTTATTGCTCTTGGATATATACCTAGGAGTGGAATGCCTAGATGATATGGCAGGCATTTAAGTTTTCACTAAACTGCAAATTAGTTTTTAAAGTGGTTGTACTATTCTACATTCCCACTAGCAGTGTAAGAGAATTCCAGTCCTTTCATATTATCACCAATACTTAGTGTGGTTAGAACTACATTTTTGTGTTAATTTCTCAGCCTACTTATGTAAATTCAAGCACAAAACTCATGTGAGAAGTGGGAAAAATTTGACAAATCCCAGATAATATTTTTCCTTGCCTAACCAGAGCAGAGTCCTGGTCAGATAATATCCCTTATTTTCTTTCTCTACAGGTGTGTGGACTTGTTTTTGCCCACTCTTTCATTGATGGTACAGCACTTTAAAGGCCCTCGCTTTAGGCGATGGCTCCTTTCATAACTTCCTAACTTTCAGGACCTGAAGGACTCATCTCCTATGCCTGTGTGTGTCACTAGGCTTTTGAGACAGGTAAGGCAACACCTATCACTTGCTGCCCCAACTTCCCAATTTCTACCCCCAGTCCCAATTTTTATAGCCTCCTCTTCTGGACTACATTTCCCTCTTTGATTTTGTTCTTAAAGAAATTGAGACTAGCTAATTAAAATTAATGTATGCACATTTACTATTTTGGTTACTTCTACAGCAAAACAAAACTATTAGCTAATTAACCAAATATATTCTCCCACAATTTTTTTTTTGTGTAAGCCAAACAATTAAATTAAATTTAAAAAGTAGAATAAAATAAGAACTTTGAAGCAGTCCCATTCACAATAGCTGAGAGGTGAAAGCAGCCCAAATATCCATTGATGGATGGATGAATAAACAAAATGTGTTATATTCATACAATGAAATCTTTTTCAGCTTTAGAAAGGAAGGAAATACTGTCGTAAACTACAACATGAATGAACCTTGAAGACATTATGCTAAGTGAAATAAGCCTGTCACAGAAAAAAAAATACGGTATGATTCCACTTGTATGAAATATTTAAAGTAAGAAAATTCATAGAAATACAAAATAAATGGTGGTCACTAGAGGCTGGAGAAAGGGGGAAAAGGAAGGTTGTTGTTTAATAGGTATAGAGTTTCATTTTGCAACATGAAAAATCCTGGAGGTTTGTTTCACAACAATGCGAATATACTTAACACTGTCAAACTCATCCTTAAAAATGGTTAAGATTGTAAATTTTGTTATGTGTTTTTTACCTAGAAAAATAAATAAATAAAAGCTTTGAGTAGTTTTCCTTCTATGAGTTCTAAGAAAACTGTCTTCCTGTTTCTCCTGCGCTAAGAAGATTACTAACTTTTCCCACAAATATTGGCATGCATATTTACTGAAGCTTTTGAGCAAGACCAACAACAATAGTTCCACTGTGATGGATTTCTGAATACTGAATGAGGCTGAGAGAATTTTAAAAGATTTGGACTCACTGTGACCTCTACTCACTGAAGCACTGAAGTTCAGATTCCACTGCTCAAAGGGCAGACGAGTTTCCCTACTTACCAGATGTCAGCTGAAGCATGGTCCTTTTTTTTTTTAGCTGAAAGGCAACTCTCTCTGCATTTTCTTTATCAGCAATGAAGCTCAAAGGAAATGGCTTTCTGTGAACTATGACAGTTTCTTTTTATGGGACAATTGTGTATATTCAAATCTCATTATCCTGAAGCTTATCTCTAAAAGTTAGTTAATGAAGTTAACAATACTCCTGAAAAACATAAAAACAAACATAAACAGACTAATTTATTTATTTTAAAACAGGAACAATACCAATAGCTTTATCTGAAATATACACAGAATATCAAAATTTATATCATTTTAGAAATTTTATGTGCAGTGCCAAGATAGGTTTCCCTTAATATGCAATTGACTTTTTCAATGGACTTTTTCACATTGTGAAAACAGTAATTTAATTTTCCCTGTTAACTTCTAATTAGGAATTGTAGACATTTTTGGAAGAAGAAAGAGAGGGGCCCATTAAAAACCTTTCAGTATATTCAGTAACTTTACTCCTTTGACACAATCACTTCACAGAGCACCTCTTTTGAATAGTTTCTTTTATAAATCTGAATTTGTATTTCTCAGTTCCTTTTAAAGTCCACTCAGCAGGACAGAGTTTTAAGTTAAAATTTTGAGGGGAGAGAAAAAATCCTTTCCATAAACAACTTTTAGGAATGTGGTATATAACAGTAGATTTTCAGACTATGTAGCTTTTCTTCTTACAAACTTTTAAGAGTGGATTTAACTCTTGTCAGAAACAGTGAGGCCAAAGTGATGAAATATAGTTTCCCGACCACCTCTTTTGGACTTTCAGTTTATTTCAAGATTGCTATTAATACTTATACTTTACAATAATTCCCTGTCATTATTCTAAAAGGTAGTGTTCTTTGAGAGTTTGAAAGCCAAGTGGTTAGAAATTTAGGAAGTGGAAGATTTTCACTTGTAGCATAAAAATGGTAAAAAAAAAAAAAAAAAAGTACAGTATTTCCTAATAATATGAAATTGAAACATGATAGCAAATTTTAAAGAAAAGCAAAACTTAAAAAAAGATATACCCTTTATAATAACCCAAATGTTTTTTAAAACAGATTTCAGATTATTTCTGCCTGTGTTCTGGTTTACCTACCCTCTATAGATGGTAGAGTGGCTTCAGCTGTAACTTGGAAGTAAATTTAATGAACTGTCTTCTACCTTCTTAGAATTTAAGTTGACTTTACCTTACACTAAGTGAATTAAATGACCACAGGTCATGTTAGCAGAAAATTACCCTCAGAGTGACTCTTAAACTATTCTTATTTGGTGTATGTGGGGGCAGCAGCATGAGGTAAGAAAAAGGAATTGTGGATCTAAAGCCAGAGGCTTGGGGTCATTTGCAAGCTTCACTACCAATATCTATACATCTACCTTGAGCAAGCCATGTATACTCTTTCTCTCCAATAGAATAGATACAAAAATAATTGCCCTGCCATGTTATTGGACTATTATCAGAATCAAATAAAAATGTGAATAAAAGAAAGAAAAATAATAAAATTCTAGGAAATACAAACCATAGTAGTCTACGGCTTTATCACATTTATAACATAATAACTTAGAATCACGAATTTTTTAAATTAGAATGGAATAGAGAGCATTTGCTAGTTTCTTGTTTCCTAACCGTTTTTAGGTCACAGACCTTATTGGGAACTTAATATAAATTCTGAACATTGTATCAGAAAAGTACACACACATATTCACAGGCACGAAATATTGCATATACTTTTTTGTGTGTTTGGTGTATTGTGTGTGTGAATGTCTGATCAGTTTCAATGCTTTCTTCTACAGAGTGGATAATGAAACTTAGAGAAATGAAGAGACTGAATTGAAGTCACACAGAAAGTTTGTGGCAGAGGTGTTTCTAGAGTACCTCTGCTAACTCACGCTCAGGTGCTCTGTTTCCCTAGACCAGGGACACTGATGAGTGTCCTAAAGAGGAGCCTCGTTCATTTCAAAGAGAGATCTCAGGAGCAAATACCAGACAGAGCCCTGGTAACCCTCACCACTTCTTTTATCTGTTTTTTACATTGGTCTTCCAAGACCCCATCTTATTTAAAAAAATAAAGCTTGGAAACTGCTGCTGTAGGAGAAAAACACAATTATAAATATGAAGTGAGGAAAGAAAAGTAATAGCAAAGTCAGAAATTTCTTCTTATCATGTCCTTTCTGGAAGAAAAGTATAGCTCCCAGAAATTATGACATTCTTTAAAAACCACAGTGTCTGGTGGCCCAGAAATGAGTAACTCTAAAAATATTTTCAAAATTTAATTCAGAATTTTAAAGTCCCAAAAGAGTTATCTCTAGAACTGTTTCACTAAAGAATTCTACCAAATGTTTAAGTAAGAATTAACATGAATTTTTACAATCTCTTATAAGAAATAGAAAAGATGACACTTCAAAATTTATTTTATGCAGCTAGTATTACCCTAATACCAAAATGAGACAAAGACAGTACAAAAAAAGAAAAGCAAACTGGGAAATCACAGACTAATATTCCTTGAGTATAGCTGTAAAAATTTTTGAACAAATAATAGCAAATAAAATTTGGCAATATATAAAAAGAATTATGCACCCTGACCGAGTAGTGTATAACTGGGTGAAAACAGGGCTGGTTGAATATTTGAAAAACAACCAATATAATTTATCATATTAACAGGCTGAAAAAGAAAAATCACATAATTGTAACAATTGATACAAAAAACATTTGATAAAATTCAACGTCTATTCATGAGAGAATAATTCAGAAAATTACAGTTCAGAGAAAAACTCTTCAAATACAAAAAACCTGCATCTAATATCATATGTAATGGAAAAACACTGAGTGCTTTTCTCCTAAGATCTTGGACAAGGCAAACACATCTGCCCTTACTCAAAATAGAACCAAAAGTTCCAGCCCATGTAAGAAAGCATAAAAAGGAAATAAAAGGCATTAGGGTCATAACAGAAGAAATCAACTATCCCTGTTTGCAGAAGTAATGATTGTCTATGTAGAATATCCCAAAGAATCTATGAAGCTACTGTTAGAACGAATATCTAATTTCACTAAGGTCACAGGATACTAGATCAGCATACAAAAATCAATTTTATTTCTGTAAACAGCCATGAATATATGAAAAGCAAAAAACAAAATGTAAAACATAATACTATTTTCAATTATTAACAATGAGATGTTTATTTATTTCTAAAGAAACAATAAGTAAGCTAAATGAGTACTAAACACTTAAGTATAAATCAACAAAACAAAGGAATTATATACTGAAAACTATAAAACATTGATTTAAAAAAATCAAAGAATATCTAAATAAATGTAGCGACACGTCACGTTCATGAACTGAAATATTCAACATTGTGAAAATGTCAAATCTTTTTAAATTGATATAGGTTTAAGAAAATCTCTATCAAAAATCCCTATCAATGAAGAATAGTCTTTGCTTTGTATATCACAGGTCAAAAAAAAAAAAAGAACCTTAATTTAAACTTCACACATCAGACGATTTTAAATCAAAATGAGTGATAAATTCAAATGTAAAACTGTAAAACTCTTATATGAAAACAGAGGGTAAATCTTTAAGAATTAAAGCTTGGTAAAGAGTTTTTAGACATGACCAAAGACATAATCCATAAAGTGAAAAGAAAAAAAAAAACCTAAACGGGTATTCGTCCATTCTCACGCAGCTAATAAAAACATTCCCGAGACTGGGTAATTTATAAAGGAAAGCGGTTTAACTGACTCACTGTTCAGCATGGCTGGGGAGGCCTCAGAAAACTTACAATCATGGCAGAAGGGGAAGCAAACACGTCCTTCTTCACATGGTGGCAGCAAGAATGCCAAGCAAAAGGTGGAAAATCCCGTTATAAAACCATCAGATCTTGTGAGAACTCTCACTATCACAAGAACAGCCGCATGGAGGTGACCGCCCCCATGATTTAATTATCTTGCACCGGGCACCTCTCCCAACACGTGGGGATTATGGGAATTACAATTCAAGATGAGATTTGGGTGGGGACACAGCCAAACCATATCAACCTGTAAAATTAAAGTTAACTAAAATTCAAAACTTTTGTTCTGCAAAAGACCCTGTTAAGAAGATGAAAAGATTGAGAAAAAATATTTGCAAGAGATACATATGACAAAGGAATCATATTTAGTATTTATAAAGAACCCTCAAAACTCAACCAAATAAACAAACAATCCAATTAGAAAATAGACAAAGAACACAAAGAGACATTTATTTGTGGATGAGAAAAAGACATGAAAATATACTCAATATCATTAGCCACTAGGAAAATGCAAACTAAGACAGTGATGAGATATCACAAAATATACACTAAACAACTAAAATAGCAAAATACTGATTATATAAAATTCTGGAAAAGATTCAGTGGAAAAGTGGACTTCTCATGTCATACACTGCTGATGGGACTATAAAATGGGAGAGCCACTTTGAAAAATAATTTAGCAGTTTCTTTGAATAACTAAACACACACCTATCACGAGACTCGGTAATCATACTGTTGAGCAAGTCTCCCAGATTAACAAAAATTTACATTCAAACAAAAATCTGTATGGGAATGTTCCTAGCAACTGCATTTTGAAAAGAAAAACAAAAACTGGGAACAATCAAAATGCCTCTCATTGGGTAAGTGCTTAAATAAAATGTCACATCCACACCATGAAATACTGTTCAACAGTAAAAAGTAACGAGCTATTGACATATACCACAATTTGATTTTAAAGGCATTATGCTGAGAAGAAAAAAAAAACTTAAAAGGTCAAAAGGTCATATACTATATTGTTTCATTTATATTATCTTCTTCAAATTACAAAATTATAAGTGTAGAAACCAGATTGGTGGTTGCCAGGAGTCGTGGATGGTTAGAGGACAGTGGATGGCTATGAAAATAAAGTGGAAGCAAGAGGTAGGAATTGATGGTGATGGCATAGTTGACTGCACACATAATTGATGACATATTTGATTGCAGGTGGTTACAAGAATCTTCACATGTGATAAAATCACAGAGAACTGGTTGGGCACGGTGACTCACACTTGTAATCCTAGCACTTTGGGAGGCCAAGGTGGGCGGATCATGAGGTCAGGAGTTTGAGATCAGCCTGGCCAACACAGTGAAATCCCATCTCTACTAAAAATACAAAAATTAGCTAGGTGTGGTGGCATGTACCTGTAATCCCAGCTACTCGGGAGGCTGAGGTAGGAGAATTTCTTGAACCCGGGAGGCGGAGGTTGCAGTGAGCTGAGATCATACTATGGCACTCCAGCCTGGGTGACAGAGCTAGACTCCATCTCAAAAAAAAAAAAAATCACACAGAACTATACACGCACACACGCATGCACACACACAGACACACATCAATGACAACATTGTTGTTTTGATATTGTACCATAATTGTGTAAAATGTAACCGTTGGGGAAAACTGGATAAAGGGTATATGACACTTCCTGGTACTATTTTTGAAATTTTCTGTGAATCTCAGGTTATTTGAATATACCATTTAAAAAAATCAAGAGGGTTCTATCTTCCATTAATGACAGAATATTTAAGATCAAGCTAACATGCCTGCCGTTGATAATCATAACTATAAGTTTTTCTTAAAAGTACAAAATCTTGCTCTCCGAAGACACTGGAGACTGCAAGAAAGGCGTTTTGCTTTGTTTTTGACTTTAAGAGGAAGACATCCAGTTTTTCACTATTAAGGATGAAGTTAGCTGTAGGTTTTTGTAGATGTTTTTATCAAATTAAAGATGTTTCCCTCTATTCCTAGTTTATTGAGAGATTTTTTTAAAAAATCATAAATGGACATTAAATTTTGTCAAGTGCTTTTTCTGTATATATTTATATGATCAGATGATTTTTCTACTTTACTTGTTCATGCAAAAAGTTTGCCTGTTGATGTGAAACTTTATGATTAAAACCTTTATTTCCAGAAAAAAAAATTCCAGGCATCAGCGGTTTTACTGGTGAATTCTGTTAAAGGTTTTTAAAAAGAAATAATTTCAGGCCAGGCATGGTGGCTCACGCCCGTAATGCCAGCACTTTAGGAGGCCAAGGCGGGTGGATCACCTGAGGTCAAGAGTTCAAACCCAGCCTGGTCAACATGGTGAAACCCCATCTCTACTAAAAATACAAAAATTAGCCGGGCGTGGTGATAGGCACCTGTAATTTCAGCTACTCTGGAGACTGAGGCAGGGGAATCACTTGAACCTGGGAGGCGGAGGCAGCAGTGAGCTGAGATCATGCCATTGCACTCCAGCCTGCTGGGTAACAGAGCAAGACTCTATCTCAAAAAAAAAAAAAAAAAAAAAAAAAAAAAAAAAAAAGGAAATAGTTTCAATATGACACTAACGAAAAACAGAGGAGGAAAAATTTCCCAACATGTTATATGAGGCAAAATGACACTGATTTCAAATAAAAAGATAACATGTGAAAATAAAATTATGATACAATAGCACTATTGAACAGAGATGCAAAAATTCTCAACCAAATATTATCAAATTAAAATCCAGCAATATGAAAAAGAATAATACATAATAAATGATCAAGCATGTTTTCCAGATAGTTATCAAGAATGAAACAAATTCAAGTTTGAAAATCAATCAATGTGATTTGCTGTTAAAAGAATAAAGTAGACCATTCAATAAATGTAAAAAAATTATTTGCCATAAGTCAACAGCAATATGTAATAACATTTCCCACCAAAAAAAATGAGAATTTTTTTCATAAAAGTAAAGATAAACAAAACAGAACACCAATAAAAAAGACTTTAGTTAATATATTTAATGGTTAAAGATCAGGAAAAGGTAAATATGTCCACTATTACTACTTTTACTCAATATTGTAAAGAAAGTCCTACCTAGTACATGAAGTCAAGAAAAAAATAAAAAGTATGTGTATTTGAAAAAAAGAAGTAAAAATCTTTTTATTGTATAACATTATTGTTTATATTAAAAACTTAAAAATTCTACAAAAGTACAATTTAACAAAAGTATAGAAGATATCTAAACTGAAAATCTCCAACATTATAGAGAGACGTTAAAGAAGACCTAAATAAATGAAGACATATGCCATGTTCATGGATTGGAAGACTCAACATTAAGATGTTGGTTTAATACAAATTTATACAAAATACAAAGGACTTAAAATAGTCAAAACCATCTTGAAAAAGTATTACAAAGTTAGAGGACTATAGCACCTGATTTCAAAACTCACTATAAAGTCACAGTAATCAAGACAATGTAGTATTTTCATACAAATAGACAAATAGATAAATGAAATAGAATTGTGTGTCCAGAAATGGATCCACACATGTATGTCAAGTTACTTTTTGACATATATGCCAATAGAATTCAATGGGGTAAGAAGAGACTTTTCAACAAATGATCCTGTAACCACTGGATATCCTTACATTTAAAAATAAAAACAATCCAACAAACCAAAAACCTTTACCTTTAACTCACATCATATATAAAAGTTAATTGAAGATGTGTTACAGACATATACATAAAAGCCAAAAGTCTTGAACATAAGCATTTGTAAAGATGCTCAACATCATTAGTCATCAGAGAAATGCTAATTAAAAGCATAATGAAATATTATTTCACATCCACTACAATGGTTAAAATTAAGAAGATTGGCAATATCAACATAAGTTGGAAGTGGAGCAACCAAAATTTGCATACATTGTTTGTATGAGTGTATAATTATACCACCAGTCTGAGAAAAGTTTTGGCAATTTCTTATAAAGTTAAAAACATGCCTACCCATTGACTCATCACTTACACTTCTAAGAGAAATGAAACATGTACTTCTACAAAAAAACTAACTCAAGAATGCTCATAGAAACTTTATTCATAATAAACAATAAAAACAAAACAATCAAATGTCCATCAATGGGAAAATTTCAAAAAAACAAACTGTATAATACATTAACAATATAATGTTGCTCAGCAATTAAAAGTAATGAATTACTAATACATGCAGCAACTTGGAAAAAATCTCAGAAATGTTAGGTTGAGTGAAAAAGGCCAAAAACACGAGTTCATACTGCATGATTGGAATTCCATAAAATGGAATTGAATGAATTCCATTTTGCTTGTTCCATAAAAAACAAGCAAAAAGGACACATGATACTAGATGTGAGAATAGCAGTTGACTTTGGGATGAAGGAAAGAGACAAATGGAAAGGGACAGGAGGGAACTTTCTGGGGTAAAGCAAATATCCTGTATTTGTTCTGCATGATGGCTACATGGTTGTATTTGTTTGCTGAAGCTCATTGAACTTACGCTTTAAATTGGAACATTTTATTGTATGTAAATTAGACTTCAATACATTTTTAAGTGAAAAATAAACATCATTTTTCCCAGTTATTCAGTCATAAAATGAGTTTACTGAATACTTATTAAATAAATCTGTAATCGCTATTCAATGAGTAATGTTGGTTTGGGAAGGCACTGAGTTTCAGTTTTGCAATTACCTTGTCTTAAATATGAAAAAAGTAAAAGATTCTTTTGAATTTAAATGGTAATGTATACATTACTGAATGCAGCTCACCACATTTAGTAAATGCTTTCTTCTCTTTGCCTAACAAGCTCCACAGAACAAACTAGTTCAAACTGAGCAACTGTAATACAGGCAAAGAAAGAACACTGAACTTGGAGTCAGGTGACCTGAATTTTCTTTTAATTTCTGCATTTTATGATTTTATTTGGCAGAAGTTCCCAGTTGGCTGCCACTGCTAAATTTCCTTAACACTAGAAATATGTATCGAATGCAGAGAATCATCAGTACACAAAGCAATATCCTAATACCCTATGGCCATCTTGGTTGTTGATTTCAGGAAAGTGAAGAGATATTATCATCTATAATACAATATGATTATTTTTGTTCTTTATTTTTTTCTTTCAGTATGTTTAATCTTCAGTATCTTTGTTTTAATGTGCAAGAATCATTTTCATTTTTAAGGCTCCTGTGAAATCAGCCACTTGCTGATTACCTTTTAAGCTGTTGACATAAAGCCAAAGTAACAGGGCAGAGGAATAAATGCCACTTATCTTTCCTTTTGTCCCTCATTACATAGAAACATCTCCATGGCTTTTCATTAAGAATTTCCTTGAAATTTCTGACATCTTGCAAAATTAATGATTGTATAGCTTTAAAAATGTGTCTTTTACCACCTCTACATTTTTAATGTGTTTGCCTCAATGTCTTATTGCATAAAGAAAAGATAATTTTATCTCTATATATGTATACACACATACATATACATATAATGCCGATACAGATGTACTCACAAATATATAGAAAAATGATCATCCATTCATTCAAATGGTCTTTCATCCATTTAATACATAAATATTTTCAGTGCCTGCTATATACAGGTGTTGTGCTAAACACCATGAATGTGATTATAAGCAAAATAGGCTACATCTCCATAATGATAATAATTTGTGATTGATACAGTTCTAAATATCTGCCTACTCCAGACTTGCTTAGTGGTCATAGCACTAGAAAAAGGTATTACTTGGCTAAAATTCAGATCCAGAGTAGAATAACCTTCCCACCATCATACAGCTAGAAAACAGTAGAGCCAAAATTTCAACCCAGACACTCTAACTCCCAATTGTGGGATGTGTGACTGCTTCACTCTGCTTCCTGCTCCTGCACATTCTCTCACAGAGCTTAAGATAAAGTTGGGGAAGATACTGACTAGTTATGAGGATGATGAAACAAGCAGGTACAACTCAAAATGTATTTCCCTCATATATCTCACTTACCTTTTCTTCTCCTATTACTTCAACAACTCAAAATTCCTTTTTTTTTTAACCAGACCCTCTTTTAACAATGGAAATTACTGTCAAAAAGTTTTAGTAGAGGTCCATTCTTTGTTCCTAATGTGTACCTGAGACCAGATAAAACGAGTAAACTTTTCTCCCTTGAGAATCAAACTTTGTGAAAGAATAGATATACTTGCTATCTCCACTTTCTCATTTCTTTCCCACCTGTTTACTTCAGTAGCTTTTTCCAAAATCACCAAAGACAACCCAGTTTTCATTTCTAATTTACTTGGCCTCTCAGCTGATTTTAACCCTGTTGATTTTATCCTGTTTCTCAACACATTCTTTCTGCCTCTTTTCGGCTATGGCTCCCAATTTTCTTCTTACTTATTTTGGCTACTCTCTTCTTTTCTACTGTGGATTTTCTTCTTCAACCTAACCATAAAATATTGGACTTTCCTCCAAAGTTCTATTTTGAAAGTTTTCTCACTCTGCATACAGTCCCTCCGTGAGCTCACATGCTGTTGGCTTCCACTGCAGCACAACTGACAATGATTTATAAATCTAGGAATCCATTCTGGATCTCCTTTCTCACCATGACACGAGACAATGGAAGCACTCCCTCCCAAGGGACCAGATAATTGCAAGGAATCTCCAAGCTTATAACTAATCTTACAGCAAGCCCAACAGAAAAGAAATGACTTATTTTCCAGTATCCCAACAAAAGTTCTTTATTTCAGTATTATTAGCTTCAAGGGGCTTCACTGGTTTATGTGTTGTTGTCCCAGATGCAGAGGTATGGCCGACAGCACCCAAACGACATGGGCAAAGGATTAGAGGCAATAGGAAAGTAGCAGCTTTTAACAAGGAGAGCACATGATGTGGGGCTGCATGGGCAACAGGCTCCCCCTGCACACCGTGATGTCACCAGAGGTATCCACACTTTCCAAATCCTGGCAGAGCAATCATTTGAAAGACATTAAAGAGACTGGTGACAATCTGAGTGATTATTGAGGGAATATGTGGTTTTTGGAGAAAAAAAAGAACTGGGGGTAGAAAGTGTTAAGTCAACAAGGCCCTGTGTAAATGATGGATGTAGAGGGGAAAGGGCAACATAATAGAAAAAATCCATGCAGGCAGGGGATCAGGTATCTACAGAGGGATGAAGGGGCAGGTGAAACCAAAATCCAAGGGAAGTGGACAGTCCAACAGGACTGGAGATGAGCAGGAAGCCAAACAACAAACTGAGGGAGGGAATGGGACAACCAGTGTTCTCTGATATTGTGTAAGCAGCAGAAAAAGGCATGATCAGCAGTTTCAAGAATCTGAAAACAAAGGAGCTGACAAAGTACAACAAAACAAAATATGTTTACATGCATGCGGTAGAATAGAATTAGATCAAAGAATTGGATCAAACCAGTGTGTTTTGACCAGTGACTTAACTGCTTCAGCACCAGCACTTGATTCTGTTGCCAGCAGGCCTCTCTAGTGAGTTGATGGCACAATTAAGTGTGTTCACACCACAAAAATGCCAGGGCCTGAATACGTTCAGCAACATTGTAAGGTTATATTTACAGCCAAAATGCAGAGAGTATAAATGAACTAAAGAAGAAAAGTCTGAGGTGAAGGAAAGAACAAGCGTTAAAATGAGGAGTATTTAGGGCAGTGAAGCAACAACCCTTAGGGACAAAAGGGTCTAAATGATCTTAAACTTAGCATTTTGCATGAGTAACCAAGAATTAATATGTTGCCAGTAAGCATTTAGATTAGGATACATAGGAGGCCATCCTGAATGGATGGAGTTAGTATTCAAAAAAAAAAAAAAAAAAAAAAAAAGACACCAGCAGAGTGAGCAAGTGAGATTTAAATTTGAAGATGTGGCCAGCTGAACAGACAGACAGGACGCAGGCTTCACTCTTGTAAAATTTATTTAAGAACAGCTAGAAAAATTGCCTTATAGCCAGGTAATCGAGATATGCAACAATTCGTATGCTTTAAAATACCAGCTATTGGCCATAAGTGACACCTACATTAACATTATTTTGTAATGCCTTCATGGTGGATAATGTTATATCATGGAGTGGGGCTAGAAATGTAGTGGTCTGGAAGTAGGAAGCAAAGGGAGGAGAGAATAAGCTAACAGTGGTTGGGGCTGGAAAATACATTTTATAGGTTTTTTAATGAGACTTAAGGTTGTGGATTATTCCATCCAGAATAAGTCCAACTGTTGGGTTGAAGTCATCATCAGAGATGAATCTAGCTGTGGAAGTGATGTCATCATGAGACCTAAACACACCTGCAGGGATGAAGTCAACAAGGAGTGGGAGGGGATGAATCCAGCTGTGGGGTTGAGGTCATCAATGGAATATCATACCTGTGTGCCTAGAGAAAGTTGGGTGTGGTTAAGATCTTACCTACAAATATTGTGTGTCGTGGCAGGGCTCTTGAAGCACCCCATCGGTAGGTAATCAGGTAAAATGTACTGTGCCTGTTCAGAAGGACGATTTAAGGAGGGACTCCTGGAGAGAACAGGTCAGGTATAAGCAGGTTTGGGCTGGGTTAAATGAGACAGAGAGTGTAGGTTGTGTCTTTATAGTGGCTAGTAATTGGGGGAAAGATTCAGAACCTGAGGGATTTCAAGATTTGAAATTTTCACTAATGTCAAAAGAGGGAGGGAGTGTATTTAAGTTTTCTTATCAGCTTGCCCAGATGGTACAAAAGAAGAAAATGGGGCTTGAAAGCTGTCCGGAGTCAAACATAAAAAATGAAGTTAGACTCCTTATTGCAAGTGTTCTTCCTATTGCTATTACGATGTTTAAAAGGTTTAGAAAATATTTATGAACCTATCCATATTAATTTCTAGTTCCAAGTATTTGCATTTAAAAATTATTTGAAATGACAATGGCTTTGTAATGTAATACAATAAAACAGGATTTTTTTCTTAATTAACTATGGTTTATAGACTAATAGAAAAATTAATAGTACCTGGAAGCTGAAATTGCTAGAAACTAAGAGAGGGCATGTGAATGCACATGTAATGAGAAATTAAAATTACCTCCTTGAAGTTACTTTCAACTTAGGGATAAGGGACTAAAAGAATTCAGATAGGATAAGAAATAACCAATATTTCAACTTTTGCAGGAACTAGGCTTGAAACACATTTGTTAACTTTAAAAATAACCAACATTTTTTCTCCATTGTTTTAAACTTAGATTCTCTCCACCTCTGTTTTTCACTGAAGTAGTTGTAAAAGTGACATTGGGTACCATTTCCACCCAACAGATGCAGGAAATACTGGAAATCTTTTAACAAAATCTGTACTGCAGAGATTTCCTTCTGAATTTCGCAAACTTCAGCAATTCACATAAATGAAAATTCAAAACAAAACAAAGCGAAAACTTTTTGGCATTAACCCGTGAGTTACAGAGTGAGATTTTAAAAGGTAAAATGAAATTCCATTATGATAATTTCGGGATGACAGGACAAACTTTTCTTGAGTTTACATGAGAAACTTTGTCATTATTCTGTTTTAAGTTGAATGTCATTAGGTTTGAAAGTCCTTTTGGTGATTAGAATTAATTCTTTCCATAAATATCCAACCACATGCCACAAACAAAATTTAAAAAAAGTTTGTAGATATATGAAACACATTTCATATATCTACATATGTCTTTTCATGTAAGTCAGGGGATGGAGGATAATCTATATCTTTTAAACAATATAGTACCTTAGTTTGAAAATAATTGATATTGAAAACTCTTTTAGAATGTGAGATAGCTGTAACAATTATGTTCAAATTATTAAGAATAACCTCAGAAATGCACTTTTAATGCTTGTGTCACTTTAAGGGCACAATATGAAGGTTAAGTTTGAGAGTGTGCACAAATAAATTTCTTGTTCATTAACCAAATGCACTCTTTTAATATTTTGCTGAAGATATTCCTATCAATATGCCTTGGCATTATTAAGTGTGGACACACTTCATTGTGCTAACAACTCACTAGATGCTTTGCTAGCAGCAGAATCCTTTCCTGGTACCAATACTGTTAGATCGGTTGTTAAGAAATTATGGATTAATCCAATTTTTTAATATTATCCTTTCCTACCACATGCATATAAACATAGTTTGGAGTTCATTTTCAAATATAAAGTACACTGAATACAAAATAAACTCTGTGTTGCTTCAAAACTTCGTAGGATGCTGACTCAATACAGAAAAGATATTTGATTGTTTCTTAAACCAGAATTTGAACAGACAAAAATTATTGAGTGTTATTTTAATATAAAAAATGAATCTCAGTTTAAATTTATACTTAAAAATCCCATTAACATGAATGTTCTTAGATAGTTGATTTAGTATCTTTTTTGCTTATATATATATGTATATGTTATGTTTATTCAGAAAGAGAGAGAGAAGAAGGAAGGAAGGAAGGGAGGGAAGAGAGAGAAGAAGGAAGGAAGGAAGGAAGAGAAATTGGAATGACTGACAATGTATTCTTCAGCACGGCCAGGTAAGATGCGCTAAAAGTAGCCTCTAATTATTTTATTGGTCAATGTATTAATAAAAGGTACAATATAATCACTTATGTAAGTCACCAATTACATAAAACAAAAATATTGTGAATTTGTTAAAATGTCTGTGATGGATCCTCCAGAACACCCTCTGTGAAAGCACAATGTGGGTTTGGTTGAGGATTTTCGATCAGATCTCTCAGGGTACGCCAATTACATCACTTTACAGTGAAAAAGACCTATTCCTATTAATAATATACACAAAGCAAAGTTTTATCAGCAGGTGAGGTAGAATCATTTTATTTCCTGTTGTTATGCTCCAATATACTTTTACTAGCAAAACCTTTCTCAGATTTTTATAGAATAATTATAACTTGATGGTCTAAAAAGTTTTAAATATTAAAAATAAGATAGATTTTATTTTTTTAATATTTCTTAGGTGAAAATGTTAATTTTTCTTTATAAACAAACACATTGTATATATCTATAGATGTCTTCTCATGTAAGTCAGGGGCTGGAGGATAATCTATATCTTTTAAACAATATAGTAACTTAGTTTGAAAATAGGTGATATTGAAACTCTTATAGAATGTGAGATAGCTGTAATAATTATATTCAAATTCTTAAGAATAGCCTCAGAAATGCACTTTTAACGCTGTGTCACTTTAGAGGCAGGATAAGCAGGTTAATGTGTTATAAATTAAAATTAATAACATCTGATGTTATAGCACAGGGTCCTCAAGAAAAACAAAGACTAAGTATAAAATTGTTGGCAAAGTACCTACCAAGCATGTGGCACTGCTGTCGCTCAGTAATATTTAAATAACCACCTTTCTTGAATGGTTAACAGAGAATTTGTGAAGCCTGATCAGGCATGGACAACTTAAATAAAGATAACATGCGATATCAAGAAATAAAAATAAGTTTAGCTTGCAAATTTTTGAAAAAGATTTTTTACTGTAACTTGTAAATTTTTAGAATACAAAAAGACCACCAGTTTTAAAGACTATTATTTAAGGCTGAATAAATTGTCACCATCCAGATAAGTAGCATATAGGCATGTTTTAATTTTCCTGCAAAGATATATTTACCCACCTTATCACGATGTGCTAAATACAATTTAATATCAACTCACAATTAAGCTGGTCATGGCTTTTACCTGAAACCACTGTGTTAGCAGAGTTACTGTATGCTTATTTCTGGCATCCGCATTGAAGACCCTCATTTATTCACTCAATTAATATTTATTAAAACCAGTAGCAGATGATTAGAAAATGATCAACCTTGGGAGGAAAGTCTGAAATAGAATGACTAACTCCAGAGAAGGTGTGAGGGCAAGTACAGGGGACTGGAAACATGTTTTGAAACCTATGATAACTTTTCACTGGTGTGAGCAGTAAGTTGTGGAGAAAGTTGGAAAAATAGAAGTTTGAGATAGAAAGTTGACCAAGTTTGAAGTTGTAGAAATTCTAGCAAACAATGCTGCAATATACACCTAAAAGACAAGAGCTGAGGTAGAACAGAAGTGAAGGGCATAAGGATTAAGTGACTCCTGACTTGGACTGCTGGATGCTGAAATCACTTCCTAGGGTGGGAGGATTTGGGGTCTAGAAGACCATTGTAAGCAGGGGGAAAGTTCCCAGTGAATGTAGTATGTGACCTAAAGGTGGGTACTTATTAGAAGTATAGAATGATGGGCCAGGAGTGGTGGCTTATGCCTGTAATCCCAGCACTTTGAGAGGATGAGGTGGGAGGATTGCTTGAGTCCAGGAGTTCCAGACCTGCCTAGGCAACAGGGTGAGACCCCATCTCTAAAAAAAATAAGAAAGAAAAATTAGCCTGGGGTGATGGCACTTGCGTATAGTCCCAGCTACTCCAGAGGCTGGGGTCAGAGGATCACTTGAGCCCTAGAGATGGAGGCTGCAGTAAGCTGTGATTGCACCACTGTACTCCAGCCTGGTTGACAGAATGAAAAAAAAAAAGAAGTATAGAATGATAAAGAAAAATCACAGGTTCATGAAGGTATAAGAATATTGGTCACATAGCAGCATCACAGGGCTAGGGAAATGTCAAAACACTTGCACACAGATAAACTTTGAATAAGGTTTCAGTTAAAGCAAGAAGTTGGGGAAAATACTTTGAAGAGTTCTCTTTTCTATTATTCTTTTACTAGATGTACCTTATAACACTTGATACTTGGTATGTACATACTTCATTTTTACATTTACTACAATATGTTGCAACTATTGAATGTATTTTTATATTTCTCTAATTATACCTTAAATTCACTAAGGGATTAGGAATATTCATCTCTATAATCCACTTTATATGATGTAGTAAACTTAGACACTTCATAAATATCTTAGTGAAGCAATGAAGGTGATGTTAGTGAACGAATCTTTCAATATGAGATTTCAGGTTGCTAAATGGGTCAGAGGAATTTCTCATGTTTTTCTCCTTTTTATAAGTTTCTTGACTTATAAAATAAATTTTGACTTATAAAAATAAATTTTGAAATAAAAATCCAGTACAGTAAAGTGTACAAATCTTAGATGTGCAACTTGAATGTTGGCAAATGTATACACCCTTGCAACCAGTGATGCACTAAGGCTGACTCCTGACGGCTCATAAGTGCTGATTGTGCACATTCCTTCCTGGCTTTGTTTCAGTGATGTCAAGTTGGTAATTTGAGATCAACCACACTAACAGAATTTAAAACACAGAAATTTGCAAATGCTGGAAAGCAGGACATTTTTTTTTTGTCCCCCAGAGAGCAGTTGTTAAAACGTTTACCAGGACACGGCTGGTTATTACCATCAACCAGATCAAGATAGACATTTTCATTGCCAGAGTGATTAATTCATGCCTCTTTCAAGTTAATCCCTTGACTATTACTCTTTGGATTTCTATCACCATTGACCAATTTTTGCCTGTGCCTAAACTTTGTATAAATGGAATCATACAGTAATGTACTCTTTTGTTGCAAGCTCCATCATGCAGCATAATATTTTTTAAAAATTGTATGTGTTATTTTGTGCATCAGTACTGTGTTCTTTCTTTACCAGTGTGTGATATTCCATTGAATGAATATGCCACAATTTGTTTATCCATTTTCCTGTTGATAGAAATTTGAGTTATATCCTGCTTGGGGCTATTTTTGAATAAAGCTTCTATAAACATTTTTGTACACATTTTGTGTGTGTGTGTGTGTACTGTGTTCTTTTCACTTCTGTATATACTTAAGAGTGAAATAATTGGGTGATAGGATAGAAATTGCCAGACAGATTTCCAAAGTAGTGATAATATTTTATATTTGCACCAACAATTCATTTTTTTTGGTGATTCTTAACCTCAAAAGATAGCACAGCTGATTTTCCTCAAATATTTATCATCCCAAATTTACTTTGAAACTACAAGAGGTAAGACTATTATTTTTCTTAAATTTTATATCACCATCTCAATTTCAAAGAAGCAGAATATTATATATTAAGAATAAAGAGTTTTTATAAAATTGCTATGTAATATTGTCCTGGAGATTACACAAGCATATTATATGCCGTAATCATTTCTTCTCAGGTGAAATGATAAGGAATCATGCTTATGTTAACTCTACTAAATGCCTTATGGTAGCCCTTATGTATCTTTTATCTAAAGACCAAGAAAAATAAAAATGAGCAATGATTTTTAAAGTTCTAGATATTGTTCCAAAAACTCTGTATTTTTATTTAAAGGGTTACATGTTTCTAAATCTGAGAGCAATATCTGTGTCTATTTTTCAGGTTCCATGCCACCACTGGACTCTGTACATGGACTCATGATCTGTTTTAATAATCTGGGATTTACCTTAATTGTTGAGTATTCTGCTATGCCTTCAGACTTTTCTCCAGAGTGAAAAATGAATTACGATGATCCAGACAAGAGCTACTGATATGCTGACTCGGCTCCATAAAAATCACTCAGTTTAGTAAAACAATTATTTCCTAGCCCAATATAGACAAAATAATTTCCTTGTTAGTTGTCTAGAGTTGTATTATTTTTTTAACCAGTTGTGAGCAACATCCTTTTAGACATATTACCTTATGTGATTGACGTGGAATTTCAACAACACTTTTATGAGTATGCTGCCAATTTGCACCTATTTCAATAGATTTTTCCAGCAACATGTAGGCATGAATGTGCTCATGGCCTTTCTTAAATGATTAATTGAAAGGTTCTAAAGTCTTTTTTCAAGACTAGCCAACCCTATATCATAACATGACTTCCATGAAAAAATATACTTTACTATACTCTGTCTTATTTTTGAGGTGTTTTAGATATTAATTTTCTATTAGTAAAATAATATAAGTCATTAAAGCCAAGCATGATAGCCAATAACTTTTGTCCCTCACTTATACTCCAGCAATATGTTAACAATATAGAAACTTTTAAAATAATACCTGATTGACTAGAAATTTGATTGAGGAAGCCTTCTTCTGCAATATGTTAACAATATAGAAACTTTTAAAATAATACCTGATTGACTAGAAATTTGATTGAGGAAGCCTTCTTCTGCCTTTCTTACATAGTGTATTACAGAATATATTTATAATCAGTAATATTTCTCTGAAAAGTCATAGAAAGACATTTATGCTTAGAACAGTAGCTAGAAGGATGAAGAAAGTACTTTTAAAAGCGAACAGTAGAGAGTAAGTAAAACAGATGCAAGGTTGATTTTTTTCACAGCAAATCTATTTTGAGTCTTTATTAAAATTTTAATAATAAACTTTTTTTTTTAATGGGAAGTTGAGGCCAGGTGCGGTGGCTCACGACCATAATCCCTGCACTTTGGGAGGCTGAGGCAGGTGGATCACATGAAGTTGGGAGTTCGAGACCAGCCTGACCAACACAGAGAAACCCCATCTCTACTAAAAATACAAAATTAGCCAGGCGTGGTGGCTGATGCCTGTAATCCCAGCTACTCGGGAGGCTGAGGCAGGAGAATCGCTTGAACCCGGGAGGCGGAGGTTGCAGTGAGCTGAGATCACACCGTTGCATTCCAGCCTGGGCAAAAATAGCGAAACTCCGTATCAAAAAGAAAAAAAAAACACACAGGAAGTTGTATTTTACCATGAAGTTATGCAATGTATGAACATAGTATTTTCTATGATATTTTTGGAAGCAAAACAACAAATCAGGAAAAAAAATAATTTTTGCTTCAGTCATACCTATTTATATGTTATGCAACAAGTAATAGATTTTTATTAAAATTCAATTATCATGAATGGGTATAAAGGAGACTTTCATTATGAAAAAGCTAGTTTAATATCTGAATATTTTAGGAAGTTTAAGTTCAACCAGCTAATGACAAAAATGGCCAACCCCACGCCCCCAAAACCTATTCTTAGGAATTCTATGTTACAAATAGAGATAGTCCTGTCTATGACACGTAACATTAGACTGCACTAATAGATAAAATATTTTCCACCATGAAAAGAGACATCACTGGAGAGCCTACTGAGTAAAAAATACAATGGAATAGTATAAACAATTTTACAACAATCAACATGAAAATTTAGGTGAAATGAATAAATTCCTTGAAAAATAAAATTTAAAATAGCTGAGACAATAAAAATAGAAAATATGAATGGTTCTATACATCTAAAATAATCAAGTCCATTATACGATCTGTTCTAAAAAGAAAACTTTAGCTCTAAATGACTTCACTTATAAATGTTTTCGTATGTTCCTTATGGAAAATGAAGAAACACTTCCCAACTCATTTTAGAAGTCAATGTAACCTTGATATCCACAT
Source organism: Homo sapiens (assembly GCF_000001405.40). Classification (NCBI taxonomy): domain Eukaryota; kingdom Metazoa; phylum Chordata; class Mammalia; order Primates; family Hominidae; genus Homo; species Homo sapiens. The sequence goes on from NC_000006.12 coordinate 113,086,005, forward strand.
ATAAAAAAGCATTACCTGTAAAGAATATTAGTCCATGAATGCAAGGGTGACTTAGAAATCAGTGAAATTTGCCCTGATCATAATATGCAGCCAACAAACATATGAAAAAAAGCTCATCATCACTGGTCATTAGAGAAATGCAAATCAAAACCACAATGAGATAGCATCTCATGCCAGAATGATGATCATTAAAAAGTCAGGAAACAACAGATGCTGGAGAGGATGTGGAGAAATAGGAACGCTTTTACACTGTTAGTGGGCATGTAAATTAGTTCAACCATTGTGGAAGACAGTGTGGCGATTCCTCAAGGACCTAGAACCAGAAATACCATTTGACCCAGCAATCCCACTACCAGGTATATATCCAAAGGATTATAAATCACTCTACTATAGAGACACATGCTCACGTATGTTTACTGTGGCGCTATTCAAAATATCAAAGACTTGGAACCAACCCAAATGCCCATCATTGATAGACTGGATAAAGAAAATGTGGCATATATACACCATGGAATACTATACAGCCATAAAAAAGGATGAGTCCATGTCCTTTGCTGGGACATGGATGAAGCTGGAAACCATCATTCTCAGCAAACTAACACAGGAACAGAAAACCAAACACTGCATGTTCTCACTCATAAGTGGGAGCTGAATAATGAGAACACATGGACACAGGGAGGGGAACATCACACACAGGGCCTGTGGGGGGTTGAGGGGGCTAGGGTAGGAGTAGCATTAGCAGAAATACCTAATGTAGATGACAGTTTGATAGGTGCAGCAAACCACTATGGCACGTGTATACCTATGTAACCAAGCTGCACATGTATCCCAGAACTTAAAGTATAATAAAAGGAAATAAATAAACAAGTATAAGAAAACAAAAGTAAGCTAGAGAAAATATATCTAAAATCAAATGAGCAAGCAGTCAAGATTTTGTTTTATTTTATTATAGCTAGAAAGACACTGCTATAGTCAAAATCAGCAATGACACTAAAGAAATCCTCTGTGCTTTTCAATAAGCAAATATATTTCTTCCAAGACAAAAAAAATGATAAAAGTGATATTTTTTCAGAAATGCAGAAGTTGTATTTAATAAGAAGCAATATTTATTCATGTTAAAAACTAATAACCAAGAATAAAAAGACCCTCCTTCATCTCATAAAGTATATATATATATATAAAGAAAATATACTACAGCCTATATTATACTTAATAGTAACTTATTGAATGCATCCTGTGAAATAAAAAAAGAGACAATGATGCCTTATATCAATATTATACTGAAGGGTTTTGCCAGTGCAATATGCAAAGACAACATAAATAAAAGTCATAAATATTGAAGAAGAAGACGTAAAACAGTTATTGCTTATAGTGGCATTTTTAGCACTTAGAAAGTTCAAAAAATCTAAAAGCAATATACAAATTAATAAGTGAAGTCAGTAAGGTGTTGAGTACAAGGTCAACAAGTAAAGTTTGATTCTGTTTCTACAAGCCAGCAAAAAATTAATCAAAAAATTTTATTTTTAAAATGATATTTACAATACTATAAAAATCATGTTTCTATGGATAAATCTAATGGAAGATGCATAATACACACACATACACACACGCACACATACTTGACTGTATACCCATGTTAACAAAGACCAAATGGGGAGACTAGAATTCTACCCTTGTCCTGACTTTAACAAAGCATATCTTTCTCAGATGAAAGTGATGTCAGAGTGTGATATCAGAGAAAGTCAGTGAGGAGCTGGTATTTCAGTTCCCAGGTCTGTACAGATGGTGTCAGTGGAAAGCTCAAGGTCTCCACTTCTACACTCAACCAGAAGTAACAAGGCATCATTTCCTCTCCCTACTAGATTACTATCAGATGAAGCCAGGTGGGACACAGAACTCTTAGTACCTTCCAGAAGTAATGAGGTCTACCTCTAACCAAGGTATTAATGAAGGTCATGTGGAGAGTGGTAACTAGGCACTCTCCCTTGCAAGCATGTTGGTATCACTGAAAACCTAGTGGGGAGCCTCAACTCCCCTCAAAGTCCTAACGAAAATTTTAGAACTAAAAAAAATCAAACATTTAAAAACAAGAAATTAATGGACTAAACAGTGGAATGGAGGAGAGAGAAGAAACATTCAGTGAACTTGATTACAGAACAATAGAAATTACCCAGTTTGAACAATAAACAGTAAAGTAAACTGAAAATCGTAAACAGGACTACTCCCATAGGACTACAAGAAAAGACCTAACATCCATGTCATTGGAGCCCCACATAGGAAGAAAAAAGGGGATGGGAATGAAAAACTATTTAAAGAAAATGACTGAAAATTTCCCAAATTTATAAAAGACATATACCTGAAAATCCAAGAAACTTAGCAAACTCTAAACAGGATAAACCCAAGGAAGCCATGCCAAGAAACATCATAATCAAACTTCTAAAAACTAAAGGACAAAAATCTTAAAAACTGCCTGGAAGGAAAAAAAAATTAGAATAGCAACATATTTCTGATCAGAAACCACAAAGTCCAGAAGGAAGTGGCACATTTGCAAGTGCCGAGAGAACTGTGAAAAAGGAATTCTATATCCTGCAAAAATTTCCTTCAGAAATGAAGGGGAAATCAATAAATTCTCAAAGAAAAGAAAACTAAGAGAATTTGTCACCAGTACACCTACCCTAAAAGAATGGCTAACAGAAGTTCTTAAAACAGAAAGGAAACAATAAAAGGAAGGAATCTTAACCTATCTGGAAGAGTGAAAATATGGGTAAATATTACAGAATTTCTCCTTTTGAGTTTTCTAAAGTGTTTGATGGTTGAAGCAAAATGTATAATATTGTCTAAAAAATAACTATAAAATTTAACAAAACTACCCATATATCTTTAGTGTAAACACCTCAGCCTTTCAGTATGCTTGATTGTAAATTGAACTGGAAAACATAAGACCTCTGTTGGTGATCTGTAGCAGTGGTCTCCAACCACTTTGGCACCAGGGACTGGTATCATGGAGGACAATTTTTCCATGGGCCAGGGTTGGGAGATGGATGAAACTGTTCCACCTCGGATCATCAGGCATTAGATTCTCATAAGGAGTGCACAACCTAGATCCCCCGGATGCCAGCTCACAATAGGGTTCCCACTCCTATGAGAATCTAGTGCCACTGCTGATCTGACAGGAGGCAGAGCTCAGGCCATAATGTGAGTGATGGAGAGCGGCTGCAAATACAGGTGAAACGCTGATCTCTATCCGGAAGCTCGCCTCCTGCTGGGCAGCCCAGTTCCTAACAGGCGGTGGACTGGTACCTGTCTGTGGCCCTGAGGGGTTGGGGACCCCGATCTATATATAGAATCTATTACTTATTAGTTTAATAAACTAGGACAAAACTACATTCTTTTCCTTTTTCTCAAAATGGGAACATAAAATCTTTATGATGTGTTTCATAAGGTTGTTTTGCGATATTTTGTAAACTATAAAAGACTACAAAATGTAATAATATGAAAATTGTTACTATTACTTAACTTAAAAGATGGTCTTGTTCAAAGGTAATGTATAGTAAAATCTATTGTGCTGAAATATTTAAGTACTGAGGTTTGTGATTTATGTTGAAATAAACAAACTGAGAAGAGTGATGGAAAGGATGGAGAGATGCATAGCCATGTGGTAAGAAAAGTAAATTGTTCATGGTAGCATCTAGGTGATGGGTTTACAGGTGTTCACTGTAAATTTATTTTAACTCTTCTCTACTTGTGATAAGTTTCATAAGAAAGTGTTGGAAAAAACTTTAACATAAAATGTTTAATTCTCATAGATTTCAAGAAAATAAAAAAGGTGACCTACCTTGTCACTAAGCATAACAACTTCATGGTACATGATATCAACATAGCTTTGGCTATAGCAACAACATTGTATTTATAAGTAAAATGACATACAAGTTCACCATTGTGTGTGTGTGTGTATATGTGTACATGCTCTCTCTCACACATGCACACTGTATAAATGTATATACACACATGCACACACACATACATAAAACTCAACATGATATGAATAAAAGTGTAAGTTTTATTCCAAATTTTTGCTGATGTTTGCTGCATGCTTTTTTAAGGTCCATGGATAGTTTCATTGTTTTTGGTAATATTCTCAGCATATGCTTACAAATAATTTTATATCAAATATTTCAGAGAATCTGCTCACATATCTTTCAATTAATATAAAAAAGATTTGTTGCAATGAATCTTTTTTCATAAGCAAAAGTTTTTGACACCAAATTATCACAATCACAGTCATTTTCTAGATATGGTAACTGTGATCAAAATTCCTCATTCCTTTTTACAGTATTAATGGTGGAATCTGGGCTATGTTAACGGTATACCCAACTCGAGCCCAAAACACATAAATCACTTCATTTTTCTAGGTCAGATTATCTTCAGGCAAAGATAAATATACTCAATATGTTTGAAAATGTTCCTGAAGACATAAACGTGTTTTTATAAAGCAATATTTAGAGATATAAATGTAAATGAGCCATATGGATTGCATTTCACTTGAAATAACCGCACATTGGAAACGTAATGGAAAATGGGCTTGGGAAAAAGTTTGGAATGTGTTAGGTTACCTTTCATGATTCCGTTTTATAGGTTCAACTGACAAGCCACGATTGAAGAGTAGAGTTACCATATATAGCTGCGGTGGCACTGCAGTGGTTCATATATGTTGGAAGGGACTCACTTTGAGAGTCTTAATATCTGTCAGTCTTGGAGAGTATATCACATTCCAGAACAGGCTTGTTGTATGGTCTTGGGGTATGCTCAGTAGACCCAGAAGCCTGGTTAAACTTAGCATGCCTGTAACTTAATAGAGCCATTCACTATACCATTCATTTATCAATTTATTCATTCATTGTATAGCATTTAATTAGTGGGCTATATTATCATTAGCTTAAAATGATATAATAAAAGAAGACTAGATCTAGATCAAAACCAGTGACTCATGCAATCCTTAAGTATAATAGGTGCTCTTGGTCCCACACTCATATCCCCATTGGCACCTCCGTTTTTGTGCATACTATACTAACTTCCAACAGCCAGCACCTAAATCTCTTTATCTGAGGGCTTTTTCTGGCCACCAAATCCTACTCTGCCTATGTGGAGTATGCTGAAGGCCTGGAAATTAATACCTTCCTGAAGCAACCCTAAATCAATCTCTCGAAGGTGGGATAACACTAAAGTCCATGTTCTAAAAATTCCCAGAGTTCCCCATCAGATTTAAGCTCCGGCTGCCCACAGTGCTGGTTTTTCTTTTCTCATCTTGTTTCTCCACCACCTTAATCACGTTTCCTGATATCAAGTCGCAAACAAGCTACTTGTTCTAGAATCCTTATCTTATAGTCTGCTTCTGAGAAACTCAGAGTTAGACAATAGGCAAAGCAGGCATGGAAACAAATATTCACAATAAAATGTGGTATGAGACATAGTAAATATATATAACAAATGTCAAGGGACTCAAAGGAGGAGCTATTCCTTTGTTCATTTAACAAGCATTTATTGGGCACCATTTTCTAGGTCCCCAATTGGTGCAAATGTAAATGAGGCACAAAGACACAGTCCTGGGTATTTCTGGGAATGTAGGCCATTAACTGGAGGCAAAGAAATTACTCTGCCTATGGAAAGATGGGGATGGGGGTGTGGGATGAAAACCAAAGGGGATGAAGACAAAAAAAAAATGACTGGAAAGAGGAAAAATGAAGGCTGAAAATGTTTTTGAAGGTACATGATGTTTGAGTTGTATTTTGAACTAGGACTAACTTTTCCATTCAAAAATATGGAGGCTAAAAATCTAGGCAGAGAACTAGAAAATTGAAAGGCCCAGAGCCACACCAAAAGGTACACTGACTTAGGAACAACAGTTCAGGGTGGCGAGAACACAGCATGTATATGGGAGACTTGAGAAAAGTGAAATACAACAGGATGTTGGAGCAGGATTATGTAGACCCTTGCATGATATCTGAATATGTGGACTTAATCTTATGAGTAACAGTGGCCAGGTGTGGTGGCTCACACCTGTAATCCTAGCACTTTGGGAGGCTGGGGCGGGCTGATCACCTGAGGTCAGAAGTTTGAGACCAGCCTGGCCAACATGGTAAAACCCCGTCTCTATTAAAACTACAAAAATTAGCCAGGTGTCGTGGCAGGTGCCTGTAATCCCAGCTACTTGGGAGGCTGAGGAAGGAGAATCGCTTGAACCCAGGAGGCTGAGGTTGCAGTAAGCCGAGATTGTGCCATTGCATTCCAGCCTGGGTGACAAAGCAAGACTCAAATAAAATAAAAAAACCTTATGAGTAACAGGAATCCATCAAGTTCTTTTGCCTTAGGATTCCAACTGGCTTATCCATTTGTTTTGTAATGGTCTGAAGACCGCTCTTATAAAAATTGCACTTTGGGATCTGTCTGGGGTAAACAATCGCTAGAGAACTAGTACAAAACTGCTGAATGCATTTGATAACATAAACTGTTTATTCTATATTACATTTAGTAGAAAATTACAATGTGTTTTAAGCTACAAAGGATCATAGCATTATATCATAAATCCAAGTCTCTCTCTAGTATTCTAAACTGTTTCTTAACTAGAATATTTCAATTAAAATAATTATTTAAATTATGCTATGTATGTTGGTGTTCCTATCATACAGAGAATGACAAGCTCTGTTATCTAAGAACTCAACACTCACAGACAGAACAAAGTTGGCCACGTGTTGATTCTTACTGATAATAGGCGTGTGTGTACTAGAGTTCTCTGTGCTATTCTTTCTACTTTGGTATGTACTTGAAATTATTCACAATAAGATTAAAAATTAAACAGCTCAAAAGAAAATTAAAATTATTTATCAGTAGCAGATTCTGTTGAGGTGCCTTTAGCGATATGAAGCACCTGTCCCAGCTGCTGTTCTCAGCTGCACCCCTCTTCGAGTGTTGTCCTTACCTGACTCTGGGAGCCACCTCATCTGTCTCTGCCTGGGAGGCGCACCCCACTCCACTCTCAGGGGTGTTCAGAACTAATGACTAAGTGAAGGGGAGAGAGTCCTTACAACAGCTCTCTCACTTCTGGGTGGGAAAATCTCTGGAGCAATTCATATTCTGGAGCCTCCTGTGTGATCAGGTTGAGGCCAAACTTCTCTTGAGCCCTCTTCTTTGGCTGATTTCATCCTCTACTCTGTCTTGCATTCTTCACAATCCTAGATGTTTCTACTGAGATCACTCCCTCAGTAAATCATTTGCAAAATAATTTCTGTCTTCTGCTCTATTTTCAGGAACTCAGCCTTAAGCGATTTTATTTTGGAATTAATGAGAGTTAATCTGTTGATTAGGAGACTAGACAAGGTATAGGAATCAGAAGGCCTGGTTTCCAGACTGACACTGTGTTTTCTTATCTGATCAATCAATTCTGAGAACATCAAGTTCCTTTGAAAAATGAGAAAAATAACATTTCCCTATATTTTATGATACTGTAAGGAACAAATGAGATTATGCATATGAAAGCAGTTTTGAAAAAGAAAAAAGTTTTGTATAATTTGATTACATTAATATGCTATTTCATTATCTACAAGCAGTTGTAAATCGCCTGATGGTTAATTATAATGTGATATTCAATTCTGCAAAGTGAGAAATTATTTTAAGGCAAGGAAACCAGAGGCTTGCTTCAATGTGCCACATAACAGGCTGGCTTTTTTTTGTTTGTTTCATTCAAGTCTTTCATCTCCACCTGCCTTTTCCTGGCGAGACACTGGAACTAGATGTGAATTTGAACTTGTAATGGGCAATGGACTCTGTTATCTTTACGTGCAAGGAGAGCACATTTCTATTTTCCTTCCCAGGAGTGAAGAAATGTTTTGTTAAGTGGATGTTAACATTTTATAACTTGTATCAAGAAAAATGATCAACAACAATTCAATTAGTTATATACTGTAATAATAATCACCACCATTGGTCATGCACTTATTTTCCAAAATGTCCACTGACAAGAACAGATATCAATTTCTCTGAGTTGCAGTCCAGCAATATAAATACTCACATAACAGAGAATCTAAGTGCCTGACTAAAGTGATAGCTACAAAGTTGAAACAGTGCATTAAATAAAACCTGAGTAAAAACTGCATAAAAAAGAGGGTGATGTTTATACTCATGCTGAGTTCCTGATGCACAGTTCATCACTCTTGGGCAGGCGCCTGTAGTCCCAGCTACTCGGGAGGCTGAGGCAGAAGAATTGCTTGAACCAGGGAGGTGGAGGTTGCAGTCAGCCGAGATTGCACCACTGCACTCCAGCCTGGGAGACAGAGTAAAAAAAAAAAAGAAGAGAGAGAGAGAGAGAGAGTCATTGAATTCTCACACCCAATGACCAATTAACCTGGCATAATGGTTTCTTCTTAGAAAGGTAGTTTGGGGAAAAGGAAAGAGTTGTTTTTGATTAGTCTTTTTCCTCCCCTCTCTCTTCCTTTATAGTTTTTCAAAAGTTGTCAATCCTTACTTACTCACATATTCCCATTTTAATAGCATATATTTCATGTACAGCTTTTTTGAAATATGTACAGAACTAAAATATCTAAAGCAAAATCCAAATTTCCTGTCTTCTCTCTGTTGTGATACTTTTGCAAATAAACTTCACACAAAAGTAATATCTGGTAATGTCACATGACTAGAAACTAAGGCATTCTAGTTAGAAGTCAAAGGAGTTTAAATAATAACTTGTATAACCTATACCAATATTGTGTTTTCTTCTGTTTCCTATTGTAGTTCTTCACAGAGCAACACAGAAGGTAAAGAAATCAAAATGATGTCCCAAAGTTTACGTCCATAGGAGCTGATTTCTCAATGGGGAATATTTAAATATGAATGATTCCCACAAGCATACTGAGCACATCGAAAAAAACTGTAAGAGCTCACTGTTTTGAAAAATCTGCTGTGCATACTAAAGTGGCTGCAACTTAAACAAACATTTGAAGCATTGTGCAAGAAGGAAAATTAACATAGACAGTGGTTAGCTATCTTCAGGAAAGTGCCCTTAAAAAATATTTAGATGGTTAGGTTGCTTATCGGATGATATTGCATATATGTGATATGGCAGACTGAAGGATGTTTATTTGTGTGTGTGAGTGTGTGTGTGTGTGTATGTATATCTTCAAACTATTATATATATATATATATAAAATCACTATATGTATAAAATATATAATTGCTCTCTCTCTATATATATATATATGATATACCCAAACTATTTTATCTTCTGACCCATCTAAAACTTACTAAGATTGAACTTACCTTGAACTACTATTTATTTTCCTAAAGGAGTTATTGAAATATCTTCTTTGCCCTGGTTAAGAATGAGCTATTTTATTACTAAATGTAGTTTCTTTATGGTAAGTGAGTGGAAATAGGCGTACAAATGGGCAGATAATTAGATATCATTGTTCCACTGCTGATGAAGTGGAACTATCTCAGTAGGGCTGAGTGTGGCCTTGGAAGTAGCCCTTCCCACAGGCCGAAAGTTGGGCACTGGCCTCCGAGCAGAAAGAAAGGCCTCCTTCCAAGAACAAACATTCACAGGTAGCATTCATACCTGAGGAAAATTTGCTTTTCATGGGCTCCTTCTAGCCCAATGTCCGCATACTCACCCAGGCGCAAGGCCATTTACGATGGTCCATGTGCTAGACAGGAGGAAGGCCTCGACAGGCACAATGCTAACTCCTCATTTCTCAAATAAGCTTCTATTTTTTTAACCAACTTGCTCTCTCATCAAGTTAGAGGCTTCATGTAAGCAATGCTGAGTGAATTTTCACTTTTACATGAGTCCAATTAGGACGTAAGGAAAAAAAGGAAAAAGAAAGATAATGTAAAACATGTTAGCAAATAGAACATGAAAACTCCAGATATAAAGCTCTGGAATTTTTATCTTTACAGTTATACTCCTCCCAAATGAAATCATATTGGACCAAGTTAGGAATGTTAGTGTAATTTTAAGAAAGTGGAGAAATGGAAAAAACATGATACCCCTAGAGATTCTTCAATCAGCCAACTTTGCAGCCTTTGGACAATTTCTATGGCGGACCTGATGTTAATTTTTCATTGGGTCATTTCCAAATCAAAGTAAAGAAGACATTACTGAATAAGATCCATGGTTATTTCATCAGTGATTAGGTAATTCTGTGGCAGATTTGTCTTCTTAAGTAACATTGAATTAATACACTAATAAAATATGCATTTAGCTCTTTCCTAAAAGTTTAAAAATTTTATATTAAAATGTTATACTTTATAGATTCTAAAAAGTCTTAGGTACTTTCAGGCTTCTGTTTCTAAGAAGATGGAGTAGATATATTTTTCCTGTTTCTTTTCTAGGTACAACTAAAAACCCTGTACATTATACATAAAACAAACATAAGAAAACTATGAAAGGTGAAGGGAAGAAGCCAGGCCATCTGAGACTGAGGATCAAAGGAACAACAGAATAGTGAGTTCCCTGGGTTTTCTTTTTGCCTCATAAATACCGGACTTGGTGCTTAAGAAGTCAACAGCTTAAAAACACCACAGGAGAAGATAAAAAGAAAGAGAAAGAGAGAGATAGAGAAGAGAAAAGAGAAAAACAACAAAAACTACTCTCTAATCAAAGGACAAGGAAAAGGCAACCTAACAAGATAGAGAACTTTTAGAAAATAAACACTACTTCAGCTTAACATCATAGAGGAAAAAAAAAAAAGGAAAACAAAGAGAAAAACAAAAATGTTTCCCCATCCCCACTCATGATAGCAACGGCTGCATGGTAAACATAGATATCCATCCTTGCCTAGCTATAATGGGGCATTCCAATTTACCACTCCCTCCACCATCACCACCAAATTGGTATCAGAAAGGCCAAGTAGGAAACCAGAATTTTAATCGTATTTGATAGTAACCAATGTAGCTGTCCCCCAGTAGTGTCAGTGGGGACCATGGGAAGGGGAGCCTGGACTTTCAGTCCCAGTCAGCAGTAATGAGCCATCCTTACTCCTCTTTATTGAGGTGCTGTAGGAGAAAACATATGAAGGAGTCAGGATTCTCATCACCCCCCCAGCAGTAGTGATATGGCTGGTAGTCACATGGGGATAATAATGAGGCATTTCTACCCCTCTTAGCCAGGGAGAGATCAATGAAGGTCCTACATGGAGTCAGAAATCTTACCCCTACCTCACAGCAAGAATAAGCTCTTTCCCCTTGTTATCAGCAGAGGCTGAGTGGGGACCTAAACCCTACTCCCACTAGTGGAACTCCAACTTCTAACCCCACCTGATAGCTACAAGAAATAAACTTCCCTTCTTCACCTGCCAGATGTTAGACAAAACCAGCAAAAATAAGAGCTTGCCCTTTCCTTGTTGACTAGAGAGAGAGTTTTTTGCTCTTGCTATTTTCTTTTCTTTTCTTCACTCCCCACCTTTCTTTTTAAAATCTCCTGTAGTATTTTCAGTTGTTGGCTTCTTTAGTTCCAAGTCTGGTATATATGAGGCAAAAATAAAACCCTGGGAACTCACTACTGTGTTGTTCCTTGGATCTCCAGCTCTAACATATCAATAATTACATTAAATGTAAGTGGTCCAAATACACAAATTATAAAACAGAGTAGAAGCTCAGTGGATTAAAAAACATGACCTAACTATATGCTGTCTAAAGGAAACTCACTTAAAATATACAATATAGGCAGGAAACAAAGAGATCCATCCTGTAAACATTAATGAAAAGAAACTAGAGTATTAATATTGGATAAAGTAGACTTTAAACCACTGTATTAGTCTTCTCTCATGCTGTTAATAAAGACATGCACAAGACTGAGTAACTTATAAAGGAAAGAGGCTTAATTGACTCACAGTTCTACATGGCTGGGGAGGCCTCACAACCATGGTGGAAGGTGAGGAGGAGCAAGTCACATCTTACATGGCAGTAGGCAAGAGAGAGATTCTGCAGGGGAACTTCCATTTGTAAAACCATCAGGTCTTTTGAGACTTATTTACTACCACAAGAACAGTATGGGGAAAACTGCCCCCATGACTCAATTATCTCTACCTGGCCCTGCCCTTGACACATGGGGATTATTACAATTCAAGCTCAGATTTGGGTGAGGACACAGCCAAACCATACAAACTGCAGAAAATTACCAAAGGTAGGGAGGACATTATATAATTTAAGAAAGAGGTCATTCCACCAACAAATACATAGCAATTCTAAGCTGTATGCACACACACACAAAAAAAAACAGAGCTGAAAAATATATGAAACCCACACTTACAGAAATGAAAAGATGAATGGACAAATACAAAATTATATTTGGAGACTTCAATATCTCTCTCTAAGCAGTTGTTAGAACTAGGCCAAAAAATCAACAAGGATATACAAAAATACAGCATCATTAACTAGCAGTGTATAATCAACATTTCCAGAACACCAAAACAAATAGCAGCAGAGTATATATTCTTTCTAAGTGACCATGAAATGTATACCAAGATAACTCATATCCTGGGCCATAAAACAAAAAATTTAAAATAATGAAAATTCATATACAAAGTATTCTTGAGAACAATGGAATCAAATGAAAAATCAATAACAGGAAGATTAAAAAAAAATCTCCAAACACTTGGAAACAACCACACTTCTAAATAGTCCATGGATTAAATAGGTAGCTAAAGGAATGCTGAAAGGTAAACTTATTAAAATTAAAATTAAAACTTCAGAATATTATCACACATACGTACCAATGAGCCACAAAAAAATTCATGAAAATAATTTATCATGTGTTAAGTATTTGATTTATGATAAAGTAAGGATTCTAAACAGTGTACAACAAAATGTTATTTACTAAATTTTAATTTAATTATAATTGGTTAGTTAAATTTTGAGGAAGATAGATTCACAAATTACACCAAAATAAAATTAATATTAGCAATTTAAAACAATTTATTATATAAAATTAATTTTAAAAACCTACTCAAAATAATCTGATTGAATATTTAGTTAATCTCTAACAATAAAAATCTTTCTGGGCCTAAAATGATAAAGAAAATTACAAACTAAAAGGTTATCCAATTATAATAAATAAAAATGTCAAACTTCTAAGGGACTACATTAGAAATGGGAAAATGTCTCAATAATTTAAGGCCCTACTTCAAGAACTTAGAAAAAGATGAGCAAAATAAACCCAAACAAACAGAAGCAAGGAAATATAAGAGCAAGAATCAAAAAAGTTGAAAATAGAAACACAATAGACTCAATAAAAGAAATCTCTATTAAAAGAACACGGAAAGAGCTGGTTCTTTGGAAAGATCAATAAAATTGACAAACTTTTAATAAGACTAACAAATAAAAAAGGAGAAGATACAATTACCACTATCAGAAGTAACACAGGAGATTACCACCACACACTCTTTAGACATCAAATTAATAATAAAGGAATACCATGAATAATTTGAATTCACACATACACTTGACAATGTAGATGAAATGGAATAGCATTCAAATATATGCAGTACCACAAGTCACCCAGAATTTAACTTGTAATAAAAAAAATCACCAAAAAGAAATCTCTAGTCCCAGATAATTTTACCAGAGAATGCTACAAAACTTTCAAAGAAGAGTTAATGCCTATTCTACCCAATCTCTTTTAGAAAATAAAAGAAGAGGGAATACTTTCCAGTTCATTTTATGAAACTAGTATTTCCCTACTACCAAAATCAGACAAACACAGTAAAACAAAGAACACTACAGACCAATATCCCTCCTGAATATAGACACAAAAATTCTTAACAAAATATTACCAAATAGAATTCAGCAGTATGTAAAATATTATACACCTTGACCAATTGATTTGTATCCCAGGAATGCAAAGCTGGTTTAAATTAAAAAATCACTGTACTCTGCCATATTAACAAACTAAAGAAGAAAACTCACATGATCATTTCAATTTATGTAAAAAAACTAAAAAAATTCAAAACATACTCATGAGAAAAATGCTCAGCAAGTTAAGAATAGAGGGAAACTTCCTTAATGTGATGAAGTCATGTATATAATACTTATAGCTAATATTATGCTTCTTGGTGAAAGACTGCTTTACTCTAAGGTTGAAGACAAAGCAAGGATTTGTATTCTTACCACTTTTACTTAATATAGTGCTGCAGGTTCTAGCTACAGTAATAAGGAAAGAAAAGGAAATAAAAGACATACAGGTCAGAAAGGAAGGAATAAATCCGTATATTTGCAAATGACATATTGTCTATATAGAACACACCAAGGAATCTACATAAAATCTTTTAGAACTAATAAGTGAGTTTAGTAGGTCAGAGGCTATAAGATTGAAATGCAAAAATCAATCATAATTTAATATTCTAGCAATGTTCATGTGAAAACCAAAATAAAAAATACAATACCTTTTACAAAGGCTCAAAGAATGTGATACTTAGGCTTAAATTTAAGAAAATATGTACAGAATGTATGTCTTCCACAAATTTAACAAAATTCCTATCCGAATCAAAAAAGAATTTTCTTAGATGTAGACAAAGTTACTATAAAATTTATATAGAAAAGCTAAGAAACAAGAATTGCTAAAACAATTTGGAAACATAGCTACAGTAATTGAAACTGTCATGTTGAGTGAGGGACAGACACACTGATGTAACAAAGTAGAGACTCAAAAATAGATCCACACAAATATTTCTAACTACATTTTGAAAAAGGCGAAAATGCAATTCAATGAAGGAAAGTCTTTTCAGCAAAAAAAGATTGCAGTAATTGAACATTGATTTGCAAAAAATAAACTTAAGTCTCACACCCAGTACACAAATTAACTCAACATGGATCACAGACTTAAGCACAAAATGTAAAACCAAATTTTTTGGAAAAATGTAGGAGAAAATATTTAGGATCTAAGATTAGACAGAGTTCTCAGACTTGATGCTAACATCACAAACCATAAAAGAAAATTTTGATAAATTGGATTTCATCAAAATTAAAACCTTGCTCTGTGAAAACCTTCTTAGGATGAAAAGATTTTGCACATGTTACAACTGATTATAAAGCAAAATAATTAAAACTTCAGAATATTATCACACATAGGTACCAATGAGTCACAAAAAATTTTAGGAAATAATTATGAAAATAATTTTATTATGTGTTATTTGATTTATGATAAAGTAAGCATTCTAAACAATGGGCAACAAAAAGTTATTTACTAACTTTTAATTTAATTATAATTGCGTAAATTTTGAGGAAGATTGATTCACAGATTACACCAAAACAAAATTAATATTAGCAATTTTTAACAATTTATTATATAAAATTATCATTAGTATTATTATTTTTTGAGACGGAGTCTCGCTCTGTCGCCCAGGCTGGAGTGCAGTGGCAAGATCTTGGCTCACTGCAAGCTCTGCCTCCCAGGTTCATGCCCTTCTCTTGCCTCAGCCTCCCGAGTAGCTGGGACTACAGGCGCCCACCACCACGCCTGGCTTATTTTTTGCATTTTTAGTAGAGACGAGGTTTCACTGTGTTAGCCAGGATGGTCTCGATCTCCTGACCTGGTGATCTGCCTGCCTCGGCCTCCCAAAGTGTATAAAACTAATTTTAAAAACCTACTCAAAATAATCTGATTGAATATTTAGTTAATCTCTAGCAATAAAAATCTTTCTGGGCCTAAAATGATAAAGAAAATTACAAACTAAAAGGTTATTCAATTATAATAAATAAAAATGTCAAACTTCTATCAGGGAAAAATATAATTTAAAAAGGCATGAGAAAAATGTGTTCATAAACTACCATGAACACAAATGTCAATAGTTACATTTTATAAAGAATTTATTAGAAAATAATTAAGATCTTAGTTGTTAACACACAGATTTTTAAAAAAATTGTTTACAAAGTTGATAATTTCCATAGGGAAAAAAACTTATATTAAAAAGATGCATCATTTTTCCATCAAGGTAAAAGCCGAATGTATTTTTTTTGTTGTTTTTGCTTTTGTTTTGTTTTCGTTTTTTTTGTTTTGTTTTGTTTTGTTTTGTTTTGTTTTGTTTTGTTTTGTTTCAGAAGGAGTCTAGCTCTGTGGCCCAGGCTGGAGGGCAGTGGTATTGGATTTTTTTTTTTTTTTAAACATAAGGATAACCAGTGGTTACACGATCATTTGTTGAAAAGTTTTTTCCTACCCCATTGAATTCTATTGGCATATATGTCAAAAAGTAACTGGACATACATGTGTACAGTGGCGCAATCTCGGCTCACTGCAACCTCTTTCTCCTGGGTTCAAGCAATTCTCCAGCCTCAGCCTCCTGAGTAGCTGGGATTACAGGTGCGGGCCAATAAAAATATTTTTAGTAGAGATGGGGTTTCTCCATGTTGGCCAGGCTGGTCTTGAACTCCCAACCTCAGGTGATCCACCCATCTTAACCTCCCAAAGTGCTGGGATTACAGGCACAAGCCACTGCACCTGGCCAAAACTAACTGTATTTGATTACAGTCAATATTAGGGAGTTGATGGTAAACCTGGTACACTGCTGGTGGTAAGGTAAGTAGAAAAAACCTGCATGGAAAGAAAATCTAATTATGCATTAAGAACCATTTAAAAGTTTGTACATTTTAATCCAGTAATTTCACTTACTTTTTTACTCTTGGCATGACATAGCTGCATTCAAAATATCACTGCAGTTTTCAATAAGAAGAAAACAACACTAAGAAAATGGTGAAAGAAATGTGTTACAGCCCACACCATTGAAATGATATGGCTGTTAAAAATAATAAGAGGAACATTATTTACAAGGGGAAATGGTAATTACAATAGGAGAAATAGAATAAAAATTTGGAAAACTTCTGTGAATAATGACCTGGAAGCGCATTGAACAAAGTCTATGTGGTAGCCCTTACCAAATGTTTTCTTAACATAGCTGTTTCCTGTCTGTTTGTGCTGCAGTTACACTTCTGTCTTCCTGTTAGTCAGCTTTTGGACAATCTCTCAGATTCCCAAGAGGCCAACTGCCACCATCATGAAAAACATCCTGACCACGGGAACTACAATTTTCCTAAGATCCATTTATCCCTGTGATTGGATGTAGACGCGATTTTCAATTAATTATTTGTACTTTTCTAGGAGTTTCCTAAGCCCTATATTTTCCAAAATGCAGTTATATGCCTAAGCAAGTTATTCACTGAATAAATTCTTGATCCTAAATATTTATCATTAGCAGATAATAAAAACAAACATGACTCCCTCTTTGTTATTTTCTATAAATATTCTATTTTGCCTGCGGATTTACATTAGATTTGAAAACTAAAACAGTTCACAAGTAATCAGAGCACTTCCTGAAGTGAAAGATGAAATTATCTTTGTATTTTACTTTATTTTATCCTTCAAATAATATTCCAACACTGTTAACAATAGTTTCCTTTTTCATAGAAGTTGAGCACATTAGGTATTTCCAAAATGAAGCATTAAAATTTACTTCATAAATAGGCCTCTATAAGAGACTTTCCAGAATAACTTTTAAAAAGGCATCAAATGTTGTACATAAGATATACTTGAGAGTTCAGCCAATATCAGTATTTTTACTTTGCAGATTTGCTGTTTCTTTAAATATTTATGTGTTTCTCACATGTATTGCCAGTTTTGACTAAAACAAATTTGTTTCTCTTTTAAGGGGAAATAACTGGTTAGGACCGATAGTGACTCAGAATTTGTGGTTTTCTTTAAAAAGAAAATAGATATTATTCTAATAGCAACCTTCTTTCAGTAGCTGGAAATCTTGAGTTGAAACTAGAAAGAATTTCAATCTTTTAAACATGGAAAAATGTGTAAATGCACAAACACAGGTCTTAACTATCAGTCAAGAAACCAGTAACTGGTTCACTTTGGAATAAAAAGAGAGACAGGGAAGGGATATGACTAAGACATGTTTTCACTGTCTACAGCTTGAACTTATGATTTGTTTTGTTGTGTGTGGGTATATATTATTTAAACGACTGCACATATATATAGATTATTTGAAAAATATACTGAAATAAATAAAACTATTGTTTGAGATTAGACTTTCTTCTTTATAACTGTTTCTTTTTCTTTTTTAAAAAAGTTTACATTTAAGGAAAATTCCATTTGGGAATGTTTTAAGAAAAAAATGTTCTTAACTCTCAATGATTTATTACCATGCCTGCCACTGGGTTTGGTATGTTTAGGAATCTGCAAGTAGTTATACAGCTGCCAAGTTGCTTTACTGGTTGTTACTGATCTGTAGAGCATGTACCACGAGTAAGTCATAAAACATCACCAGGACTTACATGCTTTTGTAAAAAAGGGAACCCATGATTCGTATTGATTTCTTGTGCATGGAGGGTATCGTAAATAATTTATCAAATACCGTTTGGAATTCTTATTGTTTTACCTGGAAAGAAGGCAAAAATGTAATCATTGTTATCATAGTAAGCCATAAAGTTAAAAAGTGCCAATCTAAAGAGTAAGTTATTATGACTGTAAAGTTTAAATTGGTTATGGGTCGAGAATAAAGATGATATTTATACTGTTGATTTAGAATATTGTAAGACCAAAGGAAATATAAGAGCAAGAGCTGTAGCTACTTCTAAAGATAAATATCATGAGTGAAACTAGTTTAATCAGAGGAATGCAGTAGCAAGTATTCAAAACCTTAAACCAAGCCATGCTGCTAATGTTTCACCAGCATAACATTATTCCAAGACCTCAGTGTCATGAGTTCCACTTTAGCTTCTTGCTAACATTTCTGTTTATAATTATTTAAGCGGACATGAAAACCCTGTGTGTGTGTCAAATGCAGAATTGTAGTCTAACCACCATTAGATGTCCACAGGCATCTGTAATGAGCCCACGGAAGCCTCGATGCCATCTCTCTGACCATTATGTTCCACAAAGTGCAATATTTTAAGTGTAAATTCTGTTATCTATTTGTGTAACCAAAATGCAAACATCTTCTAAAAATGCCACTGACCACTTAGAATTGGTGGTAACCAAAGTAAATTTTGTTTAAATATATTGACATGGACTCACCTCAGTTCTTGGCTTGGGAATTAGAACTTGAAAGAGATGCTTTATGAATGGGGCAGAAAATTCCATGAGTCATTAAACTCTTGAGCTTACATTTCACAATAACGTTAACGTATGGAGTAAAATATTCTATATTAGGACAACTACCTCAAAAATTACTCTATTTAGCACTGAAGACTTAGACAAAAAAGACACCATCACTTCCCTCAAGAAGTTGGTAGTGTATACGGCCAGAAGGGAAATTAGATAATGATATAACAAAAGGTATGGCAAAGAAAGTTACATAGAAATAGTATCCAACCACGACTAGAGACAATGGGGAAGGAGAGGAAGGCTTCCTAGAAGTGAAGATTGAGAAACACATGGAGCCAGTTAAAGAAGAAGAAAAGATGGAGGAAATGTATCTAGATAGAAAATGTAGCATAGAATGGTATGGATGAAACCTGGAACATGATTTGCTCAGGAAACTGCATGATGGGTAGGTGGCAATGGAAGAAGAATGAGATATCATTGATTACTTGCAAAAGTAGGCTAGGATAGGCCACAAATGGCAAGGCATGTTTGAAAGTCTACTGCCAAGCTGGTACAGTTCTGATAAGGCCATCAGAAATGGCATAGAGAAGCACTTGTGTATTCAAGGGAATAGGTATACTCTTGAATGCCAAAGAACACCTATTCTAACCTAATGATATACAAAGCAACAGGCCTGCAGTAAAAAGAAGCAAGCCTTCTTTTCTGCTTCATAGCCTTCTCACTCATGTGGGCTATTGCTAAACACCAAACCAATACCCTTTTCATGAGTATGTCCTTCGAGCTGCTCATTTGCTCACTTTGTATGTGGGGAGTTAGGAAAACGATCTAGCTCCTGTTGTTGCTCTTGTTCAGTTTTATTTTGGTCTAGAAATAGTATTCCTTGAAAGATGAATACAGAAGACCTATTTAGGTGGTAGGGTAATGATTAGATAATTGGTTTAGCTTTTCTGGAGGTATCTTTGGGAAATAAAATTGTGTACACTTAATAAACACAGACATACATAAATCTGTGTTCAGTAGCAGATAATAGAATAGGTAGATGATAACATACATAAATAATGTTTACTACCATTGAAGTATATAAGATTAACCCAGGAGGATCAGAGTGAAATGGAGATTGAAGACAGAGCTCTGAAAAACAGGAATGGTCTTTATATAGCTGAATAAAGAAGTGCCTTTACAGCCGAGGAAAAGTAGACAAAAGGATAAGGAGAAATGGAAAAAGGAGTTGAAAAACCAGAAGAGAGTCATGTTCTAGAAATCAATAGAAAGGAAACTTTCTTAAAATATTTCATTAAATGGGCAATGACTAGATGCACTTTTTGATAACATGAATAAACTCTGGCAAATCTATGTCAAGTGGATTAAATTTTCCACTACACATAGAGGTCAAATAAATCAAGAAATAAGTACTTTTTGTGATAGTTACGGGAGCTATTTCATTGAACTGGTGAAGATAAATGTAGCAAGGTAGAATGGTATGTAAAGGTGCACAGAGGATTAAAAGGTATATGGTGTTGCTATATGTTATTTTTTAATGTACAAATTAAAGAAACCAGAACAGAGAAGAAATAGCTGTGTGAGAGAGAGAGAGAGAGAGAGAGTGTGTGTGTGTGTGTGTATGCGAGAGAGAGAGAGAGAGAGAGTGGGAGAGAGAGAGAGATACTCAGTAGAAAACTAGAATTATGAAAGAGGAGAGAATTAATGGGTGGGAATTGAACAATGAGAACACTTGGACACAGCATGCGGAACATCACACACTGGGGCCTGTCGTGGGGTCGGGGGATGGGGGAGGGATAGCATTAGGAGAAATACCTAATATAAATGACGAATTAATGGGTGCAGCAATCTAACATGGCATATGTATACATACGTAACAAACCTGCACGTTGTGCACATATATCCTATAAATTAAAATATTTTTTTAAAATAGTAATACAAGTTATTGTGAAAGACAAAAATAACATTATTTATTTTGTTTTAGTTTAATCTATAGATGCAGGACATTTCTAACAAGTTTCAAATAGCCTCTTCCTATTTTAATTTTTAAAATAAATATGTAAGTAGTATGGTTTCTTATCTGAAATCTTCAGATTATTCATTTTTATTCTAATAAGAATGGTCTTCATTACATGTATGTCTATACGTATCTGTATATGTATACAGATACACATATATATTTACAATATATAATATGTGGACAAATATACTTTCCCAAAATACATTTGAACCTTTACTACAGAATTGTTATTTATGGAAAATTTTCAAGAGTAAAATTTAATAGGTAACTGAAGGGTCATTAATCTAAAACAAGACATTTTGAAGATTGTCTTCCATTTTCAGGGACTACTTTAAGGACTTAATTAATTAAATGATCTGCATATAAAATTTTATTTATAAGTAACACCCCCCACAAGTAGGCATTGTATGATAAAATCCAAGTGCAGCAATATGGAGAAGCTATTGATTTTCCTGTATGCAGAAAGAGGGCAATGTTTAAAAAGAAGGATGGTGAGTTTTTTTGGGGATATGTTTATCTCTAAAGTCAGTTGAGCTGAAGCTTTTAGGGCAGGGCAGGTCAAGAGATACAGGTTTGGATGTCATTGGCATATAACTCAGTGTTTCTCAAATCATGGTCTATGGACCACTAGTATCAGAATCACCTGGAGATGATTGCGAAAAGTCAAGGTAACCTAGGTGCCATTAATTTGAAATAATCAAGGCTTCTTAATTTGAATATGTGCAAGAGTGGCCCTAAGAATCTTCATTTTAATTGAAACACCTCATATAATACTTAAGCCCACTAAAGGTTTTCTTTTTGTGTGTGTGGTGGTGGTGTATTTATTTTATTTTATTTTATTTTTCTTTTCAACTTTTAAGTTCAGGGGTACATGTGCAGGATGTGCAGGTTTGTTACATAAGTAAACATTTGCCTTGGTGGTTTGCCACACAGGTCATCCCATCACCCAGGTGTTAAGCCCAGCATCCACTAGCTATTCTTTTTGATCCTCTCCCTCCTCTTGCCTTTTGCCCTCCAACAGACCCCAGCATGTGTTGTTACCCCACATGTGTCCATGTATTCTCATATTTAGCTCCCAGTTATAAGTGAGAACATATAGTATTTGGTTTTCTGTTCCTGCATTAGTTTGATAAGGATAATAGCCTCCAACTCCATTCATGTCCCTATAAAGAACATGATCTTGTTCCTTTTTATGGCTGTATAGCATTCCATGGTGTATATGTACCACATATTCTTTACCCAGTCTACTATTGATGGGCATTTTGGTTGATTACATGTCTTTGTTATTGTGAATAGGGCTGCAATAAACATACGGATGCATGTGTCTTTATGATAGAACAATTTATATTTCTTCGGGTATATACCCAGTAATTGGATTGCTGGGTCAAATGGTTATTTCTGCCTCTAGGTCTTTGAGGAATTGCCACACTGTCTTCCACAATGGTTGAACTAATTTACACTCCCATCAACAGTGTATAAGCATTTATTTTTCTCCACAATCTCGCCAGCATCTGTTGTTTTTTGACTTTTTAGTAATAGCCATTCTGACTGGTGTGAGATAATATCTCATTGTGGTTTTCATTTGCATTTCTCTAATGATCAGTGATGTTGAGCTTTTTTTCATGTGTATGTTGGCCACATCTGTGTCTTCTTTTGAGAAGTGTCTGTCTGTTCATGTTCTTTGCTCACTTTTTAATGCGGATTTTTTTTCTTGTAAATTTGTTTAAGTTCCTTATAGATGCTAGATATTAGACATTTGTCAGACGAATAGATTGCAAGAATTTTCACCCATTCTGTAGGTGGTCTCTTTATTCTGTTGATAGTTTCTTTTGCTGTGCAGAAGCTCATTAGTTTAATTAGATTCCAGTTGTCCATTTTTGCTTTTGTTGCAATTGCTTTTGGTGTCTTTGTCATGAAATCTTTGTCTGTGCCCATGTCTTCAATGGTATTGCCTAAATTCTCTTTTAGAGTTTTATAGTTTTGGGTTTTACATTTAAGTCTTTAACTCATCTTAAGCAGATTTTTGTATATGGTGTGAGGATGGGGTCCAGTTTCAATTTTCTGCATATGGCTAGCCAGTTCTCCCAGCACCATTTATTAAGTAGGAAATCCTTTACCCATTGATTGTTTTTGTCAAGTTTGTCAAAGGTCAGATGGTTGCAGGCATGCAGTCTTATTTCTGGGTTATTTATTCTGTTCCATTTGTTTATGTTTCTGATCTTGTACCAGTACCATGCTGTTTTGGCTACTGTAGCCCTGTAGTATAGTTTAAAGTTGTTAAGCCCACTAATGGTTGATAAATGGTTTGCTCACCCATAGCAGAAGTCAAAGCACCCAAGCAGAAAATATAGAATGAGTTCCCCTAGGAAAAGAACTCTGTTTTTCATTTCTGTATGTCTAGTAGCAATATGTTTCCTGAAATTTACTATATAATCAATAAATAACTATTAAAATATTTTTGAATTTTCTGGAAATAATGTACAGTATGCAGCAAGAATCATAAAAATGTCCATATTTTGATCTAGTAATATAATTTCTGGAAATTTATTTTGAGTAATAATCCAACAGGAAAGAAAATGTTATCTATAGAGATGTTTAGCACAACACATTCATAATAGCAAATAATGAGCATTAGCAAATGACAAGAAATAGGGGTATAAGTAAGTAAAGAAGAAGATATTTGTCTACTATATGACATAATTTGTTACAACTAGAAATAGTAGTTATAAAAGCAGAATAGTAACAAAGATAAATAAATATTAATGTTACAAAAGATATTTTATATATGCTATGGTTACAACTATAAAGAATGATATGCTGTTTTACATGTACTAAGAGAAATATAAACAATGAAAACCATTTCATTTTGTAAGCTGAAAGATTATAAGTGATTTCATAATCATTTCAGTTAATTACATTGGAATGTTATGTATATCATAAATAATTCTTTTCAGAAATTAATGACATCCCATTTAACAATTTCAAATCACTATAAATGTGACATATGGTTAAATAAGACTTAATTCTGCTCAAATGAAAAAATATAAATATGATCTAGAGGAAGTTTAATAAAAAGAAATAAAAAGGTATCATAATTAATTCCTAGATGCCCAATAATTTTCACGAACAAACATCAGCAGATGTTCTTGCAACTTATTCACAAATAGCTCTAAATGCTAGTGCACTTTCAAATGAATAGAATTCAATAAAATGAGATATTTCTGTCTCCCCTCCCTCCCTTTCCTCTTGCAGTTAGCACAGAAGAATGTGGAAATGTGTTTGATATTTTTGTCACTGAATTTTCCACCTGTTTCATGACATGCCAACATAAACACATAAGGGCTCACATACCATTTACCCACCCCATACATACATGCATGTAAAATCACTCAAATCACAGTGTCCAATGAAACTAAAGAAGCAGATAGATTTCAGTATAAAAATTAAAGATCAAATCAGTCTTATAGAGAACAGTATAGTGCCTGTTTTGCTAGTGAACATTTGTTGAATAAATGTCTGTAGGCTGTATTTGTGCAGAATTTGTCCTATGCCTGCCCTGCTTTTTTATAACGAGTAGCAGGGCTGAGGAATTAGCAAATTCCTACTGTAGAATGACCACCATTACCTATCAAAAAATGAAACCTAGGATTATGAATTGCCTAATTAGCTTTGGTCATTTTGCAATATCTGAGAAATAATGATAATGTAACAGACAGCCAGAGAAAAGGAAGCCCACATTGATGACAGAGATATAAAAGGAAAACATGAATTTTCATGAAAGATAACAGTGCATTCTCTAAGGTAGTAAATGGAGGTGGAAGTGGGGACAGGGAAAGAAAAAAGAAGTGAAGACAGCAAGTACAGAGAAAGGGCTCAAGATCTTCTGATGACAAAAGAGTTAAAGAGATTGGTAGAATATAAAGAGAGTATGGATAGGAGGGTATGTTGACCTGAATTTTTCATTCAGTAAGAAAAAGATCAAGTAGAGAAGGAGCGGATCATAATTCAAGGCAAAGCAGTCAACAGATAAAGCAAAGTCCCTTGAGAAGATAAGGAGGTTTTCAGCAGCACAGTTGAATGAATTAGTCTTCAATGGAATAATTAATCCTTCCAGACTAGATTGAAGAGAATAAGGATGCGGTGGCCCCACTGATTTGTCTGTGGATATAAAAAGCAGGAAGTTGAGTGAGAGTGTGGAGGAAAAGGAAAAGAGTTTCAATCATGAAGAGAATGGCAAGACTTTGGAGTTTTTGTTGACGGCAACAAGATAGGAGCATTTAGAAGACAACAAAGAGACTGAAATAGATAGAGAACCCATCAGAACTGAGAGGCAGTGAATTTGTAAAGAGGCCAAGTTGCATGGTTTTGCAAATTCTCCAGCACTGTTTACAATGGAGAAGGCAGATTGTTGCAAAGATCGAGGACTAGGACACTGCAGGACAGTTATAAAATGGAAAGAAGAGCAAAGGAAATGAAGATTTAAAGGGTCCGCTTGAAAGAATAAATCAGGTGATTAACTGTCAAATCTTTAAATTGAATTAAAAAAATCTTTGATTGAATAAATATATAAGTAATTTCTTACCATAAGGTGTCCAAGTACAGCAGCATAGCTCCATCATCATCATCATCATCATCATCATCATCATCATCAAATAAAAAGGATAATTATTTATACTGGGAGAGAAATAGTGAATTGAGCATTAACTTGGTAGAAATTATGTTAGTGTTTTTATTCAGTACAAATAAAATGTGACCTTTCCATTATTTTAAGAGTAAATATGTCTTCTCTATTTAGAGAGTAGATAAACATGTAAAGTGCGACAGAGATGCCAGTTGCCCATAGCAGCCTCTCTATTAAAGGAAAAGCATTTTTGAGAGATTTGGGGTACAGCTATTTATTTCATTTCTCAGTTAGTCCAAACCCGAACCATATAAGGTAAGTCATTTGTCTCAACTGGCCCTATGGAACATGAGGACACTTTAGATTCTTTGGAATTAAGCAGCCATATGGAACTTGTAGTGAGCTTACAACTGAGACATATGGCAGCAGAATGGAGCCAGCCTTGAGGCTGTATAAGCACCCCAGTGACCATCAGCAGTCAATTAAGAGTTGAGACAAGAGAGAAACGTCATTTTAACTCTTGTAAAATTTATGTAGTAGACACATCCTTGCTGCCTTTCATAAGCTTGTTTCTTGGTTTATGGGTCAAACTGGAGCCAGAGGAAATGTTTTCCTGGCTTCCTCTTATAGAAAGCATCTGAATTCTTGTCCAGTTCTTAGGAAGTCGGGGATTCAAATTTCTGCTTCTACTTGGGGAAAGCTTAGCAGACTAGATTAGCTCCAGTACTGTTCTCAGCAATCTCCAGATGAAATATTCCTTTAACTCTCAGAATATATTTATATCCCCAAGACTTTTTCATTCTTTAAGCAAGTTCTGCATATCTACTTTCTACCAATCACTTCGTAGCTCTGATGGCACAAAATGAAAGTCATAGTTCTTTTTTTCAAATAAATCATGAAGGAGACTGACAAGTAAACCATAATTATAACACGACAGAGTGAGTATTCTCATAGAAATGTAGTACTCTGTGAACACAGGCTAGCTCTCCACCCTAACTGGGAGAGTCTTCTGAAGGAAGAATTGTCTGTGCAGAGTCTTGAAGGATGTGTGTAGATAGCAAGAAATAAGATGACGGAGGAAGGCAAGCATTTGACATGATACGTGTATCGACTGCAAAAACAAATAAAGCAAGAAGCAGCATCATTTAAAGAAGAACTCAGCAGAATGTGTTGCGGCTAGGACATAAGGCATATGAAAGTGTGTTGGAAATGGAGGGTGGATAGGTTTGCAAGAGCCAGGCCTGAAGGCTTTGAGTGGCAGTCTTGGCTATTTGACCTTCACAGCCTGATGTTGTGAAGAGCCATTGCTATGGTTACATAAAAATGAAGTGGTCAGATCTGGATCTATCTATCTAGCTATCTAGCTATCTATCTGTATCTGCAGAGTAGAGGACAGATGTAGAAATGTGCAAGGAGGAT
Source organism: Homo sapiens (assembly GCF_000001405.40). Classification (NCBI taxonomy): domain Eukaryota; kingdom Metazoa; phylum Chordata; class Mammalia; order Primates; family Hominidae; genus Homo; species Homo sapiens. Next base: position 113,113,158 of record NC_000006.12, read on the forward strand.
GGAGATTATGGAAGAAAAGATGGTGCAACACCACAGGAAGAACAATTAGGGGGCTACCTCTGTTACCTGAGCTAGAAGTGTGATGAAAACATGACCTTCTATGTTTGAGAAGACATAAGAGATTTTGGAGAAGGCAAAGATAAGATACCTTAAGAAAAATCAGAGAATAGCAGTAATAAGTATTGGTAACATATTGTGTTCAGAGTTAAGGAAGAGCAGGAGTCTAGGATAACATTAGGCTTTGGCTTATGGGTTGGTCATTCACAAAAATAGGTGGGGTATGCAGAATAACAGCCCTCTCCAAATATGTTTGTTTTCTAATTTCAGAATCCTATGTATATGTTATGTAACATAGCAAGGGGAAATAAAGAATGTACATGGAAAATTGGGACGCTGAGGTGGGCAGATCACGAGTTCAGGAGATCGAGACCATCCTGGCTAACACGGTGAAACCCCATCTCTACTAAAAATACAAAAAAAAAAAATGAGCTGGGCGTGGTGGCGGGCACCTTTAGTCCCAGCTACTCAGGAGGCTGAGGCAGGAGAATGGCGTGAACCCGGGAGGCGGAGCTTGCAGTGAGCTGAGACCAAGACTCCAGCTCAAAAAAAAAAAGTACATGGAATTAAGGTTGCTAATCAGCTCACAGTAAAACCACTTCCTTTCAAGTGGAAGAGGAAGGAAGGCAGTTTTCAAACTGCAGCCTCTATCCAAGGGAGCCCTGTGAACCAGGACATCCAACAAAAGAAATTTGTACACAAAGATGGTAATCAGAGGGGGCTTCTTCAAAACTGAGGAGTGTACTAAAATTTAAGCCAGTTGAATGAACCCACTTTATACCACAAACACTCAAGGGCATAAAAGAACATAAAAGCAAGCAAGCAAAGAAACAACAACAATAATTAAAAAAAAACAACCCAAAGGACAGGGAACTCTGAAGATTGAAAGAATATCAGCCCACACAGATGAGAAAAAAGCCAGCATAAGAACTCTGACAGCTCAAAAAGCCAGAGCGTCTTCTTACTTCTAAACAAATACACTAGTTCCCCAGCAATGGTTCTTAACCAGGCTGAAGTGGCTGAAATGTCAGAAACAGAATTCAGAATATGGATAGGAATGAACATCACGAACATTCAAGGAAAAGTCAGAACTCAATTCAAGGAATCTAAGGAATATAATAAAAGCAAATAGGAAATAAAAGATAAAATGGCCATCTTAAATAGAATTAAACTAAACTGACACAGTTAAAAAACACACCTCAAGAATTTCTTAATTATAAGTATTGCTAGTAGAACCAACCAGGCTAAGGGAAGAATCTCGGAGCTCGATGACCAGCTCTCTGAAATAACTCAGTCTGGCAAAAATAAAGAAAAAAAAACAATAAAGAATAAATAAAAACTCAGAAAAATATAGGATTAGGTAAAGAGATCAAATGTATGGCTCACTGGTGCCCCTGCAAGAGAGAGAAAGCAAGCAACTTGGAAAACATATTTGAGGATATCATCCATAAAAATTTCCTCAAATTCTCTCAGATGCCAAAATTCAAATCCAGGATATGCAGAGAACCCCTGCCATATACTACACAAAACAACCATCCCCAGGACACATAGGCATCAGATTCTCCAAGGTTAAAATGAAAGAAAAAAATATAAAAGGCAGCTAGAGAGAATGGGCAAGTCACCTACAAAGGGAACCCCATCAGACTCACACTGGACCTTTCAGCAGAAACCCTACAAGCCAGAAGAGATTGGATGCCTTATATTCAAAGAAATTCCACCCAAGAGTTTCGTATCAAGCTAAATTAAGCCTCATAAGCAAAGGAGAAATCAGATCCTTTTCAGACAAGCAAATGCTAAGGGAATTCATTACTATCAGACCTGCCTTACAAGAGGTCTTTAAGGGAGTGTTAAATATGGAAATAAGGAAAGACTCTCCTAGGCACCATATAAACACACTTAAGTACATAGACCATTGATGCTATAAAACAATTATTCAATCCAGTCTGCATTATAACCAGCTAACAACATGATGACAGGATCAGACCTACAAATATCAATATTAACCTTGAATTTAAATGGGCTAAATGCCCTCAGTTAAAACACACAGAGAGGCAAGTTGTATAAAGAAGTAAGACCAAAGTGTGTGCTTTTTATAAGAGACTCATCTCACATGCAATGACACCCACAGACTCAAAGTAAAGGGACTGAGAAAAATCTACTAAGCAAACAGAAAAAAGCAGAAGTTGCTATTCTAATTTCAGACAAAACAGGCTTTAAACCACCAATGATGAAAAAAATGGAGATTGTTACATCATGGTAAAGAGTTCAATTTAACAAGAAGATCTAACTATCCTAAATATGTATGCACTCAACACAAGAGCACTCAGATTCATAAAGCGAGTGCTTAGAGACCTACAAAAGACTTAGATAACTTCACAAGAATAGTGGGAGATTTCAACACCTCATTGACAGTATTAGACACACCACTGAGGCAGAAAACTAACAAAGATATTGGGGAATGAACTTAAAATTGGACCAAATGGGCCTAACAGATATCTACAGAACTCACCACCCAAAAACAACAGAATATACATTCTTCTGTTTACCACATGGCACATACTGTAAAATAAACCACACAACTGGCCATAAAACATTCCTTAGCAAATTAAACAAAAAACTGAAATCATACCAAATACACTCTTAAAACACAGCACAATAAAAACAGAAATTACTACTAAGAAAATTGCTCATAATCATACAATTACATGGAAATTAAACAACCTGCTCTTGAATCACTTTTGGGTAAACAATGAAATTAAGGCAGAAATCAAGAAATTATTTGAAACTAATGAGTACAAAGATATACTATAACTGAATCTCTGGGACATAGCTAAAACAATGTTAAGAGAGAAGTTTATATAGCACCAAATGCCCACATCAAAATGTTACAACGATGTCAAATTGACAAACTAACATCATACCTTGAGGCACTAGAGAAAAAAGAGCAAACAAACCACAAAGCCAGCAGAAGACAAAAAATAACCAAAATCGTGACTGAACTAAAGGAAATTGAGATGCAAAAAAAACATACAAAAGATCAATGGATCAAAGAGTTGGTTATTTGAAAAAATAAATAAAATTGATAGACAGTTAACTAGACTAAAAACAAAAAAGAAGAGAGGATCCAAATAAACACACTCAGAATTACAAAGGAGACATTACCACTGACCACAGAAAAATAATAAAAAAAAAACTCTGAGACTATGAACACCTCCATGCACACCCGTGCACACAATCTAGAGAATCTAGAAGAAATGGATAGATTCCTGGAAACATATAATTTCCCAAGGTTGAACCAGGAAGAAATTGAATCCCTGAACAGAACAATAATGATTCCTCAAATTGAATCACTAATAAAAAGCCTACCAACCAGAAAACGCCCAGGATCAGATGGATTCACAGCCAAATTCTACCAGATGCGTAAAGAGCTGGTACCATTCCTACTGAAATTATTCCAAAAAAAAAAAATGAGGGGGAAAAAGTTCTTCCTAACTCATTCTGTGAGGCCAGTATTGTCCTGAAACCAAAGCTTGACAGAGGCACAACAACAACAAAAAAGAAAACTCTAGGCCAATATTATTGATGAACATAGATGCAAAAATCCTCCACAAAATATGAGCAAATCATATCCAGCAGCACATCAAAAAGCTAATCCACCATGATCAAGGAGGCTTTATTACTGGGATGCAAGGTTGGTTCAACATACACAAGTCAATAAATGTGATTCACTATGTAAACAGAACTAAAAACAAAAACCACATTATATCTCAATAAATGCAGAAAAGACTTTTAATAAAATTCAACATTCCTTCATGTGAAAAACCCTCAACAAACTAGGCATTAAAGGAGCATACCTCAAAATAATAAAAGCTATTATGACAAACCCACAGCTAACATCAAAATGAGTGGGCAAAAGTTGGAAACATTCCCTTTGAGAACCAGAACAAGATGAGAATGCCCACTCTCACCACTCCTACACCACAATGACACCACTTCCGACATAATACTGGAAGTTATAGACAGAGCAATCAGGCAAGAGAAAGAAAGAAAAGGCATCCAGATGGGAAGAGAGGAAGTCAAATTTTATTTCTTCACAGATGATACAATTCTATACCTAGAAAATCCCATAGCCTCTACCCAAAAGCTCCTTAAGCAGATGAATATCCTCAGCAGTTTGAGGATACAAAATCAATGCATAAAAATCAGTAGCATTTCTATATACCAAGAACATCCAAACTGAGAGCCAAATCAAGAAAGCAATTCCATTCACAATAGCCACAAAAAGAATAAAATACTTAGGAATGCAGCTAACCAGAGAGATGAAAGATCTCTACAAAGAGAGTTACAAAACACTTTTAAAAGAAATCAAGAGATGACACATACAATGGAAAAACATTCCATGCTCATGGATAGGAAGAGTCAATATCATTTTAATGGCCATACTGCCCAAAGCAATTTACAGATTCAATGCTATTCCTACCAAACTACCAATGACATTCTTCACAGAATTAGGAAAACCTATTTTAAAATTCATATGGAACCAAAAAAGAGCTCAAATAGGCAAGGCAATTCTAAGCAAAATAACAAAGCTGGAGGGCATCATGTTATATGATGTCAGACTATACTACAAGGCTGCAACAAACAAAACAGTATGGTAGTGGTACAAAATAGACAGATATATCAATAGAAAAGAATAGAGAGCCCATAAATTAAGCCATACACTTACAACCATCTGATATTTGACAAAGTAAACAAGAACAAGCAATGGGAGAAGGACTCCCTATTCAATAAATAGTCCCGGGGTACTATATGTATTGGCCACATACAGAAGATTAGAGCTGGACCCCTTCCTTATACCATATACAAATGTCATATCTAGATGGATGAAAGACTTGAATGGAAAACCTAAAACTATAAAAACACAGGAAGATAATTTAGGAAATATCATTCTCGACATTGGCCCTGACAAAGATTTCATGACGATGATGCCAAAAGTAATTGCAACAAAAACAAAAACTGACAAATGAGACCTACTTAAATTCAAGAGCTTCTGCACAGCAAAAGAAACTATCAGCAGAGTAAACAGACAAGCCACAGAATGGGAGAAAATATTTTCAAACTATCCTGCCAACAAAAAAATAATATCCAGAGTCTGTAAAGGACTTAAACAAATTTATAAGGAACCCCAATAAAAAGTGGGCAAAGAACATGACAGATACTTTTGAAAAGAAGACACACACATGGCCAACAAGCAAATAAAGAAAAGCTCAACATCATTGATCAGTAGAGAAATGCAAATCAAAACTGCAATGAGATACTATCTCACACCAGTCAGAATGGCTATTATCAAAAATTCAAAAAATAAGAGATTCTGGCAAGGTTATGGAGAAAAGACAATGCTTACACACTGCTGATGTGAATGTTAATTTGTTCAGCTAGTGTAAAACCAGTGTGATGATTTCTCAAAGAACTTAAACCAAGTACCGTTTGACCTAGCAATACTTTTATTGGGTATAGACTCAAAGGAATATAAATTGTACTACCACAGAAACACATGTATGCATATGCTCATCACAGCACTATTCACAATAGCAAAGTCATGGAATTAACCTACATGCTCATCAACAGTGAACTGGATAAAGAAAATGTGGTACATATCCACCATGAAATACTACACAACCATAAAAAAGAATGAAATCATGTATTTTGCGGCAGCATGAATGAAGCTGGAGGCCATTATCTTAAGTGAACTAACACAGAAACAGAAAACCAAATTCCAAATGTTCTCACTTGTAGGTGGGAGCTGAACATTGAGTATACATGGACACAAAGAAAGGAACAACAGACACTGGGCCCTACTTGAGGGTGGAGGATGAGAGGATGGAGAGGATTGAAAAATTACCTATCAGGTACTAGGCTTATTACCCGGGGAATGAAACCTTCTGTACACCAAACACCTGGACAAACAATTTACCTATATAACCAACCTGCATCTGTACCTTTGAACTTACAATAAAAGTTAAACAAAAAAAAAAAAATAAGTAAATAAACACACATTGTACACCTTTCAAAAAAATTTACTCTAACTAAATCATAGACCTAAATGTACAATTCAAAACTATAAAATTCTAGGAGAAAATCTAGGAGAAAATCTAGGTTACTTTTTGTTTGGTAATGAGTTTTTAGATACAGCACCAAAAGCACTAAAGCAAAAATAGATAAGTAGTACTTCAACAAAATTAAACACAATGACATTTGGCAAAATTTCCTGCCGTATAAGAAATAGCTACTTAAACTTTTTGTTTAACTCACTCCCATGGCTTTAAGGTTGCTTGGTGTTTATTTAATAAAAAATTAATAACAACATATATCCATATAATATTTTTATGGACATATTACTTTAACAAACTTCTTGTCACTGATATGTCCGGGATTCTGTTCTTTGGCCGGGACAGGGCAAGACTTATTACCTTCAGGTAGAGAGGAGACACAGAGGCTCAAAATGGTTAAAAGACTAGTTAAGGATATAGAGTTTGTTGATGGCAGAGGTGAATCTGTTACTGAGGGCTTCTAATTCCTACCCCAGTGGTCCAAAGAAAACACTGACCCAGAGTATCAACACTGCACTTGACTTACTAAAAGTGACAAACTGTACTAATGGAAGAAGCCACATCACCAAAAATCCAATCGTACTATTATTTCATAGGCAGACACCTATTGTGTAGGTAGCCCCCTACACATTTTGGAGGAGAAGCCAAAAGACACAGTAAGTTCCACAGTAGAAAACATGACCTTCCATCTATTGCTTAAATTATAACATCAAAGATAAATTCTGGTCCTTCTACCTTCTAGCTATGAGATCTTGGGCAAGTTATTTAACTTTTCTAGGCTAGTATTTATCGATATAATAGGCATAATGCAAATAGCAACCACAAAGTAGTATTGTGAGAATTAAATGCATTAATGCAAGTAAAAGACTCAAAATAGTGCCCTCACATATTAAGCATTTAATTATTGTTAACTATGACTTAATTGCCCATAAAAATAATTCAGGAAATTCTTTTTAAGGAGTGTAATGAGAGATCACTCAAGTCCAATAAACATTATTTATGTGTAATATTCACTACAGCTACACATTCTCAACTCTTTGAAGATCAGCTATTTTTCCTGTTGAGCAATTCATTAGTCATGGTTCTGGTCTTGAGAAAGCGCATGTGGAGCTGAAACCTTACCTTTCCTTCCCTAAGAGAACCAATGTCACCCACTCTGCAGTCACGATTGGATAACTGAAAATCTTGTAAAGAGAAAAAAATGTTGCTTGAAGGCCTCAAATCCTAGACATGTTTCTGATTCAATTTGGTCAATTATTTTTTTCTCTTTGTGATACAAGTATATAAATACTGATTCTGTAGCCTAATAAATGAACTGAGTGTGAACTCCTTGATGAAGACTCTTTCATGATAGTGATTAATGGGCTGCAAATATTTTGAAATAAAAACCTGAAACCACAAACTAGTCATATAGTTGGCTAAATATTTTGTTTGGGTGCTCACATCTAACCTACAGATAACCTTGTGTTAACCCTGTATTCCAAACCAAGAAGGAAAGGCTGGGGTTTTCAAGAGGGCGATTTGTGGTTTGGGTTTGGTCTGTCTGAAAAGAGCTGTGGCTCACAGTCTTAACGAGGTTCGTCTTCCAAGTCTCTGACCAACTGAGCAGAGGTTCTCACAGAAGCAAGTTGTGACAGCTGGAATTTGGCATCCACAGCTTCTTAGAAAAGGCTGCTGATCCCAGACTGATAGTTTTAAAACCTTAAAACAAGACTGTTACCATTCTTGAAATTTGTTTCAGCAGGCGCCAGGGAGGAATGTTACTGCCCCTCATTGCTAGACGGGAGTCTCGTCCCAGCATAACTGAAGATCTTCTGGGCTCTGGGCTCCTGCCTCATTCAGAGATTATGTTTCCCTGTCTGTGGCAGGATGCTGGCAAAACCACATGCTTTGTTTAAACATATGGAACGAGTGGTAAGATCAGCAAAGGCCCTTAAAGCCAATGTCAAAAGGCCATCACCATATGAGAGAACTGAGCAAAATGCACTGAGGACAAGCAATTTGTCTGAATCTTGCAGAAGTAGCTTTTAAATCCTTTATAAAAAATTAAGATTTATTTTTGAATTTTGATACATCTTGTCCAGCTTGTAATTTGTTCACTCTCATGCAAAAGAAAGCATACATATGCTATTAACTCTTGACTATGTAGAATATAAAACTCACTTTGTAGGTGATTCATGGTCTTTCATTTCCCTCTTTAATTTTTCATTTTTTCTAATGCTTTAGGACTAAATTATTTCTTCTATCAAAAAAATAAAAGTCAGCAAGGAATAAGAAACTAAATGTTTCCTTCTTTGTAGCATCTTTGAGAAAAACAACTCTCAACCCTGGAGCACGACTTTGTGATTGGTGACAGTTAAAGACCATAAAATATTTATGTGAGGATATGTAATTTTTTCTAATATTTCAGCTTCTTGTTCTGTCACTTACTAGTGTGTGATCATGGGCAAGACTCCAAACCTCTAGAAGCCTAAATTCCCTACAGTAAACAATAATAATAAAGTTACGTGTTGGTTGTGTGGATTTAATGACTAAATATGAAAATATTATTTGAAAACAATAAAATAAGTGTTACATTATATTGTTATAATCTTTGCTCATGGTAATTCAATGAAATCTTTATATTTTCTGATATTTATAAAATAGAATTTAAAATTATAATATTGATAGATTTATTAAGTTAAATAAAAGTTTTATTTTTAAGTCACACAAAATTGAGAAGGAAAAAGAAAATAGCAAACCGTGAAGAGTTAGACCAGGCCAGTTGGAGTCAGAACTTTAATAATTACCTCCTAGAAGCTGGAGGGGTCAGCCAAGAGGTACTTCTGGTACTGTGGGACTCCAGCATGCCCCAATGGCTCAGGAAGGAATCCTGGGCTTGAAATTTCAATTGCTTTAGTCATCATCCCTTTCAGTGTCAGTGAAAGCCAACTGTAAGGACAAATTCACAGAAAGAGTTAACAGGATGAGGGCAAATAAAGACCCAGGATTGAACTCTGGGGGTAGGGAAGGAACAGTATTTAAGGAATGCTTGGAAAAATATGACTATCCAAACCTGAGAAGCAATACCTAGCAAATTAGGAGGAAAACCTAGACTGAATGGTTTTTCTGAGACCTAATGGGCAAAATTCCAGCAAGGAAAATGTAGTCATTTGTTGTGCTGTCAATGCCACTGAGAAGTCAAATAAGATGAAAACTGGAAAAGGTACCGTAAAGAGGCCAGTAATGAGATTGTATGAGCAGCTTAAATGAAATGAGGGAAGGGTCTAGATTTCAGTGAGTTGAGGTTGGACTAACAATGAAGTAAAGAAAGACAGCAAATGTGGAACACTCCTCATCTTTTTGTTTTAAGGCAGGAGACACTTGATATTGAAAAAATATCTTTAGATAAATGAGAAAGAAAGTGCAATCCCAGGAGAAAAAGAAGGATCACTGATGGAGTAAGTTCTCTTAGGAGCTGAGAGGGTGAAATACTGTGCATTGGCAGGAAGATTAGATATGAGGTGGAGAGAGAAAGAATGGAGGGAGATCAGGATAGTACAGACAGGGAAGTTTACAGGTTTAGAAGCAGGAAAGAAATTGAGCATCTCTATTTTATATATGAAATACTCAACCTTAGTATGCTGCTATATATATTATATTTAGTATATTTCAACAGAGCTCAATGCAATGAAAATAAAATGGGAAAACTTAATTTGAGCTATTCATCTTTATAGTTAAATAGTGACCAAAAGAGGTGCAGAAACAAAACACTATAAATAACTGTTTGCTCATACATTTCAATTAATATATTGAGAGCTTAAGAAGTGTCAGAAAGTTTGTTTTTACTGAGGGTACAAAAGAAAAAGTGAGATTTAGTTCCAACATGAAGGATAATAACTAACCGTACAAGGCTATGGCTTGACTGTAAGAATTCTTAACATCAGAATGGACTCCTTGCAAGAAAATCAAGTATTTTACAGCTAGCTGGAAAGCACCATGGTTACTGTTTTGTCTGGGACTATTTAATAACTAAGCATGGACCTGTTGCCTGGGTGGGGATTGACAATGTGTCTTGTTCAGGCAATGAATCTCTAGAACACTTCTGAGGCATTTAAGACTATGAAATTGAATCTTGTGTGGCATAAAATCAGTCCCACAAATTTAAAAGCAGGACAGAATGTAGATATCCCCCAATATTTTTACAATGTGCAGAATCTTACAAAACAATACATGTAATATTGTTTCTATACTACTCATAGATGATTAGTATTATAACAAAGAAAGCTGTTAATACTTAAGTTTAGTATATTTGGGTTGAGATACCTTTATTGAGAAATGAATTTGCCTTTTGGGAAGTTATTCTAAATATCCAGGAGCATGTGTGTGTGTGTGTGTGTGTGTGTGTGTGTGTGTGTGTATTCCATTATAAAAACTTTAAATAAGCTCAGTGAACATTGAAATTTACCATGCAAGTATATAATATTAATTTTCAGTAGCTTACACTTTGATATATATTTACTAGATAGAATTAACTAAATCGTTCTCCTAATAGCAAAACTTTAACTTGTGAATTAGTGTAAGATCATTTTAGTTCCACTCTGATTTTTACATTGATTAACAAGACATGGAAATTGTAAATTAAATTCTTAGAAAAATTTAGGAATTGTCCCATAAAATTATCTGTGTGTGTGTGTTTGTGTATTCTTAGAATTGTAAAAAGCCTGTAAGAAACGAGATGTTTTGAATTAGTCTGAAATTAGTATTCAATAGCAGGTATGTGCTTTTGTAAGAATGTGTTAGGTCCCAATGTCTTAATTTTGATATTCAATTGAATGTTTGCTGTTTTAGACTTGTGTCTTTTGTTTCCTATTTTTCTTCCTGTTAAGAGTTACAGATTTTCTGGGAGGTTTCAGCCCAGTATAAAAGAGAAGCTCTGTCTACATGTAATAAATGCACACAAATACACACATGTATAGATACTTGAGCAACTACCATGCTATTCAATTTTTGGGTAGAACTTCTCTTGAGATTGAACTTCTGTGAGATGGATTTGACATTGCAGAACAGATTAGGTAGCCACAGAAGTGAGCTATCCTTTTCATTATTCTTTTCAATGGAGGACCTGCTGTAGGAATATAGTAAGTGACGCAATTTACAGAAACTAATAACTTACGTTATCACTTGTTATGAAGTCAGAGTTCCAAGCCTGAAAAGTATTTAATCTGCAATTGTTTTGAATTGTTCATCCTTTTTAAAAACTGTTTTCTCAGGCAAGAAAACAAATAACTACATCCGAAGTTTTCTAAGTTCTAGTGAACAACAACTCAAGGAGAACCATTTAATTGCATAAGTTTAAGATAGATTTAAAAATTTCAAGAAGCCAAAAATTTTTTTACCCCAAGTGCAATATATTTTATTGCCAATTGAAAATGTGCAAAGGAACAAAAAGAACCACATATCTGGATTTTTAATTTTTTGCACTGTGCAAGAATGGTCAATTTGCCTAAGAGCTAACTTTCCTCAGTAAAACTTGCATATTTTCTCACCCCAAATGACCTTGTGGAAAGTTGTTGATATCGCTTTGCATATTTTCTGTAAATACTACTGTAAATGCCACTAATATGCAACATGTGAATGGACTTGTTAGTAACCATTTAAGTTATTAGGAATCTATGTTTGCTATTTAAGAATCTATTAAGCATAAGATTAATAACTCATTTGCAAAGATATAGCAGATACAATTCTCTGAAATTTTATGAATGATTAGATACTTTTATAGACAAAATAATTGTCTGAAATTATTGAGACAACTCTCTCTTCATGCCTAGGATGGTGACATAGCTGAATGGCAATTAATATTGGTTAAATAAAGAGATATTATATTTATTTAATATGTGTATATATACAGTCAAAAAGTACATTTCACTCTTAATTTAAAGCAAATAAAAAATAAAACTATTATATTAAGATTGAAATACTTTATTAGAAAGATACATTGATTAGTGCAAAGATCTCACATACAAATGACATAGTCCTATACATAATTCAGTGATACTTTGTGAGAAAAAAAACCAGAATTCCTATTAAATGTAGCACAGATACTCTGAACTTAAAAATATAGAAAAACGTATCTAATAATTCAAAGAAGACAAATACTAAGGGCTAATAAATGACCTAAAGAAATTTTTATGGTAGCAAAAACAAAGCATTTCTAGTTGTTCTATCTTGCAAATGTTGAGGACTATCAGCACATAGAATGATTTAGAAAAATTGGTTTTATTGAGGTTGACAGATTAATTACAGATATCAGGGGAAAAACTCAGGAGTGCTAATTTGAAATTTTTTTAAGTCAGTGATAAAAAACCTTGGAATTATTTAAAGTTTGACTAGGGTAGTTGTCAGGATCTCTTGAAAAAATATGCTTCTGGGAACATGGTGGTATGAATAAGTATTTCCTTTTCCAACATCTATGATAATAAATAACGATTAAAAATATGCTAGCAGATGGGAATGGACATTTTGGTCTTTAGGGAAAATGAGGTGGATTCTCTATGCATATAAATTACATGCTAGGAGTTGCCTTTGAAAGTTGCTTTAACTCTTTCAACTCACTGGAAACCACTTCCACGGTCTTTCCATGTCATTGAACTCCCCAAGCTGCCTGTGAGAATATAACTTGGACATACATAGGCTCTGAGCAATCCTATTTTATCTAAGAGAACAGAAAAAAACAAAAATAAGCATATATATATGAAACTAAGCATATATGAAAATAAGCATATATATATGAAACTAATATATAAAACTTATAAACTTTCCTCTAGTTAAGTTTTATTTGTTCAGTGATAACTTTATACTACTTTAAAATATTGAACTTTACCCACATCTGATACAATATGAATGCAACTAAAGTGTTCATTACAGGAAAAAAGGAGATGAATGATCTCGCAATTTTAAGATCTGTGTAAAAATGTTACCCAGGCACCTTTCCCCCAAGAAAAGTCAGTGACAGAATGTGTTACCATAAATAATCCAAGTAAAATCAACAGAGTCTCTTTGGATCTATAATTGATGTGAAACAAGGCAGAACAAGGTTGTTGTGGGTGGCAGTGGGGGGCTTCCAGGAGAAAAATGTTGTCACCCATTTTGCCCAATATTTGCAAGTATTTCATTTAAAAAAGTCTAAACTCCTCAAAATGACACATTAAAATGAATGTATATTAATATTTTAATCATTTAAAAGATTTATTTAAAAAATTGACTCAACAAAGCTAATAAAATTTGTTTCCCTTTCACCACACAAGACTTTTAAAAAACATTGTGGACTAGTTTTGTTTTTTTTCCCGTAAAAGGTTTTCCAAATTGGAATGCTGGCAGCTCTTGCTATCCCTGAGAAAAATAGCAAAGCAAGAATTTTTGTAATTAGAGCTGCTTAAAAATCAGAGTTTACCCACATTGCAGAATATTCTCATGTTTTAACTAAAATAGCTGTGATGTCTGAGCCACACTTGGGGCTAATGAAAAATGAAGGCCACAAGAAAGGTAAGGTATGTGCATTCCCGTTTTAACTCTGTAAATGGAAGGAGAAAACGACAAACACTTGAAAGGGCATCTTATGAGGAAACTCATTGATAGGTTTTACATGTTTTCATGATTATTTAACGTGCAGGTTTAGTGAAGTGAAGCGATATCCAGCTTCTCTATAATTCTCAGTCTTTTACTAATAGTCATTAAATGTTCTCATGAACATTGGAAAGCAGAATCCCATTATGTAATAATCTATAATTATCTCTGTTAACAACAGAATTAAAAAGTCATTAGAATAGTTTCTTTGACTCTGAATTTTAAAAACGTGAAAATAACCCAATGGAAAGAATAACTGAAATGGATTAAAATACTAAAACATTGTTTCCAAGGCTCCCAAAGGTAAATAACGTATATAGTATTTCTAATGTATGTATGTTTAAACTAGAAGATGATTAAAGGATTTTAAAAACAAAACCTCTGAAATCATTCCTGGGAAAGTATAATTTTTATGTAGCTACGATTATGCAGTTAAGATTTTTGCTTTTTAAAATGTATTCTACATACATTGATGATTAAATTTATTATTATTATCAGTGAAGATAGTATTTTAACTCTGGCATAGGAAGAGATCACTCCTACATCTTTGGTAATGTTGACATCTCTCTGGATCTATGAATTGTTTGGTGAAACAAATTAGGCCTTTAGCATTCTACATAACTCTGAATAAGTAGTGTTAACAATATTAAAGCATTCTCTTATGAGCCTATTTGCTTTACTTTAATTATAAATTCCAAGTAATATGTACACTTATGTGTTTAATCCTTTAATATTAATTTTGAGCCCAAATAATTGCATGCCTTCTGTTGCAGTACACTTAGACAAAAATGTTTATTTGTAGTTTTGTTTCTGCCTGTGCAATTTTTTAAAGTAAGAATTAGTTTAGTCAACACAGAGAAATGTTTTTACAAGTGTGATAAAGAAGCATTCAGTAAATTTTATTTTTTGACTTTTTAACCAATTGTTAACTTGCATTGCCAAGTTTCAAGATGGCTAATAACTGGTTGTGTTTAATAAGTCATCCATTTTAGTTAAATGGATTAACAGGTTGTTTTTCCTTAAACTGACCACTTTTTTTTTTTTTGGGATGGAGTCTCGCTCTGTCGCCCAGCTGACCACTTATTTTAGTGGCTTAATTAGAACAAATGTTTGCGTGACCAAACTTGCAAATCATGTATTCACAATTCAAAAATCATTTAGTGAGTACTTACTATGTGTCTGATGCTGGGCTAACTGCCAATGATCCATTAATGGACAAGTCAATTATAGTCTCTAGCTTTAAGCTGATTAGGATCCGGTTCCAGTCCCAGCCTGTTCTGCCTGTCATTAGGTAAAATGAAATTACTAGTTTTCTTTGGTCATCACTGTGATTCTTCATCATTGCATCATTGTGATTATTCCATTTCTGACCTTTGGTAATGAGGTGGAAATGTAATCATCGTAAAGGCTGGCCATAACTTCTCTTTAGGGTGGAAATTATCTTTTTTATGGGAATATACCTTGGTCAGCCCCTTGGGAGTAGAGAGTGACTCTGAGGGAATTTGGATGTTTGAAAAAAACCGGGGCTGTACTGCTCAGTAAGAAACAAGAGGGCAAATTTCTTTATTTCTATGAGGGAGGAAGAGTGAAGAAAAACAAGAGTGGAGAAGAAAGAGGAAAGAGGCAGAAACCTTAAAGTTAGTGAGAGATGAGACGGCTCTCAGGAGAAAAGTTAGATGAAATTCTCTTGTGGTAGGTGGCCAGAGGATATTACAGAGCAGGAACACAAATGCCAAATGTTCAGTTTGAAGTTTTGTTGGTTGATGCTACTTTTTACATTTCTGTAGTATAAGTATTTCTTCTACCTTACTCAAATCATTGGTAAATACTACAACTTTGCGAATGCTTTGAGTGAATGGGTTGTTTGTGGAACCCGTGGGCAGGACTGAATTTTACATCTGTTTTTGACTGATCCTAAAATGTGTTACTTGAGGAAACAGGAACCCAGCAGCAGATGTGACTGTAAGAACATAAATCTTCTCCACCTCCCAGAATGAATGAATGTGTTAAAGAGAGATTTGGACTTCCAGAGAACGGTGGAAATTATAATTTAACTAACTTTCCTGAGATTTCTAGAAGTCAAGAGACTTGTGTTAATCTAGGTTACTCATGTGCCCTAGAATCTGACAAGTGGTTTTCTTGCTTGCTTCTGAGACCTGCATGCCAGGCCTTAGTTCCAGGGTTTATTTTTTAAATTGTCTATACTCTTTGGGACACAAATCCTGACCTCCCTTTATAATCTTTTTATATCATTCCATCATTCCTGCATTTATTCATCAATTTCTTTACTCGAAGTTATCAAACATTTCCTGAATACATAACCTATGACTGATGATAGAGTAGCTGACAAAAATACAAAGATGAATAAGGCCTAGTCTCTGAAGATGCTCATAGCCTGGTGTGGGAATAAGACATAAATTTAAAACAGTTGCAATAGAAGGCAGTAACGGCTAGGGTAGAGATTCAGGGAAGATGAAGAACATACAAGAGGAAGACTTGTTTCTGTCTAGTTTTTGATTCTCAACAAGGGTGAACAGCCATTGTAATTTACTCAGGACTATCTCAGATTTATAGCTGAAAATCCCGTGTCCCGAGAAACCCCTCAGGCATATGCAAAGTCAACTATGACAGTTTCCCTACCTATGGAAGTGAACACTTGATCTTCATATTCAGAATTTTATTTACATTTGGCACAGACAAATAAGAAAGAGTACTTTAAGCAGAAGGGACAACAAATACAAAGGCACAAAGTTATGGAACAACATGCTGTGTTTCAGGAAGACAGAACAGCTCAGTGTGGCTGGTGTATCGTGTTCCTTTTGAAGATTGATAGGAGACTGCTGTAAACAGGTAAGGGAGGAGCCAGATCATGAAGGACTTGGTATATCATGCAAGGAAGTCCACATTAGATCCAAAAAGGCTTTAGGGGGCATCGAATCGTTTTAAGCAGAGAACTGATCCAAGTTTTGTTTTAGAAAGATTACTCTGGGAAAGTGTAGTGAATCAATTGGAAGTTGACCAGGACTTTGGCAAGAAAACTGGTAAGCAGGGTATTGTAATGTTTCAAGTGAGAGATGATAAAATTCTGCACTAAGAAACCGTTGGTGATGATGGAGAGTAGGAGGCACATTCTACAGATACTTAAGATGAACACCACCATAAGTCTGTGCCCCATTGAAGGTGGGGCTGAGAACAGCGAGAGTCAGTCAGGAGGGTTAGGCAGGTCCCTGAGAGAGGTCCAAGAGTTGATGAAGGAGGAACACATTCAGAAAAGAAAAATTAATAGTCAGGAGTGAAACCATAAATAAGAGATAAGGAGCAGATTAGAAGTGAAGTCAGCTCAGAAACAACTCAAGATAGATGAGGACACTCAAAAGAACTTGAATCAGCAGTTCCATGTTTGTAGTTTATCTTTATAGAAAGGCATTGCATGTGGGTGTGTCAGTTTGGATTAAACATCCACGTTAGGGATGGACAAATATGTGGAATTGTCATTTTAGGTAAAACGGTACTTTTCCTGTTTTTTTTTTTTTCTAAATCCATTTTAAAATTCTGTTTTTAGTGTAAGTACTGATCCTCATTTTTAATAAAAACAAGCTATTGTTACTGATATTAATACTCCCTATGGAAGCTACTTAGTTGTGACAGGAAAAGTGTTCACATCTTCTTCTATTGCTATCTATTTATTTGGTACTGACAGCAAAATGGCAGTTTACTCTACAAGGAGCACAGGGAATATTTGTTCTTAAGAGAGAGGTTTAAGACTCACCACAGTAGAAAGTAGTCAATTGGAAGAAAATTTAAGCCACATACATGTTCAATGTAAAACCTAAATCCTCCAGTTTTACTTTTTCTCATGCCACACAGATTACTTAAAATAAATTATTTTTAAAAATTTATACCTATAATTTACCTGTTGAATCATTTTCTGAGATCTAATCAAGATGGTCTGTTTTCAAAACAAATGAGCTAAAACCCGAATTGTTATCTTGTGTGTATTCTATGGATTTTTATGCTTATACACATTAAAGACTGGCTTTTATTAACACATTTTCATTTTTCGCCCAATTTTCACATTGCACAAATTATTCCCTGTGAGTAAATTGAGCTCTTTATTTATTTTTTTCTTTTTTAAAAACACATTGACTTCTTCAGATTACTAGGGTTCAGTTTTCAATATATCAAAGTCATTATTTTTCAAATGATTCAACAGAACACTTAATTCACACGATTTTAGCATGTATGATTTAAATCTTATGTTTATGTAATCACTTCACTTTAATATGAAAGATCCTGATAAATTGAATCATCTGTTTCTGCTTGTTATAGCCAGTTATTTCCTTAAGCTAATAGCAGGGGTTTTCCAATTTGGATTGCTAACGAATAATTTGCTTTTGTTTTTGTTTTGCGTATTTGTTTTGCTCTGCATAATAAGAGTTAATTTGCTAAGAAGACTGTCATGACAATTATATAACAACAATACTTACAGTACCACAATGATCAGATGAAAAGCCACATTTCAATTTAACATTTTACTTTGAAGAAAGATGGAACTGTACTCAAAATTTTGTAAATTCTTTAAAAGTTAATATTTGTTGGCATGTTTAATGTTGAGTAGATTCCTTCTTACTGGTGAGTTGTCTTACTTGAAACAAAAGCAGGAATTATTTTAAACCAATAGATATGGAAAATGTTTTATAAATTAATTTTACATTAAAGCAACTTATAAATATTTTTTTTTAATGTTTAGAAGATTAGTATCTTTTTTTGTCTTGCTGCAAATGCACAACGGATTAGTAAACAAAGCCCTGGCCCCAGTGACCTCATTGGAAGTACATATATTAATGCACATTTTATTTTCAGGTATCTTTTTTTCTGGGCACTGAGTTTTTCCTTTATATAAAACTGATGATGGCATAAATCTTTGTAAGAAGACAGATTAAAATTGGTCCTCTTCAAAATGCTTTGGGTGTTGCATGACAGTCAGTCTGGAAAGAGATTTTATATTCACTATCTCTTACCACAGTGTAATGAAAACTGTCACACAGTTCTGTTGACAATAATAAATGATTAATAATTTTGATAAAATATTTTTCCAGAAATCAAATACTGTCTACAAATCCATAAATTCTGTATCAATGTTAACATTTATCTTGACATATAAGATATAATTTTGTACCATAATCAAATCATTAACTGTGTTCTCTCATTTTTCATTCACTAGAATGTCAAGGAAATAGGACACAGTGTTCAATATGGTCATGAATTTAATAAAATAAGAAATGAGACAAAGACAAATGTTTGGTGATCATTTTTATTCCAAATGAAAACATTTGTGATGACTTTTTCTTTTTTCATTTCTTTTCAATCATATACACCTAATTTTTTGCTCTGTTTTTTCACAATTAAAAAATGTTGATTATTATTTTAAAAGATGTGGAGTTGGAATTCTAGACCATCTTGTCTTAGTTTTTCTCTTGACTCTTTCAACTTTTCAATCCTAAAACTATTTTTGGGGAAAGATATATTTCTAAAATATTTCCTTTTATCAACATAAAATCACTTTTACTAGGCTAACTCGTTTGAAATTATCAAGTTCTATTTTTAAAAACATAAAAATAAAGCAATAAAATTAAAAAGAAATAACCCACCGAAGTCAAAAGCAAAGGCTAAAACTGGCATAGTTAAGCAACAATAAGCTATAAAAATAACGTTAAATCTGTCTTTTTTGTATTTGTACCTTAAGGCCTGGCACATAATAGGTGCTCAATAACAATTGTTCAGTGATTAAATAAATTACTTTCTCAGCCAAGGATCTTAAGCAATATTGTATAAAGAATGCATATGTCATTTATAGTTAGTGAACACCCAACTTTTACTATTACAGTTTTTTTGTAATTGAAGCAATCCCCATTCTAAAACTCAATAGCTAAGGACATTGAATAAGTTGCTTCACCTCTCTGGTTCATAGTTTCTTTGCGTGTAAAGTGGGGGTGATAATTTTGTGTGATGGTAAAGAAAAAAATACCGTAAAGGGAGTCCCTAGTACAGGGCAAATAAATGCCTTTATTACCATTAAACTGCTGCAAATACTAATATTAGTAGTAGTACTATTGCTGCTATTATTAGAGTATTATTAAATTATTAGAATGCTGCCCCCTCAATATGTTTGATAACAGTTAAGTAGTTGAATTATGTTATTATTAATCTCAAATAAAATAATGTTAATCATTAAAAATGTTGTGAGCAAAAATTTTCAATTACTTTAAAAGTACAAATGTTTTTTCTTTTTAATAGAAGGTTGTCATGGACTGATTTATGTCCCTCACCTCTGTACCCCCAATTCATACATTGAAGCCCTAGCCCTCAATAGCTCAGAGTGCCATTGTATTTGGAGACAGGTTCATTAAAGAGATGATTCATTAAAATGAGATGCTTAAGGTGGACCCTAATCTAATTAGACTGAAGTCCTTATGAGAAGCAGAAATTTGGACACACAAAAAACCATCAGTGATGCACACTCACAGACGGAAGAACATATGAGGACACAGCAGTAAGGTGGCCATCAGTAAGCCAAGGAGAAAGGCATAGGGAGAAACCAACTCTGCTGATACCTTGGTCTTGGACTTCCAGCGTTTAGAACGGTGAGAAAATAAATTTATGTTGTTTGAGCCACCCAGTCTATGGTATATTTTTATGGCATAAAGCAAACTAATACAATGGTTATTAGATCTAGATAGTATATTTTCAGCAAAATTTGTCTATGTTTACTACTTTGTTATTATTTTTTCTTTGCCTCATTGTTTCTATGGATTTCTTCAAAATGTTAAGCTCTTTAGGGGAAACTTTACCATGAATAGTTTTAGAAAGCAAGCTTGCATAAATGTCTGAAAAGGAAACATATTATTCACAGGTACATTTTAAAGTTACTTTAATGATTTATACCTTTGTTGCCTACATTATTTGATAAATGGTCTTAAAATCCTTATGAGTCTTAAATACTAAACTCTGATTTAAAACTTTATTATTATATAAAATATAAAATTGAGAAAAATGTATCTGTTAAAACAATGACTTCAAGCCTTCGAAAATTGTTATATCCATATTGTCAATGTGTATCTTTTAAAATTTTTACAATACTTGCTATGAAATCTAAAGCACATAAGTGAAATATGCCACCCACATTCATATATTAAATATATGAATTTGAAAATATAAAAAATTTTAAAAATATTATACCAAAATTTACCTTACTAAAATGGTTTGTCTTTTATTTTCACATTTATTTAGAACTATATCACATTTTTATATATCTCATTATAGAATTTGGACAATGTTTGCTATATGGCAAGAGATTCTGACCCATGTGAAATAATTCACATGCCTAAAATTAGAAAAATGAGATAATAGGAGTTCCCCCAAAATGTAGCTACCTTTCATAATCAATCCTAAAATAGTGTTTGTTATTCTCTAGTATCAACTGATGAGCAGTAAGTTAATAAGTATAAAATATTCACAAAATTTTCTTTTATCATGGTCAATTTACTGAATAAATTTATTTAGTTTTTTGTTAGACAATACAGACTTGCTGAATGGATGAATGAAATGAATGAAGCATGGCAACCAAATAAATTCAGTCTAGTTTATTTGATACTATGTTAGTAACTAGGCTTCCAAGACATGATGACTCTTTTTTTTTTTTTTTTTTTTTTTTTTTTTGAGAGGGAGTCTTGCTCTGTTTGCCCAGGCTGGAGTGCAGTGGCATGATCTGGGGTCACTGCAACCTCCGCCTCCTTGGTTCAAGCAATTCTTCCTACCTCAGCCTCCTGAGTAGCTATAATTACAGGTGACCACCACCACACCCAGCTAATTTTTGTATTTTTAGTAGAGATGGGGTCTTGCCATTTTGGCTAGGCTGGTCTCCAACTACCGACCCCAAGTCAAAAAGTCTGCCTCAGCCTCACTTGAAATGGATGAACTCATGAGTCTGTTATGACAGGACATCAGATCTAACCAAATTCTTGCCACTTTATATTGACTATAGATAGATCTATTTGTATCTGCCTCTTATGCAACATTCAAAATCTCATCTAATTTCATATGAGATGAAATCCTGAGCTTGCTCATTAAAATGTCTAAAATGTTTTTTCTGCTTTAAGATAAAGAATAACCTTTTTTCTTTTCTTTCTTTCTTTCTTTCTTTCTTTCTTTCTTTCTTTCTTTCTTTCTTTTTCTGGGGGTGAAGGAATGTCATTAATGTATCTTGAGACACTAGTATCAGTTCTTTTATATAGCCAAAAACCTATCTCTCCAAAAAAGAATGAAACTAGTGTCCCTAAATTGAAGATGTATGCTTATGCAATTGACTTGAATCTGTTGGAAAAATGAGTATATCATTTTATAAAAAAGTTAAATCATTGATGTCAGATGTCAGAGCTTACAATAATCAGAATGCATAGCATTGTATACAGCTTCATGATTCTAAAATCATTTGCACAAGCATCTTGAGAGTGAGAGAAAGAAAGAAAACGAATTTATCACTGAATACAGAAAACACATCACCCTTTTTTACCACCTGTGACCCACGCCCTGCAGCCATGTGTTATGATTCTGTACCAAGCAATTTCAAGGAGATGCTCTTGGAGGATATTTATGGGAGGACTTTCCTGCTCTTCTGGATCACTATTTCACCTTTTGCCGTGCCAAGTCAGAATCAGAATGACTGATATTCTAAGAGGTATATAAAAATCAAATTCATCAAGAAACCAAGCATTCACTAAAGGATGGTATTAATTTGGAAGTCTGCATTTTTACATGTGAGTTATATAACCAAATCTTCATTGAAACATTGCGGTTCACTTTGCCAATCCTAGTTTTAGAATATGAAAGGTAAAATTAAGTAGAGAACAAAGTGTTTAACATTTCACAAGCTTGAAGAGGAACAATGGTTATTTACTAACATCAAACTTCAAAAAATTATTTCTAGGACTGGAATATTGGCCTCCATTTTTTTTTACACTAAAGTTACCATTTTAATGTGAAAGACTGAACAGACTAAATGTTTTCTAAAGTAATTTATTTTTACAATATTTTCACATAGTTCAACTTGAAACTGCACTGAGATTGTAATACATTGGAAACAAAATTTAATTTTCAGATCAACCTTTAGTGTATCTTTTGAAAAGTTGTGTATAATATAAACTTCTAAGATGCTCTTGCCAAAAATGAATTTTTATATCCTGTCATTCAAATTATGCATGAGGTTTACTAAAAGCTCCATCTGAATTGTGAGAAACTGTTTCCTAAATGTGTATGTGTACAAACAGGCACACATTCGTGTGCACATATATCAGAAAAACATGTCTTATATTATTCCTATAACAAGTTCTCCATTCTGCTACCATTATCTGTAAGTTTCTGTGATTGCAGTAGTTTATAAAAGGACTTATCTTTCCTGTTAAAGCAATAAGCATCCAAAACTCAGAGTGTGGATGTTCAAAGTCTAGTTGAAAATAAATATCATTATTCATATTTTGATTTTATGCACAGCTGTGGTCTTCCTTTCTCTGTTGTTAACAGAGCTGTCTTCTCTTTTCAGTGAAAGCAAAACAAAGAGCAGATTGGAGATTCATTTATGGTGAGGGTTAATGTTAGTTAACATTCAATCTTTAGTTATAATAAGCATATACATGTGTGGGTGTTTTATGTACATGTGTGTTCAATTTCTTCTACCAATATGGTTAACCATGGATTTAAATAGTTTCCAAGTCTTTCCTTCATTAAAGTTTCTTTAATGAAAGGAAATAGATTAAGAACAGCAACATTAGCAAAGGTGACATTTGCTCGATGTTAATATGGTATGAATAACAAAACTCATCATGTCACCAGGTTGGATGCGGTGGCTCATGTCTGTAATCCCAGCACTTTGGGAGGCTGGGCATGGTGGCAGGTGCCTGTAATCCCAGCTACTCAGGAGGCTAAGGCAGGAGAATCATTTGAACCCCGGAGGCAGAGGTTGCAGTGAGCCAAGATCGCACCACTGCCCTCCAGCCGGGGCGACAGAGCGAGACTCTGTCTCAAAAAAAAAAAAAAAAATTTCCTCAGTAGAACCTGTGTGTGAAATACCAGGATTGCCCGTGAGGAGGCATATGAACAAACTTTCTCCTGTTTTTGTTTTGTTTTGTTTTGTTTCTCCTAGAACATCAAGAAAATTCCAGATTAAGACTATTCCTCTAAAATTTAAATGCACTCAATATTCAAGCAAGCCTGAAAGATGTCTTTTAACTTTCACCCTCAGTATTTGTCATGCCATACTGCAAGAACAATCTCCACATGTTCATCCATGAGGCACAGGGGCAGCAGACCGTACATTTTAATGGGACCATTTTCTTAAAATGTCAGTAGTATACCTTGGCTTGCATATAAAAATATATTCTGAGAATTTAAATATTTTCAACAAAAACCCCTAGCTTTTGAACACACTTAGGTTCACAACTCCCACAAATACTTTTTCCTTCTCTCAAATTTCAGGCAACAAGAGTGCCAGAAGATGTGGAATTTGTATAACCCCAAACTGTGTTTTCCTAACTAATCTTGGCAAGCTTAAAACCCTGGAAAGTCACAATTCACTTCCCAGGCGATCATCCTGGACAGCTCAACAGCAGAAAAGCAGAACAGGATATCCAGCTATTGAACCGGGCTGCCGGCCCAGGTGGCCAGCCTTGAAGCTGTGGAGAGCGCCTACCAGGAGGGCCGCATGGGCTGCAGGAAGACACGTTCCTTTCCTCTGTCTGTTGTGAGCTGGAAAGGAAAGTACAGTCTGCACTCCCGAAACACTGCCTGCCAACACAGCACTTTTCAGCAAAGGTGAAAAGAGAGTATGTCTCTAACAATAAATGTCACAAGAGGAACAAATCATTTATAAGATTCAGGAGGCCCCAACTCAAGCAGATAGTTGGCAGTGGAAAAACAGCTTCAATTTTATTACTGTATTGAATGAGACATAGCTTCACAGATGTGAGACCATTTAAGACCAATTGTTTTTGTACCTAAAGTTACTTAAGTATATAGGATGAAAGAAATAATGAGTTAGGGGGCTAGGGTTAGATTCTCTGGTCTTGTGCTAAGAGTTCCATGACAGGAATTTTTATCGTTATTAATGACAAGGTCTTCCTCCTGATGCCATTCTTCTATTTTTGTATTTTCCTTTGTTTGTTTTTTTAAGAATGAATTATTTTCATTCAAGTTATGAAATCCTCCCTCAGAAGTCTGTTTATATTTACAAAATATCCTAATTTATATTTATGAAATAATTCTCAAATAAATAAATAATAAAGAGAAGCAGGAAGAATGATAGAAAATGTGTATTTCCAAAATTGATAAAGCAATCTATTTGCTTGTCATTGTAAATCAATACAAAACAAATAAATTTTAAAAAAATTACTACTAATTACAGATTCTTTCGAGAAAAAAATTGCATTCTTTAAATCTAGGAAACTTTTATTCTAGTTCATAAAACAAGATGTGAAGAAATAATGTTTTATACGTAATTGTATATCCAATTGGCAAGGTAGTATATGTGTTCATTTTTCTTCTACAACTGAGTCTCAATAAATGCATATATATGATAAAAATATGATAATAGACAAGTAGATAATAGGTAGATAGCAGATATAACAGATAAGTAGATGCTAAGTCTACACAGCTGAGGAATCAGACCTAAAATTATACCATCAGTTTAGTTACAATTTTGTGCCTATATAATTTTTTAGAAGCCTAAACATTAAAATTTAATACTCTTGTTATCCTACAAGAATATTGGTTAACATTTGAATTACTGTAAAAAATATTCTAAAATAGTCAAACCAATTTACAATTGCAATATACAATCAAGATCACCTGCATGAAGACAAAATTAATAAAAGTGCATCAGACTTTCATTAACTTAAATAACCAATATTATTGTTTTCCTAAAGATAAAGTTTCATTTTAAGAATAAATGTCAAATTATTTTCAATTTGCTGTATAAGAATTACTAGTTGGCGAAATGAGTCAATCCTCTGTTGGGGAGCAATGTTGTTGGTGAACAGTGGTCAACCAGTCTATACTTTGGGGAACAGGAGCAGGATTGGTCATCAAAATGAGAGAATCTGACCTACTGTACTATTGTCTATGAGATGTCTTTCATTTTGATGTAGGTTTCTCCTTTATTAGTAAACAGATGACTTTTTAGTGAGGAAAAAACCCTGTTTTTTTCATCTCAATAGTCTTCTTATAAATTGATGAAGAAGCTCATCAATAAAGAAAACTTGGTACACACCAGCTTTCATGTAAATTGTATCAATTCTTAACTAGATTTTGCCTAGGAGCTAATTTTTCAGACATGAAATTGCTTGGAAATCCAGAAGGATTTTCTTTTTCATCTGGGGGCAATCTGGTAGCAATTTCATATCCCTTACTAAATTTGAGAGTATGTCTGTGTGTGCATAAGTGCATGTGTATTTATGTAGGTGTGTATACTAGACTTTTCCTTTTTTTTAGTTTATTTTTTAATTAAAGATTCTCCACTCAAAATATTAGAAATTTAGTGAAGCATAAGAAAACCACTACTCAAAAAATCATTGCCAATATGTTAGTAAGTATATATTCAGAATTTTCTATGAACAAGCTCATTTTAACAAAAACCAAAAAAAGAGGCATAGGTGTACACACTGAGTATCTTTATTGTCTTGTTCATTACATCGTGACCATGTTTTCTATCAACCCATATGCATTTGAAGTATGGTAATAAAATCTGCATGGCATTCCGTTATATAAACGCACTCTAACCGATTTAACTAATCCCTACTCTGAGACATTTACTGTGCTTCTGACTTTCTCCCATTCTAAAAGATGCCTCAATTAATATTTTATCAAATCTGTGTTAAAACTGTGATAAATTTTTACTAGTGGAATTGCTAAGCCAAAGTCATTGTCTACTTTTAAAGCTTCTTATTAATATATCCATATTCTGCTCTTTAAAAGTTTGGTCAGTTTACTCTCCTATGAGTAGTATGTATTAACACTTGTTTTCTCACATATCCACTGTCACTGGGAAGACTACTTGTATTTTTTCATATTCAGGGTCACTGGATACTATTAAAAAATAAAAAATTGGGGTCAATTATTTTGTTCAAATATGTTATCTCATTATTTGTTTTTATTTGTATTTCTTTTAATTTTATCAATTTCTTTATTAGCCATTTTAATTATTTTTTGCTTACTTTCCTGTTATATACATTCTGTACATTTTCTTATCTTCTGTACTTTATTAGTGATATTTGGTTTTGATATATGAAAACAACCATTTGTTACAAATGAAACAAATTTTTTTTCAGATGGCTGTCTACAAAATAGTCTTTCAGTAAGAGGATGACTCTGGAGTTAGGCAAACTGGGGTTTCAAATCTGAATTATCTCATTTACAAGCTATGTGACTTTAGACAAGCTACTAGAGCTCACTAAAACTCAGCTTTAACATAATATAAAATAGGGATGGTAAACCTGTTTTGGACATAAATACTAAATAGGCCTAGGAAATAGCAAGTACAAAATTAATGATAGTTGTTATTATTTTAATTGTTTGTAATGTTTTAGACATTTGAACACTGTTTGAATGTTACAAAACCAAATCTCTATGTTTATAGCTTCTTAGAGTTAAAGTAGGAAAGTTGTTGAAAACTCAGACTCGGGAAACAGTCTGAGTTGGAAACCTGGCTCCGGTTTTTAGTAGTTGTTTGATTTTAGGCAAGTTACTTAACCTTTCTTAGCCTCAGTTTTCTCATCTGAAAAATAGGTGGATATTAATACCTGTGTTATAAAGGCATTGAGACAATAAAATAAGGTACTGCTTATCAAACATCTAACACAATGCTTGGCATTTGAAACATTCTCAGTAAACACCAGCTTTTATAACTATGAGGGTGATCATTATCTTTCTGCCTTTAATTGCTCTTGCATTGACTAAGGTTTTCTTAATCACTCAAGTGGCATGAGAGGATTTATCTAGAGCTCACAATATAATCGAGCAAATTATCTTAGGCTTTCTTGGTTGCATTCCTATGCTGGGGGCTCCTATGGCGTCCCCCAGTCTGGCTAAGAAAATATTTTTCTGGGAAATATCACTGATTGGGTAGGAAATCTTGAGAAATATACTAACGTATCTTAATGATGCTGTGTTTGATAGCTGATATCTCAACAGGTACTTTCACATTTAGGCTAACTGAAATGTGAGGTTTCTTTTCACTCACCATTTTGTAATCTCCAAAATAAAAAGGCATACTGTAACAAAAGTGATCTCGAAAATTTGAATCCTAAAAAACAAACAAAAAAAGCACCATGTTTACCTCTGGTGTTTATTTACTTTGATATTTTATTTACTTCTGTCTATATGTATTTGATTCCACATAGACAGGATTCATCCCAGCTCCTGGTGAGGGATAAAACCCTATAATGATGGAAGTGTGTTCCTGAGTAGGCATAAGGAAAGGCAGTCATTTTCTAGTTAGCTAATGTGGTCCAATCATAGGTGACATTATCTTTGCATTCAGAAAATAAGATTTTCAAACAAACCACTCTGGTTTGCTAACTGGAATAAGGTGCAAGTGATTGCTTGGATATTGAAATAGTGAATGTGCATGTATGGGCTCCTATCCATTGGCAGATACAACTTTTCTGTATCTCAATAAGACCACAAAGCAGGATTTTTTTTGTTTGTCTTCTTTCTCCCCTGGAGGACCCAGCAAAATGGCTTCCTAAATCACGTGCATTCTCTTTCTGCAGTTTAATTGGTCTTTGGAACAAAAAGTTTGGAAGTCAGGATACTTCCTTAATATGCAAATCCTGTCGAGATATTTTTCCTGTGAAGCCGACCTTCATTTTCATGGAATACTGTTCCTGCATAGCTCACTTTTCTTCATCTTCCTTTGGCTGGGTTCTCATGGATTGCTTTTGCTGTATATTTTGAATTAGTTCCCAGTTGTACTAGGTACTCAAGCTCTAGAGATGATACTTTTATCCTCTGACTATAGAACTTTCCATCAGTCAGCCATGAATTTATGCAGAGGAGCATGGAAGCCTCCCACGCAAGTCTGACAGTTTTAGAAGTAATCCCATTCTCACTGATCTGTCATACTTGAGCTAGCCCATGGTCTTCTTCCTGCTGATGTCTCCTAAGCTTATTACTCTCAGCAGTGTCGTATGAGACTTCACTGTCTCATGTTTTTATCCACTGTATTTTAACCAGAAGGTGTGATCCTTTCATCAAACCATAATTCTTGCTGATACTGAAATGTATGTAGATTTCAATATCAGCCTTCTTGATTTAGAATTCACAGCCACTTCTCATTGCATGGGGGAGAGGAGGAAGAGATTAAAACATCCATGTCTAGACACAATTATCATTGCCCAGATTCCTTATGTTTTACATTTCTTCTCAGCAAGATACCCACTTTCTATTTGCAGAAATAAATATCAAGCATAAAGAATTTGTAGAAATTACAGATAATATTCTATAGTTTTTATTAATAAAAATGTCTTATCATATATTACTGTTGGAGAGGATTCTAAGTGCTATGCAGTGTTTACCACCTAACACCATTAAACTCAAGTCAGATTCCTTTGTGCTGCTCCTCACTATTTGGGAAAATAATGCAAAAATCTTTGAAGTAAGTGCCATTTATGTGAAAGAAATAATTTGGAAAGGAAACATTCCTTTACGATATTTAATTTTATCAAATAATGTAGGGGGAAAATAGAGCTTGACTTTCCCTTTATGAAGAAAAATACTCCTTTGAGGAAAAAAAAATCCTCTTATTTTGTAAAGTAGTTCCAAGAGACAGCTGGCATATTCAAGATATAACAACCACTCTAGAGAGCAATGAATACAAACACACACAAGAAAATCTGTCACTTAATGGCTAATATTCGTAAACTATCAACAGAGAAATGAAGTTCGTAATTCAGACAGAAAACCCATTTGCTCAGTGTGTTGCTGATAAAACATGCAACATAAGCAAATTATTAAAAACCTAACTGTAGCAGGTCGATAGAGAGCTCTGCTTCTGTCCCCATAATCCCATTATTCAATTAAGCAATACTACAGGTAGAACAGGGGACACAATAATTATCACCAACAACATTGCCATTCATGCTTCTACCGTAGGCCAAACTTCCTTCAGATTTTTGTGGAAGGTATTTGTATGTCATAAATACATAAAAAGTCAAGACACAGATAAATTACCTCTATTATCTTTTCCAAGGATGATCCAAAGAAAATGTCAAATCTAAGCTGAAACTCTTAGCTGAGTCTGGTAAAGATATACTTTTATGTCTTTCCTTATTATAAATATCTGGCTCATCATTTTCCTCATGGCACTGACAAATTAAATTTATATCATTGTCATCAGTTCACATCCACTTTGCATGCACTGGAGGCTTGGAATTGTGATTAGCCGAATCATTATCAAAAGAGTTACTTAACTCAATATCAAATGGAACTGACTGAATAGCTAGAGAGTAAACCTACCTCATCACAAGCTATTAAAATACAAAAGGGAGTTCAAGACCAGCCTGACCAACATGGAGAAACCCCATCTCTACTTACAAAAAAATACAAAATTAGCCGGGCGTGATGGTGCATGCCTGTAATCCCAGCTACTCCGGAGGCTGAAGCAGGAGAATGGCTTGAATCCGGGAGGTGGAGGTTGTTGTGAGCCGAGATCCCACCATTGCACTCCAGCCTGAGCAACAAGAGTGAAACTACATCTCAAAAAAAAAAAAAAGAAAAAAAATTCATTGCATATTTGATTTGCTTTATTCCAATATACACATCACCAAAATTTGTTAAAGAAATACTAATGGTTGAACATTAAAACTTTTATTCTGTGTTATTAATATTACAAGATCCTTTCCAAGAGATGCCAAAAGCACAGATTTCAAATATCCAATGATGTTTCTTATTGTGTTTAAGTCAAGTGTACCACCTGCATTTTAGGTGAATTGAAGATAAAGATAAAAATCATCCCTTTAACTGATGGTAATGTAGCATTCAAATGAATGGATAACTAAATTCTGTCTTCTTTCACTAGTCTGGTAACTCATGTAAAGGTGCTCCCATTAAAATGCACAATTTTATAATATGGCATTTGCAAAGATTAGAGGAAGTCTATGGTCCCTTTAATCTTGGGGATTCTGATTCATAGCAGTACTTTCTAACATGGTGTATGTGTAGTATTTTTGATGAGAGGAGTGGCTGCCTTGCTTATCTGTGTGTGATCTTTTGCCTTAAGCCCCCAAGAAGTTCTGTTATAAGAAGGAAAAATTCCAGAAGTCGGGCTTCAGAACGCTCAGCTATGGCTGTTGCTTGACTCATTCCATCTTAATGCCCAGTTCAGCCTCTACTCATGCCTTGTACAAGGGAATGACATTTTGTTCTCAGGTGCTGGTATTCGTCAAGGAAGGAGGAGATACACTTGGGAAAGGCCCAAAGAAACTAAGGCTGATATGAACACACAGACTTTTATATGAATTATAAATAATGCAAAGTTAGTTTGAGACTCTTCTAGTAAAAATATAAAGGTGGTCGTCAATATAAAAGACCAAAATAAGTTTCAAACATGAAAGCCAGATGATGATTTGAAGAGGTCCTACACTCTAAAACGATCATGTCCCCACCTCCCCACCCATCCATAGTATAAAATTAGAATAAAAGCAATACTGAAACATAAAATAAGTATCAGGAGATCCAACAAAGTTTTGATTTTCTTAACTTATTTTTAATGTCGACATGAAAGTCTTTGCCATGTTCTGCCGAAATATTTCTGAAGTCATACCTTGCTGGTGTCTGCAAGCAAGCCTAATCTATTGACTAGACAATCTAGGCAGGATAGTAGTTATTAGTTTACTTTCTTTATGGACATCTTGAGCAACTGCATAGTCTTAATCATAACACTTCATCTGCTAAGTCCTCAGTTTCTTTACCTATGAAAGAACAGGACTACAAATAGGTTGCCTTGTTAACCTATATTATAAGGAATTGCCAGGAAAATAAGAAAGTACAGTGTTCAGTGTTGTTTCCTTTTCATAGATGAAGAAGTTTATTCAGAATTCTGATGCATCATTTGTGATACTCTTCAAAAGAAGCATAAAATGTTGAAATGGCAAGTGAAAGAAATTTCTGGCTAAATTTTCCTGGTATTTGTGCCACTTCTACCACATGCAAGCACTACAATCCAGCTCCTTTGTAGTTCTCAATAGAGAATTTTATGTGACAAACACATTTTTTAAATATCAAGGATATATGGAAAAGTTGGCTATTTATTTTTTCATAATGGCATCTTGTCATTCTCAAGTATGAATGAACTACTAAACAATGACATCACAATATTTACTATACAGATTGTCCCTTTTCTGCTTGGTAGATAACATAAACACATGGGTAACATTATTACTAATCCCATACCAGTATTTCTTTACCTCAAAAAAATCCCATACTAGTGATAGAAACTAGATCTGGCAAATACTGAGTTAATTTTACTATCACAAAAAGTTCATCTGGATAATTGATGATTTTTCATAATGCTTATTATTTAAATCGCCACTGTAATATTTCCCACCACTATTGGAGGTCAGGAATATTTATTGGCTTATTCTTTTTTAATAGAAATTAGGAAGGATAATGAATCCAACTCTACTTTGATAGTACAGCCTGTTAGGAAGATTGCTAAATTACCAGGTCAAGGATCTCATAATCAAAGCTGGGAGTTGAAAGGGGCATTAATAATTACCTAGACATGGAATTGAAAACTCAAATACCTATCAGAGCCAGATGGATAATGTAAAGTAGCACATTTCAGCTTGTATGTCCACCTAATATGTACAGTAGCTATATAGCTTTAGACAATGGCTGCCTTTGCAATAATGCAAACTGGGGTTGTCTTTGAAATATTTACTGCATATCTCACTTTGAACAAGACACATTTCAAATACTCAAAATTGCATATGCAGCACAGACATAGAGGAAAACTATGCTTTCTCCATACATGCTAGATGAAATCCAATACTGACAATATTATCTCCATAAATGATAACTGTCTTAAGAAAAAATGGCTCACTTTTTTGGGAAAATGGTGACAAGAATGACTTCGGTAGCTCAAAACTGGGCTTTTCCTTCTTTGAAATACTGTAAAAGTCAGTAATAGAATTTCTCCTTCCAGTATTTGTGCTCTTTTAGTGAATTATAAGTCAAACATGAACTCACAAAATAGTTTAAGTCACAAATGTTTTCTTAGAAAGCCACTGTATCTTCTTTCAATCATATGATGGTGGTTATGAGTTACTGTCTAGTCCTTCCCAGGGGGAGTTCATCCTATTTCAGAAGGCTTTGCTTACCTTATAAATTGTTTTTTAGGAAAATATAGTAAGTAAATTCCAAATGTATACTCACAGAAACAGTTAAACTTTGTATTCTTATCTACATCTTAAAAGATCCATCTTCTTCCTGAGAATTAGCACATTTGCAGTAATTTGTGCTTACATGTTACAAACCTGGATTGCTACTCTCCTAATACAAAGTGAACAAGACTGCTACACTTAATAAATATTTGTTGCAATAAGCAAATAAATAATTGAACTTAGTGTTTTTATATTATTGAAATTACTTTTTCTCATATCTGCAGACTCAAATGTATTCTCATTCTGATAACATGGGGGAAAGGAGCAAATGCACATATTCCTTTTCTACTTCTTTGCCTTATTTTGGACAATCCACTTGCAAATGAAATGTTAGTCTTGAAAATATTGGTATTTTACATTTTAGTGCAGCAATTGTGAGGTGTGAGCTGTCTGTGTGTGTTCGTGCACGTGCCTTTGGGTGTGTGTTATTTTTGTGTCTTCACACTCCTTAGGTTTGTTGAAGCCAGAATTAAAGGAAAGAGGCATGTGAAAAAGAAAGGGAGGTATTGAGGAAATGGGATGTGAAGTCCTGTGTTAACAATGAGGACTACAGGCTTTTTTTGTGACTTGAGATAGAAAGAGTAATTTCATCAAGAGCGCAACATAGACCTTCAGGAGTGCTTATCAAGGCTCTTCAGAGAGGAAGTGGCCATTTTTTGTCTTTGCAAAACAAACAAACAGTGCTTGTTTTTGCAGCCCTGACCTAAGATCTCTCCCACTGTATCTCTCTGTTTTTCAAACCTCCTCCCTAGATCCAGTAGCAGGTGTGAGGGAACAGAAAACAAAATGTCTAAACTAAGGAGTCCCTGTCCCATTTAAGAAGCTCTGCTACCCTTTGAGTTCTTGGAGAGGCACTGGCTGAGGTCAGCAACGTCATCCTATGAAGCGACAATGGCCAACTGGCAGACAAGCCCCAAAGTCGTGGAGAATATAAAGAGTGAAACATATTTTTAGTCATTTTTGTTGAAGCTTAATATTTTGCATTTGTTTATATAGATTAAATCCTGTCAAATAAAAGTTTCCATCTGGATAAAAGGAAACCAAAAAATAGAAGTGCAAGTTCTATAACTGGAATATTTGAAGCTGGGAGAAAAGATAATCCCCCACCTGTTTGGGGGCAGGGATTTTGCAATCAGGAGTCTATACATTTTTCAAACCCTGAGGCCTGTGAGAAACAACTTCTTCCTTAGGCTGTACAGTTTCATCTCTTCTCTTTGAATCACTCAACCCCAGCAAAGAAAAGCTGCAAACCAAATTTAGGCATTACACAATCTAAATGCACAAGCTGGGCCCGCAAGTACATAATTAGGTGCATTCTGTATGTCCATATAAGGTGCCTGAGTCTGCTTTATTTTAATGTGGTGATTCTTGTTCAGTTTATAAGACCTTTTGAGAATTGAGTCATTTGAGTTGTAGCCTTGTATAGAGTTGCAGGCAGCATGTGTTTGCCGCTATGGGAATGGCAAGTATGAAGGAAAGGGAAAAGGCCTGTGCAATACAAATCTATGATTACAAATAAACTCATTTTTTAAATGACAATTCATTTGAGAGGGCCTACTAAATACTGACATATCTCCTTAAATACAAAATAAATCATATTACCTTCATTACAGGAATGATCACACCAACACAGTCTCCTAAAGAATGATGACAGAATCTTCCTCTGTCCTCCCTCAGTCTCTGACCCTGATGCACAATGCATGCACATACACAACACACACATTCATATTATCACAAATGTACACACACAGCACAGGCAATCACATACACAAACACATACACACGTTATATAAACACACAGAAACATACGCTGTCTTATATGAGCATTTGGCCCTGTTTTTTCTAATAGTTGTTTCTTTTTCAGGAAAACAGCCTCATCATTTTCTACACTTATTAGGCAATTTACTCATCTTTCTAAGACTAAATTCCCATGTAAAATAAGAATAACAATCATAATCCTATATAGCACTATTATGAGAATTCAATAAAGTAAAGCAAACAAATAACTTGGAAAAGTCCTCGGTATATGATAAGGAATCAGTAATGCTGGAAATAGTTAATATATATTTTTTACCCTGAAACGATGGTTGTCCTTCTGAAACACTTCTATTTCATTTCTGAGAAGCAACGGAGGAATAATATCCTGAACACAAGGTACAACTTAGCCTGGTAATTACTGCATGGATTTTACTTTTGTATTATACATTTATAGAAAATTCTTCAGAAATCTTTCCTATCTCTATAGTTGATGTGATAATCTGGTCTTAATTCTGTTTCCAGTTAAAAAAGCCATGGGTGGACTGGTAGTGAGTTGTCCTCTGATAAATATACATGCATACCTCAGAGATATTGTGTTTGGCTCAGAACCACTGCAATAAAATGAATATTGCCATAAAGCTAGTCACACATGTTTTTTGGCTTCCTAATGCATATAAAAGTTATGTTTAAACTATACTGTGCAATAGCATTATGTCTTTAAAAAGTACATACCTTAATTTAAAAATATCTTATTGATAAAAAATGTTAATGACCATCTGAGACTTCAGCAAGTCCTAATCTTTTTGTTGCTGGAAGGTCTTATCTCTGCGTTGATGGTTGCTCACTGACAAGGAGGTGATTGTGGCAACTTTTAAAAGTAAGACTACAATGAAGTTTGCTGCATTAATTGACTCTTCCTTGCACAAAAGAGTTCTCTGTGGAATATGATGCTGTTTGTCAGTATTTTACCCACTTCTATAGTTTGGATGTTTGTCTCCTCTTAATTGCGTGTTGAAATGTGATCCCCAGTGTTGGAGATGGGGTCTGGTGGGAGGTGTTTGGGTCATGGGGGCAGATCCCTCATGAATGGCTTGATGCCATCCTCACAGTAATGAGTGAGTTCTTGCTCTATTAGTTCATATGAGAGCTGATTATCTAAAATAACCTGGCATCTCTCTCTTGTTCCCCCTTTCACCATGTGGCATGTGTGCTCCCTGTTTGCCTTCCACCATGAGTAAAATCTTCCTGAGGCTTCACCAGAAGTAGTGTAGATGCTTATACAGCCTGCCTGAGCCATGAGCCATGCTTATACAGCCTACAGAACCATGAGCCAAATAAATGTATTTTCTTTATGAATTACCCAGCCTCAGGTATTCCTTTATAGCAACATGAAACTGACTAATACACTGACGCTAGAACTTCTTTCAAAATTGAAATAAATCCTCTCAAACTCTGTCACTGCTTTATCAAGGAAGTTATGTAATACCCTAAATCTTTTGTTTTCCTTTTAACAATGCTCATACCATCCTTGCCAGGAGTATATTCCATTTCAAGAAACCACTCTCTTTGCTTAATAAGAATTGAGCAACTCCTCATCTGTTCAAGTTTGATCATGGGATTGCTGCAATTCAGTTACATCTTCAAGCTCCATTTTTAATCTCACTTTTCTTACTATTTACAGCTATCTGCAGTTACTTCTTCCATTGAAGCTTGAACCACTCAAAGCTATTTATTAGTGCTGGAATCAACTTCTTTTAAATTCCTATTATTGTAGACTTTTCTACTTCCTTTCATGAATCATGAATATTCTTAATGGATTTAGAATGGTGAATCCTTTCCAGAAAATTTTCAGTTTACTTTGCCCAAATCCATCAGAGAAATCACTCTCTATGGCAGCTACAGCTTTAAAAAAAATGTATTTCTTAAAAAATAAGACTTAAAAGTCAAAATTAGTCTTTGATCCATGGACTGTGAAATGAATGTTGTGTTAGCAAATATGAAAACAATGTTGATCTCCTTGTGAATATTTATCACAGCTCTTGGGTGACCAGGTACATTGTCCATGAGCAATACTATTTTAAAAGGAATCTTTTTTCCTGAGTAGTAGGTCTCAACGGTGGGCTTAAAGTATTCAGTAAACCATATTTCAAACAGATGTGCTATCATCCAGGCTTTGTTGTTCTGTTTATAGAGTACAGACAGAGCAAATATAGCATAATTCTTAAGGGACTTAGGATTTTCAAAATGGTAAATGAGCATTGACTTCAACTCAAAGTTACCAACTGCATGACCCACTAACAAGAGAGTCAGCCTGTCCTTTGAAGCTTTGAAGCAGACATTGACATCTCCTCTCTAGCTATGAAAGTCTTAGATGGCATCTTCTTCCAATAGAAGACTGTTTTGTCTACATTGAAAATTTGGTGTTTCATGTAGCTATCTTCATTGATGTTCTTAGCTATATCTTCTGGATAACTTGCTGCAGTTTCTACATCAGCACTTGTTCTTCTTGCATTTTTATGTTATGGAGATGGTGTGTTTCCTTAAACCTCATGATCTGACTGCTGTCAGTTTTCAACATTGTTTCTTCAACTTCCTTATCTCATAAAATTAGAGAAAGTTAGGTCCTTGTTTTGAATTATGCTTTGGCTTATAGGAATGTTGTAGCTGGTTTGATCTTCTATCCCGACCACTAAAACTTTCTCCATATCAGCAACAAGAATATTTTGCTTTCATAATCATTTATGTGTTCACTGGAATTGAAGTTTTAATTTTCTTTAAGAACTTTTCTTTGCACTCACAACTTTGCTGACTATTTGCAGCAAGAGACCTAGCTTCCAGCCTATCTTTTCTTTTGACATAGCTTCCTCACTAAGCTTAAACATTTATTTATAGCTTTTAATTTGAAGTGAGAGATGTATAACTCTTCCTTTCACTTGAATACTTAGAGGCCATTGTAGTGTTATTAATTGGCCTAATTTTAATAATACTGTGTTTCAAGAACAGGGATGCCTGGGCAGAAGGAGAGAGAAGGTGGAACACCCGGTCATTGAAGCAGACAGAACACAAGCAAAATTACTAAATTCACTGTCTTATATGGGCATGACTTGTGGTGCCCCAAAACAATTACAATAGTAATATAAAAGATCACTGATCACAGATCACCATAACAGATATAATAAAATGGAGAAATTTTGAAATATTGCAAGATTACCAAAATGTGACACAGAGACCCAGGGTGAGAACATGCTATTAGAAAAAATGGTGTCAATAGACTTGCTCAATGCAGGGTTGTTGCATACCTACAATTCATTAAAAATACAAAAACCCTGGAAGACAGCCTAGGCAATGCCATTCAGGGCATAGGCATGGGCAAGGATTTCATGATGAAGATGCCAAAAGCAATTTCGACAAAAGCAAAATTTAACAAATGAGATATAATTAAACTAAAGAGCAAAAGAAATTATCAACAGAGTAAATAGACAACCTGCAGAATGATAGAAAATTTTTGCAAACTGTGCCTTCGACAACGGTCTAATATTCAGCATCTATAAGGAACTTAAACAAATTTACAAGAAAAAAAAAACAACCCTATAAAAAGTGGGCAAAGAACATAAACAGACACTTTTCAAAAGAAGACATACATGTGGCCAATGATCAGTCATATGAATAAAAGTTCAATATCACTGATCATTAGAGAAATGCAAATCAAAACCACAATGAGATACCATCTCACACCAGTCAGAATTGTTACTACTAAAAAGACAAAAAATAACAGAGGCTGATGAGGTTGTGGAGAAAAAGGAATGCTTATACACTGTTGGTGGGAGTTTAAATTAGTTCAACCATTGTGGAAGACAGTGTGGTGATTCCTCAAAAATCTAGAAGCAGATTAAATATAGCATAATTCTTAAGGGATCTAGGATATACCCATTACTGGATGTATACCCAAAGGAATATAAATCATTCTATTATAAAGACACATGCATGTGCATGTTTGTTGCAGCACTAGTCACAATAGCAAAGACATGGAATCAACCTAAATGTCTATCAATGATAGACTGAATCAAGAAAATGTGGTACATATACACCATTGAATACTATGCAGCCACAAAAAAGAATGAGATCATGTCCTTTGCAGGGACATGGATGGAGTTAGAAGTCATTATCTTTAGCAAACTAACACCAGGACATAAAACCAAATACCACTTGTTCTCACTTATAAGTGGGAGCTAAATGATGAGAATTCATGGACACATAATGGGAAACAACAGATATTAGGGCCTACTGGAGGTTGAGGGGGTGGGAAGAAGAAGAAGATCAGGAAAAATAACTAATGGGTACCAGGCTTAATACCTGGGTGATGAAATAATCTATACAACAAACCCCCATGACACAAGTTTACCTATGTAACAAACCTGCACTTGTAACCTTGATCTTAAAATAAAAATAATATATCTGTGAAGTGCAATAAGACAACGTGAATAAAACAAGGTATACTTATATAATAAAGATAAATATATAAATATATTTTATATATATAATAAATAATCATATAACAAGAACGTTTATCAGTATGGTTATATAAGGCTCTGTGCAGATATTCAGGGACACTGCAGATGAAAATGTCAATATGCTATCATATGTGCTAAGTTTATGCCAAAAAAAAGAATGAAACACAAAGAAGTACTTAAGCAGCTATGTTAAAGTAATAATTTGCCAAGCACACAAAAATGTATTTTTAGAGTTGCTTTTATTTACAGTCATGCTCCTTTGTAATATTGTCAAACATCAAGTAGGTACTGAATAGACTGATTGGCTCAAAAGACTCTCTGCTTTGTAATTTTTCACTTCTAAGACTCTGGCTTTCCACCATGTGATTTTCTTCAGGCTGGTTCAACTAGCCTGCATGTCAGATTCAGTAAAAATAATTATCCATACTGCAGGCTACTTAATAAACAGCCAACAAAAGACAGCGGTTAGCCCTTAGAAGGTTAGTCCATTAGTAAGAGTGCTTGTGATTACCAAAAATGCCCCTTATCATATGGAGTCTATTCCTAACAAATTAAGAAAAATCCCTATCTAGTATTTTCCATGGAGTATAATGGCTATAATTTAAAGAAAAGAAATAGTGAGAGCCTTTCTTAGACTCAGGCAACATTTTCTTCATTCTTTGATTTTAATTAATGTGGAGAAGACACATTTGAATGAACTTCCCAGTGGTTTGGTTTGATGCTTTGGGTCTCTGCAGGGCATACTCTTTGGTACTGCTATGATTTGAATATGTCTCCTAAAGTGCATGTGTTAAAAACTTAATCTTCAATGCAATATTGTTGGGAGATGAGGCCTAAGGGAAGATATTTATGTCATGAAGGCTCCACCCTCATGAATAGATTAATGACAATTATAGAAACACTTGAGGCTATGAGTTCAATCTCTTGCTCTGTTTCATACTCTCTTTGCCCTTCTGCCATGAGATGACACAGCAAGAAGGCCCTCACCAGATGCAGCTCCTCAATCTTGGACTTCCCACCTCCAGAACTGTGAGCTAAATGAACATATATCCTTTTTATTTTTTATTTTTTTTTGGGATAGAATCTTGCTCTGTCATCCAGGCTGGAGTGCAGTGGCACAATCTCAGCTCACTGCAACCTCCACCTTTCGAGTTCAAGCAATTCTCCTGCCTCA
The DNA here is from genome assembly GCF_000001405.40 of Homo sapiens. NCBI lineage: Eukaryota > Metazoa > Chordata > Mammalia > Primates > Hominidae > Homo > Homo sapiens. The sequence continues at coordinate 113,153,863 of NC_000006.12, forward strand.
GCCTCCTGAGTAGCTGGGATTACAGGCATGTGCCACCACACCAAGCTAATGTTTTTGTATTTTTAGTAGAGGAGGGATTTTGCCACTTTGGCCAGGCTAGTCTCGAACTCCTGACCTCAGGTAATCTGCCCCCCTCGGCCTCCCACAGTGCTTTATAAATTACCACTTTGTAGTATTTTTTATAGCCACATGAAAGGGACCAAGACAGAAAATTGGTACCAAAAAATAGGACTGTTGCTGAAATAAACACCTGAAAATGTGGAAGCAGCTTTGGAACTGGGCAATGGGCAAAGGTTGAAATAATTTAGAGGAGCATGCTAGAAAAGGCCTATCTTGCTATGAATAAAGAATGAAGGACAATTCTGATGAGGACTCAGAGGAAGAAGAGAGCAGTAGAGAGAACCTAAATCTTCTTGTAGGTTACTTAAATGGTAGTCATCAGAATATTGCTAGAAATATGGACATTCTCATGAGGTCTCAGATAGAAATGAGAAACAGATATTAGAAACTGGAGTAAAGGCCATCCTTTTTTTTTTTTTTTTTTTTTTTTTCTTGAGACAGAATCTCACTCTGTCACCCAGGCTGGAGTGCAGTGGCGTGATCTCGGCTCACTGCAACCTCCATCTCCTGGGGTGAAGTAATTCTCAGCCTCAGTCTTCTGAGTATCTGGGATCACAGACACCCACTACCACACCCAGCTAATTTTTTTGTATTTTTGGTAGAGATGGGGTTTCACTATCTTGGACAGGCTTGTCTTGAACTCCTGATTTCGTGATCCACCCTCCTTGGCCTCCCAAAGTGCTGGTATTACAGGTGTGAGCCACCACACCCGGCCAAGGCCGTCCTTTTTATACAGTTGCAAAGAACTTTGCACTAGGACTTCGTAAAAGGCAAAACTTAAGATGATGAACTAGGATATCTGGCAGAAGAAATATCTAAGTGGCAAAGAATTCAAGATGATGCATGACTTATTTTAGCCACTTGCAGTAAAATGAGAGAAAATAAAATTGGTTTAAAGGCAAAATTTATAATTAAAAGGGAATCAGACAGAAAAATTTGGAAAACTCTGTCTGGTCATATAATGAATAAAAAAGCATGTTTGGGAGAGAATATTAAGGGTGTAGCCCAGCATTTGTTTGCAAGAGAGATCAATAAGGATATGAGAAAATCAGGTTCTACTCATCAGAACAAAGGGAGAATGACTCCAAAGACATTTTGGAAATCTTTGAAGCTGCTCCTGCCATCAGAGGCCCAGAGCTCTAGGGGGGCAGAATGGTTTCGGTAGATGGAACCAGAGCACAGTCTAGAAGCTCACTACTCAGGGCCCCCTCAAGCCTCTGTTCCCCACATTCCTGTGCAGTGTTCCTTGGTCACCTCAGTTGTGGCTCAAGTGGGCCCAGGTGTGGTTGGGCCATCATTCCAGAAGAAGCAAGCTGTAAGCCTTGGCAATATCCACGTGGTGCTGACTCCACAGATGCACAGAATTTGAGAGCTATAGGGCCATGGTGGCCTCCACCTAAATTTCAAAGAATGTCCCAGATAGACTGGGGGACCAAGTGGAGATTTGTCACAAAGGAAGAGCCATTGCAGAGAGACATCAACAGGGCAATGCCTGGTGGAGCCAGGAGAGCAAGGCAAATCCTAAGAACTCAGAACTGTAGAGCTACCAGCATGCAACTCCAGCCTGGGAGGGCCATAACCACTAGACTCTAATCTGTAAGAGTTGCTGGGTAGACAGCCCAGTAAAGCCATAGGGGCAGGGCTGCCCAAGGCCTTGGGAGCCCAACGCCTTGGGAGCCCAAACCTGCCCCAGTGTATCCAGGATGTGGAATACAGAGTCAAAAAACTTTATCTTCCAGCTTTAAGACCTAATGTTGTTTTCCCTGTTGAGTGTTGGACTTATGTGGCAACTGCTACCCCTTTCTTCTTGCTAATTTCTTCCTTGTGGAATGAAATTTCTATTCTATGTCTGTTCCACCATTGTATTTTGGAAGTAGATAATTTGTTTAATTTCACAGCCTCACAGCTGGAGGATAATATGCCTCAGGAAGAATCCTGCTTTGACTCTCACCCATATCTGATTTAGATGATGTATTTGTCTGTTCTCATGCTGCTATAAAGAACTACCTGAGACTGGATAATTTATAAAGGAAAGAGGTTTAAGTGACTCACAGTTCTGAATGGCTGGGAAGGCCTCAGGAAACTTATAATCATGATGGAAGAGGAAGCAAACACATCCATCTTCACATGGCAGCAGGACAGAGAAGTGCCGAGCAAAGTGGGGAAAGCTCCTTACAAAATCATCAGATCTTGTGAGAACTTACTCACTATCATGATGACAGGATGGGGGCAACCACCCCCATGATTCAATTACCTCCCACGAGGTCCCTCCCAGGACATGTAGAGATTATGGAAACTACAATTCAAGATGAAATTTGGGTGGAGACATAGCCAAACCATATTGATGAGAATCTGGACATTGAACTTTTAGTTGGTGCTGGAATGAGTTAATACTTTGGGGGCTATCAGATTGAATGAATTTATTTTGCATGTGAGAAGGACATGAGTTTTGAGGGCCAGAGATGAAATGCTATGGTTTGACTGTGTCCCCTCAAAAGCATATATTGGAAATTTAATTCCCAATGCAACAGTACTGGAAGGTGGCACTTAATGGGAGGTGTTTCAATCATGAGGATTTCACCTTCATGAATATATTAATGCAGATTATAAAAGGATTTGAGGCTGCAAATTTGATCTTTTGCTCTCTCTCACCCTTTTTTTGCCTTTCTACCATAGGATGGGTGAGATGGCCCTCGCCAGATGTGGCCTCTTGGTTGTGAACTTCCCAGCCTCCAGAAATGTGAGACAGATAAATTTCTGTTCTTCAAAAATTTCTCAACTTGTGGTATTCTGTTGTAGCAACACAAAACAAACTAAGACAGGTACCATCTGCAAACTCCCCTACAAATACTTTTAAATTGCCCATGCATTACTAAACTCTGGTAAGCATTGCCAAGGAGAACTCCTGTTTATAATACCTCCTTTTCCTACTCTTTTTTTCCTCAAAACAGCATTCACATTGCTGCTGGGATGATCTTTTTGTAAACAAAAATATGGCCATATCACTCTGTTAATTAAGATTCCTGATTTATTTCCCGTTATCTACTTGATGGACTCCAACTCCTGAGCATGGTTCTCTGGAAACCACTGCTATCTCCTCCCATATTCTCACTTCCAAGTATTTTGCCATTGCATGTTTCTATGAGCCTAGAATTCACAACAATTAGTAGTTCCTGAAGCAACTCATATTTTTATTCTCCCTACTACCAAGACTTGGCCCATCTGTATTAGTTTGGTAGGGCTGCTGTAATAAAATATCACAAAATGGGTGGCTTAGGCAAAAGGAATATATTGTCTCACAGCTCTGGAAGCAAGAATTCTGAAATCAAGGTGTCAACAGGGTTGGTTCCTTCTAAAGGCTGTGAGGAAGAATTTATTTCAGGTTCTCTCCTAGTTCTGGTGGTTTGCCAGCTATCTTTGGTATTCATTGGTTTGTAAATGCATCACTCTGATCTCTGTGTTGATGTTCACATGACATTCTCCCTGTATGCCACTCTGTCTCCAAATGTGCCTTTTTTTATAAGGACACAAGTCATATTGGATTATGGCCTACCCTAATGATTTCATTTTAACATGGTAAAGCACCTATCCCCAAATAAGTTTATAAAGTACTGGGGGTCAGGTTTTAACCCAATAATTTGGTAAGGAACTATTGAACCTATAACACCAGCCCTCTTCTTGGATTTTTCAGATCCCACTCCCACCCCTTTACCTCCTCCTTATTTGGTGAGTTATTATTTACTGTCAAAACCTGTTGAGTAAGGTCCTCCTTTGGAAGCCTGCCCCAACTCTGTCACCCTTCACCTATCTCTTGTGATATGTACTTGCATTTATTCCATGGATTGATAATTTCCAATTTTATACCTATGCATATGATTATTATGCATACATATTATTATTATATTACACAAATATTATTATAAAATCCATCTTTTGCATTAGAAAGGTCTGTGGGTCCAGAGTTTTCTTATTATTCATATTCTTAGCACCTCACATTGTGCCTAGCACATCGTAAGAGTTCAATATATGTTTGGAATGTTTTAAAGTTTGTTAAATAAAATGGAAAGAAGGCAAGAATCAAACACTGCTTTGAATTTCTTGAATAAATATTATAAAGAGAAATATTTTGCCTATGTTAGGTTGAAAGTGCGTTGAAAGGAGTTAATGTAATGAAGATCTTATCAGAAAACAATACCTTTTGACTTATTCTTAGATACTTTAAAAGTGAACTTTAAATATTTTGAACATAATATAGTTTCTTTAAAAAGAACAGTATATGTTCTAACCTATGTATGTGTTGCTCCTACCAAGAATTATACATGATCAGCTTATTTTCTTATAAAATAATCTATAGTCCCTAAAGGACATTCTCAGGTTTTGAAAAAATAATTGATTGCAGGTTTCTAAACAATTTGGTAACATTTTGCGACAATCGAACATGCATTTAACTACGTGAAGGGAAAGCAAAATCCAGCAGTTAGAGGGAGCTTCCTCATTTAGGTAAGCAGGCTCTCTGACACATGGCTTACCTCCACCCCATTCCACCATCAGAATCAGGTGTACAATCAGGAAGGGAAAAACAGCATCCTTGCCCTTCCTCTGAAGCACACACAAGGCAGGGGAGACCTTCAGAATATTTCTGTCTAAAGGAAACAATAACTACTTGAGACCTTGAGGAAACTTGAGGAAGCAGGAATTGAGCAAGGAACTTCCCACCACCATTCTAAATAACAAATAAAACCACAAACAATTCCTAATCTGCAAAACCATCCTTCTCTATGGAGAGGGATCATATCTTTGACTATCTTTTAAAAATAAATAAATAATGATAGCAAAACCAACAAACCAACAAGCAACAACAACAAAAAAAACCGTTGGAAGGCAAAAGTCTGGTTATTTTAAAGTTTAGTATACATGATGGATACTTGGTGATTGTGGGTGTTCTGAATCACTGTGGGTGATTGTGGGTACAATTCATTGATTATCACATTGTACTTAGTCTACTAATTTATAGACATGTTTAAAATACTTTCTATATCATTTAAAGAAAATGATTGATTTGAAGCCCATGACACTTTTGTTAGTATTATCTATGCACCACTTCTAGCATTTTTACAATTTAACATTCTCAAAAGAAAAAATGCTTTGAAAAGAAGTTGTTGCTATGATAATAGATATGAGGATAAAGATGCACAATATCACTTAAATATATATTTACTATATATTTATTTAAATTGGAAAAAATATTATGGTATTTCAGACAATATGACATATTCTCAGGTAAGAGTAAAAAGAGTGCTAAGTAGAATGAGTTATTTAAGTAGACGTCTCCTGAGGGAAGAAAAAATAATCAAGAATGAACTTTTTAAAATTTTATTATTGTTATACTTTAAGATTTCTATAATTCATACATCTGTAATATTCTTTATCTTGCTGTAAATAAATTATTCATTTACATAACAAAAAAATGAACATTTTTATATTTTCAAAGCAGTGATTCCTATAGTTCACATAAATGACATTTTTCATTCTTTGTTCAAAACTACCTTATGAGTTATTTCAATTGTTTGTTTGCAGAATAAAACACATAATTCAAATATTTTCATCAAAGGTGACATTGGGCCATCTCTTTTATGTAAATATTGTATTTTGTTTATTTTCAGCACAATTTCCTTGGTATATACTTTCCCTGCCTTGCAGCTTGTTCAAATTTATTGTTGACAGAACATGAACTCATTATGACCTTCATGGCTTAAAATAACTTTCATTTGTCAGGTATGATCCTGCATTTGTACCTTAAATATCCTGGTCAAATTCTATACTTTTCCCGATTTAACCACTTGCTTTGATCTTGCACCAACGGGTGTACTTTTAGAGACACAGAGAATCACAAAGTATATTTACATGTATCCGGGACATAAATGTGCCTTCACATAGTGAAGACAGCATAATGTTCAGGGTTCTGGACTGGGAGTCAGAAAGCCTAGGTTGATTCTTGGGACTTGCCACATGTTTAAGAGTCCTTGAGCAAGTCACCGAACACAGGTCTCTGGCCTCCTCTGCTTTCCTAATTTTGAAATAAACACTTTGAGCTAGATGAGCTCTAGGATCTCTTACATTATAAAATACAGAGACCTAGAGTGACCTGTTTCTACTTGGACAAAATGTAATTTGTTTAGAGAACATGCTATGGCACTCTAAGGACTAATTTTAAGATGTTAGTAAATATTAGAAACAAAGCCTGTTGACTCTGACTGTGGCTCTTGATAAAATAAAGCAAAGAACAGATACAATTACAGCATCACAATCATTTAAATTACTATAACTCTTCTGTTAGAGATAGCCTCAGACTGACGGAGAAACAACTCGTTTATTATAACAACAACAAAAAACACTCACGAGTAATATCATTTTTAAGCTGTTTGCTTTGTTTTGGCTTTATTTCATGAGGAGATTGAGAAGAAAATAAAATTGGAGATGGATTGGGAATACAATGAAGTAAAGATATTTAAGAATAACACCCATGGCAATGTGAATTCCAGAGCAAAGATGAACTGAATAAATTTGGAAGAAATTATATAAAGTCCTCATGTGAGCTACATTACACAATGAGTTATCACGTGAGACTACAATAGCAATAAAATGCTTGAGATGATTATATCTTGTCTCTCCAGTTTAGTTAGAAGAGATATAAGCTTTATAATAAACTCACTTATTCACAAATATTCTAATAACACTGACATAGTAAAAAGATCATGCATGAATGTCATCAGTTTTTGCTATAAGCAACAATAAAAAAAGCCAAGAACATTACTTTTCATCTCTCACTGCCACAAAAACACAGCGATTGCAAAAAACAATCCTGTGGGGTGCTTGTTAATAGACAATTTGTTTCATGCTTCAGAAGGGAATTCCTTTCCTTTATCAGAAACTCAGTTAAAATTATGCAATCATGCCACTTAAAAACAAAATCCTGTACTAATTTCAAAATCCTTTTTGACCATATTCTGCTAGTAGTTAAACTTGCCACCACAATTTTAGCAATTTACTGTTAATTGTAAAATGGATTCCTGAAAGCAGTAAGGAAACATTTTTCTGGGTTGGAATATGATTTTTTCCCATCAGCCTTACCTAACTGGGGACCAGTTATTCCCCTGAACACACACAAAAAAACAGCTTACATCTGTTTAGAAAGGAGTTAGGATAGCAGCCTTGGCTACATAAGTGAAACTCTTTTGTCTAAAAATCCCAGGAAATAGTAGGCATTTGAACATGAAATTAACACAAGAAAAGAAGGTTACGTTTCTAAGGTTTGTGTAGTATTTAAAAATAAAGCTATGTTTGCATTAAGAGCACCCTTGCACTTAAAAACAACCAGTTTTAATTATTTGTATCACCTGCACATTTGTCCTGTAACTATGTTTAAAATTTGCCTCAGCAGTTAAATCTGGATGTTGAGGTAAAGGTATAGTTCCAAGAGTAGAAATCATTATTGTTCATTCCTATGGGATCGTTGCTTCTTTGGGTGTCAACAAAATTAACCAGAAAATGTTTAAAGTTAGCACACTTTTTATATGGGAAGGAATTTGGAGACCAAGAAAAGCTTGTTGCCATTTGTTCCCAGTGTTGTCTCCTAGAATCAATAGACTTTGGAATCTCCTATTCCAAATTCAAGACCATCTCAAACATCAGAAACCTCTAAGTGGCAATCAAAGAGCTATAATTATCTTTCACATGAAATATATCACAGTTCATCAGGTCATTTGTCTAAGTAATAGAGATTGATAATATTTATTAATTATTGTGTATTTTTAAAATAGTACATTAAAAGTGAGCATTTTAATCAGATTTATTGGATTCAAATCTCAGTACTACTCAATTGACCTTGGGTCAATGCTTAACCTCTGTAGTTCTTCGCTTACTTATCCACTAAAGGAGTCCAAATAATTATTTATAGGTTATTTGTTAACATTAAATGAAACTCTGCATGTAAGCAGCTTGGTACACTATGTAGCACATATCAAATACCTGATCACTACTAAATTATAAACACTGTCCTAGATTACAAGTCTGGATGACCAGTTATTTTCTTAAGGATGCTTTACCAATACTATACAAAGCTATATCCTCATTGTTGCTCACAAACTATGACTGCCCAACCATTACTACTGCTTTAGAGAGAATATTCACTTACTACAAATATTAATAACACTGCTTTTTTTAAACATACTTCCTATGCTCTAAAAGAGCGGTATTTTAAATTAGGCATAGACTATTGCACATGTTCAAAAAATGAGGTTAAAAGAAAGATTATCAAAGCAGAAGTGTAGGGGAAAAAATTGTTTTATAAATATATGAAAATTTTTAAATCCTTTGAAATTTTAATTTTGTAATCCAATCTATGCTCTATTTGACAATGGTAAATTTTGAATTCAGAGTAAGTGATTTACATTTACAAAAGTTATTTCATATTTTTATGAGGTTGATTCTTAATATATAAATTCCTTAAATTACATATGGAAGATTATAGTAGTCTCTTCTTTTTTGCATTTTCTGAAAGTAAAACTAATAATATGTGAGATCTTTTCCACTTTATTTTGAAATTTGAAATACATCAATAATTGTAACTTATTTGAAATTTACGTTTCACATTTTGATTTTGGTTATAATTAATATATTTCCATTTTGTACATCATCTTATTAAGAATTTAAAAATCCCTATTTCGCTTAACATAATGGTCACTTGAATGATAATGTAAGTTGACGGCCATTATGTTAAGTGAAATAAGCCAAGCACAGAAACACAAATATCACATGTTCTCACTCATATATGAGAGGTAAAAAGTGGATCTTCTGAAGATAAAGAGTAGAATGGTGGGAAGGCTGGGAAAGGTAGAGAGGATGGGGAGATGAAAGGGAAAAAAATAATATAACTGTATTTATTACTACTGATCTGTACACTTAAAAATGGTAAAGATGGTAATTTTTATATGCATATTTTACCCAATAAAAATGAATTCACAGAACTGTAAAAAAAATACATATATATGCAATTGAAAGAAAAAAATGCCTATATTTTGTTCTTCCTTATATTAATAATTTAACAAATTTTGCAACATTTAGTAGCTTTTTTCTATGACATCTATTAATTTAATTTCCATCTTTTAATTCTTTATAGATCTTTTGAACCACATAATCTTATCAGATTTTAAAATTCTCACAAAACTGCTTGCAATTTTCTCCCAGAAAGTATTAATTTAATACAATTTTAAAATTAGGACTTCTCAATAAATTATGAAATTATTCATGCCATATGCCCCGTTGATTGACTTAGGAAAGGTACATGTTTTTAAAATTGTCCAGTATCAATGATTTTCATTCATCCAAGGGCAGAGGGAGGCAACCTTAGACCTTGAGTCTTATTTGCTCCTAGGAGGAGAAATAAAGAGTTCTTTAAACATAAAAGAATAAAACTAAGACTATTTCAAGGGAAGAATGCTACAGATTTTCCATCCTAGTGCTAAAGCTAGAAATAGAGCACAATAATAGTCCGTGTCCTGCTTTGTATTTTATAAGATATTTTCATTTTTATTGGTAAATCTCTTGAACTGTGACTTAGTTCCTCTAAATTAACATAATGATTTTACCTATATATTTTAAAAATTAGTAAAAGAATTATAGGTCTAAATGGCATATAGATGCTTTCAGTAACTTTTATTTATTACAATAAATCTTATACCTGGTGCTTGACATCACTCTAACACAGCCTGAAAAATAAAACACGGTCATTGCAATATATATTTTTAAGGTAGTAATAAAAATATAATAAAATGTTGAATCTGCAAAAGTTTTATTTAAATAATAATGTCAGTTCATGAAACATTTTCTTAAAATTATTTTTCCTTGATCCCTGGCATCACTCTTTTATTAATTTAGTCTCAGAGGAATTCGGGCTGCAGTTCTTAGCCTTAGTATGTATCTAGCTTGAGGTTTGTTTCTAAGGGGACACCTTCTGACTTCAGAGCATTTCACTAGCTAGCTGAAAATGGAGAGCAGGAAAATTAGGCTAAAAATAAAAAACAAAAAGGATGAATAAAAATGCCCACAAATGCTTGGAAATGAAAATATATACGCCTAAATAACTGAGGGATTGAAGAAATTACAATGGAAGTTAGAATTTATTTTGACCTAAATGCTTATGAAATTATGACATCAAATTTATAGAAGGCAGCTTAAGCCCTGCTTAAAGAAAATCTTATAGAATTAAGTATAAACATACATTAAAATATTAAAATATATGTTTATACTTAATATATGCTTATACTTAAACATATTAAGTATAAGAATATATTAAAAGAATTAATACTAAAGATCAAAGTCTCTACCTCAAGAAATTATATAAGTAGGCCAGGAGCTGTGGCTCATGCCTGTAATTCCAGCACTTTGGGAAGCCAAAGCAGTGGATCACTTGAGTTCAGGAGTTCGAGACCAGCCTGGGAAACATGGCAAAACCCCGTCTCTATGAAAAATACAAAAATTAGCAGGGTGTTGTGGCATGCTCCTGTAGTCCCAACTACTTGGAAGGCTCAGCCTGGGAGGCAGAGGTTGCAGTGAGCCAAGGTCACGCCACTGCACTCCAGCCTCGGTGACATAGTGAGACTAAATTCAAAGAAACTATATGGAAGGAAATAATAATGCCAGCAGAAATTAATAAAACAAAATAAAACACAGAATATATTTGAAATAACTAAAAGAAATTGATAAACACTAGATTAGGATGGGAATAGTAAAGACAAAAAAGAAAAAGAGAGGAAAATACAGATCATCAATACCAGGAATACAAAGGGGGATATCACTGCGGATTATAGCATTGTTTAATAGTAAATAAGAGTACATTATAAACAACTTTAGCCCAATACATTAAAAAAAAGATGAAATGGACAAATTTCTAGAAAAACACAAATAACCAACATTAGTATAAGAAATAATAAAAAGCATGAATAATGCTATGTCAGTTCTTAAAATCTGTAATTAATAACTTCCCCCCAAAAATTCACGGATCCAGATGGTATTACAATTCATTTCTACCAAACATTTAAGAAAAATATAAAATAAATCTCACACAAATTTTTCGAGAGATCAGAAAAAGGAAATACTTACTGACATATTTTTTAAAACCAGAAAAACTTGATACCAAAAACTGACAAAGACAATATAAGAAAGGAAAATATCAGAGCAATCACCCTCATGAACATATATGTGAACATCATAAAGAAAATATTAGAAAAGTATAGCAATATATAGGAATGATAATCTATCATGACCTAATGGATTTACTTCAAGAATGCAGCTTCAAGTTGATTTGAAATTTGAAAATCAATCCTTTTAATTTGCTACATAAAAGGATAAAGTATAAAAGTCACATGATATTTTGAGATGCAGAAAAGCCATTGATAAAATGAGATATCCAATAATTATTAAAAAGCACACAGTAGGCTGGGTGCGGTGGCTCACGCCTGTAATTCCAGCACTTTGGGAGGCTGAGGCAGGTGGATCACCTGAGGTCAGGAGTTCTAGACCAGCCTGACCAACATGGTGAAACCCCGTCTCTACTAAAAATACAAAAATCAGCCACATGTGGTGGCATGCGCCTGTAATCCCACCTACTCGGGAGGCTGAGAGAGGAGAGTCATTTGAACCTAGGAGGCAGAGGTTGCGGTGAGCTGAGATCACACCACTGCACTCCAGCCTGGGCGACAGAGCGAGACTTCATCTCAAAAAAATAGTAATAATAATAATAAAAGAAAAATTATATATTAGAAAGAAGAGAAGGCATTTCCACCATGAAACATGATGCCATAAATAAAGGAATATGTATGAAAAAGAGGGTAGAAAGGAGGGTAGGTGCTCTTGGATATTAAAAGTGTGGTATATATATATATATATATATATATATATATATACAAATGAAGGTTTAGGTGATAATGATGAAAAAATCTTTCAGAATGTAGACCAAAAGGCAACAAGATGAAAAATTAGATGGTTAGTCTACTAAGGGTACACCCAAATAAAAGAAGTTCCAGAAAGAGAGAACAAAAGAAACAGAGGGGGAAAAATTACCAAGCTACTTCTTTGGTAATTAAAAAAAAAAAATCCCAGAATTGGATGACATATTTCAAGACAGTAACAGGCCAGCAGAGTGCCCAGCACCAATTAACTACAGAACTCAAGTGACAAATACTCAGATGTCCCCTATATTTATTTGTGTATTCAAATCAATAAATCCTAATCACTTCACTATCTTTTGATCCAAAACTACCAACAAGGAAATTTGAATGAATGTTAAAATTTTTTGTCCACTTCCATGAAGGAAAAGCATGCTTCAGTGTGTAGACAGTCTAGCCCTGTTTTGAACTAGCACTAAATCAATTGGATATTTAATTAGAACAGTGTTTGGCAAGGTAACCCACAATAGAAAAGCATTGTACAACATAACCAATAAGCAAATAAATATATATTTATCTAAATGAAACCAAATTTCACAATATAATATTTACCCTTACTCCATGCAAAGCACTCTGGTCTACCCTATCCAATTTAAATGAAATAAACACTGCTCTTGAGGCTCTTAAATGGATTTCACAATGTTCTTAGATCATTAGTTTAAGAAATACTGCCTTTTTAGACTAAATATATAATGAAACTTACTTGTAAGTTCCTTTATACTGAGTTTTTTTTATTGTAGTGAAATTATGGCAATATTATAATTTATTACAGCTCAAGGAGTTTTGAGAATGTTGAAAAAGTTTGAAAAGTATTCTTAGAAATAAGATAATTTTTTCCCATTTTTAACTATGTGCTATAAGTAGCTGAGGTTGTGTGCAAGATTTCCAATTTACTACCTTCTTGACCTTAGAAGTGATCTTCAGGAACATTATCAGTTTTTACAGTAATGTTGTGATTCTGATTTACTGTTAAAGTGGTCATTAGGCCTACCACCTGCTTTTGCAGATGTAGCTGAATCAATAGTGTTCACAGTCTGAAGATTACTAAAGAGCAAATTCTATTTACTTTTTTATGGAACTTAATGACCTTTACTAAACACATTGTATTTCCCAGTTACCAACATCTTAAACTTTACAGCTTCATAGATCGCTTACCAAAAGGATGAGATCAAGTAAGATTAGAAGATTCTCTAATATACATCAAAATTTATCCATAAAACTTAAAACAGTATTTTTTTCTCTTTCTCAACTAATAAGAATACTATTGTTCTGATACTTTCTTTGTTCATGTTTCTGATACATCTGTACTTGTTGTTGGCTTTCTTTCATGCACCCCTAGGAATAATATTTTTTTAGGACATTATTGCAGCAACACAGTGAATAATTTTATCTTAGTGAAATTCTAGTAGTAGTTTAAGAAGCACTGGTCCTCTTTAAATCTGATTAAATAAAAACTATAATAACTACAAGCAGTAAATAGCCAGAATAGAAAAGAGCAATATTAGAAATGCTAATAATCTGAAGACACAATCTAAATGAAACACAGGATAAGATAAACGTTTATCCAATTAACTCCTCAGAACCCCAAGAGTTTTGTTTCCTGTCTACCTTTTCCTTTCCTTCAGTTCTTAGTTTTATGTGGTCATTGTGTATATCTGCTTTTGTGTTTCCATTTTCCCTATTGTTTATCTTTCACCATAAATTTGTCCTTGTTCCTTTAGTTTAAAAATAAAAGAAATTTTATCTTTTATGTTTCTTAAAGGAAAAAGAGCAATTTTAGTTACCTTTAGATTATGGCCCTCAATTCACCATTTCATGAGTCACTTGTCCCAAATAGGCAAAATCTTCTTGACTCACACTCTATACCTGCACTGTCAAATACAGTGGCCACTAGCCACGTGTGGTTATTTAAATTTAAGCTTAAATTAATTAAGCTAAAAAATTAAGTTCCTCAGTTGCACTAGCCACATTAAATGTGCTCAAACACCACTTTTGTCTACTGGCTATTGTACTGGACAGAACAGAATGTTGCTTAGCATGGAATGTTGCTAAGACTGCTGAAGAATCCTGCTAGTCAGCCTGGTTCCACATTTGCAGCTTATCAAAAGGGACAAGGAATTAATGTGGGTATTCTATTAGTCTGTTTTCATGCTGCTGATGAGACATACCCAAGACTGGGCAATTTACAAATGAAAGAAGTTTATTGGACTCACAGTTCCACATGGCTGGGGAGGCCTCAAAATCATAGCAGAAGGCAAGGAGGAGCAAGTCACGTCTTACATGGATGGCAGCAGGCAAAGAGAGCTTGTGCAGTAAAACTTGCCCTTATAACAACCATTAGATCTCATGAGACTTATTATCATGAGAACAGCCTGGGAAAGACCTGCCCCCATGACTCAATTACCTTTCATTAGGTCTCTCCCACAATATGTGGGAATTCAAGATGAGATTTTGTTGGGGACACAGCCAAACCATATTAGCTATCTCCTCTAGCTGACAGCTTTAAGCACAAGTTAAAGGTAAGGGATCCCTCTCAAAAAATAATTTCATAATTTCTGCAGACAGGAGCAAATTCCTGAAAAGTGAAAAACAGAAAGCAAAAGCAAAATAAGCCTTCTTAAATGGACTGCAAACAGTTTAAATAATTTTTTAATTAAATATATTGAATCAACTCATGGCATTGCCCATGGAAACACAGGTTTGGAACAAAGCTCTGCACGACATTTGTATCACCAGTGACAGGGAGTTATGAGGGAGATAAGAGAAAAGGGCAATAATGACCTATTGCAACAGGAACATCACAGATGTATGGTTATCTTTTGACGTTCCCCCTATAATACATGTTAAAAGAATTGGTTTTTGCCTTCTAAAGAATTTGAGCCTCATATGCCACCTTGTCCCATATTTAAAAAAGTAATCTCACCACATAAAAAAGATCTGGGGGCTGGGGATGGTAGCTCATGCTTGTAATCCCAGCACTTTGGGAGGCCGAGGAAGGCAGATTGCCTGAGATCAGGAGTTCGAGACTAGTCTGGCCAACACGGTGAAACTCCTTCTCTACTAAAATACAAAAACTTAGCCAGGCGTGGCAGTGTGTGCCTGTATTCCCAGCTACTCGGGAGGCTGAGGCAGGAGAATTGCTTGAACGGGAGGCAGAGGTTGCAGTGAGCCGAGATCATGCCACTGCACTCCAGCCTGGATGACAGAGCAAGACTCTGTCTCGAAAATAAATTAATTAATTAAATAAATAAAAAAGATTTGGGGATATTCATTAGTTATATTCTATTCAATGCAAACATATTAAATACCTCCTACGAGTAATACTGTCTGCAAAGAATACAAAGGTGCATACAAAATCCCTTTGCTGAGGAAGCTTATGGTCCAAGAGGAGTGGCCTGAGCTTAAATAAGTATAAAGGCAAGTGTACCAGTAGAAACACATGTAAACACGCAAAATTAGTATGCAGAGTCAGAAAACAGAAAATCATTTCCAAATTTGGGAGCAGAAGGGAGTGGCTGGAATTGCTTTATGAGGGTCTGAAGTAAGCCTTGAAGATGGTGTAGCATCTTCAAGTGTGACATCATGCAGCACTTTACAGTTTATAAAGGGCTTTCATATGCATGGTCTCATTAAATAAATCTTTACAAAAACCATGTGCAGTAGACTTTACTATCTCTATCTTATAAGTGGTATAACTATGACTCAGAGTTATGTCACTTGCCCCAAATCACAGGATAACTAGCAAAAGTTACATTAAAAAGCCAAAGGTTTCCAGTTGCCAAATGCTCTCATCTTCCCTCTATAGCGGTGGTTCTCCTATCCTTTACACTGTTAAAAACTATTGAGGATCCAAAACAACTTGTGTTTATGTGGGCTATCTCTCTCAAGGTTTATTATAAAACAAAAATTTTAAATGATATTATTTATTAATTCATTTAAAATAATAAACACATGCTAACAGATACTTTTTTTTTACAATTACATTTGTCTGAAAAACTAATTACTGGAAAGAGTGACATTGGTTTACATATTTGCCAACTTTAATGTCTGGCTTAACAGAAGACAGCTGGATTCTCAGATCAGCTTCTCCTAAATCTGTTGAAATACATTATTTAGGGTAAAGTATATAAAGAAAATCCAGCCTCACATAAACATGTAGATGGATAGGAGAGAAGAAATTCAATAGCCTTTTCGGGTAACTGTAGATATTAATATTTGATATCTACAAAAGCTCAACCAAGGGTAGTTAGCTCCAATGGAAGGTAAATAACTGTATCAGTGCATTTTTTTGTACCGCGTTGGTTTCAAATCTATTGGTCTATATTGCACATTGAAGGACTCCTTTACTCATGAATGATTTTGTACCATCAACTATTGTTTACGTGGAAAATATTGTTTCACTGAGTGATACAGTTCGGATATTCCTCCTTCCAAATCTCATCTTGAAATGTAGGTGGGGCCTGGTGGGAGATATTGGATCATGGGGGAAGTTCCCCCATGAATCACTTAGTGCCACACCCTTGATGGTGAGTGAGTTCTCCCTCAGTTAGTTCGGGTGAGATCTGATTGTTTGAAAGAACTTGGGACCTCCCCTTTCTCTCTCTTGCTCCTGCTGTTATCATGTGACCACCTGCTCTTCCTTTGCCTTCTGCCATGATTGTAAGCTTCCTGAGGCCTCACCAAAAGCTGAGCAGATGCCCATGCCATGCTTCTTGTACAGCCACAGAACTGTGAACCAATTAAACTTCATTCCTTTATAAATTACCCAGCCTCAGGTATTTCTTTATAGCAATGTAAGAATAGACAAATAAACTGTTATGCCACTTCTAAATGTGGATACATTACATTATATAAGATTTTAAAATTCACATCTATTAAGATCACTGAAGTCTTTTATGTATCTTCAAGCTACAATGATAGATACAAGTTTTCCAAAATTCAAGTTTTCACTTGAAAGCTGAAATTTTATCATTGGAAAAAATTTTGTCAGTTGTTTTTCTTGAAGTGGCATGCTCACTTTATTCACTTTCAAGAAAATGTCTGCCAAATAAGTATGAACACTATAATTTGTCTGTTAGTTGTTCTTTAAAGTAAAAATAGTTTTCCAACAAAAAAAGTGGTCAGTTAAGCTTGCAACTCAAACAATCACACAAATTCTTTTCCTCCAGATTACCATTGACCATCCTACTTCAGTATGCAGCAAGTGTTTTATGCATATTTCTCATTTTAGGACACACAATATTAAAGAGATGGGTGATCAACAGTAAAAATCTAGCAAAAGTAATACATTTTACTTTTTCATCAAGAGTAATTTTCGATGAAATTGGCATACACACAGACATGTATATGTATGTGTGTATATGTATGTGTGTAGATATGTGTGTCTATATGCATATATCTATATATTTATATAAACTGCAAATACATGACAGTAAGTAATACAATGACTACTAGTGTAATTTGGTGTCACTGCCTCAATTCATGTTGAGGTGCCAACAATTTTATCACTATTTTTTTTTGTACCATCAGTGCAAATGTCAGCATAGTCAAAAAGGCAAATAACAACTCTAGTGTTATTCTAAAAACAGAATTGACCTTGCAGAATAGCTCTCAGGGACCTACAAGTGTTCAGGTACCTCGCTTTGAAGACTGTTTCACTGTAAACACTTCTTGCTTCTCCTGCTCAATTCCTCATGTTGGTTGCTAAATGAGAAAAAAATAGTCACTAAATGATATATTACTGAAAACACCATTTAGTGTATTAGAAATCACCAATCAGAAGGTAAATAAGTTCATCAAGTAATTTATTTATAATAAAAATCAAGTTTGCCCAAGTCACTGTTATAGGCTGAATGTTGTGTGTCACCCAAAATTCACATATGGAAATTCCAACTCCTCCCTGCCCTCAGTGTAGCTGCATTTTTAGATGGGGCCTTTAAGGATGTTTAAGGTTAAACGAGGTCACAAGGGTAGGGTATTGATCCAATAGTACTAATGTCTTCATAAGAAGAGATTCCAGAGTGCTCACTCTTGCTGTCTCTGCCATCTGAGCACACAGCAAGAAGGCAGCCGTCTACATGCCAGGAAGAGAGCCCTTAACAGGAACTGACCCTGCCAGACCTTTACCTGCAGCTTCCAGCCAAAAGAACTGTGAGAAAATAGATTTCTGCTCTTTAAGTCACCCTGTCTATGGTATTTTATTATGGCAGCCTGAACAGATTAATACACCCACTTACATTATAACTCACGAAAATGCAGTCCAAGCTCTAGAGTTTTACATTAAAATAATAGAACTGAGGACTTGCATGTGAAATGGTTGTTTTTCAAAAAGCTAAATTTCAAATGTCTAATGTAGGGAGATGTTATACTAAATTTACATGTTGGTTCAGCTCTAATGTGAGGAAGTTAGATTAGATTATTTCTTTCCTTAATGCCCCATACATTGCAAGAGCAAGAGCATATTAGCTTGAAGAGTCTGGATATATTTTCCAAAATCAATACTTGTTCTTTAGCAGTGACAGAGTAGCAGACAATTGCATAATGAAGCTGTCTGTCTTTATTTACACAATGTATTTTTGTATTCACTAGGCCAGAAAGAATAGTTCTGTGTAGCAGCTGTCATTGTATTTTTTGCTTATCTCAGTCCTGTCTGCCAGTGTTATAATTCACCAGCTGACACCCGCCTTGGCAGAAACCAAGGGCCATGATTTCATGCCAAAGCAACAACAGGGCTCTGAACTCTGACACAATTCATCTTAGTTCTAGTTAGTAAAGGGGGATTCTTTGAGTTTTCTCTGCCTTCTGTTGAAGCATTTCTGTGTTGGGAGGGGAGAGGGCGAGGAGGAGATAGAGGGGGTGGTGGTGCAATGGAAAAGAACACTGGGAAACAGTTATGGCTCTGTCTGGTGCTGTGGAAGAGGGTCACAGGAAGACAGGGTCAGTTGTGAGGGATAAAGACTGGACACCCAGATAATGAAATTCCTGCTTGTTTGATTTTTCAGAGTTGGAAGGATATGAGAGCACATTTGGTATCCAAAAATACACTTCTGTTCAACTCACACTATTTGGAGGTTCAAAGTGTAATTTCTGGCGCTTTCTGATTTAGGAAGCTTAGACTCAAGCATGAAGGCAGTTGATTGTAGTCATCAAAAAGCCCTGTTTTGGTTGTGAATGCTAAATAAAATAGAAAACACACTTGCTCAAGTTAATTTCTACCTATTAATGTTCATGGTTCATACAGGTCTTATTCTGCAGATAGAGTAATGGCAGGCTTTACAATGTAGGCAATGTTAAACCTGAAAGAAGTTGTGGCCAGATAATCATAATTTTCTTTTCTTTTTTTTTTATGAACTTAAAAGATCAGATTTATTTGGAGAAAACAGAAATCCCACAACCCAAAGGATGGGATTTTACATCAAGACATCTCCCAGGTAATAAGTCTACAGATTACAAATCATTTTCATAGAAGATATTTTTGTACAAGTTTTACATGTATTCAGGAGCGGGACGTTAATCAATCCCTGTTTCTATTTTAATAGGGGGGATAAGGTAGGGGAGAGGGAGAAACAGTTTTGGATATAACTATTTGGAAGGAGAGTAGACATGAAGAGGGCAAACCCTAGCTTTTCATTTTCTACAATCAATGGTTTTTTTTTCTTTAAAAAAAACAAAAACAAAAACCTTTCAGTCTTCAATACTCTTTGAAAGCCCACTTCTTAGCTACTGGCCAATCCACACCAATTATTTAAATTCACTTGGTACACACCTTTGTCCACTGAGTAAATTACATTCATTATGCCCACTGCTGCAGCACGCATAAACCAACACCCCTGCATGGCTGAACAGGGCCTAATCTAGGACTGATGGGAGAAGGGCTTGCAAACCAAGATCAAGGTGTCGTTTCTCTGCTCATACTGTCTACCAAGTTGATCCCTACAAAAATGCACATAAAAGCAGGCAAGTTTAGCTACTGTGTTGCAAGAGAAACCAGGACCTTGTTAAGTAGTTCTCTCCATTACCATTTATTCTCTCAAGGGAAGCTTTAAGAAATAATAATAAAGAAAAACAACACATTGGTCTGGCCACCTCATGAATCCAACTAGCATTGGTGTGGCATTTCAGTGGAGAAGGAAACTTGGGGGGAAAAAACCCATCAAGGTTGTCAGAAAGGCTCCCAATTTAACTGTCCCTGTCCCTATTTATCCACCTTCCAAGACCATCCATTATTCTAGAGCACTCTGTTCTATAAAAAAAGGGGTCAAAACACCAGGAGCAGGCAAGGAGTGAGAATCAAAAGACATCAAGAAACCGATTTGCTTGAGAAAAGCAGCGATTCTTCCTTTCATAGCTCTCCATGGCTGAGAGAGAAAATGCCGAAGACATCAAGTATGTGACTTAGAGACTGCTTTTTGGGAGGTTAAGAGTAGCATGAAGAACTTAAGATGATGATAAGAGTCTAAATTTTTAGTTTCAAGGTTTCAACAGACTGTGGATATATTCAAACTTTCAAAAAGGACAGTGTTTAGAAAGGGTAAAACTAATTTTCTAACAGTCTTTCCTTTTTATTGTAAAAAAAAAAAAAAGATGCTCATGTACCGACTGTAAGAATCCCCTAGGTTTCCCACCATATACCTAGAATAAGAACCGTACTTTCCATTCCATTTCCTGATACTAGGCATGTCATGATGCACAAAGTAAAATGTCAAAAAAAAAAAAGATAAAACAAACTAGATAACTGAGGTCTTTCAATATCACTTTGGCTGACATTATCTTAATATATCAACAACAAAAAATTGTAAAGCTAGATCTATTAAGGTCACCGCCTTTGTTTTTCTCTTTGCTTTCTGAATATACACATAATCTGATTAAGAAAGCTTTCAATAAGGGATTGCCTTAAAAGTAAATTGACTTTCTATTGTATAATAGGCTGACATTTCTTGGCAACCTACGGAAGCTGTTCTGATGAGCCTCTGTGTTAGTAAAGAATACATGTAAGTTGTTTCTGATTGTGATCTTGGTATTGTGTTAACGGCACAGCCCTAAATATGGAGACAAGCCTCATGTATTAATGTTGCAAACTTACTAGGAAGAACAAAAACAAAAGGAATAATAATTTATCAAAATCTCAACTAAAACTACATTATACAACATTCAACACAATAATCACTGAATACCAAAAAGAATATTGGTTTCATGTGTTTTGTTGAATGAATAATACCAGATTTTCCCGTTGAAGGACAATTTGCAAAGAATATTTGGACTATGTATTCTATTGAAAAGATCATCCTTATTTGCAGGAAGAAGCTTGAAGGACATTAGTTTTTTACCTTTAAGCTAATAAAGTAATTCTGATGTATCAGTGATGAACCACACATACTCCAAAGGAGAACAACCTCACTCCCATCAGCCTTTAAAAAAAATCAAGGCAGAAGAAAAGACTCTATAGATCTTTGTGATCATCTTTAAGTTTATATTTAAAAGCTGACACACACATTTGAGTAGAAATGGCTAAATGTGAAGAAAAGGGATGGGGGCACACAAGATAACCAAATGGTTTAGGGCAAGGTGGTGAGCAGGCAAAGCACAAATGCTGAACCAACAGCAGCATCCTGGCCCCCAGTCAGAAACTGAGCTCTGGCCATAGAAGGAGGCTCTGGTCATCTGAACAATGTGAGGTCAGAGAGGATGGGCAAATCTACTTTCTCCCCAACCATCCTGCAGGCTTTCAAGATGGTGTTGAAAAACTAGTCGCCCACACTATATCTGGCCCTCAAAACACAAGCAGGCTATGAACATGTGAGGTTGGCTCACAAAAAGTTAGGAGACAAAAATCAGGTATGTCATCAACTTTTTAAAATTAGCAGGCTATGCATAGAAATACAGGTTTTCAAATTCTCCCTTTAAGAAAATAGCCAGTCTGACAAAACTGAGTGTATGTCTTCACAAGCTCAAATAACATGTTTAGGTGAGCCCTCCAATTTGCCATAGCTCCTACACTGCCTTTTTAATCCCCACCCAACCTGCTTCAGTCATTTATGTTAGATATTATTTCTTCAACTTAGTATGTCAATCCTGATGAGAAATCAATTGTTCATTTAATTATAGTTTCTTTGTAAATTTACCTGGTTTCTGTTCCAGTAATGTTACATAACAAACAACCCCAAATCTCCGTGACTTAGAACAGCAATTGCTTATTTCATATTCACAGCTCTATAAATGGACTGCAGTACAGCTGACCTTGGACAGGCTTATTTGGGCCTAACTGGGTTCTAAGCTTTCTGCTGGGTTCAGGTATGTTCTTCATGTCTTTATCTTGGGAACTATGTTGAAGGAATCAGCCTAGCTGGGACATACTCTTCATGAAAGAGTGCAAACTCAAAAGGGTTTCAGATTTGGAGCTCGCACATTGTCATTTTGCCCTTGACCAAAACTAATCACACAGCCAACCCCCAAATCAAGGATCCAGGGAAGTATATACCACTCACCCTGGCAATGGTAAGCAAGAAGATTTGTAAGTAAATAATACAACCTGCCACCATAGGCAAACTCTGTCTCCTCTCTTGTACCTTTGAACATTTCCTTTTTATTCTTGATCTATCAAATCACTATTTTTTATTCAAACCACTTGACAGCTGGTGTGAACCTTTTCATTTGAATATCTTCCTTCAATTCTAGAAAACTTTCCTGTTTTCTTTACATGTTGTTGTTGTTTATAAGCCACTTCCTTTATTATCTTCTGGAATTTCTTTTAGACAGCTGTGGACCTGTTCATCACTCTACCGTATGTGTATTGTAGTTTCTCTTTTCTTACATTTTTTCTTTCTGTTTGTTTGTTTGTTTTTTGTTTTTGTTTAACATGGAGTCTCACTCTGTTGCCCAGGCTGGAGTGCAGTGGCGCGATCTCGGCTTACTGTAACCTCTGCCTCCTGGGTTCAAGAAATTCTCCTGCCTCAGCCTCCCGAGTAGCTGGGACTACAGGAACGTGCCACCACGCCCGGCTAATTTTTTGTATTTTTAGTAGAGACGGAGTTTCACCGTGTTAGCCAGGATGGTCTCGATCTCCTGTCCTTGTGATCCTCCCTCCTCAGCCTCCCAAAGTGCTGGGATTACAGGCGTGAGCCACCGCGCCCAGCCTCTCTTCTCTTTTTTAAAACTTTGTCTCTTCGTGTCTCTGTTTTACTGCCTTCTGGACAAACTGCTGGATTTACCTTTCTTATCTCACTTTGTATCCAATTTGGAGTAGCCTATCTACTGTTTTTAATTAGCAAATTTATCTTTTTAGTACTTATAATTAATTTATTTTTGCTACCATTTGTTTTATTTATTTATTTATTCAATTTCAATAGCTTTAGGGGTACAAGTGGTTTTTGGTTACATGGATGAATTGTGCAGGGATAAAATTTGGACTTTTAGTGTATCTGTCACCCAAATAGTGTACTTTGTACCCAAGGGGTAATTTCTCATCCCTCATCACTTTCTCATTCTTTCCTCTTCTGAGTCTCCAATGTCCATTATACTATTCTGTAGGCCTTTGTATATCCATAGCTTAGCTCCCACTTGTAAGTTAGAACATGAGGTATTTAGTTTTCTCTTCCTGAGTTACTTCACTTAGGATAATGGCCTCCAGCTCCATCCAAGTTGTTGCAAAAGACATTACTTCATTATTTTTTTATGGCTGAGTGGTATTCCATGGTGTGTGTATGCATGTGTATGTGTGTGTACACTACATTTCCCTTATCCACGCATCGATCAACAGGCATTTAGGTTGGTTCCATACCTTTGCAATTCTGAATTGTGCTGCAATAAATATACAAGTGCAGGTGCCTTTTTGATATATTGACTGCTTTTCCTTTGGGTAGATACCCAGTGGTGAGATTGCTGGATCGAATGGTGGATTTACTTTTAGTTCTTTGAGAAATTTCCTTATTGTTTGTCATAGATGTTGTACCAATTTACATTCCCATAAATAGTGTACAAGCATTCCCTTTTCACCACATCCATGCTGCCTATCATTTTTTGACTTTTTAATAATGTCCATTATCCTGACTGGGGTAAGGTGGTATCTTGTAATTTTAATTTGCATTTCCCTGATGATTGGTGATGTTGGGCATTTTTTCATATGTTTGTTGGCCATTTGTACATCCTTTTCTTGTTTTATTTCTGCCTATTTTTAGTTCATTTTTATCTCCCTTCACCCATAAGCTTATTTGCATCTTTTCCCATGCTTATCTTCTCCTCTCCAAGTCAGTAAAAGAGAAATTTCTACTGTCTAATTTTTGTAACTTTCAAGATCCCATTCTCCTCTGTGTCCTCATGGCTCTCTGTTGATTATTTTATTTTCACTTGTCTCTTTAAACTCTCCATATACTATGTCTTAGCCTGTAGCCTTTAAATATATTCAAGTTTAGCTGACCTTTTAAAAATTAAACCTTATACCTCTCTGATATTACCCTCCTTCTCTTCACAGTTCATATTATGGAAAACAGTACCTGCCATCAGGTTTCTGTTAACTCATCAACAGCTTTGTAAAACCTAAGAAAAATTGCCCATTTCTCTGGATGTGACTCTGTGCCAGGGCATGACTCACTGAATGGAGCAAGTAGCTGTGTTTAGCTCACATTCACCTATTTGGCTGAGGGTTCTCACACAAGAAACCACCTGCATAACCAGATTAAGCCATTGGGCCCCTTACAATCCAATTAATTCTCAAAATCCTAAAGTCTGTCTACTAACCCTACTACATATTGAAAGAACTGCCACAAGGTCACCAATATCAACCAGGATGCTAAATCTCAATCATTCTTTTTAATTCTTCTGTTTTTCAATCCCTGCACTAAATTTGACACCAGCGATTACACTCCTTCTCTCCTACCTGAAATTATTTTGCCTCTTGGTTTCTAGGGACCTCCTCTTCTGAATTTTATATCCAGTTTTTACCTATAGCCTCCATCTACTCTTGAAGGCTGAGTATAAAGATCATCTCTTTTTGGGAGCTGTATATAATCCCTTCTTATGATCTGTCAAAGCAACCTACTTACATCTATTTCAGTACATATGACAACATATCATAACCATATTTGCACATTCTGTTCCCCTACCTCTACTGTCAGCTCTCTTATATCAAAAAACCTAGCATATAATATCTGCCATAGTAAACAGATGCTCACTAATTTGAGTAAATGAGTAGGTAATTATGATAATGCCATGCAACATAGCATGTGAAAATTCTTGGTATCTGTGAAATATACAAATAATGTCATTTGAAGCAAGTGATATTTTAAGATGAGAAATATGGAAGGTAAAGGGATCATGATGGTTTCAGATATTAACAAGGGGTCTAAAAGAGGTAAGAATAACCAAAGATATGAGCATTGAAAACAAAGTTCTTTGTTTCCCCGTAGTCCTGCCAAAATGTTCCTGAAGGCATCAGCAGACACTTTCTTTAAGTCTCCTTTATTCATTTTTTAAAGCTCTTTGTACTTCAGGCAACAACACCTGAGAGGATTTTTCTGGCAGGCGAAAAAATGTTTGCAATGACTTTGATGATACGGTGACTGAGGTGAGAATTTTATTGAATTTCTTTTCTGTTTTTTTTTTTTTACACTGACAAGAATTTACAAACAGTAGAGGTAAATAGACCCACATTTCTCTATATTCTTTGTCATTTAAGGAGATATATTTCTAGTCATTTGCCAGACAAGTAATTGGTCTAAATGTGTCCTCTTATGGAAAAAAAAATGTAGCGTCTTTTATGTATGACGGTCAGTCCTGGTACAGTATTCAAATCACGCTGACTTTATTAATCATTGGCTGAAGAGCCCTTGATACTTTATGATACTCTTAATAGTAGATGATGCTTAAAGTTAGAAAATAATCTGCATCCCATGTATTCTCAGGTGTATTTATCCTTAGGTGCATAAGCAATGGCACACAACCAAAGACTGGCTGCTACCTTCACATTCCTTCTAAAGGGGCTAAAAGGAAGAAGTATGGAAAAATGTATCCACTCAAGTAGAAATTTTATATTGAGTGTGCAGTTTTGATTTTGAATGTCTGATTTTGTTTGTAGGCCAAAAAAGACTGTGATTCCAAATTTGTAAATTAATACAAATAAAAATTAAAATTGCATTAAACATCTTTGTGCAGTAGGATAACAGTTTTTGAGATGTTAACAACTTTTTTATTTTGATGTTTAGATTTTTTTTCTCTTCTCCATTCAAGCTCATTCAATGTGTTTGTTGCCTCAGAGATGAATGTGACAGAGTGTAAATTTGAGAAGAGGGGACTCTTATGTAGATGATTTCCAAAATCCTTTGGACTTAGGAACATGGAGAGGATGACTTAGGGCAGGGACAAATTCAGAGAAGGAACATCCAAAGTGAGAGAATGAAGGCTCTTTCCACCAGAAAGGAATATAGTGAGAGCAGAGATGTTGAGAAGTGGTGTGAAGACGTCTGAAGGGAGATAACATAGATATGAGGAATATTTCTGCAAAGGGTCTTACTCTCAACCTTTCATTATGGGAGCTGAGTCTGCAGCAATAGACTGCTCCCGGTGAAGATCACTCAGCCTCATGCTCATTGATGCTCTGGCACTGCCTAAAATCTGAGGGCCATGTGTAAACTTTCCAGCTCTCATTTTTTCCTTGTACATTAAGGCCAAAGAGACAGAGAACCATTCTTTCCAAGGTCCTGCTCTTGTTGGGCAGATAGGTCCCTTCTTTGTCATCACTTTCCTCAGTATGTGCCCAGCATGATTGATGCTGTCTATTATCTAAAAATGTCCTTCAATAACTTCCTTGACTCTTACAGCACCCCAGGACATCCATAAACCAAAATGTGTATTTCCCTGAACAGCAAGCAAGGAGGTGGGCATTGAGGAAATGTTAAGTCCCTATACTTGTATTAATGGGAGCTGGGATGGGGAAGTAGGTGGTATTGAATGGAATCAGTTTTCTGAACCAGAGACTCATCAATGGCATGGGTAGATGGAAAGAAAATTTCTTCCCTTACCCAAGATATTTCTAACAAACATGTTATCTAAGTATGCATATTACATTTATGTTTCTTTTCTAAACATTTTACATAGCTATTAAGTAAAGTTGGTAAGTAAACTATGGTATGGCATTTTCTTTTTTAGCTATAACTTCTGTTTTACAGAACTGGCACACTGAGCACCCATAAACTTATTTTGTTTAGCTCACACAGTGTTTAATTAAAATTAATTACTAGCATTTAAATATTTTGAAATTTCAAATGAAAATCCAAGTTTCTGACTACTCTTGTAAACCTGGATAGTTGAACAACACTGGGACTGTTCTTGCGTGGCTGCAGTTGACTGCAGCTGAATAGATACTGGTGCCCTAAGCCAAGGCAAGTGCTCTCTAGCCACTTGCCCACAACCACTTTATTCATTCCCTTTTCTTTCTGGGCCTTGAAGCATTAGCGTGCAAAAATGCTTGCATAAGGAAGCTTAATATCCCTTCCAAGAATGATCTAGTCTTTCAATTTCAAGATGAAATACGGCACACTGATAAATATTTGCTGCACACACACACTTAAAAACACAAAGTATATACATCCTCATGAATCAAATCATCCTCAAGTCTAAATAACTAAAAGGGAGACATATCTCCTGTATTGAAAGAAAGCCCTGTAGGATTTAAAATACAAGGAATGCATGGAGAAGGTGGGCAGCATGTACACAGCTGAAATATAATGGATCAATCTAACAAGAAATCTTGCACAGAGATTCTAAACGAATAGTCAGCTTTTTCCTCTTAGAAAAACCAGCATTGACAATGGAGAGAATAGGGAAGGTTCTGGGACACAAAATAAGAAGGACAAAAGTTTATCTTTGGAAAACTAAACCTGTAACCACTTGTTAACACTTTATTTTACAAATCTGCTCTTGATTTATGAAATTTTCAAAGATAGTTAAAATCATCCTTTCCTAAGAAGAACCACTCCTTTTTACATTTAAAAGAATCCTAGACATTTGAGCAATAATAGTTTATAGATACCATTGCCTTAAATAAATGTAAAAAAGAACTCAGGACATCTCTTTTGCCAAGATTACTCAAAATTTAGGAAATTACATAAATACACTCAGAAGTTCAAGGGTCAGCTTTTCTTTATCTTCAGTCTTCATCACGCATTTGCAATACATTATAAAGACTGATAGCTTCCATAAGCAGATAAAAAAATTGTTGGGATAGGAAAGTTTAATCGATATAACTTAAAAGTACCACAGATACCTGATGAATGTCAAAATGTCATATTCCCCTTTTTGCTGTGTTACTAGAGCCATTTGATTTTAAAGAAAACGTAAAATGTCAAAGCATCAGAAAATTTCTGTATGGTCTTTCTGTTCAAGGTTCCCCATCTTTCTTGGCTATTAACCAATATACTCAAGAAAAAGCTTTCATCACTCCAAAAAAAAAAAAAAAAATTTCAAGGGGGTTAGCACTTGAGGCATTGTCTTCCTTAAAACACTTCCTATTTGATTCCCTCTGACAGCTGTTTATGTTGAAGATTACTAACATTCCCAAAGTACTTCATAGTAAAGATTAAACCTGAAGATTACAAAGGTTTATGCATTTTCACATACTGTGATGTGACCTTAATCTACTTAAATCTAAAGAAAAAAAGTCATTTTACAAAGACCCATTTAGCTATTTCGACATGATTCTTTATTTTTTTGGATGCTTATTTGGCATATGAGCCAGAAATTTAAAATGTAACAAAAAATATGTCTTGAAAAAAATTAAAAACAGGCATTTGCAGCACGATGGAAAAGTTCTATAGAGCTTTGAGGGAAGTCCATTCAATTTCACTGGCATTCATAAATGATGACTAATGCATTCAAATAGAATGAGTAATTTACCAAATTACAGACATTTGGATGGGCTCAGAATGAAGATGTTGTTTGTTTGGATATGTCCTGAAGTGAATCTCAATGAGGTTTACTTTGTTATGCCTGACTCTACAAATAGACTTCAGTCACAATTTGAACAAAAGCCCTGACATGTAAATAAATGTGCAAATGATGCCCAGCTACATTATTCTTTTTGTCCTCGGACCACTCAGGAACAGTCAACTCCATTAAAAAATATCAGTCACAAATAGATGGCACCATTGTACTTATCACAAAAGCACCATAAAATAGGCTTCTCTTGGCAAGTTATCAGTGTTATACCCATTCTCTTCACGCCACAAAAACCAAGTCCACACATGCTACAAAATACCTCTCCTAGCAGCCATGGGCTACCCTACAAAAAGTGGACCCTCCACACTTGCATGCTAGTGCCTCATAATATTGGCATCTCCTATCGGACAGCACAAGAAAAGAGCTTTAAAATTCAGAATGCTTCTTTTAAAGGGCTTCCACCCACTGTTATGAAGCAGAGATGAAGGGCAACAGCAAACCCAATTTCCAGTCACAACAACATATGCATTGCTAAATGTCTTGTGATGGGGCTCAAACTCCAACACACTTTGGCAGTTTCTGTAAAGGTCAGAAATTCCAGGTGATAATATAAAATCAATCCTTCATATAATTGTTTCATATGTATCCCAAAATGAATTAGACCTACTATACATCTGGTCCAAAAATTCTGAACATTTGCTAAAGTTGACTGAAAAAATAAAAATATAACCTTTGCCTCATAAACTGAATTGAATTACTAACAAATTATTCTAGAGGTAATCACTTCATTACTTCAGCTACAAAATCTACCTAATTGGATTTTGATAATCAGGGGAAATCTTACTACTACCGTGTCCAAAGCAGTTCTGTCCATTTTCCTGCCAGAATGGTCATGATCCTGGCAACTGTTAGCCTGTTCATTCTGAGGCTTCATTCAAATACATATATACCACACCAAATATACCACAGATACAGCAGAAATGGTTCCTGAGACCTGGAGGATACAATCTTGCATAGAAGAGATATGTTGACCAAGTGACTGGAGGATCATAAGGGCTGTAAATTACCAGTACAAAATTCTGTGGAAGATTACCACAGAATTACCACAGATTCCCTTGTTCCCTAGTCTAAGGGAACAAGGATGGCTTCTCTAAGGAGCGATGTTTAAGCTGAGACTTGAAGGGTGGTGCTACTGACGAGGTGAGTAAGTAGCATGAGCAGGTAGGAGGATTCCAAGCCAAAGAAACAGGACATCCAGAGGCTCCAGACGAAGGAGGATGATGTATGTGGAACTGCACCGAGGCTAGTGTGGCTGGAGTAGAGAGAGGCAGGAAGTGTCTAAGGCTGAGGCACCAGAGGCAAGAGTCAGTCAGATCATCCTAGGCCTTAGAAACTTCTTAGAGCCTGTGGGTTTTATTCCAGAGATGACTAAAAGTCATTAGAAGGTGGAAGAGTTTTGCTAGGGCTGCCTTGACGAAGTACCACAGACTGAGTGGCTGAACCAATTCATTTTCTCACAATTCTGGAATTTAGAAGCCCAAGATCATGATGTCAGCAAGAATGTTTTCTCACAATTCTGGAATTTATTTTATCACAATTCTGGAAGTTAGAAGCCCAAGATTGCGATGCCAGCAAGGTTGGTTTCTTCTGAGGGCTCTCTCCTCGGCCTGTAGATGGCTGTCTTTTTCCCTGTGTCTTCACATGGTCTTCCTTCTGTATGCAGCTGTGTCATAATCTCTTCTTATAAGGATACTAGTAATATTGGATTAGGAGCCACCCATCCCAGTGACCTTATTTTAACTAAGTTAGCTCTTTAAAGAGCCTATCTCTAAACATAGTCATATTCTAAGGTACTGGGGGCTACGGATTCAATATATAAATTTTTCAGGGATGCACAATTCAGCCCATACCAGAAGGTTTAGCAGAGGGCAATTATATAACCCCATTTAGGCTTGACACGTGCACTCTGCTTGTAAGTTGGAAAGTGTAGCAGAGGGCCAAGACAGAAGGTGGGCCAAGAGCCAAGGTGCCATTGACAGGGCCTCTTCTGTAATCCAGGGAAGAGACCACAGTGGGGCAGGGCCCCAGCTTTGCTTCCTGGAGACTGGTGAGTATATCCAGACAAGAAGTAACTTGGGAAAAAGGACACCCATCACTTTGTACCAGCAGAGAAGAAGACAAGGGAAGCAGCAAGCAAATAGATTTGTAGCTATGATGTCAGGAAGTTAAGTTGGTTTGTTTTCATGGTTTCTCTTTTAATTTTCTTTGAGGTAGGACATCTGCTGAGAATGAGAAGAGAGAAAATTGCAGATGTGAATTGAGTAGAAAATATTTTAAATTGCCATTTCAGGGAGTGGGGAAGCAAGCTAACAAAAAATCTCATTAGAATTTCTATGCAGTGTTAAAAGCCCCTTAAGGATGAGTGACCACAGATTCAAAGTGGCATCCATGTCCCCTTTTTGTGGATTTTATTTTGCTGTCATGCTTGACTATGTGGGGACAGATGTGGGGATGGTGAAGAGCTGGATTATTCCAGAGTTCAGATTCTCAGGACAGAGTATTCTTCCTGGAGAACTGCAAGAGGAGTTCTGGGCCACAGCTGTTCCAGCTCAACCCCTGGGAATTTCCCAGGTGCTTGGAATTTGAAGTTATAATTTCACAAAAAAAGCCTGGGATGGTAGATGTTTTCTGGCAGTGCTGCTGAAATGAAAACCTCCTGGAAGCTTTTCACCTTGCTGTGTGGCTCCTGGGGACTCCTTGCACATCTTGAGGCTCCTCCTGTGTGCCACAGCTCCACATCTATGCTAGATTCATTGTGTCACGTTTATATTTTTTTCTTTTTTTTTTTTATCTTTTTTTTGAGATGGAGTTTCGCTCTTGTTGCCCAGGCTAGAGTGCAGTGGTGAATGGTGCGATCTCGGCTCACTGCAACCTTCACTTCCTGAGTTCAAGTGATTCTCCTGCCTCAGGCTAGAGTGCAATGGTGAATGGTGCGATCTCGGCTCACTGCAACCTTCACCTCCTGAGTTCAAGTGATTCTCCTGCCTCAGCCTCCTGAGTAGCTGGGATTATAGGCATGTTCCACTACACCCGGCTAATTTTGTATTTTTAGTAGAGATGGGATTTCTCCATGTTGCTAAGGCTGGTCTCGAACTCCCAACCTCAGGTGATCCACCCGCCTCAGTCTCCCAAAGTGCTGGGATTACAGGAATGAGCCACTGAGCCCAGCCTGTATTTCTTTACTTCAGCTATTTCAAATGTCTTCTTGCCTGCATATTTCCCTATATAGGAAACATGCTTATAATTTAGTACAAAAAAAAAGATTATATTCATGCCACATAGCACACAATAAAGCACAAGACATGATGAAGGGCTGCTGCCTTTATGTCATTCTCCTGGTTCACATGCTAAAGTACCACCAGGATTTTGGAAATTGAAAAAAAATCATTTCTCTTCTGAAAAAAATATGGAAATCTTGCAGAGTCTGAACACAAAGAAGGAAGGTACTTTGGGATGTCTAGGAATTTAATGCTTCCATCAGGCCATGTGTGCATGAGAATTCATTCCAAACTGTCCATTGTCTCCCCACAGCAAATGCGCGCGCACACACACACACACACACACACACACACACACACACACACACACACACACAATCTGTCACAGTATTGAGCTCTTCAGAAACATAGGAGTTCAGAGTTCACATATCTTGAAAGGATGGAATTTAAAGATACAATTTTCATAACATAAATTATTTTTAAATAAGCGCTACTTACTGTGTTTTATAGCAGTATGTGGGCTCTTGCTGTGTAATAATAATAAATTACAAGGGATTTGTCAATAAAAAGAAGTTGAATACTGTAAAATATTGTCCAAGCAAAGTATAGGTCTAAGATAATGCCTGAATGTTTTCAAAATATGCTTATCTGAAACTTATAGTTGAGGCAGGCATCAAATTTTCTGAATAACTTCATGATTTCCATGTTAAACATCATGGTATAAACTACAGTAGTAGAAATGGAACTTGGTGTATTCAGTCTACAATATAAAAAATAATACAGTTGTTCTTAAAAATATGTTATCTTTCCATTGTTTAGGTTGAGATTGCCAACAGGTAAAATTAGATGTACAAGCTGCTGAAAGGGAAGAAACACACTTGAATTTAGTTGCTGTTTGTAACTAGACACCTGAATTGGTAGGGAAGGAAGGGGCAGAAATAACAGAACACAGCTAGGTGGTATTTTTATTAGCTAGTATCCTCAGAGAATCATTTATGTGACATTCCAAAGATAACGAATAGGATCCCCCAAGTGAAAGACCCAAATAAGATATAATTATGACAGCCAGCTCCCCTGCAGTGATGGACTTTTCACTAATTTAGATACTTGTTTCTAAAATGTAGTGCATTTCTAGTTTCAGATCACTGAAATAGATATGTCCACAGAAAGTTATAAATTCTACAATTCTTATCACTTTGTTCAGAATTCTTGAAATTGAAGAGAAATATAATCTCTATAACAACTGGGAATAACTGTCACAGGCTTACATAGTCTTCAAATTAAAAGAAAATCCTTTCTCATATGTCTATCAGGTATCTCACCACCTTCTTAAGACTACAGAAGGAAGCAATGCCTTATGTTTTATATAAAGAGAATAAATTTATCTAAAGAAATAAAAGAGTCGCAATCACCTTAAATTAGGGGAGAAGTTTTGCCTCAGGAAGTTTGGCTTTATTTCTTTTCATTGTAAAAACAATTCAGATGTTTTAAATATGTTCTATGACATACCAGGATCTTATTTTATCTGCGAAAATTAATGGTCTCAAAGAGGCAAGCTAAGAGACAGAAAGGAGACACCTCCATAGTTCCACAAAGCTGTTTCACCAAAATTAAATGACTATTAAAAAAACATGTGGCAAACAGATCTGAGAGTTTGTTTTAAATTGGAAGCATTCCACCTTCCAACTCTCAACTGAGTACCAGAATTACTTCCTTCTGCCAGAGATCTGAGAAAATCATGCTGAAGAGTGCACAGGCTATTTGCTGTAATATTATTTCAATTCCATGGATCTGTAGCAATCTTCAGCTATGGCACTGTAAAATTAGTTTTAGATTTTTCCAATATAATATATTTTCCTTTTTTTCTATTCTCTTCCTCCTACATAGGAGCTTGTGACTGTGCATGTCTAAAAACAATCACCATCTTTGACATCCTATGGCATCGCATCTTTGCCTATTAGGTCAATTTCAGAGAATACTGTTTCTTCTATTTATCAAAAGATCAAGAACTGAGTTTTCTTAGGATATGTCTCACTTCTTACGCTATTGTTCATTTCCTACTAGCCCAGTGTGTTTTTTTCATGGAATTTTCTCCATCCCCACAGCCATTTGTACTCTAGAGCTGGGATTAAGCCCAAGGTGGGCGTGGAGGTGATGTGAACTATCAACACACACTACCTCAAAATGTGGCTCCTTGGATTTGAGAAAACAGCAGAAGCAGGAAGGTCTCTGCGATCTTCTTCTACCCTTTTCCCCTGAAGCAGGCCATAGTAGAATTTTCTGACTTTCCACTGAAGCAGGTCATAAGATTCTCATTTGAGAGTGCACTCCCTCTACCTTTATCTCAGAAGACACAGGGCACAGATAAGAATTTAAACAAACAAGCCTTGCTAAGTTCTCCCCAGTTTATTACCATTAGATAATACTCCTTATTTCCAATCACACTTCTCCACAACCATCCACTTCTTCAGCAAATTTAGTATAAAAAAACACAACTTCCTCGTTTCTTCTGGACTTCATTTTCT
Source organism: Homo sapiens (assembly GCF_000001405.40). Taxonomy (NCBI): domain Eukaryota; kingdom Metazoa; phylum Chordata; class Mammalia; order Primates; family Hominidae; genus Homo; species Homo sapiens. The sequence goes on from NC_000006.12 coordinate 113,188,717, forward strand.
TATGAAGCCTCCTATGTCACATAAAACTTATGTTAAATATATTTATATGCTTTCCTCTTGCTATTCTGTCTTTTGTTATAGGGATCTCAGCCATAATCCTAGAGTTGGATGAGAAAATAAATCTTTTCTCTCATACAGAGAGAATAACAATTTACCCAGGACCTAGGCTTCTCTGTATTGCTGTAGTGTACTCTGGTTGAAACCATCAGTATAGTGGCCTACACAGCAACTCTCAGAATGGACAATCTTTTTCTACAATTTGTTATGTCTCTTTCATGCTATCCTCCCCTCAGCGCTCACATTTCCACGTCTTTCTCAATCTTCGTCTCTCAAAACTTACTTTCAGGAAAGGTTGCAAAAAACCTTTGCACGGATCTGCAAACACCTTAGCATACTTGACTAATTTCAATCTCAGGTGCAATTGAACTTTAAGAGCAAACACAGTTTCTTAAAGCAAAGAACTGTATCTGCTTTTGCAGAATTTCAGGCTGAGCAAGTTTGCAGAAACACTAATTGTGGAGCTACCAAAGAGATTACTCCATGGAGTCAACCAACCATTCTACTTTGGTTTATTCAAGATATCAGAAAGCATTTGTAATCTAGTAGATGAAAAGAGACCTCAAAACAAAGAAGCTTATTTAAATGTTATAGGGTACACACACAAAAAAGAATTTTACTTTAGGGTGTCAGTAAAAGCTTCAGGGAAAAGATGATGCTCCAGCTAATGTCTAAAAGAGATGCAGATTATTTTTAGGTAAACCAAGGAGTGAAATGTTTTCTGTCACCTAGGAATTGCTGTGAACTAGGTGTCTAAAATAGAGTGGATTTGAGGGAAATATGAATTATTATTATTATGCAAGCAAGCTAAACAATGGGGTGTAAAACATGGCTCAGAAAGAGATGAAGCTGAAGAGAAACCGGGGCCAGATCATGAAGGCTTTGTGTACTTTGACAATGAAGACCTTACCTGTATGTCCATAGTTCCCAAAGTGTGTCATGTGTGTTTTTAATGGAACATAAGCTGATTCTGGGTGTTTTTGAATACTTTGGTTATTTTTACTCAAAAATTCGGGGGAAAAACCTTTTAAAATGAGTTTCTTCTATGAAGGCCATACAATATAGGTTTTTACATCTGTAGAAGTAACATAAAATGCCCCTCACTACTGCTACTACTACTAATAAATGTATTCAATGTTTTATGACATAAATAAAAGGATACATTAAGTAATTATATGAGTGGTACATAGATGTGGCAAATGTCATAAAAGTGGTATATAAACGACTTCAGTTTGAAAAACGTAAGAGACATAATAAGGGACGGTTGCAATAGTGTCCCCGAGTGGAAAACCATCTGCAGGAGTTACCATGCAGGTCATTACATGCTTGCCCCAGATATTCAATCAGTGCCATTATGGGTTTTAACAAAGGGTACCCATTCTGAGTTTCACCCATCTTCCTCAGCCTTCTTCCTGCCTCAGGGAAACACCAGGTGTTAGCTCATTAGGCTTGTGATGTGAAGAAACAGAATTGAGTGGTGTTTGGTGAAAGATACCCTTCTCCATTTTAATGCAATAGGTAGTCAAGCATTTGATTTGAACATGAAGCAATGGATCTTACTGCCCCCTTGTGCATGCAGGTGTGTCGCGCTTGCACACACACACACACAAACACACACAGGCACAGGCACAGAACAAGGCAGGGAGGCATTCCTTTCTGGAATTCAGTCAAAAATTATTATTTTCCACTCCAGTGGAGATCACATTCCAGGCCTCATCCAAGGAGACAAAATCAAAGGAATTGATATGTCTTTGCATTAAAAATAATTTGCAGGGTCAGTGACCTGAGCTATTTCTGTGTTTATTAATTACATGGGTATTTTAGTTTCCACTCGTTTTCTGTCCCTTCCAATAAAAGCAACTAATGAGATGCTCTTGACTAGTCTATTAAACAGACTCTATTTCTAAACTCCCCTTAAGTAAAAGAGACATTGTGAACAGTTTCACATGAAATTTTGATGGTATTTACAGTCATCACTTACCTACTCAGGGCTTAATTACATATTGACTTATATTGCTCACTAGTTATTTTGTTGGTGATAGTCTTGTTCACCCAACAAGACTGTAGTTTCTAACGAAGGTGTCGTTATTTCATGTATGCGTCTCTCAGACGCATTAGGATTAGGTATATGGTAAGTGCTAGATAAATACATGGTATTTATCTTGCACAGGATTAGGTATATGTTAAGTGCTAGATAAATATATGTCCTTTTGTGATGCAATGCGTAGTTTATAAATTCTTACTAGGGCATGGAGGAAGTACAAAAGATGAATAAGTAAAACTTCTCGGATGATTAGGGGACTTAGCAAATCTGATTCTATCATGATTTCTCATGGAGTGTATTTCCTTTTGAAGCTGTTTGGCACAAAGTGGTTAATTTCACCTCTTTGACCATTTTAACCAAAGGTTTCCTTTAGAAGGAGAAATTTTTCTGCCATTAAGCATTGGAACACAGTTTAAATTCTCTGGTCTTACTGAAATCACAGTGGTATGTCCTTCTGAACATATTTGTCCAACTTTCAACTTGTCAGCAAAACAGATTGTAGTAGGTAGCATGAGAAAGTATCATTACTGGTTACTCTAGGACAGCCCAAAATGGAGACTGTAAACCCTTGGGTACTCACAGAAATCCAAAAGTATCTCTATACAAAATGTTTGTTTCTGCATTGCAATTTTAATGTTTTGAAGAGTGTCTATTCTAACCTTTAAATATTTTAAATTAAATGAAAAATGAAAATACAACTTATCAGAAATTTGTGTGTACAGTAAAGCAGTGTTTAGTGAGAAATTTACAACACTAAATCTATACACTAAAAAGGGAAAGATATAAAATCAATAACCTAGATTCTATTATAGGCAACTAAAGAAAAAATAAAAAAACCAAACAAGCAGAAGAAAGTAAACAATAAAAATTAGAGAAGAAATTAATGAAATTGAAAACAGGAAAACTAGATAAAACAACAAAAACAGAAGCAGATTCTTTGAAATATTCAAGAAAAGTGATGAACTCTAACAAGACTAACAAAGAAAAAATTAGATGACACATATTACTGATATCAGGAATAAAACAGGAGAATATTCACTCAGACCCTGAAGACATAAATAATAATGATGATAATAATAATAAGCAAATACTGCAAACAGCTCCACAAATGTAAATTTGACAACTCAGAGGCAAGGAAACAATTCCTTAAAAAATTAAGCCTACCACAATTTATACAAAGGGAAACATATAGCTGAAATAGCCATATAACTATTAAGAAAATTGAATTTTTAATTTAACAACTGTCAAAATAGAAATTAGCTGGGCTAACCAAGTCAAAAAGACAGAAGACACAAATTATCAATATTAGAATTAAAAGAGGTTTCATCACTACAGATCTCATGGACATTACAAGCATAAGAGACAAATACTGTGAACAAGCCTATGCCCATAAATTCACTAATTTAGAGGAAATGGACCAATTCATTGAAAGATACAAAGTACCAAAAACTCACACAAGGAGAAATGGATAATACAGCCTATATATATGAAAAAATTATATCAATAATTACTAATATTCCCCCAAAAAAGCACCAAGTCTAGATGGTCTCTGCACCATAAATCTTTCAAACTTCACACTTTTCTAAAGCCTCAACATCCCCACAAACAGGCTATAAACATTCCACTCAGGTGACTAGGTATATCAGTGCCACAAAGTTGGTCACTACCACAGGTTAAAACTTCCTGCCCACCTCTGACTATGACCTAATGACATTCAACACACCAATAAAATTCCCTCATGTCCTTTGCTTGTGAAATCCCCCTGTAAGTAAGGACACTTACCCACAGGTTGATCTTCATTCATTCTCCCTCCCACCCCACTCTACCCCCATTTCTCCCTACCTGCTGGTTAAGTCCACTTTGGGAGCTCCTCTCATATGGCTCCCTGTATGGTATGCCATGACTCTGGTCTCTAAAACCTAGGAGTACTCTGGTCTCTAAGACCTATGAGTATAATAAATATTTCACTTTCATATACATCTGAGTGTAATATTCATGACCATGTTGGAATGATTCTTAAAGACCCTATAAGAGTAACTTAATCTCCCATTTACAACACAATGTTCTTGTTGAATTCTACCAAACATTTAAAAAAGAAGAAATGCCATTTCTCCACAATCTCCTCCAAACATTAGAGAGAGACTGCTAGAGTATCCTAACTTACAACTCATTAGAGAAAGTAATTCTGGTCTGAGTAAGTAACTCTGTAAGTTAGAGCATCCTAACTTACAATTCATTCTATCAGATCAGCATTACTCCAATAGCAAATCCAGATGAAGACATTACAATAAAGAAAAGCTATAGACCAATATATCTTATGAACAAAGATGTAAATATTTCCCACAAGATACTACAAATTAAATCCAATAGCATATAAAAAGAATTATACACCATGACCAAGTGGAATTTATTCTAAGTATGCAAGGTTGGTTCAATATTCAAAAATCAATGTAACTTACATATCAACTAGCTAAAAAAGAAAAATCATATGCTCATATCAATTGATGCATAAAATGCAGTTGACAAAACCTAATACCAATTCATGACCAAAAAAAAAAAAATGCCAGCAAACTAAAAACAGAGGGAACCTTGCTCAATTGATCTAAAAAATTTGCAAAAAAAATCACACAATTAACAACATACTTAGTGGTGAGGAACTGGACACTTTACCCCTGGGATCAGCAACAAGGAACCACTCCTATTCAAAATCATACTGGAAGTCCTAGTTCATGCAATATTAACAGGAAATGAAATAAAAACCATGCAAATTGGAAAGAAATAAAACTGTCCTTACTGGAGAATAGTATTAAAAACCATGATCTGAGGATGTTCGAGGACTAGTTGAGAAGATCAGAGGAGCCTGACTAAAGTTTGGTCAGGGAGGGAGTCCATCAATATGCAAAAAGATGAACCTAGACACAAACCTTTCACAGAAGTTAACTCAATATGAGTCGCAGACCTAAATGTAAAATACTAAACTCTAAACTTTCTAGAAGAAAACATAGGGTAAAATCTACATGATTTTGAATTTGTTTATGAGTTTTAGATACAAGGTCAAAAACATAATTCATGAAAGATAAATTGATAAGTTAGACTTTATTAAAATTACTCTCCAAAAGACAATATTAAGAGAATAAATAGATGTTACAGACCATAAGAAACTATTTAAAAATAAATAGTTCATAAAGGTTTTGTATTAAAACAAATACAAATAACTCTTAAAACTCAGCAACAAGAAACCAAGCAACCCAATTTAATAATGTCCCAAAGATGCAGACCTCTCACCAAGGAAGGTGTAACAGTGATGAATAAGTGTACAAAAACATGTTCAGTCTCATTTGTCTTTATCTGTATTCATTTCCTATTGCTGTTGTGATCAATTATCACAAACTTAGTGGCATAACTCAACACAAATTTATTATTTTACAATTCTGTAGATCAGAAGTTTGAAATGACTTATGGACAAAAATGAAGGAGTCAGCAGAACTGTCTTCTTTCTGGATAATCTAGGGGAAAATTCATTTCGTGCCTTTTCTATCCTCTAGATATTGAGATGCTTCTAAATATGTATATGTATGAATTCATATACACATATATGTGTCCTTGCTCTGTGAACTGAGGGGGTCTAGATGCCACGTCACCCAAGTAGCAGTAAGCACATCTAAATTCCAAATAATTTATGTTCAAGGAGGTGGCACATAACTCCTCACTTTTTAAGTGTGAACTGCACACAGTGACTTCCTTCCAAAAAGTAACGTATAAAAATGGGAGGAAAAGTAACTTCACAACGGAGAAATACACCAAACATTTCCGCAACAATATAGCCAATGTTAACATTAACAGTGATAAGTCATTCTGATAGCATGCACCCTTGCTATGAGGTGATGAGAATGGCACTTTACCTTATCTTCCTCTGCAAAATTTATAATCCCAGTTTAATCATGAGAAAAACATCAGATAAATTCCAACAGAGGGGCATGCGACATGACTCCTCAAAAATGTCCAGGTCATCAAAGACAGTGTTTGAAAACTGCCACAGCCAAAAGAAACCTAGGGAGACAAGACAATGAAATGCAATGTGGTATCTTGGATGGGATCCTAGAACAGAAAAACAACATTAGATAAAACTAAGACAATCTAAATAAGTTTGGACTTTAGTTAATAATGATATCAGTATTGGTTCATTAATTGTGACAAATGTACCACACTTATGTAAATGTTAATAAGGGGAAACTGGATGTGGGTTGTATGAGAACCCTCTGAATTGTCTTCACAATTTTTCTGTAAGTCTAATACTTTTCTGAAAGTAAAAGGGTTTTTTTAAACGTTTATTCTAATTTATCTAGATCATCATCTTAGAACAAAGTTTTACCACAAGACTTGGTATACACACTTCTGTATTTCTTACAGTCATGTTTATGCCAAGTGATTATAAGCATATTTAATTTGGGGTCAATATATCTGGGAACCAGTAGCAAGTCTGAGCTAAATTATTGTTTTTATATTGAATTATTTTACTAGAAATAAATATGAAACGTATCTACTACATGAATAATTCACATGTGACAGTTCCATGATATAAAAATTTAATTTCTGAATTTTTTAAATAAAGTAAAGCTTAAATTCTACATGGTGAAATAACAATGTGTGCAAACACAATACATTGCCTTCATCCTTTTAAACTACAGAGAATAGAACAGTAGCGTAATCCAAAACTGAAATATTCAAGTCAAGTAAAGGCTTAATGGTAAATAATAGCTTCATGAGGATTTGAAATTTTAAATGCAAAATAAGAGGATTCATTTCTAATAAATTGCAATTTCCTTCAACAGTCCAGTGATGTACTTTGTTGAAAATATAATTTTTTTCCTACTTCGCAAGAGTTGAAGTCAACTTCAGATACAATTTTCCAGTTTCTGATTCCAGAAATAATTGGATTACATACCAATTTAATATAAATTTCAATGTCATATATGCTAATTTTATCTTGAAATGAAGATATTTAAACAACATTAGGATTTTGTTTGTGGAGGAATGACAGATTATGCTGAATTTGAATTTATTGCTATTTGGATACTATTGTAATGCCAACAGTCATATTCTGAATTTGCTTGATTAAAGCCAATGGATAGTAATAAAGACAAAAATGGATCCAAAGCACTACCTCATTATAATTAGAAGTTGTTTATGTTTACTTATTATTTTGTATTTAATTTATAGATTAGTTTTTGATTGCACTGTTGTATAGAAACTATAATCATAGTAAATTTATACCAAATTTTATTTGTTATTATTTATTTATTTATTTATTTATTTATTTATTATTATCACTTTTTTTTTTTTTTTTTTAGATAGAGTCTCACTTATTGCCCCAGCTGGAGTGCTGTGGTGAGATATCGGCTGACTGTAACCTCTGCCTCCCGATTCAAGTGATTCTCATGACTTGGCTTCCCCAGTAGCTGGGATTACTAGTGTGTGCCTCCACACCCAGCTAATTTTTGTACTTTTAGTAAAGCTGGGGTTTCACCATGTTGGCCAAGTTGGTCTCGAACTCCTGACCTCAAGTGATCCTCCTGCCTAGGCTTCCCAAAGTGCTGGGATTACAGGCATGAGCCGCCGCGCCTGGCCCCAAATTTTATATGTCATATATGCATGTCACATTCTAATAAAACAACACTATAGGTCTAGAAGATTGTTTCTTTGAGATAAGCCAACGCATTACTCAAGTTTCAGAAATACTGCATACAGGGCTCATAAAATTCTCCCAATAGCAAGCCACCATTGAAGAACATCGTTGTTATTTTGAAGCAAATCGATATTAGATTCCACCTGTTGGCCTTTTGTTTCCACAATTAATGCTAATATGAAATGATCTTCTAAAACATGCATTATTCAGGTAGAAAAGTCACCAGGTATAAATAAATCTATTATCAATAGTGACATCTAGTAAACTGCCACATTTAAAGAATATGGTGGCACAATGAAGAGATAAAATGAACAGTTTACAAGAAAGAAAGAATGAGAGCATTGAAGCCAAATTTTCAAAGAAAACAGCAAAAAGAAAGATTTTTTTTAACTAAAAGGGAGCGGAAATAGAAGTAGCGCTCAATATAGCTTCATTAATGCGTACTTTACCAGCTCTTTATCCTGGGATATCTCTTCTTATAAAATCAGACAAAAGTGCTCTCTTTTCACAGGGATTGAAAAGTAAAGGAAACTGAGTCTGCATATCAGGGAGATAGGTTAAAAGTTAATACAATGGTTGATCTATTTTTATTATACAAAGCAACATATGTGACTACTTTGTTTAATATACAATTAATATTTTTTCCACTAAACCAAACTATGCTTTTTAAGTCTTAGATGCAGATTTGGCACTAAGAAAATCCTGGGAGGTGTGGTGTTAGTGCTTATGTTGTGCCAGAAGCCAGTTTATTCAGAAAAATAAACTCTCGTTTTCTATTTCTTTGGCTTCTCTTCCAGGTTTTGGCAGAAATGTGAATATAAGCAAGCATACTATGAGATACATGATCCAGTCACTGTAACCTTCTTTGGAACTAGTATTGATCCAGCAGCAGCTTTCAGTACTGATCCTAAAAACAAATAATATGATCGGATCAGATCATCACAAAGGGAGCAGGAATTTGAAGGATGTATCTGGGTTATTCAAACCGAAAACACCTAACTCCAGTTCATTAAAAATCATTTCATATTTGTATAAAAATAATTTTTAAAAGAGTCTAGATGTAGTTATAATTTTAAAAGTAGTCATATTTCTAGAACCTTCTTTAAATTCTTGTTATTTGAATATGAAATTATTGTAAATCCATTGAATAAATAACTATATTCATATAAAATTTCAAACTAATACATACATTAGAAGTAAGTATATTTATTTCTCATTGAGATGAAATATTTTTGTCCCACAATATTAGATTTGTATATGTGTTTGTGTGTTTGTGTATTTTAAGTAATTAAACTTTGAGTTTCATTTTAAAACTGTGAGAGTATTTTATTACATAAAAAATTTTCAGACCGAATGGAATCTAGATATGGAAAGCCTATCTCTCTCATATCTAAAAATTCTGATCTATTTTAGCAGTTTTATGTGGTTACATATAGAATGAACCCACAGCATCTAGATATTTTTCCAAATCTGACAAAAATTTTAGTTACATCTAGACAAATATTTAGACCTCTCGAGTCTATAATATTGCGTGAAAGAAACCCAGTATAGAATTTTATTTTCTTTATTTTGGGTAATATTGTATTTAAGATGACACACATGACTAGATGAAAATGTTCATCTCTATAAAAAAGAGAAATTATGCATTTTGTTCATCAATTTGTGCTCTCTGCAGTCCAATTAAAAGTGTCATTTTGACTCTATAGCTTGAATAGATCAATCCCCAGTTTCTTCCCAAGTTCAGGCCTTTCCTGCAGCCACTCATCTTTTGCACTGCATTCATATTTTTTCTTCCTAAAACAACAAAATAATTTCAAAAGGTAAACAAAGACTTCCTTGTCAATAAACACGAGACATATTTACCTGCCTTTCCTTTCTTGACATCACAGAAGATTTAAAATACCTCTTTCCTTCCTGAACCGCAGGTTTCTTCTGCCTCTCCAAGCCTGATGCTCTCCTGTCTTTCTCCTGAGATTCTGGCTTCATTTTCTTTGCTCCTCTTGCAGAGTTCTTTCTTTACAGAGAAGCCATTGCTTGAAATTCCTCAAGGCAATCTACTCAGCCTAGACTCTCTTCTTAGGAGTTCTCACTTATACTTTAATTACCACACTGATACAGACAATTTATAAATGTATGTCTCCATCCTAACTTCATCTCTGATCTTCAGACCAGAGTATCCAACTACCCCTCTTAGATGACTCAGAGGTACCTTCAAGTGAGAATGTCCCAGATTATACTGAGATGGCTTTACAACATAGTTGTAAATTCTTTGAAATTCTTTCCATTGAGAGGTGGGGTTTCTGTACCCTCTCTTCGAATCTGTGTGAGCTTGTGATTGTTTCAACCAATAGTACAGTGGAAGTGAAGGTTTGTGATTTCTGAGACTAGATATAGAATAATGTCAACCTTATTTGTTGGAATGCTTACGGAAAGCTGCCATGAGAGAACTTCAACAATGCTAAGGCTGCCATGAGGAAGCCCAACCTACATGTAGAGGCTGTGTATAGTCATCCCAGTAGACAACCCCAGCTAGGCCTAAGCTTTTTAGTCATTCCATGCCAGCCTTTAAACATGAGAATGAAGAAGCCTTCAGATACTCACATCTGAAGCCATCCAAGCCATTTCCAGCCATTTGATTTTCTTCAGGTGATATTCCAGATACCATGAAACAGTGACAAGCCATCCCCATGAAGTCCTGTCTAAATTCTTGACCCATTGATAAATTGATAATGCAACAACCAATTGCAATCTGGTCTTCTTTCAATATCTCCCTCTATTTCAACTCCATCATCAACTCCTCCTGCAGATTTCATTCCTTAAGTATTTATTGAATCCGTGAACTTCTATCTCCATCAACACTTTTATCCAAATTATCATGATCTGTGGCCTAAATTGTAGCATTGGCATTCCTATTTATCAACATTCTCCACACTGCTGGTGAGTAATCTTTTCACATTTTAAATCTCTTCATGTTACCCCATGCTTAATACTCTTCTGTGGTGCCCACTGATCTTGGAATAAAGACAAAATCCTTTATGAGGTTTATATGACCTGAATGATCTGGCAGTAGTCTCATTCCCCCACTCTGCACTGCTCAGTGGGGTAACTGCCAGTCTTACCTGTGACTGTTGATCAACTGAAATGTGATTGGTGTGACTGAGGAACTGAATTTTTTATTTTATTCAATTTTAATTAATTATAACTTAAATTTTAAAAATGAATACTCAATTCAGTTTATTGAAAAACTTTTAAGTGTGTTTGGAACAACTTGGCTGTATGAATTTACTTTTTTAATCATGAATGTTATGAAATTTAAATACAGATCAAGTATTCCCAATGAAAATGTAATATCTGAATGGACATGTGTTGAAAGCTTAACATGCACACTGGATTTCAAACAGTATAAGAAAAAGAAGGTAAAGTATGAAATTAATAATATTTATATTGAGTATATGTTGCAATGACAATATTTTGGATATATGGGGTTAAATAAAATACTTAATAAAAATTAATTCACCTGTTTCTGTTTACTTTTTAAAATGTGGCTACTAGAAAAAAAAATTGATGTGTGGTTCTCATAGTATTTTTATTGAGCAGCATTGCTTTAGATCTGCTTTCTCCAGATACTCTAGTTCCCTTTGCCCCTTGGACTCACCATGCTTTCTCTCCTCACAGGGTTTTTGCCTGTGCCATTCCTCTCCCTTTCTATTCTTTGATCAGTTAGGCCATACTTATCTTTCAGTTCTCTGTTCAAGCCTCATTTGCTCAAGGAAAACATTTTTGACCTATTTGTCTTGGTTGAATTTCCCTCTAATCTGAGCTCACACCATGTTGGATCTCACTTTTGTAGCATTTGTCACAGTGGCGATTTTACCATTGTGTACTTATTAGATACATTATCCTCCACTCTCCCTACATACACATTAAACCGTCCATTTTCTGAGGACAGGAACCACGCCTGCTTTTGCTCACAATTTTACTCCAGTGGTTAGCTCAATGTGTGGCATATAGTAGCTTGGACTTCATAGATTAAGAAAATACAAGTCAGGCCCAAGAATGTCAGACAATAGTAGGAAGCAGAGCTTTACATTCGAAGATAAAATAAAATAATCACAAGCATGTTTTACTGAGTACAATATCTAACTGCTAAATTAATGAAGTAATGAATGAATGGTAGTATAATTTCCCTAAGAAAAATATTTTATGCTTTTCTACTGTTGAGGAGAAAAAAAAATCCAGATTCTTTGCCTTAGTATTCCAGAGCTTCACCATTTGAACACCAATTTCCATTCTAGGCTTATTTCCTACCAATGATCTCCCCGAGAGGAGACATAATGGCCAGCCTCCAGAGTCAGGCAAAACCAGGTGTGGCCCTACTCTTCTCTGTGACCTCCCTAAGATGTTCTCATCTCTAAGTGGGGATAATAATAGTAATCATGTCAAATAGCTATTGTAAAAATTAAATGGCATGATGTATATATCTGTGATGTAGGAAGCTTAATAACTTCTAGCTATCAATATTATCTCCAGGACAAGCACAAGATAGTAGTTAAATACTCCTTATTAAATGCTTACTATATACCAGTCATTGTATCAAGTTTATCATTTCAATGAATCCTCACTGTAGTTACTATCACAAAAAGAAACCAAGGCTCAGAGAGGTTATTTGCACAAAATCACACAGCTAGTAAATGGAAGAGATGAGAGTCACGTGTGGACAATTCAGTGACAAAGCCCACCTTTCCACCACCATGTTTCCCTATATTGCAGTAGGCACTCAGGCAATCTTAATTTCCTTTCTCTTTTCATGTTCCCTATGCTCCTAACATTTAAATAACCATTGCTCCAACACAGCATGCGCTGTCACAACTCCATTTGTCTGTTCACTCTGCTCTCTTTGTTCTAATTTACCTTCTCCTGGTTTCTCTAAAGGGCAAAATACTATTTAAGCTTCAATACTCTCTCAAATATCATCATGATCTTCCTCTATTGATTGTCTATCCTTTCTCTGAATGTGTAAGCCCATCCTATCTGCTAAGTTCTTCATACAATAAATTAGTAAAACAGGCATTTTATTACTTTGCTGCATTGCTCTTTGTATCCAAAGTTATCGCTCCTGTTCTGCTCTGATATTTTTAAGGTCTAAAACAGGATCATACTCATTTTTGGATCATGTGTGTCTCACTAAATGCTAGGGACATACATACATGCTCAGTGAATTTATGCTGAGTTGAAAATTAACCTAATATGAGGTCTGCACAAACTGCCCCTGTTTATATACATATACATAGTCACAAACATGCACACACACAAAGGCCCACATGAATGCCTACGCACACAAACATACACAAGTATGCATGTAAAAATATGCAGGGACACACAGATACATAAAATTCATGCTCATACACATGCGTGTGTGCACATATGCAAATGTATACACTCAGAGCTTCAGTTTTTGTTTGCTTATGTCAAGACAAATGAAATATTAAGGAAAGAATTAGCTAAATTACTGTGGAAATAAATTTAGCATCTCTTCTCTTAAAACAATGAAAGTAATTTATATATTTAATTTTAATAAGAAACAATAGCTGAAGGGGTATTTTGTTACTTAATTTTTCCACTTTATATTACAAAAATGTATTTTGAAATAAAGAAGATCTCAGTACCTGGTACTGGGAAATCTCTCTCTCTTTGATACACACACATGTACACACACACACACCCTTAATTAATGTTCACTCATACATTTTTGGTAAAATAACAGAAATATTGAGAAAATTCAGGCCAAATGTAGTGGCTCATACCTGTAATCTCAGCACTTTGGTAGGCCGAAGCAGGCAGCTCGCATGAGCCCAGGAGTTCAAGATCAGCTTGGACAACATGGTGAAACCCTATCTATACAAAAATTACAAAAATACAAAAATATAGCCAGGGCAGTGGTGCCTCAGCTATTCAAGAAGCTGAGGTGGGAGGATCACTTGAGCCTGGGGGGTGGTGGAGGCTGCTGCAGTGAGCTGTTATCACATCACTATACTCCAGCCTGGGCAACTGAGTGAGACCCAGTTTCTGGGAAAAAAAAAAAAAAGAGAAAGAAAATTCAGACCAAGATCATCTCAAATAGATTACACCAGAGGCTATATACCTCAATATTTTTATACAAGTTATTTGGCTTTCAGATTTTGTGTTCTATTAAGAAACCATAAACTTCCAGAATAGTTTATTTTACAATCTGAACTTTTAAGGCAGTAAAGCTACCAGTAAAAGTTGTCTTAAAGAATTAAACAGACACTTTCACCTTTTAAAAACAAATGAAAAGTACCATCAAAGCAGGAGAATGATCTTCCATTATCATTAAAATTTTAACAAAGTAGATTATAAACAACCAAATGTACAACTGCCCATGTAAAGATAATTCAGCCCCAGATCACTGATGGTGTTACTAAATCACCATGGCATCACTTGCAGGTTAGGATGCGCTGGGAGCTCATGGGAGAATTATAGCCCTATTACACATAGCCAAGCCCACATTAGTGTTGAGAGGAGGTGTGGAGGTTATAAACATCTCATACGGTCTGCACTCCATTAGATAAGGATATTAATCACTCAGATCAATGGGACACCAAGAAGCTATTATGATCACTGGCAGTTAAAATAGCCCAAGACACTTGCTTGTGTCCACCAAGAGAGGAAGAGTATTTTATATCTTTGGGTATCAAATGTAGCTCATTCTAAATCTTTCTGTTTGAGGCTTCACCCTCTCTGTCACTAAAAAGCACCATTTACATTTGCATACTCTGCCTGGTGCCTGCAACATGAGTGCTTGAAATGGTGATGTCAAACGGGCTTGATTTATGTCACTTTAAGAGAATCTAGGAATTTTAGATCTTGTAATGGGGTTTTCATTATTCTAGCTACATAATGCATGCAAACATTATCCTGATGTCTTTTAAAAAGTTGTCAAAATGCATGGGGAGAACCAAATGTATTATATGTTTGCTTCCTATAGGCTGCAGCAGGGAGAGAGTGGCTCAGAGAGATTTCAACTGTGTATAATTATAAGTAGCTGTACAGCTGAATAGCTATTGTAATGCCTGCAGTGTGTGGTATCTGGAAAAGAATACAAATAAATGTGCACCACAGTATTGTTGCCTAATACATTAAACATATATTCACACATACTACAAGATATGATCACTACGCCCCCATCTTCCCACATGTGGCAATAGCAGTGTACCCAAGTTCCCACCTACCTGTTGACTCCCTCCATGGCTACTTGTCCTCTAAAATAAGGGAAAAGGAAAGGTGGAAGCCCATATTTCTTTTTGCCAGTCTGGTCCACAGCTTTCCATCTGGTCTAAATGGTGGCATTGATTTAGTGGAATTATAAATCTGTCAGAAAACAATTAGCCCTCACTGTGTTTTCACAGTGGACCGTACTGAGAGGGGCAGCTCTGGGGAAATCAGCTCCACTCCTATAAGAGACCACTTAGCAATTATTTTAGCAACATTCGGGTCAGGACACTGCCATAGAAACTTGCACACATGGGCATTTCCCCATGTCCCGGAAGCCTGTTGAAGATGTGAGGGAGAAAGTCCAGCCTCGCAGTGCCTATACTCCCTTCGCCTCATTCCCAGAGTACTGAGTATTTTGTAAAATCCCAGCCTCCAAGAAATACACATCCATTTGGGGGATACAGAATTCTCACACCTCAAATAATTAGACATAAAACAAGTTAAACAAACTGCTAAATTAAACACCATCAGGGACTAAGGATACAGATTAAACAGTGTGAGATAGGATGGGAAGTTATCAAATTGCCAGTTTTACCAGAAAATTTTATAGAGAAAATGGATTTTGAGATAAGCTACTAAGAATAGGGAAAAATGGGATAAGTCAGCTGAGCACGGTGGCTCACACCTGTAATCCCAGCACTTTGGGAGTCCCAGGGGGGAGGATCACCTGAGGTCAGGAGTTCAAGACCAGCCTGGTCTACATGGTGAGACCCTGTCTCTACTAATAATACAAAAAATTAGCTGGGTGTGGTGGTGGGCGCCTGTAATCCCAGCTACTCGGGAGGCTGAGGCAGGAGAATTGCTTGAACCGAGGAGGCAGAGATTGCAGTGAGCTGAGATTGCATCACTGCACTCCAGCCTGGGCAATAAGACCAAAACTCCATCTCAGAAAGAAAGAAAGGAAATAAAGAAGGAAGAAAAAAAGGAAGGAAGGAAGAAAGGAGAGAGAAGAAGAAGAAGAGAAAGAAAAGGAAAGAAAGGGAAAGAAAAAGAAAAGAAAGAAAGAAAGGAAGGAAGGAAGGAAAGAAGGAAGGAAGGAAGGGGAAGGGAATGGAAGGGAAAGGGAGGGGAGGGGTAAGTCAGCCAGAAAGGCTGGATGAAGCAGCAAGGATGGAGGCCTCAGGCCAGATCTCATGGCATTGCCTCTCTGTGTAGTAGGGAAGAGGATTAAGACAATGGTTGATAAAGGTAGAAATACAGATTGTTGAGTATATTCCCACCTAGATGAGGAAAGAACTGGTGGAGCCATTCTCAGTTCTTGAGAGCAGTTGCCATCTATCAAAATCACCTGCATCCAGGGTCAGCTCATGGGTGTGAAGTTACACAGGGCCTCATGCTCAGAAAGACTGTACTTGGTTTAAAGCTCTGCTATCACTGTTTCAAAATTCTTAATAATTTTTAGACAAGCATCCCTGCAAATTATGTAGCCAGCCTACCTGAAGTCAATATTCTTCATACACTTTCTTATTAGATATACAGTCTCTGTTCTTAAACACCTTGAAACTGACATGCATGTTGATACCTGGTTGTGTGCGTGTGTGTGTGTGTGTGTGTGTGTGTGTGTGGTGAAGGGTGCAGGGGGGCTTGTTTGTGGGGCCTGCTGGAGCAGGAGTCACTTGTTTTACCCTTGCATCCTGATTACCTGTTAGAGCCTTACAAGTCTCTCACCTATAACTTCTCCCAGGCCTTGTGATTACTGGGGAATCCCTCGATTTCATTCAGCTTCTTCTAATAGCTTTCCACAATAGTCTTTCAATAATCATGTCACCCTCTAAAATTATTGGAAAAGGTCAATTTTGGACATTGCAGTCAGACAAACTACCACTTCATGATTCTCTTCTTCTCCCTCTTTCCTTTGATTTTACTGTCTGTGACCCTGGGAAATTTTTAAAATTTTTCCAAGTCTTTGTTCCCTTGTCTGTAAAACTGGGATAATCACATCTAGCTTAGGAATCTTATGAAGATTCCAAGAGGATGAGGTATTTAAACATACTTAGCAGCCAGTACAATGGATCTGCTCTTCTATGCCTGTTCTCCATTTTCCTTCCTCCCTCCTCTCCTCTCCTTTCTTCCTTCTTCCCTTCCTTCCTTCCATCCTTTCTCTATCCCTTCTTTTTGTTTCTTCTCGATGGAAATATGTTAACATTAGGGCATTCTGATGATTAATTTTCCTCCAAAACCTTAGTTCTGGAGGAGTAAATATAGTTAATAATGAGGAAAGTAAGAGACCTCACAATCAAAACTGGAAATAAGAATTTCATTTGAATTACTTCCATGCAGGAAGAAGGAAAGTGAGAGCTCTTCTGCAACTACTACACCCAAGTTCTTTAAGACACAAAAATTACAGAATTTTAAAATGATGTCCAATCTAAGGCCTTTGACACACACTGCCTTATTGTTAGCAGGAAATCAGAGTTCTCAAGACAGTCAGGAAGGGGAGAGGAGACTGGGTCCCTGGTGAGGGCAGAGAAGTTCACCAGCAGATCTCAGAAGGGCTTTTTCTAAGTGGACAGTGATGATGCACATTTGAAAGGCATTATGGTGTTGGTCCCGGAAAACATTACTAATTTGTCATTTTCTTGATTATCTTCTTATTGTATGTTGTATCATTGAGACAGGGATTTCTTCATCAATACAAAAGATGATGCGGAGACAACTAGATCCATCATTGGCTTTAGTTCTTTCCCTACCTCCCCTCCTGGATTAGAAATTCCTCCTGGCCTTCTCAGACTAGTTATCTTTACCCAAGTCATATTTTCTCTTCCCAGGCAATCTTGTCTCTGCCCTGATCTCCTTAAGCCTTCACCTGCACCCAGAAGGGCTCCCAAGTTTCTTCTTTAATCTTCAGTCCTGAAATTATTTGTTCACTTCTGATCCTAAAGCGAAGGTGGAGGGAAGATGGTGCTGAATCTGCAATTTTCTCTCGGGCACTGGAGGTGCCAAAGACTGAAACAAAAGAGTTCTGAAGGGTCCCTTCTTCATCTGTTTTAGGTGAAAGCAAGGTGGGAGATTAACAGGAGAAGCTGAGGAGACTGAAGATGCTGCATTCCTATAGAAGAGCTGGGAACAATTCTTACCTTTCAAATGGACCTTTACTTTTCCCAGTAATAAATGGAAGGTCAAAAAAGGAACCCAAGTAGGAATAAGCAGCTCCACGTATACCTTGGATAGGGGACAGTGGGGTGAAGAGGGCACAGGAGACACTGATAAAGAAGTCTGAGAATTACTACCTTGATGGACTGAAGGAGTTTCTGAATAAACTGAATTTATTTTCTACAGCTTATGGAAACTGAAGCAGTACTTACACATCTAGCCTCTATTCTCATTCCTCATTTCCTCATTCGTAATAATACACAGTTCCTTTCAGCCTAAATCTTTCATCACTCACTATAACATAGCAAAACAGATTTACTTTGCTGCAGCTCATCTTCTTGATGAATATATATCACTTCACAATATCCCATATTCCTTGTTCAATATTAATTGCTAAGAAACACAACAGCAAACTGTGAAAACAACATGATCTGCGTGGTATTGCCTATTATCCCCCATCCTGGACATTTTGCCTGCACTATGAGTTCATAAAGTATCCATCTAAAGTGCCATTCTTCTTGCAGAGGAAATTCAAGGCTATTCATGAATAGACAACAATGGAATATGTGATGGAAAATCAAACCAAAGCCTTCCATTGCGTTAGAGATATAAAAAGCTCTGCTGTTGGAAGGTTTCTTTTTCCCAAAAACCATCACCAATAAATTTCATTGCAATATTTTTCCAAAGCTTTCAGAAATAATATTGCTTCACTCACAGGGTAAAAAAGAGAGATACTGCAAACAAACTGTGCATCCTCTCAAGCTCTTAATGTTTGTTTACCAGGATTGTAGAAAGGAGAATTAAAAGCCTACTTACTATTTACGGAGTAATAGGAGAAAAGACAATGTTCCCATGATTTTAAAGTAAATTATAATACCAGATGGATTATTTCCCTGCTTGAATCAAGTTGACTTTGACAGCAAGGGCCATTTTTTGTTTTTTGAGACAAGAGTCTCGCTCTGTTGCCCTGGCTGGAGTGCAGTGGTGCGATCTCGGCTCACTGCAAGCTCTGCCTCCCGGGTTCACGCCATTCTCCTGCCTCAGCCTCCCGAGTAGCTGGGACTACAGGCGCCCGCCACCACGCCCGGCTAATTTTTTGTATTTTCAGTAGAGACGGGGTTTCACCGTATTAGCCAGGATGGTCTCGATCTCCTGACGTCGTGATCCGCCCACCTCGGCCTCCCAAAGTGCTGGGATTACAGGCGTGAGCTACCGCACCCGGCCAGCAAGGGAGCAAGGGCCATTTTTTGACTTCGAGAAACTTCTGAATTCTTACCTGCTTCTTTCTCTGCTTTCCCTAGGGACTAGATTCTGATTGACTTAGATATTTAGTCCACCAATTAGTGCTGATGGTGTTGAGTGACAGCCTCGGTCTTGCTTTGAAAAGGCACCTTCCCTTCTAAACTCTCCTTGCCTAGGAGTTTGAACTTCATTAATTTTTGTCAGTGTGTCCATTATCCAAGGTATTACACCACAGCCTGTAAGTAAAAATCTCCATTGCTCAGTTTTATATGCACTGCTTAATGGAAAGCAAATGATCTGAATTAAATGCCATTGCCACCAAATAAAATACCTGTCCTATCTGATATAGGAGTTTTACTGGCAAAGGTTAGATTACATCCTGATCAAATATGGGGAGATTCTGTCATATGTTTTTCTTCTTTTCAAAAATGCTGCATTAACTTCCACAAACTCATGATGACCAATAACAGGGAATAATACAACCCCAGACAGGAAAGACAGAGAGTTTCTTGGTGACAGAGGGTATTATGAATGATGAAAGTCAAGGCCTCACTGTCTCACAAGCAAGGGAGTATGACTTAGGGGGCCTAAATGAAATGACTGCCTATATTAGTGATATTAACCAGCTTGAGTGAAAAATGTATTTAATTATCTGCACTAGATATCAAACTGAAAGTAAATAATGAATCTCATGAATCTCATTTGGTCACCAAATTGGTTACCAATTCAATCAAACTGATTGTATGTGTACATCTTTCTTCCCTTTGGGTGTGTATGTGCGCATTCCTTAGTGTTCATGTGAGTGTTAATTTTTATTTCATATGTGAAATTCTTGGAATTCTTGGGCAGAAACTGCAAAGGAAAAGATTACATTTGCCAAACACCACAATTTTCATAAAGAAGGCTACAAATCACTTTTAAATAGGACCTTGAGATTGTCTAACTAAATCAATTATATTAATATTATACCGTACTGCCTAGGGGGGCACCTATTTGGGCCTATTATTTCCCCTGCTGCCCCCCCTTCATTAACATTAGATATTAAATATTTAAAATTAATTTGCTAAAATTGTAATGTTCAATGTTTTAAATCAAATGAGTAGTCAATATTTAAATATTTTGTCTTGAAATGAGAAATCAAATATGTGTTTATACACAGTTACTTACTTTATTGATGCAATGACCACATTGTCAGCTGGAACAATACATTAAGGTATCACGGAGACAGTTGACCATCTTTCCCGTTCAGTTAAGACCAACACCAAGCTAAACAGGCTCATGTTACTCCTTGATTTGTCCCAGAGCAGACCTATGTTTATGTACTCCCCTGCCCTTCCGTTTTAGGAAATACCTGCTGGTACCTCCCGTGAAGGAATTCCAGGTTCCTGCTTCCCAAAGCATCTGGATTGTCTCCTCTGTGGCTCTGGTGCCTGAGGAGGCCAGCACACCTTGACCTCTGTTGGGCTGCAGCCTCTGAAGGGTGACCCAGCATCTGGGCTGTCTCAGGGGCCCCGCTGGGCTAAGAACTGAAGTCACTTTTCACTAATAAACATAAATCCAGCTTTAAAATCATTTCAGTTTTATTTGTTTTAATACACATATTTTCAGAATAATGCAACTTGAAGAATAATCTTGTAATTGTGCATTCTGTAAGTGTTAGGTATTTTGAAAATAAAACATGGTTTTATTAGTTCATCAATATTCTTGCTTGACCTACTTTCATAGAGAATGTCAGTGTAAACAGGAATGTATATGCATGTATATAATGTGGAAAAGTGTATAAGGTACAGAAACACATATACCACCCTAAATTTTGTATGCGAAGAGATATTCAGCTATCTACCCATCTTTTGACAATCTAAACATACAGCTATGCAGGAAGGTATTTATTCTTCTGCAGCCATAAACAATGTTGTGTATATCCCCAGAATCAGGAAGCTAGAATACTGTCTTCTGGAACAGAGTAAGTGCCTGATAAATATTTTCAAATCAAATTCTTATTTTATGTAATTTTAAAAAGAGAGAGAGAAACTGAGGACTGACGCCAGCCCTCTTGGGTGGTTTGTCCCAAAAGTTGTTGGTCTAAGGACCTGAGGTAGACCATTTGCATGTAGCATGGGAGTCCAGGAAGCAGAGAAAGACAGTCACAGTAAGAAGAAAGAGAAACAGACCTGATGGGCAACAGATAGTCTGATTCCTTTTCAATCTCTGTTCCTGAAATCTACATTACAGTCCTGACTCCTATAATCTTAAAAGGATATTCAGTATATTTTGCTTAAGATATATTTTTATTAATTTTAAGGAAAGGAGTTATAAATTAGTTAATTCACATGTGCACACACACACACAAGAAATTTTAAAAAAGAATTAGAAGTGTTTGTATCACAAATAAAATGAAACAAAATTATTTCAAAAATTAAAAATAGAAGCGCCAAATAATATGAAGGCCTGAGAATAAGCGAAATTATTACAGAAAAAAAAACTAAGAAAATCCCCAGCAATCACCCCTGAGCTTCCTAAAAGTTAAAGAGGAAAATAGTCTACAGAATACCCATTGTTAATTGAAACCAAGCACTGAAATTCAACCTAAAAAGACAAAAATGTAAACTTTGAAGGGAACTATGAGGTCATTATTATAAATAACACCAGCTAATTTAATATATTATACATTCATAGTATATAGCATAGAGTATGTATTTATGTATATATGTGTGTGTATATATATATATATACATAATATGTACACATATTTTGACCCTTGAATAAATACTTAACTAAATGGCATACAGTTAAAATGTATTTCTAAAAGAAAAAAAAAATAAAGAAATGTTAGCATCAAGTAACTCAAAAGTGTAGTTTATTATTTATACATGGGATCAGCCTAAAGGATTTTTAAGCATGATGATTTAACCTGTTTAAAAGCTAGAACCAGATTTATAATTTTCTTCTAGTAAACAATAATGTTTCTTGTCTTTATGTTATCTTTCCAGATTTCATTTTTCCTTATTACCTACTTTTCCCATCTACTTACTTCAAAATATATTTTACCTTGTTATGCTTTCTATGTTTGTAAACCTGAGGTAAATTCTTTCTGGAGTTAAATGGACTATGCATACCTATGTCCTTACATATGTGCATACAGAGACTGGCAGAGAAAGGGAAACCCTCTGAATTGATCCCCACTTGGCTTCCTTGCTAGACTAACCAATGTTCTCCATTTCTCCTGTAAAACTTTTGGCTTTTGCCCAGGGCACATTAAAATTCCATTGGAAAGCAACTTTGCATTATGCTAGTATATATTTGTCTCCAGTAATAATACAAACTTAAATCAGTTGTGTTTGTTCTACAGCTGGTTTCATCCTGTACTGCTTGTTAGTTTAGTAACCTATTTAATTAAATTGTATTTATCCTTGTGAAATTATATTTACCCTAGTTAAGTTGCATTTATCCTTATGAATGTATCCTTGTAAAAACAGATTATATCATTAAAAAAATTAATTTGTGTCTTCATAGAGATCGATACAAGAATCTTGCTTTAAAAAAAATGTAGAATTTTCAAAATATATCCAAAATCCAGCTCTTTCTCAGCAGCTTCACTGATACCATCCTGGTCTAAGCCATTATTTTTCATTTTTCCTCTGGATTATTGAAATAGCCTACTTATTGGCAGTCCTGTTCATCTTTTCTTTTCTTTCTTTCTTTTTTTTTTTTTTTCCTTTTGAGCCTATTCTCAAGATAACTGCCAGGGTCTTTGTACTGGCTGATGCTCTTGCTGTAAGACTCTTCCCTCAGATGCTTATGTAGCTAATTCACTCAGTTTTTGTTGTTGTTGCTGTTTGTTTTTTGTTTTTTGTTTTTGAGACAGGGTCTCACTCTGTCGCCCAGGCTACAGTGCAGTGGCGCTATCTCAGCTCACTGCAACCTCCATCTCCTGGGTTCAAGCAATTCCCCTGCCTCAGCCTCCTGAGTAGCTGGGACTACAGGCACCTGCCACCACTCCCGGCTAATTTTTTATTTTTTTATTTTTAGTAGAGACGGGGTTTCACCATGTTGGTCAGGCTGGTATCGAACTCCTGACCTCAAATGATCCATCTGCCTCGGCCTCCCAAAGTGCTAGGACTAAAGGCATGAGCCACCGTGCCCGGCCTCATTTAAGTCTTTATTCAAATGCTGTCTTCTCCTAATATAGAGGCCAAATGTGACCTCTTAAGTGGGACCGCAAACTCCCACATTTCTTTTATTATTATTATTATTATTATTACACTTTAAGTTCTAGGGTACATGTGCACAAAGTGCAGGTTACATATGTATATATGTGCCATGTTGGTGTGCTGCACCCATTAACTCATCATTTACATTAGGTATTTCTCCTAATGCTATCCCTCCCTGCTCCTCCCACCCCACGACAGGCCCTGGTGTGTGATGTTCCCCATTCTGTGTCCAAGTGTTCTCATTGTTCAGTTCCCACCTATGAGTGAGAACATGCGGTATTTGGTTTTCTGTCTTTGCAATAGTTTGCTCAGAATGATGGTTTCTAGCTTCATCCATGTCTCTACAAAGGACATGAACTCATCCTTTTTTATGGCGGCATAGTATTCCATGGTGTATATGTGCCACATTTTCCTAATCCAGTCTATCATTGATGGACATTTAGGTTGGTTCCAAGTCTTTGCTATTGGGAATAGTGCTGCAATAAACATACATGTGCATGTGTCTTTATAGCAGCATGATTTATAATCCTTTGTGTATATGTCCAGTAATGGGATGGCTGGGTCAAATGGTATTTCCAGTTCTAGATCCTTGAGGAATCGCCACACTGTCTTCCACAATGGTTGAATTAGTTTATACTCCCACCAACAGTGTAAAAGTGTTCCTATTTCTCCACATCCTCTCCAGCACCTGTTGTTTCCTGACTTTTTAATGATCACCATTCTAACTGGTGTGAGATGGTATCTCATTGTGGTTTTGATTTGCATTTCTCTGATGGCCAGTGATGATGAGCATTTTTTCATCTGTCTGTTGGCTGTATAAATGTCTTCTTTTGAGAAGTGTCTGTTTATATCCTTTGCCCACTTTTTGATGGGGTTGTTTGACTTTTTCTTGTAAATTTGTTTAAGTTCTTTGTAGATTCTGGATATTAGCCCTGTGTCAGATGGGTAGATTGTAAAAATTTTCTCCCATTCTGTAGGTTGCCTGTTCACTCTGATGATAGTTTCTTTTGCTGTGCAGAAGCTCTTTAATTAGATCCCATTTGTCAATTTTGGCTTTTGTTGCCATTGCTTTTGGTGTTTTAGTCATGAAGTCCTTGCCCATGCCTATGACCTGAATGGTATTGCCTAGGTTTTCTTCTAGGGTTTTTATGGTTTTAGGTCTAACATTTAAGTCTTTAATCCACCTTGAATTAATTTTTGTATAAGGTTTAAAGAAGGGATCCAGTTTCAGCATTCTACATTTGGCTAGCCAGTTTTCCCAGCACCATTTATTAAATAGGGAATCCTTTCCCCATTTCTTGTTTTTGTCAGGTTTTTCAAAGATCAGATGGTTGTAGATGTGTGGTATTATTTCTGAGGGCTCTGTTCTGTTCCATTGGTCTATATCTCTGTTTTGGTACCAGTACCATGCTGTTTTGGTTACTGTAGCCTTGTAGTACAGTTTGAAGTCAGGTAGCGTAATGCCTCCAGCTTTGTTCTTTTGGCTTAGGATTGTCTTGGCAATGCGGGCTCTTTTTTGGTTCCATGTGAACTTTAAAGTGGTTTTTTCCAATTCTGTGAAGAAAGTCATTGGTAGTTTGATGGGGATGGCACTGAATCTATAAATTACCTTGGGCAGTATGGCCATTTTCAAGATATTGATTCTTCCTATGCATGAGCATGGAATGTTCTTCCATTTGTTTGTGTCCTCTTTTATTTCATTGAGCAGTGGTTTGTAGTTCTCCTTGAGGAGGTCCTTCACATCCCTTGTAAGTTGGATTCCTAGGTATTTTATTCTCTTTGAAGCAATTGTGAATGGGAGTTCCCTCATGATTTGGCTCTCTGTTTGTCTGTTATTGGTGTATAGGAATGCTTGTGATTTTTGCACATTGATTTTGTATCCTGAGACTTTGCTGAAGTTGCTTATCAGCTTAAGGAGATTTTTGGCTGAGATGATGGGGTTTTCTAGATATACAATTATGTCATCTGCAAACAGGGACAATTTGAATTCCTCTTTTCCTAATTGAATACCCTTTATTTCTTTCTCTTTCCTGATTGCCCTGCCCAGAACTTCCAACACTACGTTGAATATGAGTGCTGAGAGAAGACATCCCTGTCTTGTGCCAGTTTTCAAAGGGAATGCTTCCAGTTTTTGCCCATTCAGTATGATATTGACTGTGGGTTTGTCATAAATAGCTCTTATTATTTTGAGATATGTCCCATTAATACCTAGTTTATTGAGAGTTTTTAGCATGAAGGGCTGTTGAATTTTGTCGAATGCCTTTTCTGCATCTATTGAGATAATCATGTGGTTTTTGTCTTTGGTTATGCTTATATGGTGGATTACATTTATTGATATGTTGAACCAGTCTTGCATCCCAGGGATGAAGCCAACTTGATCGTGGTAGATAAGCTTTTTGATGTGCTGCTGGATTCGGTTTGCCAATATTTTATTGAGGATTTTTGCATCAATGTTCATCAGGGATACTGGTCTAAAATTCTCTTATTTTGTTGTGTCTCTGCCAGGCTTTGGTATCAGGATGATGTTGGCCTCATAAATGAATTAGGGAGGATTCTCTCTTTTTCTATTGGTTGGAATAGTTTCAGAAGGAATGGTACCAGCTCCTCTTTGAACCTCTGGTAGAATTTGGCTGTGAATCCGTCTGGTCCTGGACTTTTTTTGGTTGGTAGGCTATTAATTATTGCCTCAATTTCAGAGCCTGTTATTGGTCTATTCAGGGATTCAACTTCTTCCCTGTTTAGTCTTGGGAGGGTGTATGTGTGCAGGAATTTATCCTTGTTTTCTAGATTTTCTAGTTTATTTGCGTAGAGATGTTTATAATATTCTCTGATGGTAGTTTGTATTTCTGTAGGATTGGTGGTAATATCCCCCTTATCTTTTTTTATTGCATCTATCTTATTCTTCTCTCTTTTCTTCTTTATTAGTCTTGCTAGCGATCTATCAATTTTGTTGATCTTTTCAAAAAACCAGCTCCTGCATTCATTGATTTTTTGAAGGGTTTTTTGTGTCTCTATCTCTTTCAGTTCTGCTCGGATTTTAGTTATTTCTTGCCTTCTGCTAGCTTTTGAATGTGTTTGCTCTTGCTTCTCTAGTTCTTTTAATTGTGATGCTAGGGTGTCAATTGTAGATCTTTCCTGCTTTCTCGTGTGGGCATTTAGTGCCATAAATTTCCCCTACACACTGCTTTAAATGTGTCCTAGAGGTTCTGGTATGTTGTGTCTTCTTTCTCACTGGTTTCAAAGAACATCTTTATTTCTGCCTTCATTTCACAAACTCCCACATTTCTAATTCTTTTTACACTGGTTTTCCTTTTCCTAGAGTACTTTCCACTTCTATAGACTACATTATTTATTTATTTATTATGTTTATTATTTGTTTGTTTGTACCCATGAGGCAGACAGAATATAATCCCCATGACAGCATTCTGTTTTCCAATCTGCCCCCAAGTGCCTGGTGCAAAATAGACTCTAAATGTTAGCTGAATTAATGAATAAAATCAAATGTGAACAAGATAGCTAAAAAATGTAGCTAGTAAATGAGTTGGTGAGTACTAAATCGACTTATGAAAACCAAGTGTCTCTCTTTACCAGCAATAACTAATTAGAAAAACAGTTTTTAAAATAATTGTTTACAATAGCCACAATATTATAAGGAATTAGCTTAACCAAGAGTCTAAAACACTTCCATGAATAAAATTTCAGCATTTTTTAAAAAAAGGACAAAAAGGATAATCTGAAAAGAGATGTTTATATCAATTCTTCATGTCTATTAATCTGTAAACTGAATGCAATTCAATACAAATTATATTTGAATATTTGAGAAAATTAGTATTCTACAATACATAAGGGAATAATAAGGGAACATGAATAGATACCAGGCTTCAAAAGAAGATTAAATACTGAGATTTGTCCTACCAAATATTAAGCCACACTTTGCAACAGACATTGGATCAATGGTACAGAATAGAGAATTTAGAGAAGACTCTCAATTTATTATACAATTGGCACTTCAAATTAATAGGGAGAAACAGACTGTTTAGAAAATGAAATTTGAAAAATGGGTTGATTATAAAGAGAAAAAGAAAACTTTATTTCTACCTACCACAACATGTAATGTGGATTCCAGGTAGATTTAACACTTAAGGTTGAAGATAAAACTAAATATTTAACAGAACAAAAAATAGAGAATATCTGTGTAATCTAAGGGAATGCAAATGTTCTTAAAACTTCAAAAGCCTGTACCATGAAACAAAAAGAATAAAATAATGCGATTACATAAAAAATAAGGAATTCTGGTTAATGAAGATTTCCATGAATAAGCAGGTGGATACGTAAATATGGAAAATATTTTTTGATGTCTAAAACCAACAGGACTAATCTGTAGAATAAAACAAAAATGTCTTTGCATTAACCAGAAAAATACAGGATCTTCAAAGGAAAATGGGCAAAGATGTAAACAGACCATTTAGAGAAGAGTAAACACAAAAGATTATCGAATACATGAAGCCATACCCTGTCTGACTAGTAAAAGGATAAATGCAGTTGAAAACAACAATCAGATCCATTTGACTTAATCACCAATGATAAGTTGAGTTATGTTGATATTATGTATCCCCTAATATGACAAAATAAGAAGAGAATCTTGTCTCTATTATATACTTGTCAAATCTGAAACCAAGGTCTAATCAGGAAAACACAACAGAGAAACCTAAATTAAGGCCATTCTACAAAATAAAGACCTGTTCAGCAGTCTTCAAAAGTCTCAAGGTCATGAAAAACAAGGAATGACTGAGAAACTATCACAGATAGGAGGAAGCTAAAGAGATAGAATAACTAACTGCAATGTAATATTCCGAAGTGAATCTTGCAGTAGAAAATGGACCTACAAGGAGAAATGTGAGATCTAAATAAAATCTGTAGTTTACTTAATAGTATTGGGCTGATGTTGAATCCCTTAGTTTTGGCAAATGTATCATGGCTATGTTAACGTTAAGGACGCTGGATAAAGGGTACATAGAAACTTTCTGTACCGCCTTCTCAACTTTCACGTAAATCTAAAATAATTTCAAAATATAAAAGATTTTTAAAAATAAAAAATGCAATATCCCTTTACATTTCTAAGGCTGACAAAATTAGATCACTGGAAAATGTGAAGTATTGGAGAAGATGTGCAAATACAGAAACTCCTATGCATTGGTAATGGCATTATAGACTAGTGCAGATATTCTGGAGATAATTATGTCATACGCCATGAGCCAGCGATTTCTCTCCTGAATATCTATATCAAAGAAATTCTTGCACCAAAATGAGACATATGTGATATGCATGTATATCACAATATATCAGTATTTTTTGTAGTGGTGAGTGCCCATCACTGGAAAACTGAATCTACAAAATACATTGGATTCACATCAAGGAATATCATGCAGCATTAGAAGTAGTAGATAAATTCCACAGAAAGCAACATAGAGGGCTGTTGAAAATATAGTGCTCAATGAAAGTAGACATGAAATGAGATATACTGTACTTTATACTACATTTATAGTACATCACACAAAATACTACACATTGTACAAGAACATATACAATTCAAATTTTACACAATTAAACACATTGGAATTCTTGCCATCCTGCTAAACACATTAGAATGGAAAATAACTCAAGATTAAGGAATAGGTATTCACACCAATCAATCAAGCAATAAATTGGCCTTGGGAAAACCAATGATAATGGGTCACAAAATAGGTATATGACCTACTCTTCTTGCTACACCAAAAACTTTTTTAAGTAGGCAAAATCTAGGATAGTATGCTCAGATTACTTAGCAAATATCCTTGGTTTTATTTTGTTTTGTTTTGTTTTCATTTTAAAGAATCTGAAACTGGATACCAGAGAATCTACCACAGATTCAGTTTTCCAAGGAAAGATGACCTCAAACTCCGTTCAAAGGGCTCATACTTGATGATATCACCTTGACCTTACACCTAAAGTTTGATGGATAAGTTAGGTTTCAGATTAAAATATGTATTTTAAGTTAAAATTATAAATTATATATGTATTTTTTAAAGAACGCCAATTTTACCTGTGTATTTCAATGGACTAAATAGGTTAAATTATAAAATAGGTTTAGTGCTACCCATCTGCATGCTAGGAGAAATCTGCTTCAGATTAGAAGTTTATTTTTGTCCTAATCAGTATTTAGTTTCCCCCACACCCCACACCCATAGCAATTGATTAACAGTTTAATTTTTTTTTCTTTTTTTTTGAGAGAGAGTCTCACTCTATTGTCCAGGCTGGAGGGTCGTGGTGCAGTCTTGGCTCACTGCAACTTTTACCTCCCAGGTTCAAGCAATTCTCATGCCTCAGCCTCCCAAGTAGCTGGGACAACAGGTGGGAGACACCATGCCCAGCCTAAAATTTCTTCTAAGGAGGGTCTTATAATATAAATAATAAGGTCATCTCCTCAGAATAGGGAAAGATACCATTCTTTCTGTTGGCTCTGAAAACAGGACTAGTATACATTTTCATCACAAACAGAATCAGGTCAAATAATTGCTTCATGAATTTATATATTCCTATATAAATGCAAACATTTTTCACTTAGCAATGGCAAAGACATTTTTAAATTAGCAAATGATTCCAGATTCACTTATGCAAAGAAAATACAACTTGTGAACAATTTAGTTTATCTTCATTGTGTTTTCCATTAGGAAATAGTCACTATTCAGCTATAGCATATCTGCTAGTTCATCCCTTCCCAAGGCATTTATTACTGTTTTGTGGATAGATGTAAATTATAAATCAAAAATTCATCTGAACATAATTCTATCATTATCTTGAAGTCAACATGAAAGAGATGCTAATTGAATTGGTTTAAATACTGACAAGTTAACTGCATTTTAAAAAATACTTACGCCATATAGGATTCTAATCAGTGTAATATTAGACTTTTTTTGTTTTTATTATTTGGCATAATTTTTAAACCTGAGCTGCTTCTTTATAATCATTTCATTTGCACAGGTTACCATTTTGGTAGTTCAACAGTAATTAATGATTAACATAATTAATCTAAATGCATACGATTATAGGATTTTCACCCTATAATTACATTACCTGATTAAGAAATTATGATGCAGAATAAAATGATTATGAAAGGTGATGACTTTAAATAAAATCTATCCTAAAGTATTCTTTGTTTACTTAGTAAAGCATGTGATTAGCAAAATTACATAGTACTCTGCTCTTCCTAGTTACGTATTTTTGAAGGAAAGCAAATAACATGCATTCAGCACTGATTTTTCCCTTCCAAGGTTGGGAAGAACCCACTCCCCCCTAGAAAATGGGAGGGAATCAATCTTATTCTCAACTGTTTCACAAGAAAGTATAAATGGGAAAGAGCACGACTACTTGCCAGAAAGTAACATTGAAGTTTTGGTAAAGTCGTACTTACTTTTTCTCTTTTGATTCAACATGTAACTAAGACTCCTAGAATTAAATTCTAAATCACATTATTGAGTGTGAGGAACAGAGAATAATTTGCTATTAATAATTTATCTTTGCTCCTGTATGAGGAGTCTCTCAACTCCTGACTGCTTCCCTACCTCAGGCAACATCAGCACAGTGTGGTCACAAGTGAGGTCATGACCACATCTCCTAACCAGCCTGCACTTCTGCACAGAGGCCTACACAGAGGCCTATTCCTCTTGCACAAAAGCTTACCGGCTTACATTTATTTGACAGTAATGTTCAATGTCACCAGTTTGTTTGAGAATCCAGTAAGAAGGTATCTATAAAGTACTTTGGAGCTGTAAAAGGTTATAAAACCTAAGGGTTTTTGTTGTTTTCATTACGGTCCACAGCTGTCATACGATGAGATTAACTGCATTTTCAATCTACCCTCTTTTCCAAACTATGGACATTTTCACAAATGTTTGCTATGTTGAAAAGTCCCTCCTCCCTCATATACCCCATCTAGAGAATTTACATATTCCCTCCTTTGTGCTATCATAACACATTGTACATTTCTCATTTTGCATTAGCCTGTTGTGGAGATGTGGGTCTTCTTCACTAGGTTGAGGGCAGAGGTCACATATTTCATTTCTCTTCCCTGTAACCTATTAAAGTGCCTCTTATATAGTGAGTATCCAATTTATGTTTGTTTAATACACAAACAAATTAATAAATAATAAATTAAGATATTCTTGGATGGCAGAGTAACATTCTATATCCAACCTATTAACAAATTTATGACCAGGTTATCCAAAAGTCATAAAAACAATGAGAAAGTAAGATTTAAACTCTACACCTAAATAAAATATATTCCTGCTACACAAAAGAAACTTGTTGACCTTAGGAAAAACAATTTTATGAAATTTCAAGTAAACTAAATTTCCATGACCATAGTACAAAATCTAGCCACAACTTCTAAATAAAATTACAAATAAAAGTCTTCATAGGAAATAGACACACACACACACACACACACACACACACACACACACCCCACATCAGTTTTATTTTACCTTTTAATGAAATTAATAAAAGATGTTGTTACTGTATTTATTCTTTCCAGCACCTCTAATCTTGAGTAATCTACAGTGGCACAGAAAGTATTTTGGGACAGATATGAATGTAATCATGGTGTACAATGGTTATGTATCACAGTTGTTACTGTCTGTAAGATGCAAAGCAGATCGAAAGCATCTGAGGTTTGTGGAAATTGTTAAGTAGGAATCAGATGATTATCTGACAGGAGGCAAGTCCAGCTTGAGGAGCCATGGAAACCATCCATAGTCACTTTAAAAAAATTTTTTAAAACTCATTCCTTGAGACTTAATTTTCATAATGCCAACATAATTTAGTTCAATTCACCGGAGAGAATTCTTCTTCTAATCTCTTAAATTCTGCTATATTCCTTTCAAAATTTCTATAACAGAAATAGCTCATCTTGTATTAACTGAAGGAAATCATCTTCAAAACAGAACTTCCTTTGGTAAGTTCATTTTCCAATTTTTCCAAAATTTGGATGCCATTTGCAGTTAATCAAAACCTTTGCATCTTGTTCCTTTATTAGCATGTTCAGAAAAATAAATGCTATAGGCAGACGTTATGACTCAGTGATGGTGTCTAAACGCTAAGTTCTCAAAGGCATTCTGCATTGCAACCACTGTTGCTCTCCCTCAGCAAAGCCCCAGAATCAGGGAAAACAGCCCATGAAACCTGTGAATAGCTATCTTTGACTTTTGGCAAAATCAGCGTTAAAAGACTAATAAATAAATAGAAACAGTCTAAACATATCCTTGTTTGAATAGTTACACATGTAAATGTTGTTAGTCTTTGGTGAAATTGCCAAATCAAACTTTGCTTTATCAACTAATTTAGGGGTTTTTATCCAAAATGACTCCTCTGGGGAGTATAAAAGATAATTTTCCATTCAGCAGATAGCCTGTAATCTGGTACAAGTCGGGAGGAGAGGAGACGTGATCTGATAAACTGTCCTTCCAGTCAGTTTGCAGAAATTACTGTTAGCAGGGGAGGGGAGAGGGGAAGCCAGTGAAGAGCAGGAAGAGGTGGGGGAAGTGGGTGGGGCCTGGCGGGGGCATCCTGCGGAGCTGGAGTCCCCGGGCTCCGGCCAGAGGAAGTGAGGCTGGTGAGGCTGGTGAGGCTGGTGAAGCTGCGCTCGCTGGGCAGTCAGAGGGGACGGGAAGCACCAGAGGGGAAGCGGACTCGACCTGCTGGTGACTGCGCCATCCGGGACCGTCTTGCCTGGCCGCAGGTGCCCTGGATGAGGCCGCCTGCGCGCCCCCGAACGATTTTATAATCGATGGATAAAGTGGGAAAAATGTGGAATAACTTCAAATACAGGTTTCAGAATCTCTTTGGTCATGAGGCAGGAAGCCGTAGTGAAAATGTGGACATGAACTCCAATAGATGTTTGTCTGTCAAAGAGACGAACATCAGCGTAGGAGACTCAACTCCTCAGCAACAAAGCAGTCCCTTAAGAGAAAATGTTGCCTTACAACCGGGATTAAGCCCTTCAGAGAATTCTTCAAGGAGAAATCAAAATCGTGCCACCGAAATCCCTCAAACTGTTGAAATAAGCATTGAAAAGGATAATGAGTCCGGTGTTACCCCGGGAAAAAGGCTTGCACGAAGAGATTCCTACTCTCGACATGCTCCATGGGGTGGGAAGAAAAAACATTCCTGTTCTACAAAGACCCAGAGTTCATTGGATACTGATAAAAAGTTTGGTGGAACTCGAAGTGGACTTCAAAGGAGAGAGTGGCGCTACGGCGTAAGTTCTGTACACGACATGGACAGTGCTTCCAGCAGAACTGTAGGAAGTCGCTCTCTGAGACAGAGGTTGTGGGCTTGTGTTTTCCCATGAGAGCTTACTGCAAGCACTCAAAGCCTCTCCTTTCCAATGAAACAAAAATTCAGGCCGGGCACGGTGGTTCACGCCTGTAATCCCAGGCTTGATCACTTGAAGCGGGTGGATCACTTGAGGTCAGTAGTTCGAGACCAGCCTGGCCAACATGGTGAAACCCCGTCTCTGTGGTGAAACCCCTGTCTCTATTAAAAATAGAAAAATTAGCTGGGCGTGGTGGCGCATGCCTGTAATCCCAGCTACTCGGGAGGCTGAGGCAGGAAAATGGCTTAAACCCAGGAGGCGGAGGTTGCAGTGGGCCGAGATCACGCCATTGCACTCCAGCCTGGGCAACAAGAGTGAAATTCGTCTCAAAAAAGAAAAAAAAATTTCATCTTTTTGAATTAATGCTTGAGAAATGCCCCTTTCCTGCTGGCTCAGATTTAGCCCCAAAATGGCATTTGATTAAACAGCATACAGTTCCTATATTCAACATTTTTTGATACATTTGATCCATCTTTAGTTTCTAGAAGATGAAGATAGGCTTAGAGAGAGAAGGCGGCTTAGTACTGAAGAAGGGGTTGATCCCCTCGCAATGCGCAAATACATACGTTTGAAGCTACTGCACAGGTTAATCCATTATGTAAACTGAGACCACAGTTAGCTCCTGGAATGACTGAAATAACTGGGGACAGTTCTGCAATTCCACAAGCTAAATATGACTCGGAAGAGGATACAACCACCCTGTGTTTGCAGTCACGGAAGCAGAAGAATCGTTAGGTATCTCGAGACAGCCATGCTCGTGTTAGCAGACAGAGAGCTTGGAAAGTCCACACACAGACTGATTACATACACTGTCTAGCGCCTGATTTGCTTCAAATTACAGAGAATCCCTATTATTGGGGAGTGATGGACCGTTATGAAGCAGAAGGCCTTCTTGAAGTGAAACCTGAGGCCTGAAAGCGCGTTTTTGCTCAGGGACGCTGCGCAAGAGGACTACCTCTTCTCTGTGAGCTTAGCGAGGCAACAGATCCCTGCATGCCCGAATTGAGCAGTGAAATCACAACTTTAGTTTTGATGCCCATGATTCGTGTGTATTTCACTCCTCCACTGTAACAGGACTTTTAGAACATTATAAAGATCTCAGTTAGTGCATGTTTTTTGAACCATTGCTTACCATATCACTCAATGGGACTTTTAGCCTGAAGTATATCGGTGGCGCGGAAATCTACAGGTGCACTAAGTATGATGTGATTGATGGGCTCCCTTTACCCTCCATGTTACAGGATTTTTTAAAAGAGTATCATTATATACAAAAAGTTAGAGTTCGCTGGTTAGAATGAGAACCATTCAAGGCAAAGTAAACATAAACTCTCCTGTCCCAAAGGGTGTTAACTAGGTCCGCTTTCATGTGCATCAGACGATACACCTATAGCAAGCACACACAGCAGTGCTAGGCTTTTTCATACAGTATGTTAGCATAGTGTTAGCATCTGTCAGATGCGACCTGCTGTTACTTATTCAGATAAACATGGTGCCTATTGGAACAACAGAGGATAGAGCTACAGGTGTTCAGCAAGATTGCAAGAACATTTTGCTGATTTAGCTAACAGTTTGGTTTTTAATGGCTGCAGTATTTGAGTGAGGCAATTCTGAGGCATTTGCTATGAAGAACAAATTATTAATACTGGATGAGTATTTCAACAGTGTGACTAATGTTTGAAATTATTTTTTCTAAGAGTTTTTCTATAAACTTCCAAAAGTAATGATGTTTGTAGTTACTATAAATCAAGCTTTGAAAGAGTCTAAAAAAAAAAAAAGAGTGTCTTCTTTTTATAAAAAAATGCAATTTTCTGGCCACAGGGGCATAGCACAGTTCACTTAGGTGTTAATGTAGCTTATAATCAGGCTCCTCTTCTCTTCTGCAAAAGGTACTGTTAGGTAATACAGATTTTCTAAGTCATTCATAAATTTCAGACTTACCAACTTAGTAGTAGAATTTTATTGAAAGGCCCTAGGTATTAATTTTTTTAATGAGTGCTTTAACTTAAAACAGGTATTTGGAATAACTGCTGCAATGTAGTCTTGCATGTGATTATTTTTAAAAGTTGATATGCAGTCTAATTGTTGTTACATGAAAGTTGGATCTTTTCCTATGCCCAGAAAGATTTTGTGAACCATAAAGTATATGAGATTAGAAGATGCCCAAACAAGTCAGATAATAGTAACTACAGTGGTTGCTGATGTTGAGATTATTGTTGAACTGTAATTAATAATTCAGATGGCAATATTTATCTCTTTTTTGTAAATGCTTATAGCTGAATTGCTTAAGTAAAATATATAGAATTTCAGTGCAGTTAATTCTTAATGGAAAATCTGAAACCTAAATTGCAGATTTAAAAGGTACTGTACAACCATTATATCTGTAAATAACTTTACTTAGCACCTTTTTATCACTTAAAATAATATGTACTATTACTTGAGTGAGCTCTTCTGGAAGTCATATCAAGTTCTAGTGTTCACTTCTTAGTAACTGAACTGAATTTACAGTTCTGTTCTAGACATTTTGCACTAAAGTAGCTGAATTCATTCTTGTGTCTTTTTGTTAAGGTGCTCCGTACCACTGGTGAGTGCTCCACAGTTTCCTTACCTGCTACTACAGAATGTTATTTTACATCCTATGGCTATTGCCAAGGCTACAAAAAAGAAAACATATATTTTTATGGAACACTAATCCTTTGACTGCTTATGTATGTTTCTACTTGTTGCATCTTGTTATGGCTGCTTTTTTGTTTTAATAAAGTATGTTTTGTGCTCTCCTTGTACATCTGCTGTTTTATACATTTGCAACACTTTGTCTTGTAAATGAAATGGTTTGGGGTTTTTAAATAAGCATTAACTTAAACCTTTCTATAGTTAATGCAGCTGTACAGTCTAATATTGACTTATCAGAATAAGCTAACTCTAAATTTAATGCGCTACATCTTATCAATCATAATCACATACACTGTGGAACAATGTCTACAGTTACTGCAAATTACTATACAGTTTAGGTTATAACAGAAAACTGACAGAGAAATAATAAATCTATTGATTTCTCTGCTTATAAGTGAAAGACTGAAACTATCCAATGACATATTATAGTAAGTGAGTATCTGTAACCTCCCACTACAACAGAGGTAGAGTAAATGAGTATCTGTAACCTCCCTCTACATCAGAGGTAGAGTAAATGAAGTCTTGTAAACTAGTAATATATCAGTACCATTAATTGGTTTGGGGACCATCTTAACCAAAAATAAATGCCCAAAATGTAGAACTTTAACCAAGGACTTGTCCATTTTAAAGCAATAATTTCTATTGTTTCTAATTAAAGTCCCTGAAGATCATATACCAAAGTATTTGAGAACTTCATCCAAACAGACTTTAAAGCATTATGTGCAATTAAGTTATTATGACATAATTATACTGTTGAGTCTGTTTTCTTGAGCTTATAATGTATCTGGAAAATAAACCTCTTGAGAAAAACAAAAGAAATTACTGTTAACAGCTAGTTTGAAACAAATATTATATTGACCTAAACATTCAAGATAAGATGGCCAACTTACATGGGCTCTGCTAAGTCAGATCTTAGAATTGTGCTGAGGGTGAGAATCAATAAAATATATATATATATTTCTAATGAAAAGGACTTCTATGAGGTGTTTACAAGATTTCCCAGGACACAGACATTTGACCTTATAGAAGCTGCAACCAAAATTTTCTTTCAAGATTACCATTGAGAGGAGGAGCCAAGATGGCCGAATAGGAACAGCTCCGGTCTACAGCTCCCAGCGTGAGCAACGCAGATGATGGTGATTTCTGCATTTCCATCTGAGGTACAGGGTTCATCTCACTAGGGAGTGTCAGACAGTGGGCGCAGGTCAGTGGGTGCACGCACCGTGCGCGAGCCGAAGCAGGGCAAGGCATTGCCTCACTTGGGAAGCACAAGGGGTCAGGGAGTTCCCTTTCTGAGTCAAAGAAAGAGGTGACAGACGGCACCTGGAAAATCGGGTCACTCCCACCCGAATACTGCGCTTTTCCAACGGGCTTAAGAAACGGCACACCGGGAGATTATATCCCGCACCTGGCTCTGAGGGTCCTACGCCCACGGAGTCTCGTTGATTGCTAGCACAGCAGTCTGAGATCAAACTGCAAGGCGGCAGCGAGGCTGGGGGAGGGGCGCCCGCCATTGCCCAGGCTTGATTAGGTAAACAAAGCAGCCTGGAAGCTCGAACTGGGTGGAGCCCACCACAGCTCAAGGAGGCCTGCCTGCCTCTGTAGGCTCCACCTCTGGGGGCAGGGCACAGACAAACAAAAAGACAGCAGTAACCTCTGCAGACTTAAATATCCCTGTCTGACAGCTTTGAAGAGAGCAGTGGTTCTCCCAGCACGCAGCTGGGGATCTGAGAAAGGGCAGACTGCCTCCTCAAGTGGGTCCCTGACCCCTGACCCCCGAGCAGCCTAACTGGGAGGCACCCCCCAGCAGGGGCACACTGACACCTCATACGGCAGGGTATTCCAACAGACCTGCAGCTGAGGGTCCTCTCTGTTAGAAGGAAAACTAACAAACAGAAAGGACATCCACACCAAAAACCCATCTTTGCATCACCATCATCAAAGACCAAAAGTAGATAAAACCACAAAGATAGGGAAAAAACAGAACAGAAAAACTGGAAACTCTAAAAAGCAGAGTGCCTCTCCTCCTCCAAAGGAACGCAGTTCCTCACCAGCAACGGAACAAAGCTGGATGGAGAATGACTTTGACGAGCTGAGAGAAGAAGGCTTCAGACGATCAAATTATTCTAAGCTACGGGAGGACATTCAAACCAAAGGCAAAGAAGTTGAAAACTTTGAAAAAAATTTAGAAGAATGTATAACTACAATAACCAATACAGAGAAGTGCTTAAAGGAGCTGATGGAGCTGAAAACCAAGGCTCGAGAACTACGTGAAGAATGCAGAAGCCTCAGGAGCCGATGCGATCAACTGGAAGAAAGGGTATCAGCAATGGAAGATGAAATGAATGAAATGAAGCGAGAAGGGAAGTTTGGAGAAAAAAGAATTAAAAAAAATGAGCAAAGCCTCCAAGAAATATGGGACTATGTGAAAAGACCAAATCTACGTCTGATTGGTGCACCTGAAAGTGATGGGGAGAATGGAACCAAGTTGGAAAACACTCTGCAGGATATTATCCAGGAGAACTTCCCCAATCTAGCAAGGCAGGCCAACGTTCAGATTCAGGAAATACAGAGAACGCCACAAAGATACTCTTCGAGAAGAGCAACTCCAAGACACATAATTGTCAGATTCACCAAAGTTGAAATGAAAGAAAAAATGTTAAGGGCAGCCAGAGAGAAAGGTCGGGTTACCCTCAAAGGGAAGCCCGTCAGACTAACAGCGGATCTCTCGGCAGAAACCCTACAAGCCAGAAGAGAGTGGGGGCCAATATTCAACATTCTTAAAGAAAAG
Organism: Homo sapiens; assembly: GCF_000001405.40. Lineage (NCBI taxonomy): Eukaryota > Metazoa > Chordata > Mammalia > Primates > Hominidae > Homo > Homo sapiens. The sequence goes on from NC_000006.12 coordinate 113,228,215, forward strand.
AATTTTCAACCCAGAATTTCATATCCAGCCAAACTAAGCTTCATAAGTGAAGGAGAAATAAAATACTTTACAGACAAGCAAATGCTGAGAGATTTTGTCACCACCAGGCCTGCCTTACAAGAGCTCCTGAAGGAAGCACTAAACATGGAAAGGAACAACCGGTACCAGCCGCTGCAAAATCATGCCAAAATGTAAAGACCATCGAGACTAGGAAGAAACTGCATCAACTAACGAGCAAAATAACCAGCTAACATCATAATGACAGGATCAAATTCACACATAACAATATTAACTTTAAATGTAAATGGACTAAATGCTCCAATTAAAAGACACAGACTGGCAAATTGGATAAAGAGTCAAGACCCATCACTGTGCTGTATTCAGGAAACCCATCTCACGTGCAGAGACACACATAGGCTCAAAATAAAAGGATGGAGGAAGATCTACCAAGCCAATGGAAAACAAAAAAAGGCAGGGGTTGCAATCCTAGTCTCTGATAAAACAGACTTTAAACCAACAAAGATCAAAAGAGACAAAGAAGGCCATTACATAATGGTAAAGGGATCAATTCAACAAGAAGAGCTAACTATCCTAAATATATATGCACCCAATACAGGAGCACCCAGATTCATAAAGCAAGTCCTGAGTGACCTACAAAGAGACTTAGACTCCCACACATTAATAATGGGAGACTTTAACACCCCACTGTCAACATTAGACAGATCAACGAGACAGAAAGTCAACAAGGATACCCAGGAATTGAACTCAGCTCTGCACCAAGCAGACCTAATAGACATCTACAGAACTTTCCACCCCAAATCAACAGAATATACATTTTTTTCAGCACCACACCACACCTATTCCAAAATTGACCACATACTTGGAAGTAAAGCTCTCCTCAGCAAATGTAAAAGAACAGAAATTATAACAAACTGTCTCTCAGACCACAGTGCAATCAAACTAGAACTCAGGATTAAGAAACTCACTCAAAACCGCTCAACTACATGGAAACTGAACAACCTGCTCCTGAATGACTACTGGGTACATAACAAAATGAAGGCAGAAATAAAGATGTTCTTTGAAACCAACGAGAACAAAGACACAACATACCAGAATCTCTGGGATGCATTTAAAGCAGTGTGCAGAGGGAAATTTATAGCACTAAATGCCCACAAGAGAAAGCAGGAAAGATCCAAAATTGACACCCTAACATCACAATTAAAAGAACTAGAAAAGCAAGAGCAAACACATTCAAAAGCTAGCAGAAGGCAAGAAATAACTAAAATCAGAGCAGAACTGAAGGAAATAGAGACACAAAAAACCCTTCAAAAAATTAATGAATCCAGGAGCTGGTTTTTTGAAAGGATCAACAAAATTGATAGAGCGCTAGCAAGACTAATAAAGAAAAAAGAGAGATGAATCAAATAGACGCAATAAAAAATGATAAAGGGGATATCACCACCCATCCCACAGAAATACAAACTACCATCAGAGAATACTACAAACACCTCTACGCAAATAAACTAGAAAATCTAGAAGAAATGGATAAATTCCTCGACACATACACTCTCCCAAGACTAAATCAGGAAGAAGTTGAATCTCTTAATAGACCAATAACAGGATCTGAAATTGTGGCAATAATCAATAGCTTACCAACCAAAAAGAGTCCAGGACCAGATGGATTCACAGCCGAATTCTACCAAAGGTACAAGGAGGAACTGGTACCATTCCTTCTGAAACTATTCCAATCAATAGAAAAAGAGGGAATCCTCCCTAACTCATTTTATGAGGCCAGCATCATTCTGATACCAAAGCTAGGCAGAGACACAACACAAAAAGAGAATTTTAGACCAATATCCTTGATGAACATTGATGCAAAAATCCTCAATAAAATACTGGCAAAATGAATCCAGCAGCACATCAAAAAGCTTATCCACCATGATCAAGTGGGCTTCATCCCTGGGATGCAAGGCTGGTTCAATATACGCAAATCAATAAATGTAATCCAGCATATAAACAGAGCCAAAGACAAAAACCACATGATTATCTCAATAGATGCAGAAAAAGCCTTTGACAAAATTCAACAACCCTTCATGCTAAAAACTCTCAAGAAATTAGGTATTGATGGGACGTATTTCAAAATAATAAGAGCTATCTATGACAAACCCACAGCCAATATCATACTGAATGGGCAAAAACTGGAAGCATTCCCTTTGAAAACTGGCACAAGACAGGGATGCCTTCTCTCACCACTCCTATTCAACATAGTGTTGGAAGTTCTGGCCAGGGCAATTAGGCAAGAGAAGGAAATAAAGGGTATTCAATTAGGAAAAGAGGAAGTCAAATTGTCCCTGTTTGCAGATGACATGATTGTATATCTAGAAAACCCCATTGTCTCAGCCCAAAATCTCTTTAAGCTGATAAGCAACTTCAGCAAAGTCTCAGGATACAAAATCAATGTACAAAAATCACAAGCATTTTTATACAACACCAACAGACAAACAGAGAGCCAAATCATGAGTGAACTCCCATTCACAATTGCTTCAAAGAGAATAAAATACCTAGGAATCCAACTTACAAGGGATGTGAAGGACCTCTTCAAGGAGAACTACAAACCACTGCTCAAGGAAATAAAAGAGGAGACAAACAAATGGAAGAACATTCCATGCTCATGGGTAGGAAGAATCAATATCGTGAAAATGGCCATACTGCCCAAGGTAATTTACAGATTCAATGCCATCCCCATCAAGCTACCAATGACTTTCTTCACAGAATTGGAAAAAACTACTTTAAAGTTCACATGGAACCAAAAAAGAGCCCGCATCGCCAAGTCAATCCTAAGCCAAAAGAACAAAGCTGGAGGCATCACGCTACCTGACTTCAAACTGTACTACAAGGCTACAGTAACCAAAACAGCATGGTATTGGTACCAAAACAGAGATATAGATCAATGGAACAGAACAGAGCCCTCAGAAATAACGCCGCATATCTACAACTATCTGATCTTTGACAAACCTGAGAAAAACAAGCAATGGGGAAAGGATTCCCTATTTAATAAATGGTGCTGGGAAAACTGGCTAGCCATATGTAGAAAGCTGAAACTGGATCCCTTCCTTACACCTTATACAAAAATCAATTTAAGATGGATTAAAGACTTAAACGTTAGACCTAAAACCATAAAAACCCTAGAAGAAAACCTAGGCATTACCATTCAGGATATAGGCATGGGCAAGGACTTCATGACTAAAACACCAAAAGCAATGGCAACAAAAGACAAAATTGACAAATGGGATCTAATTAAACTAAAGAGCTTCTGCACAGCAAAAGAAACTACCATCAGAGTGAACAGGCAACCTACAAAATGAGAGAAAATTTTCACAACCTACTCATCTGACAAAGGGCTAATATCCAGAATCTACAATGAACTCAAACAAATTTACAAGAAAAAAAGAAACAACCCCATCAAAAAGTGGGTGAAGGACATGAACAGACACTTCTCAAAAGAAGACATTTATGCAGCCAAAAAGCACATGATAAAATGCTCATCATCACTGGCCATCAGAGAAATGCAAATCAAAACCACAATGAGATACCATCTCACACCAGTTAGAATGGCGATCATTAAAAAGTCAGGAAACAACAGGTGCTAGAGAGGATGTGGAGAAATAGGAACACTTTTACACTGTTGGTGGGACTGTAAACTAGTTCAACCATTGTGGAAGTCAGTGTGGCGATTCCTCAGGGATCTAGAACTGGAAATACCATTTGACCCAGCCATCCCATTACTGGGTATATACCCAAAGGACTATAAATCATGCTGCTATAAAGACACATGCACACGTATGTTTATTGAGGCATTATTCACAATAGCAAAGACTTGGAACCAACCCAAATGTCCAACAATGATAGACTGGATTAAGAAAATGTGGCACATATACACCATGGAATACTATGCAGCCATAAAAAATGATGAGTTCATGTGCTTTGTAGGGACATGGATGAAATTGGAAATCATCTTTCTCAGTCAACTATCGCAAGAACAAAAAACCAAACACCGCATATTCTCACTCATAGGTGGGAATTGAACAATGAGATCACATGGACACAGGAAGGGGAATATCACACTCTGGGGACTGTTGTGGGGTGGGGGGAGGGGGGAGGGATAGCATCGGGAGATATACGTAATGCTAGATGACGAGTTAGTGGGTGCAGCGCACCAGCATGGCACATGTATACATATGTAACTAACCTGCACAATGTGCACATGTACCCTAAAACTTAAAGTGTAAAAAAAAAAAAAAGATTACCATTGATTTGACGTCGTAACTAGATAGAGATACACATTTGATTAAAAAAATGAACTAAACAAACTCTTGTACCCTTAAACACATTGAAGAATAATTTGATCAGGTTTTCTGATAAGAGGATAACATATTAGGAAGAACAATCTATTCCCAACAAGTTATTTTATAGAATGTTCCTGCCTTATCTTCATATTTCTTCACAATAACCAGTATAGAGCCAAGTAGGCAGTAGTCATTATGAGCATATGGTGTCTTCAATCAAATCACTGTTGAGTGTGTAGTAGAAAAGAATGTATGATGTGTTATTGAATCCCAAAAGGAATACAAGACAGAAGCCTCATAGAACTTATTGTCTTATTTGGGGAACCAAGCTCACAAATATAAAATTGTAAAATAACAACAAATAAAAATGTAACACCACGAAAAAGGTCTATATAAATTGTCTTCTAACTTTAATAACCATAAAATTAAATTAGAAAAATATTAGATGTAATTAAGCATTAAACATAATAGAAAGAGAAGAAAAACATGAGTCTTGAAGCTAACAGACAGCATCAAAAGACTGGAATTGGGTAAAATTTGCTGGTGGGGATGGTTTGCTACAAAAGTTCAGAGGGAAAGATTAATAGAAACTGATGAGATTTTTTTTAATGGAGAGATGGCATTAAAGGACCACGAGACTCTTAAAATCTAGAGGGGAAGAGATGAGTTTGGCTGGTTGAAGGAAGAGCAGAAGCAATGTGCAAGAGTGTGAATAAATGAAGGGCAACAGAAGAATTGCAAGATGACTAGACTGGCTAACTTATGGTTTATGTTATAAAGATTAAAATAGCAAACAAGGCAAAATAAGTAAGTTGAGGTTAAGAAAAACTCTCAATGGTAGGTAGAGAAATCTGGGATTCATTTTTTGAGCAAATAGAATTCACTTGAAGATTTTAATCATATATGAAGAAAAGAGAAAGTTGCTTTAATTAAATTTAATCTAAATATGAAAAAAGAAATTAGGCTTATGTTTTATGGCTAGAGGATAGATCTAGGACCAATGAGTATAAACCACAGAAGGAGAAATTTTGCTCCAAGAGAAAAATATATAACAATTTGATTAAACTGAACATGGCATAGAGTGACTTAGAAAGTGCAAATTCCCCACTACTGATTTGAAAGATCTTGTTCTCATTGGTTCTGTTGTGGAAAAAAATCATGCATCAAACAGATGTTCTCAAAGATACTCTGATTCCAGACCTTTAAGAAACAGGAGGTAGGAGATAATGGTTGGATATAGTTGCCAGATGTGGTGGCTCACACCTGTAATCCCGGCACTTTGGGAGGCCAAGATTACTTCAGCCCAGGAGTTTGAGACCAGCCTGGGAAACATGGCAAAACCCCATCTCTACAAAAAATTTTGAAAAATTAACCGGGCACGGTGGTGCACACCTGTAATCCCAGCTACTCAGGAAGCTGAGGTGGGAGGATTGCTTGAGCCCAGGCTGTCGAGGCTTCAGTGAACCAAGATCATGCCACTGCACTCCAGCCTGGGGGACAGAGTGAGACCCTGTCTCAAATAAATAAATAAATAAATAAATAAGATTCTGGATATGGGGAGATCTGCCAACAGGCCATTGCTATAGTCCTGGGCTAAGTGATACAGCCCATGCCACTATCATTACACAACAATTATTTATCCTACCAGTGTCTAAGAGTTCATGGTGCTAAGTGCTTTACATACATTGTATATTTTAATCCTTTCAAGACCCTATAGAGTACACATTACTCCTTTCTTTGTTTTACAGATAAGGTGTGGAGCAATGGAATACGAAAGGTAAGAGAGGCATTTTAAAGAACAGCATGAGTGGAATGATGAATATGTTACAGGTAATAAAGCAATGAGATGAAGTTAAGGTTATTTGAAATGACTTAATATGCTCCCTATGCTGCATTACAGCACAGTCCTATATAATCCAGGGCAATTTAGGATGTATTGGGTTTAGTGAGTACTGAATCTCAAACATTATCAGTTTTATCTATTAATTTATTTTTTCTTCAGGCTGCTTTACAGTAGATTAACACCATCATCAAAAATATTAATGATATAGCTCTTGGTTATAGGCACTGGGTGAAATCTTCAGCAATAAGAGATAAACAGAATCTTGTGACATGAGGCTGAAAACAAAGTAATCACTTAATGCAAAGATTTAATGACTGAAAAGAGAAAGCACCCATCAACCCATTCTTTTACTGTATACTGGTTAGGGATTGATTTACTTAATTATTTTTAATAAATGAGTACACAAGAACCATATTATTTTATTTTATTTATTTTATTTTATTTTATTTTATTTTATTTTTTGAGATGGAGTCTTGCTCTGTCTCCCAGGCTGGAGTGCAGTGGCTTGATCTCTGCTCACTGCAACCTCCGCCTCCCGGAAGAACCATGTTATTTGATCTTGCTGTTGACCATGATTTTTGGAAGCAGGATGTAGGGGCATCATTTACAAGTATACTCCAGTTTCAGCCATCTTCAGACCTCTATAGCCGCTGTTGCCTGTATCTAGAATTTCCTCTGACTTCTCCATTCTGTGGAGAGAGCTTGCTCAACCCACAACCCATCCCACCTCCCCTCACCTGTGAAGCTTCTCCTCACTCCCCTCAGCAGCAGTGGCTCTATGAGAGCCCTTGTCACGTCGTCTCTTTCATACACCCTGAGGTTCTCATAAGCAAGAGAGCATTTGTTTGTTGTTCGACTTTTTGCTGTTTTCTTCTCCTCATTGCTTCCCTCCCCCCAACCCTCAGAGCTAAGGACATAGCTGTCACTCATGATTTGTCAAAATAAAAATCACAGAAGTGACAGAGATACACGCATAACCAGGTTAAATCATTCCAGTCAATAAGAAGAGGAAAGGATGGATTAACATGCTCCTCCTCAGGCCTACCTGAAGCTTTTTCTGATAGCTGGTATAACATGTCACATTGAATTATCGTAAGTTGTTTGCCTGTATGTCATGTTCAGCAGATGGTATATGGCAGATAGTTTATATTCAACATATGTTCCTTGTGTTAATTCAAATTATTAACTGCCTTCCAAACATCTAATATAACTTAATGCTGTAAATTATTATTCCAGTTCTAGAGTAGAAATAAGCAAACAGATGTGGGTCAGTGAAACTAAAAAATGGTATTTAAAACAAGTGTAAGTCAAATCCCCTAAAATAAGTGGCATCACATTACAAGTCAGTGCATACAAACATAGCCAAACCACAGGTAGTTTGCTTGGCTCAAAATGCTTCCACGATGCTTTCAGGTGTGGTGTACAAGCTGCCTTCCCGAAACCCCACCCCTGCCCATTGATTTACATGAGGCTTTTTAACACATTTATGTTAACTTCTTGGCCTCTTGAGGCATTTGAATTTGTGATCTCTCTACTATAATTTGTCCTGACACTGTGAACACAATCAATCTGTTTTCCCTCAAGTACTTTATTTCTTTAAATTTTGGTTAATCTACTAAACTTTTAAAAGTATAAGTTACATTCGTAAGTCAAAGTGATACCCACATAGATTCAAAGATAGGAGAACCTGAATAATAAACATAGCGCATTTGCTTCTGTGTGTATATTAAAGCATGACTATTTGGTTACATTTATATTAAAAATTTTGTTTTGATTATATTGAACATCACTGATGTGATTTTTTTTCTTATTTAAATGGTTCCCTAATTCTTTTTTGTTTTTTTATTTTTATTTTGTTGGTTTTAACCTTTACTGAGATATAATTTATACACGAAAAATGTACACAACGTATACATTTTGATGAGTGTGGACATATGCATACATCCATGATACCATCACCACAATTATAGTAAGAAATATATCCATCACCTTTGGAAATGTCCTTGTGCTCTTTTGAGGGGTTTGTTTTTTGGTGCAAACATGTAACACGAAATCTATCCTCTTAACATATTTTAAAGTGTATAATACCATACTACTTATTATAACAATGCTTATATAGCAGATCTCTAGAACTTATTCATCTTGTACAACAGAAACTTTATACCCATTGAAAAACAATTCCCCATTTCCCTCTCCAGCATTCTATTATCTGGGAATCATCATTCTAGTCTCTGCTTCTGTGAGTTTGACTGTTAGAGACCTCAGGTAAGTGAAAACACACAGTATTTTTCTTTCTGTGACTGATTTTTGCTTAGTATAATGTCTTCTAGGCTTGTCCATGTTGTTGGAAATAGCAAGATTTTCTCTTTTTTAAGGCAAAATAATATTTTTTTATGTATAAACCACATATTCTTAATTCATCTGTTAAGGAACATTTGGGTTGTTTGCATATTTTGGTTATTGTGAATAATACCACAACGAACAGGGGGTACAGATATCTCTTAGAAGGCATACCATACTTAGATACCACCAGGTATCTAAAAAGGTGCTTAATGTCACTAATCATCAGAGTAATGAAGATCAAAGCCACAATGAGATATTATTTCACCCCATTAGGATGATTATTATAAAAAAACAAAGATAACAAGTATTAGTGAGGATATGGAAAAATTAGAGCACTTACCACTTGGTAAGAATGTAAATTGGTACAGCCACTATGAAAAATGATAGAATTTGAGCAGTATTCAATCGGCTGACAATTAAAATAAATAAAAAATATTCACAATTCTTACCACAGAACTGTATTTATAATTCACAAGTTCTTGTTTCAACTTTTGTCCCTAAAATACCAAGAAACTTTTTTTTTGCTCGTTATAAACGTGCATTGTACTACTTTGGGGAAAATGTTTACTCTGCTATAACTTTTGGGGGAGAATAAATTCACCTTTAAATATCAACTTTGATTCTGTAGCAGTATTCCAAAGATTAAATGGATTAAAATCTGCAGAAATATAAGAAAGCCAAAAAAAAAAAAGCTTATGCACTAACTTGTTCATCTCTTTCAGATAATTTATAGTTATTTTAAAAGGAAATGTTCATGGTATAAAGTGAGGCTTGCCTAAAGGTTATTGATGGTAATAATGATATCTAGTATTTCTTAATTTCTTACTAAAAATAGTTCTTGGCAGATAACTAGGGCTCAATAAATGCCAGCTACTATTGTTTCATATCAGATGTTACTTAAAGAAATTTACCTGTATTTAACTATTCCCCAGAAAAGTTCTAAATGGTAGGTCTTATTATTATTATTCTCATTTTATAGATGAGGACACTAATGCTCAGCCTCACAAACCAGGATCTGAACCTAGGCCAGGACTCTTAACTACTCATGGACCAGATTCAAACTGAAGATTTGTGAAAAGACATAGCATTATTTTTGGTCACTGTTGTAGCTAAGTTTATCAACACATCATGTACTGAAGGGTCATTGTTGGAGACATAAAAAAAGAAAGCACTTATTCATTTTATCTAATAATTTTGCATGTCATCTTGTAATAAGTGTTCCAATTAGATTTAATTAAATTAGCACACCAAAGAAAGAATAGTTGCTAAACTTGAATAATTATATATAATATACCTCCTCAGTGTAGAATTTCATTTATTAGAATTAAAATCAAGGAGATTGACCAGGCACAGTGGCTCACGCCTGTAATTCCAGCACTTTGGGAGGCCAAGGCGGTCCAATCACTTGTGCTCATGAGTTTGAGGCCAGCCTGAGCAACATGACGAAACCCTATCTCTACAAAAACTTAAAAAATAAAAACATCAGCCAGGCATGGTGGCGGGCACCTGTAGTCCCAGCTACTTGGGAATCTGAAGTGGGAGGATGACTTGAGCCCAGGAGGTTGAGGCTGCAGTGAGTCATGATCATGCCACTGCACTCCAGCCTGGGTGACAAAGTGAGACCCTGTGTCAAAATAATAATAATAATAATAATAAATGAGGAGATTAAATGGTCACAATTACTTCAAAAGTAAGTATTTTGTCTTGCAAGACACATAAAAACAGTTGTAGTTTTGCCATCTCCTAATTATTTTTACTATCAAAACAAAGTATATATGCAAGAAATTTATGGTTAAACGTGTGGCTATTAAATCAGTATTTTTAGTCTTGATCTATTTCCTGGCATTTAAAAACATGGTTTCCAATTTTTTTAATGATTTGTATGATCCGTTGATAAACTAAGAAATTCCCTTGTTTTCCTTTTGACTTCGTATTAGTGTTAATTATACACCATCATTTTTTTTTTTCATCTAGGATTAAAACTTTGGTCATGGTCTTTTTGGTCTCAGAGCATTTGTTCAGGATGTGATGTGTCTATAGAATGTCCTTCCACTTTAATGCACCTATCAAAATTCCACCATCTTTCAAGTCTCTATCCCTTCTGTCACATGTGACCTCATTTTCCTTGGAATCTCCATCATAGTTGCTTATCCCTCTCTTACAGCAGCATAGATCAGAAGTTATGAGAATGAATTCCAGAGGGGAAATACTGCTTGGGTTTATATTCTGGCTCTACCACTTACTAATCCGTGTGACATTGAGCAAGTTAATTTATCTTTGAGTCTAATTTCTCATACATAAAAAGGGAAACCTATAGTATGTATTTCATGGGAAAATTTGGATAGCTAAATTAATGAAGGTAATCCTTATAAAGTTTTTAGTACATACTAAGTGCTCCATAAAAGGTTTTATTATTCTTATTAGATTAACATTGTCATCACCATCCTTGAAACTGTGATATGGCTTATCATATGCCATTCAAAGTTCCTAGCCCACCTAAGAACATTTCCTTTTCATTTTCAGCAATCAGTTTCATGACAGAATTGCATTTGATGTTGGGTAAGTAGATATGACTGATCAGCCATAACAGAGTAAGTAACCCTAACAGTAGATATGAAAGTCAAATTATCTTTAGATATTCCCTGAATAATGTTAGCTTCCAGGAACAGTAATACAAAATATATTTTTCACAGACATGGCTATCTAATTCCTTCGTCATCCTTGTATTACCTTGCACAGTCTTTGGTATGTAGTTGGTCTCAACATATTGAATATGTTGTATACTCAATGCAACATGAGTAAGCATAGCAAAGTATGTCAGAAACATGACATAGTGTCATCCCAAAAGCCATAGCATGGAATACATTTTGGTTCATGACCTAAGTCTATATTACCTTTCTACTTGTCCCTGGGTCTATTAATGCAAGAAACCATTAAACTCCTCTAATTATTCATTTTCATTTTTATTCTTTTGCTCCCTCATTTAACTAGTATATATTGAGCATAGGCTGTGTATTAGAGGTTGTTTCCTTAGGACCCTAAAAATATAGATGAAGTCATTGTCTGGAGCCTTTCCACCCAAAGTTTATCTACAGCATGAGTAACACCTGGGAGTCTGTTAAAAATGCAGACTTTCAGGCCCTAACCAAGGCCCTGAGCCAGGCCTCTCAAATCAGAGACTGTATTTTTACAAGATCACCAGGTGTTTCATGTACACATTCAATGAAGCACTGGGCGGCACATAAGAATCACTTGTGTTTATAAAGATACGAACACCTACAATCAAGGTGGAGGGCCAAGTATATCGAGAGCTTAGCCAATTAAACAATTGCCTGATAATTCAAGAAGGTTTTTTAAATATATAGATGAACTTTTGTGGAAGTATCTTTTAACTTTGCTACACAATAAATTTTAATAATTTGAAAACTATAATTCCATATCACAGCCTGCTGTGATAAACAAAGGTACTTAGATTATATGCAGTTGTTTGCTTTGGGCCCACTGTTAATATATTCTGGGGAGGTTATATCAACAAATGCTGTTTTGTTTTAAAATAAATTTCCATGAATTTTAATGGTGATAAATTCTAGATGAAAGGAAAAAAAGATATTTTTGCCAGAACCAAATATATTAAATCTCCCTCCATCTCAAATGATTAAATCAGTGTTGTACTTCCATCAGGAGACAGACATTTCTGTCACTTGGAAGAAAGTAGCAGGAAGCAGAAAGGATTGTTTTTGTTTTTGAGATAGGGTCTTGCTCTGTTACCCAGGCTGGAGTGCAGTGGCACTATTTCAGCTCACTGCAACCTCTGCCTTCCAGGCTCAAGCGATCCTCCCACTTCAGCCTCCCAAGTAGCTGGGACCTCAGGGGCATGCCACCACACCCAGCTAATCTTTGTATTTTTTTGTAGAGATGGGGTTTTGCCATGTTGCCCAAGCTGGTCTTGAACTCCTGGGCTCAGGTGATCCACCTGCCTCGGCCTCCCAAAGCGCTGGGATTACAGGCATGAGCCACCACAGTTGACCCAGTAGAGAGTTTTATACAAAGGTGCAGCCAAGAGCCCCAGCTCACCAGGTAAGCCACGCTGGGACCAAAAGCAGGTAACCTGGAATCTATAGATTCAAAATGAAAGCCAAGGAGTTAAGAGGGAAGTTGAATCATGGCTAGGCCTACGTTCAGTAAGAAACCAAGAGGCACCCACCTAAAAGGAACCTCTAAGTGGAAATGAACCTTAGTCAGGGTGCCCAAAGACAGAAACAGAACAGGTTGAAACAGTACCAAGTGTCAAAGACACCAGAGGCAATTTGACCTTTGTGTGCTAACCAAAAAGTCCATCTGAGGAAGGAACCTGGGACATCCCATCTGGTCCTATGGAACCAGCATTTGCTTCTAATACAGCTAAGGAATTGCTGCGGCACATTATATTAATGACAAGTATATTATAATGTGTTCCAATCAAACCTTGTTCTGATTGTTGTAATCAGTACAGTTGAAGGAAAATGTTTTCTCCTATGCCTTCTCAAGGTTTAATGATGCTCCATGACCTGCCCTGGAACAAGCTTTCCAAGGCACTTCGGTGCCCAGAGATGACCATATTTTTGTGTATTTAAAATTTATGATAGGAAAGTTTCCTCAGTGTGTTTCTTATGTGGCATTTCCTGGATTAAGGGTCATGAAATAAAATCACCAATAAATTAGGGAAAACATAAAACACCATTGGGTACTGTGAAAATGGCCTGGGTCCAAGAACAGCATGCTAAAAAGCAAGCACTTTGCACTCCTTAAACCCTCCTAAGTTTTCAACACTTTTTTTTCTGTACTTCTTTAAGGTGAACCTTTAGATATACATCATGGCAAAAACTTTCTGTCCCCTTGGGTCGCTTGATTTCCTTATTTATATACAGATTTAAGAGCTGGTCGAAATGGGCTGACTACATGACAGGTAGAGCGCCTTTTCAACAAGCTTAACAAGGACCAACACTCCTACATTATACCCACATTACATTCAGATCGAAGCCTGTTGCCCATGTGAACAGATGAGGTGTAAACGGCTTATAAAAATCTTTTTACAGACTTCATTTTTGTGAAAGAACAAGTGTGGAATTGTGTATCAGCATTCCGTGTTAAGAAGATAAACATTGCTATTCCTAGATTTACACCTTCAGCTGAAACAGTTTAGCCAGTCTATTCTTTGTGCCCCAGACATGCTTTTCTCTACCGCTTTGCCTTTTTTATGGCTTTCTCTCCATATCCAAATTGTAACTATTTGTCAAGGTCAAAGGCAAGTCCCTCTTCCTCGGGGAAGCCTTCCCAGACCACTCCCTCAATTGGAATCAATCTCTTTCTCTTTCAACATAGATAGCCTCATATACCTCATAAAGACATCAAGAGAAGTTTACCTATTATATTTACATCCATCATATTTTGTGTGGTAAATGGGATTTATAACCAGTCCCATCTAGCCCTGATAAAGTGCCTGCTCTGTGAGATAAGTTACATAGCTCTACCTATCAGAATTTAATAGAGAACATGCCCATTCCCTCTTCCTTTACCCCATCCTGCCACTACTCATGGTCACGCTTAGCACTAAATAGGTATTTAATTAATACTAGAAAAATAATGAAATGGGTCAACTAATGAATTGTAAATAATATATAAGTGTACTGTATCAAAAGAAAAATTTCTAAATAAAGACATGGAAAAATGTGGTTAGTAGAAGTCCATGTTCAGAAGGAACCTTTCATTATGAGATTATCTCTACACTAGCGCTCTTGGTTCTCTCCCTAAATAATCTACAGGACCAGAGATACTCCAAACCAGTGCAAGTGAGGATCATGGAGGCTGGGTTGGGTGGGGGGCAGGGATGGTTAAAAGTGCGTTTGGGTCCCAGACCACAGGCTTGTTATATTAGAATATCCAGGGGTATAGGGGGAAATTGGGAAGGTAGGAGTGAGTATTTTATCATGGACCTAAATTATATCACCAGGATCCATATATAGGTTCTTCTTCCTCTTGGGTGATTGCAAGTAGCTCCTGGCTCTCTCTTTGTGGCTGTGGCTGCACCAACAAGCCTCTGATCCTTATAGCATTAATCCTAGCACAAAGAATCTACTTTCGACATTCAGAGTATGTCTGAGATTCACTCTGATTAGCCTTGATATGGTTAGCAAATCCTTTCTCCTAAAACCAATCTTTAGACCTGTGATAAACCTAAGCCAATTATAAAAATTAATGGTGGCATTAATTTCACTCAAACCCATTCACTGGGAAATTCAGAACCACATTATGAAAGGACAAGGAGAAATGAATGCTGGGGAGACAATTAGGAGATATCCACTTGACATGATTGTTATTTTCCTACCAGAAGGTAGGGCAGCGATGTGTTACAATCATCCATCTAAGTGGTGACTTAGGGTTCTTTATTTATAAAATGATGATATAAGGATACTTATAAAGATGATTTAAAAATCAGCCCAGCCTTTTTACAATCATAATAACTTAAAATTAGTTAGACTATTCTATTGACTTTGGAAAAAAATGTAAAGCTATTTACGTGCATTATCACATTTGCTTCTCACTATCTATTAGGAAACGAAAAAATTATTTGCCTCATTTGGTAATGAGGAAACTGAGGTCTAAAAAGGTTAAATATTTGCCTAAGTTTACACCTGTGTTTGAGCCAGGATTACAATCCCAGTCTTCTAACTCCTACTCCAGCGAACTCCTACTTCCCACCTTAATTTTTTGACTGTTCACATTAGAAAAAAAAAATAAAACCTTTCAATCATACAATGGTATTTTTATATAAAACTGGTTTCTATAATGGCTAAGGCAAAGTAGAATATTATCTAGTGTCTACCTTTCTGAGAGCTTTGTGTAGCTTGAATTAATCCTTCTGCTTGTATCTGAAGTGAATAGCCAGTTTAGAAAGTAAAATTTAAACGACGGTAACTGGTCTGAATGCACACTCTAGGTTTTAATCTCCATGTCTCTGTTGACATGTTAAAGCTATGCCAGAGAATCATATGGTGCCTTTTAGATGTCAGACAGAACCAGAGCATCATGATTCACAGCTGGCCAAGGGAAAGCTTGTAGAGGCAACAAGTTAATCATTCAGTTAAATTTGTCTTCTCTTTTCCATCTGACCCTTTCCTCTTATCTCTGACCCAGTATCCAGACTTTGTATTCCTACAGTATTGGCAATAACTTCTGCTGCTCTCTGAGGAAAGCTGGTACTGACCCTGCTCCTTATCCTTTATTCTTCCCTCCCCGATGCCATGCAATTTTACCTCTCCTCCAGGGCCTTGGAAACAACCTAACTCCTGGCCTCACATTCCTATTACCAACCTGGCATGACTGCCCCCTAGATTTGGAATCTGACTAGCCCTCTTATGCCAGTGCCTGGAAAAAGCTATTATTGACTGAGTTTTAATTTGGAAAATGCAAATATGCCTCATGTTCGTTTGTTTGAGACAACAGGCAACCTGCGCAGAACTCCTGAGACAAAGAACAAATCTAATTTTCATGCCAAGGCACTTGCAATTATCTAGAGATACCTTTCTTGATGCTGTCTTCATAGCTTGTAAACCTCTAGTGGCAATACTTGCTCAGAAACAATAATGCACACACTCAAAGGCCTCACACTGTAGAAGCTCCTGTGCTCATTCCAGCAGAGCTTTGCTATTTCATCTATGATCCAGGATATTATGAAGCAGCTGCATGGGAGCTATGCTTTTCATACAATAATAATACAAAAACACTAAAAAATAAAAATAATAAAAAAAAACATTTACAGCCACTACATTTGCAGAGAGCTAAACTAGCGTCAGTGCTCAGACCAGCAATCATTCCCCTGCTGTAGCTTGTACTGTCATCAAAAGCATCTTGGTGCTATACTCCCAACGCTGTCAGAGGACAGCGGAGGCCTTACTGCATGGGTTTTAGCTGTTTCCTTCAACCAACTCCTACATGTTTCCAAATGTGAGATTGGAGTTATTCTCTTTTCAGTGTCCGGTCAACCACTAGACAACAAAGTTACAGTCAGTGAATGAGAGAGAGTCAAAGTTAGAATGAGACAAAAAGTTAGGGAGAGAGAGAAGAAGGAAAGAGAGAAGGAAGGTCAAGAGGAGGGGTGTAGAGAATGCAATGATTTCTTGTGTTTTACAAAATAGTCTGTCTTAAGCCTCCTTCAAACCACAATCTAAAAGATGGCAGCTCATCCAATTGAAATCACAAAATGACTGTGAGGAAGAGGAAATTTGCAGGACTAGATGAGGAACTTGTTCCTTCCATGTTGTACTATGTCTATTACTGCTTGTTCCACTATAGAATCTATTAAGAGAAATTTGCCATCTGGAGGATTTAACTATATTTTTGGAAGGTCAGGAGTCTTACTGCCAGAATAGATCAGTTTTAAATTTTATGAAATCTGATGACTGTCATTAACAGTTTTATTCCTTCTTTGAAAGATGCTAAAGTTAAGTCAAGACTAAGAGGTACTCCTCTGTGGGGATTGATTTTCATTCCTTTTTGGGAGGACTAGCTTCATTCTAGGATTGAATAAGGAAGACTGGTCAGGCCTCCTGTGGCATCAAATGCTTGGTACCCAGCAAGCAGAGAAGCCCTATCCTGGGACATAAATATAGGAAGTGAAGTACCCTGACCAATGGGCTCTGACCCCTTCTCTTCACACTGGCTACTTGTTTTCAAACCTTGTTGCATTTTAAAATTATATGGGAGCTCATTAAAAAATATATATGCCAGGATGCCTCCCAGGAGTGAGCCTGATTGAATAAGCCTGGGAAGGTCTTAGCATCTATATTTTAACAAGCTCACCAATAATTCTGATACATGCTAAAGTTAGAGCCACTGCTCTAGGCTCACACTTCTCCCAATTCCGTTAAGTGGGTATGCTATACAATGTCCCTTCATCAAATTGCTTTTCTATGTAAATTGGTGTTTACTTGAAATAATCATGAGAAACTGATTGAAGATGAACAAGCCTTCAAATAAAGCTGTTTATGAGATACGAATTCTGTTCCAGGTGAACTCTGTTCCAGGTAAACTCAGCCTTTAATCATTGCAGCAGCTAACAACTACAAGAACACAAAGGGGGACAAAATACTAAATAGAACTCTGAAAACCCAACCCAAATACTGAATTACGTTGGCCACATCTCTCAAACCCTTAGTCCAAAACAAAAATGTCATTTATTGAGGCTGTTTTTGTATTTTCCCATTGACCATAGAAATATCACGTAAGCCTATTGCAACATTTGCCCTAGCAGGGGAGAAAAGTCTATTTTCTTCATTTTTGTCACTCTGAAGGGTATTTATATGCAACCAAAATTGTTGCTACTGAATAGCTTTAGAGGAGTTGCTGCTTTTAAACTGCTGTTGTCAAAATTTCCCACAAAGAAATCTATTTTAGTTGATTTTTATGGTAACACTATGCTTTTTTGTCTTTAACCTGTGACATTATAAGTATCTTTCTAGGGTGAAGCACATGTTTTTTGTAATCAGGGGAGTGAACTTTTGTTTCCATAGCTTTGTGTTTTAAGTATTAAATTGTCCTGTATTGGGTGATATAAAGTGTTAGTTTCAGTTTAACCAATAGTTAGCCCTGTGCTGATGAAATACATTTGTCTGGGTTCTTTGGTATGTAAACTAGGATATAAGTTTCTAGAATACCTCCAGTGCAATAGGATAGTTCCTAGATGACATGTGACATTTTGAGTGGGAGGAAGTTTCCAGGGAATTAAAAATATATCGTACCAACTGCTTTTGAATATCTTATGATCTACTTTAACATTGCTAGGTTAACTTGATAAAATTAAACTTACTTGACAGTTGGCCTCTGAGTAGAATATGGCTTTATCGGCTCTGGGCAAACCAAATCATCACATAATAATCTCTGCCAAAATGCATGCCCTTATTTGTAATCAAATGGCTTATCAACTGATAAATATCTTTCAGATGACATGTATGTTGCTTATTTTTCTGGGCAAAAGTAACATGTCTGTTCATATTGTATTATTTACTATGGCTCATGAATGCTGTCACTGTAAGACAGTTAAAATCAAGCATTATTGGTAATACCTGAAATGGTAAAGATTATTTTATTTGATGCTGCGTTCCCCTCCAGTTTCTTCAAACCTTTTTCTTTCTATGACAAAGTAATGGGAATTGACCTTCTTTCTTTGAAGACCAATATAACTCTCTTATTTTCCTTAATTATATTTTCAATTATAATTTCCTCACTCCCTCCTGGAAGCCTTAGTCTGTGGATGCTTCTTTTGACTCCTGGTATTGCCTTGGTGTCACTACCATTGTCCTTTATATTCCAAGATCATAAATAACTGCCTCTTGTTGGATTTTTTTAAAAAGGAAAGTTGCTGTTACTTCCCAAATTATTTTTCCTGGAATAAACACTAATGTTCTATAATGCTTTTCACATCAAATTAAGTAGTGATTATTCGAAGGCGAGAGTTATTTATTGCTGCATATCAAATTATTCTAAAACAGAGCAGTTTAAAACAAGATACGCTTATTACCTCATTCAGTTTTTGTGGGGCTGCAATCTGACAGCAGCTTATCTGAGTGATTCTGGATCAGAGTCTCATGATGTCACAGTCAAGATGTCAACTGGAGCTGCATTACCTAATGGCTTGATGGGAACTGGAGGACTTACTTCCTGCATGGTTCACTCATGTGGCTGGCAGGTTAATACTGGCTATGGGCAGGAGGCCTCAGTTCCTTACTACATGAACTTCCCTATACAGCTACTTGAGTAGCCTCATCATGCAGTGACTGGCTTCACTTAGAACAAGTGTTATAAGACAGAGTAAGGTGGAAGCCACATGTCTTTTATAACCTAGCTTGGAAGTCACACATCATATATCTTTATTTCTGCAATATCTTATTTGTTATACAAGTCAGCTCTTCTTAATATGAAAAATGAGTAAAGAAAGGTATGAATACCAAGAAGTGAGATTCACTGGATTCATTGAACCAGTAAAATTCATTGTTCATCTTGGAAGCTAGCTACTATAAGACTTCCTAACTCAATTTGTTTTTTCTTCCTTTAAGAACCTGAGAAAGATACTTTCGAGTTTTGAGGATGAGAGAATGTTTGAATGGCACAAAATTGTATTTTCAAGCAATTAAGGTGTTACTTAGGAAGAAACACAAGTTTGTGAAAGCTTTTCTTTAGTAGGTTTACCTTCATGTTCACCCAGAGCACAAAACAGGAGGCTAGATACTCACTTGCTGCTGCTACCTACAACCTAGTGCTCTTTCCCTGAATCTGCTGAACTGTTTCCCTTTGAAATAAAGGTATTGGGATTTGGGTAAGATGGCTAACTAGATGCAGCCAGGTGAAACAGCTGCCACAGAGGGGCCAGGATGACTGGCGAACTCCTAACTGATCTTCAGAGGGAAGGCACTGAGAGTGGACAGAGGGAAGACACAGAAGCTGGGCTGAAGTGGGAAGAACCAGAGAACCCTGCACATTGCTACAATAGACTGGGACTCATTCCTGGCCCCCAGTGACGCCAGGAAAATGGTTAAGTTTAGCTGGCAAAGAGCAAACCACTCTCACCATGGGCCTCTGGAATCCCACCAGGAGGAGACCCCTTGACAACTCCAGCATGGGCACTGGAGTTGTCAAGGAGAACTGCTTAGAGAAGTGGTAGGGGCAGTGCACCAGACAAAGCAGAGCCCATAGGGTTTGGAGCTGAAGGGTCTGTAGCAAAGCATGGTCAGGGATGCCCATCTCCCCAGGTTTGACTTCCTCCCATAGGAGACTTCAACCCTAGAGAAACTCAGACCTGAACTCTGCAGGGAAGTATGGCCCATCTGACAAGACTGGTCTAACCTGAGTGCCCCTTGGTCTTCCAGCCTCTCCAGGGGCCCCAGCCTGGCCATGCCTGCTTGCAGCGCAGTCTCGGGTGCCCTGGGGGCCTGCATCATAGCTCCTGCACTTGTGGACTATGCCTGACCAATGGAGAGCTCCAGGGGGGCAGCCCCCATGACCACACACCAGCCAGCCTGCTGTCTCCCCAAACTGCTGCTTCCTCTGGGCCCACAGCCACCCCCAACATTGATTTGCCAGTGCATGTGTGCATAGGAGATCTTGCCTTCCCTGCTCTGCCAGTGTGTGTGTGTATGTGCATCCTGCCCTGCCTCTGTGGTCCAGGGGAGTGCACTTTGCCTCCCCTTCCCTGTGATACCGTCATTGTAGTCAGAGCCTTGGAGGGCACCAGAGCCTGTAAGCATTGCCCTTGCCAGTGCCCCACCCCTGTGCCAACACTGCTGCCAGAGTGAAACTAGGCAGAGAGAATAGCAGACCCTCCCCCACCCTGAGCAGCCACAGGGCACACACAGACTTGAGCCTGCCAGCATCTTGCCCCCATGCTAATACCACCACCAGCATGACTGTGTGCACAGTCGCCAATGGGCCCCCACCCCAAGTTGTGCTTCCTCCACTGCTGCTGTGAATGCATGGAGGCAGGCACCCGACACCTGCTGCAGCCAATGAGCATGCACCCCACCATGATGTTGCTGCAGTTGGCACATGTGAACAAGGATAGGTCCTACTGCCACTGCCCTAGGAAACATTTTGGCTAACACCACCTATCAAAGTGTAGTTATCAGTGGTCAGGGAGCACCTCAGCCCCACCAGCACCAGTGGGTTCTTAACCTCAAGGAGCCAGAGAACAAAGTTGGTCCTGATACAAGTCCCCCAGAGTTACAGCATGTAATCTAGGAGTTGGGAGCTGAGCCTTAGCTCCCTAAAATCTTCCAGAAACAAAACCAGTTGACTGAATCCATCTTATACCACAATCAAACCCTCAAGGTCATCAAATAGGATAAAAGAAAAAAAAAACACCCAAAGGACAGCAACTTCAAAGAATGAGGAACACCAGCCCACCAAGATGAGAAAGAACTAGTTAAGAACTCTGACAACTCAAAAAGCCAGAGTGCCTTCTTTCCTACAAATGAGCACACTACCTCTCCAGCAAGGTTTCTGAACAAGGTTGAGATGGCTGAAATGTCAGAAATAGAATTCAGAATATGGTTAGGAATGAAGATCATTGAGATGAAGGAGTACATTGAAACCCAATTCAAGGAAGGTAAGAATCAAAATAAATTGATACAGGAGGTGACAGACAAAATAGCCAGTATAGAAAAGAATATAATCAACTTGATAGAGGTGAAAAACACTCTACAAGAATTTCATAATGCAATCACAAGTATTAATAGCAGACTAGACCAAGTTAAGGAGAAAATCTCAGAGTTTAAAGACTGGCTTTCTGAAATAAGACAGTCAGACAAGAATAGAGAAAAAATAATGAAAAGGAATAAACAAGACCTCTGAGAAATATGGAATTATGTAAAGAGATCAAATCTATGACTCATTGGTGTCCTGAAAGAGATGGAGAGAATGGAAGCAACTTGGAAAATGTATTTCAGGATATCATCTATGAGAACTTCTCCAACTTAGCTAGAGAGGCCAACATTCAAATTCAGGAAACACAGAGAACTCCAGTAAGATACTTCACAAGAAGATTATCCCCAAGACAAATAATCATCAATTCTCCAAGGTCAAAATGAAAAAAAAAAAAAGTTAAAAGCAGCTAGAAATGTCAAGTCACCCACAAAGGGAAGCCCATCAGACCAACAGTGCACCTCTCAGAAGAAACCCTACAAGACAAAAGAGGTTGGAGTCCAATATTCAGTATTCTTGAGGAAAAGAAATTCCAACCAAAAGTTTCATATCTGGCCAAACTAAACTTTATAAGTGAAGGAGAAAAACAAGCAAATGCTGAAGGAATTTGTTACCACCAGACCTGCCTTACAAGGGCTCCTGGAGGAAGCACTAAATACATAAAGGAAGATCATTACTAGCCACTACAAAACACAATGAAGTACACAGGCCAGTGACACTATAAAGCAATAACACAAACATCTGCACAATAACCAGCTAACATCTGCAAAATAACCAGCTAACATCATGATGACAGAATCAGACCCACACGTATCAATATTAACCTTGAATGTAACTGGACTAAATGCCCCCAATTAAAAGGTATAGAGCGGCAAGCTCAATAATGAACCAAGACCAAATGGTATGGTGTCTTCAAGACACCCATCTCACATGTAATGACACTCGTAGGCTCAAAATAAAGGGATAGAGGAAAATCTATCAAGTAAATAAAAAAACAAAAAAAGTCAGGGATTACAATCCTAATTTCAGATAAAACAGATTTAAAATCAGCAAACATCAAAAAAGACAAAGAAGGGTCTTACATAATAGTAAAGGGTTCAATTCAACAAGAAGACTTAACTATCCTAAGTATATATGCACCCAACACATAGAGACCTACAAAGAGACATAGACTCCACATAATAACAGTGAAAGACTTTAACACCACACTGACAGTATGAGACAGGTCAACAAGGCAGAAAATTAACAAAGATATTTGGGACCCAAACTGCACAATGGACCAAATGGACCTGATAGACCTTTACAGAACTCTCTACATAAAAACACAGAATATGCATTCTTCCCATTGCCACATGGCACATACTCTAAAATCCACCACACAATCAGACATAAAACAGTCCTCAGCAAATGCAAAAGAACTGAAATGATAACAATCAGTCTCTCAAACCACAGTGCAGTAAAAGTATAAATAAAGACTAACAAAATTGCTCAAAGCCAAACAAGTACGTGGAAATTGAATAACCTGCTCCTGAATAACTTTTGGGTAAATATTGAAATGAAGGGAGAAAATAAAAGTTCTTTGAAACTAATGAGACCAAAGACACAACATGTCATAATCTCTGTGACATAGCCAAGGCAATGTTAAGAGGGAAATTTATAGCACTAAATGCTCACACAAAGAAAGTTAGAAAGATCTCAATTTAACAAACTAACATCACAGCTGAAATGAATAGAGAAGCAAGAGCAAACCAACCCCAAAGCTAGCAAAAGACAAGAAACAAGCAAAATCAGAGCAGAACTAAAGGAGATTGAGACATGGAAAACCATTCAAAAAATCAATGAATCTAACAGTTTGTTTTTTAAGAAAATTAATAATATACGCCACTAGCTAGATTAATAAAGAAGAAAAGAGAAAAATTCCAAATAAACACAGTTAGAAATGACAAAGAAGATATTACCACTGACCCCACAGAAATACGAATAACCATCAGAGAATATTATAAAAATAAGCTAGAAAATCTAGAAGAAAGAGATAAATTATTGGACATTATACACTCTTCCCAGGGCTGAACCTGGAAGAAACTGAATGCCTGAACAGACTAATAATAACAAGCTTCAAAATTGAATCAACAAAAAGAAGCCCAGGACTATATGGAGCCACAGCCTATTCTACCAGATGTACAAAGAAAAGCTGGAACCACTCCTACTGAAACTATTCCAAAAAATTGAGGAGGAGGGACACCTCCATAACTGATTCTATGAGGCCAGAATCATTCTGACACCAAAACCTTGGAAAGACACAACAACAACAAAAAGAAAACTTCAGGCCAATATCCTTGATGAACACTGATGCAAAAATCCTCAACAAAATATTTGCAAACTGAACCCAGCAGCACATTGAAAAGCTAATCCACCATGATCAAGTAGGCTTTATCCTTGGGATGCAAGGTCAGTTCAACATACACAAATCAATAAGTGTGAATCATCACATCAACAGAATCAATACACAAACTCCATTATCTCAATAGATTCAGAAAAGGCTTCCAATAAAATTTAACATTCCTTCATGTTAAAAACTTTCAATAAATACTAGACATTGAAGGAACATACCTCAAAATAATAAGAGCAGTATATGACAAACCTACATAATACTGAATGGGCAAAAGCTGGAAGCATTCTTCCTAAAAACCAGCACAAGAGAAGGATGCCCTCTCTTACCACTTCTTTTCAACATAGTATTGGAAGTCCTGGACACAGTAATCAGGCAAAAGAAAGAAATAAAGGGCATCCACATAGGAAGAGAAAAGTCAAACTATCCCTGTTTACAAACGTGATTCTGTATCTAGAAAACCATATAGTCACAGCCCAAAAGCTCCTTAAGATAATAAACAACTTCATTGCAGCCTCAGGATACAAAATGAATGTACAAAAATCACTAGCATTTCTAGACACCAACAACCATCAAGCTGAGAACCATATCAGGAATGCAATCCCCTTCACAACTGCCACAAAAACAATAAAATACCTAGGAATAGAGCTAACCAGGGAGTTGAAAGATCTCTACAATAAGAACTACAAAACAACACACAAATAAATCACAGATGACACAAAAAAATGGACAAACATTCCATGCTCATGGATAGAAAGAATCAATATTATTAAAATGGCCAACTGCCCCAAGCAATTTATAGATTCAATGCTATTTCTATCAAACTACCAGTGACATTCTTCATGGGACTAGAAAAAGATATTTTTAAAATTTATATGAAACCAGAAAGAACCTAAATAGCCAAGGCAAACCTAAGAAAAAGAACAAAGCTGGAAGCATCATGCTACCTGACTTCAAACTATACTACAGAGATACAGTAAACAAAATAGCATGGTACTGGTACAAAAACAGACACATAGACCAATGGAACAGATTAGAGAGCCTTTAAATAAGGCCACACTCCTGCACTATCTGATCTTTGACAAAGCTGACAAAAACAAGCAATGGGGAAAGGCCTTCCTATTCAATAGATGATGCTGGGATAACCGGCTAGCCATGTGCAAAAGATTGAAACTCGACTGCTTCCTATACCATGTACAAAAATGAACTCAAGATAGACTTAAGGCTTAAATGTAAAACCCAAAACTATAAAAACCCTGGAAGATAATTTTGGCAATACCATTCTGGACATATGAATGGGCAAAGATTTCTTGACAAAGATGCCAAAAATAATTGCAACAAAAGCAAAAATTGACAAATGAGATCTAATTAAACCAAAGAGCTTCTGCACACCAAAAGAAACTATCAACAGAGTAAACAGATGATCTACAGAATGGGAGAAAATTTTTGCAAACTATGCATCTGGCAAAGATCTTATATCCAGCGTCTATAAGGAATTTAAACAAATTTACAAACAACCCCATTAAAAAGTGGACAAAATATATGGACACACGCTTTTCAAAAGAAGACATACATGCAGCCAACAAACATACGAAAGAAAGCTCAACATCACTGATTATTAGAGAAATGCAAATCAAAACTGTAATGAGATACTATCATGTTTCACATCAGTCAGAATGGCTATTACTAAAACATCAGAAAATAACAGGTACTGGTGAAGTTATGAAGAACAAGGAATGTATATACACTGTTGGTGGGAGTGTAAATTAATTAGACTATTGTGGAACACAGTATGGCAATTCCTCAAAGACCTAAACACAGAACTACCATTTGACCCAGCAATTCCATTACTGGGCATATACCCAAAGGAATATACATTTTTAATGTAAATTATTCTATCATAAAGATGCATGCCCATGTATGTTTATTGCAGCACTATTCACACTAACAAAGACATGGAATCAACCTAAGTGCCCATCAATGGTAGACTGGGTAAAGAAAATGTGGTACATATATACCATGAAATACTATGCAGCCATGAAAAAGAACAAGATCATGTCTTTTGAAGGAACATGGATAAAGCTGAAGGCCATTATTCTCAGCAAACTAATGCAGGAACAGGAAACCATGTAACACATGTTCTTATTTATAAGTGTGAGCCAAATGATGAGAACACATGGACACATAATGGGAAACAACAGATGCTGGGGCCTACTGGAGGTTGAAGGGTGGGAGGAAGGAGAGGATTCGAAAAATATAACTTTTGATACTAGGCTTAATACCTGGGTGACAAAATAATCTGTACAACACACCCCCATGACACAAGTTTACCTGTAAAACAAACTTGCACATGTACCCCTGAACTTAAAATTTTTTTTAAGATAGAAAGGCATTGAGTCCTATTCAAAACACAAGTTGGCTGGGCACAGTGACTTATTTCCTGTAATCCCAACACTTTGAGATGCTGTGGCAGGAGGATTGCTTAAGTCAAGAAGGTTGACAATGCAGTAAGCCATGATTATGCCACTGCACTCCAGCCTGGATGACACAGCAAGACTCTGTTTCAGAAAAATAAATAAACAACAACAATAAAAAAAAAACAGAAGTCCTAGCAATCTACCCTACTTTCCATGAATATTCAGATCTGAACCCATCTGTTAGTCTCTTTCTGTTGAAAAAGATAAAGTTGTTTATATTATCACTAACATTCCTTAACTCTTGAAACATCAGAGTAACTTAAATGTGTGTCAGTCAAATAGGTGAATAAGAATTACAATGAAATGCTATGGGTATTCAGGTAACATACGGTTTGGGTATTGGACCATGGCTCAGTTTGTGTCCCTGTGGACAAAGAAAGGAAAAAAAGATTAAGGACAGTCAAAGGATATCAATGGTGAAATACTAAAAGCAATTCCATTT
The DNA here is from genome assembly GCF_000001405.40 of Homo sapiens. Classification (NCBI taxonomy): domain Eukaryota; kingdom Metazoa; phylum Chordata; class Mammalia; order Primates; family Hominidae; genus Homo; species Homo sapiens. The sequence goes on from NC_000006.12 coordinate 113,255,285, forward strand.
TAGTTTGGGTACAGGAAAAGAATATCTGCTATTGTCGCTTCTGTTCAAATTGTACTGGGGAAACTAGCCAGTCCAATAAGGCAAGACAAAGAAAGAAAAAATGTAAGATTGGAAAGCAAAGAAAGAAATTGTTCAATATTTGCATGAAACAATACTACACAGCTACAAAACCAAAGAATTTATAGACCATTAGTGTTAATGAGCTGGATACAAGGCTATATAAAAAATAATTAAGTATACCTCTATATATTAGAAACAAAACATAGAATACGCAATTTAAAAGTAACACAATTTATAATATAATTAAAGTCACCAACAATCTATAAATGCAATGAAATCCCAATAAAATCATGGCAGTTGTATTTGTGTAAATTGACAAATGCAAAGGGCCAAGAATAGCCACCAAGTAATCTTGAAGGAAAAGAACAAGGCTGGAAGATTTACACTCCCAGATTAAAAGTCTGTTATAAAGCTGTAGTAATTGAAACAGGGTAACATTAGTACAAGAATAAACAATTGATCTTGGAAAAGAAAAAAAGAGTCTGGAAACAGACCCATATATATATATGGTCACCTTAGTTTTGATAAGAGCAGCTTTCCAGTGCAGTGGGAAAAGAATGATTCTTTTAATAAATGAGAAAAATATCTGGATCCCTACCTCAGACCTTATACAAAAATCAATTTTGGGGTATTCTAGATATAAAAGCAAAATAGCAAAGCTTTTAAATGATCTTGAAGGAAAAATTTCTTTACTATAACACACAAAGCAGTACCTGTACATAAAACAATAAAATTTGGACTATGCTAAAATATAAAACTTTTGTATTTCAAAAGACACCATTAAGGGAATGAAAAAGCAACCCCCAAATTTTCTAAAGATAACTGCAAGAGGTATATCCAACTACAACACAAAGAAACACTCTATTCACAATATGTTTAAAAAATTAGTTTTTAAAAAAACCACTACAAAATCAATAAAACCACTACAAATCAATAAGAAATGAAAGAAAGCCCAACAGAAATAAAAGACAATATACTTCACATAAAGAGTATCAAATGTTCAATAACCATATGAAAAGAAATATCCCTGCTGGTCATCAAGGAAATTAAAATTCAAATCAAAATGTGATACCACTACACACACCAAAATGGCTAGAATGAAAAATTTAGAAAACACCAAGTTTTGGCAAGTATTTGAAGTAACCAGAGTCCCATACCTGCTGGAGGGAATATAAAACAGAAAAACTAATTTGGAAAATTCTTTGGCAGACTGTACTAAAACTGAGCATGTGTATACCAATGACTCTGAATACCATTTCTAGGGATATGTCCAACTCAGACACCTGCATAGGTTTACCAAAAGACATGTAGTGAATATTAATGACAGCACCATTCATAAAAGCCAGAAATTGAAAATTACTCATACACCCATCAACAATATAAAAGATATATAATTTGTGGTACATTCACATAATGAAACACTGTACATAACTGAGAATAAACATGCAACTACCCTCACCAATATAATTTAATAGCATGCCAGAGCTGACTTACCCCCACTAGCAAGAACTGTTAGCATCTCTTCCTAATCTGCGTTCAATGATGTCAAGTTGGCATCTTGAAATCAGCCATGGTGGGTGTATTTGTGCCACAGAAACCAGCAAATGCTACAAAGTAGGCGTTTTCTTCCCCCAAAGAGCTGGTTTACCAGCATACCACTGGTGCATTTCACAAGCATAATGAGAGTTAAAGAGTCTATTCACCAACAAAGCACATACTATGAAATTCAAAATAGAATTATAAAGTATTGATAGAAATCAATGTTAGAAATCAGGACAGTGGGTATCCTTGGGGAGAGTAGTAACTGGAAGGTAGCACAAAAAGTCTTCTAGAGCGTTGGCAGTGACCTGGTTTTTATTGTAACCTGGGGATCTAGTTAAACAGGTATGTAAAATTCAATCATTTTGTTTATGATATGTGCACTCTTATGTATATATATTATACTTCAATAAAAATATGGCATTGTTCAATCAATGGAATACCTGCCGATTTCAAAACTGTTGACCATTAGTCAACAAACTTTTTCTCTAAGTGATCAAATAGTGAATATTTTAGGCTTTGTGGGAGATGCAGTTACAGTCACAGCTACTCAATACTGCTATTGTAGCAAAAGCAGCCACAACCAATATGTAAACTAATGAGCGTTACTGTGTTCCAATAAAACTTTATTTAGATTTTACTTGCAGGCCTTAGTTAGCCAATCCTTGTGCTAATTGATATCTAATTAAATTTGGCATACCCAGTTAGAAAACGTCCTCACAATGATCTAATTCAACCTCTTTAATTTATGGAAAAAGGCAACAGATCCTCAGAGAGCACAAGTGAGCTGCCTACATCACAGCTACCTGGGTGAGACTTCTGACTTCTCAGACAACAGCTTCTCCAGATTTCCAGACCTTTCATTTGCACTTTTCTAATAGTCTATATTTTATACATCAAGGATCAATAAACCTTTTATATTTGTAGGGAAAATTTTAAAGTGGTTCTAAGTATTTTCCTGTTTGTCTGGCACCAGGTAAAATATGAATTACAAAATTGCATATGCTAAACTTAGGTATTTTGTCCCTGTGCCAATGTTGTGAAAGAATAGGTATGTTTTACAAGAACAAGGAAAAGAAGCATCATTCCCAGAGATACTGTTTTCATAGCCACCCACTACCTAGAAGTTATTCATGTCCAAAATTAGGAAGAGAAAATTAAAGTCCTTTCCTTTAATCCTTTTTGGCTGACACCAAAAAGAAATGGTGAGAACTATTGGGTTCCAGCTGTCCTAACTGACCAGAACGTTGTGACCATCAAAGGGTCCCCACAGGTAGGTAGAGCAAATGGTCATTGCAGTAGATTTCAGCAAGTTGGGAAAGAGAGGAGGCATCGACGATTACAGACCTTGTGGTCATACCATCTAAAGGGGCTTTCTTGGGTAGACTTCCAGGAAAAGTTAAGATGCAAAGAGCAGCACAAGATGAAAGCCCAGTAGTTTAGTGTCACTTAAGAAAACCGATCCTAGCAAAGATTAATGCAGAGTTCTAAGTGAATGCATAAAAGATTTTTACGGGTATATGGAGAGGAATGTCTCCCATTCAGAAGCCTAATGCAAAGCACAAGAGTGCAAATGTGGAGAGACAAAGAGATGAAATTCAAATGAATTTCAGAAAGAGTAAAAGCAGATGCTGTTCTTAAGTTACGCAGCTTAATACACTGGGAACTAGACTTCAGGAAGTGCAAAGGCATCCAGAGGCCTGGAACCATTAAGTTTAAATGAACTATTGTAGTAGAAGATGCCTTGTTTGTTCATTCATTGCATTGAGCACCACTGCATACTAGGCATGTGAAAAAAAAAAGTATGATCTGCATGGAAAGGACCACATTAACAAAATGAGAACTTGGTTCAGCACTGCCCCTGCTTCTAGTCACAAACAGTAGAAAAATACACCTATTACTTGTTAAAAGTGGAGAACAAATAAGAATTTCATCTGTGTGTCCCACATTTTTGCCATGTTATTTAAGTGCCCATGCTCAATGTGTGGGGAAAACACCACAGATTTACTTCATCATAATGCCAAGGGCAAGGGAAATGTTTATTTATTTTGTCTATTACTGCTCTGATTTTCCTTAGGCATTCCCACTGCCTAGGAGGCAGGGGATAAGATAACAAACGTCCAACTAGTTTATAAACTTGAGTGATAAAATTAAACAGTCCCTTTAGGTCATGATTAGTTTGGAGGAATACTGCTCAGTCTCTTAGTTCTGTACTCTTCTCTTTAAGATGGAGTTAGGGATATGTAAGGAAGGGGTTGGTGTGATCCTGTGGGTAGAGGGAAGACTCAGCTGATTCATGCAGCATCACCTGGGTTTTGGATGGCTCTGGCTGCAGTGTTTGGTCTGTATCCCTGAGTGTGCATTCTGCACCTCTGTGGGTAATGTCTACTTCCTTTTGTCTGGGATCTACTCTTTCTCAGCTCAATGGCCTCACTCCGTGGGCTCAGTCTCCCCTTCCTGCTGAGTCTCTGCTGTATGTGCCAGTTGGCCTGGTTGCTCTCAAGCCAACTTCTGAAGCAGAGGGTCACCTTGCTCTTGCTCCAGCAGAGCCCGTGGTGGGTTTTCTGGCTCTCAACATAGTGCCCTGTGTGACTGGCACGTCGGACACACTGGTCTCACAGGAGGTTAATTCATGGGAAGAAACCTGATACTCTTTATTAAAGGTTGATTTTTCTTTCTTCCTCCAGTTTGGGCCTATGGCAATAGGCTGGACTCCTGAGGAGAATGATATGGTTTGGCTGTGTCCCCATCCAAATCTCATCTTGAATTGTAGCTTCTATAATTCCCACATGCTGTGGGAGGGACCCGGTGGGAAATAATTGAATCATGGAGGCAGTTTGCCCCATACTGGTCTCATGGTAGTGAATAAATCTCACAAGATCTAATGGTTTTATAAGGGGAAGCCACTTTCACTTGGTTCTCTGTCTTTCTTGTCTGCCACCATGTAAGACATGACTTTCACCTTTGGCCATGATTATGAGGCCTCTCCAGCCACATGGAACTGTGATTCCTTTTAACCTCTTTTTCTTTATAAATTACTCAGTCTCAGGTATGTCTTTATCAGCACCATGAAAACAGACTAATACAGAGAGAAGCAGTGTGTGATTGGTTGCCTCCTTTATTCCCTCTCTTAGGCTTCTTCTTCTTCCTTCCATCCACTGGGCTGTGGAATAAAGAAGAGGAAGAAAAGGAAGGGCAGATGCATCTTTTTTGGCTGGCACTGATGTCATCTGGCACTAGTTTTCTCTGGCCGCAGCAGATGTTTTAGCCTCTTATGGGCACTTCTGTCCTCCTAATTCTTCAGCTGGCCCCTCTGAGTGCAGCCCTTCCACTCAGGTAGGGCCCCTGCCTTGCTGCTTCCTTGGCTTCCTATACATCAGCACATCTTTAGTTCTTCCTGCCACAGATGTCTTGCCCCACGGAAGAGGCCCTCCTGAGCTTTATCCCTTTTAAAATAGCCCCTGGCCAATGTTTCTACTGCAAGACCCACATCTGGTTTTAACGAATCAGAGCCCTTGATCATCTCTCAGTGAGGGTACAGTTGGCTCCCCAGAGCAGCCCTATCTACTTATTGGCCTCTTCAGGCAGCTGCTTAGCATTTTTCAAGCTTGAAACAGAAGTCTACTGTGTCCCCCAAACTCTCTGGGGAAAGTTTAAACTGAATTTAGCCACTTTATTGTTGACATTATCATTTTTTATTTTGAAACTATGTAAAACCAAACCAGCTCTAACTGAGCCTCAATGTTTCCTTCCCTTGAAGCATCCCACCGGATACTCAGCTGAGGGAAGCCTCCTTCCTGGATGTGGTGGCTGAGAGATAGTTCCCCCAGCTGGAGTATGTTTGTTGGTTCTTTGATACTCGTGTTGTAGCCCTCATCATGTTATATAATTGTCTATGTGTGTGTCTGTCTACCCCACTAAACTCTCAGTACCCAGAGGACACAGACTTCATCAGCAGATGAAATGATTCACCATCATTTCCAGAAAATAGCATATGTATCCTCAATGGAGGTGATATCACCTCCAAAGGGGGTAAAGAAACTTTGACAATACAACAGCTTATAATCTTCCAAAAGATGCAAATCTATATACAGACACACAGTATATCTGTGGTCCTAAAATTTCATGGGAAAGGAGAACAATCAGGAAGATAATGTTGATAATGAAAAAAGGTTGACAAACACTGACCTATCACAATATAGACAACAATAAATATGCATTTTTAAGTGCATAAATGAATGAATGAACCTAGCCCTGATCACAGTAATTTTTCCTTTTAGTGCTTTCTGGTGGTTTTTCATGGGTCCAATGGTTCATTCTCTAAAGCCATCTCCTACTCCTTTACACAACCACGAATTTGGTGTGTATTACTGCAAAAGCATCAAGCCAAGATGAAACAGCCTTTTGATTTATTAGTCTAGGTGGAGCCCATGACATCTCTTTTATGAATACCTCCTATTTAGTGTCTTTGTTCTCAAGAGTGTAAAGGCATCCAACCATGTTGGCTTATAGTTATAATGTAGTTTGCTATAACCTGTGTCACCCTCTGAAAAGTTTCACTAGTAGCATTGACAATTCAGATATGAGTGTGATTTTTTCTTTTAATTTTTCAGTATTGCCAAATTAATTCTTTTCAAAAGGGAAAGTGTTTGAGCAATGTCTATGTATGTGAATATATGTTTTATATGCATAGGCACTTGTAAACATTTATCTATATAAACTCTAGGTAAACTTTGACCTAATATTACCCATAGACATATACAATCATTAAAAATAAATAACAGTCACAAAGTAGTACATTGATAATGTTATAATTCTTATAAATAATAAATATTTAGAAAACAAAATGATCAATAATTTCCTGAGATGATATTATGTAGAGATCAGTAGATCATATATTAGAAGACAAATTGGAACCAAGTTTAATATCAGTTAAGAAATTATTGAACACATTTTATTTCAGAAACAAAGAAAAAAGAGTAATGATACTTAAACTATGAATGACTTTGTTCAGTTTGAGACACCACAGCTATTGTATAAAAATGATATTAGCCTAGTTTTATAAGTTGATAAATTAAGGTTCTGAAAAAATTAAGTGATTTTCCTAAGGTCCCAGTATGAGGGAATAGCAAAAAAGTAGATTAAAATTTAGGGACCTGTGCTTTTCTGTCTCAGAAGTGAATTTTCCAATCTTTTATGTAGATTTATTCCAAACTAAAACTTAAGAAAAGTGCAGTTATTGTAACAACCTGGAGGAATTACATTAAAATTTGTAACTGAGATTGACCTTGATTCATTCACATATGTCCACTCCACATTCAGGTAGCAGCATTCATTGTCTGAAGAAAGGAGTGATGCAGCAGAATATGGAAACCAATTCTTGACTTAAAAATTTTAAAATAATTTAGTGCATAGAAAAAGTTTTAATGAATGAAGAATATGAGCAATCTCATTTCTGGGTATATATTCAAAAGAAAATAAATTGTTTACCAAAAAGACACTTGCACTTTTGTATGTTCATTGCAGCAATATTCACAATAGCAGACATGGAATCAACCCAGATACCTATCCATGGTGGACTGGATAAATAAATAAATAAATAAATAATAAAACCTGTTACATATGCTGTATGGAATATTATGCAGCCATAAACAAGAATAAAATGATGTTCTTTGCAGGAAAATGGATGGAGCTAGAGGCCATTGTCCTTAGTGAATTAACACAGGAACAGAAAAATCAAATACCACATGTTCTCACTTATAAGTGGGAGCTAAACATTGGGTATTCATGGGCATGGGCATAAAGATGGCAACAATAAACACTGGAAATTACCAGAGAGGGTAGGAAGGGAAGGGGGCATGGGCTTGAAAAACTAACTATTGGGTACCATGTTCACTATCTGGGTGACAAGATCATTCATACCAAAAACCTCAGCATCACACAATATACCCATGTAACAAACCTGTACATCCACCTCCTGAACCAAAATTAAAGTCAAAATTACGAAAAAAAAATGTAAAAAGTAAAATAAAGACTGAAGAATGTTAATTAGAAAATATTTTTCTTCCTATCAACCTTTCCTCGCCCCAGATTATATAGATTCTAGAGTCATACTATCCAATATCATAGCCATTAGCCACTAGTAGTTATTAGAATTTAAATTAATTAAAACATATAAAACACACAATTCAGTTCTTCAGCCTCACTAGTGACATTTCAAGTGCTCAATAGCCACCTGTGGCTAGTGGCTACCATGTTGGATTGCACAAATATAGAACATTTCCATCATCACAATCCTACTGGACAACACCTCTCTAGCAACTGAAATGAAGTTGAGGAAGAGGGAAGAGGATTAGAAATTAAATGATGGGTGAGGCATTAGTTTGTGTCCCTGAGAAAATGTTGAGTCATTTCACCCACACATCAACATAGGAGTAGATGTTTGAACTGAGATCTGAGGGTCCCATATTTGACACAGGTAGTGTCTAAGAAAACAGCAAAATTCCAGAATTCTCCATGCCCCAGTGCTGAGACCAGTTCAGTCATCAAGACCCTAACACAGTGGCGCTAGTGGAATTAAAGACACACACACAGAAATATAGAGTGTGGAGTGGGAAATCAGGGGTCTCACAGCCTACAGAGCTGAGAGCCTCAAACAGAGATTTACACACATATTTATTGAGAGTAAGCAAGTGATAAGCCTTGTTTCTGTAGATTATAGATTAACTAAAAGTATTCCTTATGGGAAACAAAGGGATGGGCCGAAATAAAGGGATGGGCTTTGGGTAGTTATCTGCAACAGGAGCATGTTCTTAAGGCACAGATTGCTCATGCTATTGTTTGTGGTTTAAGAATGCCTTTAAGCGGTTTTCCACCCTGTGTGGGCCAGGTTTTCCTCGCCCTCATTCCGGTAAACCCACAACCTTCTAGCATGGGCATCATGGCCATCACGAACATGTCACAGTGTTGCAGAGATTTTGTTTATGGCCAGTTTTGGGGCCAGTTTATGGCCAGATTTGGGGGGCCTACTCCCAACATATCCCCCTTCTTTGATTTGCAAAACGATAAAAGCAAATACAGCTTTGTCACAGTGAGCTACTTCTTGCAGGAGTCAAGTTCCACATCTGCAGACTATACAAAGACAAGCAACACAGATTAAAAGTACAATCATCATTGAAGTCACAGAGCTTCCAAGTGTTTTTATCCACTTTAATGGGTCACTAGCTGCTAATCTGTCTGCACCTCCTTCAAGCACTCCAGTTTCTGGCATTAAGGTCAGGTGTGCCTGAGATGCTTTAAATATTTGTTCTCAAATTTTGATCTTATTAAGAGTCATTAATAGTTTTCACAAATCCTTATGTTTAGCTCCTACAACAGGCTATATCATTTGAGGTTGAGGTGCCACTATACCGCCATGGTTCCAAATAATAGGAACTCTTGCCATACTTCCTACCATTTCTACCATCTGACCATTTTGTTCAGACCAGCTGAACATAGTACGACCATGGCACTCAGACTGAGGTGCAATTCAAGCTAAACATCCCCTTAGGGGACCAATCAATAATGATTCCACAGGAGTTGTTGTGCAGCACCTCTGCCTGTTCTGCAATGCAATCTTCCTAAAGAAGTACGTTCATTTTTTCTGGCCAAGTTCAATTTTGTTTATAAACAGGTTTTTGAGGGTGGTATGCCTCAATTATAGGAGCAGATTTATTATGGTAAATACTGAGATCAGAAAGCATGTGTAACTGTGTCATACAGTGATTACATCCAGGCATTATTGCCAGCCAAGATTGATAAATATGCCCAATAAGTATAACTGTTCTCTGTGTCAGCCCTTGTTGAAGGAATACTCATGGCAATGGTGATCACCACTATCATATCTATCATTAAATTACTCACTGTGACTGGTTGTCCTGCTTTCCTCAGGTTTTCTTCCACCATCTGTGACAGCTTCTTGATCTGTCCGCACATGGGTGGCTGTGTTTGACTGGTGTTGCTCATGACAGTTGGGGTCCTCCTCAGCATCAGTCTCGACATGGCTGCAATCAGGGGGTCCTCAGGATCCTCCTGGAATCTCTTCCTCAACATCTGGCTCATGATAAGGTTTCAGGTGTCTTGATGGTATCCAAATTGGCTGTTGATTCGGTCCTGGAGAAACACAAGCATAACCTCTACCCTAAGTTATTATTTTACCTATTTCCCAACTTGTTGTTATCCAAAGTGGGAAAAGGTGACCACACACACATAACAATAAGCTAGTCTCCCAAACAAGGCAACATGTGTGACATCCATTTGCCAAAGAGAATTAGGTTCCAATCCTCAAGGATTAACTCCTCCTGTAAAAGATGAGGAATGTACCATTTGGCAAGCTGGGCATCGCTGGATAATAGCTTTAGTTTCTTTCCAGGTAATCCTGTATCTGCATTTGAGACTAGAGGCATTAACATGGGTTAAATTGTGAAAATGTCTAGCCTTAGATATTGCATTAGCAACTAGGTGATCAGCCATTTGATTCCCCTCAGTCAAGGGTCCTGGAAGAGGTGTATGAGCCCTAATGTGAGTGATGTAAAAAGGGTGCATTCAGGCCAGGTGCGCTGGCTCATGCCTGTAATCCCAGCACTTTGGGAGGCCGAGGCGGGTGGATCACAAGTTCGGGAGATCGAGACCAACCTGACTAACACAGTGAAACCCAGTCTCTACTAAAAATACAAAAAAAAAAAAAATTAGCCAGGCATAGTGGTGGGGACCTGTGGTCCCAGCTACTTGGGAAGCTGAGGCAGGAGAATGGCGTGAACCTGGGAGGCGGAACTTGCAGTGAGCTGAGATTGCACCAGTGCACTCCAGCCTGGGCCACTGAGCAAGACTCTGTCAAAAAAACAAAAAGGGTGCATTCTACTCCTAACTGCTGTTTGCAATTGGGTAAATAAAGTCATCAGTTGTTCATCTGTATGAAATCATAACTGAGCATTTTCAATTAACTGTGTGGAATGAATCACATATGAAGAATCAGAAATCATATTAATAGGCATATCAAAAGCGGTCAATACCTAAATTACAGCTACAAGCTCTGCTTTTTGAGCTGAAGTATAGGGCATCTGAAAAACTTTACATTTTGATCCAGAATAAGAAACTTTACCATTACTAGACCCATCTGTAAAACAATGAAAATGCTTAGCAGGCTGCAGGTTGTTCGCTGCAGGAATTGTAAAAGTAAACTGTTCACAGTCTTGCTCAGCTAAGGGGCTAGTAAAGAAACAGCCTTTTAAATCTATGACTATTAAAAGCCAATTTTTTGTAATTATAGCAGGAGGAGGCAATCTCGGCTGTAATGCTCCCATAGGTTGTAAAACTGAATTGTTGGCTCTTAAGTCAGTTAACATTCTCCATTTACCTGATTTTTTCTTAATTACAAAAACTGAAGAATTCCAAGGGGAAAATGTTGGAGCTATGTGCCCATTATCTAATTGTTCAGTAACTAATTCCTCTAAAGCCTCCAGTTTCTCTTTACTTAGTGGCCATTGTTCAATCCAAATTGGCTTATCTGTTAACCATTTTAAAGGTATAGGTTTTGGAGGCTTAAAAATGGCCACCATCAAAAATGATATCCTAAACCTTGGTGGGAACTTTGTCTTTCCTCTTGAAGCCGTTCTTTCAAACCTTGCAAATTTTTTCCTAGTACCATACCAGGGACATACCCCATTTCATGCATCATATGTTGATTTTGAAGGCTATATAATTGTTCCAGAATTAGAAGTTGTGCTCCCTATTGCTGTAATAAATCTCTCCCCTATAAATTTATAGGTACAGAAGTTATAAGTGGTTGAATAGTCCCAGGTTGTCCATCGGGCCCTTCACAATGCAAAATATAACCACTGTGATATACTTTGGGGGCGTTACCAACTCCAACTATGTTATATTGAGTGGGTTGAATTGGCCACGTTGATGGCCAGTGCTGTAGAGAAATGATTGAAATGTCTGCTCCTGTATTTACCAAGCCTTTAAATTTCTTTCCCTGAATAGTTACTTCACAGGTAGGACATTTATCAGTAATTTGATTTACCCAATAAGCTGCTTTGCCTTGTTTATTCATGCTTCCAAATCCTCCTGTTCATTTAATTTCACTTTTCCCCCTTTCCACATATGGCACAATCAGGAGCTGTGCTATGCGCTCTCCTGGCTCTGCTTTCCAGGGAACAAAAGTAGATATAACAATTTGAATTTCCATATTGTAATCTGAATCAATGACTCCTGTTTGTACTTGTACCCCTTTTAAATTTAAACTAGACCTTCCTAAAAGTAATTTTATCATCCCCACTGGCAAGTGTCCATGGACCGCTGTTGGGACCTTTTGCAGGGATTCCCCAGGCAGAAGGCTCACAGCTTTTGTGCAGCATAAATCTACTGTGGCACTACTGGCTGTGGTCGGGGACAAACCTTGTACAGGGGTGAGGGAATGGCCTGAGCCGAAAATGCCCCAGTTTGGAACAAGGCCAGGGATGGGCCCCTCATGGTGTATCCCAAATTTAAAAGGAAAAGGCTCAAATGTAGCTATAATATTTCCCTGTTGATCTGGAGGGTGTATTCTAACAGGGAACTGCCAAGCCTCTAAATCACCCTCTCATCTAGCTTGCTGAATTCCTGCCTGAATAGAATGCAGAGCAGTCACTCAAGGTGCTGCTCAAATAGTCACTGGGGCAAATACTTTTCACCCAGTGTCCTCTGGGAAAGAAAGATCTGGAGGGTCAGGCCACTCTTTTTCTTCAAAATAATAATGAGGGGGTGAAGAAGGGTAGGGATGAACCTCTCCCTCCTTTACCACTTTAGCTTTAGCTGCAAACAAACCTGCTCTATAACGTCTTCTGTTACTTTGTTATACTCCCCTTCCTCCACATGATCAGTGTGAAAAGGTTCCAAGGTGGAACGAACCAGAGCTCAAACTTGTCCCATTGTTACCCTGATGCTTCCAAACTCCCCTTGTTACTCGCCATGGGGATTGCTTTAAGAGTACTCAGGTGTCCTCCACCTTAGTTCCACATTCTCCAACGATTGCTCCAGCGACCCTTCAACCAGGGTTTGAGCCCCATGTTCAGCGCCACTTGCTGAGACTAGCTCAGTTATTGAGACCCTAACCCAGCGGTGATAGAGGAATTAAAGACACACACACAGAAATATAGAGTGTGGAGTGGGAAATCAGGGGTTTCACAGCATTCAAAGTTGAGAGCCTCAAACAGAGATTTACCCACATATTTATTGACAGTGAGCAAGTGATAAGCATTGTTTCTATAAATTATAGATTAACTAAAAGTATTCCTTATGAGAAACAAAGGGATGGGCTGAAATAAAGGGATGGGCTCTGGCTATTTATCTGCAGCAGGAGCATGTCCTTAAGGCACAGATTGCTCATGCTATTGTTTGTGGTTTAAGACCACCTTTAAGCAGTTTTCCACCCTGGGTGGGCCAGGTGTTCCTTGCCGTCATTCCGGTAAACCCACAACCTTCCAGTGTGGGCATCATGGCCATCACGAACATGTCACAGTGCTGAAGAGATTTTGTTTATGGTCAGTTTTGGGGGCAGTTTATGGCCAGATTTGGGGCCATACCCCAGCTCAGCACAGAAGCAGGATTAGTGATGGAAGAGGTTATCTTGGCAGATGACCTTGGGATGATCCCATGGAGTTCCCATGTATATTTGTATGGCCCAGGGCACAGTCAAACATTATTTCTTCTAGGTTCAAAAGGAGAACAGATATACATGCATACAACATTTTATTGCATTTATTTTTATTGTTCTTTGCAGCTATTATGTTTTTCACAAATTGAAGGTTTGTAGCATCTTTGCCTCCAAGAAGTCTATCAGCACTCTTTTTCTAACAGCATGCACTTACTTTGCATCTCTGTGTCATACTTTGGTAATTCCTGCAATATTTCAAACTTTTTCATTATTATTATATCTCTTATGGTGATCCATGATCAGTAATCTTTTATGTTATTATGTAATTGTTTGAGAGGTCCACAAACCATGCCCATATAAGACAGTGAACTTTATTTTAAAAATGTGTGTGTTCTGCCTGCTGCACCAATTGACTGTTCCCCCTTCTTTGTCCCTCTCTTCAGGTCACCTTATTCCCTGAGACACAAAAATATTGATATTAAACCAGTTACTAACCCCACAATTGTCCCTAAATATTCATGTGAAAGGAATAATTACACGTCTCACTTCAAATCAAAAACTTGAAATAAATGATTAGGTTTAGTGAGGAAAGCATGTCAAAAGAAGAAATAGGCTGAAAACTAGGCTTCTTGCTCCAATTTTTTAGTCAAGTTGTGAATGCAAAGGAAAAATTTTTGAAGAAAATTTAAAGTTCTCCACTGAGCACACAAATGATAAGAAAGCAAAACAGACATTGCTGATATAAAAAAAGAAGTTTTAGTGGACTCCATAGAAGATACAAACAGCCAAACATTTCCTTAAGCCACAAACCTTAATTTGGAGAAAGGTCCTAACTTTCTTTAATTCTATGAATGTTGAATGAGGAAGCTGCAGAAGAAAAGCTGAAGCTAGCAGAATTGGCTCATGAGGTTTAAGGAAAGAATCCCTCTTTATAACATAAAAGTGCAAGGTGAAGCACCAAGTGCTGATGTGGAAGCTGCAGCAAGTTATCCAGAAGATCTAGCCAACATCACTAATGAAGGTGGTAACACTAAACATATTGTCAATGTAGACAACACAGCCTTCTATTGGAAGAAGATGTCATCTAGGACTTTAAGAGCTAGAGAGAATTCAATGCCTGGCTTCAAAACTTCAAAGGACAGGCTGACTGTTTTCTTAGGGGCTAACTGAGCTGGTGAGTTTAAATTAGAGCTTATGCTCGTTTATCATTCTGAACATCCCAAGGTTTTTAAGAATTATGCTAAATCTACTCTGCCTGTGCTCTACAAATGGAAACACAAAACTTGGATGGTAGCACATCTGTTTACAGCATGGCTGACTGAATATTTTAAGGCCACTGTTGAGACCTACTGCTTGGGAAGAAAATATCCCTTTCAAAAAATTACCATTTAATAATAATGCACCTGGTCAACTAAGAACTCTGATGGAGATACACAAGGAGATTAATGATGTTTTCATGCCTGCTGACACAATATTCATTCTGCAGCCCATACATCAGGCATAATTTTAATTTTCAAGTCTCATTATTTAAGACAAGCTTGTCCAATCCATGGCCTGTGGGCCACATGCAGCACAGGACAGCTTTGAATGCAGCCCAACACAAATCTGTAAACTTTCTTAAAACATTATGAGATTTTTGTTTATTTTTTTTAGCTCATCAGCTATCATTAGTATTAGTATTTTATGTGTGACCTAAGAAAATTCTTCTTCTTCCAATGTTTCCCAGGGAAGTCAAAAGATTGGACAACATTGATTTAAGAAATACATTTTGTAAGGCTCTAGCTACCATAGATAGTGATTCCCCTGATGGATCTGGGCAAAGTAAACTGAAAGCCTTCTGGAAAGGATTTACCATTCTAGATGTCATTAAAAACATTTGTGATTTACAAAAGGTTGTCAAGATACCAACATTAACAGGAGTTTAGAAGAAATTAATTTCAACCCTCAAGGATGACTTTGAGGGGTTTAGGACTTCAGTGGAGGAAATCACTGCAGATGTGATGGAAATAGCAAGAGAACTAAAACTGGAAATGGAGCCTGAAGATGTGACTGAATTGCTATAATCTTGTGATCAAACTTGAACAAATGAAGAGTTACTTCTTATGGATGAGCAAAGTAAGTGTTCCTGAGATGGAATCTACTCCTTGTGAAGATGCTGTGAACATTATTGTAATGACAACAAACAATTTAGACTATTACATAAACTTAGTCGATAAAGCAATGGCAGGGTTTGAGATAACTGACTCCACTTTTGAAAGAAGTTCTAAAGTGGGTAAAATGTTATCAAACACCATTATATGCTACAGGTAAATCTACCATGTAAGGAAGAGAGAGCCATTTTGGGGTACTTGGTGATGACTCCAAACTTTCTCTTTTCCTTCCTCTCATTTTCTTTCTTCGATCTGTTTTGTTTTCTCTCCTCTTTATCATGCTATAGACGTGTTCATGTATACATATGTATAGATGTGTTCACGTGTACATATGTAAATGTTTGCATCATTTACAAGCCTAAAAACAACACCTAATGTCATGTAGATCACACATCTAAATGATTGACAAAAGTCTCACTTTACATTAAAAATGTTTTAAAGTACTATAGATACAAATAATGTTCAGAAAAGAGACCTCAATGGACTGTAACATAGCTCAGAGTGCAGCAAAACAAACTTTACTCATTAAAGGAGACCACCAAAGGAGAGAGTCCATTTCTGCTGGAAATTTACTATGAACCAATACAGGTAAAATTTCTGCCTTGAGGACCCATGAGTTACACTTATTCTACTGCTTCTCAGTCTCTAATCTGGAGGAAATAAATTCAAAATTAACCACTCTGCAAGTGCTTTGCAATTATCATCTTCTTTGCATGTGTTTCCCGTAAGTGTTCTAGCAAAGCAGAGTTGCTACTGCAATAGTAGAGATTCACATTAGGTGTTTTTTGAAACATGCTGAATATTGGCTCTAGATGCCTTTTCCAAATGAATTTGTGTTGTTACAGGAAGATTTTTTTTTGTATAAAATGTTGTAAACTCTTCCAAGGCATGCCAGACCTTGAACTCTAGGGAAATGTGGTCTGGAAGTTTGAGAAGGCACATTACTTCCTCAACTTTACTTTTTGTTCCAGATGGAAGTACTTAAATGAAGTCATAGCCTTGTGTGCATGGAGCAGAGGCCAAGAAAAAGAAATACAAACAGCTGTTCCCATATATGTATGTCTTGATACACATATATATGTATATGTGTGTATATATACACACACACACACATATATATACACATATACATGCACGTATGAATTTCTCCCCAAGTAAGTAGTGAACTAGTTTCATTAATACTTAAAAATTTGTTTCTTATATAATTATCATGGTTTTCAAAGCACTCATACACACAGATATAAACATACATATATGATCATCCTAGATATTTTATAAAGTAACTAAGACATATTAATTATTATCCCCATTTTGTAAATACAATATAACAAAGAAAACAATTTGCTTAGGATCACAATTGACTGGTGACAGAGTTAGAATTGAAATCCAAAATTCTAGGTTCTTATTTCAGTGCTCTGAGCTCTGTACTTTAGAAGAATTTGCTGCTCCAAGAGGGAATATAGTTCTTCTTTAATATGATGGCATGTTGATTGCCAAAGGATGGCATATAAAACAAGAAGCTTTCTACATAGATCACTTTTACCTATCCTTTGGAAGTAAAGATAATTATCAATGTCCAGCCCAGTTTGGTGAATTGCTCTATCTGGGAATTCGATTTTCCAACAGGGCTTCTCAAAGGAGGTTGTTAACAAAATAACTAAATCAATTGTCCAGGCCTTCCTTTGACATAAAGGCAAACCAGAAATTTGAATTTCTTGTTTTATCATGAGAAATATGGAATGTGTGAAAATAAATGGCAGAATCATAAGCCAAATAAATCTCCTTTATAAATAAATTACCCAGCCTCAGATATTCCTTAAATCTTGCTATCTTCTTTCAGGCCATATTCTGTGAGACATGGGTCCCATTGCCAAGTGGATACCCCAAATCCTTTGGGAGTAATAACACTGGTTTCACTTTAAATCTGAATCGCAGAAAATCATCCTTCAAGGGTAAAAATCGGCAACATATTATTGATTTAGACTTACCCATTATTATCTTTCTTTTACGATCTTTAAGGAAATCTATTTATAAGATGTCATTGAAATAGTAAATATTGCTGTATTTAATTCTTAAGTGATAATACTGTTGGTTGCTTCTTTTATCTGTTATCAATATAGTGAGTTATTTCCACTACATTGTTAGGATGAAAAAATGATAATGTAAACATCCATAAAGTTTGAGTATTCCAAGCCTGGTAGCTTCAACTGATTCAAACTATTGGCAGAAGAGAGACAAATACCAAGTTTGGCCTGTGATGTGGACAAATGAACTAAAAAAATCCATATTAATTTATTCCTCCCACCATGTAATTTTTCTTTACCCTTATCACAGGTATTCAGCATGTTTCATTTTTCTTCCTCCACTTTCTCTCTAAAGTGTGCCCTTCACCCACAATCCATAATGAAAAGACTGGTGCATCCCGGGTTATCTTTTGCCTGAATTATCTCATCTTTCTCACTGAACTCATTTCTTCTTCTTCCTCCTCCTCCTCCTCCTCCTCTTCTTCTTCTTCTTCTTCTTCTTCTTCTTCTTCTTCTTCTTCTTCTTCTTCTTCTTCTCCTTCTCTTCTTCTTCTTCTTCTTCTTCTTCTTCTTCCTCTTCCTCTTCCTCTTCTTCTTCTTCCTGTCTAATCAATCAAAATTGCTACAACAAAATAACAATTTCTGTTCAAAAACTGTATTTTAACCATCATCTCTCAGGAGGAATAGAAGCATTTCAAAAGAAGAGCTATAGAAAAATTAATAAATTATTTAATTGAAAGAAGTGTATGTATTAGCCAACTTTGCATTGCTATGAAGGAATACCTGAGGCTGGGTCATTTATTTTAGAAAGAGGTTCATTTGGCTTATGATTCTGCAGGCCATATAAGAAACATGGCACCAACATATGCTTTAGTGAGGGCCTCAGGAATCTTTCTATCATAGTGAAAGGTGAAGGCGAAACATGGATGTCACATGGCAAAAGAGAGAGCAAGAGAGAGAAGAAAGGCACCAGACTCTTTTTAACAATCAGATCCTCAGAACTAGTAGAACAAGAATTCGCTCATTACCATGGGGTGGGGAAGGCACCAAGGTATTCATAAGGGATCTGCCCCCATGCCCTAAACACCTTCCATTAGACTCCACCTCCAACACCGAGGATCACATTTCAACATGAGATTTGGAGGGGACAAATATCCAAACTATACCAGTGCAATTAAATATACTGCGTATATGAAGAATCTTCTCTGCCACTTCTCAGTGCTTTTCTAGTCTCAGTATTTGCCAGTATAGAATTATGCATCAGCTGAATATATGCATATAAACTAATAGGAAAAAAAGCAAATTTAAACAAATAGCCTGCGATTTAAAGACAATTACAATTGAATTTAATTTGTATTTGTTTCTTTTGTGTCAAAATACATGATTACTTCAGAGAATCTGCCAGCTATACCATCTTTTACCCCATCCTATTTCAGACAGTCTGCATAAGGATTTATTTACTATATATTGATAACACACACATTTATGAATAAATACTAGCCTCCTCCAGAAAAACAAAGTGTTCTTGAGTCCAGTTAGGGAGGTTTACAGTTTTAGTGAAGGAGAGAAGCTGAGTATTCTACCCAAGGTTGGTGAATGTCTAGTGAAGACTATGAAGTCCTTGGCATTATGATCTTTACCACTTTCTGTTATTTATAATGCCCTATTTTTTGCTAAAGTACTTGTGAGAGAAGATAAAGAACATTCAGAGTGATGAGAGGTTATGGTCTTGCAGATTAGTTACTCAGAAGTCTTTTTCTACTCCTGAAACTAGCTGTCAAGTGATATACATATAAGGTGGCTCAAGAATTTTACTTACTTTGTGAAAAATATATTTTATTAATATTTTTATAAAGTGACAAAGTCTACTGAATGTAAACCATGTTACATTCAGTATAAAGAGCTGGAATCTAGTACTATTGAGTATTTTAATATCATACATTAAGGGTTAAACAACATTTAAACAGTATTGTAGTAGGTTGAATAACACCCACCCAAAGACATCCAGTCCTCATCATCCCTGAAACTTGCAAATGTTACCTTATTTTGAAAAATGGTCTTTGGAAATGTAATTAAATTATGGATGTTGAGATGAGAGTAGACTAGATTAACCATGTAAGTCCAAAATGTCATCACAAATGCCATGAATTCACAAGGAAAAAGTCAGTGTAAAGATAGAAACAGAGACTGGAGTGATATAGCCACAAACCAAGGAACTCCAAGGATTCCTAGCAGCTGCTAAAAGCTAGGAGAGAGGCATGGAATGGATTCTTCCCCATAATGTCCAGAAAAAAACAAATAAGAACTCTGCCAACACCTTGATTCTGAACTTCTAGCCTCCAGAACTATGAGAGAAGAAATTGCTGTTGTTGTTTTAGGCCAACAAGTCTGTGGTAATTTGTTACGGCGGCCCTTGAAAACTAATAGAGATATTTATAGCACATGATATGAATTCTTAAGACAGTCATTCTTCTGATAAATATATGAATTCTTGCAACTAGAATACTATATCTATAGTATTTACTACCCAATATTACAAAGAAAATAAACCAAAATGGGAAAATTAAATCCTGAAATCAGGAAATTAGAAACTTCCAGAATACAAAATATGAAGATATGGGAGGAAAAAACAAATGTAAAAATGAATTAAGGTATTTTACACATGGCTTTTAATGAAAGTAGAAATTAGTTGTTATGTTATTTTTCTCCAGTCTTCTCTGAGGCTGCCTTTTGAATCTATTTACCTGATCCACCATGAGAGAAGGTTTAATTTAGTTTTGCTTTTTACAGATGGATAACATGCTTTTATTTAAAGTCAAATTTTTGTAGGCTCTAGATTGGAAAAATAAATTATACTTGGACTTCATTCAAGTATTGGTATTTTTAGAAGTTAATTCTTGTTCTTATTTAGAAAAAAAAGAGCAGAGAGAAAGGACAGCAAAGGAAAGAAGGAAGGAAGGAAGGAGGGGAAGGAGGAAGAGGGGAGGAGGGAGGGAGGAAGAAAGAATAACTATAATGTGTTAATATTCAGGCTTCAAGAAACTCATTTTCTAATCAGACATCTTCTCTGGGCTAGCCTTAGACAAAATGTGGAATTAGATCAAATTTTTAACTGGTGTTTCTCCTTACTTTTGTTTCTACCTCACCTACTGAAATAAAATAATGTGTTTTTAAAAACTTATTTGGACCAAAACATTGAAGAATTAATATGTCAAATATGTGTAGTAGAGACTTCTAGTTTAGCCCAATACCCACTCTCCTCTCAATAACAAAATTCCTAGTTTTTAACTGCAGTCAAAATAAAGGGTATGTTTTCCAGTATCCTTTATAGCTAGATGTGGCTACATGAGGAAGACGGAAGTGTTCTTAAAGGGGGAAAAATGTATTCCCTTATTTAGTTGCTATTATGAACAAGGATGTTGTAATTGAATTCTGAGTTGCTATCTTAGACCCAAAATGGAAGCTGCATAAGGCAGAATAAAAAAATGGAAGGAGCCTTGATTTCTGATGCCATGAGGTACCACAACATTCAAGCCAACCACTTAGCATACCACCTGGCCCAAAATAAGTACTCATTAGGTATTTTCTATTTCTATTAATTTTGTAACAGTATTATTTGTTAATTGACCACAATATACTAGACACATTATGCATATCTTACTTAGTCTTCACAATAATCCAGTAAGTTAGGTACTATCATCTTCACTGTTTATAAAGAAACAAAAATCCCAAAAGATAAGTTTCCCAAAGTCATGAAGCTAGTAATTGATATATGGGGCTATCCCACCAGTATATCTGATTCCCTACTGAGTCTTCTGTCCACTACATTTTTCTGTCTTATCATAACATTATTGGTTTTCTGTTTCCGATTATCCCACAGTTCCTCTAAGGTTTTAATTACTTTTGTGTAGCAAGTATACTGAGTATAAAAGAAATGTATTCACTCCTTTCTCAGCAGATAAGATATTGATTTTTACAAACAAAAATAAAAATAATAAGTGGAACAAAAAGAAATCTGTAGGGAAACGAATATTTTGGATGAGATTTCTGGTATTTCCTGCTACTAGTCATGCAGGAAATGTCTTTTTTATTCTTTTCCCAACCCTTACACTCATGATTTTACCACTTCTATTTCAGACTAAACACAATGGTTAGCGGCCTTGGGAGGAAAGCAAATGTATGGATTTAAAATGAAGAAAAAAAAAAAATGAAAGCTTCCACACTGCACTTAGAAATGCAACAACCATCAATACAAAAAGAAAATTTGAAGAAATTTTTCTACCGCCAATAGTTTATCTCTTTTTATTTTCAGTATATGAAACAATTTGACTACCTTTCTCAGAAATATTTTAACCTTTTAATAAAGACAGTTTATTTACAGATATTTAAACATTCTGAACAAAAATAAAACCGTGACATTTAAAAAGGGAGCATGACCTTCCAAACTAATCAGAGGTATAAATACATTAAAATGACAATGTAACTCTCTTATTCCAATGCAATTTTTCCTTTGCAAATTATGGGCTGCATGTAGAGTATTTAGTAGCTGGCTGAACAAAGAGGTTTGGCCAATGTCAACATTAGAATTATGTCTCAGATTTCCTTATTTGTTCACAATCTATTCAATAATTTGGCCACAGGAACACATCAAAATTGTGAGTGATGTCCAAAAGAATAGCTACTATGTGATATGTTGTATAAATTAGCTTTTGCTGTACAAAAAATACTCCTAAACTTTGTGGCATACAACAACAGGCATATATTAGCTCATAGTTTTATAGATCAATGTTTTGGGTTGGGTTTTTCTGGAAAATTCTACTGACCTGGCCTGGGCTTAACATATCTTGACTGAGGCTCCCCTAGGTGTCTACAGTGAACCGTGGGTTGGTTTGAGCTGACTGACTGTGGGATGAGGTGCCCCAGTATTCCACATGATATTTTATCCTCCAGCAGGCTAGCATGGGCTTATCCTGCACTTTCATGGTTCCAAGAGCAGCTAAAAACTTGTACTGCAATCACTTCTCCAGTCTCTGCTGTGTTAAATTTACTCTTGTTCCATCGGCAAAAGTGAGTCACATGGCCAAGCCCAGAGTCAGTATGAGAGGGACTAGAAAAGTTTAGGGGTAGAGTATGAAATAATTGGAAGCCAGTATTACAACAATTTAACACAGATGATTATAAAAGTTTTTTTAAAAGGCAAGAATGGTGGACCAAAAGTACAAGGAGAAATCTCATAGGGATAAATATATAATGTAGCACTGGCATTCAGAACACCCTTTAGCAGGTAGAGGATCAAGGAGACCTGATTTAACTTCAGTCCCCTGAGAAAGTCTTAGGAACTTTGGTTGGTAACAAGCTCAATATAAATCGGCAATGTGAACTGACATCCAAAAGAGAGAGAACTAATGTAATCTTAGGTCACCTTATTGAAAGTAGAGAAGTCAAACCAATGGAACCAATAGTCCTGGGATTTTTCAGGGGTCATACCATACCTGTTCTGGGTACAGTAAATGACAAGGGAAAATGGAACATAAGGGATGTCCAGAGGAGTGCAACCTGAGTGACAGGAAGCTGGAAATACATTGCACACAAATTCTTTAAAGGCCACGAGGACGTTCACTCTGCAAAAGAGAAGATTTAAGATTTGAAGATAGTATCATAATAGCACACTTCAAATACTTCAAAAGCATTGTAAAAAAGTAGGATTAGATGTGCTCCCTATGGCTTTGGAAGGAGAAGGGAACAATTAAGTAGAAGCTACAAGAAGACAAATTTAGAGATAATGATAGGGGGAAAAAACTCACAATTATTAGAAGTGTCCATAAATGGAGTGGTTATTGCCAGGGAGTGGGCTTTCTTTCACCAGAAGTGTGCAAGCAGAGAAGATGACTACAACCAGTGAGAAACTAGGCAACAGTGGCTCTCAAACCTGGCTGCAACTCAGAATCTACAGCTTTGGAAAATACAGACAACATGGCAACCTCTGGAACAAAATCTGCACAATTGTACTTTAAACTTCCTTATAGGAGATTATGACACATGACCAGGTTTTGGAACCATTGTTTCAACAGGTCAGCAAACTGTGGCTTGCCACTGGTGTTGTGTAGCCCCAGAGCTAAGAAAGGCTTTTACCTTAATACTTAGTGACACTTAAAAAATCATATGAAAATCAAATGTTGGTTTTCAGAAATAAAGTCTTTTCAGAACACAGCTATGCTTATTCTTTATGTATTGCCTACAGCTTGCTACCACAGTGGAGCTGAATAATTGTCACTGAGACCATGTGGCCCACAACCCTAAAATATGTGTTATCTGGCCCCTTAGAGAATAGAATCTGCCAACTCTTGCTCTAAGATTTTGCTGTGAAAAGTGTCTCCGGCCCTACCCAGCATCCACTGAATGAGAAACTATATATTAAATGAACTCCAGGTGATCAGTGTATGCACATTAGAATCTGAGAAGCTCTACTCCTGGTGTTGATCAATTCTAATTTATATAATTTTTATAAATTTAAACTTCGTGTTGTATTGTTTGCATCAATCGTATAAGAATAAAAATGTGACTAAAACAGGTTGATATTGGATACATTTATTATTCAGTGGAAATAATGGGATATTGCTAGTCTGGCACTCTCCTTTAAGTGCCATATTCAAAGCATTTTTAAATGACCCTGGAAATCCACCGGTGAAACAGAATTGTATAGTCATTTCAGTCACATGGAGAAAATTAGTATTACAAAAATTGGAGCAGTCTTCTCAGTACCCAGATCTTAGTTTTTGATAACATTCTCTAATAAAAGGAACCAGAGCTTCTTGGAGAAATGGCTACTTCTAGGACTGGAGCAGGTAATATACAAGATGAAATAAAAACAGAAACAAACAATAGGGACATAGATATGCCAAAGGGGCATGGGGGAGGGGGGCAACTGAAAGAGCTTTGGATGCTCAAAGCTGGAACAATTTAAGCAACAAAATAAAAAATGTAGTACTCAATTTTAACCCAAAGTATAAAATAAATAATCAGGAATTCATACTGAAATAAATCAATAACTAAACAAATAAATAAGTACGAGAGAAGAGACAAATCTCCTGTACAGAAAAATTCCAAATAAAATGTAGGTACTCTGTCCTCAAGGAGGTGGAGCAGAACTCCCTATTCCTTACGTGTGGGCTGTACATAGTCACCTCTTAGAAAAGAGTACAGTGTGGAAGTACTTCTTCCAACAATTACAGTATGGACTAACTTTGCAGTACAGAAACCTGACAAACATTGCCTGAGCCAAGTGATCAAGGGTAAAGTCAACCATGATAAGTCATGAGGATAACATGTACCCTTGATATGATGTGGTGAAAGTTGCACTTTATCTCTGTAGTCGTCTTCCCCAGACCCATAACCCTGTCCAAGAAAAAAAGAAAAAAAAATCAGATCCCAACTGGGAGAGAGTCTACAAAATACCCAACCAATATTCCTCAAAACTGTCAAGACCATCAAAAATAATAAAAGTCTAGGAACTGTCATAGTCTAAAGCAGCAATCCCCAACCTTTTTGGCACCAGGGACTGGTTTCTCAGTTTTGTGGAAGGCAATTTTTCCACAAGTGCTGGGGGATGGTTTGGGAGTGAAACTGTTCCACCTCTGATCATCAGGCATTCGTTAGAGTCTCTTAAAGAGCATGCAATCTAGATTCCTCACATGTGTAGTTTCCAACAGTTTGCCCTCTTATAAGAATCTAATGCTGCTGCTGATCTGACAGGAGGCAGAGCTCAGGAGGTAATGCTTACTTGTCCACAGCTCACCTCCTGCTGTGCAACCCAGTACCTAACAGGCCACAGATTGCTACCAGTCTGCAGCCTGGAGGTTGGGGACCCCTGGTCTAGAGGAGCTAAGCTGACATGACAACTAAATGCAACATGGTATTCTGCATAAAATCCTGGAACAGAAAAAGGGTGTTAGATAACAATAAAGGAATCTGAATAAAGTATAGATTTTAGTTAATAGTAAGGTTCACTAATTGTAACAAATGTACCATACTAGTAGAAGATGCTAATAATAAGGGAAACTGAGTACAAGATATATGGGAACACTGTACTCTCCATAATTTTTCTGTCAATCCAAATTAGTCCACAATTTCTTTAAATTTAAAATAATTGGGGCCATTTTGAGATTTTCCCTTTCATTTATATATTCACTTTCATTTCCTTAAGTTTACTTAACATAATTTGTCTAGAATCCCTTTTGAGTTAGGTTGAATACGTATCACAAATTAAGTTAAATAATTAAGTCATGCTCAGATTCACATCCTGGTACATTGTTGGTTTAGTTCTTCTGGTCACAAATACTTTTAATTTGGCTGAATGGCTGAAGATTTAGTATTCATTGCTTTACCAACATGGCTGTTCTAACCAGAGAGTGCATTCTTGCTGGGTTTCTGTTTCAGAAGCAAGAATGGAGACCCATGTGGTCTGAATGTAAGTAGAAGTCATGAAGTGATTCTGACACATGGAGATGCAGAATTTTGACCTTCCTGCTTTTTGGAAATGTGAATGACTGCTGAGAGCTGCAGGGGAGACTCAGCAGGACTGAGGAATGTTAATGAAGTCTGCCTTTTATAAGCAGTTGTTGTTATAGAAAGAAACCACAGTTATTAATGATGAAATATTGTAGATAATTTTTTGTAATGTAAGCTGTTCTTGCTCTTACAAATATCCCTCTTACAATTCTTGGAAACAGCCACTAGTGCTAAGGAAAGCATTATGAGAAAACAAACAAACAAACAACATTTAAAAAACATTTTTAGAGCATCTGTGGTCTCATGAGAAAACTAAGTTGCTGAGAAATGCCGGCAGAGGGGTTGCCCTTGTGGCACATTCTCAACCTACCATAACCTTAGTAGATGGTGGCATCTCCCTGGGTAAACAGATCATATGCATACCACCAAAATTTTTAAGTCAGTCTGTCACATTCTTAAAATTCCACCAATTTATCTCATTATGAAATGTAAATATATTTGGCATCTTTGTGAATCTCTTTCACTATTCACATGGATTAATTCCATAGAGGATTCCTGCCTGGTTAATACCTAATTGAGGATGGGGAGCAGTTCTTTGGCATGTGCAGGAAACATCAGGAAAACCATGTAGCAAAACTATTAACAATGCAGTTCCAAATAAATTTTTGAAACAGTTTGTCAATTTCTTTTAAAAAAAAAAGTCTGCTGGAGTTTGATTGCAATCATATTAATTCTATAGATGAGTTTAGGGAAAATTAACATCTCAACATTGAGTCCTCTTAAGTGATGAACATGTTATATCTTTTCATTTATTTAGGTTTTCATTAATTTCTCTCAGTAATCTTTTGTAGTTTTCAGTGTACAGGTTTGTCCCCCACTTTATTAAACTAATCACTAAATATCTCATGTTTTTGATGTTATTAATAATGAAATATTTTAAAATTTATTTTTCAGTGGTTCAATGCAAATATTTATGAGTTCAATTGATTTTTATGTTTGGTTTATTGACCTTGTATTCTAAGATTTTGCTAAATTCCCTTACTAATTTCAGCAGGTTTTTTGTAGGTTCCTTAGGATTTTGTTTATATGTGGCCATGTTGTCTGTTAGTACAGAAAATGTTACTCTTTCCTTTCCAATCGGTATGTCTTTTATTTTACTTCTTTTGTTGTTATGGCTAGGAAAGCAAGCAACGTGTTATATGGAAGTGGTAAGGCCAGATATCCTTTTACTTGGTCCCAATTTGGGGGGAGAAAGCATTCAAGCTTTCATCATTATGTATGTTAGCTGACATTTTTAAAGTACCCTTTATCAGGGTGAGAAAACTACATTTTATTCCTAACTTGTTCATAAATTTTTATCGTGAATGAGTATTGAATGTTGTCAGATGTCCTTTTCTGCATCTATAAAGATAATCATGGTTTTCCCCTTTACTTTGTTAATTGATTAATTACTGAGTGATTTTTAAATGCTAAACCAACCTTATAATCTAGGGATTAACTAGACTTTGTCACAATTTATTATTTTTAAATGTTGCTGGATTTGTTACTATCAAAGACTTTTTCTCTGCATTCCTGAGGAATATTAATTTGTTGCTTGCTTTCTTATAATGTGCAGGTCTGACCTTGGTATAAGAGAAATGCTAGCCTCAGATAAAGAGTTAGGAAGTATTATCCTTTTATTTAAAAAAATATATAGAATTTCAGTTGTTCAGTTGTTTTTTCCTTTAATATTAGATAAAATTCAGCAGTAAGATTATCTGTTCCTGGGATGTTCTTCGGGAAAGATTTTTAAAACGAAATTGAAAATGTTTAGTTGGTAAACACTATTCAGTTTTCTATTTTTAAATAACTTTTGTAATTTTGTGTCTTTAAAGGCATTTGTTAATTTCACATAAGCTGTCAAACTTATCAGCATAAAGTTATTCATAGTATTTATCATTCTTTAAATATATGGAAAATTAATATGTATGTCCCTTCTTTCATACCTGATCTTGGTAATTTATATATCCCCTCTCTCTGTCTCTCTGAGTTGAGCTAGATATTTGTCAACATTACTGATCTTTCAGACATTTATGTGGCCAACAAACATATGAAAAAAACTCAACATCACTAATCATTAGAGAAATGAAAATCAAAACCACAATGAAATATCATCTCATGCCAGTCAGAATGGTGATTATTAGAGGTCAAGTAACAACAGATGTTGTGAGGGTGTGGAGAAATAGGAAAGCTTTTACACTGTTGGTGAGAATGTAAATTAGTTCAACCATTGTGGAAGACAGTATGGAGATTCCTCAAGGATGTGGAATCAGAAATACCATTTGACCCAGCAATCCCATTACTGGGTATATACCCAAAGGAATATAAATCATTCTGCTGTAAAGACACATGCACACATATGTTTAGTGAAGCACCATTTACAATAGCAAAGTCATGGAACCAACCCAAATGTCCATCAGTGATAGACTGGAAAATGTGGTATATATACACAATGAGATACTACACAGCCATAAAAAGGAAAGAGATCATGTCCTTTGCAGGGACACAGATGAAGCTGGAAGCCATCATTCTCAGCAAACTAACACAGAAACAGAAAACCTAACACTGCATGTTCTCACTCATAAATGGGAGTTGAACAATGAGAACACATGGATACAGGAAGAGGAACAACACACACCAGGGCCTGTTGGGGGATGGAGGGTGACGGGAGGGAACTTAGAGAATGGGTCAATAGGTGCAGCAAACCACCATGGCACACATGTACCTATGTAACAAACCTGCACATTCGGCACATGTATCCCAGAACTTAAGGTAAAAACAACAACAACAACAAACATTATTGATCTTTCAAAGTAACTAGATGTTGATTGTATTTTTATTATTCATTATTTGTTTACTTTCTATTTTACTAATTTCTGCTCTTATCCTTTTATTTATTTTTAAAAATTAAATTTGGGTTTAATTTGTTGTTCTTCTAGTTTCTTGAAGTGGAAACTTAGGTCACTGATTTTTGGATCTATCTTCTTTTCCAACATGAGCATGACAAGTATCTAAATCTATAAAATTCAAGGATTGCTTTAGGTTTCCCCCACATACTTTGATGTCTTATGTTTTCTCTCTTATTAATTTTAAAATCTTTTAATTTTCCATCTTATTTTCTTTTTCACCTACGGGTTATTTAGAACAGTGTTTCTTAACTTCTGTTGATTTATAAAGACAGTATACTTTTTCCTTTCCAATCTATATGCCTGTTAGATATTTCCAATTTAATTCCACTATGATTAGAGAACATGCTTTATGTTATCAGACATTTTGAATTTATTGAGACTTGTTTTATGTTTCAAGACATCAGCTACTTTGGTAAATTTTCCCTGAGCACTAGAAAAGAACATGTACCATACTGTTTGGCATTCTAGAAAGGTCAATTAGGTCAAGTTGGTTAATAGTATTTTTCACAATATTCTTACTGATTTTCAGTGTTGCATTTTATCATTTTTTGAGAGAGAATGTGAAAATCTTTAATTTATTATTAAATAATAAAACAATTTAATTTATCATTAAAGAACAATAATAAATTTATTCATTCTTTTAACTTTGTCAGTTTTGCCACATGAATTTTGAAGATCTGTAATTAGGTGAATACATATTTAGGGTTGCTATGTTTTTTGGCAGTTAACTTTTGTCATTAAGAATTTCTTTCATTATTGAACATATTCCTTGTTTTGAAGTCACTTTTGTCTGATATTAGTATAATCACTTCCCACCTTTCTTTTAATCAGTGTTTGCATGGTGTACCTTTTCCCATTCTTTTATTTTTAACTTATCTATAGCTTTATATTTAAAGTAGATTTCTTATAGACAGCATATAAGTGGATTGTATTTTATATTCAGTTTGATAAACGATGCCTTTTAATTTGAATAGTTAAACCACTTACATTTGATGTAATCATTAATATGTTTGGATAAATCCACCATCTTGCCAGATGTTTGTTATCTGCTTTATCTCTTCTTTTCCCTTTCCTGACTTCTTTTGACTAAGCATTTTTTGTATTTCATTTTTCCTCCAGTAACGGCTTATTAGAATATTTTTAATTGATTGGTTAATTTGTAATTGCTGTAGGGTTTATAATATGCAACTTCAACTTTCACAGCCTGCCTTCATATTGCATTTTGATACTGCACATATAAGAATCTTACATGCTTTCTATTTATTGCTAGTGTTGTCATGTTATTCTTCTAACTCTACTTTAAAACTTTAAGTCCCTTGTTACTATTTGCTTTAAACACTCAATTATCCCTTAAAATATTTTTCAGTGAGGAAAAATATTTTATAATAATTCATATTTTAACCATTTTTAGCAACTCTTCACTCTTCATTCTTCTGTGTAAATTCAAGTTTTCATTTGATGTAATTTCTTCCATCTGAATCATTTATTTTCTTGTAGTACAGGTCTCCTAGTGACAAATTCTCATAATTTTCGTTTGTTTAAATATGTCCTTTTTTTCACTTTAAAAGATAGTTTTGCTGGCTATAGATTTCTAGGCTAATTTTTTTCCCTGCAACTTTGAAGATTGTTCCACTGTCTTCTGGCTGACAGTGTTTCTTCTCAAATGTCACACTATTTCATTCAAGGTTTCTTAGAAGACATTATCTTTCACCCCCTGTCCTGTGCCATTTGTCTCTGGCTGCTTTTGAAGTTTTCTCTTTATTGCTGGTTTTCAGCAATTTCATTATTATATACTTTGGTCTGTTTTCTTTGTGTTTATCATGCTTGGGCTCCATTGAGCTGCTTTGATCTGTGGTTTATAATTTTCGTTGAATGTGAAAATTTTTGATATTTCTTCAAAAGTATTTTTGCTCTCTCCTGGAAAGATTGCAACAACACAGTTTTTAGATGATTTAATACTGTCACTTTGATCACTGAAGCAATTTTATTAGATTTTTTTAATTGTGTATGTTTTATTTCTATACCTTAAATTCACCAATAATTTTTTTTCTGTAGTGTCTAATGTGCTATGTAGTTCATCCATGAATTTTTATTTTCTGATGTTCTATTTTTCAGCCTTACAGGATCCATTTATTTCTACTTTCTATTTCCTATTTTGCCTCATTATTTTGAGTTTTCTCTAAATCACTGAGCATTTTTCCAATAACCATTTCAAAGTTCTTATTTAATAATTGTATCATATCTGACATTCCTAGCTTCTGTTTCTATTGACTAATTTTTCTCTTGATTATGAGTCACCTTTTTGCTCTTTTATGTGTCTAGTAATTATTCACTGTAATTATTAATTGGATGTTTATCATTGTGAATTACATTGCTTAGTGTCTAGATTCAGTTATATTCCCTTAAAGAATGTTGAATTTTGTTTGGGCTGGTGTTAATACACTTTAGCATCAAAGTGATCCTTTTGAGGTTTGTTTCTAAGCATTGTTAGGGAGGGTCCAGAATAGTCTTTACATGAGGGCTAGTTTAGCCCTATTCTGAATACATGGCTTTTGGGGTCTTTACTTAGTATATGCTGTTTGGTGAGTTCTCTCAACTCTGGCTGGTAAAAATTTAAACATATCCCAGCCCTGTAAGAACTCTGAGAAATGTTCCATTTACAGCTCCCAGGTACTTTTTTGCCTTACCTCATAGATCTCTAGTGTTTACCCTTTAGCAAAATATTCAAAGGAGTCTTTAGGAAGACAACTGTATTAGTCCATTCTCACACTGCTATAAAAAACTACCTGAGACTGGATAATTTATACAGAAAAGAGGTTTAATTGACTCACAGTTCTGCAGGCTGTACAGGAAGCATGACTGGGGAGGCCTCAGGAAACTTACAATCATGGCAGAAGGCTGAATGGGAAGCAATCATGTCTTCACGTGGTGACAGGAGAGAGAAAGCTAAGGGGGGAATTGCTACATACTTTTAAACAAACACAGCTTGTGAGAACTCACTCACTACCACGAGAACAGCAAGGGGGAAATCTGCCCACATGATCCAATCACCTCCCACCAAGTCCCCATCAATTCCCAACTGTAATTGGGAATTACCGTTCAACATGAGATTTAGGTGGGGACACAGAGCCAAACCATACCAGTTACTGTAGCTCTTTTTCTATGTAGTCTTTTTATTTCCAGTACTCTTTCTTTTAAATACCAGCTCCATCAGCCTCCCTTTCCTGTGATCCCTATCTCTTCAACTCAGAGACTACCGTGCTAAGTTTGAGTTCCCCCAATTTGAGCACAATATGAAAAGTTCCTTCACATAGAAAGCCAGGACCATCACAGAACTGACTTCATTACTTTCTCTTCTCTCTTGATTATGGCAGTCCTGGGAGCCTGTTGTTTGAAAACAGTAGTTTCAGTTTTGCCTTATTTTCTAATTGCTTGCAGGGGTGAGGCAACTTTTACACTGTTATTCAAGCATGCCACAAGTGGAATTCCCCATTCATCGAAGTTTTGAAAATGTTGAATCCTGTGAATTGATAAATAAGATACAGTATATTAATATAGTAAAATGCTATTCAGCAATGTAAAGACCAAAGTACTGACACTTGTTACAACATAGATGAACCTTAAAAACATTAAGCTAACTGTAAGAAACCAGAGGCATACAAACATAAATTGTATTACTCCATTTATACAAAATGTCCAGAAAATAAAAATATAGAGAGACAAAAAGTAGATTAGCATTTGCTTAGAGCTGGGGGTGTGAATGGGGGATATCTATAAATATGCAGGAAGTGTCTTCTTTAGGATAATGAAAATGTTCTAAAACTGTGATGATGATTGTACAACTCTGTAAATGTTCTAAAATTCATTGAATTGCATACTTAAGATGGATGAATTTTATGGCATATAAATTATATCTCAATTAAGTATTTTTTTAAAAAGTTACATCCTGTAGTTAATCATACTTTAGAAAATTAAGGAAGAACTTGTGCCTGCATTTGGGGTAAAGCATTATGGGATGGACCAGTTGCTACCTGAATAACCCTCTTGGAAGACAACAAAATATGACTTCAAAACTTTGCAATAGAAGTAGTATGGACATTTTAGCTGGTGGGATGAGAATAGCACCAGTATTTAT
Organism: Homo sapiens; assembly: GCF_000001405.40. Taxonomy (NCBI): domain Eukaryota; kingdom Metazoa; phylum Chordata; class Mammalia; order Primates; family Hominidae; genus Homo; species Homo sapiens. The sequence continues at coordinate 113,288,323 of NC_000006.12, forward strand.
TTGTAGAACATGTTAACATTGCTGGAGATTTTTGAAGGGAGAGAATATGGTTTGGTGTTATTGGGTCATGAAATGAAATTCCTATTGCTGATGACTGGAGTAGGCAGGAATTGAACATTATACAATTATATAAAGTTTTTAAATATGAGAAAGAAGCAAGAGCTAGCTATAGCAAAAGCTATAGCTCTCATAGCTATAAGATACAGTTGCTCTGTTTAAGAAAAGACTCTTAGAAACCACAATTTAGCTAATTTTGGAGACCTTCTGAAGAATCTAATTTTATTAAATGAATACCAAGGTACTACTGAAATAAATCTTTTCTTTGCATACATCTCTGTTACTATTTCAAACTCTTGTTTCATATAACATCAAGAAATTACTAAACTACTCTGCATTCACAGTCAGCTTGTGGGGTTTTTTTAAAGAAAATTGAATATTTCTATTTTTTCACCACTACAAAACTGCACTGTTGGTGGTACTACGCTGTATCAGGAAATTCCCTACCATCAAAATTCACACCCACATCTTGCAATAATATTTAAAGCTTATATGCATTTTACTTAAAGGGAGTATTATCTTGAACAGTTCTTTGGATAAGAGGAATAAATGTGCTTTTTAAAAAACACAATTGAGTCTATATGGACAAGAAGGTTAAACAGTTGGAATGGGTTTTATATATTCAACCATATTGATATTTTAGAATTCAACTAAAACTGAGTTTGAATAAGGATAATTTCATGGTTTATAGCCAAAATACACTAGAATTGAAAACAAATAATTGATTCTGTGGATAGACTTATGATGTTAGATCATCTTTTAAGAGAAAAAATTGTGGCTTAATAAGTCAAGAATGTGTTTTGTTCTCTATTTCAGTTTTTCCACTCGGTGTAACATACTGTGTCGCCTGCTGTTGTTTGCAACCTTTTTACAGTTGGCATAAGTACATACATTAAATGTATTCTGATTATTATGGACGCCCCACTGTGCAGCTCCCATTACAATGGTATCCGTTAAGCAGTGTTTTTACTTCCTAAGTTACCATGTTTTCGTAATGTGTGTTATTAAGTGCTACCTCTTTCCAGTACTTTGAGGCTCTATAATTACCCAAGAAGGCAACTGTATGGTGTTTGTAAATTTGCACAGAAGCGTGAACAAGAACACAGGCTGCTAGATGGCAATAACAGAATTTGTGCCTGGGGATTCTGCTGAAAATGGTAATTTCAGTTTAACATTTTTGATTTTCAGGGAACCATTTGAATCTAGACCTCTGGGTAACCGCCACCACATTCATCAGAAATAGATAGGATTGCAATACTGATAAATGCAACAATGAGAAATACAACAAAATATTCTCAGAGCATTCTTTCCTAGAATATTCCTCTTCATGGAGCATTTTGCTGCTTAATGAACTCAGGGCACATTTATTTTTTATTTTGATTTTTTGATTTAGTAACTTATTTTTACAACTGAAGACAATTCCCCCTCCCATCCAATGTTATTCCCCCTCCAATCCAGTTAAAAGTGTGAATAAAAAATAAAAGAGGTAGGCATTCTTGTCCTTCTCTCTTTATAAGCTCCTTCCCACTTAATATGGTTTGGCACCGTGTCCCTACCCAAATCTTACCTTGAATTGTCATAATCCCTACATGTCAAGGGCGGGACCAGGTGGAGATAATTGAATCATAGGGGCAGTTTCACCTATACTTTTCTCATGATAGTGAGTGCGTTCTCATGAGATCTGATGCTTTTATAGAGATTTCTTCCTTCACTTGATTCTCATTCTCTCTCCTGCTACCCGTGAGGAGGTGCCTTCTGCCATGATTGTAAGTTTCCTGAGTCCTCCCCAGCCATATGGAACTGAGTAAATTAAACCTCTTCTCTTTATAAATTACCCAGTCTCACTTAAGTCTTTATTAGCAGCGTGAGAACAGACTAATACACCACTCAAGAATATCTTTCTTGATATTCCAGCTTGTTTTGCTTACACACCATAAGCTAGTTATTCTTACTCAAATTCATTTTTGTTGAACGAAGTAAAAGATTCAAGGTTCTAGAGGCAGAAATAAAATATCTAAGGATATGGCTAGCCAAGGAGGAAAGATATTTTGGTCATGGTGAACCAAACATAGCATTATGGAGCATAGTATATGGAGGTCAACACACAGGGTTCCAGATCACAGTAGCCAAACTCAACCTGTGCAAACCATCCTGCTAGACAAGCCAAATTTGCCCAGTGCTATTTTAAGTACACATGCATATCATCATCATAGAAATGAAGTAGCTGAAAGTTTACAAAATTACTTGAGAAACTGCATTTAAGATCAAGGAACCTTTTGAGTACTGCAAGGCCACATTTAATCCAGTGGTAAATCATGAAGCACAAAAGGGGTAAGAGTGATCAGTATGGGATGAAACAATTTTTAAAAGTTAGATGACACATACAGGGTAAATGAATTGAGAAAAAAAGTTGCAGGAACTGGAGAAGGGGAGAATTGGTAAGGCTATTTCAGGAAGTAGAAAATAAAAGCACGAAAGAATAATAATGTTGAATCATATGACAAATGTTTGCTGCTCTACTGGTTAGATGCAGACAATAATAAAAATGAGTTTTATGTAGCACCTTACAATTCACAGGATACTTGTCTCATATTGACTCATCTAACAACTTTGTGACATGAGGCCAGGAAGTGTCTTTAATTTTCAGAAAAAACTAATACTAATTAAAAAGCTTAGTGGTAAGTATACAGCAAAGAAAATATTGGAACTTCAGCTTTCTAAATCCTAATCCAATGCCTTTTACTGTTCCATACATTAATATAATTTTTTTTTCAAAAGATAGGAGTATCTGAAATGACATTTTAGATGGCTTTAGAAGAGAAGTATCTCAGTGGCTGTTTGAGCCCTTTCAAGTATTTCCAGCATCCTCTGCTTCCATGCTGAAACTTTGCAGCTAAGGGGAGACTAGAGAGGCCAGGACGGGTGTCCAGGAGTCGGGGAAGCTGAAGAAGGACCAGTGGTATTCCTTGTCTTCAGAGCTTCAGGCTACAATCTGGCCATTTTACCTTGAATTTTATAACACTCGATTGTAAAAAAATAACGACCTTTTCATCTAATAAGAAAGGCCTCCTTTAAGGGTATCCTCATTCCAGTTGCATATGTTCTATTGATACCATTACTAAGGAGTACAGTTTTTAAATATATATATGTTTATATATATATTTATATATATATTTTTAATATTTATATATATTAAAAATATGTTTATATTTTTAATATATATGTATATATAAATATACATATATATATATATAATGCTTCTTATATTTAAAACCAAGAAGTGAAGAGTAGAATGCATTTTCTGTTTTCACTCTTTGCCCAGACATTAAGTTGACAATCTTATGGTTATCAGTGATATGCATCAGCTCATAAGTGACCCTTTGGTATGTGAACATGGGGAATTTTTTAATACTTGGCTCTTCAGTATGGATTTGTGTGACAGTCATGTTATCATCTCACGCCTTCCAAGATTTCAAAGGATCTGATGGCTGTAATTGCAAAGAATAAATGAGTAATCTTTAGTCTATTTCAGAAATAGAAGGCCAGATGATTCCCTTTCATAAAGGACTAAGGTTTCATCCGATGCCAACTCTGGTAAGGCCTTAGTCATTTTTGTGGGTGAAATCTGATCAAATGCAAGCAATGTTATTTTCATTTCTGAAAATTATCTATGTCCAGTGCATCAATCACCCAGTAGGTCCACACTCCAATAAAAAGATATGAAATGGAAGAATTGCTTCTTTCCTTTAGTTCCTCTCTTAATTCTGTCTTAAAGTGCATCTTGAATCTGAATGAGCTCCAGACAAACCTTACATACAACAGACAGGAGAATTCAAACCAATGCATTTATTATGCTCAGAAATCACAGCTGACTCCCAGCGCTGCCAAATCCAGCAGGGTTTACACAAACTGCTCGTGGTTTTCATAAGCATTGATTGCAGCCAAAATGCTGTTTTGTGAGCTGAATTTTTATCTGATTGCCAAGTGACCAATGTTAATTTTGCATCAATATAAGGGTTTATTAACCTTATTTTATGACTTTTGCTTACAAATTTATTTAGTTCTGCAAAAAAAATGTAACAAACATGAAAATTTCCTTCCAAGTTACTGTCAGTAAAGACAATGTTTTGTTTTGTTTCATTTCGTATTGTTTTCACAAATCCTGAGCAGTTGAACTATAATCACATACCAAAAAACAAATAATACAAATCAATCTTCCTGGAAATTTGGGAATATGAAAAGATATTTTATATATAAAGAGAATTGTGTCCCTGAATCTTTATCTATAAAACCACTCAAGTAATTACTAGCAGCAGGAGCCTGTAAAAAAAGAAATAAAATAATGAGTTTTCCATATACCATATTGTAGAATAGATAAAAATAGAGTCTTAGGCCCAGTGGAATTTGGGATCATAAAATTCTGCATGTAGATCGGTGGAAACAATGCAGAAAGAACTTAAGCAAAGGAATGGAATTTAACTCTAACTTAGGATGCTCCCTAAGGAGCTTGTTACTCCAAGATCGATCTAAAGGGTTTCTAAAAACCATTTGAGTGTCAGTCATCTGGCTGGGATTCTACAGCAAAAATGTTTCCCTGAAATTCAGTCTGATTGATATCTATCCATATTTTTTAATGGGAAAGGGAAGATTAGGGAAAAAAATAAAATTAATGGTTTGAATGAGCCTCTCTCTTTTGAGATCTGAATCCATTTAGAGTAGAAATGGTATCCCTGTGATTGGCTTCCTTCTTATTGTCAGTCTCTGCTAAAAGAGTGAGAAGAGATGAGGAAGAAAATGGGAAGCAGAATCTCCTCTTTTGGGTTCTGGTTCTAGAAGAAAGAGCTCCCCTTGGGAAGGATGATTACAGACATTCATGCTGTCAGGATTTTTGAAATATGGAGGCCCATAAAGCAAAGATTTCAGTAGGCAATTACCAAAGACTGACTTAGAAAACAGAAGAAAAAGCATTACGCTGACTAAAAACTGAAACCACAGACTTGTTCAAATTGCTGAGTACTTGACAAGGCAGCCACTATGCAGTATCACAAAGGCAAAGGCAAAATAAATAAGCATTTCTGTTAGTCATCAATCAATAAATATGTATCTCATAGAGATCTGCTCAATTCCAATGGGATTTTTATTTTTATTTTTTACTAATATAATACCAATGTTGTTGCTCTGGAATTCTTAGAATTTGTGTTTCCATGTGGAAACTATCAGCACACAAGGCTATTGGGCCAGTCCCACCCACTTTTAAAATCTCAAACAGTACACTGTAAAACACTATAAGCTTTCATATCTTCCAAATTTATTATATCATCATTCTGAAGAGTACTGGTATTCTATAATACACTATGTAATCAGATATAAAGATTCAATTTTACAGGGTCATTTTATTCAAACTAATCATAGGATCTAAACTCCAGAAAACTTTATTAGTAAGTATAAATGATGCTAATATGGTATTTAATAATACTTCTTAATGAAGTAGATTTAACACCTTAGGCTTATCTAACAAATGGAAAATATGTAACAAAACTATTGTCATAATTTTGTCTCAGTGAACATAGACATATTTATAACTTTCATATGTTGAACAAAGAAGACCAAAAAATGTTGACAATGTAATATATCTTAATAAACACCCTGAGTTCTGGGTAAGGAGATTTTATTTATTTGACTGTGACTACAGCTTCTAGAAAAAAATAGTTCCAATTTACTTATTCATTTGTTAAATATATGTTGCATACCAATGTATCGCAAACTCTGTGCTAGTACCTAAGAATAAAAGATGAACAAGAACTATGTCATAACATTCTGCTTCTGAAGACAGCCATGTAAGTAAAGAATCATGATAAAACTGAACCAGGAAGAAATTGAATCTCTGAATAGACCAACAGCAAGCCCTGAAATTGAGGCAGTAATAAATAACCTACCAACCCAAAAAAAAAAAAAAATGCCCAAGACCAAACAGATTCACAGCTGAATTCTACCAGATGTACAAAGAAGAGCTGGTACCATTTCTACTACAACTATTGCAAAAAAAATCAGGAAGAAGTACTCCTCTCTAATTCATTCCATGAGGCCAGTATAATCCTGATACCAAAACCTGGCAGACATAAGAAAGAAAAAGAAAACTTTAGGCCAATATCCTTGATGAACACTGATGCAAAAATTCTCAACAAACTACTGGCAAACCAACTCCAGTAGCACATCAAAAAGTTCATCCACCATAATCAAGTAAGTGTTATCCCTGAGATGCAAGGTTAATTCAACATATGCAAATCAATAAGTGTGATTCATCACATAAACAGAACTAAAGACAAAACCACATGATTGTCTCAATAGATTCAGAAAAAGCTTTAGATAAAATTCAACATCCATTCACGTTAAAAAGTCTCTATAAGGAATTGAGGCATTGAAGAAATATACGTAAAAATAATAAGAGCCATCTATGCAAACCCATAACCAACATCATACTAAACGGGCAAAAGCTGGAAGCATTCCCCCTTGAAAACCAGCACAAGACAAGGGTACCCTCTCTCACCATTCCTATTCAACATAGTATTGGAAGTTCTGGTCAGGGCAACCAGGCAAGAGAAATAAATAAATGGCATCCAAATAGGAAGAGAGAAAGTCAAACTATAGGACATTATCTTATATCTAGGAAACCCCATAGTCTCAGCCCAAAAGCTTCTTAAGCTAATTAACAACTTCAGCTAAGTCTCAGAATACAAAATCAATGTGCAAAAATCATTAGCATTCCTATACACTAACAACAGTCAAGCTGAGAGGCAAATCAAGAACAAACTCCCATTCACAATTGCCACTTAAGGAATAAAATCCCTAGGAATACAGCTAACCAGGGATGTGAAAGAACTCTGCAAGGTCAACTACAAACCGCTGTTCAAAGAAATCAGAGATGACAAAAAACAAGTGAAAAAACATTCCATGATCATGGTTAGGAAGAATCAACATCATTAAAATGGCCAAACCTCCCAAAGCGATTTATAGATTCAATGTTATTTCTATCAAATAACCAATGGCACTCTTCAGAGAACTAGAAAAAAAGCTTTTTTAAAAGTCATATGAAACTTAACAAGAATCCAAACATCTAGGGAAAACCTAAGTAAAAAGAACAAAGCTGGAGGCATCATGTTACCCAACTTCAAACTATATTACAGGGATACAGTAACCAAAACCTCATGGTACTGGCACAAAAACGGACACATAGATCAATGGAACAGAACAGAGAACCCAGAAATCAGACCAGACACCTACGACAAACTGATCTTCAACAAAGTTGACAAAAACAAGCAATGGGGAAAGGACATCTTATTCAATAAATGATGCTGGCATAACTGGCTAGCCATACACAGAAGATTCAAACTGGACCTCTTCCTTACACCATATACAAAAACCAACTCAAGATAGATTAAAGATTTAAATGTAAAACCCAAAACTATAAAAACCCTGGAAGACAACCCAGGAAATACCATTCAGGACATAGGCACAGGTAAAGATTTCATGACAAAGACCCCAAAAGCAATTGCAACAAAATCAAAAATGGACAAATAGGATCTAATTAAACTAAAGAGCTTCTGCACAGCAAAAGAAACTATCAACAGGGTAAACAGACAACTTACAGAATGGTAGATAATTTTTGCAAACTGTGCATCTGACAAAGGTCTAATATTCAGCATCTATAAGGAGCTAAAACAAATTTACAAGAAATAAACAATCTCATTTAAAAGTGGGTAAAGGACATGAACAAACATTTCAAAAGAAGACATACATGCAGTCAACAATCATATGAAGAAAATTTCAACATCACTGATTATTAGAAAAATGCAAATCAAAACCACAATGAGATATCATCTCACACTGGTCCCAATGGCTATAATTAAAAAGTGAAAAAAATAAAAGATGCTAGCAAGATTGTGGAGAAAAAGGAATGCTCATACACTGTTAGTGGGTGTGTAAATTAGTTCAACCATTGAGGATGACAGTGTGGCAATTGCTCAAAGACCTGAAGACAGAAATACTATTTGACCCAGCAATCGTATTACTGAATATATACCCAAAGGAATAGAAATAGTTCTATTATAAAGACACATACATGCAAATGTTCATTGCAGCACTATTCACAATAGCAAACACATGGAATCAACATAAATTCCCATCAACAATAGACTGGATAAAGAAAATGTAGTACATATACCTCATGGAATACTATATGGCCATAAAAAAAGAATGAGATCGTATCCTTTGTTGGGACATGGATGGAGCTGGAGGCCATTATCCTTAGCAAACTATGGAGGAATAGAAAACCAAATACCACATATTCTACCATTTAAGCGGGAGCTAAATGATGAGGACACATGGACATATAGAGGGGAACAACACACACTGGAGCCTATCAGAGGGTGGAGGGTGGGAGGAAGGAGAGGATCAGGAAAAATAACTGTTGAGTACTAGGCTTAATTCCTGGGTGATGAAATATTCTGTACAACATACCCCCATTACACAAGTTTACCTATGTAACAAACCTGCACATGTACCCCTAAACTTAAAATAAAAGTTATTTAAAAGAAAAAAAAAATCATGACATAATCTAAAAAAACACCATAATCCTTTTATACAGCAAACTCGTCAAGTTCATTCCTGCCTTACATTGTACCTGGGCTAGTCTTTCCAACTGTAAGCTTCTCCCAGCTTTTACCCTATTATTCAATTCCACACATCATGCAGCCTCTGCTCACATTTTCCCTTCACAGGGAAGTGCTTTATTCCCTTCTTAGCACTTGTCACTATCTAGGGCTCCATCTCTTCTTATGTATTTCCTATCTTCTCCCATTAGACATGCACCCAATGTGGGCAGAAATTTTGTCTTGTTCATTTTCATATTCCGAGAGCTGAGGATTGCTTGGCACACATTAAGGATTTAACAAATAGTTGAATTAATCAATAAATGTAGAAACTATAATCATGGCAGAAAAAGGAGTTTTACTTTTTTTAAAACTATCATTTCTGTGTCAAATCATTATCATCGAACAAGTCAGGATAGCAAGGCAGCCCTAGGAATGAAGGAAAATAAAAACATTGAGGGTATGTTGAATAGATCATTCAAGAAGGCAGGGAAAGGCCTTTTCCAACACACTTGTTTCCTTTCTTTATTAATCCCAGGGTCCCCCATGGTCCCTCCCTAAGGAACCTAAGGGCTCAGGTGCTGCTGTTTAGTTTTCTACCAGTAGCTACTTCACTGGACTCTCTTGTGATGTGGAGAGTCCTTTGCCTGGCTCCCCAGCTTCTGAAATAAGTGTGGTTCTTATTAATTTTGACTATGTTACAAAGAGATTAATTCAATATACCACCAAAAAATTCACTGGGTTTTTCCTTTTAATACGGGACTTTTTAAATGATTACATTTATACCTTTACAGATGAGTCTTCTCCATCCCTCATCTTTATCCTCAAAAGTCAAGTCGCATTCACAGGAGGAGAATGTTTCCTAGTTTGGTGATCATGATTAAGCAGAGGGCACGTTGCACATGGGTAGGATCCTGCCTTTCCAAGTGGTACTGCTGGGACGTGACCTTGGGTACGTTACTTTTCCTCACTGTGTCTCAATTTTATCAGGGGTAAAGTTAAAGCAACAATGCTACTCAATAGTGTTATAGTGAGGATTAGACATGAAAATTCATAAACAACACTGAGCAGAGAGGTTAGCCCTTAGAGTGTAGTTTCATTGTCAGTCTTACAGGTCAGTACTATCAACCTTCTTTCTCTTCATTCTAATGTAAAATTCTAGAAACTCTGTATCATTAGCCATTTATATTTTGTACGTTGAAAGGCAGTGCTGCAAGAGATGGTTACCTTTCCAGCACTCACAAGCTCTGCTCTGAACCCGATAGGGTGTGGGGGCAGGGGCTCAATAGACTGGAGAGTAATGATAACAGTCATATTTCTCCCATTATTGTTGCTTTATTTCCTGAAAAAAATTATGATATGTCCTGATCTAATTCAGTCTCATAGAATTTTATGAAGTAGATCATCCTGTGTGAATATTCTTTCTTTTCTTTTTTCTTTTTTTGAAACAGAGTCTTGCTCTATCACCCAGGCCGGAGTGCAGTGGCACAATCTTGGCTGACTGCAACCTCCACATCCCAGGTTCAAGTGATTCTCCTGTCTCAGCTTCCCCAGTAGCTGGGACTACAGGCACGTGCCACCACACCCGGCTAATCTTTTGTATTTTTAGTAGAGACGGGTTTCACCATGTTGGCCAGGTTCATCTCAAACTCCTGACCTCAGGTGATCCACCCACCTTGGCCTTCCAAAATGCTGGGATTACAGGCGTCAGCCATTGCGTCTGGCCCAGCGTGAATATTTTTTTTTCCAATAGGCACTTTTAACAAACTGAAATTGTTTTGTATGCAAATAGCAAAGTTGACTAACAAGAGATAATGTTACATATGGTGATTAAGAGCAGCCTGAGATTTAGAATCAGACAAACATGAGTGCAAAGCTCCACAACCTGTATGACTCTGGTCATCTTATTCAACTTCCCTGTGTTTCCTTATCTGTAAAACTGAGTTAACAATACTAACTACCTCATTAGGCTATTGTGAGCAGCAAATTACAACACACGTGCAAAGGTGCTTGGCACATGGTCAGTGTCCAATATGTCTTAGTTCTTATCACTGTTATTACCAGGTAGCATTCTGTATTCTCTCCAGTTGTAATGCTAACACAACCCGGACTTAGAAAATTTAGCCTTTTCCTGGCACCATATAATCAATCATAACCTTAGTCATAAAAAAGTTGAAATTGAGTTCATGTGCACACACACACACACACACACACAAGCACACACACACAATTACAGCTTAAGAATTGGGATTTAGATATTCTAGATATTAGTACATATGACTTTATAATCCATCATTTTTCGTCAGTGCCAAATTGGTTAAAATTATAGCATGTCATTGCTTAGTATGGGGAACGGTGCCATACCTCCTTGGTAGACTAGCCCGAGATTTATTTACACTGTCCCTTGTATGAGTGGCCAGGGATATGTTCTCTCTGACTTCATCTTTCAAGACAAGGTTGGATTTCTTTCTCCATGGTTAATGGGTGCTATATATCTCTGCCTTCCTAGTCACCCCCAAATCATACTTTATTGTCCCCTTCTCAGGTATTAGTAGACATGGAGTGATCTCTTTGCCTGTACTTCAAACTAGAAAGGCATTCCCCAAGGCTCCAATGCAGAATGGAAGTTTTCCTTCTGTGCATCTGCCAACTAGGCTTTGAGCCAATTGTAATTCACTGGGGGATTTCAGTCTAGAGGGTTCTAAATGGATTTTAAATGTAATCCTAGGACAATTATCACCATGTAATTTTTTTTAATTTCTGTGATTTGGCAACACCAGTGAAAATGTGTCATTTATTAGCCCTTTCACTTTCAGCATAGGCCAGGACTAGCTCCATACTACTTGTGTGATTGGTGAAATTTGTTTAAAAGTCTCCCTCTTTACCTCCATTCTAGCACATATTTCTGTAGTGAATAACAAGCTCTTCCTCTAGATCCTAAACATCTCCTTCATCTGCAACAGTGAGACTCAGAGAATATATGCCCAAATCAACCTATCACCAATTTCTTTCAGAATGGTCCTCAAATTTTAATACTCTTTCTATAGTTCACAATGTTTTACATGTTTTAAACTTTATATAAATAGGTTTGCATTGTACCTGTTTTCTTCCAACTTGCTTTTTCTATTAGCACTAGGTTTTTAAGATTTAAACATACTGATGCTTGTAGATGTGGTTTATCCTCTGTATGAATGTAACACAACTTATTTATGTATTATGCAGCAAAAGAATAACTCAGCAAGTCTGGGTTACCATTCCAAAGAAAGATTTGGCCCTTACCTAGCTCCTGGGAGGTAACCTTGAAGTCCTTGTAGTTTCTTCCCTAATAAGAGTGCTCTTGTTTCCCTGGGGACATTGGGTGATGCCAAGTCTTCTATGCTAACAATGGTGGACGACTTGGGCCATGCAGTATCAGCTTAGTTACTAAGGCTCAGGTAAGCTTCCTTAGGTGACAATATAAGTTGAGTATCTTTTATCTGAAATGCTTGCGACCAGAAGTGTTTCAAATTTCACATTTTTTTCCAGATTTTGGAATATTTGCATTATATTTATTGAGTGAGCATCTCTAAGCCAAAGATCCAAAATGCAAAATGTCTCAATGAGCATTTCCTTTAAGCACCATGTTGTAGCTAAAAAAACTTTGGATTTTGGAACATTTTAAATTTCTGATTTTCAGATTAGGGATACTCAACCTGTACTTCATGTGTATTTTCATGCATTACTGTTAAGAGAAATAAATAAATACAACTCCACAGAGAGAAGACAACTGAAAGTTCATGCTTGGTGAATCTAGGATTTTCTTTATGCCTAAGTATATCATCAGCAGATGGTGATAACTTTATTTCGCATTTCCTTTTCTTCTTCACATTAACTTAAATATGATTCTGGGATCTCATCCTGATGGACCGGTGGCAAATGCTACCCCAGTTATTATAAGTCATTGCTCACTCACACCCATAAACCCAAGGTTATGTCCATGGGCCCAGGGTCTTATACATCACCAATAAGTCAGGAGGGGCTACATGGGTCACCCGTTACAGAAGCATGTGGTTATCGCTGATACAAGACTTTTCATGTTTAAAACCACAGAACTCTTTCAGGTGTGATGGCTTTGCTGCTTTTGTACCATGCTGGAAGCATAAAAATCTTTACCAAAGCTGGGAGCCCCAGGCCCAGCCTCCATATGCCGCATATGCAGCCATCTCCTCTGAGATTTGGCTCTCTCTCCAGTTGCAGTCACAACTCCATGTGAACAAATAGAACGGGAGTTTTCACCAATCCCTCCACTCCCTGTTAGTCCTTTAAAAACAGTCAACGTGTCTGTCTACCTGAGTGTAACTAGATACACAAATTAAAATCATAATAAGCTACCCACCCCTGTGCTACAATCCCCTTTATACAGGTTGTTTTTTCTGCCAAGTTTCTATGTAGTTGCCAATGGCTGGGCATTTATCTCTTGGCACCCAATTTTCCTGCCACTGCCTTTCCCCATAAGCACACATAACCTAGTAATCTGCTTATTTGGCTCTAGCCTCATCCGCCTGCACATCTAATCTTCACCTTCCTAAAACCTCTTCTGACACTAGCTTCTCTGATTTGCATTCTGACTCTCATTACCTCATTTAGTCAGCAAATAAACTTTTTTAGGAATTGTGAATAATAAATAATTTTCCCCTTCAAATATTTTTTTTCTGCATTAGGGAGGTCATTTACCATATAGTCAGCAGATATCAACCTGGAAGAACATGCAGAATTTTGCAGGGTGCTGGCCCATTTGTGTGAGTCAAGGAAGGATCACAGAGAGGAAAGCCCAAGCCAAATGTAGACATTTTTCCAGGATGAGCAAACTGAGGCAAAGGGGCATTTGTAGCTGAATGATTCATCTGTGCAAAGAGATAGAGTTTTGAGAGAATATAGTCCACATTTTTTAAATGTAAAAGAGTAAAGTATTCTTTTCAGCAGAATCAAAGAGAAAGGGGTAGGAACTTTGGTTACAGAATTCAGGTCAGACAACTAAAGGTTTTAAAATTCATATTAATGGTACACATACACCAAGAAATACTACACAGCCATAAAAAAGAATTAGATCATGTCTTTTGCAGCAATGTGAATGGAGCTGAGGCCATAATCCTAAGCGAACTAACACAGGAACAGAAAACCAAATACCACGTGTTCTCACTTATGATGGGGAGCTGGACATTAATACACATGGGCAGAAAGAAGGGAGTAACAGACACTGAGGCCTACTTGAGGGTGAAGAGTGGGAGAAAGGAGGAGAACAAAAAATTACCCTTCGAGTACTATGTTTATTACCTGGGTAATGAAATAATCTGTATATCAAGCCCCCATGACATAGAATTTACCTATATAACGAACCTGCACATGTACCCCTGAACATAAAAAAAGAATTTTTTTAAAACTAGTTCACAAAAAATAAATAAATAAATAAATAAATTTATATTTAAAAATTAATATCTTCTTATAGATGATGGGATTCATTGAAAACATTTGAATAGGGAAGAGAGGGAAAGACATAATATTTGGCTCCTTAATTGACAATGTGATGTTAATGCTTAATATCAGCTTATTACATCATCTTTTCTATAACTTTTGCATTTTAAAAGAATATGTTATGTAACTAGGGAACTGCAAAGTTAAAACAACAAAGAGATTCCACTACATATTTAGTAGAATGGCTAAAATCTTAAAAACTTACAATGCCAAATGCTGGCAAAAATGTGAAGCAACAGGAAGTCTCATTATTTGTCAGTGAGAGTGCAAAATCATACAGCCACTTTAGAAGACAGGCAGTTTCTTACCATTTAACATATCATGCAATTCAGCAATCATACTTTCCCACATGGGATAAAAAACTTACATATAGACAAAAATCTTCATATGGGTAGTTATAGCATCTTTATTCATAATTGCAAAAAACCGGAAGTAACTAAGAAGTCCTTCAATAGGTGAATGGGCAAACAAACTGTAGTACATCCATAAAAGGGATATTATTTAGAAATAAGAAGAAATGAGCTGTCAAGCCACAAAAAGACCTGGAAAATCTTTAAATGCATATTGCTAAATAAAACCAGTCTGTTTGAAACACAAGTGAAAGAAGTCCGTTTGAAACACCTATATATGATATAATTCGAATTTTATGGTACACTGGAAAAAGCAAAACTATAGAGTCATTAAAAAATATCCATGGTTGCCAGGGGGATGAAGCAAAGGAGATTTTTAGAGCAGTGAAACAATTCTGTATAATGCTGTAATCATAGATATATCAAAGTATGCATTTATCAAAACCCATAGAATAGTACATCACAAAGAGTGAATCCTAATGTAAACTATAAACTTTAGTTAGTGATAATTGGTAATAATATACTGGTTCATTAATTATAACAAGTGCAATGCAAGATGTTAATAGTAGGGGAAATTGTGTGTGGGTGAGTAGAGATGGAAAAGAGATATATGAGAACCCTTCTGTCCTATCTGTGCAATTTATCTGCAAATTTAAAACTGTTCTAAAAAATAAAGCATATTTTTTAAAACATAAACAATAGTAATAGTATGTTAAGAGAAGTAATTATCTGCATCCAAATCAGTGAACATTTCCAATCAATTATCTATATGCACATTGCGTTATTTTACATACACCACACACACACACACACACACAGCATTCCAAACACCATAAAAAGTCTTGAGAGAAATGCTTCATAAGGTCAAAAATCTCTGCCATTGGGAGTTTTGTTACTGATGTATCTCTAGTGCCTACTAAGATAGGCCCTTTATAATTAATTAGTAATATAATTTCTAAGTTAATAAATTAATACAAATATGCAATAGAAAAGGAGACTTCAATAGTGATTAGAAAGAATCCCCAGTGAGTCTAGAAATGATTTTGCAGTGAAGCAACAGTTTTAGTATTAATTTTAAAAAGGAGAGAAAAAACAAGACCAACCTGGAAGGCCCCATTGGTAAGCTGGTTACCTGTGGTCTTTGGAAATGGTTATCATGACTGGGACTTTTGGAAAAGATCCAGAGAGGACACTATCTATTTAATTAGCCAAATGAGGGCCAGAACGAAAACCAATTTGGCCTTCCTTTGTCACCAAAGATCATTCAAATTTCAAATGAATTTACTGTGTTCATGCTCAAGATGGGCATATCCCATAAATATGAACTTTCTATTGAAAAATTCCTGTGGTAAGGGTTTCTGTTCCATATTTTGTATATGGGAGAGTGCCAATAAGGGGGTGCGGTAATGCTGGGGACAATTAAACTAGGAATATTTCAGGGAATTTGTCTGACTGTACTGACATTGGTTTGCCCAAATATGAATAAGTTCCTGTCTTAAGATGCTCAAAACTCAGAGGGATTGAATTATAAGCAAAGGAATGTTACTATAAGAATACTAAAAATATGAGAATTTTTAAATAAATAAAGGACAGAAACCATAAAGGAAAAACAACAACCAGCTAGCCATACAAAACTGTAAATGTTTATTTGACTAAAGATGACATAAAAATGTTAATCCACAGTCACAAAAATGTTTTCCATTTTAAATATTGAAGTAAGAGTCTCTAGTCAAATGATAACCAAACCATGTGAAGAGAATAAATACATAATTCACAATAGAAGATTAAAGAATCAAATGTTAACTAAAAATTTTTATTACTCCAATAGTAAAACAATGCTAATAGGATCAATATTTTCATCTATTAGACAGAAAATAATTTAAAATATTGATATTATCCAACTATAAAGTGTTCTCAAGGGTATAGGTAAATAGCTTCTCATGAATGTTCTTTATAAATAATAAATTGATTCAACTTTTTTGAGGTCAAGTGGGCATTTTTAATCAATAAGAATGATGATAAGTATTTATTACGCATTATATATTGCATAAGTATTTATGCCTTAAATACTTTATGTTTATTAACATTTGGTTTTTACAAGGACTCTGTGAGGTAGATATTGTTATTATTCTTCCCTACTTTGCAGAGGAGAAAACTGAGTCATGGAGAGGTCCAATAGCTTACCTAGTTAAAAAAGAAAAAAATTATACAACTAGGAAGCAGAGACAGTGGAATTTGAACCCATATACTCTGGCACCAAAGTTTGTGGCCTTAACTTTTCTGTAATACAACCCTATAGTGTTTCATATATTGTTTTTAAATGTGCCCAAGATTTTATTTTTATTCGAGGATGGTGAGGCTAACAGATCAAGAAACAGGGTTATCAAAAAGACAGTTTGTTGCTCACAGTTCCCAAGAGAAGGGACATGCTAAACCACACAGGGCCACCTGGGCAGCACCCAGGTCAGGCAGGTGGGAGAAGAAGCAAGAGGAAAGCACGGGACACAGCCTTTGTTATAGTCTTCACAGGAAGGAATGGACAAGGCAAGGGAAGCAAGCTGTGCAGTCTTAGGACTGGGTAGTTTGAATAATTTCAGTGGGCTCTGAGATACAGGGGTTATCTCTAGTTGCCTGATACCCAGCCCTGGGATAATTTGGACAGATGAATATTGCCTCCTGGAGTATAAGAACCAGACAGAATAGGTGGTTGAGAGTATGGACTTGGGATTGGTTGATTCGTATATCAAAAGCACACTTTTAGGCCAAAAAAATAAAAGTGTGCTTTTGCTATACAAACCAACCAATGGTTGCTTTTTTGCTATGTCTAGGAATAATCTAACCTTGGAAGGGGCAATCTGTCCAGGGACAGAAACACTCCAGATGCCAGAGCATCAAGAATAGAGAAAATAAGAAAATATGCTAATGCATGTATGTATTTTATTTGACTCACTAATTTACTATCTAGGGTTTTATACTATAGAAATCCATGCGTAAGCAGAGATGTGTAACACAAATGCTCAATGCAACACTGCTTGCGACTGCTAAAACTTGGAAACAATATATATATTTATCAAGAGCAGGTAGTGGGATTGATTTTGCTATAAACAGAATGGGTTGTGCAAATCTTAACAAGAGGAGAGATGACTATGTGCATTGACATGGTAGGCTGTATGTACAGTTATATTTACATGAGAAAGGCTGAGAAAGATGAAAATACTTTCTGCTTCATACACTACTGTATTGTTTCAGTTTTCATAAAGAGCCTATTCTACTTTTCATACTTTTGATAAGGATTATTTTCTGTTTTATATCCTAATAACAGAAGAATATATAAGTTAATTTGAGTGATAAGGGACTAACTGCAAATAAAAGATCAACTGCGGTGTCACTTTTGAAGAAAATACAATGATCCTGGTGTTTGTAGAAGCTGTGCCTACAGAGAAGGAAGTCAGGCTCTAGCAAATCACTGTTAGAGGTAGGGATGTTTCTGAAGAATTCTAACCACTGGCCACAAGACAACAACAGTTCTATAAAGTTAGTGGGCATCAGAACCATGTGAAGGGCTTATTACAACAAGATTGAGATTCCTGCTCCTCACCTCCAAAATTCATGATGCAGAGGGTCTGTGGTGGGCCCCAAAATGTGCATTTCTAACAAGTTGCAGGTGGTGCTGATGCTGCTAATCTGGGGACCACACTTTGAGAACCACTACTCAAGAGAATGAGCTATTGAATGAGGACACTAATTCAGAGGAGACTTTTTAACAGCTTTGAGTAGAGGCTGGCTCAACTGACCTTGACAAAGGAGCAACCAGCCATACCTGTGAGACTGGGTGAACGAAGCCTGCCAGCAGAGGGCAGTGCAAGAAATAATAGGCACCCCAAGTGTGAACAGAGCTATTGTTCTAATTTCACCTGACTTAACTGCATGACGAGAATCCGAAATGATTCACTGTTTAAGTAAGGTTAAGTAGTGATTCTTCAACATAGCTGTTTTGAGTGATCAACTGCAAGGTAAATATTTTGGGGTCGATCCTCAGGCCTGGAATACTCACATGGCCAAGTCATATATTGGTTATGGAGGATCCCAAAGGAGGCAGTGAAAAATCTTACAGCTTAAAAGCCCAGTTGTCAGGGATATTATTTGGCAAAAATATGTTTCAACTTCTCTATATGAGTCTCTTCCATTTCCATTCATATACTCCCTTGTCGAACTTGACTCTGTGAAGGGCAACACTAAATTTTACCTCCTTTGCTAAGATATTGATATGAGAGTGGTGTGGAAAATATGTCACTTTCTCATGAAAAAAATAATAGGAAACCCTGAAACTTTGCTCTAAACTTTAGCCAAATTGACTCACGAAGTTTAATTTTGGTTATCATTTCATGTTCAAAATTCAGGACAAAATGGTGAAAGAAAATACTAGATAGTAGTTTTGTTACATTTGTTTTATTATCTCAAATCGGGTTTCTGTTACAAAATATGTTTAGAGCTACTATCAAAAATAGTGTCATCATATTGATCTGAATTACAGAATGGTAAGGTACTGAGCATTTGGTTCAATTTTGTCACTTAAAGGTAGCATTGGTCATGCCAATTGATGACAAGGGCATCAAAAGGAGCAATAGCGACAAAGGGAGTACTATTAACATATGCTGTTTTATAAATAAAGTCCAAGATTTGAACCAAAGTAATCCAAGCTGAAACACTGGCATTTTACATAGAGTCAAATATTATCACCAATGTGAAATGCATTACAAGGTAGAAAAATACATTTCCTATTGTTTTCAAAAGATAATATCTATATTTTATGTTTGATGTTTATTTATTTATTTATTTATTTATTATACTTTAAGTTTTAGGGTACATGTGCACAACCTGCAGGTTTGTTACATATGTATACATGTGCCATGTTGGTGTGCTGCACCCATATATGAGTTAATGGGTATGTTCGATGTTTAAATCAGAAAGTTGTTCCGCCAAAATCTGAGAAATTAAGAACTTTTTATGTAACTCTATCACTTCTTTCTGAAGTATGACATGCCATATTATGTGATCATAGCAATAATCTAATTGCAATGACTAGTTCTTACACCACAGATTTTCAGACTCACTGTGGGATGGATAGTAAAGGATGGCAATGGTTGGTTAAATAGGGAAAAAGAATACGGACCAATGAATATGCAGGATGAATGAACAGCATTTACTGATGAACAACACAATTCCCCTCTATTAATACCAAGGACTGAATTACAACTGAGATCCTTGCTCTTCACACACTGGCAAAGACCTTTGGCAGCAGAGGGCTGAGTCATTTTTATCTGCCGTGTTGCCATGGGATTCTACTGCCCTGGAGATCCTTCTACTGGCACCTGTAGCACCAGCAATGTGCATCACTCGCACTGGGAACTCTCTCAGGGAAGAAGCAGAGACAACCCACCTGCGAACTTTTCAAAATCAGAAAGTGTCATTTTTGCAGTGATTGAGTTATCTCTTTTCCATGAATGAGCATAGCTTGATCATTTTTGCTTTTAACCTGATGTCACTAAGAGCTGTATGTGTGTGTGTGTCTGTGTGTGTGTTTAAGTATAACTGACTTCTAATGTATCAATATGACAAATGAATTACTGGATTGACTCATTTTTTCTCTGAGCACAGAATATCAAGATGCATATCATTAAGCTCTGCTATTCTGTCTTGCTCAGAAAAAACTGAAAAAAATAAAAAACTTAAAATATTCAACATAATTAATCACCAATTAATACTGAAAGCATATGTTATATTTTAAATGCCTGAAATATATATATTTTACATTTTAGGGTAAGAATGAGTCTATCTAGTTAGGCAAAATTTCCATGAGATAGCATTCATCCATTTATATTTTATGATTACTCAGAGCCCTGGCTGAAATTTAGGTTTTACTTCCAATAAAGAACATTTTTCTTAGATTAATAATATCATAAGACCAAAGAGGAATGTTTGAACTTATTAAAAATAGATAACTCTTCAAATATGCTAGAACAATTTAGAAAAATTGATTTACATTTAAATAATTTATGTATTTATATGATTATTATCTGTCTGATAAAATTTTATCTGTTGCTGTCTAAGATTATTCTACAATAATTCATTAACATAATTTGAAAAATTCTCGGCACTTAAAAGTCATTCAACATTTCTTTAGAATTTATGTTCTACATGAATTTGTGAACAGAGAAGAGTAATAGAACTCAGAGCTCAATATTTTGTTTCTTTACAATTCTATGAGAAATGCATAATTTTATGAAAATTTAAAATTTTTGATTCAACTGATATTTATGGAATGTTTACTATGTGCCAAAAGGCATTAGTTGCTATGACAAAGACTGAAAGATGTCTATCCCATGTTCAATCTTTACTTCTTCCTGAGCAGAACTCTGTTTTCTGTTGGGTGTGGGAATGGCAGTGTATCTAACTGAGAAACTGCATTTCCCAGCTTTCTTTTCAGATAAAGAGGCCACATGACGAAGATCTGGCCAGTAAGTTGTAGTAGAAGGTGTACAGTGAGCTGATTTGGCCAGATGTCAGCCCTTCCATCTTTCTTCAGCTTGTTGCTTGGAACAAAAAATTGAGGGCTGGAGTTCCATGATAAAAACCAGCATTCAAAAGAGAGGGAGAGAGAGAGAATGAGGGAGAGAGGGGGGAGCGAAGGAGAAGGGGAGAGGAGGGAACAAAAGGGGAGGGGAAGGAAGGGAGAATAAAGAGAGAAAGAGAGAGAGAGAGAGAGAAGGAGATTTACTATAAACAATTGTCTCATGAGGGTATGAGGGCTGACAAGTCCCAAGATGGGCAATCAACAAGCTGGGGGTCCAGGAGAGCCAATTGTGTAGTTCCAGTCTGAAGTCCAGTAGGCTCAAGTCCCAGGAAGAACTGATGTTTCAGTTTAAGTGGAAAGAGAGGAGAAGACTGATGTCCCTGTTTGGAGGCAATCAGGCAGCAGGAATTTCTCTCTTATTTAGCCTTTTGGTTCTATTCAGACCTTCAACTGATTGACTAAGGCCCAGAAACTTTAGGGAGGACAATCTGCTTTACTCAGTCTACCAATTTAAATGTTAATCTCATCACAAACACCCTCATAGCACACCCAGAATAATGTTTGACCAAATATCAAGGCCATCCATGACCTAGTCAAGTGGACACATAAAACTAACCATTATAGTGATATGACACAGCAGCCCTGAACAGTGTGCTTCTACATTTCCTCTGTGTGAAAGAGGAATAAATCTCTACATTGTTTAGCCCACTGTTTTACAGACCTCTTGCAGCCAAATGCAATTTCTAGCTGATATAGTGACTACAGCCACATAGGATTATCTGAATTTCCCACAAATATTTTAGAATTTCAAACATCATTTCGCATAAGAAATGCTCAGCAAATACATTCTAATGTTGATATCTAAGATCAGGACAAAATCTCTACTAAACTAATTTATATGACTATAATCCATAAATTAAACCATATTATGTTATAAAAATTCTTTCTTACTTAAAAAATCCCAGTTTTCTTTCTTTTATGTTACTTTCCATTCATTTCACCTGGTTAATTCACATTCATCTTTCAGAATTATGTGTCAACCCTTCCAGGGAGTTTTCCAGACATGAGGTATTTCTCCCAAGTTCTCCATTAGCACGCTGCACTTGCTACCTTCTGTTATTTTGAATACTTAGTCATCTGATGAGTTCTCAGAGAACGGATGTTTTATTGAGGCTTCTTTTCTTCTAAATATTTGGGGCCTCATGTGAGGAGGGCTAAGTTAATTTTACTTCTGAATTCATTGCATATTATCTCACTTTGTTCTCACAAAACCATCCAACACCTAGTACTAATTTGTTTACTCACTTACTTAAACCCTTTTATCTCTATATACACTCCAATTTCTCTCTGTTATCCCATAGGCAACCTGAGTAATGTGTTCATGTGTACCGTCATATTCATACATGTCCTTGTAAATTGTTTTGTTTCACATGCAGGTATTTAACTTTTTTATTAAAGGTGTTATGCATAGTCTGTGTTTTAATTTGTTAACTAAACATATTCTGTATTTTGATTTGCTTATTCAATACTATATTTTTAAGATCCCTTCATGGTGCCATGTATATATTTAATCAATTGCATCTAGCTGGAGCATAATGTTCTCTTTAATACAGCTGCCACAATTTTCCTATTTATTCTCACAAGGACATTTTAGTGGTTCCAAATTCCCATCACCACATAACTAAATAACAAGCATTCATTTACAATTCCCTTTAGATTGTGAGAATTTGTGTGTGTGTACAATATTTATATATATTATAAATACATACACATATGTGTATAATGTATGTTTTTATGTATACATATATTATATGTACATACATGTGTGTATAAGTGTGTATAAATGTAACTATCTCTTAAAAGCTGTATTGCTGGGTCACAGGAAACTCACATGTTTAATTTGACTAAGCAGTGCAAAAATACTCTCCAAAATAGCTGAACCTATCTCCTCTCCTACCATAAGCATATGAGAATATCAATATGCCAATGTCCTTACCAACATTTGGCATTACTTACCTTCCAAATTTTTAGCTGTCTAGCCATGTAAAATGGTATTTTGTTTTTTATTTTGCATTTCTCTGATTACTGATATATTTAAGAATCACTTTACATACTTCTCAGGCTTTTGGGGGTTCTTCTTTTCTGTATCATTGTGCATTCTTATTGGATTGCTGTTTTTTGTTAATGTTGATGATTTTCAGGAGTTCCTTGTGTTCCTTATACATGAAGAAGTTTCCAGAGTTAGACATTTGAAATATATTCTCCCATTTTGCCACATGTCCATTACCTAATCCATTAAATCCCTTATTGAACAGAAATACTTATTTTGATGTGAAACAATCAAGTTTACCTTATAGTTTGTACTTTTTGAAGCTTTGTTTACAAAGTTCTTCCCCACCTCATCTCTTAATCAAAAAGATATTCTCTTATATTTTTATTTTACCAACTTCCAGATTTGTCTTTCATGTTTTGGTATTTAATTCATCTGGACTCTACCATTGTATGTGGAAATAGGTAGGAATCCAGTTTTATTTTTTCTCCATATAGTGAATCAATTTTCCCAAGGTCATTTTCTAAACGACTAGTTTTTTCCCATTATTTATGGTTTCCTGTTTATGATAAGTACATACACAAACCTGTGCGAGCTTTTTATTGTATCTTATTATGTGTGTGTGTGTCTTAACTGTTATTATTCATCATGTCAATCTCTATATCCTGGGAATCTGATAGAATGCCTAGAATTATTGTGTAGAATAAATGACAATGACCTATTTATACTAAAGCCTTTTAAACCAGTGTTCACTTAACATAATTGTCAAATCAAACAGAGCTCTCTTCCCACTTTAAACATAGCCTGATGCTCACAGTCTCTAAACACTCACAGCTGAAATCTCACTTGCTCTTGCATTTTTGTATCCACCAGCCAAATTGTATTTTCTCTTTCTTTCTTTCTTTTCTTTTTCTTTCTTTCTTTCTTTCTTTCTTTCTTTCTTTCTTTCTTTCTTTCTTTCTTTCTTTCTTTCTCTTTCTTTCTTCTTTCTTTCTTTCTTTCTTTCTTTCTTTCTTTCTTTCTTTCTTTCTTTCTTTCTTTTTTCTTTCTTTCTTTTTTTTTCTGAGAAGGAGTCTCGCTCTGTCACCAGGCTGGAGTGCAGTGGCACGATCTCTGCTTACTACAACCTCTGCCTCTCAGGTTCACGTGATTCTCCTGCCTCAGCCTCCTGAGTAGTTGGGACTACAGGCATGCGACACCATGCCCAGCTAATTTTTGTATTTTTAGTAGAGACTTGGTTTCACCATGTTGACCAGGATGGTCTCAATCTTTTGACCTCGTGATCCACCCGCCTCAGCCTCCCAAGTGCTGGGATTACAGGCGTGAGCCACCGTGCCTGGCCCAAACTGTATTCTTATAAGCATTAGGTATCTTAGTTCCCAAAGTGTTTATGCCCACTGTACTTACTGTAACTATACAGTTTAAATATTACATAAACAAATGAAATGGGAGTGAAAAGAGGGGGTTGTTTCAATAAAAACTGTTTTTGAAGTATTGCAAAAAGGAGAATTGTTAAATGATTATTGCAAAAGAGGTGTGGACTAGGCAACTGTGAATGATTGGGACAAAAGGATGTAAATAATAAAGATGCAGAAGAATTCTCCACTCAGATGGCTTTACATTCCTGTCCACTTGAGAGTAACCAAAACTGGAAAACACAGACTATGTCTCAACGGACATGTTCTATGTAATTCAGGTGAATTATAATTATAAACAAGGTATCTGCATCCCAAAATAATGGCCTCTAATCAAAAGATTGACACAAGAATATATATCTATACACACACACACATACATATACACATATATACACAAACACATTGAAAGAACATGTATGTATGTATCATTATTATAATCATTTTTATGATATTTATGATTCCTTGTTTTAATCAACTTTTGCAATTTACTAATTAATTATGAGATTGGATAAGAGACAATCTATAAGGCAACTGCATAAAGGGAGTCACAGGTTCTAAATAAGCACACATTCGAAATTTGAGAATACATTTAGAAAACTATTCTCCAAGAATTTATTTAGATCATTTAACTTTTTTCCCCTTTGATTATTAAAATTAGAGGTACTAGGGTAAAGATTATATTAACATGAGGACAGAGCACATACATCCATCTTTCCTACTACCTAATTTATTTTTATTTTCCTTTTTGAGACAGGGTCCTGCTCTGTTGGTCAGGCTAGAGTGCCGTGGTGCTATCAGGGCTCACTGCATCTTCAACCTACTGGGCTTGAGTGATCCTCCTACCTCAGCCTCCCGAGTAGCTGGAACTACAGGTGTGTGCAACCATGCTCAGTTAATTTTCGTATTTTTTTTTGTAGAGATGGGGTTTTGTCATGTTGTCCAGGCTGGTCTCAAACTGCTGGGCTCCAGAGATCCTCCTGCCTTGGCCTCCCAAAGTGCTGAGATTACAGGCATGAGCCACCACACCCAGTCTACTACTTAAATTTTTTAGAGGAACAAATCCAGAACAGCAGTTACAAACAGAAAGAATACCACCAGCTCCTGGGAAATTTTGAGGAATTCCTGAAAGATAGGAAGCAGATGGAGTCAGAATGTCAGAGAAACAAAAGCAGAGAAAACAACAGCCAAAACACACAGATGAGAAAATTACTTTTAAAAGCAATTTCACTTATAATCAAAACTCGGAATCAAAAATCAAGAGGAGCTTAGGAAATAGTCAGGGTAACTGAAGTACCACATTTTGATTAACCAGGCCAATTTCACCCCTCTTGTGCCCACTTATGTTAAACAACAGGCAGTAGCTATGAGTCTCCCAAATATTCTTTTTTAAAACTATCTCCAAAGAAAACCCAGGTCTTTAATAACGTGAGTGATCTTCAAAGATAAGGTTCTTCACACTACTGATGGGAGTAGTGTGAGAAAAACAGAGTAAGGCCTAAAAAAATCTTCACCCTCCATAAGGAAACTGGAGAAAGAAAGAGAGAGACAGAGAGGGAG
Organism: Homo sapiens; assembly: GCF_000001405.40. NCBI lineage: Eukaryota > Metazoa > Chordata > Mammalia > Primates > Hominidae > Homo > Homo sapiens. The sequence continues at coordinate 113,314,488 of NC_000006.12, forward strand.
AGAAAAGAGGAAGAAGAAGAAGAAGAAGAGGAAGAGGAAGAAGAAGAAGAAGAAGAAGAAGAGGAAGAAGAGAAAGAAAGAAAGAAGGAAAGAAAGAAAGAAAGAAAGAAAGAAAGAAAGAAAGAAAGAAAGAAAGAAAAAGAAAGAAAGAAAGAAAGAAAAAAGAAAGAGAGAGAAAGAGGGGCAATGGACTTCAGCTTGCGCATGCTAAAGCCATAACTACGTTACTTCCTGAAGTGTGTATTTTTGCCATAAAAGGCTCCCACAATAAATATTAGGCTTTGAAAAGTAGGAAAGTACCCCAACTAATTTAAGACTATTGAATTAGCAGAGAGCTCCCACACTCTGAAAGAATCTTCAAAAGCTGGCAAACCACATTCTTGTCCTTCCATACAATTTTCAGAGAAGGCTACTTTAATCAGAACATATGTTCACAAACAATTAAACATTGATTATCATATGCAAATATGAACCATCAACAATCACTGAGGATTTGAGTAAAAGCACCAGAAAAAAGAGGCCCCACATTCACCAAATAACAGAATGCCCAATGCAGTGGAGTGAGAAGAACAAACAGAAGACAACTAACATACAGGTACAATTTCTATCTCAGAGAGGTTTTAGGTGACAGCGCATTTATAAGACAAGAAAAGGATTTCATGAAAAAGAAGCAGAGATCTTGGAAAAACATGCTCACAGAAGTTAAAAATAAAAGCAATTCAATAAATGTGCTGAGTGGTACATTGGGAATAGCAGAAGATAGAATGAATAAGCTGGAATATCTCCCTGAGGGATATTGTTGGAATGCATGAGCAAAGGACAAAGAAATGAAACACATGTAAGAAAAGCTGAGAGATCTTTACACTATGTATATGCATTTATATCTATTTTCATTTGATCATTATAGCCACCTCCTAAGGTGGATTAAATTACTAATGTTCACTTGGCAGATGGGGGAAACAGTGTTGCAGTGTCACGCAGTATCCTAGAGCAAGTCAATAGTACTGCTCAGTCTAGGATTTGAGTCTCTTAAGCCCCAGGCCAAGTTCTTTCTGTCTTTGACAGTATGTGAATGACTATTGAGCTCAGATAACCAGTAAATTCCTGTTTTTTACATTATAGTACTAGGACATCCAAAAGGAGAGCATCAAGATGCTGTATCTCGGGCAAAGTTAAGGAGGCTGAAGCCCAGAGAAGGCTGTTGGATTTGGCAACTGACAAACTTTCAGAAAGGTTTCATCAGGGCTGTGGTTCTCATAAGTCAGTAGCTTTATTGGGAACTTATGAACCTGGTGAATTCTGGGCCTAATCTTCAGAAATTATGATTCAGGTAGTGTACATGGCTTCAGAATCTCCAATTTAATAGATACCCCAGATAATTCAGAAGCAGGTTCAGAATTGAAAGCACAGAGTGGAGGATTTGGAGAGGTCAAGGTGGCTAGAATTCCCAAGATGGAGGGCCAGAAAGGAGAGAGAGTTCTGAAGACATAGAGTTTTCCTTAAGTCTTCAGCTAAAACCTGTCAGCACATGATTGTGAGCAAATGACTGCAGTCTTAGGGAAAAAAACGCTGAAGCAATTGGAACAATTTCTGGAGATTACCCAAGACCAGAAGTAGTTCATGTCACACTTGCCAGAGTGAAATATTTTTGTAATACAAAGGGCACTAATAGAGTACTCAGAAACGTATTGCCTCACTAGTGAAGCCAAATTAGCCCTAACTCAAAGAGCGGTCATGTACATCTAACAAAGCAAAAAACCAAGCCTTGGAAGGATCAAAATCTTTCCGAGTAATTTAACTACATCCTAAAGCAGAACTCAAGGATATTTAAAGAAATATTCCTTATTCACAAAAGACTGTAATGAGAAAAATTAACTAGTAGAAACAGATCCAGAAATTACACGTGATAAAATTAGTAGATAAGGACATAAAAACAGTTATAATTACAGTCCATATACTCAAAAAGGTAGAGGAAAGCATGAACATGTTAAAAGAGATGTGGAAGTATTAAAAAGACAAATAGGACTTCTAGAGCTAAAAACAATATCTAAAGAATGAGATTAACAATGGGTTAAACACTAGAAAAAAATATTAGTGAATTTAAAGTCCTAGCAATGTAAATGATCAAAAAGTAAAATATAGAGAGAAAAGAGAGTAAAAAAAATATGAATACACCATCAGCAAACTGCAACCCAACTTTGAGCATGTATGTGGTTTGTAGTCCCTGGGTTGAAAAAAGAGGAAAGAAATATAATTGAAGAATTATGAATAAAAAATTTCTAAATTAAATGAAAATGATCCAAAAAGCTCAATGAACTCAAACACAAAGAACTTGAAGACATTTACGTGGAAGGCCTAACATAAATTAAATTGCCTATAGACTGTAATAAAGAGAAAAGTTTTTAATGCAGCCAGAGAAAAAAAGACATATTACTTGCCAATATATAAATATAAGGATGGCATTAGAGCTCTCATTAGAAATAATACGAATTAGAAAATAGTGGGGCAGCATCTTTAAAGTACTGTAGTAAAAATAATGAGAAGGATAAGGCCTTCCCTATCTTTGTGTCAGAGCCCAGAATAAATGTCCAGAAAATAGTCTGAATATAATAGTTCTTGATAAATAAGTGAATATGTAGGCCTTTTTTTCTCCAATCAATGGTTAGTTTAAGGGGTAGAGTTGTGTTTTTACAAATACAACAATCAAAATTCAGAATAAAATTGTAAATGTGAATACCATGTATCACTGTACACTTCTGCAATGGTATTTTGATATATGAGAAATCTTTAAAAACCATTAAATTTATTATCTATAGGGAGAAAAGTAGAAATGATGGATTAAAGCAAGAAAAAATAACATTTTTAAAATTCTTCTCCTAAACAAAGGGTGGTTAATATCAAGTGAAAGTCCCCATATACACTCTGGCATTCAGCTAAATCCAGTCATGCTCTACCTAGAGCTGGATGCATTTTCTTTCATTTTCTCCCTTCTCTTCATTTTCCTCGCTGGATCTATCCTCTCATAAAAGTCACCAGAAAGCAGATGAATATCCATAGAAGCAAATTCCCAGAGGGTTCTAAGGTCCCGATAGCTGTTGCTAACCTTGCTCAGAGTGCAGATGGCTGGAGGCAAACTCTCACATGAAACCCAAGGCCCAGCAGTAGAGTTCAAGCTCTTATGAATAAATCATGCTCCTCCACTCAATATTCTGGCCTTGGGTGCTGGGTAGCATTTGTCATTCACCTGAGTCCAAACATGTCATTATAGAATTGAAGAAATTTTTGATTATATATTCTTTATGAACCACCTACATACAACACTTGGGACTTCTTGGGCACAGGCACATCTGTGCAAAGAATTCTAAACTTGCTCTTGATATAATGGCCTTGACAGTGACAGAGTCTCCCACCTGCCCCTCAATGAAAGGATGCATTTGACTCAATAATAATTAGCATCCATTATGGGAGAGCTCTTTTTGAGGACTGAGTATGGTCCTCCCAGGCTGCAGGTGCAGAATTATCCCCGTGACCTTTTGCTCCAGGATCAGTCATCGAGGAAAGGAGCGGGAGCCGTCAGGAGGGAATCACAGGCTGTTTATCTTCTCTAAGAATCATTGTCTGGCCTCTGCTATTCATGTCAGCGGCAGCATTTTCCTCTCGGGAAACCTACAGGAGAGGCTGAGATGCCTCATCTGTGTGCTTGCTTGCTGGAGCCTTGCGAAGAGGCACCTGGTTTTATTTTCTGTGTATCTTTATGCTCATTCTCAAAGAAAGAAAATCTACTTTATTACAAGGAACAAAAACATAATAGAAAGAACACAGGTGGCTGAATGCTGACTGACAGGCAAGCACATAAGGAATAAGATGCCAGACAAGGCCTCTGTGTTTCCAAATGGCAGCTTCTGGCTGCCAGCGTAAGTGTGGAGCCTGCTGTGTTTGGAGGAACGCTAACCAAAAGTAGCCAAAACCCTGACCCTTCTTCACTCACAAGCTTCAAATAATGCAGGTATTACAAGATGCTACATGGAAACTTGTCTTTTCTCTCATTTGCTTTGGGTTTTTGCTTCATGTCACAGGAACAGAAAGAAAAAATCAAAAGGCAGCTGTGAACAGCTTGTTTTCTGAAGAACTGTTTTGAGAATTCTATAGATTGAATGCTTTTCTGGCTCTTTGCCATTCTTGGTGATAAACAGAACTCCTGTTTAAGCACTTCTCAGTTCCCGCTGATCCGTCATGGTGCTTTACAAATCATTTTGTACCGTCGATTACAATGATCTGTGTCCTTCCTTCCTCCCCAGCCCCAGAAGCTCCTCAGGAGAGAGTCTGCATCTGACTCATGTTTGCTTTGCCCGCCACCCTTCCTGGTGTTCCTGAGAGTGGGTGGCAGCTGGGGGAGGAAAGACCCCAGAGGCCAGGAGAACTGGGACCAGTCAATTGGAGCATTTAAGCTTCAGATTTCTATCATGAAAACTGGAGCCATAAGATCAACCCATTTACTGTAGGTCTTTATTTGAAAATCATTTTCTCCATGAACTTCACCATCAAATTTCAACACCCCTAATATTTTATATTGCCCTCCCCTACTTTAGATTTTTTTCTTTTGTACTTATCACAGTCTGAAATACTATTTAGTTTGCTCAGTTTTCTTGTACATTGTCCATTCACTCCATTATATGATGGCAGGGACTTCTGCCTATTCTGTTTCCTACTTTATTCAGAGTGGTTAAACAGTGCCTGGTATGTAGTAGGCTCTTGATAAATATCTGCTTAGCTAATTAATTAAAGAATAGAAGCATGTAAATTCTTTGCATATTGTCGTTGCTTAAAAATTGTTTGCTTAAAAGTGACTTGGCCGAATGAATAAACCAAATTAAATTCAACAAAAATGTTCATGTATTTGTGGAAGTTATTTGATAAATTACATGTTTAGTAACATTATGTCTGCTAGAGTTTTCGTACCTATATGTTTAAAAAGAAGTATTATTGGCCAGGTGTGGTGGCTCACGCCTGTAATCCCAGCACTTTTGGAGGCTTAGGCAGGCAGATCACGAGTTCAGGAGGTCGAGACCAACCCAGCTAACACAGTGAAACCCCATCTCTACTAAAAATACAAAAAAAATTTATCCAGGCATGGTGGCACGTGCCTGTAGTCCCAGCTACTCGGGAGGCTGAGACAGGAGAATTGCTTGAACCAGGGAGGCAGAGTTTGTAGTCAGCCAAGATTGCACCACTGCCCTCCAGCCTAGGCAACAGAGCGAGAATCCGTCTCAAAAAAAAAAAAAAAAAAGAAAAAGAAAAAGAAGTATGTATTATTAACTTTTCTTTTCCTACTTCAGAAATTCTCAGTGTGGCATCTATATCACTAATGGCATTAGCTGAAAGGAAAACAAAGACTCAAATTAATGTGCAAATTATAAATCTTGCTTATTGATTTGGTTGCAAAGAGCCATAGTAAATACAGAGGTGAATATAAGAATTGAGCAAGTGTTTAAACACAATTTGATTGTCCATGGGTTCACAGCTTCCAATAACATTTAGGTTGGATTATTTTGAACTCTCAGCTTTGACCTGTTTTAATTGCATTTACTGTTTTTAGAGTAATACTTCATATTACCAAGCCTGAAATATATTGTTGAAGCAATTGTGGCAAAGTTCTTTATGATTTCAAACACCTGTGGTAGGTGGAGAAATGCCCCCCTCAACCCCCTGCAAAGACATCCATCTTCTAATTCTTGAAATTAGATTACAAGAATTCACAATTCTTGAAATTGTGAATGTCACCTTACATGGAAAAAAGGGAGTTTGTGGATATGATTAAGGATTTTGAGATGGGAGGATTATCCTGGATTATCCTGGATTTTCCAGGTAGGCTCAGTCTAATCACATGAAAAGTGAAGACCTTTCCTTGTTCTGATCAGAGGGAAATGCAACAATGAAAGAGTGGTGATATGGTTTGGCTGTGTCCCTACCCAAATCTCACCTTGAATTGCAATAATCCCCACATGTCAAGGGTGGGGCTAGGTGGAGAAAATTGAATCATGGGGGCAGTTTCCCCCATACTGTTCTCATGATGGTGAATAAGTCTCACGAAATCTGATGGTTTTATAAATGAGAGTTCTCCTGCACAAGCTCTCTTGACTGCCTCCATGTAAAATGTGACTTTGCTCTTCATTTGCCTTCTGCCATGATTGTGAGGCCTACCCAGCCATGCTGAACTGTGAATCCATTAAACCTCTTTCCTTTATAAATTACCCAGTTTTGGGTATGCTTTATTAGCAGCGTGAGAACAGACTAATACAAGTGGTCAGAGAGATTTGAAGGTGGAAGAAGGGAAAGGGGGCCTCAAGAAGCTACAAAAGACAGGGAAATGGCTCTCCCTCCAGGTTCCAGAAGGAAGCACAGCCCTGCTGGCACCTTGATATTAGCTCAATAAGACCAATATCACATTTCTGACCTACAGAACTGTAAGATAACAAATTTTTGTTGTTTCATGGCACTCAGTTTGTCGTTGTTTGTTACAGCAGCAATAGAAAAACTAATATTCTACCTGTTCTGATCTCACTTCCCACTATGTCCCTCTCTGCATTTTATTCTAATAGCTATATTTGTGCCCCAAAAACATGGAACATTGAATCAAGACAGAGACTTCCATACCTTTACTCTTACTGTTCCCTCCACTGGCACCATGTCCCCACCTTTAAAGCGATCACCCATTATTCACAGTCCAGATTGAATCATCTCTGGGTCCCAAGTCAAATATAATCACTCCTTTTTCATTTCTTTTTCATTGAGTTCTTGCACACTTAAGTAGCATTTTTTTTTACTTTGTCTTGCAGTATGTTTACTTTGGTCTCCTCCACCATGGTTCCCAAAGGACAGAGCCCTGTGCTTTTCATCTTTGTATCCTTTACAGCACCTAGCTTAGAATCATACATGCAACGCCCATTTGATATATTTTTGCTAATTAAATGACTGCAGAATGGCAGATTGTCTGTTTATTTTCCTAATCTGTGGAAAGAGTTGTAGGAAACAGTATTGCTCAGTTGTGCTCTGGGTTTGGTAGAGAAACAGTCTTGGATGCACATTAAAGAATGGATAGTAAATATCTATTACCAGGTGTCAGGAAGTTAATTCATGTGAGATCTCATAAGTGGGTGGAAATGCTTATAGAAAACAGCCTGAATGACTCGGAACCACTAAATAAAAACACTATATAATGTAATCAAAGACAAAAAAACTGAATAAGTAATAAAACAGGTGGTTGTGTGACACAACTCAAAGAGAAAGGGGCTATTCCCTAAAAATAAAAATTAAAGGACAAAATTTCAAGAGGTTTGCTTAAAATGAGAATGATCAAAAAAATACACTATAAAGAAAAACATATCCAAGAAGAAAGGATGAGAACACAGCTCAGTCATAAAAATGGCAAGCATCTTAATTCCTCTCCATGCTCAGAAAACTCACTGGCAAATAGAACATTTAACCTATTTTTTCTTTCATTCGACAAATATTATTTCTGTACCAAATATCTGTAATATATTTTGATAATTTCTGGGGATATGGAATTAAATGAATATACTTCTTGCTATAAAGTTGCTCACAACATAGTAAGGGCAGAAGGTGGTTTATATGGAGTAGGTTTGAAAATGGAAAAGGGAATCCACAGTTATAATTCAGTGGAATAAGTGCCAGAGTATTTCTATTACTCTTTCCTATGTACATTAGTTAGGATTTTTTTGGCTATAAAAAACCTAACTCAAAATAGATTATGGAAAGTGGAAATGTATTGACCTCTATAACTAACAAGCTCATGGGTGGAGCTAAATTCATTCATAGCTGGATTTGGGGCTCAAGTAATATCAAAAGAGCCAGATCTTTTCATCTCTGGGATCTTCTGTCTTTCATTGGTTGGTCTTGTTTTCAGGTTCCAGATGGAGGCAAGATGAATTCAGTTTTTCTCTGTTTTATTTCCAGTGTAACTGAAAGTTGACTCTTCGTGAACTTCCAATAAAATGTTATTACTTTTCATTAGTTCTGATTGGGCCATTTGCTCATCTTTAACAAATTGCCATGATGAGGGGAATGCGATGCTCTAATTGACCAAACATAGCCATGTTTGGACTCTGATTCAGGGGAGCAACCAACTCTGCTTAGAGCACCGCAACTGGGAAAGAGGGAAAAGATGGTACCCAGATGAAATTCAGGGTACAGTTACAGCCAGAAGGGGAAAAAACTGCTGAGAGGCATAATAAAAGATGAATGTCCACTACACGATTGAAACAGAGACAAAGAATAACTGAGGGAAGTAGGAAATACAATGTCAAGAAAAATTTTATTGATAAAATAATTACTGAGCTGAATTTTGGAGGACAAGGAAGAGTAAGCTAGATGAATGTGCTCCTGTCCTTACCCCAGAGGTGAAAGGTAGGTGCAAACCACCAGGTGAGGTCACCAAGATTAAAGTCATTTAGTTCTGTTTCAATATGGGTTTTCCTTTAACTGCGGATCAAAGACTGTCAGCATCTATATTATGGAAGATAATTATTTTAAAATACAACTTTATCAGGCCTCACTTCATACCACCTAAATTTTGGATCCTTGGGGCTGGGGCCTAGAATCTGTACTTTAACAAAACTAAATTAGCCTAGAAGATTTTTATATGTATTAAAGTTTAAGAACCACAGTTCTATATCTAAATAATTTATCCAATTTCTTAGGAGACCATGGGTACAGTATTCATCCATCCAATGAACAGATATTTGTCTAGCACCTTATACATGCCAGGCAGTCTTCCAGGCACTGGGAATATGTCAGTGAAATACAGTTGCTGTTAAAAGGACATTTCTACATTATCTGTGAGGTCCAGTGCAAAACAAAAATGTGAGGACCTCTTGTTCAGATACTAAGAATTGTAAGACAGAGACAGAAGAGCATTAAACCAAGTGTGACTTCACAGGTCCCATGGCCATGAAACTGGCCCTGCCTGCCAGTATAACATCTATAATCCAGTTGAGCTAAAGACCCTCAGAAACAAGAAGACTGTAAGCTCTTAAAATAAAAAACTTGGAGGTTATCAAAAACACACCCCTTCCTTATTATTTTTTTGGCTCTGTTCCTCTTATCAAAGTAGATATTATCAAAATTAACTCTGACTCTTATTTCCTCGAGTTACTGATGTTTTGAAGAGCAAAAGTGTCTTTGAATTTGGCATAGATCAATAGGATTAGTCTTTCCACTTTATCGTACCAGTGGTTCTCCAAATCTGATCCTCGTAACAGCAACATTAGCAACACCTGCGAACTTCTTAGACCTGCCCCGGTCCTACTGAATCAGAAACTCTAGCGGTGGGGCCCAGCAATCTGTGTTTTAACATGCCCCCAGATAATTCCAATGCATGATAAGGTTTTAGAAGCACTGTATCACACATACAACATCTGGGGCAGAGAAGTGAGGCATTTTGGTGTATATTTCCATTAAAAACAAATTGTACTTATAATTGACTTATTATTTATTTGTTAGTAGAATCAAGAAGGTGTGTCCATTTAAGTAATTAGAAAGAAATATACCTAAAACAAAGTGATTTAGAAAGGTGAAAAACAAAAGAATAGACAAACTTTGACAACTGAGAACTAAAGATGCAAGGATTAAAATCTTAATAGTAGAATGTAAGCCAAAAAAGAATTAACAAGGTAAATAATGGCACTTTATAATGCTGAAGAGTATAATTTAAGGTGGAGATATGACATTCCACCAAGTAATATATCATCAATATTCATGAAACAAATTTCGGGAAAAAATAGAGAATAGATTTTTAAAAACTAATAGAAGAGGTCTTTAGTTCACCTGCTTTTAAGTCTCTAGCAATCACCTTAACAAAATATAAGAATATTTATAGAAAACCTAAATTGCATAATTGAAGTAGTTTATCTTATTGATAAAATTCAAACACCATCCTGAAAATGGAGAATGTTTTTTTAAGAGTCCATGAAACAATTACAAAATGAATAAAAATCAGAACATATGAAAACATCAATAATTTATAAAAGGATAAATAGTATAGACAATATTCCTCAATTACAATGCACACAAAAAGACACAAATAACAAAAACTGAAAACCAAAAGGCCCTTTCACCTGGACATTGAAAAAATTTTTCTCAGAAAAAATATAAACCAAAATCTCAGCACTTTTAGGAAACATGATAAGTAAAACACTACATAACAGAACTATGGGAAACAATAAAGAAACACTCAAAGGGAAACTTGTGGACCTAGGTATTACCTCAAAAAAAGAGAAATAACTAAAACAAAGTCAAGCCAATAGAACAGAATAGAGAGCCCAGGAATAAGGCTGCCATCTACAACCATCTCATCTTTGACAAAGCTGACAAAAACAAGCAATGGGGAAAAGACTCCCTATTCAATAAATGGTGCTGGGATAACTGGCTAGTCATATGCAGATGATTGAAGCTGGACCCCTTCCTTATACCATATACAAAAATAAATTCAAGATGGATTAAAGACTTAAATGTAAAACCCAAAACTATAAAAACTCTGGAAGACAACCTAGGTAATACTATCCTGGACATAGGCATGGGCAAAGATTTCATGAAAAAGACCCCAAAAGCAATCGTAAGAAAAGCAAAAATTAACAAGTGGGATCTAATTAAACTTACGAGCTTCTGCATCTGCACAGCAAAAGAAACTATCAACATAGTAAACAGACAACCTACAGAATGGGAAAAAAAGTATCTCAAACTATGCATCTGACAAAGGCCTAATATCCAGCATCTATGAAGAACTTAAACAAATTTACAAGAGAAAAGAAAACAACCCCATTAAAAAGTGGGCAAAGGACATGAACAGACGCTTCTTAAAAGAAGACATACATGTGGCCAAGCATATGAAAAAAGCTCAGTATCACTGATCATTACAGAAATGCAAATCAAAACCACGAGATATCATCTCATACCAATCCCAATGGCTACTATAAAAAGTCAAAAGTAACAGATGCTAGCGAGGTTGCAGAGAAAAGGGAAAACTTATACACTGTTGGTGGGAGTGTAAATTAGTTTAACCATTGTGGAAAGCAGTATGGCAATTCTTCAAAGAGTTAAAAGCAGAACATACCAGTACTGGGTATACACACCCAGAGGAATATAAAGGATTCTATCATAAAGATGCATACATGCTAATGTTCATTGCAGCACTAGTCACAATAGCAAAGACACGGAATCAACCTAAATGCCCATCAATGATAGACTGGATAAAGAAAATGTGGTACATATCCACCATGGAATGTTATGCAGCCATAAAAAAGAACAAGATCATGTCTTTTGCAGGAACATGGATGGAGCTGGAGGCTATCATCCTTAGCAAACTACCATAGGAAAAGAAAACCAAACACCATATATTCTCACCTATAAGTGGGAGCTAAGTGAGGAGAACTTATAAACACAAAGGAAACAACAAACACTGGGATCTACTTGAGGGTGGGCTTCGTACTTGGGTGATGAAATAATATGTACAACACTCTCCTGTGACACATTGTTTACCTATGTAACAAACCTTCACATGTATCCCCACACCTAAAATAAAAATTAAAAAATAAAATAATAAAAAGTCAAGAAAAATTCAATCTATAAAGGTTGAAAAAAATGAAAAGAAAGCAGAGAAGGGACTAAGTTATGAAAGATAAAGGAAGCAACAAAAAAACAGAAAATATAAAAATCATGGAACTAACAAGTAAATCTCAAGCAGGCTTATTGGAAAATCAACCAAAAATGGAGGAAAACAACAAAAACTCCCAGATAACTTAAGTCATTTTGAAAAATTCTATTTTTGTAAATACCCTAAATATTTTTAAAATACTCATTACTATGATACATCAAGTAAGTGTGTGTTTATTTACAACCCACTCTGGCAATTTCTTGTTGTTAAGTTACCTTCTCCTACCCTTCCCCACTTACATCATAGAGCACCTTGCAAAAGGCTTTGTACATTTGAAAGATAGTATCAATAGTAGTGATATCAATTGTAATGATTGCTAAAAGTTATAAAGTACCTGCTATTTTTAACATTTAAATTTTGAAGGTGTAAACTTGATTTAATCTTCAAAACAATCTTCTGATGAGTTAAGTGACAGAAGAATGGGAAGATAAAGACATTAATAGAAGTGGAGGAACTTCCACCCCAGAGCCTGTGCCCTTCATCCTCCCCCCCCCTTTCTCTCCACCTCTTGGAAGCACTCAATCAACACTTGTTGAACGACTAAATAAATAAATAAGTATTTGCATTTCAAGGGAACAAAATTGAGATGGTGTCACTTAACAGGGCTCACAGTCCTGAGGAGCCATAAAAATACAAACAATTATTAAGATGCTACCTTTCCTTCAGTTGGAGATCTTCTGTTTGAAAATAAACTGACTTAAGAACAAAGGGGATATGGATTCACATTATCTGAAAAGCTCCAGGGGATACATTAGTCACGGCTAGATCCAAGGTCACAAAGGATATAATCCTGACTTGATCTCTCTCACTGTCCTCCCCGCATCACCACCACCACATGCCGTCAGTAGTTCACATTCTCTTTCTTTCCATGTCTCAACTCTGCTTTTCTCTAGGTTGAGTTCATTCTCAGTCTTACTTAACTGTACCTAAGGATCACAAGCCACTTTCTAAAATCTAACTTTTCTTTCCTCTCTTCACTGTTTGGAAGTGAATTCGACTTTCTTGTGACTTCATTTTACATTTTATCTTTCTATTTCGGTGCCACGTGTTTGCAGAGGGAGAATAACATGTCAGTGAATTTCTACAGAGCAGTACCAGGGAAGGACAATAAAACAACAGCAAAACCTTAAGTTCCATATAAGAAACAGAATATTAAGAGTAATACAATTTTCATTTTGTTTTGTTTTGAGGTGGAGTCTTGCTCTGTCACCCAGGCTGGAGTGCAGTGCTGCAATCTCAGCTCACTACAACTTCTGCCCCCCGAGGTTCAAGCAATTCTACTGCTTTAGTCTCCCAAATAGCTGGGATTATAGGTGACCACCACCATGTCCAGCTAATTTTTGTATTTTTAGTAGAGACGGGGTTTCGCCATGTTGGCTAGGCTGGTCTTGAACTCCTGACCTCAGGTAATCCACCTGCCTCAGCCTCCCAAAGTGCTAGGATTACAGGTGTGAGCCACCACACCCGGCCACAAATGTTTACTAAAAAGGGAAGAAGAGGTCATTTTAAAAGCAAAGCACGTTTTTCTTAAGCAAACTTGCCAAAATCATAACTTTTAAATGTCACACCAGCAGTTTCACCTTTTCACCTCGTCTGATGAGGGTACTAAAAAAGAAAATTGCAGCAAGCTAGCTGTCATCAAAAGGTAAATGGAGACTTTGGATGGTATGAGTTTGGGCTGCCAGGTCAAAAGTTCCTCTCTTTGTGTTGTTATTTGTTTTGCTCGCTATGCCAAATTAATTTGAAATTTAAAATTAATTTAAAATAAAGTGAGCAAATATTTAGGTATAAAGACCTGATTGTGAAAATGGAATACTTCCACCACTGAGACTGAGATTTATGGTGAATTTTCTCTTCCAAGATGAAACCTTCATTTTCCCAAACATACTTATCAGAAATTCATTTGGATGGTCTGTTTTCTTTTTCTTGTAGATGCCTGAATACTACATTATAGTGTCTCTTTCCAATTCACAGAACAGGGAATAGAACCTGAGATAAAAATACAAAGTCAATTACAAGAAACCAAAACTGTGTTCAAGGAAGAATACTGAGTGTGACCAACTCATTGTGGTTTATCTAGAATTTTCCTGGTTTTAGCTTTGAAAGTACTGAGTTCCAGGAACCCTCTTAGTTCCTGGCAAATCATTCTCTATCTTTTAACTGTGCTTGGTGTGAGATTTGAGACAAAAATCAGAAATGGATCACATAAACCCTGTATTAATATTTGATGATGTTTTAGCTACTCTGGAGGAGTGGCTGTTTAAAACCACACATTAATTTATAATGCCAAATTTTACACTGGGCCTTGGGAATTCTAAAAAGACAATGTCCAAGAGCCCATTAAAATGAGTAAATGTTAAATACTCTCATACAATATATTTTTAATATTTTATTATATTTTAAAATATAATATTTTTAATATTTTTACATAAAGATTAATTTAATCTTTATGTAAAAGAAATTTACACAAAATACACAAAGAAGACAGTTAAGCTTTAGTAAATGGCATGGTTTATTGACTGATATATAAAAATACCATGACAAATTTCTCTAATGTTCTTTTATAGTTCTCTGATTTTAATGCTAAGGAGCAAACATAATGAAAAATCTGACAGCCTTCTTTTTAGAGAACGCTCTGCAAGCGAAGCAGCTCAACGATGCTGACTATTCTCTGTCAACTTGATTTCAAATTGTATTGTCTAAATCTTGCCATTAGGAAAAAGAATAGATATATTCTTAATGAGTCACGCTTCATTTCTTCTGCTGTGTTTGGCAGAGAGAAATCTACTTTGACTAGAGAGTAAAGTAAGAGTGGATGGAATAAAAGAAAGCTTTGTATCCTACAGGAACACAGAAGAGACCGTCCCTGGCACCAATTGTCCATGTGCTTCCTGACATTTCCCAGTCTCCCTTGCAGTTAGATGCGCAGTTAGCTGAAGCTCAATGATAAGAATGTGAATGGGAGTCTGATCTGAAGCAGCTAAGAACAGATGCAAATTCTCCACTGACGCCTTGGCTGGAAGTGAAGAACTCTGAAATGGAGTCATTGGAAAACTGAAGCAGCTGGATTCCTGAGACATCACTGGAGAACCACCAAACCACTAATACCTGACCTGCATCAGATTATGATGTGAGCAAGTAGAAAATCTTGTTCACTCAGTGGTGTTATATTAAGCTACTGAGATTCTGGGGTTTGTGTTTCTGACCTAGGAAATTGCTTTCTGGAAATTATAAAATCTAAGATTTTCCGTTTAAGCCCCTCTAAACTTTCTACTTTGAAAGACATATTAGAAAATATATATATTATATATATTATATACACACATATATACTTTGACTTTGACTCTGTATTACCAAGTAACAGGTAAGCATTCCATAGCATAATCAACTCTAGAATAGGTACTATAATGAACCACAAGTCAACCAAATGAGGAAATGGACTTACAGTGTTCAAAGGACAAGAGCATGAGACTGACAAAGATTCTCTGCTTGGCCAAACTCCTGAACCTTTCCTAGGGTCATCTATGTACTTCTTTGTAAAATTCAGTATGAGCAAAGAACCCTGTCAGTTTTGAAAGAATCCTTCCCCCAACCTCAATATCTGATCATCCTCAGTGTTTAATCAGCCTTCTTATCCTCTGTCATCCTCCAGGTGATGTCTATTCACCTTGACTTGTCTTCAACAAGAATCCTGTTAGTTTAGTTTAACCGGAATTATTCTTACCCCTGATGTTTCCTCTTTGTAATTTTCCATCACTAACCCCTACCCTACTCCTTGGCTATAAATTCCTACTTTGCCCAAGCTGTAATCAGATTCTAGTCCAATCTCTCTCCCCAACTGCAAAATCCCATTGCAGTGGTCTCGATATCTACCATGAAAGTCCTGAATGAAATCTGCCTTACTACGCTAAAAAAAGAAAAAAAAGCATCATCAGCTCTTTTTGTTCTTAATAAAATTCTTAGTGGGAAAACTGTGTGTTCAGAATGTTGCAACTGGATCACCCAGTTTGTGGTACGAGGACATTACAAATATTTTCCTTGCATGAGACAACTAGTCTAAATGGCCACTTGTTTTTTCCCTTTCCCCCTCAGCTCCTCTTATCCTCTACTCTAGCCTTCATTTTTCTATTCAACATTATAGACTGTCATGTTGCATTCAAATGGATATGTTGATTATTTACTCAAATGAATATAGTGGTAGTAAAACAGGCAAAGAAGCAGCAGAGCCTTAGTAAAATGTTTTCCTTTGACTATAATCCTGTCCTGGACTGTTCACACAATAAGTCACTGCAGCTGTGGTGTTAAGTACAGATTCACACAATGTGGAGTCAAGCCTGTGCTCCACTACTTACTAGCTCTGTGACCTTAGAAGAGTTACTGAACTACTTTAAATCCTAGTTTTTAATCTGTAAAATAAAAACAATCAGATCTACCTCTAAGCTATTTTAAGAGATATAAACAAGATAATGCTTGTGGAAGTGTGTCCAGCAATACCTGGCACGCAGTGAGTGCTAAGTAAATATGTGTTGAATGTTCATGAATTCATACAAAGAGAAACCATAAAACAATCGAAGTATGCACATTATTTATAAGAGCTATGCACAGTGGTGTGCTGGTAAATATGAACAATTTGCTCTCCTGGGGTGGAGGACAATTTCAAGCAACAAGGGAAAGCCATTAAATATGGAGTTGCATATCATTATATGGTTTTTCCACCCAAAAGACATTAATAACCTCAAGAACACAAATAATGGTAACATGGAGAAAAATAATGGGGGACTTGTAAGTTTTGAATTTTATTGCCTTTTAAAAATATAATTTATTAAATTTTAAGTGTATAGAATTTAATTTTTATTAATGTCTATGTATAACAACTGGCACTTGAAAATTTAACTATCAGCTCTTCTGAGCTGGTACAAACCCCTATTGTGTGTGTCTACTTACATTTGCTTAAATTAACTGTTTGTGAACTGCACATAATTTATTCCATTATGTGACTCAGTCTTGGCATGGTGGCAGGTCATATGCTCCAGTATGGACAATGAGCTGAATCCCAGCTCTGAGACATGTTAGCTCTGGGACCTTAGACAAGTGACAACATTTCCAAAGCTCATTTTCTTTATTGTTAGAGTTGAAGATTAGGGCTAAAAATAATACTTAACCCATAAAATTTTTATACATTGAAAGAATTCATGTAAAAAACCTGACATGATGCTTTACGTGACGTGAATTCAGTAATGTTAGTACCATCCTCCATTTCTCCCAATCTTTTTTTGACTTCACAATGTCTAGAGGTAAAACAAACAAACCAAGGAACCAAATAACAATACCCCTTTGGGCCTGATTTTTTAAAAAGTCCTTGAACCAAGTAACCCCACCTAGATTGTGCCTTTGTGTGTTTTTGTATCTTTGTTCTCCAGTCAAAAGCAAGTAACTAGAATTATCTGGAATTGGTGCCACACAGAAGTAATTACCATTTACATGAAGCAGTGCTTACATCGATGTGCAGATAAGAAACAACCTTCCCTGGCTCTTCTGAAAGAACTGGGTCCTGAATTTGGGTCAAGTGAGATGTTACGTCTGGGTTGTAGATGTGTACAAAAAACAAACAAACAAACAAAAAAAGCCTTGAAAATGCTAATGGCAAAAGAGAATTCAGGACCCAAACTGAAAACATCTTTTATACATTCATTCCTGACTTTTACTAATTTCAAGCAAAGAGATTGAAATTTAACATATATTTCTAAATTTTACAAAAATGTGAATTTATGCCGTGTGGAAAAAATCACTATTAATTGAATATTATACCCTTTTTCATATTTTAATAAAGGGCTAATTTTAAACCTCAAAAATAACATAAAATCATGAGGGTTGCACATTGACATCTACTGCACCAGCTTCTCAAATATTATGAAGAATTTCTATTTAAAGAAAACCTCCAGTGCATTCATTTTAGCCTTACCCATAGGAATGTTTTCAAAGAATGAAAATACCCTTTTCAGATGACAATTTTACCTTTGTGTTTTGTTTTCACTCTCGCTGGATGTACCCAACTAAATATCATCAACATGTTCCATCACCAAACTACATGGAAGCAAGTTGCAGGTTACCTAATCCTATTTCTTTTTTAAAATATACTACCGGATACTGCCAGATCCCAAGCCCAATTTCTAAAAATATCATTAACTATAATTAAATAGTACAAATGGGTACAGAAATAACTAAATTTTATAAATATATGTGATATTTTTCAGTGACCCCCTTTTCTTCTTCTCCTAGTTGACTTGGTTATTTTACTGTGCATTGGTCAGCACCAAACTTTGAACCTGGGAAACTGGAAAAGTTAAAATTCCAAAAAGTCAATATTTCAATTTATTAATAACTCTTTTCTAAAAATTTGATTAAAACTGTAGTTTACAATATTCTCTAAAACTGGGTATTGGAGAGCTTAATAGTTTCTTTCTAGCCAGAGTTATGAAAAGATTGCTCAAGGTGGGTTTAGTTTTTACCAAGTTACCCCCCTCTATGCCTGTGCACCTGCATCTGTGTATCTGCGCCTGTCCTTGTGCCTGTCCTTGTGTAGATGTTACAGCATGTGAGTGTGTCTGGGCTCCTGACTCTGAGAGTGGAGGATGTGTTTTGGATTCAAGGATGAAGAGTAAACCCAATAGACCATGACTCATTTTGAATCTCACAGGTCAGAAATAGTGATGTCGACTCAAAAGATACATTTGCGGAGTTCCTATTATACTCTAGTCCGACTTCTGGGTTCTGAATCCTGGGTCACAAAGACGAATAAAACATAAAATCTGCTCTGATGAGGTTTATAACCTATTGAAAACAAATATGCATATATATGTATTTTTAGTACAATCTGCTCTTCTCAAAAAGAAATTGACACACTTTTGTGTTGGTGACACGTACTAAGGCGATTAGGGGGCCCTTTTATTTTTAAAGGACACTAGTCTGCTGAATAAGTGAACAATTCTTCTCTAAACTGATTCATTAAAGAAAAGAAATAATTTGTTTTGCTAGTATTAACAGAGCAGAAGGGGGCATAGAAAGGATCAGAAGATGAATTTCCTAGTGCATCAGAAGTTGAATACCAATGTTCTTCAACACACACACACACACGGGCACAAAGGATGTGGAAGGGAGAGAGGAAGACCAAGCCTGTAGAGCCTCTCAGAGGAGTTTCCATTTGTCATAAAAGTAAAGTAAGAGCTCAACAAGCAAAGAGGGGAAAAGAGGGTAAAGAACTTCCCAGACAGAGGGACAAAGCCCCAAGGAAAAGTGAAGAAAGTACAGAGTCCTTAGGAGACAGAGAGTGGCCTGCAACACTGGAAACAAGGTGTGCATGGGGAAACTGGAAGGAGAAGGCTGGAAAAATGATTGCACACACTTGGTTGCTTCTCTGAACACAGGGCCAGGGGTTAGATTTGATTCCTGAAATCTGTGGGAGGTTTGAGGAATGGCACAGTCAGGTCTGTGCTCCTGTGTTGCATGGACAGCAGTGAGGAGAATGGGTGGACGGGCAAGAGGCTGCGGTGAGGGAAGTGGGGTAGGAAGTCCTTTGGAATCTGAAGTGAGGTGGTAACCATGGGATTATCGAAAAGCAGTCTTTTGAGAAAACATGTGTCAAAACTGACAGAAGTTGGAGATCTTTTGGATGTGGGTGTGTGAACAAAACCCAAGATGGGAACAAAGCCAAGATGCTGCAGGGGACTCGGGCTCAAATGGACGCTGCTAGCCTTAGTCCAGATGGGGAGGTAGGAGAAGTAGGTGTATGAGGAGAAGGCTGGGTTTGGTTTTGATGATAAAGCAGTTTAAACACAACAGCATCCATGAGATGGAAAAATAGATGTAAAGTCATGCTGTGCAAGTCGGCAGCCACTAGCACACTGAGCATTGAAATATGCCTACTGTGTGCTGAGATGTTGTAAGATTAAAATATACAAGAGATTGTAAGGCTTGATATAGATTAAAAGAATGTACAATACTTCTTTTATCATTTTCATGGTGATTACATATGGAAATGATAACATTTTGGATGTAATAGGCTAAATCATATATGTTAATCAAATTAAATTCACCTTTTATTTTTACTTGTTTAATGTGGCTACCAGAAACTATTAAATTTGCACATATATCTCATATTTCTATTGGACAGTGCTGATGCAAGTGGTACAACTAAGACTAGAATCCATCTTGGCCATGCTATAAAACCTATGCTTTTTTATTTTGTTTATTAAAACATATTTTTTTTTTTGAGACTGAGTCTCGCTCTGTCACCCAGGCTGGAGTGCAGCGGCTCGATCTCGGCTCACTGCAACCTCCGCCTCCCGGGTTCACGCCATTCTCTTGCCTCAGCCTCCCCAGTAACTGGGACTGCAGACGCCTGCCACCACGCCCAGTTAATTTTTTTGTATTTTTAGTACAGACGGGGTTTCACCGTGTTAGCCAGGATGTTCTCGATCTCCTGACCTCGTGATCCTCCCGCCTAGGCCTCCCAAAGTGCTGGGATTACAGGCGTGAGCCGCCACGCCGGCCAAACCATAGAGGACTTTCAATGCTAGACTAAAAGAAATAGAACTTAAATTCTAGGTTATCAACTCTCCCCACCCCCAACCCCCACACCCAGAAAGCATTTGGCAATCTCTGGAGATATTTTTGCTTGTCACAACTAGATGAGAGGGGTTTGCTTGTGGCACTTAGGGTTAGAGACCAAAGACGCTGCTAAATAAACAGCCTACATAGCCCCCTAAAGCAAAAAAAAAATTTCTGGCCCAGAGTGCCAATAGTGCTATGATTGAGAAACCTGGCTCTAGGTAATGAGGAGAGATTCCAGATTGATGATCCACAAGCAGACTGCATTTCTTTGCATTCCCAGCTATGTGTAATATATGTGCACTTTAATCAAGAGAGCTGAACAATTTACACTGTGTTCTCCATTCTTGCATAGTCCATGGCTACAAATATGCCTATTTCCTTTTTTTGGGGGGGGGTGGGGTTCTGTCCATTTTTTTTTCGTTGTTGTTGTTTTTTATTTTATTTTATTTTATTTTACTTTAAGTTCTGGGATACATGTGCAGAATGTGCAGGTTTGTTACATAGGTACATGTGCTTATTTGATACATGTGCCATGGTGGTTTGCTGTATCTATCAACCCATCATCTAGGTTTCAAGCCCCACATACATTAGGTATTTGTCCTAATGCTCTCCCTCCCCTTGCCCTCAACCCACCAACAGGCCCCAGTGTGTGACGTTCCCCTCCCTGTGTCCATGTGTTCTCACTGTTCTACTCCCACTTATGAATGAGAACATGCAGTGTTTGGTTTTCTGTTCCTGTGCTAGTTTGCTGAGAATGATGGTTTCCACCCTCAACCATGTCCCTGCAAAGGACATGAACTCATTCTTTTTTATGGCTGCATGGTATTCCATGATTTATATGTGCCACATTTTATTTATCCAGTCTATCATTGATGGGCATTTGGGTTGATTCCAAGTCTTTGCTATTGTAAATTGTGCTGCAATAAACATACATGTGCATGTGTCTTTATAGTAGAATGATTTATAATCCTTTGGGTATATACCCAGTAATGGGATTGCTGAGTCAAATGGTATTTCTGGTTCTAGATCCTTGAGGAATCGCCACACTGTCTTCCACAATGGCAGTGTAAAAGTGTTGTTATTTCTCCACAGCTTCACCAGCATCTGTTGTTTCCTGACTTTTTAATAATCACCATTCTGTCATAAGATGGTATCTCATTGTGGTTTTAATTTGCATTTCTCTAATGACCAGTGATGATGAGCTTTTTTTGCATGGCTGTTATTCTTCAGGTTGATGCTTCATGGAATTTTATTGAGCCTTGGAAAGAGAACACCAATCAGTGTAATGAACCAACCTGTTCCAATAAATAGAACACTGATTTAGAAGTGACCTAAAAGTGAACTCATGAAAGTCAGGAATGTGTTTGCACTAATTTGGAATTTTATTTTCAATTTTCCTCTGATATAAGAGATGTTGATATAGCAAGAGACAGAAACTGTCCTTATTGAATTTCCATCTGGAAGTAAAAAAATAATAGAAATACTAGAGTAACTCCCTCCCAATTTTGCAAATTCAAAAACAGAGCCCTGGAATGAACTATTGTTTGTAAAATCACTGGCACATAGTAGGTATTTAATAAATGTAATTTATTCTCTTTTCTTTACCCATTCCAAGAAAAATGTGCCTGGGTAAAATGGGTCTGACTTCTAGAAGCAGACACACATTTTACAGGATTTTTGCTTTTCAAAACTAGGCCCAGGATATCATTTTTAACTAACAAAATTCCCCATTTCCTAATTACTTCAAGCTAAAAGTAGGATCAGGACAATGAATCAAAATGCTATCAAGAAATATGCAAAAAGCATATGCCCTGCAACCTAAAACTCTATCTAGCAAAAACAGTCCAGCAAATAAAGAAGCCACCTGAGCAGTAACTGACAGATGCGATAGAGCAAAAAAAAAAAAAAAAAAAAAAGTTCTCTTGATTATTTTGTTCTATCTAATGGCATTAAACCTCACCTGTATGTTGGTAACTATGAAATTTTTATCTCCAGCCTAGACCCCACCCCTGAATTCTGAGCTCATATAGTCCCCTGCCTTGTTGGCATGTCTAGTTCAATGGCCACATGATGTCTCAAACCTTCTACGTACAAACCAAACTGCTAATTTCCAACCCCAAACATGCTTCTCTAGTGGCCACCCCATTTCAATTGATGGAAATTCCAAACTTCTAGCTCTTTAAGCCATAATCCTTCACTGCATTAACTTCAAAAGTATATCCAGGGAACTAATCCTTATTGTTATCACCTCATTTTCATCCTTACTACTCTATGATGATCTCTCTCCTCTGCATCACTGTAATCACTATCTAAATCAGAAGTGTCCAATCTTTTGGATTCCCTGGGCCACATTGGAAGAAAAAGATTTGCCTTAGGCCACACATAAAATACACTAACATTAACAATAGCTGATGAGCTAAAAAAAAAAAAAAAAGAAAAAAAACACAAAAAAAATCTCATATTTTAAGAAAGTTTATGAATTTGTGTTGGGCCACATTCAAAACTGTCCTGAGCTTCCACTCTTGCTCCTGAGTCCATTCTCATCACAGCCACCAGGATAATGCTTCTAAAACATAAGTTAGAGTAAGTTACTCCCATCATCGTCATTACATTTCACTCAGCATAAAAGTTAAAGTCCTTGAAACACCCTTCGATGGCCAACATCAGGAACCTCAAATTTGTTTGTAAAGGGCCAGAGAGTAAATATATTAGGCTTTGTGGACCAGACGGTCTGTGTTTCAACTATTTAACTTAAAGCAGCTAATGAAAAAAGTGTAAATGAATGGCTGAGGCTATGTTCCAATAAAGCTTTATTTACAAAACCAGGCAGCAGGCCAGATGTGGCCTGACTCCTGCTTAATATTCTCATTTCCTGCTTTATTTTTCTTCATTACACTTAATATTACCTGGCATACTGCTTATTTACTTGTTTATGTCTTTTCTAATTAGAATATAAGCTACAGGAAAGAAGACGCATCATCTCGTTACGCAGTATCTTCAGTACGTAAAACAATGCCTGGCACATAGTAGGCATTCAATAAATATTTGTTAAATGAATGAGTGAAGATGAAGATGCAGCCATACAGAAAATCACTGGTCTTCTGGCTAGTATATCACTGTACATGCAATTAAAATGTACAGTCCACTGAAAATACCACTGTGCATCTATGTCTTTACATTAGGGAAATATTTTCCGACACCATCATCTAGATTTCTTGATCGTAAGGGTACATAAGGAAAACTGTAAATTAGAATAACGGAGAAGAATTTCTTATGTTCCTATAAGAAACATGTTTGAAAATCACTTTCAATATCTATCATCTCATTTCACCTTGATTATATATATATATATATATATATATATATATATATATATTTGTTGTTGTTGTTGTTGTTTATATATATAAAGCCTTTTATCCACATTTACTAATTAAAGAGAAAACAAAGAGGTTAAAAAGCTTTCTGAGAGTCGAAGAATTAGTTACACCTTCATAGAGCCAAGCCTAGAGCTTATGTCTAAGGTTGTTTCCACTGTGCAATTACTTTGCCATGAGGTATTTTTCTCTTATGGTACATTTGATTCTTGGTAGTTAAGGTTTTATGTTGTACAATAAAAGAGGAATATATTCAGGGGGAAAAATGAGAAGAACTTTGTACCCTGAACTACTCTGCAAAGTTGTGGGAGAGAGCAAGGCAGTTAAATTTACCCATCCTTGAAAATAATATTTCTCTCTCTAGGCTTTAATAAGAGAATTATTGGGTGCTAAATGACAGTTTGCTAGTGAGAATGAAGAATGAAGGCAATATTTACTGGGAAGGTAGTAAAAACTTTAAAAAGTAACCAAACCTTTAAACTTCTATGACCTCTGTTTCTCTAGAGACTTTTCCATTGGGTTTTGGCAAGGGCACTCATGGTCTTGAAAACTCTTCTGAGAGTTCTTCCAGCTTCTTTCTTCATCATGGGTTTGGGGAGCCAGTATCTGTTTTCCTAATGGCAAAGAGGCAGGCAGTGAGATTTCTGAATTCCTGTGTCTGAGGTCAGTCATATCCTAAGGGAGAAATAGAAATGTGAAACAGTCCTTTTTCAGTATGACATTCTGATTTATGACATTTGGTGTGTTATGGCATTGCTTCTTTTGGAGATAAAATGAATATAAATTTAATGCAAATATGCCTTATGTTTTCCAAACTAACAGCTGAAACATGTAACCTCTCAACACCTGAAATGCAACTTACATATAAAAGGACATTTCAACATTTTCTGGCTTCCACATTGGGGATCCTCCCTTCTATCAGTCATCTACAACTATACGATCAGAAAAATCTGTATTATCAACAATTCACAAGTCAAAAATTTATAATGGTATCCTAGAGAATAAACTCCTGATTTGAAATGACTCCTTGAGCAATGGATTGAGAGAGAACTGGAGCTGCCTCTTGGCTCAGCAGGAATATAGAGGTGGTATGGTTGTGGAAGGGGGAGGTAGAGACACAGTGCCATAGGTTTGTCTTTCCAGAAGCTCTGTCTTACAATCTTAACCTTTTCTCTCAACATCCCCTTTCAGCTCAGGCTCCCTCCTGCTGCCAAGCCATTCTGTGGTCATGCTTCCCCTGGTTTAAAAGGCTGCTCATTCTGATCTTTTCCTAAAATGCAGTCCCTCCAGTGCTCTAGAACCATGCCCAAGTTCTACCCTCTCCCTAATTACTCTAACCTCTCCCACCTTCAGACCCCAGTGCCCATTTTAGTCTTTGCCATTCAATTTAGTGCTTCTTGTTACTTCCTAATACTTAAATATTTCATATATGATCATCTCCCCTCTTTTAACTTCAGACCAAGTCTGAATATTTGAATTTATTTAAATCCTTCAATAGTGGATTCCACATAGTGAAGGTGCATAAAACAAATGACTTTTAACTTTCTTGTATATGTTAATTTCCCTTGCATTTTTGGGCTTTGTAGTTGCTGTGAAATGAAATCCAAATTTTTTTAGCATGACATGCAAAGTCCTTTCTGGTCTGCAGCTAGCCTACCCCTCCAGGCTCATTTTGCACTGTTCTCAAGGCTGCCACCTCCCCTCCCTACATTACCATCCCACAACACACACACACACACACATACATCTTGTAGATTAGAGCAGTGCTGAACTACTTGGCACTCCTCAAGTTTGCCTTGTTTTGCTTTATATATATATATATATATATATATATATATATATATATATATATATATATAAAATACTTTAATAATAAAATTTACTTGTCTGTAAGTCTTTTTCTCCCAAAAAAAGCTTCTTTTTAAGAATGAGGTTCTTAATGTCTGTCTCTTCTTCATCATCGGTTAGAAGCATTTAATAAATATGGATCACTGTTTAAAATTTCAAAGGGCATTTTTTAAAATTAAAAATGTAGAAGCAAGGGTTTCCCCTCAGAGAGTCCAGGAGGTCGAGGCTGCAGTGAGTTGTGTTCGTGTCACTGCACTCTAGCCTGGGTGACAGAGTGAGATCCTGTCGCAAAAAAAAAAAAAAAAAAAAAAAAATTAAATTTGACTAGTAAAATGTGGTTAACAATTTAAAAAGACTCAAAGAGAACTCTAAGCAGCCAAGAATATGCAGCTGCAAAAAAATCAGCTACTACCTCCAGGCTTAAGGAAAGTACATAATAAAGAGACCAGAGACTTAGGAAAGGGTTTCCCCAAGACTGAGATTCAGATCTCTTCAAAGAGGGTGCAGTCTAAGGGCTCAACCAAAGCTGCCACAGACCCTAGAGCTTCTCAGAAGCTGCCCGTGATTGGGGAAAACCTGACCTGAAAATGCGGCGGAAGTTGATTTAAAAAATAGGAAACCAGAACCAGTCTTCTATTGACGAAGCCAAATGTCATGCCCACTGGCAAAGGAGAACAGTTTACAGGGTCCAGTTCCATTTTCATAAAGCAGAACAGGAAAGCACGTATTTGGAGCTGAAAGACGGTACATTTAAAACTGACACAAGCTTCAGTGTAAAATTAAGATATATATATATATATATATAATATACATATGTAAAAATAAATAGGATTGATATGGGCAAAGTTAATCTATCATATTTCATCCCTGAAAGAAAATTATAAATGCTTTTGGATATTTTTATAAGTTAAC
This sequence comes from Homo sapiens, assembly GCF_000001405.40. NCBI lineage: Eukaryota > Metazoa > Chordata > Mammalia > Primates > Hominidae > Homo > Homo sapiens. The sequence continues at coordinate 113,340,960 of NC_000006.12, forward strand.
AAAAATTTTAATACATAACAATGCAAAAGTAATACTGCCTGGGTTAAATTGGTTACAGGTTTTTAAATCCCAGGAGTTGAACCTAATTTTTTAAAGTTATAGAATCAAAAATTTTATAGAAAGGTAGATTTATGTAACCTGAAATGATGAGTTTGAAGTAACTGAAATACTGTCAGGATTCTCTCAGACTATCTTAGCCAGAACCTGCAATAGAAACTGTTTTTCATAGAAGAAAGTTATATCTTTCTTCTGCTTTGGAGAAGATGGAAGGCTAAAAACAATAATGGAAAATAAAAACATGTCAATTTATTTATTTTTTGACAGCTAAGCAATGATAATTTTATTTAATAGAATGAATAAAACAAATTTTGTTCATAAAAAGAGATAAATCAAACTTATCTATTAGATACTGTCTACAGGATAGAGTACTAGGGGACCATAGAATCACAGCTTAGGTTTATTCCCTTGAAATATATATAGAATAAACTATGTCTATTCAGTATCTGTTGTGTTTTCCCTAAATTGTTCCATTACCCATGGATTTAGATTTTGTGAGTGCAGTTCGGCATATTGTGTGTGTCATTTTCAGGATGTGTAATCTAGAAACGTAAAATCAATTATGACGACAAACATTGCATTACTGAATTCAGAAGACCTAAAGAATGCTAAGAAATTTGTGGAATTGACAACTTGAGAAAACTTTCTTAATGCAACTCATATTGAAAACCAAAGTTTCTTAAATATAAATGAAAATATTGTCAGACTAATACTTGTTTCCATTAGAAATGAAAGAGCTTGAGACCTGACAGGCTATGGATATTAGAGCACTGGCATGAGGGACATTAACTGTTGGTTGTATTTTTCCCATAGAGGCATTTATAGCAAGGGCTGTAACTGACTGTGACAGGCTTAGCTTGGTTAGGTTTCTCTTCAGTTTAAAATCAACACCATGCATCTTCACTGTGTTCTTTCTTCTTTATCTCCCCAACATCAGAAAATTTCTTTCTTTCATTTGCCTTGAATGACCTCCAGACACAGGCCACTGGTTTTTACTAAGGGATAGGACAGAACCCATTAGATATGCTTATTTGTTTTTCTGGCAAAAATGGCACCCATGATGCTTTGCTGCTTCTCAGAGAGCTAACTAACCGCTGCACATATGCCATAGGACTCATCTTGAAAGGGCAGGTTGTCCTTGTTGAAAGAAAGTTGTCCTTTCCCTTTGGAGAACATCTGGGAGTAATATTCCCATGTATCAACTCTGTTAGCTCCTGTCTCACCCACACCAAGACACCTGGCTGCCAGATACACACACTGGCTTGTCAGAATCCATCAATTCATCGGTAGCACAGAGAGTCTTTGGATTCGGGTGGCCCAATGGTGTAATGCTTACCGGAGAAAATATCACATTTTATCTTTTCTCACTGAACAATAATTATCAGAGAAAGTTGATCAGCCACCCGTTGTTATTTTTGTGTCTGGTAAACACTCATCTGACCCCCTTATCCACTTTGTTGAGCATCTATTGCAAAAGTGAACTCAGATCAAATTTCTGAAGTACTTATCAGACTTTCATGAGCATCCAGATGTGTTTTTCTCAAGGTAAGTATAGTCAGCCTTTATTCATCTCTGAGCATGAATATTCTTGCTGTTTTTGATAAGATTCATTATATAACTTAAGAAGGATTGTCTGTATGCTTAGATAGGGTGCTGAAGATTTTTAATGATGCTCAGGTACTTCAGCTGTTTCCAAAGAATTCACTATGATTTAAATTCAAACCAGACTGAACTCATCAACACATTTCTTTGATGAATGATTATTTATGTGAGCTGACAAAGCAGTGTGATTTTTCTATCAGTCATCAAATCTGCCCCTTCACAGTTGGCAATAAATCTTTATTCTTTTCAGTAAGAATGCTCTTAATATGCTTGCAACCTGCTGTTTGTTGTGATTTTTGAGGTGGATAATGTTAATCCATTTTTTAAAAAATCTGATTCCAACATTATCTAGCTCTTCATCGGGTTCAAAACTAGAAAAGGCACCTTTCTGCAAATTTACTTGTAAGATAAATGCTCACCAAGGACTTAATAATTTTGGATTGCTTTATCTTAACAGTTACTCAAGGCTCAAACACACTATAAAGGAAATTAAAGAAGATAAGAAAATAGAGTATCTTTGCCAATGATGGAAACAAGATGTAATAGATCACCTCTCAATGAACATGACTGTACAGGATTCCTGTCAAATAATAGGCAAATGTGTCAAATATTTGCTCTCTAGTGACAAGACATTGCTGTTTTCTGATAAAGTAGAAACTTAGGGATTATATCTTTTTATCTATTTGTACCTTATTGATCCATCATTATATACTTCTTAATGAACAGCTTTGTAGTTTGCCGCATTTTAGGACTAGTGAAAAGTATAAAGATTTCAAGATTGCAAATTTGTCATCTAAACTGGATAAATCTAAAGAAAGGTTTCTCAACCTTGGCACTGTTGACATTTTGGGTCGCATAATTCTTTGTTGTGTGAAATTATCCTGTTCATTGGAGTATGTTTAGCAGCATTCCTGCTCTCTACCCACTAAATGCAGGTAGTACCTTGTCTCCCCTGGTTGTGACAAATAAAAATGTTTCCAGAAATTTCCAAATGTCCCTTAGGACATTTTCTTTCCCCTGGGCAGAAAAATCATTCTAGAACATCTGATTCAGAGTAAGATCTCCATTATACATCAAATGGAGAAAAAAAAAATTGAAGCATGAAACATTCGCAAGTAGGCATTCCTCCAGAAGCAGACGCTGAGACAGGGATGGGAGTGCAAATAGTTTATTTGGGAGATGATTTCAGGAAGTGTCAATAAGGGAATGGAGATGATACGGTGATGGGAAGAAAGCCAATAAAAAAATGTGTTGTCAAGTTGGGTACCTCAAGGGTAATTAGGGCTCATTATTGCTTAGAATACAGTGCTAAACACTTCTTGAAATTATTCAAACTATGGGGAAGGGAACAAGAGTATTTTTATCCTAGGTCTGTCTCCAAGAGTCATTAACTCTTCCACCTTTCTAGCCTTCCCTGCAATGGGCTGCAGAGATTCTGGCAACTACAGAAAGCCTCAGGCACAGAATCTCAGAGCTTACATTTGGAAATTGTAGGGATTGCTTGCCCGGAAATGGTGAGAGCCTAAGGGAAAGTCACCTGCATCTATCTTGATTACTCTTAACTCTCTGACTTCTCTGCACTCTCATCTGTCTCTGACCTCATGCATTCCCATGGAGGCAATATCCCCTCAAGGGAGCAAAACTTACCTTTTTTACACTGTTGCTTTCATCTAAGAAAGTCCTTACTTTTTCTTTCCTCTTCCACTCCTCTCTCAAAATTTTATAATCTATCAAGGTCTGGCTCAAATGCCACTTACTTCCTCAAGGTTCCCTGTGCTCTTACTCTAACAGGGCACCTCCTGGCCCCACCTTTGAACTTCTAACCAACCTCTACTGCTTACCCTCATTCTACCGGGAATTAAAGTTACTTTTGGGCCCCTTCACATTCACTAGTTAAGTTCCTGGAGAAAAAAGATTGAGTCTTAGACAATGCCATACTTCCCAGGTGGTCTAACATAGTGCTTTGAACATAGTAAGTGCTCAAAGTTATGAATTGGAAGAAAAAATATTTTTATCCTTCAACTCTTTTTTTCTTTAGAAGAAAATTTACTTTTTGTCACAGCTCAATTCCTGGGTCAATGTGGCGCATAGTGGGAGCACTTCGTGAACTCTGGCTTCCTCAGAAGTGGTGAAGATCACAAACTATCAGTCTGGGGAAACTCCACAATCCCTCTATAGGCATTGCTCCAAAAAGATTCCTCGTACTTTTTTAATCAATGCTAATTATTCATTATATTATTATGGGTATGCAAAATAATATACAGATGGCCCTGTCTGAAGAATTACAAAGGATTGCCTAGGCCTTTTTGGTTATCCAGGTGTTTTCTATTTTTTTCCACTGCTAGGGTGGCTTGTGTTAAATCTGGAAAGACAGATGCCTTACCAAATGCAGATCAAATCCTGAATGCATTGATGATGACAGTATGGTAATGATTTCTTAACTTCCTTTGCTTAGTGATACTTTCCTGAATAGTTTCAGTAAAGGAGCTAGCATACCAGGGGAGTTTTTCTGCAGCAGATAAACACCGAGTATATTCTACATTCTGAATCAGTGTTAGTGTTGTTGGTCAGTGATTCAGGGGGAAGAAATAATTCTCCCTTCTGCTATCTAAAAAATCTAAAGTTTGGAGGAATAGAGATAGCATTTTTTTAAGCCTGGTCAAAATTGCACAACTTGTAAGTGGCAGAGTTGGAATGCGAATCCATGCCCATCTGATTTTAGAAATGGACAATTGTTGGCCATGCTGCCCACACATAACCCTCTCCTACCAGCGTCTTCACCATTCTACCACTCCTTTTTTCCAACAGGCAGCCCTTGTTGGTCACAGGTAAAAGTATGCATTTTGCCACCAGGGAAAACACAAAGGGCATGGATGGGTCCTAAGCTTCTAAGGACAGTCATCAGCCCTGAAAAATCCTCTAAATTACTATATTGACTACTCCTAACCATGAGAAAAGAAATAAATGTAATATTTTTCATTGATATTATTGTTTCATTAATCGAAGCTGTCAAATTATAGAATGATTTTTCCAGGAGAGTGAGTCCAGCGTTATCTGCAGTTACTGGACCAGTGTTCGTGGGTCCTCAGTGGTCCGAATGGATTAAGAAAAGAGCATCAAGATGGAGACCTTTTGCCATCATGTTTTGTCATTCATGTTTAATTGTATTCATTTTATTTTCAAATGGCTGATTACACCTATAATTATTTCCAAAGTTATTTGCATCCTCAATATAATTTAGTTAACTTGTAATTTATATTTACATCCATAAAACTAGTTCCAAAATTATCTTTATTGAAATATATAATTAACATGACACAAACTTGTTAATCCACTTCACCCATTGTACATGTTTGTATCTTGATTGTAGTCTTTCAGGAAAAGAAAATTTTTTAACTTTGTAGGAGATGGCGTATGTAAATCCCCAAAAAACTGCCTTTGTTCTTCACTGCTGGAACATGATTCCCTCCCCAGTTTCCTGTGATAGGAAAACAAAATGGGATCAAACATGTGGTGTTTTGTTTTTGTTAATAGTATTAGGTCATCAGCTCTTCCCTGTTTCACAGATTGATACTTGGAAAAGGATGTAATGAATTATCTATTCCTAATGCTTTCTTCAAGAAGCTTCTAGAAACAGAGACTTAAGACTCTTAGAAAAATGGAAGCAGCAAGAGGAAGTTAACGTTTATATGCATGGGCCATAAAAAATGTATCCTTCTTTATTTCAAATTGGCAACAAAACAAGGAGAATAAGAATTTATATATATATGTAGGTCACATACTATTTTATTTAATTTACACAGAACATAGCATATCACATGCATCTCTGCTTAATATTTTAAACCTCTAATTATTTAGAATTGAAACCAGAATGTAAATGTCCAAAGGATTAGTTTTCTCCCAGCTCTCACCAATGATTATCTGGAACAACTGCAAAATCTGTGTAGATCTCAGCCTAAGATCTATTTATACTACACACACACACACACACACACCTCTACATATATTATATATTATATACATTATGCATGTTACATGTAATATATATGATTTATACCTAATATTAGTGACAACTCAGTTAAAATATTTAGTTAACCATACTACTCCATTTACTAAGCATTCTAGAAAATAGAGTTTGGCTTCTAATAATGTTCTTCAAATTTAAATTATATTTTACTATAAGATTTATGGTATCTCTCACTTGACCAGCAGAAAACTTGAATAAGTGGGTACTTCTGTTTTTACCCAACAGACCATTAAAAACTCCTATATATGAAAGAGAGGGGTTGGGAAAATGTCTGGTTTGTTTGCTTGTTTGTCTGAATCTTGGATTCTTTGCCTCACCTCTGTCCAGAGAGGATTTGAGAAGACTGAACAATTATAACAAAAAAGGTAAAAGGCTAAATAAAATTATAGTCCTAGAAATATATCTAAGAATAGATATTTAAGGCCACATTGGGATAAATTTCACAAATATGGGAGCTCTAAATGTCTATGTAGTTTAATGGTCAAATTTTAATTCCTTGCAGCATTCTCGTTGTATTTTGTTTTTGTTTTTTTTTTTTGGCAGCGGAAGCAAAAAGAGATGAAATGTTACATCACCTTTTTTATGATAAGGAAAATACTGATGTGTACTGTCCAACCCTCCAATCTTGAAAGAATTTTGCTTCCTGAGTTTTAAATTGGTAAAATCCATAACAGTGTGATCTGTCAGTTGTGACAGAAATAATACATATATATGTTATATATATATATATATATGCCATTGAAGCTGGCAGTTTTATCCAGCACTGTCCTGGGAAGAAAAAGAAAAATTTGTTTTTGAATGAAAAAGAAATGCATGTTTCTGGCTGGAATAATGTACTAGGTCCTAGGTTCTATAAGAAATTTCTCTTTAAATTATTCATCCCTCTTGGCTCTGCTTCTTATGTTTCCTCAGCAAATCTAAATACGGCAGGAAAAGCAGACCCCAGATGGAGGACATTGGCATTCCAGCTTACGAGTCAGACTCTGAGGAGCTTGATAAGAGTGAGTCAGCCTCCCTGAGTCTGATCAACTTGGGAATGCTGACGACCCTGTGATAATTTTAGTAGAAAGACATATTGCCTGCCCCTGGAGACATCCAACCCCATCCTCACCATCCACAAGTATTCTTATCATTAGAGAAAAAGAAACAAATCACTTCAAGCAAGATTGTCTTTTGTAGTGCAAATTCTGTAAGAAATTTATCAGGTAAGATTTTGCATCGGATATTCTGGCCTAAGTAGTTGATGACACCTGGAAACACAGGCAGAGGGCTGGTGGTTTTAATAGTATCCTTTGATAAGAACTGAGGGCTGCCATTAGAGCCTGAAGAAAAATACTTCTAAATAAGGCCAAGATAATGTGTTCCAAGTGGTACCATGTTTTCAGTGATCTGGACTAATGCATAAATGAAACTTTGAGTGCCTAGGGAATTGCCTTCCAAAAATCCTCCAGATGGTCACTTCCCCAGGAAGAGAGCCTAGAGGCAACCCAGGATTACATTCTCTATGAAGAGTCTGGAATCTATAAGGAGAATTTAGTCTAGAGGAAGGGCCTGAGATCCTTTTCCTGAGTTTGTTGGTTGAGGGAGCATCCTACACTTTGGGATTTGGGAAAGCGGAAACTTACTCAATTTCATATCCTTGTTTGGAAATACAGAATCCTAACCAAGACCCTGGCCTCAAAGGAGAACTGCTCAGCTTCTACAGAGAGTGACTAAACAGATAAACTGATGGAAAAATAAAAATTTTTCTCAAACAGTTGTATTTATTCTCTTGTAGCAAATAAGCAAATGGCTGACTCAGCCTCTGAAGATCACCACTATGATGAGTTTTACCTGTGAGGCTTCTAAAGCAGAAGTTGCCATGAGCATCTGTTCACTGTGCCTATGGAGACACAGCCAGGAAACATATTAAAGGATATTAATTTAGATGATTAAATGTATTTAGTTGAATAAATATTATAATTTTATATTGAAATTACTTTTATATGATTGTGTTTTATGCACTGATTTCATCAAGCAATCTCACTACTTACTATGAACAAGCCGCATTTTATTATAATGGCAGTGGACATTATAAGTTAATATAAAATTCTTCCAATTCTCTTACAGCCTTTGATGATGCCCTTTGTTCAGCAGAAATGTGGTTGCTCCTGAGGGAGTTAACAACATGATAACTAATTTCTTAGAAAGGTGAAAGCAATTTACAATTATTTTATTATATAGTTCGGTATGTTTATTATAACTATGATAAAATGGTGACAAAAATAAAATGTCAAATCACCCATAATCACAACACCCAAAGATAATATTTTGGTATGCAACTTTATCCTCCAGTTTACAAAAAGTATATTTTGTAAAATATATCAAGAAAGAGAAAGAGATTTCCAGGAGTAACGAAGAGCAACGCAACCCCCAAAGCTGGCTGGCTGATACTGACCAGCTAAGTGAACTGGCACACGTTGTTCAACTTCTCTATGCCTTCATTGTCTCATCTCTAAAACACATGCATATTGTCTGGTAGAAATGGTGTCTATCCCCAGATCCCATTTCACCAGACCAAGTATTAAGTAACTGATAAAAGGAATAAAATGCTAGTATCTCTCTAATGCCTATTTTCTTCTTATTTATCCTACCTGTATTATTTCTTACTTCCTTCCATTCCTCCTTCTCTCCTGGATTTGTAAAATATAAATCAATTAACTAAACTTACTTTCTTGACAATAATCAGCCTTAAAACTTTGTGTAGCCCAAACCCTTTTTGAATTTAATTGTAAGTTTTAACTCTCTTTTCAGGAAAAAAAAAAAATAGCATATGGGATAATACAAGCAGGTACCTGAATAATATTTCAGGCCCTTCATGGCCCACACTCAACTCCCTAAAGAAGCTAGAACCCCTATTCCAGCTTTCCTCCTTTCCTCTGCTCTCTAGTTGGATTTTCTTATCTGACATTACTCTCAATAACACATTAGAACCTTTCCTTTTCAGGGGCCAAGGGAGAGCTTTCCCCTTGGTCCTCTCAAGTTTCTATGAAAAATCAACTTGCAAAAGGTAGATTAATTGGGGAAAAGGTTTACAAATTTATTTAATGTGCATACGCAGGAGCCTTCAGAATAGAAACCCAAAGATACAGAAGAAATTGTTCATTTTATGCTTAGGTTAAATGAAGTATGGATGATTGTGTAGAAATATGATTGGACAAGAAGGGTATGATCTCATGCTAATAGATCGAGTGAGGAAAGCCAGCAAGGCCTGTCTGTCTGTATTCTTCTTGGCCCCTTTGAGCATGTATTTCTTCCTTCTAGGTATGAGGCAGGACCATCTCTGGAATGGGGGTCTTATGACCTACAGTCAAACAAGGTATATCAGATAAATTATGGCCAGTTTTTACACAGAAAGATGTCAGGAGGGAGTTAAAGTAATATTTTTAGGTTTTTATGGTTGGCTTTGGGGAAAAGCGGTTCTGGCTTCTATGACTTGCCTCGCAGAAAAGAGATTCTAGTTTCTATGATAGTCCTCCAGGGAGAGTGGGACTATGAAACAGGAGGGCAGGAGAAGGTCAGAGAAAATCTTTTGCTTCTGAGGCTGCTTCTGAAGCCTTCATTTGGGTTATTGTTTTCTGAGTCCCAACACCCCTCAATCCACTGGTAGAATAGACTTTCCATTTGCTTCTGCAGCTTATAGTCAGCAGTTATAGGGCTAGTGGGCAGGGATGAGGGTGTGGTGTTTGATATGGGAGAGAAAGGGGAATATACATCACCCAGTTTCTTCTCACAACCTGCTGGACCTGCAGATGACCAGTTTAGTCACCTATGTACAGTCAGTGATAAATGTGACAAAAATACTTGTGACTCCCAAACATGTGGGGAAATAAAGGGAAAAAGATATAGTCTAAAAGACCAAGAGAACAGCCTCAAAAGTAGCAGAAGGTTCTGCATAATATAGGAAAGTCTTTGTGGGCTCTGGCTACCAGATGCTTGTTATTCAAAGATTTCATTACGGTGCAATTCATAGGCATCTAAAATACCAGGAAATATACTAATAGCATTTGCAGTCCATCCCAAACCAGGAAGATTTCAAAAGTGTTCCATGTGAGCTCAGCCTTTTGCTTTGTTCACAAAGCAACCTGATCACTTGCTTAAGAGAGAAAATAGACTGTTTTTTAACCTTGCCTTTAAATTGTGAAATTCCTGTGATAAAAATAAGAAATAGTATATGAAGCCTTGGGGTCAGATCACCCACTGGTTTTCAGGAGTTCTCAATAGAGTTACTAGGCTTTGAAGCAACAAGGTGAAGGGAGATTATGGTTTCATACTAGTATTTGAATTTCCTGAGATTTATTTGCTTGAGAAAGACCCTTATCATCGTTGAAATGTTTAAAGAATTGAAAGAGCTGTTTTCTTGTTTGCAAATCCACTTTTTGCAATAGAAACCTCTAGGATGGAATGGAACAGCCACTGAACTTAAAACTGCATTTTATATGTTTTTTTTCTTACCCGATAAAAATACCAATCCCAGGATTCAATTTGTATAATTCTTCTTTCATACTCCAGTAACATCCTTAAATATTGGAAAAATCTTTACTTTGTGGGGGAGGGGAAGAAAACGATAACAGATCCTCTACCACATGATAAACCATGATATTTTCCTCAGTTGTTAGTCACATTGTACTTTTGGCCATGCCCCAGAAACCACAACCCTCAATTACATTTGCTTTCAGACATGTGGAAGAAACACATGCTAAAGTAATTAGCAAAACTATGACATTTACATTTTTCCCCTGTCAGTCCCTGTGATTCTTCAGCATATGATTCTACGTGAACCAAAACAATCATACATCAAGCTGACCACATTTATCCTTATCTAGTGCTTTGAAAATGTCAAAAAGTAAAACAGAAGAAAACAGTTTTTTCATAGACTTAGCACACTCTACTCCCTGTTTGGCAACAAGAACCACATGTGACAATGGCAGGAAGGTAAAGCATCACGTCTTATCCCAAAGTCATTGCACTCTGCAGACAGCCAACTGAGTTTGATGACTAGTGGCTCTGAGCTGTCTCATTTGCCCTGCATTTGCTGTTCCTCCTTCTCTGTTGATAGATTCTAGTGCTCATTAAATGAAACGTGTAGTACAACCTGAAATTAATGACCTTTAAGTAGAAAATGAAAATAGAACATCAAATTTTCATAGTATCAGGAGATTTGTTGCAGCAATGGTAAGTGTATCTTCTAACTCCATCAGCCAATATGTAATAGAACATCTTAGAGAGCAGTAAGAGTGTTGTGCATTTGCTTATGCCCCTATTACCCAATTTACTTGTAGGACTTTAATAATTGTTCACCATTGACTTCATATCTTCATAATCCCACAAGCATTCATTAATCATCTACTGTGGGCCAAGCACATAGACACTGCATGTATAAAGATGAATAAGGCATGGCCCTTGCTCTCAGGAAGCTCACAAAATAGCGGGAATGACAGACATATATGTTAATGATATTGCATAGTGGGATAGAGTTATAACCAAGCTAACTAAAACACTCTATGAAGCACAGATAAAGAGACTTCATCTGTGAGTCACAACGGAAGCTGTGACCCTGACCACAGCCAAGAAATATGTCTTTAGTAATCATGCTACCTATCTTTTTGTTTGCCTTTCTAGATCTCCTCCCTACCTTTCTCCACCCTGTTCTTGCCCCATGAAGCTGACCTCTGAGGACTGGACAAACAGGCTCTTTTGCCCTCTTGGCAAGAGATAAGAGGATTAAAGGAAGAGACTAGGCTATTTGTTTCCCTTTACTTTCCTGCCTAGTTTCCATGGACTGGTGGCATCTTTCTACCAAAGGCTATAGCTCCTGTCAGAGCCCTTTCCACACAACTCCCCTCTCCAGATTCCCAGTCCCACTCTCCCCTTCCCCTTTTCAGCCTAGGAGAAATAACGATCCCTTGTTGGCTTCCTACACTCTGCCCACACCTAAATAAAAAAATAACCCTTTATTAAACTCTCTTCAGTTACCCAGTTTGAAAATTTTGTCTGCTTCTTGCCAGGACTCTGACTAATGCAGTAACCCTCTAGGAATTTAAGGGATTCAATAATTTCAGTGTTACTCATAGAGAATCCAGCTTGGGAGCACACAACTAGGGTCTCACCAGTCACTGAGCAAACCCATCACAAATGTCCTCAAAAGATACCCCTCCTAATAATTCCAGTTCTTACCCAGGAGAGCCACTTACTCTAGAACAGGCCCTACCTCATCAATCCTGCCATAGGCAAACTGAAATAACAACAGAGTTCAGGACATGCTACACAAAAATATGGCACCCTAGCATGTGAGGAAACAGCAGAAGTAGGATATAGAAAGAATTCCACTTGTACCTTTGCCCCCGAAGCAGGCCATAAAACCTCCCCTGAAAATAGGTCATAAACCTCTCATTCCAGAGGAGTCCTCTGTATTCCTGGAAAAAGGAATGTCACAGAGATATTAAGAAGCATTGGGACAAAGCGGCCTTCTTAAGTCCCCCCAGTTTATTACCATTAGATCATACTCTTTTGTTCTCTAATCATACCTCTCTGCGTGACTGTCCATAAAAATATAGTTTTCCCTGTTTCTTTGGGTCTTTATTTCTGAAGGCTACCATGTCACATAAAATTTGTATTAAATAAATATATATGCTTTTCTTTTGTTAATCTGTCTTTTGTTATAGGGGTCTCAGCCATAAACCTTGTGATGCATGAGGAAAAACTATTACCTTTTTTTTTTTTCTACACTAACACCCACCATTTTGCAGTGAGGTCAGGGGGTAGACAGAATTCTAAGAGACCTCCAAGCTTCCCAGCCCCTGACACACACACATTTTTCCCAGTAATTTAATCGAATGCTGATCTAGTTGCTGCTATGAAAGAATTTTGGAGATGTGACTAGGATCCCAAATAAGCTGTCCTTAAATTACAGCTATTATCTGGTGAGCCTGATCTAATCCCATGAGCATTTCAAAGCCAGAGAGTTTTCTCCAGCTGATCGAAGGAGTGCATGTCAGAGGTATATGCTCTGGCTGACTTGGAAGACAGCAGGCATCCATACTATGAACTGCCTATGGAGGCCATGTAGTAAGGAACTGAGGGTGGGCTCTGGGAGCTGAGAGAGGTCCTTGGCCAACAACCAGCAAGAAAATAGGGCCTCAGTCCTGCAACTACATGGAAATGGATATGTCCAACAATTACTGAACTTAGCAGAGGACTCCAGGACTCAAATGAGAACCACAGCCCGAGCTGACACCTTCATTCAGCCTGCTGAGACCCTGAGCAGAGAATTTGGCTATGTCATTCAAGATTCTGCCCAACAGAAACTACGAGATAATAAATTTGTGATATTTTATAGCTACTAAGCTTGCAATAAATTGTCAGGCAGCAATAGGGAACTAATACAGGCAACATGGTAGCTTTGCTCTGCTTTTGGCAAATGAATTAACTTAAACACAAGTTTCTTCAAAAAAATAAAACATATTCCTTTCAGTGCAAACACTTTGATATATTAATATATTATCCATTCATTTGCCTTATTATGTAGTACTTAGTGTACTGCCTGATATTGAAAACATCTAATAAATAGGTGCTGAATGAAATATACAGGAATCATTTGACATTTTCTTCATTACTCAGATTACTAAATTCTAAAAGCATCCATTATTTACTAGACTCTGTGAAAGATTGGATTACTCATTACCAATATCCACTGTCTTTCATTAGGAGAGGGTTATGCTTTCCTGTACCTTTGAAGTAAGGCTTGGCATGTAATTTACAGCAGCTAATAGTAAGCAGAAGCAATATGATCACCACCATGCAGAAGCCTTAAGAGTCCTTTTGTGCTTCGCCCTGCATTTTCCCTGCTCTCATCACTAGCGTGTTTCCAGGTAGGGGACGCTCTACCTGAGGTTTTGGGCCACAGTGATGCAGAGCAGAGCCCCAGTCAATCCACAACTGCCATGCAGTGTGACCAAGAAATAAACCTTTGCTGTTCCAAGGCATTGAGACATTGGGATATTTTGGCACTATGACATAATCTAGCCCATGTTAACTGATACAGATTCCAATAATACTGATGCCTTCAAGAGTTATTAAGAAGTATATGATCTCAGGCCTGGCGCGGTGGCTTACGCTTGTAATCCCAGCACTTTGGAAGGCTGAGGCAGGTGGATCAAGAGGTCAGGAGTTTGAGATCAGGCTGTCCAACATGGTGAAACCCCATCTCTACTAAAAATACAAAAATTAGCTGGGCATGGTGGCGGGCGCCTATAATCCTCGCTACTCGGGAGGCCGAGGCAGGAGAATCGCTTGAACCTGGGAGGTGGAGGTTGCAGTGAGCCGAGATCATGCCACTGCATTCCAGCCTAGGTGACAGAGCTAGACTGTGTCTCAAAAAAAAAAAAAAAAAGTATATGATGTCACTTATATGCAGAATCTAAAAAAGTCCAATACATAGAAGCAGAGAGTAGGACAGTGGTTACCATGGGCAAGGAGGTGAGAAAAAAGGAGAAATGCTGATCAAAGTGTACAAAGTTGCAGTTACATGGGATGAATATGTCCAGAAGTATGAGGATAATAATAATACTGTGTTTTATACTGAAAACCTGCTCAAAGATTAGATCTCAGATGTTCTTACCACATACACAAACAGGAAAGTCAACTCTGTGAGAAGATGGATATTCCAATTTGCTTTTCTGTAGTAATTACCATTATCATTATCATTATTATTATTATTTGAGATAGAGTCTTGCTCTGTCGCCAGGCTGGAGTGCAGTGGCACGACCTCGGCTCACTGCAAACTCTGCCTCCCGGGTTCAAGAGATTCTCCTGCCTCAGCCTCCCAAGTAGCTGGGACTACAGGGGCACACCACCATGTCCAGCTAATTTTTGTATTTTTAGTAGAGACAGGGTTTCACTATGTTGGCCAGGATGGTCTCGATCTCTTGACCTGGTGATCCACCTGCCTCAGCCTCCCAAAGTGCTGGGATTACAGGCATGAGCCACTGCCCCCGGTCTTCTGTAGTAACTATTTTACTATGTATATATATGTATGTCAAAATATTATGTTGTACACCTTAAATATATTCAATTTCTATGAGAACAAAAGTGGATACTCATTTTCCCTTAGCACTAACTACCTCTTTGCCTGGTATAATTTTTGCTTCCTTCCTGTGGCATCATCTCTAGACATATCCTTTTAATGTATATGCTTCTTTTAACTGATTTCATTTCATATACAGTGTCAGGCTTAGGATCCTGAAAAAGGCTCTATCCAAAACAAAAACATGCATATGTTTTGTGAGAATGTTTTCTCACTTACAGATTATTCTCATTTGCTTTCAGAAGCATGGTCATATTTCAGGGTTTAAATGGAAGGCTGCTTTCCATGTGGGTGAGTCATTAATTATAACAATTATAATTTGTATATTTTTTAAACTACATGCAAAATAAAAAAGTTTTGGCTCTAAAATGGCTTAATCTCAGGAACTCATCATAGAGTAACTGTCTCTTCTCAGGAGGCATTAAATGCCTGTGAGCACCACAATCTAGTATGACTTCAGGCACTTAGACTCTTACCTCCACACCTCACTTTGTTTGCTTACTCAACTGCTAATGTTGACTAGCTATTGGGTATCCATCATACTCTCCCTGTTGATGGGGAGGTCTATGCATACTTGGTTAACCATTAACATGCAAGATGGTGTAGGAATTCAAAGAAAATGTAGTCTTTGCCCTTCATAAATTTGTAGTTTTGTAAGCTTCAATTTTTCAGCTTGAAAACTTCTGGAGTATAAGGAAAGGCAGAAAAAAACTTTGCCTAATGAGATAAACAGCCATTAAGAATTCACTTTTCCTCACTACTCTCCGTTCCAGTGTCTACTGTCTAAAATGGTCCACAGTATTGAGGAACACAGAAGCAATATTAGGCAGCTCTCCATGAATAGTTTTGAAACACTGTCTTCCTTATATTCCTCAAACATCTATTTCTCCATATGTCCCGACTTTCCTTTTTCCTCCTAGAAAATAAAAAAAAATTATATCACTCTACCATTTAATTTTGCCATAATGCTTTCCTTCTCAGAACCCCCTAAAGACTTCCAATGTCCTTCCAAATCAGATAAAAATTGGCCAGCAGCTGTTACAAGATTCTTCGTCAAATGACCGCAATGTTCTCTTGTTCAAGCAGATGAGATTTCTAGTTCAATTCATGGTCCCAGAAGAACTACTCAGCCTCCATGAGGGACCAAGAGTAGGATTCTAGCACTTGTAGGGCTCAAGGGACGGGTTCTTGGACCTCTGAAGATTCACTAAAAAATCAACTCAGGTAGATTAATTGGAGAAAAGGTGTACAAATTTATTTAACATGTATACATGGAAGCCTTCAGAATGAAGAGCCAAAAATACAATAAAAATTGTCAATTTTTATGCCTAGGTTAAATAAAGTATGAACAGCAGTGTAGAAATATAATTGGACAAAAAGTTATGATCGAATGTTAATTAGATCATTTTCTCTTGTGGGAAAACGCAGAAGGGCCTGTTTGTTTAGATTCTTCTTGATCTCTCTTGAGTGTACATTCCTTCCTTCTCAGAGGTGGGGCAGGACTCTCTCTGGAATGAATGTCTTATGACCTAAACAAGATCGATAAAATAATTTCTTTATGGCCAGTTTTTACACAGAAAGGTGGAGGAACGTTAAGTAATATTTTTAGGTTTTATGGCTGTCTTGGGGGGGATAAAGGGATTCTGGTTTCTGTAACCTGCCTGGGGACAACGGGGTTCCTAGTTTCTATGGCTAGCCTTGGAGGAGAATGAGACTGAGACAGTGGGCAGAAGAAGGCCAGAGAAAAATTTTTGCTTCTGAGGCCTTCATTTTGGGGTATTGTTTTGTGGGCATTAACACCCTGTAGTACTAGGTCAGGAGACTGATCTTATTTTATGAAATATGGCCCAATTGACATCTTAACATCAAAGACCTCATAATCTTGCTTTTCTCATTCAGTCTTTTTTAATAAAATTCAATACAGACAGCCTGGTTTCTTTACGTTGCCCTCAAAACTCCCATCTGAGTTCATTTATTTAATTTGTTTCTCTCACCTGGAATACATTTCATCTTTCTCCTTCATTTTTTCAAAGCCTTTTTCCCAACTTCAAGTCCCTTGCATGTAACCCCCAGAGACTTTCTCTGCTCTGAACGCTCTGTGGTTGAACTGACAACTGCAGTCATAAAGCACAGAGTTATCTGTGTCTACAATGTGCCAAGAGCTAGGGCTTGAAAGAACGGCAGGACAATCCTTGCAAGGCTTCCCATGCTATCAGGGAGAATGAGATGGATATTTAAGAAGATAAATATCAATATATTCTATTAGCATATGCCACCTTGTCTCTATCCACAAAGCACTGTGATATGACAGAGTGTTCTGTGTCACTCATTTGACACTTAGTATTTTTAAAACTACATACATGATGTCTTCCAACAAACACTGAGGTGTTAGTTGAGATGTGGTGATATAAAAAAGCCTCTCTTCAATAATATACAAGCTTTGTGAGGTCACACCGCTCTGTGACCCTTCTCTTTCCAAGATCAATACAACACACATGGCCCTATGTCATAATGAAGAGTGCAGACTCTGGAGGCAGAAGTCCTCTGTCTGAATATAGCTGAGCCACTTACTATGTGTGTGTTCTCGAGCAAGTTTCTCAGTGCCTGAGTTTTCTTATCTGTAAAATGGGGCAATAAATTTACCTACCTCATAGAGTATTTGAGAAAATCGAATGAGATAATGTAAGTAAAGCACTTTGCACACTGTTTGGCACATGGCAAGTCAATAAATGTTAGATATTTTTGTGTTATCTCAACATATCTAATGCAAGTGACTGGCAGTCCAATGATACAGTTTCACTGCCTCTAAGGAGTTAGGGGTGCAGCTGTAAGTAACACTTTCTGCATGATGGATCCTCTCTGAGTTACATAAAATGAAATAGAATTTCATGCCTAAAATCTCGTCTTAAATATAGTATTTTTTAAAGCTTCATTCCCTGTTGCCCAAGGGACCTATTGCAGGATTCGGGTATAAGCCGTCCCCACCCTGACCAGTGGGCTAGAAACTTTCTACTGGGCACTCACCTTCAGTCTTGGCTCTGCTGGCGTGAGCAGGGCAGGGTTAGGGACAGGACAAGCACATATCCTAGTTCGCCTAAGACCCTTACAGGTTAGGCTTGTTGTCCCAGTGTTTTTATTAACGGCACTTCCACTTGTTCCTTAGACATGTCTTGGTTTGGACAATAAATTACTCAGCCACCCTAGTTATAGAGTCTGCTATTCTGTCCCCCATTAAAGAGCAGAGTGTAAAAGGGAAACATGGGCTGAGTTTAAACCCAGCTTTGACACTGCTGCTCGTTAGCCACAGGTCCTCAGGCAATTGCTGAATTTGGCTGATTGGTAAATATCTTAGTCCATTCAGGCTGCCCTAAAAAAACACCATAGACCGAGTGGCTTACAAAAAACAGAAATTTATTTCTGATAGTTTTGGAGACTGAGAAGCCCAAAATCAAAATGCCAGCAGATTCAGGGATGGTGAGAGTCCACTTTCTTGTTTACAGATGGCATCTTCCAGCCATGTCCTCACATGGTGGAAGAGGAAAGGCCTTCTGAAGCCTCTTTCATCAGGGCACTAATCCCATTCATGGGACCTCTGCCCTAATGACCTAATCACCTCCCAAAGGTCCCACTGCCTAATACCTTAACATTGGTGATTAGGTTTCAACATATGAATTTTGGGAAGACACAAAAATTCAGACCATAGCAGTAAATTTTGCTCATTAGTAAAATGAAAATAATCATACCTACCTACCTACCTCACATGGCTATGAAAATCACATGAATACACAAGTAGATGTCCAAATATGTGAATTCTTTTGCCTTTCCTTTCTACCCTGCATGCATGCACAGAAAACAGTCCCAACCTTTTGAGGTTAGGCTGCATCTGCAGGGCGCCTGCTTTTGAGGTTAGGCTGCATCTGCAGAGAGTCAGCATGGCCTGTGCACGGCATGTGTGTTTCCCAGGCAGTGGGGAGGGACAAGGCCCTCCTGGGTCTGTGTCCCAGATCACTTAGGGGAAAGAGAGAGACCCTATGGCTACTGATTACAGGCTTTAGCTGTAATCATTCAATTACATCCTTTTATGTTCTATTTTACTGCATCTGAAAGAGGCAAGGATATCTGGATATCTAATAGCTACATTTACTGGGAGGTGAGCTACTAAAAATAGTCCCACAATCTGTGAGCAGGTTTCCAGGAAATGCTGGACTTGTTAGAGCAGAACTGCAAAGAGTCTGTTAATCAAGCCCTTCATTTGAATCACTTGCCCATGCTGCTCGCCCAGGGCTGAAGGCTTAGCTCTTGCTCATAGGAAGTGAGATAGTATAGCAGAATCTTAAAGGAATATAGGCAATTAAAGGGGAGTTGACGATTAATACTGAAACATGTATGGGGATTGTACAGGAGTGACTTTAAGCCAATTTAAAGTATCACAACACTAAAACTACCAGGACCAAATGTAATTCATTATTTTAATTCCCTCTGGATAAGATTGTCTCTAGAATTCCAAGTCTTTAATGATGATAATGTATTTTCATTTGTGGATCCTCTCATACCTCAAGCTGGAGAGGCAGAGGGCCCATGCCCTTTTTAAAAATCAAAAGTAAATATGATGAAGTCTTTTAACTTCACAGATGGATGCTACTGGAGATATTTCAGAATATTAACATACAAGATATTCCAGTTTTCTTGCAGTTCTTACAAAGGGCAGAGACAAAGCCTGATTAGAATGAGTTTGCATTGTCAGAATTTTTGAGTCTGGCATTTTCCTTGAGTTTAAATGCTATATTAATAAATTCTGAATATAGTTTAATGCCACTACTTTTTCTAACTTGAAGTCAATTATTAAAAGATCAAAAATTATTAATGTGTTTTAAGGAAGAATACTGTGGAAATGAAATACAACACACACAGTAAGCACCTTAAAAAAAAAGTTAGTACTTAGCATTAAAAAATAAATGATAAAAATACAAAATTGAATTACTAATTTATTTTGAACTTTAATAAAATAAATTAAAATACAATACCATTTGAAATTAAGGGTAACTAATCATCTGCTAGAAACAAAAAATTAAGGTTTTTTAAAAAATTAATTGGACCATTAATTCAGGATGCACTTTAAGACATTTTGTAAAGAATTTTTCATGCTCCATCTTTGACAAAACAAATGGTGGATTTAGGTAAAGGGATAAAAATGGCAGTAAATCCATAACAAATGTTTTGTCAGGAGGAAATAAACACCTTTACATGTAGTAGACAACACTATTTTGAAGTGGGAATTGATTTCACCTTATACTTCAGTTTTGTTTCAAATTGTTTATTTCTGTTAAGAGATAGGGGGGAGTTCCCGACAAAAATCTTTCAATCGGCTGTTAATGAGTCACTTGTGGTCAGGTTCACAGACAAAAGCCTTTTTATTGACTGAGCTGGGTCAGATTTCCAGATTTTTCCTACCCTTTTTCATACCATGAAGACAAAACAAGTCAGAGGAGGAGTGTTGTGGGGACGCCCGTCATCTCAAGTTTTTGAAATAGGGGCAGCCATCAAGAAAGTTGCTTCAAGGATGGGATCTTTTTCTGGATTTGCTGTGAACACTGAGACATTCTGGTTCAATCTTTGTATGTTCAGGGCACAACATTCTCTTTCTGCAAGTGATGTCATATTTGGGGGCATAGCTGTAAGTCAACAGGGCTAAGCCCGGGCTGTTCTGTCTTTGTTCTAGTTCTGCCCTCAGTAGCCATGCGGCATTAGCCATGTCTTTCAGCCTTGATATCTGTCAAATGATTGGCGATCAGGCCTCTTCTCAGGTCCCTTCCTACTAATTACTAATTCTATCTATATTTCCTGTTGTTTATAATCAATATATAATATGCGTGTGTGTGTGTGTGTGTGTATGTATAGTTTAGGTTAGATAACTACTCATATATTGGTAAAAATAAAGAACTATTTTGTTTATAATAATGCAGTTTCAAAATTCAAAACAAACTTTTTACTTGATTCTTGGTCTTGTGATAGTTTAAAAAATCACCTCTTACCACCTTTTTTGGGGCTCCAGTCTTAATTTTAATCACAAAGGAAGTGGTAATTTGTTAGGCCAATAACAGAAAATAATAAAAATAGTTAAAAAAAAATGTGAGGAGAAACAAAAGGCAGACCAGGTTGAAGAAAGTCATTTCTTTTCTTCAGCAACATCATGATATGTGGTAAATTAGGAAGTGTGTTGATACACACTGTGTATTTGTGTATATGTAGAAGAGGAGGTGGTATGTTGCTAAAGGAGAGTCCAAGAGATGATTAAAGGTCAAATGTCAACCATTTGGCTGTGGTTTTTATGTGCCTTTTACATTTATTGCTCCCCCATAAAAGTAAAATGTGACTAGTTAAATAAGTGTTGCTAAAACAGGATATTGAAGTTGTAATAATGGGAAAGCATTGCAAAGAACCCTTAGAGAAATTCAAGTCATTTCACATATTAATTTCTTAAAATTGATTTTTTTCTTTCATGTTTTTAAGAAAAAATTCACTTAAAATAATAAAGACTTCTACATTTAGCGCCTATACATATAGTGGCTTAAAAAAAAACAGTTTGAAATAGAAAACTGTCCTCAGATCCTTTGGTATGCAAAAGCATCGCATTGAAAGGGAAATCTGCGGCTGAGCATGCTGTGATTTTAATTTTATGTTTTAAGTTATTGGAATAAAATACCAGACACTGATAGTCACACAGTTTTA
This sequence comes from Homo sapiens, assembly GCF_000001405.40. Lineage (NCBI taxonomy): Eukaryota > Metazoa > Chordata > Mammalia > Primates > Hominidae > Homo > Homo sapiens. The sequence continues at coordinate 113,362,499 of NC_000006.12, forward strand.
AAAAATCAACCTAAGACCTTTATCTGTCATACCTCCTCTCCTGGGGAAAGACAACGTGGCAGGGCCTTGCTTCAAGAGCCCAGAGAACTGGCTTCTTGTTCCCAGTCTACCACTTACTGAGCTGCTGCAAATTTGATTCCTTCTCAGTCTTCCTGGTTTCTAATTACCATGTCTGTAAAACAGGAATAAACAAACTTCAATAAAAACAGGGGACCTGATCAAATGTCACTTGACTTCACTTCCAGCTTTAAGATCCAGTGAATGTGTCAACTCATGACTAAAAATGCACTGAAAAGGGGGGCGGGGGGAAGAAAAGAAAACCACTCCTGGCATTCGCTGAAATAGTCAGCAGAGATTCCACTCTCTCATTCTCACTTTCCACCACACTCTGCTCCCTGGTTCTCCCCCATTCTCCCACTATCACTGCGTAGCTTACTGGTCCAGGGGCTTATCAGCTAACACCAATGGTCTACTGGCTGTGTCCTCCTGCCCCTCAACTCCCTCTCCCACACAGCACTCCTTCTTCCTCAAAACAGTTGAGATCATCATGTCCCTATCTCAAATCTTATGTTAGAAAATTCAGATTTGGTCTGCCACTGAAAGCCCTCCATAGTCCAGCTACAATTATCCTTTTTAGATCTACAGCTCTTCATTCCTTGACCCACAGAAATTCTTGGCTTCAAACAAATGATATTATTAATTTGGCCCGGAATTAAAGTGATCATATCCTGTTGCATAAATTTTTCCCAAACCATTCTCTCTGTCCCTCACATGCAATGAATTGGAGGGATTATCTTAGTTGGAGAGAACTGCTCCAGCTTCTCCAACTAAGATCATCTCAGCTATGCTTCACTTTCAGATTCAAATCCTGCCACTGCTAAAAGGTTCTCTTTCTCTCTTCCCTCTGAACTTCATTAATTAATCATATCTTTATTATTCATCTGGCTTTTTGCACTTACTCTTTTTGTTATAGTTTTACTGCCCATAGACCCATGTTTCTTTCCCGAACTGGGCTATCAAGTCCTTGAAGGATGGACCCTAGGCTTGTCTTTCTCTGTCTCCTGCACAAGTCTGCTATAGGACTTCCTGAGTAATATAAAAACAATGATAAAAATGTGTCTATGTTACGCTTACATTTAAAATCAAGTTGTCCATTTCTGTGAGATTTCCTTATTCCTTGACTAGAACTGTCATCACATGAACTATATACTCACTTGGCAAAGTATGAAATATATAGAAAACTAAACCTGCTTGCATTATTTATTCTTAAATGTCAACGGCCTTTCAAGTTATTATGTTTAGAAAGATCAGTGGCAAATGATAAGCAAAATTATTAAAGTGTTTTTTCAATTTCTTTTAAATATATCAAATAGAATTCTAATATTTGGTCATAGCATTTATTACAATTACTTTCAGTACCAAAAATTGAACACCTTCCCCTTGTCTTATGTTCTCTTGGAACCAGTGTTCTTAAATTAAAAAAAAAAAAAAAAGATAATGATTGTATCATAGCCAAAATATGCTTCCTGGTGATTCAGAATTAAAATGTACTACTTGCAATCTTTTATATCACTAACATCTGGAAAAGCATAAGACAAAGCCTAAGTGGTTTTAAGAATGACATTATTCAGATATGATTATTGTTGGAAATGGTCACAACTTGAGCTAATTGAAAACTTTAAGGGCTAGTTTTTATATTACCTTAATTTTCCCCATAATAAAGTGAAAGGCCTATTTCAAAGAAGTCTAAAGGTCTCTTATATTATAGGAATTAGTTACACACCTAGATCATGCTTTGCTATAATTCACCTTGTTTTTACATTATGTTTTATGACCTTCAAGGGGAAAAAATAGAAAACTATAATGAGAAACTAGAGAGGTTGAAAATGTAGGTGATTTTCCTGGCTTGTTCTCCAGTGAATTTCTAGTTGTGTACCCAAGGCCTTTAAAACTATCTAATGGGGAACATTGTCTTTATCTGAGGCTTCTTGCTAAAGAGACCATGGAGAGGGTTCCTCAGCCTCCCTCGGTGTCCCTAGCTGGAATTATCACTCTTTCTTTAAACCCAGCAGTGTTTATGCCTCTCAAAATCCCATCCTTAGAGATGGGCAATGAAGATGCCTGTGGAATTCTCCCTCCTGTATTAGTTTAAAAAGCACGTTGGCCAGATTTTCTTTAGGCTTCTTAATCATCATTGCTTTTGCATTAAAATTTCTTAATGAAATTCCACTTCATTTGTCTCTTGACACCATCAAGTTCTGCTCCTTTGAGGCCTAAAGTTGTGCTTGGAAATTTCCCAGCAGGTGAATCTTGAGCCCAGGCTGGCAGACAGCATCTGTGGAAAAGTCTTTCGAGCCAAGCGTCAAGAGGAACTTAGAAATTCCACATCTCAGCCCTGAAGGTATATGCGCCAGCATGGAGTGCTGGAAATGTCAGGGGCTCTCATGAAGAAAGACTGACTTCTATGTAGAGAGATAATTCCTAAATACAGCTACCTAACATCATGCTAATTCTTCTCTTCTGATGTCACTGTCTGGAAATATCCTCAAGCCATCTTCTATGTTCCCTAAATCTCTTAAGGAGGAGGCAGGAAGTTCTTCAGACCAATTATATAAGTTTTGGTTTAAAAGCTTGATTTTCTAGGGAGCTGTTATGAACACAAAACAAGTATTTCATTTTTAAGAGGCATTTGTTCTAGATAAGTTTTTGGAAACCATTTAATTTAGACCAAAATCACTTTTAGACTTTGCCATGAAGGGTCCCATTGGTGTTTGTTTAGTGATTTCCATGTGTAAATGTGGCTCTTCTGTTACTTGTCTTCATCCTGTAATCTGCCTGGATGAGTCACTCTTAATAAGTGGCTCTCCAATGAGCTGGTCCACAGTTTTCACAGTGGTTTCAGTGGCTCTAAAAATGACCCCATAGGAAAAGAAGACTGTGTATGAGCTACCTCCCCCGACCGAGGAATTCACAGAACCTGTTAGTTTAGTAAAGTCTTCAGAATTTCAGCAGTGCAGAAATGTGATTGGCTTTGTGTAACAGTGCTTCCAAACTTATTTGGCCATGAAACTGAAAATGTGGATTCTGGTTTCATCCAGAAAAATTGGTATTTCTCAGAACACACTTTAGTAAACACTGGGTTAAGTATCTTGCCTTACCAAAAAAAAAAAAAAAAAGGAAAGACATGATTTTTTTTTTCAACACAAAATATAACAAATAAACAACTATTCCATTTTTATCCTACAATCATTTTCCATTGTCTAACCACAGGCTCCTCACTATTGTTTCAGATAGTGTGATCTCAGGTACTCTAAGTACACACTGCTCATTTTAGTCCAGTTTTGAGGAATGTGTGTTTAAAATGTGACTTTAAAAATGTGTCTGGGAGCTGGGCGCGGTGGTTTACACCTATAATCCCAGCACTTAGGGAGGCCGAGGCGAGCAGATCATGAGGTCAGGAGATCGAGACCATCCTGGCTAACATGGTGAAACCCCGTCTCTACTAAAAATACAAAACAATTAGCCGGGCATGGTGGCGGGCTCCTGTAGTCCCAGGGAGGCGGAGCTTGCAGTGAGCCAAGATAGCACCACTGCACTCCAGCCTGGGTGACAGAGCAAGACTCCATGTCAAAAAAAAGAAAAAAAAGTATCTAGGGATTCCATATGCTGTCTGGAACTGAGAAGGGTGGCAAACAGCTTGGGCTTCCACACACACGCACATACTCTGTCCCATTTCAACTTTTTTGTTACATTGATAGTGGGGCAACAGGACAGATAGCCTGGGTAAGTTTCTTAAACATCAATGGAATTTCTAATGAGATGATTGAAACTACACTCTATTAAATATTTAAGGCCTAAAACATGATTAGAAAATAGGATCATCTACACAAAAACTGTGAAGGTGGAATTTCTAATTTAAAAAAAGACAATCAAAAGGAAGAACTCTAGGCCCAGTGGTACTTTCTTCATTAATGGACTCTGGAATAATAATAACTTCTAGTTATATAAGGCATAGGACAGAAAGCACACAATGCTAATGATCTGAGTGCCTTAAAAACACTAAATGAGAGGTGGAAACTCTCCTCTGAAGGGACTGCAGAAGACAGAGAAGAAGAAGGAGCTGAGTGGTCCCAAGACCCATGATCTTGTAATTTCACCAGTGTCAACCTATAGCCAGAAAATGATGAGTCGTTCCTCTGCAATGTAGCAACGACCCTAAAATCCCCTGGTCCACTTGAATTCTCAATAAACTTATCTCTTTTATAGCCAGTAATTTTTTCAACACTAAGGTTTTATTTTCAGAAGGTTAACTGTGGAGGAGTCAGAGGAAAACCACAGGATACATTTTTTTTTTAAATCATAGTTTACACGCTACCTTATCCCAAAACTGTATTGTCCCTCTGGTTGCCCACGAGCCTACTATGAACCTATACCAAAGCATGGGTTCCCGAAATCAGGCCTTATTTATTTGCTTTGCAAGGAGAAATAATGGTGAAGTTTGGCCTGTGAATTTCATTTCCTTCTTCCCTCCTTGCACTTACTTACATTTTTCTAGATGGACATCCCTGACACCCAGATTGCTTTCTCAGGCTATCACAATCCAACCATTAGCCTAATTGCCATGCCAAGATAGTGTCTGATACTCCACGGAGTGCAGCAACAGAAAGAAGTGCAGGGCAAAAGGGAGCAGAACCGAAATACAGAGAAAGAGCATCTGGGGAGTCTTGGGCAAGAAAGCCTAGAAACTGCTGATTTGATTTGGGTCAGGCCCATGGTATACAACAATGAGGGAATACATTTTAAATAATACAAACAAATCTCATACCTTAAAAAAAGAGAAAGGCCATGAATCAGATAGACTTTTCTTTGAGCCATATTTCATATGAACTTAAGAAATAGAAAGGATGAAGCCACATGGAAAGGGATCCCCCACATAAGTGGGTGGAGAATTGTACCCTTCAGTGCTTATCATGAGTGCCTGAGGAAGCAAGAAAGTGGCTTGCTTGGAACTGCAGAAAGTCAGATTCTTCCATAAACATGAGAGACAGGTCTGGGGTCTCAAGTCTGCAAGGTAGCAACGTGGGTTAAAATACAAAGCAAAAGTCTGGATTTATGCAGAGTAGTAAAATGTAATAATTAAAATGGTCAATATTTATTTGGTGCTTTACATTTTAAAAATATCCTCCACCTTCATTGCCTCATTTGATCCTCAGAACTCCACCACGAGGGAGGTTCTATACTAAATTCATTCAAAATTGTCTAGCGGAATCTTTGCTTTAAATATCCTAAACCATTTCTATTAGATTCACTTGAACTGTAGCCCCAAGTCAAGCATTGTAAGACCCAATCTCTAGGAGCTAGTTTGAGTCTCATACCTGAAACTCCCATAGGAAACCTTGGTCAGACTCTATGTCCCAATTTTGCATTCATAAAATATTTTCTCATTTCACAGTTGAGAGTACTAGAGCCCAGAGACATCAGATTCTTTGCCCAAAATAACATGTCCTGAAATACAAACAGAGGTCTTTTGATTCTGGAACTATCTTCTGTCCCTTGCACCAGGCTTTCTCTTATGGCACGCTTGCAGATTCTATTTGGCTACAGTGGAAGTTCCTGGTACAAGGCCTTACTCTCTGAAAGCAACCACAGAATATGTGCTGAATTAGTTAAAATGAAGGAAAGCTTTCAGCAGTCTCTCAGGGTCCTACTTGAGTCATCTATAAGGTCAGAAATGAGGCACTCCTGCGTGGCCTGAGTCTATGGGCCCGAAATGGAGTTCAGCAGGCACTTAAAACATCACCGCGTGAGAAAAGTAACAATTTCCATTAATTCTGACCCAACTGTTTCCCTGGCTTATGGTATCATGATGCAGACATGGTTAGGCTAACAATTAAAATAATAACCGAAATTTGCCCTCCCCACACACATCCCAGTGAAGCCCCTGTAAAGTTCCCCCAGGACATTTCTGGGAGTGTGAGGAGCTGTCTTAGGTGTGTCTCTTCGATGGCTGTGAGCTCTAGGGCTTTCCTTCTTCACCAACACACCACTCTGCCGCCAATGCTCATAGAGCCTTCAGTGCCACCTGAAACAGACCTTGACACACCAACACTACCAGCCACAGTGCTAGGGCACGCTGTCCTCCCCACAGAGGCAAAGAGATCATTCTGTTCCACACTGTGTCACACTGAGTTACTGCAGATCCCTTTACCCCTGCCTCTCATGATCTCATAGAGACCTTCCAGCTTTTCCTATCTCACTCCAATGCCTTAGTCCATGTATCCTAGAAAACAGGGAGGCTAAGGAAACACATCACCACATGAAAACTCCAATGTGAAAATCTCTACCCTCCCGTTAAGCAAGCCTGGTGGCCCACCAACTTCTCAACCTCATTAGATAAGCCCAGATATGTCTCAGTGTCCTCTAGGCCCAGCCTGGACCCTCCCTCCTGCATCCTCAAACAGTTACAAATGCAATGGCTGAGGCTAAAGTTCTCTCACTCCCTGGGCCACAGATTGCTAACTGGGATATCCGTTCCCTTGTTGCTCCACTTTAAGCCTGACCTTGATATTCATCTTACCCACAGTTCTCTGAAAATTTTGGAGCACTGTGCTATAAGTTGTTCTCTGCCCCAGGTAGGAACTTCCTCCAGAGATGGACCTGCCTTTGATTAGAGGGTTCTAAACTGCTCCAGGCCCCACTCTCAACCAGGACTTCCATAATTTGGAGTGCATTCAGAGAGACGTTGAAGGATCATTAAATATTTAAAGCACTGAGAATATTGGAGGAAAACAAAAGGCTCTGGGGTCACTGGCAGCATCCTGCAAGAGAAAGAACATGAGTTTTATAATCAGAGAGACCTACATTTAAATCCCAGATTTATCTTAACAGTAGTGTGACCATGAGCATTTACTTTGCTTTTCTAAGTTCCAGTTTTCTCACATCTGAGATGAAAATTAAAGGTACTTATTTGATTCCCCATGTTGCCTAATATCTAATGAGAGATATTAGAAACAATGGGAATTTTTTATGTGTGTATAATAGAAGCCCATTTATTCTTGCTCACAATTAAAGGAATGTTGACTTTAGAAGTTTGGAAAATAGGGGAACTAAAATTCTTGTTTTATAGAAATGATAGAGAAAATGCTCTGCCCTCCACCCAAACATAGGCCTATCACTATGTGGGAACCCCTGAACTTAAGGATTTCTCAGAGTCTTGAAATACAGAAATGCTAAGATTTGTCAAATCAACTGTCCTACACCAAATAGTTCCTCCCCTCCACCTTCTAGTAGCTTCAAGATGTGAATCTATGTGAAAATATATAATGATCTTGCATTTTAGGATAATGTTTAACAATTTTAAGATTAGCAAATAAATTCAATTTCAGATTAGCAAGCAAAGTTTTAAATTAAGCATAGGCTGAGTGCAGTGGCTCATGCCTGTAATCCCAGCACTTTGGAAGACTGAGGCGGGCGGATCACGAGGTTAAGGAGTTCAGGACCAGCCTGACCAACATAGCGAAACCCTGTCTCTACTAAAAAAAAAAAAAAATCAGCCGGGCGTGGTGGCGAACTCCTGTAATCCCAGCTACTGGGGAGGCAGAGGCAGGAGAATCACTAGAACCCGGGAAGTGGAGGTTGCAATGAACTGAGATCATGCCACTGCACTCCAGCCTGGGTGACAGAGCAAGACTCCATCTCAAACAAATAAAATAAAATAAAAATAAAAATTAACAAGCATTCCTTTCTGTATTCTGAATATAAGTCTGTCTTATTTTTACCACTGTAGGACAGAGGAAAAAAGACTATACATGTGTATGTATGTGTGTATGTATGTTATGCATGCGTGTATGTATATATACACATACATGCATGTATATATACACATACACAGATACATATGTAATACACATACGTATGTGTGTGTACATAGGTGTGTGTCCTGGTAGTCACAACTTATACTAAGATAGAAAGAAAATCCCATTATAGTTGATCAGTACTTTTCTTGAGGTTTCCTTTGAAGTAAATGGCTTTGTTGTACAAACTTACTTTTTGATTTATTTGCAAGGTACACTTTGTATGTGAAAGGCCATATAAAAGAAAAGAAACTCTCATAAAGATGAAACAATATTCTTGCTATAGGAATAAAATTTTGCTTGAATTATTTTTATATTATTTTATAATTATATATAAAACAAATAAAATATAAATTAAATATTTTGTATTTGCTTGAATTATTATATTATTATAAGTAAATAAATATAGCAAATTATATTATAGGGAATGAATAATATTGGAAACTGGCAAATTGTCCTGAGTTGTGATAAGTTAATAAGATGCATATTGGTGGTCATCTTAAGATCCTGCCTGCTGTTAGAATAAATGAGTTAGACATCCCGCAGGGACCTCCAGTACTTCTCCACCCTTTACCCTGGGAGGATCAGCTGAAGCGATGTACCAGGAGAAATACACACTAGATGTGTTCCGAAGTTCCCCCTGTACACTAACCACTTTACTATTTGGGGGTCATAGAGCTCTTTAAGCTAGGATAAATATGCCAGGTATAAATAAATATGATTTAAGATATACATGACATTGATTCTCCTCCAAACTCATAAATTTTATAGTTTTTTTTCTCTCCATAAAGGAGAGGATAACCAGTTTCAGACATAGGTTTTAAGGAAGAAGTGAGGTTTTCTTTTCTAAAGGTCTTCAACACTATTGTGGTTATGATATAAATTTTAAACTGAAAATTGAAAGAATTCATAATCCATAAAACGCCCATGGCATTTCCGGGAACACTTTTAAATTGCTACAGTATGAGTTGAATAAGTATTTATGCATTTAACAAGGGACTATTCTCCCTTGTTAACTAGACTGAGAAAAGGCAATAAAGTATTCAGCTGCCTAGTGAAGTCTTTCTGATAAAGAATTCAGCTATAATAGCTACTTGACCAACAAATGCCTTATTCAGGGACAACTTTAGAAATTCTCAGCTCACAAATTATTGATAAAAATTTATCTACTAAAGAATTGGAAATGAATGAAAATGGAAATATCTCAAATTTGTCTAAATAATCAAAGACCAGGGTTTCATTGTCTTTTTCAGTAGAGAAGCTTTTATTAACCAACTCCCTTTGTTCAGCATTTACTTTGCGTTCTCTCAAGTCACAAGATTTCTCTTTTGGAAATTTTATCAGTTTAGACCAAAAGAGTCCGATAGTGCTGCTTGAAGATTTCATAACCATCTGAAAGAGCCCATGTAGCTTTGAAAGTCAGCTCTTAGAAGAGGGCTGGGCATTTTACTAAAGAGCTGTGAAGAAAGGCCCACAATACCTTCCAAAAACTTGCCTGATAAACTGTAGTAAATCAGGACTCAATGCACAATTATGTTGATCTCAGGTGATACCAAGAGCACAAATACTGAAAATCACCAGATAGCCTCAAAATATTGCTTGGATAATTGGTTTTGAGTTTCTCTCTTTCCAAGACTTTTTTTAGAGCTGCTAAACATTCTAATAAAATAAAAGTAAAATAATAAAATAATCTAAGTGGTTAAGTTGAGCTTCTCTTCATGTCTGAATTACTAAAAGGAAAAAGAGGACAACGTATGTGAAAAGGAGAATAAAGGAACTAGATAATCTGTATCTGAAATCAAGCTATGAATAATTTGAAAAATACGAAGGTAAAACTGAACATAGGACTGGGAATGATTTTTTTTCTTATACAAATCTTAATATTCAATGATGTAAAAACACTGTATCCTATAGCTCATTATTTTAAAATTTAAAGCCTATGTTATGTTAATTGTTGCTAATTGAATGGAGGTCAACTTTTGATCTCACAATACTTTGCCAAAAAATAAATAAATAAATATTTAGTTCCAGTATATTCAGAAAACCATTTTTTTCCAGCCTCACTACAACTCCAGTGGTTTTACATATTTTGGTAAATGTGAGTGAACACTTCCCTAATCGCTTTTACTCACAGTCATCCCTCTGTGCTTCTGAAGTCATCAGTTCTGAAGTTATCCTTTATTTGACACTTTGCACACATTGTTACTTTGTAATTTTTCTTATAAATTGTTTCTGTCAGGGTACAGTGGCTCACGCCTGTAATCCCAACACCTTGGGAGGCCAAGGCAGGCAGATCACTTGAGGTCAGGAGTTCAAGGCCATCCTGGCCAACATGATGAAACTCTGTCTCTACTAAAAATACAAATATCAGCCAGGTATGGTGGCACATGCTTGTAATCCCAACAACCTGAGAGGCTGAGGCAAGAGAATCTCCGGAATTCGGGAGGTGGAGGTTGCAGTGAGCCTCTGAGTTCTCACCACTGCACTCCACCCTGGCCGACAGGGTGAGACCCCATCTCAAAAAAAAAAAAAAAAAAAAAAAAAAACCATAAACATTGTTTCATTTTCCTTGTATATATATCATGCCTTCCTAAATATCATTCAAGCTTTTCAAGATCAAAAGCAGAGTCTTGTTATATCCCAAGCACATAGACCTAAGTGTCCTCCAAAGGCTAGGGTTCCATATGTGTGGAACAGAGAAACTCAAGGTCATTTCTCAAGGGGATCCCACTTCAGAGCCCCTGAAACAACATTGGCCTACCAAGATGCTCTCAGGTGAGCCCAAGTAAGAGAGCACAGTAGACTCTGAATGTTGACCTTAAATTTCCTGTTTTGTTTTCCACTTCTAATGCATTACTTCTAATATCATTTCCCAGGCCACAGTACCTAGGAAAGTCCAATAAGAAAGTGGGCTCAGACGTCCCTGCATCATCTTCTTGGCCACTTCCCACATGCTCTGGTGTCTGGTGGTGCATGGATTAGACAGGTATTTTATGCTTTTCTTTTCTTCTCTCACCCCATTATCAATTTTCATATTAACAAGGTCATCATGTGCTTCTCACTAAAGGAAGAGTTCAGGAATGGAACTGGAAATGCGCAAGTGAATTCATTTCTTCAGTTTTCAATGAATTGTGGAGTCCTCCTACGTATTAGTTAGAGTTCCAGGCATTAGGATTGCAATAAGGAACATAGTAAACAAGGTTCCTGCTCCCATGAATCTTCCATTCTAGCAGGGAGTGGCTGACATGGCAGAAAACAAAAAATAAGCGAGCACAAAAAATGAACAAGAGATAGTGCTTAATAACCATATATGTTCCAAATAAAATAAAACAGAATGATGTAGTAAAAATGAGTGTTGGTGTGTGTGCTAATTTAGGCAAAGAGGCCTGGTAAGAACTTGCTGAGAAATAAACATTTAGATGGACGTCAGACTGATGTGAAGGAGCCAGCCCCAGGGGTTCATGGAGCAGAGAATACGCTGCTGAAGAAAGGGAAAGTGTCTGACTGAGCTTTGGATGTAAAGAACAGAGAGAATGCCCATGTAGCTGTAACATGCTGAGTAATGGGTAGAGTGTACGGGATGAAGCCAAAGAAGACAAGCCAGGGGATGCAGGGTGCAGGGCCTCATTCCCTCAGAAATAACTTGGGATTTTATCCTAACTATGGTAGAAATCCAGTGGAGGGTACAGAACAGATGTGACATACATAGATTTAACTTTTTTAAAACTTTTTTAAAGATCACTCTGGCTGCTATGTGGAAATGATCTGGGTTGAGACAGGGACCAGTGTGGACACTGGGATATGCCATCCCAACAGTCAACCTGGCTTGAACTAAAGTGAACATCGAGATAAAGAAGAGTTGGTGATTTCAGAATACGTTTTGCCGGTGATGCTGGAGAATGGAAGACAGAGTAAATGGCAAAAGAATCAAGGATAGCTTTTGAGGTTTGCACTGAGAAACTGATATTGAAATGGGAAAGAAACAGACTTGGGAGAGGTAGAGGTAGAAAGCTGTGTGGCTGTGCCAAGTTTCAGGTGATTGTTACACTTCTGAGCAAAAATTTCAAGTCCAGAGAGTCAGTTCAGAGACTGATAAAATGATTTCAATGATCAGCATTTTCATCTTTGGGACAATAGTCATGGAGGGGGCAGAAATAAACTATATTCCCTTCCTTGAGGAGCCAACAGAACGTTGGCGAGACAGATATGACCATAGCTAAATGTTATAGTTAATATTTTCTGGCAATTGCTCTAACAGGTCCCAAGGAAAGCACTTTGGGAACATTAAAAGGAAGTTACTTACTTGATTCATGTTGCCTTTAACATCCCACTGCTAAGTTGTTCTGCTCTGCTCATCCTTAAAACATCTCTACCTTCAACTTTGGTTCTTTCGGGCCAGAGTCTGTAACTCTTCCAGGCTCATCATTTTGAAAAGGCCACTAGAAGAAATTGAAATTATTTTTCCATGACTAATTCTTCAAGATCATCAACATTTAATGGAGTCAAAACTGTCTGTGGCAGGGTTGTTGGATCGGGCTTCTTCCATGGACCTCCAGATTTTACGTTTTAGAGGCTTTCAAATACTTTTGTAGGTCAAATACTAAAGCACAGCCTTAAATAAATTGTAGCAGCTTTTAACACAACCTTAATACTATTCTGTTTAAAGTGTTAAGTGTCTAGGACCATATAATCTTTGGTGCTTAAATTCTTAAAGCACCCTACAGCTCCTGATGTAACATTTTTGTACATAATTTCTTTATTCAATGAATGCTTTACAAGTATTCAAAAAAGTGAGAGGTGGTGAAACAAATTACAAAAAATAAAGTTTATCTTAATGCAAAACAATTTTTAACTCCTCATGCTTTTTTAACATAAGGTTTAAGTGTGCCTTAATATATGTAATGATAACCATTACAGACTCTGAAGTCAAGAGTCTAGAAACTCACTGGTAAAAATTTTCATCATGGGCCGGGAGCAGTTGGCTCACACCTGTAATCCCAGGACTTTGGGAGGCTGAGGCAGGCAGATCACAAATTCAGGAGATGGAGACCATCCTGGCCAACCTGGTAAAACCCCATCTCTACTAAAAATACAAAAATTAGCTGGGCGTGGTGGTGCATGCCTTTAATCCCAGCTACTCAGGAGGCTGAGGTGGGAGAATCGCTTGAACCCAGGAGTCAGAGGTTGCAGTGAGCTGAGATGGTGCCACTGCACTCCAGCCTGGTGACAGAGCGAGACTCCATCTAAAAAAAACAAAAAACAAAAAACAAAAAACTTACATCATGAGTGGGCAGGCTTTAGAAAGAGTTGCAACAGGATACTGAGCAAATACACACACATACACAAACACACCCATGCAATGTAAACACATGCCAAACTGTGGATGGTACTTACTTATAAATAATAAGTTTAAAAGAACATGTCTGATTGATAGATAAATAACTATAGATTCCAATCAAAAATAATTTTTCAAGGAGCTATGTTGTTTTGTTTTTTTTTTTTTTTTCAGTAGAAAACTGAGTTTTGCTAAGGCTCAGTGCCATTTCCAAACCCCCTGCCAGCCCAGGGTCTTGTGTTCTGCCTCATCTCAGGGGTCGTCCTTTATTAGAGCATCCTAGGATGTCAGGCCTAGAAAGAACCTCAGAGATTATCCAAGTTGGCCACCACGTCCACCCATACGCATGTACTTACTCCATTCACACTCTTCATTCTCCTAGGAGCTGTTGCTGTGGTTCATTGGGTGAGTTTGGCTCCAGGATGTGCTTCCTCGGGGGATTGCCCTCAGGGAAGCCAAGGGAAATCCAATCCAGAGGAAGCCATAATCTGCCCCAACTCCGTCCTGTGAAAGAATGTGGCCCTGCCGTTGGGGAGCTGGGGGATGACACGAAGTTCTGAAGGGCAAATATGGCCAACTCCTTTTCTCAGCCTCTACCAAAACAAGCCTCCACTCTTCATTTATTTCTCAGAATCTGGAAGTCAGCTCAAGAAACAGAGGCATCTGCTCCCATTTAAAAACAAGTTAGAGTATTAGATTCAGCTTTTTTTTTTAAGAGCTTTAAATTTGGAGAAAAGCCTTTGTTTAATCACATCAAGTCTGTGTCACAGGCTGAAAAATGCCAGGAAATTCCAAGCTAAAGGCAGATACTTCATCTATAACTCATGCCACAGGGCTTTTTTTTTTTTTTTTTTTAATTCTTTCCTATGCTTGCAAAGGCTGAAGCATCAGAAAAACTGATTTTTTTTTTGGTCTTGTCAGTTCATGTCATAACCTTGGCATTACTCTCTGTCTTTTTTTAATTTAATAAGAATATGAGATTATACTGATCCTATTCTCCTATTTCTTGTTAGTGCTGAACAAGCACTTCTGGCGCTCACAACTCAAATTCCTGCCATGTTGCTCTGTGCCTTAGTATGTTTGGCTATGAAGTAAAGCATCTTGACCTATCATTTATCTTTAAGGCCTGAGAAAGAAATTATTTTAGCATTCCTGCTCTTAGCTCATATATATAAATCTGTGATCAATGACACATTTGCAGCTCTGAAGTTAGCACAAAACTATGAAGAACAAAAAGAGCAGAGGGGATGGAGTGGGATAAGGTAGGGGTGGGTGGAGGGGGCAGTAAAAATCAACAAAACCCACCAGCAGAAGAGTATTAAATCTCCTGCTTTATGCCCAACCGTGGGTTTTGGATTTCATAAATGGGATGAAGAATGTATGTAACTCCAAAAATATGTAAGTCTTTCTCCTTTAAATGTGGAAAGTGTTCATTTTTCAATCTAAGTGCCCTGAATTTCTGTATTGCTTTTAGAGTTGTGTGGTACATAATAAAAATATGGAGCCTGCCCCAGACATAGCACAGCTCACGTTTTCAGGGATTTGAAAGCTTGATCACTCCAACTGCCTGTGAATAAAAGGGAAAAAATGAAGCATTAACACCAGGCATACCCTTTCCTGATTATGATCGTCAGTCATTATAACAGAAGAACAAAGCATGCTAGAGAACAGCGTCAGGAAGATGGCTTTAGTGAAATAAAGTATGCTCTGTAACAAATTAAATGTTAAGATCAGTTTCCAATCAATTAGTAAGTACTTATGAAGGGTTAACCAACTAACTACATGTTTCATTTAGTCTAAATAGAAACCGTAAGATCTGCTTTCAATGAGCTTTCAACCTAGTTTCAGTATGACAGTATAGAATATAGAATATAGGGTACAGGATAGTGCATATGTAGCCACCAGGACTTGGAATCCATGTATAGGAACCGTTCACGAAAACACCACAACCACTCCTGCAGTAGTACATCTGTGACTTCCATGGTACAGGCTTGGTTTTAAATCTCACTTTAACACACTCTTTCAATGATATTTACTGTGTGCCCTGCTGTATGTTAGTTTCTGTGGTGCACACAAGTGATGCAGCAGTGGAAGTGAAATAGATACAATCCGTCCCCTCACTGAGCTTTACAGGATAGCACATGACACATATATGATCAATCACACAAGTTTACAATCCCAAATTGTTATACAAATATGAGGTAATGAAGACAGTACTGTCTAATGAGGACCCAATTTAGACTGGAGGCTCAGGGAAGGGATCTGTAAGACGGAAGCCAGGGAAAATATCATCAGGTCTGCTGGATAGTCACAGGGCACAGGAGTGATCAGAGGCAAAGAACATGACTTACAGGCCAAAGAAAAAAAAAGAAAGGTGCAACACTTTGGATTGAAATGATCTTGACCATGTATCAACCTGCCTGAGGCCCAATCTTCTCATTAGTGGAGATGAATATATCAATACTTCCCATAGATTTATGTTAGAAAATAAATAACTGATATCTTTACGGGTACAGCAGAATATCCTGGGAAAAATTACTGAAATTATACCAAAGCCATCCAATGCCTACTGAGGAGCACCACAGACATAATAGGGGAAAATATATAAAATGTTTAATAAGGAAGAAACAATCCTGAAGAGTAAAGAAAAGATGTGATGTCTGCAGTGGGAGATAATTAATGGTGGGGCCAATAGGGGTCAGCACTTTTTTTTTTTTTTTTTAGGTTCAATAAAGTACTGGATTTATGAGGCAGTGGATTCAAAAGTTCACATAACTAAATACACAAACTGGCTTGTTTGTTTGGGATCGTTCAGTGTCTGAGAGTGAATTATTCATGCAAGCATTAATAAATTAAAATTTTTCAATTTGGCAGTTGAGAAAATTTACTTAAGGAAATAAAAGGGATATCTACCAAGTTTGGACTGGCTTGTGCATTTTTTAAAGCTGGCTCAAATCTTGAAGAGTAAAAGAAAGTTCAAGTTATTTATTAATGTTAGTTTTTTACTCTACTGATTTAGTGTACATGTAAAAAAAAAATCCTGAGATTGGTTGGAACTGAAGTATGAAGACAGCAAGAATTTACCTGCATTTTATCTAACCCAGTTATAACACTGACTATGATAGGCGAGAGAATCTGCTATAAGAAGAAAACCGATGCAATTTTCCTTTATCATGGAATAACTTTTAATGACACCCCCATCCCTTTGAAAATGTCACTTCCGTATCTTTTTTCCCTGGCTTAAATATACTTTTAAAAAATTCACTACTGAAATACATTTTTATGACTTCAAACTTCTGAAAACAATTATAGTTTTGGCATATTTTATCTACAGACAATAGAAAAATGTCATTCTATCAATCACTTCACACACATACAAAAAATCCCCCTGATAAATGATATGTAGTTTCAAAAAAATCCCCTGATAGGTGATTTGTAGTCAAAAGTCCATTAGAGTTCAAATTTTTCTTAGGGAAAAAAAAACTATTAATTTGACTTCCCCACCAAAAAAATATAATGGCTCTTAACTACACATTCATTTTGTTTCCTCTCTGTGTTAATCACTGCTAAAAAAAGTCTTCTAAATTTATTTTTTTCTACTTTCTTTTATGACCTTAATAGAAAGTAAAAGAACCCAGCATGATTTCTCTGTTTGCTTATAAATTGTAGTTTGTACAGATGCCCTGCAATTTTTACAACTGTATCACAGATAATATTTCCTGGAATCAGTCACTACCTGTTCTTTTCAGCACTGTCAGGCTTTCTTTTAATGAACATGAACAAATATGTTTGTCTTCTATTGTATCTTCTAAGATTGAGGGAGAAAAAAGCCCCATAAAACTGAAATTCCAGAACTGCCGCATCTTTTTAAATCTGAGTATCATCATTAGAGCTGTATTCACCCTTGCACTATCTATAGCTTAACAGAAAACCACATTTTTTCTCTTTAATTGGGGAGTTTATATAAAATATGTTCCAGACCCTGGCACGTAATGTTCACATAAAACAATAGTTCCCTTCACTTCATCCATTTCAAATATCTTGCTGCATCTCTGATCCATTATTGCTAGACAACTGATTTAAACTGCAGTTTAATAAAATTACACATGATTTCCTGGTTAACAATCTATTATATATAATATTTATATACATAATATATATTATAATATAATATTTATATATTATATATTTATATATTATATATTATATATAAATATATAATATATAATATATAAATATATATTATAAGATATATTATGTATAAAATATATAAATATATAATATATAAATATATAATATATAAATATATACTATACATATATATTATGTATATAATATACAAATATATAATATATAAATATATACTATACATATATATTATGTATATAATATATAAATATATAATATATAAATATATATTATACATATATATTATGCATATAATATAAAAATATATATTATACATATATATTATGTATATAATATATAAATATATAATATAAAAATATATATTATACACATATATTATGTATATAATATATAAATATATATTATACAAATATATATTATAAATGTATATTATGTATATAATATATAAATATATATTATACAAATATATATTATAAATGTATATAATATATTATATAATATATAATATATATTAGATATAAAATATATTATATATTATATTATATACAGTATATATTATATATGTAATATAAAATATATTATATATTATATATTATATATAGTATATATTATATATGTAATATATAATATATCTTACATATATAATATATAATATTATATATATTATATATATAATTTGTATATATATATATATATATATATTTCCTTGAGTTTAACCTGTGGATTTGAACCAGTCCTTTATTTTGGTTCTCACTGACTCAAAACGTGAAAGTCACTCAATTTGCCTTTTACCCTCCTCCTGTCATCCTAAGTTCCCTTCCAACATTCCCTTGTTTCGGTAGCTGCTATCAAAACGTGTATGCTGGATAAGATTTCAAATCCTGTCACATATTCTCATCAGTCAATAAAGGCCTGCTCTCCAGTATAAACTGCCTACTCTGTGCCAAGCACTCTCTTAGATTCTGGTGGGTATAAAGATATGTATCACATATGGACTTTATACTCAGAACCTAAAGTCTGCTTGGACACAAAGCAATTGACAAAGAAGTTAGTCCTAAAGTTGCACTAACTGATGTGAAGAGAACTGAGGGAAAAATGGGATAATTAAGTGCAAAGTAGACAGGAACCATATAGTTCATTTAGAAATAAGAAAATTGAGGAGGTGCAAAAGTAAGACAGTTTTTCCTTTCAAAGGAGTTCATGATATTGAGGGAGAGACAGATATTAACAAATGTACACATACACACAAAGAGGTAAATAAAGGAGGGAGGGAAGAATGATGTTGGGTGCCGACAGAAAATGGAAGTGGCCTACCTCAAGGATCCAAATGGAAACTCTGGTGTTATACTTGAAGTCACTGCTTTTCAATCCCGTTTCTTAGGGTGTGGGCGTTGAAAAATCTTAACATTCTTATTTTCTTGCATTTCCATCATTTTACTGGTCAATCATCTCCCTTCTAACCTTTGCAACATTCAATACTGTCTTCTATTCAGGGTAGTAACATTGGGTCCTGCAGGGTTTCTGAAAGTGAGATTCATGGACCATATGCCTGTAAATAACCTTAGTCATCTGTTGAAAATATGGCTTTCTGCTACCATACTTTAAACACATGAATCATCCATTAGATGTTTCTGATGAACATCAAGGTTTACTAACAGGAATATGGGACTGGAAATCACAAAGCCCTCATTTGCCTCACATCTAAAATTAATAGTTGGATTAAATAATCATACATAGTTCATGATTTTAAGTTCAACATTTCTATTATTCTGTGTATTTCTTTGGGATACTTAGTACTATTTCTCTTGATTTTTTTTCTACAGTGCCTAGTTCTATAAAGCTTTTATCCCCCTTAATTTAAGATTTATCTTAACTTAGGAATATTTAAAAAGCAGAATGTTTTACTTTGCCAACATGGGCAACCATACATGAAACTGATTTAAGGAATAATAAGAGTACTGGACTCTGAAGGAAACATTACTCTTAAGAAATTAATTTGGTTTGAACCCAGAATCATGAATTTTTAAATGTGGAACAGTTTATTCTTATGCTTTATTTATTACTAACTCAGCCCTCTAGGACTTGTACTTTGTTTGCCCTTTATCTAAAATATGGATGCTAAGCACATAATTAATAAATAAGAGATGTCCTTAAAACAAGTATTTTTAAATGCCTAATGAGAATTAGCACTAATCTTGTTCGGCTACAAGCCTGAACATTCTACCAGACAGGAAACCCAATTTAAACAATTAATGGTTTCCAGAATGAGTGTTTATTAATTGAGCCATAGCATTACAGTGGAGTCTCTTTTCACTTCCTCTTGTCAAACCTATTGAGGATGCAATGCAGAGCTATTTGGCAGGTGGCCACACTGAAAAGCAGCAGGATGTATTTGGCAGATCTGTATTACATGTTGCCAGACTTTTGCCATTTGGCTTGCTAGAATGTTTCTTTCGTCTTCCTTTCCCTTTCTTGTCCCTTACATAAAAATGTTTTTTTCTCAGCAGAATTATAATTCATAACTATAATGAGCATCAAGTTAACTATCAATAATTAAATGGAAACATGACTTCACAAAATATTTTGCAAAACCTATGGAATTCTCTCAGAAGAATTTTCTCAAGATTACATAGTGTCATTTCTAATGGGAAGGTAACTGATTGGTATCAATCAGCAAATATTAATTGTCAATGTCTACATTCTCTGCACAAACCCCATCTACCTCCAAAGCGTGTAAATTATACCTAAAAATGCAAATTATATACAGTCAGCCTTCCATATCCATGGGTTCCACATTTGAAGATTATTCAACCAACCATGGATCAAATATATTTTTAGAAAATAAAATAAGAATAATGCAATAAAGAATGCAAACTTTAAAACACACTGTAAATACTTACACAGCACTTAGATGTATTAAGAATGATAAGTAATCTAGATATGATTTAAAATATATAGGAGGATGTGTGCAAGTTACATGCAAATGTTATACATTTTATTTAAGGGACTTGAGCTTTTGCAACTTTTGTTATCCACAGGAGTGCTGGAACCAATGCCTTGCAGATATCAAGCGATAATTAATATATAACTACAAAGCAACTGGAAACTTTCTTTCCTCCTTTACAGAAATTTAAGTTTAAGTGGTTTTGACTTATCCATCATTAAAATATGTCTTGACTAAATGTGGTTGTATCTTGAATTCCCAAACTGATTTCTTAAGCCCTCTGCATCATATGTAAAAACAAACAAACAACAAACAAAAAACATGTCCTGAAACTTGGACAAGGCCTCTTGCTTTGGGTCCTGTATTTTAAAGAACTCTGCATATAATAAACAACAGAAGTAATTCATGTTAGAAAACATGACCGCCTATGTTACTCAGTGTGCAGAGCTCAGTTCTAGAACCTGCACCCTAAACTTGTGCTTTCTTTACTAATACCATCCAGGCCCCAGGGAAACACTTCACCACCTCTCTTGCCCTGTGTTCTCAAAACAGAAGGCAGCAGTGCTCAAATGTGTATGGGTTGTGCCACTGCCTTCTACTTTAGTCTATTTGTGCTTCTATAACAAAATACCACAAACTGGGATACTTACAAGGAACAGAAATTTATTTTCTTACAGTTCTGGAGGCCAAAAGTCCAAGATCAAGGCACCAGCATTTGGTGTCTTGCTGCATCTTCCAGAAGGGAGGAAGGCTGTGTCTTCACCTGGTGGAAGGCAGCACAGGAAGCCTCCCTTTCCATTCAGGATGCAGGAGCCCTCAAGGCCTAATCACCTCTTAAAGGCCCCACCTGTTAACATCATCGTGTTGGCCATTAAGTTTAAACACATGAATTTTGGAGAAAACACATCCAAACTGTAGCAACAACATTGAAGATATAAACACACTGCTTCAAAATGCAGAGAATATTTGGGAGGCAAACACATTAAGAGATAAGAAAAATGAATTAACTTGCCAAAGAGGATAGCATGAATTCAACAGATTTTTGCATAATGAAGTATGGTTTCCCAATAGCGTTGAAGGCATCATTTTTATTCTTTTCTTCTTTTTATTTCCCAGTTCGTACTTCTAAAGATACTTTTACTCTTACATTTGTATATATGGTGGTTAAATAACATGCCTAAGGTATGATAGCAATTCTTTATAGTGGCAACTAAATGAGTACAGAATGCTAGAATTTTTTTTTTAACAAAATGTTTGTTTGAATTGATTTTTTAAACAAATAAAAAGAATCTCCAGGCTGGAGTGCAGTAGCATGATCATAACTCACTCCAGCCTCAAACTCCTGGGCTCTAGTGATCCTCTCACTTCAGCCTCCTGAGTAGCTAGGACTTCAGTTGCACACAACCATGCCTGGATAATTTATTTTTATTTTTATTTTTATTTTATTTTTTATTATTATTATACTTTAAGTTTTAGGGTACATGTGCACAATGTGCAGGTTTGTTACATATGTATACATGTGCCATGTTGGTGTGCTGCACCCATTAACTCGTCATTTAGCATTAGGTTTATTTTTATTTTTGTAGAGAGTCTCGCTACATTGCAGACTGGTATAGAACTCCTGGCTCCAAGCGATCCTCCTGCCTCAGCCTTCCCAAGGGTTGGGATTACAGACATGAAAAGTATTCAAATAGTTTTCTTAAAACTTTTGGTGCACATAAATTAAAATTTGCATTTGCCGTGTAATGTTTGATAAATAAACTTAATATTTTAAGATATATAATCTTTGAAAACATATATGACAACTAATTTTACTGTTTTATATTTACTTTAATTTACATTTTGTGGATACTTTTAATCCCTTAGCTCATTACTGTCAATACACAAAAATCATGTAAAACTTTTGATTATAGCAAAATAACTAGAGCTGAAATATTCTGGAAGAAGCAATTTATGCATTTATATTACTACTCACTGAACATACCTGGCTTATCAAGATGGCATCCACATATGTGCATTAACAAACTCAGTAGTCTGACATCTTCTCAAATTTCAATTTATAAAAATAATAGCTTTGCACAAATTCTTTTTTGAATAAGTATATTTGACAAAATAAGAGAATTGAACCAAATTTAATTGTCAGTTTAATAGCTTGGTTTATATCTTTTAAATATTTAGACATGTGGCATATGTCTAACATACAATTTTATTCTTGTCTTCTCCTCTCAAATGTTGGGGTATGTTTGAAAATGTAAATGTTTACCACAGATGGATATTGAGTCAAATTAAGGCTGCCTCATGTAAGTGGAATGCTGATTTATATCATTACAATGCATACCACAGGAGCTAAAAAAATATTAAATCATGGAGAAAAATCACAATGCAGAATAATGATTTGTCCAATTTATTCACTGAGTACATGTTTTATGTCAACGATTTATAAACAATAGACTAGAATTTATTCCCAACTATCACAAATACTGTGGAAGATGATAAAATTGGCAGAGTTGGGGCTTAAGAACTATCTTTGCAGAAATTGTGTCTAAAAGTCTATTCTCAGTTAACCTCGGCTTGACTTCTAGAAATCTACACATACTTAGGGTTAGTCATTTGGTGAATAAAACATCTGTTGGTGTATTCAAACTTTGTAGGAGACACTTATTCTTCCACATTAATATCTATCTTAATCATGCACAGTGGTCTTTTCCTCAGCTATCTTTTTCATGGCAATTATAACACCCATGGTGCTAGGTTAACAGAAATGGAGAATTGAAGGACAGATTGGAAGAAGAGTCAAAAGAAAACATCATTAAACTTTAAGTTCATCACTACAGAATGACATTCTTAAGAAGATATCCCACCGTTTTCTAAAACAATGATTGTGTGTGCAAGACTTAACAATCCAACAGTGGATCTCAAAAGATATAAATTGATACAGGCACAACAACCTGACTTTGATCACTGTAAATAATTGCATTTTTTTTCAGAAATCAAGGATAAATTCCAATAAAAGTAGATTTTGAAAGCTATGTCTTAACATTTAATTATGAAAATACCTATAGGCTACCTAAAAGTAAGGGCAGTGATTACTCAACTATATGAAGGAACAGAAACACACACACACACACACACACACACACACACAGAAGGTGTATAGTTGGTTTTATAAAATTATAAGGATTATTATTCAATCCAAAAAAAGTATTATTTTCCTCTGATATTTTAAAATCCTAGGTCAAAGTAAACTGTAATATTCCTCCAATTTCTTCTGGCCTCCCCTATTTCAAAAAACCTTATGAAAATATCGGACAAGGTAGGAGGTTGATTGTTTTCTTTATTTGCCAACTCTGTGTGTTCCCTAATTCCCAGTGTGAATCTGTGACAGTGGCTTGCCAGAAAGCATTCTATCACTTTGGCTAATAATCAGATTTTACTGATTTGCTCTTGGAAATAATAGGCAATAATGTGCAGTAAAAAAAGATTTTATTTTACACATTTTGTAAAAATATGTAACTCCAATTGACTTTGAGGGAGACTTGAAAGAATAATGCCATATGTCCTTCCTGGAAATGTTAATGTGTTACTTCCTTAAAAGAGGATGTACCTTTTTTTTTTTTTTTTTTTTTTTTTTTGAGACGGAGTCTCGCTCTGTCGCCCAGGCTGGAGTGCAGTGGCGCAATCTTGGCTCACTCCAAGCTCTGCCTCCCGGGTTCACGCCATTCTCCTGCCTCAGCCTACCGAGTAGCTGGGACCACAGGTGCCCGCCACCATGCCCGGCTAATTTTCTGTATTTTTAGTAGGGACGGGGTTTCACCGTGTTAACCAGGATGGTCTCGATCTCCTGACCTCGTGATCCGCCCGCCTCAGCCTCCCTAAATGAGGATGTACTTTATAGTTAGCAGAGAAATAAAGGTACTAGAAGCTCTTTATCATTATTATTATTACTATTATTTTATCATCATTATTTTTTAAGTACTCTTCAAATAACAGCAAATAATTTCCATAAGCAAAGTAAGTTTTTTCAATACTTACACATACTTATTTATTTATTTAGTGACAGGGTCTCACTCTGTCACCCAGGCTGGAGTGCAGTGGCACCATTGTGGCTCATTGTAAGCTTGAAGTCCTGGGCTCAATGATCCTTCTGCCTCAGCCGCCTGTGTAGCTAGGACTACCAGTGAACATCACCATGCCTGCCAATTAAAAAAAAAATTTTGTAGAGATGGGGGTGCTGTGTCTTGCTGTATTACCCAGGCTGGTCTCAAACTCCTGGCCTCAAGTGATCCTCTCACCTTGGCCTCCCAAAGTGCTAGGATTACAGGTGTGTTTTGGGCCTGTTTTGAGCCACCATCTCTAGCCACACATATTTAAATAAATGTTTAGGCCATAACTGATTCTTAAGCTTACTTTGAGAGTCAGAGTTATTGTAGTGTGCCACAATTAATATTACTATTAAAGTTTAGTTTTATGATGTATTCAAATGTGAAGAAAGCTCTTTGGAAAAGATAAACAAAAAGAGAAACCTTTTACTTCACAGTATTAGCATTTTTTTCTTCAAATATTATAAATGACATCCAAAATAAAACAGGGTTTTTCCCTGAATGTTTAATATTTGTTTAGGGTTTTCCTTCTGTTTTCTTTCTACAATAAACAGTATTGCAAATAAGTATGAAGATGGAATGACAATATATTTTATACAGCAAGATGGCATGCAGAACTTTGCATGATAACACTGAGAAAATGTGCTTCTTTGGAATTATCTGAAACATGGTATGTTAGGATAAGTTTTATATTTGCATTCACTTCTTTCTTCATATTCAAAGCCATTATCTAGCCATTTTCTGCTTATGTTGCATTGTATACTGCCTGCAATCAGGAAATACTACTCTTTAACTATCACTTTGCAAACTTCATATACTTCTGTTTTTATTTCTTTTCATTTAAGATTCTCTTTGTTGTATTTCTGCATTTAACTCAACATACTTAGTATAATATAAACATTGCATAGCCTGCAAACTACCTAGAACTAATGCGTCATATTTATATTAGTTCAGCACCGTAGTCTCATCCATACTTATTAAATGGTATGCTTTTCATAAAGAAATCATCATGTTTCTGGCTTTTATCACAAATTAGCCTCAAAATATAAGGAATACATCAAAAAACAATGCCATAAATCTATAATTTTGCACTGATACTTAAAAGATTTTATGCCAATAATTCTATAGAGAAAGATAACATAATTTGGTTTACCTTCAGTGGAAATGCTGGGTGGAAGGACTTCCATTAATTCAAGCTGCATCCAAAAATCAGAGGAAATGTTCATGGATTAAGTCCCCGGGGAACTACTATTGACAAATTTCAAAGTTCCATTGGCCTCTTTTTTTCCTTTGAACAATCCTTGAAATTGCTCACTACTCAAACCAGGGTCCGCTTCTACCAGCTCAGAACTTCCCAGAAGACATGGTTGGAGCAACCCTGCCCATGAGACTGAGTGGTCACTCCAGGGATATTGCCTTGACTTTTTGAAGTTTCTACGCAGTTCTATGTATTCTTTACATGCTTTGTATAAAATTAAAGACTGGTTGCCCATAAAGCAAGAGTGTCTAGTGACTAACAACAACTAAAAATATTATCCAAAAAATAACAGAAGCGATCTGTTGCCTTGCTATTTAATGTACAGTCCTCAGACCATCAACATCTTTGTCACACAGCACCTGTTACAAATGCAGAATCTCTGGATACACCAAGATATGGTGAATCAAAATCTGCATTTTAACAAGATTCCAAGATGATTTATATGCAGCTTAAAGTCTGAAAATCACAGATATAGAGCAGTTCGTCTCAAACTGTCTATGATTTTAAATGTATTTACTGCCTATACTTTTATAAAATACAATACAAATAAATTATTAGAATGTTATTGAGAGAAATGAAGGCATAAAAACTATATATGTCATTTTTCTATTATTATAATCACAGACAAAATATCATTCTATTGAACTTATAAAGTGTTCTTACTTTTCACAGATGTGCAATATAAAAATTCTCACTTATTTTATTGATAATTGTTGTTTCATTATGAAACATAAGAATGTATAGAAGATCTATTTTTTCTCACTTCCAACTTTTGTTTTTGCCTTTCAATTTTATCTGTCACTGAAAAACAATGCATGCAAGTATTAAAACATGCATGCATGCTTTAATATAAAAACAATGTATAAAATGCTCTAGTATAAAAACAATGCATGCAAGTATTTAAAAAAAATCAAACATACTAAAGAGACAAGAAAGACCAGCTGATCAATTCCCATCTTTAAGCGTTGGAACCAAACTGTTTCTTATCTTGTAGAAGCATGAAGACTGTGTTTCATAATTTAAATATTCTTAAAAGAAATTTCACCTTCTTACATCATCTCATCTTCTCCCTGAAACATTCAATAGCAGTCGTTTATAATCAGCTTCCATGATATCTCATAATAAAGAGAACAATTTCTAATTTAATGCATTAGAATTTACATAATTCACAATTTTTACTATTTTGCTAGGGGCACTGCTTAGTTCAACTGTGTTTTTACTTTAATAGCAAGGCTTACTTGATTGAGAGAAAAGTGAATTATTTGTCTTCTAGCCTAGCTCCTCAATCTGGATAACTGCTTGGGAATATTGCTATATTCATCAGACTAAGAATACGAAAAGAACAGGTTACACTCACTTCAGACAATTTTATTACATGTAGGCAAACAGAATTTAAGAAAATGTATGGTGGGAAGATGTAAGTTAAAAGTAACCAGGGAAAAAAGTGGGCTCTTTTTATATTTGTCATTTTTATATGCTCTTCTTCACTCTATTCCTCACTGTCATAAACAATTAAAACCACTTGGTTGTTAGGCTGAATTCCAACTCTAACTCCCTTTTGTGAGCCTACTGACCCCGAGTAGCTACCTGTTTTACTGTGTTCTGACCCTCCTTTTAAAATTCATTTTGTTTATGAATCCATTCACTCACTATGAAAATAATTTGATCACTCTGAAGTGTTATTGATTTGTTTTTACTTTGTGTCCTTTTTCATTTCATCACGGTAGGTAGCTGGATGTTATGCTTTCCAATTAAGTAATGTGTTTATCTGTGAAGTAATACTACTGAAAGGCACATCATACTTTTACCACAATATATTCCTGGAAGCCATGTTACAAAGCCGATTATCCTAAAATGGAATCTACATTTTCATAGAAATAATTTAATATCAGAAAACGCTGGGTTTGGTTTCTTTATATTTATTTAGTTATGTTTTTACTAGCCCTAGCTCCTCAAAATAAGAGAAATAAAAAATAAAATTATCTTCCACTTTGTGGCCTAACTTTGGGCAAATAAGATTTTAGAAGTAACTTTTAGATTTGTTTCATTGATGAAAAAAGAAATTTAGTGCATAAAAATATTTTATTGACTTACATAATAGACTGACTGTAATTTATATGTTTTCCAAACATTTAAGGCTAATTCATTTGTTTTCTGATTTAGAATTTGGGCAGCTTTTGGACCTGTTTGGACCTGTTTATTTCTAAACATTTAAGGCTAATTCATTTGTTTTCCAATTTAGAATTTGGACAGCTTTTGGGCCTGTTTTGGGTGTCCTTGCCAATTGAGATCATTGTGCAGGAAGAACTACAACTTTATATTTCCTCTCACAAATAATCTCAACAAAAGAAAAGACCTTCAAAATTATCCCATAGACCTTAGAATGTTTTCAAAGTTCTAAAATAAATAGTACTTATTATTGTTAAACCAGTTGATGCTTCTTAAAATGAAAAGTAAGCTTTTAAAGTAAGGAAGAACCCAATAATTTTCTCCATTTTCTTCTACTATCTCGGTTTATAGAAAACTGGGTAAAGTTCTTCATCTGAAGTTTCCAGATATCTGCTTAATAGCCAACAGAAAACAATAAGTGCTGTTATTCTCTTCATTCTCCATTGTTATAAGGCCATTTTGAGACTTAGCTAAAAGTTGTCCTGACCTTAACACTTTATTAAAAAATAAAAGCTATGCAAACAAGTTCCCAATAACCCCACTATGTTTTCAAATAGAAATCTCCAAATTGCACCAAAAGAATTGTGAAGCTTGGACTAAGCAGTACGAATGTGTGAGGTTTGGGAATGCCAAATAGCAAATAAAAGGCATTAGAACTTGTGGTGTGAATGTTAATTGGTCAGCAAGGAATAAGAGACATGGCCAAGTTTAAAGTTGTAAGAAATGACTGTAAGCAGCAATCCAGCAAAGTACTGAAAATCACAGGCTCCAAATTTACTATCTGTGGCCTCCGCTGCTTCTTCTACAGAACTGCTTCATTCAGATTCTCCAGCACAAGGATAGTATAAATCATAAAAGCCAACAATTACTTGTTTTGTTTCCAAATTGTTTCAATTCTTATGCAACAGCTACAGTTTGCTCAGTTTATTATTTAATTACGAAAACAATTCACATTTCTTGAAAAGTATATCAATGGTTTGTATCAACATATATAATGAAAAATTTGTATCTCTGAATTTTTGCATTTGGCATTTATTACAGTTATTTTGTAATTTGGATTTCTCCCCTGAACCCTGGGCTTCTGAAGGTGGAGATCATGGCATGTTTTCCTGCCTGTGCCATCAGCATCCCCACCAGTGTCTACACAAATAAGATGCTCAAAATGTATGTGGAGTTGTCTTCTTTTAAATCCATTCCACTCCACAGATACAAGACTTTCTCTTCCACAATTGCATACTCCCTCTTTTTTATTTTTCAGTGTTATTTCCTCCTCCACCCAGAAGGTTGCATTGATGAAAGTTAAAAATAACAAAAACCTGCATGCTTTGTGTTTGCAAATATCCTCATGAATGGAGTTCACATCTTTGATCTATTTCTTTTCTTTGTTCACATCTGTTGTCCATTTTAATAAAGTCTCTTTCAGAGTTTGAACTGCAAGTTTGATTCACCACCATGCTTTTGTCTAAAGGTC
Organism: Homo sapiens; assembly: GCF_000001405.40. Lineage (NCBI taxonomy): Eukaryota > Metazoa > Chordata > Mammalia > Primates > Hominidae > Homo > Homo sapiens. Next base: position 113,391,778 of record NC_000006.12, read on the forward strand.
CCCAGCATGGGGCAGTGGGCACAGGGGGTTTTCATGGGAGAAGAAGGTAAATGAAGAGTAAACTTCAGGTGACCTTCTAAAGAATAGATTTAATATTTCAACCATATTTTCCTTTAGAATAGGAGGATACTTTTGCAATAGGAATATCACAGATACTTACAATTGTGTTTTGAAGGGCTACACGGGGGTTCATTCCTACCCAAGAATAGGTAATTGTTAAACTGGAGATTAAATGCCTGTGTTAAAAATAAAAAAATCCGTATGCAGCCTGCGTGGTGGCTCACGCTTGTAATCCTAGCACTTTGGAAGGCCGAGGTGGGTGGATCGCTTGAGCTCAGAAGTTCAAGACCAGCCTGAGCAACATGGTAAAACCCCATCTCTACAAAATAATACAAAAAATTAGCTGGGAGTGGTGGCGCAGGCCTATAGTCCCAGCTACTTGGGGGACTGAGGTGAGATGATCACCTGAGCCCAGGAGGTTGAGGCTCCAGTGAGCCGAGATTGCGCCGCTGCACTCCAGCCTGGGTGGCAAAGTGAGACCTTGTCAAAAAAGAAAAAAAAAATCCTAAGAAATCAGTCATGATCAGATTGCAAAATGATTGCCAAAATTAGCTATTCACACTCAAATGTGACATTGATACCATACCAAATTGTGTGCATGGCATGTATTTGTGTTTGTATGTGTCTCTAAATCTTGAGATATGAAAAAAGAGGAATTAGTCAATAAGACATTTAGGTAAATAGTCTATTGGTAGTGTTACAAAGAAAATAGCCACTTAACCAGCTAAAACTTTTACTCCCCAAATAATTGTTAAAACATTACATAAACATCTCTTTAAAAGAGAGCCTGATTGTGTGGTTTTGAAAGCTTGAACTTGGTCCTCTCGGGCCCCAAGGTTACGGTTTATTCAGACAATTCTCTGTTGGTTGGAACTCTACCAGGCCCCTGGAGTTTTAATAGAATATATGTTTATGTAATTCTCCTTGATAATGTATTCTTATTATTTCCAAAACAAAAGGAAATGAACCCAGTAACCTTCACTGATTGCTGAGTTCATCATGCAACTCAGCATCATCGCTCATTCATCAGTGAATAGTAACTCATTTGAATAGCATGTCAATCTCTTCCCTCAGTAACAAGAGATTGTTCTAGCTCTTGAAGTGCTGGTGAAAAACAGGATTGAAAAACAGGAAGGAAGAAGCAGAGATTTGTAAGTAAATTGAGAGGGCAAGTTAACAAGAGATTTCTCTGTAAGGTTTGTGTTTAGGGTTTATATCTGAAGAAATTGATAGGAAGAAGAATCACTGGTTGCTGTGGTCTCACCTCGCTGCCCATTGTCTTTGAAAGATATCCTAATGACATAAACAACATGATGTCTCTAATATAGAGTAAAATGGGAAGACATCAAGTTGCACTTCAGCATAAGAAGATAGAGAAATGAGGGCTCCTTAGTTTCTTTACCACTATGTCCTTTGACTGTTTGTCTTCTCAGACAAGGGCAAATTGACCTCTACCTATAGCACTTCTTGTTGATTCTAGTAGTTACCATGTCAAAGCGAAGAATTCTGGGTGAATTGGTAGATTTTTCTGGATTTTCATTTCAAAAAAGGATTGTGGAAAATCTAAGTAAATATAAGCATTTCAGATTCAGATTTATCCATATGGTTGGGTAAAATGTGGTGCTAGTGTGAACTTGCAGGTTCATCCTGATTTGAACATAACTGCCTTTGCATGAATATAAATCCCTCTTACCTTGGCCAGCCGTCTCACAAATGTGTGCTATCATTCATGGAACCTTTAGGCACATGTGTTGAGGAAAACTCATCTTTACTGTCAGAAAGTCAACTCAAGACACACATCCTATTTTAAAATATATATAAAAGATCATATTATTTTAGGAAATTCATAACAAATAAAGTAAAGGCTCAGTTTAGATGTCACTTTTTATCACTAGCTTTCTATCACCCTAAAAATTGCATAAAACTGTTTAGTTGCATCAGTGAAGTTGTAAACCTTAATATATCCAATTTGGTAGTAATACTATGCAATACACGTGTTTAGGTTTAAAGACATGTATGAAAACTTCAAAGTACTTGGCTCTTGACTGATGAAGATTCCATGTCTTATTGATTTTGGTTACTAGAAAACTAGAGGATTTGTTATTTTCTATGAGCTAGTGGCATTTGAGAAACATCTGTGTAAAAGACTTGGAAAATTTATATACACATGTGCATGAGGGCAACGTTATTGATCTCATATGAAGTGAGTTCTCCAGGTTGTTTTTTTTTTCCTGTGGATAAGTCATAACTCTCTCATTTGTTGCTTATAACATGATAGAGAACTAAAATCTGTGATGTTTGTTTTTAAAACCAGGTGGAAAAGTATGAAGACTAGATAATTCAATCTAGATACAAAAAATATACAGCAAGATCCTTTTATTTTTCTTCTTGAACTATTTTTAGAGAAGAAATTATTGTTGAGGGATTAGTGTTATTGTTGTTGTGTATTTTCTTTACATTTCTTCCTCTTCTTCTTTTTTTTCGCAAAGCACAAAAAAGAAACTTGTCTAAAACAGAAGACAGGACTGTATAGTGCTACATGCTGGCTGCTGACGGCCCACAGTGAGGTCCATGTAAAGTTCAAGAATGAAAACATGTCTCAATGCATGACGAACATAGTTTCTTTCATCGTTGTAGTGTTCCATGTATTAATCTGAGTGCTGGAGTTCTTTTCTGCATTTTTGGTTTCTGTTTTTATAAAAAATAGAAACCCTCAATATAATGAGAGGAGTAATTTTTGAAGCCACTAATGTGCTTTTTAGAGTCAGCACAAATTACTGTCATTGGCACTGTTTCCGTCATTGTGTGTTTCCACTCTACCCTAAATCTGAAGACTTCCAATTTTTTTCTTATTTCACATATGAAGTAGAAGTTTTATCATCAAACAACTTATTACTTATTTCTAGAAGGTGAGATTTTTAAACAGATTCTCAACTATCTAATAAGGTAACAGCTGTCTTTCCTAGAGACAGGTCATTGGAGTTAACAATGTCTTTTGGCATCTTTAACTTTTTAAGTCTATATTAAGAGTCATAGTAATTTTGCAGACATACCTATTCCTGTTTTCACAGGAAAACTGATGACTATGCATTGGATCTTCTATTGCAAAATCATCTGGGTGCTGATAGCAGTGATGACATTAAAAGCCAATATTCACTGAGAGCTTACTACATGCCAGACGCTCTCCTGTGCTTTATATAAATTTGTCTACATTTTGAGTTAGGTACTTTCGTCATAACCTTGTTATAGATGAGAACACTGAGGCATAAATGACTTAGGCATAAATGACTTACTTAAGGTCACTGAACCTTAAGCAAGTGGCAGAGCCAAAATTCTAACCTAAAAAGTCTGGCTTCAGTGTCATAAAACTCAACTGAATCCCTATGGACATGGAAGGACCCACTGATCTTATAATGACCCCATCACTCAGGGGCTCTGGCCTTGTCAAATAAAGGAAAGGCCTATTAAAGCCATCTTAGTCCAGTGGTTGGTGGGTAATGCTTTTGGAGAGGATGCTATATATACTGAACTAATGACCTCTATAGTGTTGTCTCTCCCACAGGCCAAATATAGAGATCTAGGAGACAAGAAATGTAAGTATAGGTGGCACTTTTTATACCTGGAAAAGTGGCTTCCTGGAAAAATTTTGACTAACAATTCCAAAACAAAAATCTTGATAGATAAGAAATGAGTTGTCTCATATTATAATTAATAATCACATGAGGCTATTTAAATTCATTTAAATTAATACTAAATAAAATTAGAAATTATTTTCTTCAGACACACTAGCCATATTTCAAGTGCTCAGTAATCACATGCTAGTGGCTTCTGTATAAGACAGCAAAAATATACTTTCATTGTCATGCAAACTTCAAATCTTCATTTACGGTTTGGCGGTAAAGGAAACATACAGTCTGGCAGTAATGACTGGCATAAGTGTCCAGAGGTGGCTGTGCCAGGCGCAGCTTCCTGACCAGACCACTGCTGCAGCTGGGCCTGAGCTGCTCCATACTGTGTAACCTCTGCAGGTCACTATTTTCTGAGCCTGATTTTGGAAGCTACCTAATTTCCTCCTACACAAATTTATTTCCTGTTTAAGTTTGCCACAGTTGTTTTCTGTTAGTTGCAACAAGATCTTTTCCTAATAGAATGACCTTTACTTAACATTATCTGAAACTGAACAGCCTATACTATAGAAAATAATTACTAATGCTGAGCTACTGCAAATATTACCATAATTGTTCTTGGATCTCACAGGATAATTATCTAGAAGAACGCAGGTTTGTGGATAGAGCTATGCAGGCCTGAGATTGGTGTGAAGGGTAATTTCTTTTTCCCTGCAATTTGGTGACTGAAGGACACTGTTTAGTGAGGGTAAATGGACCCTGCTGCATGGAAAAAGCTTGGGGTTATAGAGGGGCGGGGGTGCCATGTGAGAGTCCCATGGCCTGCAGGCTTCAAGGGAAACCATATCTAATAGCAAAAGATCTCAAGCTTTTGACAAATCTCAATGAAAGTTACAGCCTCTGCTATAGAGAATGTCATGAAGATTTTGTTCTTTGCTAACAATAGAAGCAAAAGGAAGCTCAGAAGCTCCAAAGTGTGGCTCTAAGTCACAGCCAGCTGTGCCTGGCAGAGCAGCCGTCTTATGAGAACTGTCAGAGTTCCAGCCTGTATCACCGCAGGTTGACAAGAGGGCCAGGGTGAAGATCCGGGTGACATCCGCAGGGATGCATGTGTAAAACAGCACTCTGGGTAGGATGGAAAGTACCTGAGAAATGATCTGAAAAGAGACTTTCTTGCAAGGGTTCATAGGGACTCAAAGCCATCATAATTTGAGTTTTAATGGAAATGCAATCTTACAAATATTCACAGGCTGAAAAGGGGAATAGCACTTGAATTTTTTAAAGAGGAACTTTTTTTGCCATCAGATACATTCAACAGTGGAGTGGACTAACTTGTGCAGTAATGAGGTGCTTATCACTGGAAGGGCTTGGCTGGAGGTTGGATAAGCGACTGGCAGCTAGCCAGTGGAAAAGATTTCTTTGCGGGTGGGATTTCCAAAGCTTCCTCTCACCTAAAGGCTTTGTGAATCTCTGATTCTAAGTATAATAGAATCTGCAATCTAATGTGATTTCAAATTGCAAAGGTAGCAAATTTTTCTTCAAAACCCAAGGAAAACCAAGAATAGCCATTAAAATACTTGGAATTTGTGGCTGGACTCTTCAGTTTAACTCCCTTATTGCCTGGCTCTTTTCATTTTCTTTCTGTTTTCTTTCCCTGTAAAATAAACTGTGGGTTTGAGTAAGGTAGAAACTATTAAAATGCTTTAGAAGAAAGGTAAATGATTCTTAATACTATTAGAATTTTATTTAGAATATGGTGAACAATTCTTGTGGAATACTAATCCGATATGCTACAATGATTAAAACATTTCTCTCTAGAAAAACAATCCTATAAATTGCTCTGATTTCTGCAGCATTCTGAATATTTATGTTTCCAAGAAGATTTTAGTCAGAGGCTGAGGAACTTGGGGAAATAGAATTAGGGCTGGATTTTCCAGGACATTCACATGTGTAACCAACTCTGTGGCTATGCTTGGAATCTACTCCTGGCTCCGGATCAGAAACATACATAAACTCATATCGCATTTGCATCCTATCTGTTTCCAAGAGTCATTCTTCATAAATGCTGGAAGCTTGCTTTATGTTTTACCCATTTATTAATGACCTACATAATCTGTAATTTTTCATACATTTGGAGACTTTAGGTCTAGCTTCATCTCTGCCTGTTCTGCTTTTCCCATTTGGTTTTTCTGTTGTTTCCTCTTCTATCACATACTATAATGAAATATCAAAATAAATACTGTTACTTTCTACATTTTTCACAAATTTATTTAGCAAACATTTATTTCTAAAACTCGTTGCTTTGTTAGATAAGTAGATAGATAGATAGATGATAGAGGGAGAGATAGATGGATAGAATTTACCAAACAATATGTTACCACCATAAGATACTGCTTTCATTGTTGTACATTTTCCTATTTTTATTTGTATATGTTCCTATTTCCTGTGAGTTTTGTACTTTGTCGCCGTAACTAGACTATAAGCTATTTGAAAGGAACAAGAGATCTCTCTTATACAGTAAGATATGTCCAGTTTCTGCAACCATTCATGCATTTATTTAATCATTTATTTATTCAGCAAGCGCCTATTAAGAATATAGTCTGTACAGACTGCTGCACAATTGGCTATTGTCCTTTATAAAATCAAGTTCCCAGAAGTGAACATAGCATCCCAGACATACTTGACCATGATGGAGTAGAGCAGGACTGTTAATTTACCTGATTCCAAACCCAGAGGAAAGCTTACATTGAATTTTACTTGATATTATACCATCATCCGATACTGAAGGATATTATGAGAACTACTTCTATAAAACCTGTCCCAGATTGACTGTAAGTATATTTACATGATAGCGTTTCTGAGGATCCTAGGAGAAACCTCTCTGGTTGCACATCAGAAATAGTTGTGCTTCTTGTAGGTATCTGGTTTGCTTTTATAGCATAGACATACTGTGAACATTATAAGGGATTCAATTCCTAGTTATCTGCTAGCTTTTAGGAGGAACCCCTTTTCTTTATTCCTCATTCAATGACTGGACCAGCAGTCCAGTGGACCACCCAAGCAGGTATACCAAACTTCATGCCAGGCATGTTTTGTGCACAGTTCTTTTTCCTTTAACTAATTATTATGTACACTTCTTTGTGAATTATTTGTATCTTGTTAAAAGCAAGGTTTGGAGAAAGAACAGATTATTAACTTGATACCTAGTAAGCTAGATGGTAAATGATGATGATGATAGAAAAAGATAGATAAGTAAATATCTAGTCCTTTAAAATTCCTTGAGTTTGATTCTATACTTCTATCACTGCTGACCAAAAATTCACCTGTTTATAGGTTTTAGCCGTTATTGTTCTCTACTTAAGGGTGTTTTTTAGCACTAAGCCACTGTAAACCTAAAATGAATGAGGCCCCTTTGAGTTTTTCCTCTATTATGACTCTCATACACTCTCTTTTCTCTCTAGTCCCATTGCCACCATCCCTTTTTAAAGTTCTTGAGCTAAGGCAGTGATTCTTCCAAATACGTCTACAGTAAATTCACACTGGGGTTTTGCCCCATTTACAGTGATTCCCACCGTGACTGTCTCTGTGCTACACCCACTTTCTCCTTTGAAGGAAGCCGATTCTTCTCCCCCATCCTACTGGACATATGCTGTGAATAGTAGTTGCCAATTTCAAGCTTGACTTCATCTCCATGACTATCTTTTTTTGGCTAGAAGTATTATAACCGTTAGAAAGATATTTACCTAAAAATAATCAAAAACTGTCTAACAATAGCTTAAGCAAAAAAGATATTTTGTCATATAATGAGACTGAGGTAGTTGCTCACATTGGCTATTGTGGCTCAAAAAATTAGGGCCTATGTCTTTGCAATTCCTTTGGAATTTCCTACATATGTATTAACTCTTGGTATTAGTTGGCTTCTACATCTCAAGATATTATATCTGTTCCAATGGAAAGAAGAAAAGGAGAAGGGAGAAAGAGGGCCTGCAACCAAATCCAACATCCTCTATCAAGAGAGAAAATGGTGTCTTAGAAACATCTGCAACACATTTTCCTTAGAATCTCATTGGAAGTAAGTGGGTTTCAAGGATAGCTCCAGTTGCAAAAAAAAAAGAAAAAAAAAAACAGAAAATGAAGAACCAGATTGTAATGCTTAGCTAAAATTAATCATGATCAATTGTATGAAGTTTGGTTTCCAACATCTTAACATGAACTCAGGGTTTTGTTATCAATTAAGAAGTTGGGGCTGGGCGCGGTGGCTCACGCCTGTAATCCCAGCACTTTGGGAGGCCGAGGCGGGCGGATCACGAAGTCAGGAGATTGAGACCACCCTGGCTAACACGGTGAAACCCCGTCTCTACTAAAAATACAAAAAATTAGCCAGGCGTGGTGGTGGGCGCCTTTAGTCCCAGCTACTCGGGAGGCTGAGGCAGGAGAATGGCGTGAACCCAGGAGGCGGAGGTTGCAGTAAGCCGAGATCGCGCCACTGCACTCCAACCTGGGTGACAGAGCGAGACTCAAAAACAAAAAACAACAACAACAAAAAAAGAAGTGGGAAATGGTATTGAAAAGGCAGGTGAGCCCCAAGCCTATCAAAACACAAAACATCCCATCCCTTGACCCCTTGACCTTGTGATTTGTTTATGGATTGAAATACAACCCAAGGCTTGCTAACAGAGCCTTTAGAGGAAATTGTTTAAACTGGCTAGACAGCTGCCTATAATCACAGATTTTGCCTAATAAAGAATGTTGCATCAGGAAAGGAAGCTAACATAGAAAGAAATAGAAATAAGAAATGGACTCTCTCTCTCGCCCTTCCCCATGTGATTCAGCCGAATAACTCCAGTTAGTTTCTCAGGACCCAACCCTGAATAGTCTTGCCTCAATACCTTGCTTGCACTGACGTATTCCAGTACACACACACCTACACGTACACACACCTGAGTAAAAGTCTTGTTTGTGTTCTATTCTCAGCTCCGACATTCCCTCTTACACACCTTTATCACAGCACAGCTCACATAGGAGTGTACTTACTCCTAGTTAGGTGTGAGTATCTCAAGGGCAAAGACTGATAAAATTCAATGACAGTTTGTTTAATTGAAATTACTGGAAATGAGATACCATCCCACACCAGTTTGTCAGGAAAAAACAGGTGCTGGAGAGGATGTGGAGAAATAGAACACTTTTACACTGTTGGTGGGATTGTAAACTAGTTCAACCATTGTGGAAGGCAGTGTGGCGATTCCTCAGGGATGTAGAACTAGAAATACCATTTGACCCAACCATCCCATTACTGGGTATATACTCAAAGGATTATAAAACATGCTGCTATAAAGACACATGCATGCGTATGTTTATTGTGGCACTATTCACAATAGCAAAGACTTGGAACAACCCCAATGTCCAGCAATGATAGACTGGATTAAGAAAATGTGGCACATATACACCATGGAATACTATGCAGCCATAAAAAATGATGAGTTCATGTCCTTTGTAGGGACATGGATGAAGCTGGAAACCATCATTCTCAGCAAACTATCACAAGGACAAAAAACCGAACACCGCATGTTCTCACTCATAGGTGGGAATTGAACAATGAGAACACAGGGACACAGGAAGGGGAACATCACATACTGGGGCCTGTTGTGGGGTTGGGGGAGGGGGGAGGGATAGCATTAGGAGATATACCTAATGTTAAATGACGAGTTAATGGGTGCAGCACACCAACATGGCACATGTATACATATGTAACAAACCTGCACGTTGTGCACATGTACCCTAAAACTTAAAGTATAATAATACAAAAAAATTAGTGGAATATTTGCACAAGTGGAGGAAGAAAAGAGGTCCTAAAATCAGTCGAATTTTTCTTCCACTTGGCTTATATTTGGTTAAATTCTTCAGTGCTATTTCCTCTGACCTGCTATTGTCAGCTTCCATCCTGTTATAATGTTACTGGTATTTTGTAATTTAAAGATAGAGCCATATGACTATGTGTCATGAAGCAGGCATTGTGTTGTTAAGCCTAGCTTTATAGCTATAAAATACTTAATAATTTGATTCTATATTTGGAAGTTATCCTTCCATATTTTTGTACAGCTTTAAAAATTATCACCGGTACATCTCTACAAAATGTATCAATAATATGTTAAACAGCACAAAATTTAGAGTTTATAGGAAATCCACTAAAACCTGTACATAAAGTTGACATTGATCCTTTGGCCACTAGTCCTTGAGCCTAGTTCTTTATTTCACTGTGAGTCCATCTAACTGGAGTTTCATCCTGGCCACAGTGCGTAATATTGTCATCAAGTATTCACTAATTTTGGAATGAGGTTGAAAATACATAAATAATATGTCTGTTTCATCGTAACAATAAAACTTAGTTTCAGAAAAACTACATGACTTATCAATGCTTTTAGAACGGGTAAGTGGGAGAGTAGGTAGCTTTTCTAAGTGCAGTGACCATTTCATTATACAACAGCCCCCTTAACTGAAACTCTATCAAATGTCCTACTAAAATGAAACACTGTACCTGTAGCATTTTTATCTATCACTTTACACATTTTATTTAAATAGGAAATTATGTTTTCCTGGTGGGATTTGTTTTCAGTGAATCCACGCAATTTCTAAACATCACTTCTTCTTTTTCTACATACTTGCCAACTATCTATTAATAACTTATTTTAATCCTAAATGCCCTTTTCAGTTATCCAAGATATCTCCAGACAAGTATTTGCTCAGCTTCTTATAATCCCAGAGGCTGTAAAACTTCTGTAGATTTTTCACTTCTGCGAAGTGTTTTGTTCAGGAGCTATACAATACGAGAAGACTCAGTGTTACCAGAAAAATATCAGTTAACAAGTTGAAAACCAACCATAATTTATTTATTTTTTATTCTGAGGAATATTCCCTCTTAGACCATTGGCATAGGCAATTTCCACACTCCTATGTAAGGAGGGCTTATAGGCAAAAAACTGTTTGGAAGAGGACACATATTTGTTTTGATTTGTAAGCATAGTGAGCCCACTGTTTGTTTTGACTTAAATTTTCTGTGTATTTGTTATGTTTGGAGGACTTATGGAGATTGAACTAGAGGACTAAAGCACTGCACCTGGCCCACCATGATGTTGTCACTGGATCCTGGACAGTTACTTCACATGCCTGAATTTCTACCTCATCCAGGTAACATGCTTGCTCTGCAGTTAGAATAGTCAATAAGACCAAGGGCTGAACAGAAGCCTGCTAATTGTCCAAACCACTCATGTCTGGCTGCCAACTGGCAAGTTTCTCCTGGAACAGTAGTGCACTACTCAGTGACAGAAGTCACTGTAGATCAACCTGAGACAATTCCCTCCCCCAAGGGGAGCACAGCAGAGGACTCAAAGACTTTGCCAACCAGAAGTCTGAAGACTTAATTTCTCCTGGGAGGAGTAGCTGCTGTACAAACCGATAAAATCACACCCCAAGAAACCCAGACTATAAAATACCTCTTTGTAAAATTCACAGTGTAATAGAGGTAAAAGGATTAGATTTGTGCTTCAGTATCCTCCTTTTGATTGCAGATGAACAGGAAAAGAATGAAACTTTATAAGGTAGACTGGGGCAGTTAATCAGTTTTAAAGTGAGAAGTATATTGGAGAATATGTAAGTTCAACCTTGATACATATTATACTTCTTGTCTGTGTTTAACTATATATCATATGATTTATTACACATTTTATAATAATTAATTATACATTTATACACACACACACACACACACACACACACACACACACACACACACACTCTCTCTCTCTCCTTGATTTGGTGGGGGAAAACAACACAAATTATAGAAAATCTGTTTCTCAGCCAGGGCAATGGGGTCAAAAAAAGATTACTGTTCAGTCTAAACCAATTGCCTTCCAAGCTAATAAACTTAAAGACATTTCACTCACTTGATAATGTCAGGGCCAACTTGGGGGCCCACCATAGGCAAATTTTGCTTTGTGTGCCTATTCATAATAAGGTCAAGGTAACATTATGTCTTGAATTGAAGACTTTTTTTTTTTTGTCAAGGAATATAAACACAAAAGATGCTTCTGTGATGGAGACAGTGAATAATTAGGAAGTAGAAAGTGGATTTCATTGTTTAGTCTGGGTTTGATGAAGGTAGACTGAAGTAGGAAGACTACGGCTTGATCTTATATGTGTGGGCCTTAAGTATTTTTAATGTCTCTTGGTAAACCAATTTTCTTCTGCTTTATAAGCAGTATCTCAAACACCAATGCAGGAGTCCCCTAATTTGATAATTCCATAACCTTCATGTAATTCCATAATTTCCATGTCCAGGTGACCCAACACATGACTTTTATAACTCAGTTAAATAATGGTATATTTCTATACTTTTTCTGGCTTTAGTAATGATGATGTTATTTGATTCAGTTGCTTGGTCCCTACAAGAAACAGTACACCAGTCAATGTTTGTTTCCAATAAAACTTACAATTATTTCAACTTTCTCTTATTTTTTCTTCCAGTTCTGAAATTGTTAATACAGTGAAAGGCTACTAAAATCAAGTATTCATAAAAATATGTCAAAATATTCTGTATTCTGGATAAGTGCCCAACCAGAATGTTATTTGCCTGTATTGACGCTAAACTGTATCCTCAGTGTTAAGTCATGACCGTTCTCAGAGGCAGGGGGCTTTCCTTAATGTGGAAACTAAATAATTAGACGTTCAACTCTCACGACATCCTTTTTTGTCTGCCCTGTAGGTTTGTTCACAGAGCTAAACACTTGGAAAAACATTTTGGAAAAAAAAAAATGAAATGCTTATTCATGGGAAATCTTTACTCCACCCAGGAAAAGATAAATGGCACTTAAGAACTACTCTTTAAGAGTGAGATGTTTATTGAAATAAGGGAGGCTAATTGTCAAAAATGATGAGAAACAAATGTGAAAAGCCCTATGTTTGGAGCTCTGGCCACATGGAGCGTTTAAACAAGCATATGCTGTGTTTCAAAAGAAGAGACGTAGTTTGAAAGTTGCCATTTTTTGGAAAAGAAATGTTCAGTGAAAGAGAGAGAGAGAAAACAACAACAACAACAACAATCATGGCTGCTAACAGCAGTTCCAGAACATAGAGTAAGAAAGAGAACATGGCTGCCAATGTTCTCGTCTCTGAAAGGCTGAAACTCCACTTTGATATCAGTTTACCTTTTTAACAATATTTTCATGACAAACCAGTTCTGCTGGAGACATGTGTTAAAGGGGGTGATGTGTGATTGCTGCTAGAGATAGGATCACGTTCTCTATAGATATGAGATGTGTAGTTCTTCTTGGTCCAGTTCTCAGTCTTTCCACTGTTTTGCCATGAATTCCCAGATCAGTCTAGAATAGAGTTGCTCAAAGTTGGCACTGTTGACATTTTAGGGAGAAAATGCGTTATTGGGAAAGGGCTGTTCTGTATGTTGTCGGATGTTTAACAGCATCCTGGCCTCTACACATGAGATGCCAGTAGCAGCCCCCACCCATTTGTAACAACTAAAAGTGTCTCCAGACATGGCCAGATGTCCTCAGGGAGGCGCAAGGAAAGGAGAGAGAATTTACTGAGGAGAGCTTTTTACATTTATTGCTCTAGATGATAAAACATAAATTTACGGTTCTCAGATAAGCTGTGTATTGTATGTTTACAAATGTATTCAGCAAATGTATTCAAGCAAACTTCATGACACCAGAATAGGGTAAACTTGGTCTTAGATGGTCCCCATTAGAAAAGGTCAGTAATTTAGTAGTACTTCTATTCTTCTCAGGCAATAGGCATTATTTCTGGTGCCTCTATAGATTGTCTACAGCCTACATGGGCTTTGGAATCAGACTGACCTGGATTTTGGTGCTGGCTCCCTCACCACCAGTGTAACCATAGGCTTATTATTTGACCTCTCTAAACCTCAGTTTTCCTCATCACAAAAGGGAGTCAGTATTGACCTAAGAGGACTATTGTAAGGATTAAATAAAATAGCACACCTTCATATTTACACTTGGTAATTCCCTAATAAATCATCATTTGTTATGATGTGGTGCAATCACATTCAGGTTCAATGAAGTAGAGATGTCATTTTTCTTGTTTAACCACTGAACCAATTATGACTGACAGATCTCATTAAATAGAGCATGTTTAAATAACCATACAGTAGAACCTACAAATAATTAGAGCTCTTTCCAGCTTTTATTTTTGACTTGTCTTTAGTTATCCTCATGTTGGATGCACATTAGTCACTTGTTTCTGTCCCATCAGCCCACAGTTTTGTTTTCAGTGGGAGTGCCCAGTGAAATAATCAACATGAACTTAATTGCAACTTGACAAGCTGCAGAGTTGTTTCAATAAATGTGCAACATGCTGAGCTGTATGCACTTAGAAGTCAGCAAATGTTGACCAGTAATATCTTATTTGGGATCCACCCAGGCCCCATAACCCAGTGATGGCATTCCTCTGAAATTAGGAAGAGATTCAAGTTGCTCAATGCTCCATTTTAAACAGAAATACACCAGCAATATACCAGCTGCAGGAAAGAGGATGGGAAAGAGTCTCACAGCAGTCAAGAGCAGACAATGATCCAAGTGACAAGAAGACACAGGCCCATTTGGGGTGTCTCCCATTCATTTCTGCTGAACTTTTTCCGAAGACCATGCTGCTCAGAATTGTGAAAGGGGACCAATGACTATTATGAGAAACAAAATATTCTTCTTTACAAAAGCCTCCCAGAGGAATAGGGATGTTTACAGCACTTGGAGAATGGCCAAGCTGGTGTATCTTTCAGCACAAAGTGGAGACATGTTCAAGTCCAGTTCACAGCCTATGGTTTGTACATAGGCAAAGCACACCAAATGTCTCCCTAAAGGTGGTGTTACCCGAATAGCCCTTTGAAGGCTTCTACCTGGGGAACATGATTGCCCATTGACAATCACCTCCATTTGAGAGACTCATCTGCCTCAATGCATTGTGCAACTTCAGGAAGCCTCATTCGAGGGCCTGAGACAAACATCTGGAGTGTTCAGCTGAGTCAAACCAAGTAAGTCAAAAGGGTGACCACTGTGCCCCTGATCCTTTCCAGCCTCATCGCTAACTCAGTGGTTGCTTCTCACTAGTACTAGTAGTACCTCCTGGGAGCAAGAAACAGAAATACAACTCATGGCAGTTTAGGCCTAATGAAAGGAAGACCCTTTTAATCAGGAGAAAGAAAATGTTCAAACTCCAGCATCATAGTGTGAGTGTGGAGTGAGCATTTCCTAGAAGGGAACTGTTGTTTTGGGCATATAAAACAACAGATGTCCACTCCTACTTTCTGTCATTTCCCACAGGTGATATTGATGTATAGCAGTATTGATGCTTTAAATCAGGTTCACTACCTGCTTTTATAAAGTTTTTTTTTTTGATACAGCCAGTTCTATTCATTTACTTCTAATTTCTGGTTGTCCATTTGTTATAATGGCAGAGTTAAATAGCTGCTCTAGAGACTATGTGGTCTACAAAGCCTGTATCTAATATCTGACTCTTCACAGAAAAACTGCTTATCCCTGCTTTAAATCATTCTCTCAGAGAATATCTAGATTTAAAATTTGGCTTAAGTAAATCCAAAATGGTTACAGGTTTGACAAACCTTTCCAGTCCCTATTTTTTTTAAAGGGACTGATTATATATTTATATATATTTGATTATATGTCTAAATGTATATATTTATTGCTGTAACTACCCTGAGATATTTAGTTTATTTAGTTGTTTGTCAACCAGTTTTAAAAACTAAAACATATGAGATTTATAACAGATTTACACTTCAAAAACTGATCATTTAAGAACAAATAATTAGGCTTTCCATCTACCCTAAATGTTCAAGAATTTTATGTAGTATGGCCATGACTCTACTTCAACTCCTTTTTATTAATTAACCAACTAATTTCAAATCATAAACAGATAATGATGGTCTTTTTATATATTTAAATATCTTACAAAGTCTGGACAAAATTTGACAAAAGTAAATACTCATATTCTTCATGATGTAATTATTGCTGACTAAAAATCCTATTTTCCCCAGGCTTGACTTAGATGGTCCTGGAACTTTCTACCACTAAAGATCTCTAAAAAGCCATGTGCTAACGGCTTATAGGGAACTTCCTTCTAATATTCCATTTTATCTCTGTAATTGCTAAAATCGCCTGGGAAACTAACTAGATTATTAGTTCATGAGAAGACTTTTATGGGTTTTCTAATGATCCAGATAGTTTATGCCTTACTCCTTCTGACTTTTCCGTGAATTATGTAACTTAATGATGAAACAATGGAAGATTAAATAAATAAATAAATAAAAGTCCTGAAAGGACATTTACTCTTTTTTGCCTCAAAACATTTTATTGATGCTACAGTTCAGGTTATTAATGATTCAAAAAAACAATGGTACAATTTAACTTTAAAAAAAAGTTTATTTTATTTCAAAAACAAAGAAGCAGCCAACCAAACAAACAAAAACATGTAATGAGGACCTACTGTATTTCAGCAAAGCACTAGTTTGGCTAGTGGCGGATATAAGAACATCTAAGACAATGTCATCTCCAAAGAGACTCCCAATTTGGGAGGAAGATAAAACAGATAGACCGCAAATTATAATGCAATTCAGACTTTGAAAATAAGAGTTTTGATGGAGGAAAATGAAAGTGCCTTGGAAGCATAGTGTAGAGGGCAATTAATTCTAAACAAGGAAGGAGACTGGGGTTCCCAGAAAATGTTTCACAGGGAGCATGCATTGGAATTCAGTCTTGATGCTCATGGTGTGTGAAGGGTGGGAATGAGAACTCTGGTTCACTATAGACTTCAAGGAGAGAGAATATCACGACCCAACGCAAAGAGATTTGTGTGCTTTTCTTAATCACTTACCATATTTCATTGAAATGAGTTGTTTAAGTGTCTGGTTTGCCTTTCCTACCACACTTTAAGTTCCTAAGAAGGAGTCACATCTTCACTGCACTACCAAAGTCTCACACAGCGGTGTCCCTTGAATTAAGCAATGACCCAAGTATGTGATTAAATCCATTTCACATTCACCTTGTCTTCAATTGCAATTCAAGTTTTCCAATATTCAAGCTTTTAAGAAGCTATGAGTAATTTTAATGCCACCCTAAATCTTACCAGTTTACTAAGACAATATATTTACCCTCTCAGATCCTCAGGTTTCTAATCTACAAGTTGGGAAGGGGAGAGTAGAGAGGGATGTGGCAGGGAAAGAATAATATCACTTACATCACAGAGATTAGGATAGAATGAGGCAACACGTGTCAAGTGTTCAGCTCCATGATGAACCCATAGGAGATACATTCATTTCTTTCAAAATAAAGAACAATAATTGCATTTCTCATATGCTCAATACTAGCATACGATTTTCTAAAACTTGTCCCAAGGACCCGATTTCCCTGTGGGCTCTTCCAAAAGCATTTCTGGGATGCTGCACAACATGGTCACCTCTAGGAGAATTACACTGCGGGAATTACACTGTGGGAATTACACCACACAGCCACGTGTTAAAGTCTCAAAGAAGTCCTGCAGTAAACAAGTCTGCTTAGCTTTCTTGAGCCCAAAGTTTTTCAAACTTATTTGAACCCAGACTTTTTTCTCATGATGCTGGTATCCATCAAGACACACTTTACAAATTCAAATCTAAAAATTGTACAGGGCTGGGTATGGTGGCTCACACCTATACTCCCAGCATTTCAGGAGCCTGAGGAAGGAAGATCACTGGAGCCAAGGACTTCAAGTCCAGCTTGGGCAACATAATGAGACCCCACCTCTACAAAAACAAAAACAATCCAACAGAAACATTAGCTAGGCATGGTGGTGCATGCCTGTAGTCCCAGCTACTAGGGAGGCTGAGGCAAGAGTTCAAGATTGCCATAATTCCACCACTGCACTCCAGCCTGGGTGACATAGGGAGACTGTGTCAAAAAAGAAAGAAGAAAGAAAGAAAGAAAGAAAGAAAGAAAGAAAGAAAAAGGAAGGAAGGAAGGAAAAGAAAAAAGAGAATATGGTATGGTAGGCCCATTACTTTCACTCTGCCCTACAAATGTCCTTGCCCTTCTTCACATTCTATCACATGCATAAGTAAAAGTAGCAGGAAAGTGGTTCTTTGGTTTGATTTGGTTTTGTGCCTCTGAAATAACCATTTTACAGTATCATGTGTTAAATGTGAGTTATATACTCCCCTTTCCATGAATATTGAGCGTCCTTCTTTAAAATCAAAGTAAAATAATTAAAGACCATGTTATTTTAAGGTTTTATTTATAGTTTTTATTCTTTTAATTTTTTTTACATCTGTGCCATTTGGGTTTACTTATTTATTTTTAATGCAGAGATGAAAGAAGTTTCAGGAAAACCTCTAGAGTGACTCTCACCACCCACGGTTGCCTGGACCTTTAATGGTCTCACCTGGGCTCCGCACTGTCCTACCTCCTGCCACCAGCCCTGGAAAGGACGCAACGTTGTTATCATTTGTCATTCAACACTAGCTAATAATTCTGTGTTGAATTCAAACCTCTTTCATCATAGGTTTACTTTTTAATTATTTTACTTTCACTTTATCCAGGAGTCCCAGTCTGAGGATATATTCACCTTTCAAAAAATATCATATGTAATAATGAAGCCACGTCTCTCATGCTGTGAAACTAGTAAAATAGAAATGTATCTCTCATAAGCTCTGAACTCTAGTAAAAAAGACTGAAAACATTTTAAGTGATAAAACAATAGTAGCATAACATTAAACATACAAATATATGTTTTGAAATTTTAATGGAAAATATATGTAGCCTCCATATCAGATTTTAAGTTGCTCAGTGGCTGAAACAACCTCTGGTTTTTCTTGTTATCCCAGGGTTCTAGTACAGTGTCTTGTACACAGTGTATTCTCAAACATTATTCATTGAGCTAAATTTAGCTCTTTAAAGAGTTAAGTCTTCAGTGGAAGTTATTGCAGGAAAATCTGGATCTTTGAAGAGTAATGAACTGTAATTGCATATCAATTTACTGTGTCTTCACATAACTAAGATCTAAGTCAGCGAAAAAATAAGGTGGCCCAAATGTCCTGAAACTCACAGCATTCTTGATCCTTTAAATCAGAACATATAAGAAAAAATAAAATGTATTTTACATTTGTGTTAGAAATTTTCTTAGCTTGCTAAATAAGCATCTGTATTATCCAGAATTTAAAATGGGGTTGTTATCTTGCCATTCTCAACTTTCAGAAGAGGATACGGGGAGGAGAAAAAGAAAGTGGAGGAGGGGCAAATAGAAAAAGAGAGAGAAAAGAAGGGAGAAGAAGGAAGGGAGGGAGGGAGGGAGGAGGGAGAGAAGAAATCTAGGTTTGCTTATTTGTATATTTCAAGCAACTTTTACAGTTTGTCCAAGAGTGAATCTAAATTAAATTGAATTTCCCTGTATCACTTTTCCTCAAACTTCAGTGTTGTACAATCAGTTTCAAAACAGAAAAGTTTGATAATTAACTAATTTTTCATCAGTCCATTATCAATAAAATTCAATAATGAATCCCAAAATTTAATAATGTAAAAAAATCACTAAATTAAAAAATTCTTATATTTACTTTTGCATTTATTGCTGTTGCACTTTTTAAAAATGCCTTGTTACACATATAAAGGCAAGATCCCCAACTGACATTTCCTCATAGCCTGCATATCATGAGTATCCTGCCTCCTGCTTTGGGTGGGGCTCTTTTCACTTCAGTGTGTTTGCACTTCTCTGTGACAAGGGAAGGCCCCAAAGTCCCACTACTTCTCTCTAACCAATTATGATAAAACCATCTCCATAATATCATTTGGCCTTCACATACCACAAATAGTTTATTTATTTACATAGTAAATCCACTCCTAAATTTTCTTCATTACTCCATAACAGTAAGTTCCCAAATTCATTTTTATGGTGTCAGACCAAAGTCTAAATTTTTAAATAAGGAATTAAAGTCTTGGTCAATTAAATAGTTTTTCCGTTGCACATTCTTGTTGCAAACAAAAAGTTCTATCATTATACTGGCAAAAGGAACTCATCTCAATGGCTACCTTAGGACAAATATTTTGACATTAGTTTGGGCCAAGGATATTAGGAGTTAAGTACTAACTTCTTTGATGATCTCTCAGCATTGATGCAACAGTAACACAAATAGAGACCCTGAATCCATATAGCAATCTTTGGTGATCTGGCGTAAGAAACATGTACATTTTTTAATTCAGTAAAATGAAAAAACTAATAAGTTCTCATAGAACTTGCAAGCTCTGAAGAATACATCAGAATATTTCAATTTACAAAGCACTGCCATTTAGATCTACAGTCTTACACATCAAATTTATTATTTAAATAATGATCCTTAAATACTTTTGGATTCTTTTTTTTTTTTTTTTTTTTTTGTGAGACAGTTTCGCTCTTGTTGACCAGGCTGGAGTCTGGTGGCACACTCTTGGCTCACTGCAATCTCCGCCTCCCAGCTTCATGCAATTCTCCTGCCTCAGCCTCCCGAGTAGCCGGGATTATAGGCGCTTGCCACCACGCCTGGCTAATTTTTATATTTTTAATAGAGACCGGGTTTCACCATGTTGGCCAGGCTGGTCTCAAACTCAACCTCAAGTGATCTGCCTGCCTCAGCCTCCCAAAGTTCTGGGATTACAGGCATGAACCACTGAGCCCAGCCCTGGATTCTTAAATTATCAATTTTTGAAAGTTTTATAAAACAGTTTTTAAATAAAAGATGTTTTTTCCCACCTAAAACATGATTTAATCTGCAGTTTTATTTTATTAATGTGCTCCACTCCACGTGAGTTTTTTTTTCTATTGAGTTTCAGTTGCTGAGACTTGTAATTCAGCATCTGAGTAGTAAAATCATCCATCCAAGACCTGTTAACAAGGACACTCATGAAAAATAGCTTGTAATATCTTCTGCAATTACATGATACTTCTCCTAAACTAATCTTATCGTTGTGAAACTAATAGGATTTTTTTCTTTTTCTTTTTTTTAGTAACTAAGAATTTAGCTTTGAAAGTGGTATTTTCTGCTATATATTGTTGACCATTTCCTTTCTTTCTGAGTTGAATTTTTCCCTTGGAGGTGGAATCATTCTTTCAGGGAAACTATCACTTTATCTGACCGTGTCATCATTCAAAATGTGTATGCCCACAAAAAGATAGAAAATGGAGCAAAATGTCAACATGTAATGAAAATAAAAAACTATGTGACTCTTTGGAATTTGTTTTTTTCTTTGCAGAAAAACCAACTTTGTTTTCCAGAACACCAACCAGATAAGCATCAAATTGTATTAACTGACCATATGGATCTACTCCAAAGAACCAATTTCAGAGTCACTGAGTTTTCTGACTTTGAATAAGATCATATCATTTCTTTGGGCATAATTTGCTGAAATTCAATTTAAATCAGTCTAAACTCATGGCCATTACCTACAAATACCTAGAGTTATCTTGTATCATGAGAGCTAGCAAAATTTCTGTTTTACTCTGATATGAACAATCTTTACTTCTAGGATATTAATTGATATAAAAGGGTATATGTATAAACAAATATGAAATTATCCTTGAGGCATGGAAAATTTGATCCTCTTAAAGAGCTCTTTGGTTTGATGTTGCTTGGTTTGCTTTCTTTTTGTTCTGAGAATTAGCATGACTCAGCAGTCTGTAATGTTAATTGCAATCAAGACCAACAAGTTAATTCAAATAAGGAAACTTCAAGAAAATCATTAAAGTACCAGGCTAGCTATTAATGATGATAATAACAATAATGATATTTTATGTGTCTATAGTTACTTTTTATATGAGCATTTAAGAGGACTTTACTAATAAATACTTTGATTTTACCCAAATAAAGCTACTTTTTCAATTATATGCACTTCTGTAAAATTGCTTCAAATATCAGTATGCATCATACACATAGAAGCCTTGAATTTTAGCACTTGAACCATTTATGCACTTAGTTTATTTAAAGAATATCAGTTTTTTTAATGTTCTAGAAATAGCTTGCATCCTGAAAATTGATTACAGGTGTTATCAAAGTTAAACAGCTATTATTATAAATGATACAAGAGAAAATATAGATATATGCACCTCTTTTATAGGTCAGAAATGGAAATTCTAATGACCTAGAAAAGAACATTTTTGGAAATTTGTCTCATCTCAGTGAAACTTAGGCTTTTTCTTGTTCTTCCAGGTTGAATACTTTAATAGCAAAACTCTTTGTCTTAAAAAATATATATACACATACACATGCCTTGGGTTCAGGGGTGCTCTGATACATTGTAAGTTATCCTAGATGAGAGAGTATCCTAGGAGTGATCATTCCTCCTCTCTGCTGAGTGAGCCCCTCCAGGATGGGGCTGAGCAGTGCATTTATCCCCTAAAAGATAAATTTAGCTCTGTGGTGAAAGGCATTGAGTTGTCAATGGTTCCCTAATGAAACCTTCACTTGGCCGGGCACGGTGGCTCACTCCTGTAATCTCAGCCCTTTAAGAGGCCGAGGTGTGCAGATAACCTGAGGTCAAAAGTTCGAGACCAGCCTGGCCAACATGGTGAAACCCCATCTCTACTAAAAATACAAAAATTAACTGGGCGTGGTGGCACATGCCTGTAATCCCAACTACTCGGGAGGCTGAGGCAGGAAAATTGTTTGACCCTGGGAGGCAGAGATTGCAGTGAGCCAAGATCATGCCAGTGCACTCCAGCCTGGGTGACAGAGCAAGCAAGAAAAGAAAAGTAAAGAAAAGAAGGAAAGGAAAGGAAAGGAAAGAAAAGAGAAAAGAAAAGAAAAGAATAAGGCCTCTGTGGCTGGAAGCTGGTAAGGGACAAAAGATAATCTTAGAAACAGGGTCCAAATCCTATGGGATCAAGTAGGTTGTGATAAGGAGTTTCAATTTTGCATTCATTTCAATAGGAAGATATTAGAATGCTAAGAAGATCACCACAAATGTGCTTGTTTGAAAACTAATAATAATGGTAGTAATAATAGCAACAATTCAAAAATAACAGTGGTTTGGATTTTCTCTCGCCAGCCCTCACTCTCCTCCAAATGAGATAAGAAAGGTGTCACAGTGCCAGGGAAGTATAATAACATCAGAAGGGGTGAAACCTGTGCAGAGCTCTGAAGCATTGGCAGAGCCTGGCCTGGTGGCCAGCAAGAGGCTAATGGTGCCAATTACCAACAGAGGGAGCCTGGAGATGGAGCAGACTCCTGGAATATGATGATGGAGGAGACTGACTCATTTTTGGATATTTTATGAGTAAGTAGTCTATTGGAATATCCAGGCGGATTTTTTCAGCAGACCTTTGTAATAATGTCAGAAGAACCGTCTGACATTATTATAAAGAACTTAAGATAGAACTGTAGATTTGGGAGCCCTAAACATACACAGTGATCAGCATGTACGTTTTTTGTATTTGTGAATTAAACATGGTTTAAAAACATTGAACAGTCTATTTTTTGAGAGAGTAAAATTCCTAAGAGACAGAATGTTAGAAGATATTTACAATCTGTGTTGTAGTAACCAACAGAGTATATAGTGACTACTAAAACCTGGGAGCCGTTTTTTTTTTTGTTTTTTTTTTTTGTTTTTTTTGTTTTTTTTTTTTTTTGAGACAGAATCTTGCTCTGTTGCCCAGGCTGGAGTGCAGTGGTGCAATCTCGGCTCACTGCAACCTCCACCTCCTGGGTGTAAGCGATTCTCATGCCTCAGCCTCTGGAGTAGTTGGGACTACAGGCACGCACCACCATGCCTGGCTAATTTTTGTATTTTTAGTAGAGACAGGGTTTTGCCGTGTTGCCCAGGCTGGTCTTGATCTACTGGCCTCAAGTGATGCACCACCCTCAGCCTCCCAAAGTGCTGGGATTATGGGTGTGAGCCACTGCGCCTGGCCAGGAGTCTTTCTTCTTACCAGTTTTATATAAGCAACAACAAACTCCCTTACCCAGCAGTATTACTAAAATGACTAGAAGCATTAAGGTTTGAGGACATTCCTAGCACAATGCCAGACCCTTTATGACTTTTTTGACCCATGACAACAATCCCACTTAAAATAAAACAAAAACAAACAAAGAAAAGCAAAACAGACTCTGTAAACAGAAAATTCACTTGCTACTTTATAGCCAGGTCTCTTAACCTGAGGTCCATTGGATTGCTTGGTCTCTAGAGAGGCTTCAGGTAGTCTGTGAATCCTTTGATTTATAATCAAAATAGTTGGGGTGGGGGAAAGATGTACATGAAAATTTTCCTAGAGTCCATCTCTCTCATCAGAGACTCCAAAAATTTCTTGACTCAGGAGAGTTTAGAAACCATTGCCTTATACTGATAATATTGTTGTTGGTAACAATGATGACATAATATGAAAATTCCCTTCTTCGCCACCTACCATACTCTCACAAATTCACCAAAAAAAAAAAAAAAAAAACCAATAACAACAAACAAAACAAAAACAATATTTGGTAATTTGGTATCAGTACCAGCAATTCCCTGATGATTTTAAGTGTAAAGGTAGGTGTACAGCCCACAAGTTATCCACTACTAGTCCACCATCCCTTGGATACACTCGCCTGGTTGGCGTTTCTAGTTTCTCCATTTCTCATATTTGTCAATCCCCTTCTGCTAATTTCTGGGTATAATATAAATTAAAATGTTAATATATAGCTATTTGGGCAAGGTGAAGATATAGAGTGTCTTGAATCCAGGTCACTAGAATTTGTAGAGCAGCCTACAGTTTAAAAGTATTTACTGTGAGTTAGGGTATAATTCATTTCCATTTTATAGATCAGAAAACAGAGTGCTTAGGGGTTAGATGACTGGCCTAATTTTATCCAGCTGGTGCAGTGCCAGGACTTAAGCCTAAAAGTTCTGACTCAAAATTCTTGTTCCACAAACTGAGACAGCTTTTCCCAAAGGAATGAAACCCAGCCTTTCTCTTCCACAGTGCTCCATTAAAAAAAAAAAAAAAAAAAAAAATCAAATACGTGCCAATTAATATAGCTCTGTATAGGGAGATTTTAAAATATCTGGAAACAAACTAACCAAACAACTGTTTAACTTTCTCATCCTAGACATGACCAGAAGACTTATTGAACAAAAACACTGCAATGATGCTATACTAGATCCAGCTCTATCTTTGAAAGTAACCTCTTTGGGTTGGAGAGTTGTGATGGAGAATAATGTTTTTATACCCTCTTCCCCAATAACCTCGAAACATATATTTTGAATGAATTAGCCACCAAAAGAAAAAAATGTGTTTTCTCTTGACTATTTGCTTTAGTTTATTAAGGTTTTCAATCAACACTCTTCCTTATCCAAAACCCTTCTCTTACTTCCAGTCTTTTCCAGGTAATACTGTTACTGGTCTCCCTGGGGCTATTTTTCTAGTACAATCAAGTCTGCTATTTTTTTTTTTTTTTTTTTTTGCCAGATAATCCTTCTAAACACAAACCAAATGGCATCAGTCTCCTGCTCAAAAACACTGATCATTACCTACTACAGGATACCCTTAATGAGCCCTTCTGTAATCTGGATTCAAAATCTTCAATTTTGTCTCTTTCTGTTCTCTATACCAATGGTGATAAATATGTGGAACATTTATCATTGTTTCTCCCCAAGCTCACATATTCATTCAACATATAGTTGTTGGATATCTGCCACATGCCATGTACCCTGCAGGGTTATCACAGGCATGTGACCCTGACCTCATAGAGCTCATCATTTAGAAAAGACAGACAATTAGAAAGAGAATAAATAAACTATAAGAATTACTAAGGAAACTGAGTGACTGTTGAGATATAGAAAATCAGCATGGGGTTTGTGGCAGAAAAGAAGGGAGTTATTTAAATAAGATGATTAGGGAAGGCAAAGGGGAGGATGTGACATTTTAAATAAGAGGAAGTTGGGCCAGGCACGTTGGCTCATGCCTGTAATCCCAGGCTTTGGGAGGCTGAGGCAGGCGGATCTCATGAGGCTAGGCGTTTGAGACAGCCTGGCCAACATGGCAAAGTCCTGTCTCTACTAAAAATACAAAAATTAGCTGGGTGTGGTGGTGTGCGCCTGTAGTACCAGGTACTCAGGAGGCTGAGGCGGGAGGATCACTTGAACCCAGGAGGCGGAGGTTGCAGTGAGCAGAGATAGCACCACTGCACTTCAGCCTGGGTGACAGGGCAAGACTCCATCTCAAAAAATAATAAACAAATAAACAAATAAATAAATCTAAAAAGAAGTTACAAATTTAGGGACCAGTATGTGCGAAGAGCCCAAGGTGGGAAAGAGTTTGCAAAAGCTGAAAGAGGCCCTTCTGGATGGAGACCAGGGAATCGAGACAGTGGCCTCCAATGAGAATGAGTCCAGCTTCTGCAGGTCCCTAAAGGCTATGGGGACAGTTTGTTTTTTACCCAATGTAATGGGAAGTCAGTAAAGAATTTTAATCGGGGAAGTGCCACAATTCAATTAATAATTTTGAAAGACCAAGAAGGCATTGATAACCAAGACAATCCTCTGCCTTTACAGGGAATTCAAATTGTAATAGTACTGATCTTGAAAAGTACAGATACTAGGGTATTAGGAAAAAAGGCACCATACATTGTACAAATACGTGTTTGTTTCAGATTTTAGTCTAACAAAAATAAGTCTGGAAAATTTTAGAGGGTTCATTTCAGGACTGGAACTGTATTAAGCATCTCTTTTCTGGATCTAAGGTCTGGAGTACAGTACATGGAGACAAGGAAGTGCTTTCAGTCACAACTTCAACTCTTTTGGCCTATTAGTTGTAGAAGTCTAGACAGGGTAGAATAGAATGCAAATTTCAGAATATATTATAAAGCAAACCTAGTTTGACTTTCAGAGCATGAATATAGATTGCATACCAAGTGAATTCCATATATAAAACTACCTAACATCTAAGAAAATAATTCTAGACCAAAAAAATTTTTTTTAATATTTAGAGCAGATAATAGTCCCAGGGCAGCATAGGTTATAAGCTCATGTTTGTTTCAAATTGTCCTCATCTTCCTGATTCTATGCTGCTTTTATTTTCAAGAAAGAGAAAAGTCCCCCTACTTCACCCCTTGCTTCCTTCCTATCACATTTCTGGAAAGTACCTCTAACTTGATCATTATAATAGACAATATTAATTTAACATTTATTTCATGCCTGGGACTGTTCTAAGCACTTTAACTATGTAATCTGACTTTCAAATGAGGACACTGAGGCTGCATGAGGTTATATAATTGCAGAAGGTTATAAAACTACCAAAGATTTAAGACAGGATTCAAACCCAGGTCTAACTCAAAAACCTGTGTTCCTACCTACTATGCTGGGGGGAGATGTGAGATGGTTTTGTAGAATTGTTCATGGGGAAGAAATCATTCTAACAACCTTAGGATTTCAGCTCCCTACAAGAAGAAATGCTCAGCAAATGGTTCACAGTAGCAGCACTTGCAGGTTAAATATGAATCGCAGATGCCATTTCCAGTCTGTGGATATGAAAATTCAGTGATAGTAATAAAGATGGCTTTCTGTATGTTTTTATGAACGTTAACTGTACTTGAAGGCAATGTTAGACATCCTTAAGACGTGGCAGATTTTGGCAAAAGCTGTACTGTAGTTTCTTATCATGGAAGTCTAAGAGTTAAAAAAAGAAGAAAGTGACTAGTCAAAGAGTAAATATATGTGTTCTAAAGGTTGTGAGATAAATTTAAATAAAAATAGAAGAGAAAAAAAGTGTAAGTTTCTAGGTGGTATCTTTTAGAAATATATGGAAAAAAAAAAAAGATCTTAACACATAAGCCAGAGTTCTCCAAAGATGGTAAGATGTTTAGCACTGCTAGAATACAGGATGATTTTACAAGAGAGCTGAATGAATATGATCTCTATTGTGATAGCTCCATCTTTACTATAATGTGTATTCAGAAAAATACTACATATATTTGTGTATATACATATATATATACATACATGTATCGCATTAAATCTATGAATTCAGGACTATAACCCTTAACATAAGGTTCAATAAAAATGTAATTTTATTTATGAAAAGAATCATTTAAAATTATGTAAATATCAGTAGACTAGTATGATGATATGCCAAAAATTGTGAAGATGGTATTTAAGTAATTGATATTAATGAACAAATTTGAAACCTGGTTCACCATAATACTCATTCCTAAATTAGTGAAAATGTTAGTTTAAAAAAAGTAAGATCCTGTTCGATTCATTAAAATAAAATTTGATTTGCACACATCTTCAAGTGGATTTTGTAAGTAAAGTAAGCAGACCCCTGAAATATTCAGAAGAGCAAGACCACAGCGTTCTCATCAATTCTGAGTAGGATCTCAGAGAGCCAGAATCAAGTCCCTGGTATGTTGTTTGTAGCCTAACACTAGAGATCCTTTTTTTAAATAAAAAGTCTGATGTAATATTTCATTTCTTGACGAAAAGTGGAGTAGACCCTAGGAGAAAAGTATGGCAATTAGATCTTAAACAAACGTGTGTTAGAAGCAAGCTGAAACCTAACCAGAAGGGAGCATTGCCGCTGTGTTAGGAATCAGGGCTGTGTTTTCAGATGGCTAAGGCCCTTTGACATTGCCATTGACTTTCTTTCATGCAGGCCTGAATTGTCCTACCACTGAAGACACAGCATGAGGTAGCCAACCCATCCCTGAGACTGCTGTGGGGGCTGATGTCTACCTGGCTGGGCTTGTTGCATGGATTCCACACTGTTTTTACTATTTACCCGCTAGTTCCTGTGGCTCTCAATCAATAACTTCTTTTTTGTACTGAACCTTCTCTAACATGGACAAGGTTAAAAAGAGAAAGTGGACCTTTTCAGAGTCTAAAAGTGCTATTGTTCACCACATAGAACATTTATCTGAGATTGTGGCTGTATATGATAGGATGTGGAGAAACTGGACAAAAAAATAAAATCTGACAACACATTACAAGAGTTACAAAAACCAGGAATGCAGAGCACTGGCTTATCATCTGTTGACTCTAGCATGACCAGCTCCAAATTTGCCTTGTGTCAATGCAGCACAGCCCCCAACTACCCCATAGGAAGGCAGACACGACATGGAGACTAAGTCCTGTTTGGGTTGTTGTTTTCATGATGCTAAAAGAGGATTTCACCCTGACTTAATTTCTTTAAACTTTTTTTGATCAAATTCCAGGTAGCTACAGCAATTCCACACTCAGCCAACTGAATTGCAAGATAATGCAAATAGTCTTCTACAAGCTGTTACAGTCCTGAGAGCAATGGTTTCCTACTAAGCACTGTGGACTGTTTAGAACAGCCTAGTAAGCCTTTGATTAGCAGTCTGGAATCTCTTGTGGGTGCAGTACAACTCTTGATATAAAATATCACCTACCCAATTCAATTTGTTTGGAATCTAGCATGGGACTACTTGAGGCAGAAGTCATACTCTAAGGAAACACATTCAAAATTTGATTCCACATTTGTATGATATGGTGAAGATGTTTCTCTAACCTTTAACTAGCTATATTCCTCTTAATTCAATCATCTTTTTTGATATACCGATTGGATCAGGGTCGGCCAGGAAGCTTGCGGCAGCAGTTGCCATCTCTGTTTCTTAGGAGTAATCCATCAGAGGAGACACATGCTGCTGCTCACAGAAATAAATACCAAAAAACAACATTAAAGGTTCATCTTCCTTAGGAAGCTACATGAAGATGGAAGGCACTGTTTTTCAAGTGGGGGCAGGGTGGGGGGATTTATGGAGACACAATGTCATTAAGAACCTAGTGGGATTAGAAAAGAGGTACATGATATAATTTAAAAATTACATTCAAAATACATTCTCTGATTAAAATGGTTCAGACCATGTCTTGTTTCTTTTATAATAATATCTTGCAAGATATAAGGCTTAACATTTTCTAAATTTTTAATCTGAAGCCAGGCTACTTATAGTCCTGGCTTTGTCACTTAGTAGTAGTTAAACTTAGGCAATTGAATTCAAGATACCCAAGTTTCTTCTGTAAACCAGGGGGAAAAACTACAGGAACCTCATAGAACTGATGGGAAGGTTAAATAAGTTAATGTATGTAGAAGACTAGAACAGTATCTGGCCCACCATAGAAAAACTATAGTAACCCTGTAATCCCAGCACTTTGGGAGGCTGAGGTGGGCAGATCAATTGAGGCCAGAAATTTGAGATCAGCTTGGCCAACATGGCAAAACCCTGTCTCTACTAAAAATACAAAAAATTAGCTGAGTATGGTGGTACACACCTGTAATCCTAGCTACACAGGAGGCTAAGGCATGAGAATTGTTTGAACCCAGGAGGCAGAGGTTGCAGTGAGCCAAGATCGCACCACTGCACTCTAACCTGGGTGGGCAGCAAAGCGAGATTTCATCTCAAAACAGAAAGAAAGAAAGAAGGAAAGCAAGCAAGCAAGAAAGAAAGACAGGAAAGAAAAAAGGAAAGGAAAGGAAAGGAGGGAAGGAAGGAAGGAAGGAAAAGACTATAGTAATAGATGCTGTAATAGTAATAGATCGATTGTAATAGATGCTGTTGCTGTTACTACTATGTTGGTGCAAAAGTAATTGTGGTTTTTGCCATTGCTTCTAAATGGCAAAAGCTCCAATTACTTTTGCACCAACCTAATCTTACTATGTTTATCATAGTCATCATGGTTATTGTCATTGTGTCATGGTCATCAACTTCATCATCATCATCATCATCATCACAAGTCATCTTTTTGAATTTCCACAGAAAAACCCTAAAAAGCCATAGCCAATATGTCCCATTATATATATAAAAGTAATTAAGATCTTTATGGTAAAAGACCTAAGACTTTCCAACAAGTTAGAGCAGGGTCAAGACTAGAATGCTGGGCACTTCACCAGCAGTCAGAACTTGGCTACAGGAGAACAGACTCCAACTCCATTCAGTGCTGCTTTTCGAATACCCTTGTAGCATTTTCTGGAGTCACTGGTTGTAAACTTCACATCCCTTCCATTTTCTCCTCCCCTTCTCCTGAAGTCTTTAGGGAATTGCTAGTGTTGGAAGAAGTTGCAACCTGTAATTCCCCTGACCCCTAGATGCTACTCATGATTGGTTTTACTCACCTCTTCTGTATTGCAAAGCAGTTTATACATATCATCTCCACATTCTCTGTCTAATGCTGTCAAATATTTTCCTACTCTAGGTGAATTGATTCGCTCGTCTTCTTGCCATAACTAGCCCCTCCCTGCTTTCTGTGAAGGCTCGTTTGCACTCTCTCCTTTCTCTCTCTCTCTCTCTCTCCCTCTCTCCCTTCCTCTCCTCTCAATCCCTTTCTCTCTCACTACTATGGCTCTCTCTTTTTTTACTCTATTTTTCTAAAGCATCATCAAATTATCTATCATTCTTTCTACTTCAAAGTAGAAAAGATCTTCCCTTTTTTGTCAGATATTTACTTTTCCTGTGTCTTTTCATTAATTCACACACATTTTCCAGATATTGGTGGTATTCACAGCTCCCCCCACTCATCCTTAGGTCCTACAATCTAGCACTTTTGTTTATCAAGCATATAAAATGTTTTGCCTAAAAGTTACCAGAAATCCACTTGTTATTGTCTTCAGTGTCCTTTTCTCAGCCACTCCTTCCCTTAATCTCTAGTGGTGACACTGGAACGAACCTCACCTCTTGCTGTGCACCCTTCCTTTGGATTTCACTGCATCTCTCCTTCCTGTTCTTCCTCCCAGCCATTCTCCATACTCCTTTGTCTCCTCTAATACTAACCTTCATTTTCTCACCCACATTTTTCTTCAATTAAAAAAAAAATAATTCTAGAAAGACCTGTCTTTAAGCCTTATACACTGCCCTTCCTGTATTTCCCATCTGGGTTATAAACCAGTCGTTTGAAGCCTCTGTCTTCTCCCTAAAACTTGTCACCTTCTCCTGATTTCCCGATTTCTTCTTCTTGTATGTGGCTCTCAAGAAGCGTTAGGGATAGAGGAGAGAGTTAAAGTAAACAATTCCTGAGATTAAATGTTGGCTTTGTAATTACATCACTCAAAATCTCCCTAATGTCTCTGAATTTTGGCTTATCATTCATAACATGGGAATTGCATGAGGAAACTACAAGTAAATACAGTACCATCCCATCAAGGGGGCCGGGGGAAGTGACCTCCCCTGCCTGCTTCCTACTCCCACCCACCACACACATCACCCCTTTCCCAACCCAGACTTCCAGCATTGACATCATTTGGCTAGACTTGATTCGTCCCCAGCCCCATGGCCACGTCCAGTCTGTTGTCAACTCCACCTTTCTAGAATCTCCTTCATCCTTCTCTTTCTTTGTGTTTCCTTCACCATCTCCAGAGCACAAACACTCATTGCTCATTACTTGATTGTCACAAAAATCTTCGAACTAGCTTTACTGCCTTCAATTTCTTCCAGAGCACATTCATTGCTCATCGCTTGACTGTCACAACAGTCTTCTAACTAGCCTTACTGCCTTCAATTTCTCCCATTTTTCAATCTACCCCAGACAGACTAGTAGTCTAACTAACATACTGCTTTGATTGATTACTTTCTCAGGGAAACTCAGCTAACAAGTGGCATACAGAAATTCAAGCCCAGATACTCTGCCCCTGAGTCTGTGCTCAGAACTGTAAGCCTGTACTGTATTAGTGTCAGTGTTTGGCACTGAAATTCAACATTCTTCAAGATCTGGCCCAAGGTACCTTTCCAAGTTTTCCTTCCACCAGGCCTATATGCCAGGGGTTGATTTACTCATTCTTCTTTAAATAAGCTTTCTTTATCCTTTAGGATGCTTTCAGCTGGCAGCAACCAAAAAAACAAAACAAAGCGACAACAACAAAACTCAAGTGCCTTAAACACTAAGAGGATTATTATCTTTTTATTATAACAAGCCCAGGGGTAAGAGAGTTCTGGAGTTTTTTAAGTTTTTAACATCATCGCTTAACATCAAACATAGATCTCGGATTCCTTCCATCTTCCCGCTCTGCTATGTTCAACATGATTTCATGTGAGCTCCTTTCATGGTTGTAAGATGGTGCCACAGTTCCAGGAAGTACATACAGACATGACAACATCCAGTGAGGAAAACAAGAAAAGATCATAGCTCCTCTGTGCATCATGCTTTTGAGTGAATAATTTTTTCCCATACTCCTATCCTACGTCTACCTTCCCCAGCAGACTTCCCTTGACATTTCGTTGGCCACAGCTATATCACCATCATCAGGTGATTTACAAACAAAAAGGAACATAGATTTGGACAAATTCTTCAGCTTCCAAAGTTTTTGAGATACAGCCTCAGGGAAAAGTTGTACACCCTAACTCAGTATACACGTAAATACACGTTAGATGCGTACATAAATTACAAATGAAAGTTCTGAAAATAGAAATTGGAATCCTTATGTGCAGTACCTCCAGATATTTTCCATTCTATTTTATTCTTTATACTATCAATTAATTTAAAAAATTCTGATTCAAAGTACTAAATTGATTTTAGAATTAATTAATAAACTGCTTCCTGCACTTTAAAAAAAACAAAACAAACAAACAAACAAAAAAACACTGGTTTAGAAATACCATTTGACCCAGCAATCCCATTATTGGGTATATACCAAAGGATTATAAATTCTACTATAAAGACACATGCACACGTATGTTTATTGCAGGACTATTTACAATAGCAAAAACTTGGGACCAACCCAAATGCCAAGCAATGATAGACTGGGTAAAGAAAATGTGGCACATACACACCATGGAATACTATGCAGCCATAAAAAAGAATGAGTTCATGTCCTTTGCAGGGACATGGATGAAGCTGGAAACCATCATTCTCAGCAAACTAACACAGGAACACAAAACCAAGCACCACATGTTCTCACTCATAAGTGGGAGTTGAACAATGAGATCACATGGACACAGGGAGGGGAACATCACACACTGGGACCTGTCAGGGGGTTGGGAGCAAGGGGAGGGAGAGCGTTAAGACAAATACCTAATGCATGTGGGACTTAAAACCTAAATGACAGGTTGATAAGGTGTGGCAAACCACCATGGCACATATATACCTAAGTACCAAACCTGCATGTTCTGGACATATATCCCAGAGCTTAAAGTAAAATAATTAAAAAAAAAAAAAACTGGTTTATACTAATCAGAATTTACCCAAGTCATTTGGACTCAAGAATACCATCAGGGTCAGTGTGGTAGAAGGGGAATTGGCTTTTTGAAGACAATACTTACCCAGTTTTCTGTGTATTAAATTACATATTTATCTTTTACCAATGTCTATGACACCTTTCACTCAATACTCATTTGCTAAAATTGGGATGTTTCAAAACTGAGCTGTTTTGACTTCTTGCTTTAAAAGCTGGAGTTTTCATAATTTCAAAAAATAAAAACTGATGTTCTTCAGTAGTTTGTAAGTCACAGAAAATAAATCAAGCGCTTTTTAAAATTCAAGATCTAGTTTCTTTTGATGATATTAGTAGGGTAAAAGGTCATGAGAGTTCAATTAATTTACTTTAAAATGCTCCTTTTAAATGATGTCCAAAGAATAAATCATCAAAGATTAATCAGAAAAGACTGAGTCTCTCCCCCTTATTTAGAATGTCTAAGGATCTGGGAGCAGCTGGCCCCATCTCTGTTCTCTCTTTTCCTGATTCATCTTGTGGGTGACCCCAGGAAGGGTCAGTCTGTGGCCCTAAATCACATAAGCCTGCACATGGAGCCTGCCATTTTCTCTCTGCAATTACTCCACCCTTGAGAACCTTGCTGAGCTAAGGCAAAGGTTCTAAAGAGCCTGGGCTTTGTACCCCCAGGCCTGCTTTGTACCCTGCTGAGCCTGGCTCTTTCCAGACCTATGGTCATTTGTATTTTTACAGTAATAAACTGTTGTATCCAATATGCCTTAGCATCTGTTAGGTACAAAGCACTAAGCAAGGCTGCAGGGAACCCCATGTGAATAAGCCCATAGTCACTATTCTTAAGCAGCTTGGAGTCTAACAGGAGATAAGCTGCAAACAGCTGCATAAGATATCATTTAATCGTGGAGATTTCCAAGAAGGGATGCTGACTAGCATTTGTAGAGTACCTACGGGTGCCGGGTACTTGGCTAGGCCATTTATGCAAACTACATCATCAAAAAGCCATAATCATTTTATAGTATTGTTATCTCCATTTTGCAGATGTGGAAACTAAGGCTAGTTATTCTTCCAGTGAGATATTTTTAGTAAGCACCCAAGTGCAGAATGAGATCTTATAGACTCTAAAGTTGTTTTATGAGTGTGTGTGTGTGTGTGTGTGTGTGTGTCATTTTTTCTGCATCTTTAAGCATAAAATAATTTTATCTGCCTGAAAGGAAGACATGCTTGAACTAGGGCTTTGAAATATAAGGGATGTATTTTCCTTGGTGATGGTGATGGTAATGGGGCCAGAGCAGTGTCCTGGGGCAAAGGCAGCTCTTCCATGACGCATGCAGGCAGGAAGGGCAGGCGGGTTCAGAGGGTACTTGACAGTATAGTTTGGTTGCCACATGAAGTCTGCTTGGGAAAGTGAAAGAAAGTAAATCTGCAAGAAGAGGTGGGGTTTTGAAAATGCTAAATTCCAATTTCCCCATCTTTTATAATTCAGTAGAGGTTTTGGGGGGAAGGAAGCCCCTCTGCCGCTTACCTAGTAGATTGAGTCAGATGGGCAGAAGTTGTGTGAACAGAGGTGACCCTCTCAGAATAGGAACCAGGTGTTCTATTCTTTTGTTGCCCTCACTGTGAAACTCAGTGCTTTACAACCAGTAGGTCTGCAGTTTATATCCAAAGAATAAATGAAAGACAAAAAAAGAGAGAGAGAGAGAGAAAGAAAGAGTATTCTGCTCTCTCTTGGCAAGTTCCTTAAAGGATGGGTCAGGGTAAGTTGCTGGACAGTGGGCAGAGGAGACAGGTACTGGCTGAGTGAAGCTCAGGGCAAGTTTGACTCTTCCACTGTCTCAGCCTCCAGACGAATGACCCAAATGGAATGACTTTTAGTTGAGACAGATATGACCCCTTCTGTTAGGTAGAGATAGCATGCTGGAAGGACAGAAAATATTTAAGAGCAGACAGACAAAAGGTGTAAGAGGCAAGTGTTCTAAAGGATTTGCAATGAGACCCTATAGTAAATAATCCCACAGTTCATACCACCACACTCCAAGCCACACTTTTTACACACCAATCTGCTATTTCACCTTACACTGATGAAGAAAGCAGCCTAAATGTCTACCTTGCAGGTTAGGTGAGGACAAGGTGAGTGACACCGTTGTGACAATTAAGCAGCACTGTAAACCACAGTCTAAGGTGCAGCTTTGCGCACTAGCTCAGCTCAAAGGCTTTCCAAGTTGCTAATATATAGATGAATTCCAAACAGGAAGAGACCAACCTATGTGGCAGAACAGTTTTGCAAGATTAGTTTGCTTGGCTTTACAGTCAGATAAAAGTTAGCTCCCTTAAAGACAGTTGTCACAGCCTGAGCAAAGTGAAGCCAAAACTGTGGGGGTGGGAGAGGAGAAGGGACAGAAAGAGGGGAAGCAAGATGCAGAGAGGAAGTTATGCTTTAAAGATACACCTGTTTCTGGCCAGGCACGGTGGCTCATGCCTGTAATCCCAGCACTTTGGGAGGCCTAGGCAGGTGGATTACCTGAAGTCAGGAGTTTGAGACCAGCCTGGCCAACATGGTAAAACCCCGTCTCTACTAAAAATACAAAAATTAGCCAGGCATGGTGGCACATGCCTGTAATCCCAGCTACTCGGGAGGCTGAGGCACAAGAATTGCTTGAACCCGGGAGGCGGACGTTGCAGTGAACCGAGATTGTGCCACTGCACTCCAGCCTGGCCGACAGAGTAAGACTCTCTCTCAAACAAAAACAAAAAACAAAACAAAACAAAAAATACACCTGTTTCTGTATCTGTGAAAGCTTTGAGTTAGTAATAATGGCAGCTTCATAAATGGTAGTGGTAGTAGCAGTAGCAGGAGTAACAGTGACATTCAACAGGAAGTTGTCAGTGATGACTATTGTTAACAATTAATGATATCTTTCATTGGCTTTTATATCCCCATCACAATGCAGTATGAGGGTGGGCTGGCCACATTTAAATTAGCAAAGGTTAGGTGAAAAATATCAGAGTTTCTTGCTAGTGTCATCCAATAATTAGTGGAAATGTGTTAGATAACATTGACTTGAGATGAGTGTGCATGAAGTCTGTGACTCTGACATTGCGAGCTGGACAACTTTCCAAGTGTACCATATTTAGAAGTGGGTTTATTCCTGCAGCGGTGTCCTTTTGAGAATCAGTTGAATCATTGCTTCTCGGCCTTTTGGCTAAGATCAAGTGTAGAGAATCAGTTGAATCAGGAAGAGCATCAGGACAGCCAGTACATAGGCTCCTCTGCTGAGTCACCATGTGGCCAAGACTGCCACATACTTAGCTGCAGAGAAGTAAAAATCAATTTCCACCTGTGGTAAGGAAAAACATCCACATTGTAAAGGTCAAATGGAGTCTTCTACGGATCTTAAAACTAAGGTATGTTAACATTAACTAATATATAGTACATATTCACTGCCACATTTGTTCATAAAATATGAGATATTTTCATTTAAGTCACAAATTAATTAATTAATTAATTTATTTATTTATTTATATCAAGAGGTTTTTATAAACCAAAAAAAAAATTCCAGTGTGAGAGGTTAAGTGCACCAGTAAGGTCAATAAATAGTTATCTCCTTTCCATCTTCTCATTTTTTATCATCAAGCCTGACATCTACACTAAACTGGGAAACAATACAACAGACAGTAGTCTCTTTCTCCCTCTCTACCTGACCTCATAACTGCACACATACATAAATGCATTTTCAGATACAACAAAATTAAATACAACAAGAAAGCTGATTTCTTGGAAAATCCAGATTCCAAGATTAATAACTTGATGTGTTTCAAATTACATCTATAGAAATGTGTGGGATTGTTTTGTTGTTGCGTTGTTTGGTTTTGCTTTTGTAAAAGGAACTTTAAGGGACATTTACTAAATATCTGATGAAACTCATTACTCTTTAACCATGAATCTAGTAATGCTTTGATCAAGGCATTCAGTGAAACCCGGTCTCTCTGCTGCCATTAACATCATTTACCACATCTTCACTACCTGTCCTAGGCTATACTTGAGTGAAGACACCCTGAAATTATCATGGGGTGATTTTATGATATTGGTAAAAATTAAATTAGTCGAAGCTTTTTCTTTGTAAGCTAAGCACCCTTTACACCTAACTGTGATGCCTTGCTTCTGAACTGTGATTTCCAGGTAATGACTCTTACTAGAAGGACAATAAAGGTGCAAATGAAGGGCACAACTTGAAGCCTTCAGGGTGTGGAGTTTGGAAGAGATGCTGTTATGAATGAATTGCTGATCCTACCTTACTTCG
This sequence comes from Homo sapiens, assembly GCF_000001405.40. Classification (NCBI taxonomy): domain Eukaryota; kingdom Metazoa; phylum Chordata; class Mammalia; order Primates; family Hominidae; genus Homo; species Homo sapiens. Next base: position 113,429,942 of record NC_000006.12, read on the forward strand.
TTGGAGAGAAAACTCTAGCCCCAACTGTTTGAGAGATTTTGCCCAAGGGCCTCATTAGTAGTAAATTCAGGGTTAAGAATCCAACTCTTTTGCTTTACAAATCAGAATCCTGTCACTTATGTCACGATGATGCAGAAAAACAAACTAAAATTTGTCATTGCAAGATAATGAAACTCTCTCCTGAAAAAGTTATTTTGTACTAGACTGTTGCAATAGTGCAGATCTACTTTGATGTGTCAGGTTTGGCTCAAGCACCGTGCTTCCAGGGAGTTTTCTGGTGATCCCATGCTCTGTACCCTGCACCTACATCTGCTATGGGAGACCCTTCCTCTCCTTCCCCTCTGTATTTGTTAATATGCTCACACACAGCATTATAATCACTTTTGTACACCTACTTTCTCCACTAGATGTTAAATTCATTGAGAATATAATAGTATAAAATGAAGTTTGTTAAATGAGTAACGAATAAAGAAAATGTAATAATTCAATTTTTTTTCTTTTGAGGCAGGGTCTTGCTCTGTTACTCAGGCTAGAGTAGAAATGGCTTCATTAAAGCCTTGAATTTCTGAGCTCAAGTGATTCTCCCACCACAGCCTCCCGAGTAGCTAGGACTACAGGCACACACCATCACATCTAGCTATTTTTTTTTTATTTGTAACTTTTCATAGAGATGAGGTCTCTCCATGCTTCCCAGACTGACCTTGAACCCCTAGGTTCAAGTAATCCTCCTGCCTCAGCCTCCCAAAGTGCTGGGGTTACAAACATGAGCCTTCATGCCCAGCCTATTTTTTTTTATTTCAAAGCAATAAGAATAATAATGCCAGCAATAAGATTGTTGTGAAGTTTAAATGTGATGTTTTAACACTTGTTAAGTGCTTCACATAAGGCATTTAACCATGTCAAGCTACATATTAGTGTCTCAGTAGCATCTATCTATTGAATGCTTACTCAATCTTCTTCTGAAACCATCAAAAATTGTTACAAGCCTTCTATGTACTAATGATTGCACTTTTAGTATCCATTGATTAAGAAAGAATAAATTGGTGCTTGACTTTGCAACTCTGCAAATCTCCAAGGGTCCCTAACCCATAGGTGAGAATCTCATGAACTGTAGATTGTCCCAGGACCTAGAATGAAGCTTATAGTTCATCATGAGAGCCATTATGGCAGAGCAAAACACCCACAACACAAGCAAAGCACAACAGTCTGAGAGCAATAGAGGAAGGGACAATAAAGGAAAGACAGCAGGTCTCATTGCTTCCTACTCTTCAGAATCCCCACAGATTCATAGGTTATTGCCAGTATGCAGCTACTTCACCGTCTGCAATCCCTTGCTCCACAAAAATACCTACTGTTCCTAGGCAGCACCACATACATACTCAACAGTAGCTTGAGGAGGCTGTGTTAAAATAAAATAGACAGCCTGATTATGTTTCTTATGAACCTAAAGAATTCCAACTAGATTTCTTGTACTCTTTTTTTTTTTTTTTTCTAAACCTATTAGTTAGAACTATCCCAGTTTCACATGATGGAAATGCAACCTTAACTGTTTAAACAAACAATATGGAGACAGGTGTAAAGAATGTATTAATTCACTGAAAAGTCCAAAAATAGGATAGGTTCAGACACGACAGTGTCCAAGAACTGAAAAATAAGTCACCAAAACTCAGTTTCTTTCTCATTGTGATTTCCTCCAAAGTAGGTAATACTTTCAAACAGGTTCTCCCCACATGATATAAAGGTTAGCTGATAATAACCACAGCAGAAAGTAAGGTTCTTTCTCCCAGTGGCTTCCCAAAAAAATCCCATAATTGGCAGCCAGGTTTCTATGCTTTAGGTCAAAACAAATCACAGTGATGGAGGGGATATATTGTTTGGACCAACATAGTTTACTTGCGGGATACCAACCATTCTGCTTTATCAGGACTGTCCTGGTTTTAACATTGCAAGTCTTTTGTCCCAGAAAACTTCTCCACTTCAGGCAAACTAGGATGTTAGTCACCCCAGTTTACATTTGTGCTACTAGGCTACACATGTTTTTTCCATACTACGGCACTCAGTGGGCATAATAACAGGGATGAAATGCTAAGTGGGGGGAAAATGTCCTCTACATTGACCTGCGAACTATTGAAATGTGCTGACACGGTGGCCACATGTGCTCATTGAGCACTGAAATACAATGGTCTGCAATTAAGTTTGAGGGCTGAATTAAAATGTGCATTAAATATAAAATACCAACTAGATTTTAAAAAGTTACTAGAAAAAATAATGTAAGAGATATTAATAAATTTATATTTGCATGTTAAAATGATAATGTTTTGAATATAGCTAAATAAAACATTATTAAAAATTAATTTCACCAGTTTCTTCTTCCTTTTTTAATATGGCTATTAGTAAATCTTAAATTACACATGGCTCACATTATATTCCTGTTGGATGGCACTGTGATAAGATTTTTTAAACAAAGTTAATAAAGTATTTATGTCATGTATAGGCGGAGGACATTAAAAAGATATTTTGAGTATGCAGACACCTTAAACAATAAATGATAAACGAATTACGTAGAAAACATCCCAGGCCCACAAAAAATGAAGCACAATAATGTCAAACTCAATACCAAATTCATGTGCTCAATCATTTCTGTCCTCATTGGTGCCAGGACCAGCATAAGTTCTGGGGCTTCAGGCCCAACTGCCAAAAGAGGTTTGTCCTTCAGAAACCCACAGACCAGAAAGGAAAAGAGACAGGTTTAAAAAAAAGTTATACAAAATTATGTTGTGAGTAATACAATAAGTTCCAGCATACACAATCTGTTTTGATTTAATTATAGTAATTACATCATCTACATAATTTTTGGTTTATTCAATCCATACTCTACATGTTCTCTTTCTATTGCATGTCAACTTCCTTGAGAGCAGAAGTATTGCATTAATAAGTTTTATGCAACCAATTGCTTTTCTTTCAGTGCTTCCTTTTTATTTAATGATCAAATGTTTCTTCATCTCATATTTACTCTCCCCAGAGTCAGGTTAGCCCAGTGAAATCTAATGGGCTTAGGGTCAAATATTGCCAAAGTCCCTTACCAACTTGCTTACCTACTGGGAGTGTGTAACCCCTCTGCGCCTCATTTTCCACCAACAACATTGAGAAACAGGATACTCAGTGTCTCTTTGACACATACACACTCATATTCACACACACAAATTCAGATCATTGCTTGCAATTTAGCTTATTATTGTTAGTCATCTGAACATATCAAATACTTCCAAACACTCCAACTCACTGGAGTTTTGCTCCCTCAATATATCTATTTTTAAGCACTGGAAGGGGGTTCTACATGCCAGCAATTTGGTTCCCTCTAAACATCCTTGAAAATGTTTATTTGAAAAGATTACCTTGTTTTCCTTCAGGATTAAGACATGGTCACTGCAGACAGAGATGATTTGGAAAGATGGCAAGCAGTTTTTGATAGCTCCTCAGAGACTCCCCTTGTTAAATGAATATACCTGCAGAAAAAACAAAATGCATTCCAGCCCACACACGTTAGAGACATTTTTCAAACACCTAGATGAGAGAAGATAGCTATTACAAATAACATATTTGTTGGAGAGAGTGAAGAAATCACAAACTGGCTTGGATAAATACTATTAAATGCATACTTTGCCTGCCGATTGCGACAGTTTCCCTCTGGCACTCACTGACAAGCTTGGCTCCAGCTGTAAATTAGGTTGCAAAACTTCCTTGTCAGAGAACTCGCCCTGTGAGGAGGACTCAACCCTGGCTCTGAATCTGCAAGGACAGAAAAATCAATGTGACAGAGAAGCAGTTGCTTGTGTCAGGCCTCACCAAGGAGAGAAAAGGCTTTAAATTAATCATGATTTAAGGATGCTGGCAAAACAGTGCAAAGGCACATTCCTGGTGTCTCTGAGAAAAGGGAAAAAGGAGCCTGGAGCACTTTGCGGATGCTCCCCACAGATCCTGCCCTTCTGTTATAAACAGAATTCAGTGTTTACTGTGGGGATGAGAAAGCACTATGGATCTCGTGTAAACAGATAAAATGCAACAAGACTGATAAAAGTTTGGTGAAGCAGTATTGGTCAGTGTGTAGCATGGGGATAAATGAAAGTTTCATCTTCTCTCCTAGAACCTATGAATGAATTAAATCACCTGGGAGGATTTCAGGTCATATAGTAAATTTTGATGTCCCACAATAAGAAAAAGCTGGCTTGAACCTCTTATCTGGAGAGGGATCAAAAATCGCCTTCTGGAGATGCCTTTTTAAAAAATGTCTCACCTATGTTGGACAATGGGGACATCTGGATGAGGGAAATCAATTTTTTTGCCTGGCTTATGCTTTGGAGCAGTGGCTTTAAAATGTCCAAAAAGACCTACTAAGATTACTGTTAAACTGCCACCATTATATGGTACCAGTGAAGCAGTGAGCCCCCAAGGTAGAGGTAAGACCTACCTCAGATGTCAGTCACTGTTGGCCAAGGAAGATCATGTTAGGAAACATCCACCTCTGCTACCAATTTAGGCAATCGAGTCTCTGCACTAGAGAAAATGACATCCCGGACAGCTGATTTCAGACAGACTTTGTTCCTGTGTCAGGTACCACACCTTTCCAGTTTGGGTACAAGAACTCAAGTCAATGAGCCAGATTCATTTATTTTCATAAGTCGTCTCTGACTACAGGACCAGGGTTGCTCTGGGCCTTCGACTGGCCTCAACTATGTCAGTTGTTTGTCATGATGACACAACCATTATTCTCCAGTTTTTTCCCCTACAAGTGGAGAGACATCCAATGAGGACCAAACAGGATTAGACCCTATTGTTAAAAGTTTCCTTTGGCTTTATTTTATAGTATCATCTCTATCATCATAAATCAATCATGAAACACAAGATGTTCCACCAAGCACTACACAAGCGAACTACATAGATGTTGTACCTACCCACTAGGGCTTGTGATAGAAACGACAGAGCACTTAAACTATGCAAATATGACAAGTCCCTATAAACAACAGAGTACAGAAGTTAAATCAGCAGGAAATAGAAAATACAAGCATATGCAGAAAACTGAGTGGTAGGGATGAACAATACTGGTAAATATTATTACTATACACTTTTAAAAAAATAGGGAAATCTGAAATCCGAGATAAGAAAAAGAAAAAATTTATACAGCTATGCTGCACTAGAAACATGAACAGCTAACACATAGCCTCATTATAATAAAACCTTTTTGGCAACATTGGGTAACAAGCAGCTTCCAAAAACAACACCATTCCAATATTTTATTTAAAAAGAAAAAGAATGTGTAGCCATCAGTGCAATTTTCCTTGAAAATGAACAGGTTTCATTTGTACCAAGGGAAATTACCAGAAAAGCTGTAGACACTCCCTCTCAGGAGATCTTTATAAATAGTATAACTTTTCACCTGTTTTGTGTGGCTCTCTCAGAAAGCAGATAATAGGCAAGGAAATCCTTTCAAAATCCTCTTTCTGTGTCTCATTCTGGGTTATTCTCCAGTTATTCCACCTATTTGCCTTTGCCTCATCTTGCAGTCAACACTCTTGAGAAAGGACAGTTAAAAAGGAAGAAACAAATAGATGTCAGCACTCCTGAGAGAAAGCTAGAATAGCTAATAAATACACAATCCTTTATATATTCCAAGAGCTACTTAGTGCTCTACCGGAGTTTTCAAATAGAAGAAAAATCTGTTGCAATCTTCTTGTCTAGACCAAATCCATAGCCAACAAAAACCTTTCCATATGCCAAGTCCTAAGCTGAACATTTTATATGAGTGGTCTTATTCAATCTCACCACAACCCTATGAAATAGGCATTTTATTATTCCCATTTTATAGATCAGAAAGCAGAGTCTTAGAAAGATTTTCTTGCACAAACTAACAGAAGTGCGATCTGTTGGAGCTAAGATTAGTGTAATTAGTTTCCTATGGCAGCTGTAAAAAAATTATAATAAACAAGTGGCTTAAGATGACACACATTTTTGCTTGGGCCCAGGAGTTCAAGACCAGCCTGGGAAACATAGGAAGACCTCATCTCTACAAAAATAAAAAATTAGCCTCACGTGGTGGTGCACACCTGTAGAACTAGCTACTCAGGAAGCTGAGGCAAGAGGGTTGCTTGAGCCTAGGAGGTCGAGGTTGCAATAAGCTATGACTGTACCACTGCACTCCAGCCTGAGCAACAAAGTGAGACCCCCTTCTCAAAATAAATAAATGCATAAATAAATAACACAGTTTTTTTCTCTTACAATTCTGGAGGTCAGACTGCCAAAATCAGGTACAGTGGGCTAAAATCAAAGAACCAGTAGAGCTCTTTCTGGTGGCTCTGGAGGAAAATCTGTTTCCTTACCTGTGCCAGGAGGGATGCAGTCCTCATTCCTCAGCTTCTGGACTGGCATCACATCCCCTTTCCTCTTCCTGTTCTTTCGTCACATCCCCTTCTCGTCTTCATCAAATATTCCTCTGCCTCCCTCTTATAAGGATATTTGTGATGGCATGTAGGACTTACCTAGATAATCTAAGACAATCTCCCCTTCTCAAAATCCTTAATTACATCCACAAAATCCCTTTTACCATATAAGGCAGCATTCATAGGTTCCCAGAATTAGGACCTGGATACCTTTGGGAGCTGTTACTCTGCCTACCACAATTAGCATTCCAACTATCTCCCATTCTCTTAAGCAGTATACGATCTTTTTTTATAGATGAGTAATTCCTAAAAAGCTGAATGACTGATTGTCAGCAAGTGAATGGGTATCTCATATAAATTAAAGAGGTAAAAGTAAGTCATTTGTATGGATGGTAGCACAGTATTGGCAAGAACCCTGGACTTGCAGTCAGAAAATGGAGTTTGTTTTCATTAACTAGACATGCAAACTTGGACCAAACACTACATCTCTTGGTATCAGGAATAATAAAGAGTGCCAATTCTCGTCAATAGTAGTAGAGAAGGATTCCACAAATCTCTACAAGTTTCATGGGAAATGTTGGACCCAATTATCAGTGTCTGCCCTGCTTAATCCTTAACCGCCAGACCTTTTTTTTTTTTTTTTTTTTTTTTTTTTGAGATGGGGGTCTCCCTATGTTTCCTGGGCTGGTCTCAAACTCTTGGCCTCAAGCGATTCTTCTACCTTGGCCTCCCAAGTGCTGGGATTACAGGTATGAGCCACCACACCCAGCCTCTAGTCTTTTTTAACTCCAATTTTATATGATTCAAGCCAGGATTGCCATCATCTGCATGCTTGAATGCGGCTGGAGAATCCATTTCCAAGATGGCTTCTTCACGTGGCTATTGGTAAGAGGCCTCAATTTCTTGTAACTCAGGGCAATCCATAGGCCACTTGATTGTCCTTACAACATAGTGATTGGCTTCCCCCAGAGCAAATACTCCAGCAGAGAAAGCAAGGCAGAAGCTACAAAATGTTTTATGGCCTAGCCTTGGAAATGACATACCATACCATCACTTCTGTGCTCCATTGGTCATACACATTTATCCTTATACAGTGTGAGAGGGAGCTGCATCAGGTCATGGATACCAGGAGACAGAGTTGATCACCTAGAGGCTGATCGCCACAATAAACCATGTGGACTAGTGCTTCCCAATAGCACTTCCATGTTGGTGTATATCTAGAGACCTCATCAGTGTTGGAGAGAAAAAGTATTCTTTTCCTCACCTATAGGTGGGTTCACGGCCAAGATCAGTAAAACAAAACACAGATTTAAAGCATATGAATTTATCTAGTGTTAAGTTTCATGAGACACAGGAAATTTCAGAGATGAAGACCCAAAGAAACAGGGAAATCTGTGTGTTTTTATGGTTAGTCATCCAGAAGTATCATTGGAAGACAAGTAGGTATGACCTAATGGTAATAAATGGGGGAATTTAGCAAGGCCGGTTTGCTCAGATTCTGCGATATGTTTCTGTATCTTCACTCATTTCTTCTGGGCCTAGGGAGAATGCCTCTGATATGAGGGTCTTACAACCTACTGTAGATGTAGGTCAGAGAATTCTTTTATAGGATGTTTCAGGGGAGAATGTCCAGAGAATGTCAAAGAGACTTTTCCACTTCTGCTGTTTTCTCAAATGTCAAGGTGCCATATTTGGGGGTAGTATTTCCTGAAACCTACCAAAGCCTGCAATTCATTATACTTTGTGATGGTTAAGAGTGCTTTGTGGCTTTCAAGAAGAAGGCTAGAATCATAAAACTTGCATTTTTAAGAAGACCGCTCTGGCAGCAGAGCAGAGTATTGGGGTAATGTGGGTCCCTACTGCCTCTCAGATGCCCAAGACTCTCATGCAAACTGCTATCCTGGCCTTCTAGACCCACATGTGTTCCCAGCCTCTTCTTTCCATGTTTTCCATCTCTAGCTACTGTGACATTCTTATTATTCCCAAGACAGGCCTGGTTCTCTTCAGACCATGCCTTGAATATCCTTCTCTGCTCAAAATGCCACATTTTCTACAAAGTCTCCTCCGAGTCCTGAGATAGAGCAAGTAGCTATTTCTAGTGTTTCCATAGCACTATGTTCATCTCTCTGTCATAGTATTCATCATGATTTTCCTTCAATAATTTGGTTATGTTTTATTCCTCCAAAGATTCTCTGCATCCCTTGATGGCAGGGACCAAGGCTTTGCCCTATGGCCAGAATATATCAGAGCACATAACAGATTTTTTTTTGAATTAATGAATAGACTTCTTTCAATAAGTTATCTTTCTAATACACTTAGTGAACACCAACTAACTAACAGGCACTCTGCTCGATCCCAAGTTACACACTAGTGATCAGTATGGTCAGGTCCCTGCTTCCAGGATGCATAGAGTGTATCCTTATATGATACTTCATCAATGACAATATCCTTGTTCCCTCTCTTTCTCATTCCATTTTCTATTTTCCTACTACCTTTCTGTCTGTTTCCAGCTGTTCTTTTTTCCTTGATGCTTCCCTAAGCATGACATTGCACACATGGGCATTGCTTAGATTGCTTAGTGTCTCTAATAAAGAGATAGCTATAATGGCCAACAAGTTACCCCAGGCCCAGGTTTAGATTATGATCTTCATGTTGCCTGCAAAGCTATGGGTACATGAAAACCTATTCCCATTTCCCAGATATCACTTAGAGAAAAATGAAGGAAAAAATAAGTCCTCCCATGGCTGCATGACTTGAAATTTTTATCTTTTCTTATCTTCACTGTCCCAAGTGAGTCAAATGCTCAAAACTGTTATTGTCTTTTAAAATGTTGATTAAACTAGTAGTGTTAGTGAAGATGATATAACTACCTAGAAGATATATGCTCCATCACTGCAGGAAATTTGGTCTCTTTTTACCTTGATAGACTCACAGCTCCTAGAATATTGCTAGCACATAGCAATGCTCATTGAACATTTTAAAATGTGTTCCTTGATGCTATAATTTCTTTTCCATTCATGCTAGGTTTAAAGATTACCTGAACTATTTTCCATTAAAAATGGCTTATGTGGCTCAGTCAGGTCACTAAACCTAAGTCTTGGTTGTCTTTTCATAAAACAGGGACCTCATTAGTACCTCCCTTGCATGGGAATGTTTCGAGTATAAGAGAAAATGCATGCAAAGCATGTAGTCTAATGTCTTCCTAGACTACAAACTGAAGAAATGCATTGAGGCTGAATCCAGGGTCTATCTAATAATCTTTTATTCTCTGTACACATCGTTTAAAAAAAATGCTTATCTCTGGTTGTCCATTATACACCGAGTAGACTGGCTTTCTTTAAAGTTAGGCTCTTTGAAACACAGGATATATCAAATCAAAACTTATTAAGCACTTGTAATGTACCAGTTATTATGTTAGGTACTAGAAATACAAAGAAAAACTAAGATATATTCCTTTACCTAAAGAACTTTACTATCTCATAAGGAAAATAGACAACGTAATGGAAAATTACAGAACAAGATGTGAGGTTTACTAAGACTGAGACAGAAAAAAGGATCATTTAGGGGGAGCACCCGACCCAGCCTGGGAAAGAAGGAGATTAAGGGAGGTTTTCCAGAGGATGTTAGTTACAAAGAAGTCGGGGTTAGAGGAGCTGCTCTGAGTGGAAGGAGCAGGCTGAACAAAAGAACCAGGAGCAGAAATGACATGATCAATTAAGAGCATGCAGGTGACACGTTTTGACTGGAGCACATAAAGAAAAACAAAATTATGTCAAGAACTAAAGCTGTGCGATCGTGAGCACAAGTCAGGTCTGCATGAAAGGGCTTTGTATGTCATGCTGTCGATTTTCAACTGTGTCTTTATGGCTAATGGAAAACCCATGAGTAATTTTAAGCAAGAGGGTATCATCACCAGCTTTGCACTCTAGAAAGATCACTGCAGTGAAAATGTAAGGATTTTACCTTACATTTTCTGGAAGGATACTAGCAGGGGTTCACAGCCTTTGGTATGCACAGCAATTACCTACAATTCTTTTTCACTAGGTCTGATTGGTTTCAAACATAGGGGATTTGGATGCAGAAAATCTGTGATTTATACTTTGAGAAACAGGAAGAATTAAAAACAAAAACAAACAACAACAAACTATTGCAGTAATCTAGGAGTTGAGTTATGAGGGTGTCCACAAAGGCAATGGTAGTGAGATTGAAGAAAGTAGCTGAACTTGAAAAATATTAACAAGAACCTGGAGATTAACTAGATGTGAAGAAAGGAAGAGGGGAGACAGAGGCCTAGACAACTGGATAGACTTTCCATGAGATGAGAAATCACTGGAAATAGCAGGGCTGGAAAGAAAGCTGATTATTTCTTTCTTCATATATCGAAGAGGAGGTACTTTGAAATATCCCTTTGGAGCTTTACTGTGTTGGGGTTTGAGAGGTCCAATAAACATCACCCCTCTTTCCTACCTGAGTTTGGGACTAATTGAGAGGAATCTAGCATTTGGAAAAGCTATCACCTTTGTTACCCTAAAAGCTAGATCTGAAGATGTGGCTTGGGTACTACAGTCCAGAATTGGGCAGATCTACGCACCTAGTCACAAAGGACAGAGCAGGGTGTGTGCTTCCTGCAGACAGCTGGATTCCAAAAACAAGATGCTGGTCTGGGAAGGTCCAGTTCCTTTCTCTAAACCCACCAAGCAGAAAGACCATATCTTCACCCTAGAAAAGTGGTGTGTAAAGGAGATTAGAAAGACCGGAAGTGTTGCTCTGATGGAAGATCCTTTCACAGTGGAGACACCCCAGAAGTAAGGAAAAAGAATATTCAGTAAGGACTTAGAGAGACATGCATGGGGGCACAAGAGGGCATTCTATGTGAATAGCACTACTAGGAGCTGTGTAAGGGCTGCCTCGGTTTTTTTTTGTTTTGTTTTTAAAAAGGCGTATAATGAGAAGCAACAAGAACAGGTATATATTCATTTCCTATTGCTGCCATAACAAATTACCTGAAACTTAGAGGTTTAAACAATACAAATAAATCATCTTACAGTTCTGAAGGTCCTAAGTCCAACACACTCTCACTGGGTCAGAAATCAAGGTGCCAGCAGAACATGTTCTTTTCTGGAGGCTCTAGAGCGGAATCTTGCCTTTCCCAGCTACATTCTATGGCTACATAGATCCCTACATTCTATGACCCTCGGCCCTCTTCCTTCGTCTTCAAAACCAACAATGGACAGCTGAGTTCTGCTCACATGGCCCTACTCTGACCTCTTTTGCCTTCCTTTTCTACTTTTAAGCACCCTTGTGATTACACTGGGCTCATCCAAATAATCCAGGATAATGTTCCCATTTTAAAGTCAACTGATTATCAACTTTAATTCCCCTTCCCATGTAACCTAACATATTCTCAGTTTCCAGAGATTAGGACAGGGACACGTCTGGGAACCGAGGGAGGACTGGGGGAGGGAGGCATTGTTCTGCCTACCACAAAGCACTTTTCTAAAACATGGGAAGCACCAGCTTTTGTAGGTGTTCTAGGAACAGTATTTGGATGTACTTCACGGTGAAGAAAATAACTGGGCTATGAGAAGAAATGTCACTAAAAGTGCTATTGCCTGGCTCATAAGTTACCTCAGGAGCAGGAAACTCAACAGAAATCACTTAAAGTCACAGACACACGGATGTAGCTTTGAAAACTGTGAAAGGGGATAACCCATAATTTCTTTTTTGATAAAATGACATGCCCCAGGGGTGAGCTAGGTTTGCTTTGACAAGAAAGTAAACAAGGAGCAAGTGAAAGGAAATGAAAAATATATTACCAAACTCTCATCTTTCAGCTGCTGATGCTGCCTATTGTCAGCTGCAGCAGAGTGTAGAATGGATTTGAAACTGCCACTCATACCATTAGGTGTGTACCTGATTCAGCTCTAGGTCTCCATCCTCATAACAGTTCTCCTGTAAAAGGAAATAAATAATTCTGCCTTTAGTTTGTTTCTGTATAGTGTTAGTAAAAAAAGTCAGGTTCTGCTTCATTAAGGTCTCTCTTTTTAGTTTGGTAAAACCTTTTGCTTCAAAATGTTTGCTTACACTCTCATTCTTGACTTTGAATCGTGTAAATTGCATGAATTTCCTAATGTAATTACAGATAGGGCACAACTTCCAGCCTCCCAACCTCCACTACATGAGAAGGTCCACAAATTCTATCCCCCAGAAAGCAAATAAAAAGCTGAACAAAAGAATAAAAATAATCACAAAAAAATTGTACACAAATATTTCTCATGAACACAGATACAAAAAATCTTTAACAAAACATGAGCAAACTGAATCTAGAAACACATAATTGATTTTCAATATTAAACTCAACTTACATTCCTAGGATGCATTTGGTCATAATATACAATTCAACTAATGTAATATACCATATCAGTAGAAAAAAGGACAAACATCACTTTATTATCTCAATAGATGCAGAAAAGAATATTTGGAAAAAAAAACCTTAAAACTATTACCTTCGTGTGTTATAAAATGAATATTTGTATCTCTCCAAATTTCATATATTGAACCCTAATCCCTAACATGAAGGATTTGAATGTGGAGTCTTTAGGGGGTGATTAGATTGTAAAGGGGGAGCCCTTATAAATGGAATTATAGTAGTTCCCTATTTTCTATGGTTTAGCTTTCCACGGTTTCAGTTACCAGCAGTACAACACAATCAGATATTTTTTGAGAGAGACATATTCACCTTATTTTTATTAAATTATATTGTTATTTTATTATTAGTTATTATTAGTTATTGTTAATCTCTTATTGTGCCTAATTTATATATGAAACTTTATTGTAGGTATGTAGGGGGTTAGGAAAATATATCATATATATGGGGTTCAGTACTATCTATGGTTTTAGGCATCTACTAGGGGTCTTGGAACATATTCCCTGTAGATAAGGAGGGACTACTGCAGTGCCCTTCTAAAAGAGACCTCAGAGACTCCCTTGGCCCTCCCACCATGTGAGATTACAGTGAAAAGGCCACCGTCTCTGAATCAGAAAGCAGGCCCTCACCAGATATGAAATCTCTGGCACCTTGATCTTTGATTTCATAGCTCCCAGAACTGTCAGAAAAACATTTCTGTTGTTGATAAGCAACTCAATCAATAGTATTTTGTTATACCAGCCCAAATGAATTAAGGTATCTCATATAATATGCAAAAACTAACTCAAAACTTATCACAAACCTAAATGGAACAGGTAAACTAGAAAGTTTCCAGTAGAAAATATAGAAGAAAATCTTCATGCCTTTGCATTACTGATAGAGTTCTTAGTCACCAAAATCACAATCCATAGAAGAAAAAAACTAACAAATTGGACTTCATCAAAATTTAAAACTTTTATACCTCCTCAAAATTAAAGACACTTGCACTTTATTTTTGAAAATAAAAAAGGAAAGCCAAAAAGTAGAAGAAAATATTTGCAAATCATATATTTGATAAAGGACTTATACCAGGCAACATAGCAAGACCTCATCTCTAATTAAAAAATAAATAAGGCTGACATGGTGGCACACATCTGTAATCCTAGTACTATGGGAGGCCAAGGCGGTTGGATCACTTGGGTCAGGGGTTCGAGACCAGCCTGGCCAATATGGTGAAACCCCATCTCTACTAAAATTACAAAAATTAGCCAGGTGTGGTGGCACATGTCTGTAATCCCAGCTACTCAGGAGTCTGAGACATGAGAATCACTTGAACCTGGGAGGCAGACGTTGGCTTGAGCCAAGACCATGCCATTGCACTCCAGCCTGGGTGACAGAGTGAGACAGTCTCAAAGAAAAAACAAAAAAAGTTTCTACCACTCCGTAGGTTTCCTGTTCACTCTGACAACAGTTTCTTTTGCTGTACAGAAAGCTCTTTAGTTTAATTAGATCCCATTTGTCAATTTTTACTTTTGTTGCAATCGCTTTCGGTGATTTCATCATGAAATCCTTGCCCATGATTATGCCTTGAGTGGTATTGCCTAGATTTTTTTCTAGGGCTTTTTGTTGTTGTTGTTGTTGTTGTTGTTGTTGTTGTTGTTTTCCTTTTTTTGAGACAGGGTCTCACCCTGTTGGCTGACTGGAGTGCAGTGGTGAGATCTTGGCTCACCCCAATCTCTGCTCCCCCAGCTCAAGCAATTCTCCTGTCTCAGCCTCCCAAGTAGCTGGGATTACAAGCGTGCACCACCACGCCCAGCTAATTTTTGTATTTTTAGTAGAGACAGGGTTTTGCCATGTTGGCCAGGGTGGTCTCAAACTCCTGACCTCAGCTGATCGGCCCACCTTGGCCTCCCAAAGTGCTGGCATTACAGGTGAGAGCAACCGCGCCCAGCCTTCTTCTAGGGTTTTTATAGTTTTGGGTTTTGTATTTAAGTCTTTAATCCATCTTGAGTTAATTTTTATATAAGGTGTAAGGAAGGGGTTGAAAATCAGATGGTTGTAGATGTGCAGTCTTATTTCTGAGTTCTCTATTCTGTTTTATTGGTCTATATGTCTGTTTTTGTGCCAGTACCATGCTGTTTCGGTTATTGTAGCCTTGTTGTAGTTTGAAGTCTGGCAGTGTTATGCCTTCAGCTTCTTACTTTTTGCTTAGGATTGTCTTGGCTATAAGAGTTCTTTTTTGGTACCATATGAATTTTAAAATAGTTTCTTCTAAATCTGTGAAGAATGTCAATGGTCGTTTAATGGGAATAGCATTGAATTTATAAATTACTTTCGGCAGTATGGCTATTTTCACGATATTAATTCTTCTTATCCATGAGCATGGAATGTTCATCTGACAAAGGTCCAATATCCAGAATCTACAAGGAACTTAAAGAAATTTACAAAAAAAAAAAGCCATTAAAAAGTGGGCAAAGGACATAAACAGATATTGCTCAAAAGAAGACATTCATGCAGCCAAGAAACATGAAAAAATGCTCAACATCGCTAATTAGAGAAATGCATATCAAAACCACAATGAGATACCATCTCATGCCAGTCAAAAAGTCAATTATAAAAAAGTCAAAAAATAACAGATGCTGGCGAGGTTGCGGGGAAATAGGAATGCTTTTACACTGTTGGTATGAATATAAATTAGTTCAACCATTGTGGAAGATGATGTGGCAATTCCTCAAAGATCTAGAACCAGAAATACTATTTGATCCACATCCCATTACTGAGCATATACCTAAAGGAGTATAAATCATTCTATTACAAAGATACATGCACGTGTTTGCTCAGTGCAGCACTATTCACAATAGCAAAGAAATGGAATCAACCCAAATGCCTATCAACTGTAGACTGGATAAAGAAAATGTGGTACAGGCTGGGTGCAGTGGCTCATACCTGTAATCCCAACACTTTGAGAGGCCAAGATGGGTAGATCACCTGAGGTCAGGAGTTCAAGGCCAGCCTGGCCAACATGGTGAAACCCCGTCTCTACTAAAAATACAAAAATTAGCCAGGTGCAGTAGCACATGCCTGTAATCCCAGCTACTCAGGGGGCTGAGGTAGGAGAATCACTTGAACCTGGGAGGTGGAGGTTGCAGTGAGCCAAGATCATGCCATTGCACTCCAGCCTGGATGACAGAGTAAGACTCCATCTCAAAAAAAAAAAAAAAGAAAAAGAAAAAAAAGAAAAGAAAAGAAAAGAAAAGAAAAAAAGAAAATGTGGTACATATACACCATGGAATACTATGCAGCCATAAAAAGGATCGAGATCATGTCCTTTCCAGGGACATGGATGGAGCTGGAAGCTGTTATCCTCAGCAAATTAATGCAGGAACAAAAAACTAAACACCACATGTTCTCACATATAAGCTGGAGCAGAACAATGAGAACACATGGACACAGGGAGGGGGACAACACACATTGGGGCCTGTTGGGGGGTAGGGTCAGGGGAGGGAAAGTATCAGGAAATAGCTAATGCATGCTGGGCTTAATACCTAGATGATGTCTTGACAGGTACAGCAAAACGCCATTACACACATCTACCTATGTAATGAACCTGCATATCCTGAACATGTACCCTGGAACTTAAAATACAAATTAAAATTAATTATAAAATAAATAAAACTTTAAAAATTTAAATGCACACTTACTATATGACATAGCAATACCTAGGAATATGTGTAAGAAAAATAAAAACCTGTCACAGAGACATGTAGGTAAATATTCACAGCAGCATTATTCATAATAGCCAAAAACTGGAAATAATTCAAATGTCCATCAATTGGGAAATGGACTTTTTTAAGTGCCATATCCATACAATGGAAGGTTATTCAGCAATAAAAATGATAGCACTACCATACATGCTACAGTGTAAATTAACCTCAAAGAAGAAGTCAGGTGCAAAAAGCATAATTACTCTGTAATTCATTTATATAAAATGTTCAGAAAAAGCAAATTTATAAAAAGAAGAGAAATCAGTATTAGCCTAGAGGTGAATGTGGAAGCAGTGATTAACTATAAATGAGTACAAGAAAACTTTAGAGGTAATGGAGATGTCCTAAAACTGGAATGTGATGATGATAGCTCTGCTGTATAAATTTATTACAAATTATTGAATTGTATACTTATAATAGGTAGACTTTAAGATACATAAATTATACTTCCATAAAGCTGTTAATAACAAAAAACTACATTACATTGGAAGGTATCTGGACATAAACTACTTGATAAGCAAGAAGTCTACTGATTTTAAAGACATCCCCAGAATTTTAAAATTCTGGCCGAATTTTTGGTTTCTCTTTATGTAGTCCCAATCAAGGTAATGGAGAGTTAACTTAGTTTCCCCTATTATGAACCCATCTTAAATGTGGAAGGGAAGAAAAAGAGTGAGTCAGCTCTCACATGACCCAAACTTGTTGCTTCGTCTCTAAAAGTGAGTCATGAAGGCAACTTTTTCCTTGCCTATGAACGTGTTTGAGGAAAAACTATGTGCTTGGTTTAGCATCATTGACCACAATAATTATAGTGCATGAGAATTTATGTTGTATATAAGACTGCTAGATTGGTGGTGGGGGTTTAAGGGACTCAATGCCTGAGGTCTAAGTCTTTAATCCACAAAAAAAAATGCACTTTTTTTTAATGGTCTAAACTAACAATTATGGGTTGTAGAAGTGTTTGTGCTTGTTCAGATGTTCCATGACCAAGAATTTGAAGATGTACATTTTCCAAGTAAATCCAGTACTGAGGAAGAGTGTTAAATTGTCATATTGGAGAGCTGTTTCTATTTTAATGAGTCACATCTCTAGTAAAGACAGGTCTTTCTTGTAAGACAGACCAAGTCTGCTCAGAAGTTAAGAAAGAAGGTATGGTTCACGTTCTTGGAGGGGGAAAAATGTTTTCACTTATGATTTGAACTCCATCACTAAATTATTACTGATGGTCACAGAGCAACTGTTAGACTACATATTGGTCACCAATTTGATTTCACACTAACGGTAATAGCACAAAAGTTCCCAAAGGCTCACACAGAGCAACAGAGCAATCACATCTCTTAAGCAGTTACTACTTAAGCTGTTAATTTTGCCACTTTTTTCAAAATCAGTACGGCACCAAAGCCAGTATTTCAACCCAATTTGAGGCACAGGATCAGATACATAAAACTATTTACGCTGCTGCGCATCATCTATACAATATCAAGGCTAAAAAGAACAGCTTTTAAGTCTGATATATTACAGTCTTTTTGAGACAACAGCTTCCCAATTTTTATTTTATAGATTATTACAGTGGAAGCAGGTAGTCCTTTCATATAACTTCCCATATGCCTAAACGTTTATTTTATTTCTGTTCCTCAAAGTGAACAAAAAACATAAAGAATAGAGGAGTATTTAATTATACATCTAGATCACCTAGTAGCTGTAGTAATGTTAGAAAAGATAATTTTGAGGTCTTAATTAGTGGTACGAAAAGCCATAAGAGGATAGAATTCCCTCATTTCTGGTCCTTTTCCTCCAATCCAGAACCACAACTGAGCAACTAAAGAAGCTTAGCTCAAATTTTATACGGCAAAACTCCAAACCCATGCAAAGTTTGTCTGAATTTAAGTTCAGCTACTATTCTCATCCTATCTGCAATCAAGTGAAGTCAGTTTCTATTGGCCCGTGGAGGCTCAGACCTACACAGAACCCAGAACCAGTCATCACCCAGGCAGAAAGTGGATCAGAGGCCCGTAGTTGAGCCAAGCTTTGCTTCATGAGGCTGAAACCATGGCACCATCACTTATACGTCCATCAGGACTAGGTACATTGTGCCTACATTGACCTCTGGGAATTTCTCTTCTGTCAACCCAGAGTTCGTCAGCTTGGATCTTTTCCTCCCAACACTTTAGAACTCTGGTAACAACAGACATTTTGCATGCTTTCCCAATTATTTGGACCTCTAACCTTTTCTAATCTTTCAGAATCCTCCCTATACTATTTATTTCTGAGACTACTTTTTCCTGGCTTTTTTCCCAGTGACCCCATACTCTGTGGCTGTGCCATGGTAAAAAAGGAATCATTGTCACTGCAACAAGGACTTTAGTTCTATTGCACCATGGCTCCCTATAAAGCCAGCAGTAATTTGGCACCATGAGGCTTTAATTTAAATTCGTATTCCATGATTTCAATTTAGCAAACTTGCTGAGGCCCTCCTCTATGCTAGATGCTCTGTGAAAATGACTACCTGCACCTAGCCCCCAAATTCACAACCACTCCCCTCCCCAAGATTTTTTGCTTTTAAATTAGACATGAGGAAGAGTTAGTAATAAGGGAAACAGCTGACCCTGAATGTCTCACCCTCTGAAGCATGAACCCAAGGTTTTCTCTGACTTATGAATCATATTTAAGATGACAATACTCTTTGAAGTTATTTTTCTTGAAGTATTAGCAAGAGGCATGTCCTAGGCTTCTCAGAGAGGTTTTGTGTAAATTAATGCTGCTTCTGGAATACATCAAAGGAAGTATAAATGCACAAATCATATCAGAGTCTCTCTCCAAGGTGTTTACTTCCCAAGCATCTAGACCAGCACTGTCCAACAGAAATAGAATGTGAGCTACACATGCAATATTTAATTTTTTAGTAGCACCATTTAACATAGTAAAATGAAACAGGTAAAATAAATTTCAGTAACACATTTAATTTAACTTATTATGTTCAAAATTTTATCGTTTCAATTAAGTCTTTAAAATCCCGTGTGTATTTTACGCTTACAGTACATCTCAGTTCAGCCAAGTCACGTCTCAAGTGCTCAATAGCCACGTGGGCCTAATGGCTACCACATTGGACAGCACAGTCTCTGTTTAGTTAGTGAAAGCCACCCAAAACAAAGCTATAGACTTAGAATAATTCTTTTGAATTGTTAAACTTTTGTAATTGACTAAACATGGTCCAATAGCCATGCCATTAGATCTTGTTTAGAGGCAAGCAAACTGTTGACCTGAAATAATGTTTTTGAATCATCAAAGCTTACAGAATTGTATAATTGATGAACTTGGGTCAATGACTTGCTTAGATTTTGTCCAAATGTGAAAGGTTTTCCATTTCAAAAAACTGTAGCTATGAGAATTTAAGATGTCACGATTAATTGGGTAAGGATTTTGATACTGGGCTATTTCACTTTATGAACAGAGCTGTCTCAAATCCACCAAAATGACTTATGATGAGAATCTCTATACCAGCAGCAGAAAACAAGCTAACAATGCTATTGAAGTCAGAATGTATCATTTGCATATCTTGTGACATGTCTGTGGTAACACTTTGCCCTTGGCAAAGGTCAGAGACACAGACATGGAGCCTCAAGGACTGGTCTCCAATCTCCTTATAATTAGCTTTGCAGACATGAAATTCCTGACCCTGAAAAGAGAATGCCTCCCTCCACTGAGAAACAGTATCTAGTCTCTTCCTGTGTGAGAATGTTTTGCTTCAATGTAAACAAACTAAAGAGTTGAAAAATGAGGTGCAAATATGCTCTCTTCCAAGTAAACAACCAAGCCAGTTAGAATATGATTTTCCTGGAATGTGTTGTGAATTCCAAAGGCAGGCACACACTTGTCAAAAGAACAGAACGTCCTATGATGGATATGGACTGAAGTGGAATACATTCATGCATAAATTCCACAAATCCAACCATGCATTTACATTTTTATAATGTTTACATATATATATATATATATATATATATTCAAATATTTTCTGGATCTTAAGGCATAGCAAGTGTTTATTTTAAAGAACTTTGTTTTGTGGATCATTAGAACCAATCTTATTTGGTAGCATCACTGAATATTACATCACCTTCTAACATCTCTGACGCCTGTCTTGCTTTTTGTTTTTTTAACAAGAGAGATACAACACAATGACTAAAAAGAGAAATGCTTCCCAAACTACTTAAGTATCTTAGAACAATTTTAATTAAGTATGGTTTATTAAGCTACTAAACATCCAGCCAGATAGGTATATGTCCCCTGCTACTTATATTCCTAACTGGAAGGGCTTTTGTTAGTGTTACCCTTTGAGTTGGTTCTCAGGGCTGGGGGTAGGGTGAGGTAAGTGAAGCATTCACTTCAGGTGCAAAATTTGAGGAGGCATCAAAAAACTCAATAATCAAGAAAAATAATGTTTCTAATACAACATTTTTTAAAAATCAAAATTAATGCAAAAAAATATGATGAAAAAAATAACAAAACTTTAAATAAAGACAAAATGTGACCCTGCACAACTCTGCCTCAACTCCTTCACCCTAGACCTAGCTCTGTTCAACCCCCTGCTTTGGAGGGAAGAGTGAATGGTCTGTGGGTGGATTGCAGACAAGGAATCAAGCGGTGTGCTCTTCCTTCAGAGTTGAGCAACCTGCTCTGTTCCTCTATACTGTGAGCACCATCTGGTTAGGCCCCCACTATGGGAGGGCTTGCAGCTGGCCAGAGCTGCCATTGTCTCTAAAGTACAATCATATGTCTTTCAACAAAAGCGACACTTTCTGAGGAGTGCATCATTAGGTGATTTCGTTATTGTACAAACATAAGTAAACATCAGTGTACTTACAGAAACCTAGTTGTATAGCCTACTATGTATCTAGGCTATATGGGATAGCCTATTGCTCCTAGGCTACCAAGCTGTATAGCATGTTACCGTCCTGAATTCTCTAGGCAATTGTAACATAATGGGGAAGAATTGTGTATATAAGCATATCTAAACATAGAAAAGGTACAGTAAAAATATGGTATAAAAGATAAAAATTTGTGTGCTTATATAGGACACTTACCATGAATGGAGTTTGCAGTACTGGAAGTTGCTCTGGGTCAATGTTAGTGTGAAACTGACCCAGTTGTCCCATAGAGCTGACGTTTATGGTTTCCTGGACTAAACATAGAAATGGATCCACCCAGTTTTAAAACTTGAGAAAATTATACTTGTTTTGTCTGAGTTCCTTTCTCTGGAAACCAACCATCAGACCTCCCAGATAGTAGCAAGGAGTTGAAACTCACCAAATCACTTCATTTGGACAGTGAGATGTCAGACCCCTCACCCCCATCATGATTGCCTAACTGACCACCTGCTTTCCATTGACCAATTCCTCTTACTTATCCCTCCCCAATTCCTGTTTTCCCACACAGGATTACATTTCTTCCCTGCTATATAACCCCTAATTTTACTGGTCCAGAGAGGTGGATTTGAGACTGATCTTCCATCTCCTTGGCTGTAGCACTTAATTGAAGTCTTCTTCCTTGGCGATATCCATTGTCTCAGCGATTAGCTTTCTGTGCGGTGAGCAGCAGGACCTAACCTAGACTGCACCCCTGATGTTTTGGTAACAAATGAGTGGTGAGTTAATGTGAAGGCCTAGGACATTACTGTACACTACTGTAGACTTTATAAACATTGTACACCTAGGCTAAACTAAGTTTATTTTAAAATATTTTTCTTTCTTCAATAATAAATTAACCCTAGCTTACTATAACTTTTTTATTTTATAAACTTTTTTATTTTTAAAATTTGTTTATTCTTTTGTCAAAGCACTTAGTTTAAAACACAAACACATTGTACAGCTGCACAAAATTTTATTTCCTTATATCTTTATTGTATAAAGTTTTTTCCATTTAAAAAACTGTACTTTTTAAACATTTTTGTTAAAAACTAAGACACAAACACACACATTAGCCTTGGCCAACACAGGGTCAGGATCATCAATATCATTGTCTTCCACATCCATATCTTGTCCCACTGGAAGGTCTTCAGGAACAATAGCATACATGGAGCTGTTATCTCCTATGACAACAATGCCTACTGGAACACCTCCTGAAGGATCTGCCTGAGGCTGTTTTATAGCTAACACTTAAAAAAAATAACTAGAAGGAGTATACTCTAAAATACCAATAACAAATATGTTTAGTAAATACATAAACCAGTAACATAGTCATTTATTATCATTACCAAGTATTATGGACTGCACATAATTGTATGTGTTATATATACCTTTATAAGATTGGCAAGGCAGTAGGTTTATTTACACCAATATCAGCACAAACATGGGAGTAATGCATTGCACTATGACTTTATGATGGCTACAATGTCAAAAGCAATGGAAATTTTTCAGCTCCATTAGAATCTCATGGGACCAATGGTATATACACTGTCTGTCATCGACTGAAACATTATTATGTGGCACATGACTATATTAGCAAGCCCACCTTGTTTAGAGACCAAGCATCAGGTTCCCCAACAGTCTTGGTGAAAACAGCAACATTTTCCTCTCCATCTGCCTAACTTTTGTGGATGTGTATGTCTCTTAATAGATTCTGAATTCAGGCAAGTGAAAAGGGGTAGTTCGTTCTGAATCCTCTAACATCCAGTCATATAATACTGGAACTCCTGCACATTCTTGTAGTCATCATAACAAATAGTCTTATGTTATACAGATGCTGTGCATCAGTCACTCTTTCCTATGTGTTTTAGGATGATAGTGGTAGGGCCATTCAAATTCCTGTATCTTAAGTTCACCAGAAATAAACTAAAAATATTCTTTATTTCCTCTGGGTTTGCTTCTGTTTCATTCTGTAGAGAATACTTGAAAGAAGAACTAGGCATATTTTAGTTAGACCCTAAATGATCTTAGGCCTACTTCTCATGACCTTCAGACAGAGCCCATCACTGCCACCAATTGTCACTAGTTGTTGACTTCCCAAACATAACACAATATGAATTGCATCAAACTCTGTCTTCAATTGGCTTGTAGTCTAAAATAGGCCAAACCAAATCATATAGGCTGCATGGAAAATGGAAAATGTATTGAATAATTAATTAAGGGCACAGAAATATCTTCTTCATAAAGAAAATGAATTCTATTGCTACATGTCCTGATTTGAGTCTTTATTTCACAAGGTAGAAATAAGACGGGGACCCATAATAGTGGCATTCCCAGAGAAGAGGGGCATGATACAACAGTAGTTTTATGCAGTAAGAACAATTAAATGTGCACAAAATAATAAGCGATGTTTTTCAAAATTTTGATGCCTGAAGAGAAGAGGAAAGGGGCAGAATTGGAGTGCACTTGACAGAGAGGAGAGAGAATGACCTGAGACCAGGTAGGTGGGAGATAGGAAGACACTGTCAGAAAACAAATACCAGGCTCCAGAAATTATCGGCAAAAAGGGACATAACTTCCTTTGTCCATAGCCAGCCACCTGCTTTCACATGTACCTTTAAACTCCCACACATCCTTCATCACTTGCTTACTAATGCCTGGAATTCCTTTATCTGCAAGTGAAGGTATTTATAAAAAGTCAGATGAAGAATCATTAAATTCAAATATGTATTGACATCACGAATGAAACTCAATCACAATAAAATGTAGGCAGCTAATCCATCATTAAACTCCTCATTCTAATGAGGCAAAGACTGAAATATGAAGATGAAGATATGCATGCACTGGTTACATTTGTATCCTCAGTACCTAGCACAGCATCGGGAATTAGCATGTGCTAGATAAATATTTGTTGCATGAAGAAGTCAAGGAAGGAATGGAAATGGGGCAAGATAGAGAGAGGGTTGATGGGGGGTGCTGTGAAAAAGCAGGGAAGCAAGAGAGTAAAAGTGTGTGCGTGGACACAGATGAAAGGAGAATGGCTGGCCCATCGTGACACGGATTTTTCCAGGTGCTTTGTATTTTTCCATTAATTTTTACAACAGTCATGTATGTAAACTATTAAAGAATATGTTCAGCTTCTCATAGCAGAAAATCCAGCACACAGCAGCTTAAACAAATAGGGGATTATTTTCCTCTCCAACTGCCTGACTTCTGTGGATATGTGTGTCTCTCAATAGATTCTGAATTCAGGTGAGGGAAAAGCAATAGTTGGTGCTGAATCCTCTAAAATCCATGCACATAATACTAGGACTTCTACACATCCTTGTAGTCATCATAACAAATAGTCTTCTGTTATACAGATGTGTGCATCAATCACTCTTTCCTACGTGTTCAAGGTAACAAGGTCTATGTAGGCAGGTGAAGACTGGTGTTAGTTTAGTGGCTCAACAAGGCTGGCAACTTTATGAGTCTGCTTTATAGCATAGCGGCTTCAGTTTCCTACCTAAGGTCCATATTCAGAGGGAAAAAAATGAAGAAAAAGAGAGAACCAATGTGTCTTTCTACCTTCTCAGGAAAGCAAGTCTTCAAGAATTCTCATCAGATTTCCACTTGGAACTCATTGGTTAGAAATGTATCACCTTGTCTACTTTTCAGCAAAAAGATTCAGGAAAACAACTCCTTTTTCTGGTCAGCTTGGCATTCTGAATGAAATCTAGGTTTTGTTAGTAATGAAAAAAAAAGGGTGAATAGATTTTTAGTAGGCAATAGTTTTCTAATGCAATGATAGAAAATTACCACAAATGTAGCAACTCAAAACAACGTAATAGAAAAGAGAGCCTTCCCAAATACAACACACACTTACTATAGCCCAGTTTCTGTGAGTGTGGAGCTTGGGGATGGCTTAGCTGGGTCCTCTGCTCAGGATCTGAGAAGGCTACAATCAAGTGTCAGATGAGCTGTGTTCCTTTCCAGAGTTGAAGTCCTCTTCCAAGCTCAGGTGGTCATTGACAGAATTCATTTCCATGCTGCTGTATCACCAATGTCCTCAGGTCCTTTGAGCTGCCCACAGTATCCTGCCATGTTGCCCTCTCTCTTCACACCATTCACTTCACAGCAGCTTGCTTTAAGCTCAGCAGCAGAGCCTCTCTCTCTTTCCATCTGTCTATCTCTCTCCTCTCTTTCTCTCTGTCTCTCTCACTCTCATCTGCTGATATGGTTTGGCTGTGTCTCTACCCAAATCTCATCTTGAACTGTGGCTCCCATAATTCCCACGTGTTGTGAGAGGGAGCCAGTGGGAGATAATTGAATCATAGGGGGAGTTTCCCCCATACTGTTCTCATAGTAGTGAGTAAATCTCACGAGATCTGATGCTTTTATATAAAGAGTTTTCCCATTTGCTTGGCTCTCATTTTCTCTGTTTGCCTGCCACCATGTAACATGTCGCTTTGTTCCTCCTTGCCTTCCACCATCATTGTGGGCCTCCTCAGCCATGTGGAACTGTGAGTCAATTAAACCTCTTTTCTTTAAAAATTACCCAGTCTCTGCTATGTCTTTATCAGCAGTGTGGAAATGAACTAATACATAGGCTAAGATGAAGTCTCATATAACGAAACATAATCATGGTAGTGACAACCCATCACCTTTACAGCATAACATCATCTAATCAAGGGGGTGACATCTCACAGCCTTTGCCATATTCCTTTGTTTAGAAACACGTTGACATGTTAGGAGAGGGGATCATACAAGGGCGTGGATCACTAACTAGTATTCCAAGGGGGTCATCCTAAGGTGTGTCTGCCACAGCAATAACAATGTAATAGAGAAACCAAAAGGGGATTCATTGAAGCTTGGAAGCCCACTTACGTCACACAACAAGTAAAGAGACAATACCAGGCAATACTGTCTGGAAACTCCAGATGTCCGACTAGGTGAGCATTTTCTAAAATACTTTTACAGACCTCACTTTTACAAGATAATATCTGGTGAGTTTCGAAATAAACAGTTTTGGAATGCTAGAATAACTAAAGTTAAACAGATTTCTCTAATTAAAAACTTTTTATCACTTTTATTGTAAATCTCATAGGAATGAAAGCCTTCCCAAATTAATCTGATGCTGGAACACTTTTGTTCATAAAACAATAATAAGAATAGCTAAAAACCATAAAGAACATTCTATGCCACAGGCATTATTCTAAACACAGTCATAGGTCAATAATACTGAAGGGGCTGCCAGAGGCTGTGCTTGTGTGTGCTTGTGTGCATGTGCACGTGTGCTGATACGGGTGGCTCCAGGACAATATATGGCAATACATGGATGGTGCAGCTTCTTTTTCTCCTCCCTCCAACTCCCACACTTCCAATCTCACACCAATACCTGCAGCAAAGGGGCCTAGAAGAGATAGTGGTAAAAGGATGAGAAGGATGAACTTGAAAACGAGAAAAAAGACACAATTCCTCACATCTTCAGACACATGGAACATCATTTCAACAACCACTGAATGGCTCAGATCCAGATCTCCAATTCCAGGTCTAGTGCTTTGCCAGTTCTGTTGTGGCAATGTGTATTAAAGAAAAAGAATGGCTAATTTGCTAATCACACATTCTGTAACAAGATCCATTCATATCTAAAACTTTTATCTGGTAGGAAAGGGATAGACCAGAAGCTGCATCTTTTATAGTCTTCTCCCTGAAGTTACCAAGGTTGATTTATGTTTTTATTTTGTTACAATCTTCTGCTTTCTTCCTGACTTCCTTTGGTTGGTTATCCATTCCCTGAGATTTGTTTTCTTAAAAGAAGGATGGAGGATGATGTTAGCTGGCAGCCAGGAAGTGGGTGTCACCGCCACAAAAGGTCAGTGGAGGGCTACAACCAGCATCATGGAAAGGGGCCTCTTAGTAAGGAAACATGGCCGTGCATTTCTCCAAGACCACGTGACAACCAAGAATCCTCTAGAGCTGGACAAGAGGAAATATTCCGGGAATGGCTTTGTGGTTGGCTGGACATTTGCACAAAGTCCTAAGAGAATTTTTAAGGGACCTGCCCAAACTCTGCCTGTCTATGTAAAAACTTTACTTGCATTCTTTGTTTCTTCATTTTCTACATTAAGACTGATGTCAAAATGAAACATAATTGGGCAGTTAGCAGCATTGCAAAAGCAATGAACTGAGATGTAACCCATTCATAAATAAAACCTATTACTTAATCGTTTACATTCATACAAGTATTTTTAGTTTTTGAAAATAACCAAGGAAATTCTCAGAAAATGTCAAGAGAAAAACTCAAAAGAAAGCCTCTCACAGACATGCAGGAGTCTGATAACAGTTTAAAATATTAATCTGACCTATTTTTTTTTTTACTTGTTACAACTTGGGCTTGCTCTAGATCATACCATCTTTAATTGGTGCGTTTGCTTTGCACTAGACTGTTTGCCTTTCTTCAGTTAACGAAGGAATTTTCCTGCATGAAATGATACAAACAAAGGTCAGATATCTGGGGCCAGAGTGTCAGCAGGAGCCCATGTTCTGGACTGTAAGGGGTAAATTACCACTGGTCACAAAGAAAAAGAGAGAGAGAGAGTAATTGGGTCTTGGTTTTCTGTTTTCCTGCAGGAAGATAATTGTGTTATTCACATGTCCATTTCCACTTAAGGAAAAAATAAACACATAGCAGATTACAGTATTCCAACACTCTGAATTACCCTTCTTTATCTCCATTTTAAAAGCGAAAGTCTTTTTCTATAACCGGTTAATTCCTGAGCTTCTGTCTTGTCTTCTTCCTCACTATGGAAGGATTTCTTCCCAGCACATGTTTATGTATTTTGAGGACTAACTAGTATTTCAAACTTCAGTATTCTTGCTTTTCTTTACCACACACTAATGAGAATTATTCTTGAATAACATTGTGCATTAATTATGGCTCCAGAGAGCAAGATTCCATTCAAGTTCAAGATAGGTTAATTCTAATTAGCATAAAGGTTAGAGATTGAATTTGAAAAGCTACTGTAATAAGCCATGAAACAACCAGGAAAACCACAGATTTTCTCTATGGGTAGTGATATATTGTGTTTGTTTATTTGTTAACACAAGCCGTAGTTCAGGAAGGGGCTGGATCATCAGACAGCAATGAGACCTGGAAAGGATGTGGGTAGTTGGACAGGGGCAGGGAGAAGAGAGTGCATTAAGAGGAATTAACAGAAAATATAATATGTAATCAATCCCTCAGCTCAGGAGGCAGCAATCTTTTCCTGTCAAAAGCCAGAGAGCAAATATTTTAGGCTGTGTGGACTACATACAATCTCTGTAGCCAATTGTTCTTTGTTTGCTTGTTTTTCTTAGAATGCTTTAAAAGATAAAAGCTATTTTTAATTTTTAGACCAAACACAAACAAGACGCATGCCAGACTGGGCCAATGAACTGTAGTTTGTGAACCCTGCTTTAGTCCATTTACACACAGCCATTAAAATTGACCTTTTTTAAAAAAAAAAAAAAAAAAGATTCAGAAATAAAGATGTCTAGTTGTTTAAAAATAGCTCAATCAGGTCATGGGTCAAATATGAGAAAACTTTTGGATTGTTAAAATATAATCCAGGGTGGGCCAGGCACAGTGGCTCATGCCTGTAATCCCAGCACTTTGAGAGGCCAAGGTGGGCAGATCACTTAAGGTCAAGAGTTTAAGACCAGCCTAGCCAACATGGTGAAAGCCCGTCTCTACTAAAAATACAAAAATTGGGTGAATGTGGTGCTGGGGGCCTGTAATCCCAGCTACTTGGGAGGCCGAGGCAGAAGAATTGCTTGAACCCAGGAAGCGGAGGTTGCAGTGAACTGAGATCACACCACTGCACTACAGCCTGGGTGACAGAGCCAGACTCCATCTCAAAAAATGAAAATAAAATAATAATAATAATCCAAGGTGTTAAGTCAAAGAGACAGATTTATTTGTGAGTTTTTGTTTTTTTCCCCCAACCCCCCCCCCAAAAAAAATTAAACTTAAAAAGGTGATTGTAGCGTCTAATTAAAGTTTTGGACTTCAAAAATAGAAAATTTACTCTTCTTTATCTATTTGTCTAAAATCCATGAAATATGTCGTAAGAGACCATAGCTGCCTAATATAGTCTGAGGACTGCCAGTTATATATTTCTCATAAATGCCAGGATAATGTTAATTCTTGGTTTGGCTATAAGAAAGGAGGAAGAGGATGAGAAAAACTAAGACAATATAATAACCACCAATAACCGATATAATTAACAAGCGTAAAGACTAATAATTAATAACCATTTAGCTGAACAGATGAGCTTTTAAAAGGCACAATCAAAGGTAAAAACTTTCTTTCTCATCACAAAAATGTAATCAAACAAAGACTACTTAATTATTTAAGATGAGTCTTACAAAAGCTAAGAGTCCTCCTCCATGGTAGGAGATGAGGTCACTGACCCAGGGATTGTAGAATGAAGGTTTTCTGAAATTCCCTTGCATTGCTTTAATGTTAGGGGGAAATACTTTTATCCTATCCCCATCTTAAACACCAAATTCCTTTAAAGTCTTTATGTGAATCTTGAATTCTCCCCTGCAATAGATTCTCACCATTTTCTTATCAAAGAATGGCCGATTCATTAAATTTCAATGAATGCTATTAAAATTTCAGTGGGATGGCCCATGCCTACCTTACAGTTTCATCAACTCCTAATGCCACACACCCTTGAGGTCACACCTTTTCCACATTGACTTGCAGGGAGCCAGCTGCAAGGGGCTGAAGAATTTCCACTGCCAAAATATACCCCTCTGCCCCAGTGACTGAGTGTTCACCTTTACAAACTCCCAGCTATTAGCTAAGGCTTCTGGTTAGGACAAAATGGAGGACAAAATCCAGACCTAGGGACCAGGAAAAATTCTTTACATGACTATGTGTAGTTTTCCAAAACATACCTATGTCACAATTTGCATCAATTAGAGAATATTTTATATGTACCAGAAAACTGCTACTGAAAAGGCAGAAACTAGAAATCCTTGGGCAACATTATCATTTTAACACCGATTTTAATCTATCTGCTTTGCTTACAACACTAAATTACTATTAAATCAAGTTTAGCCGAAAGCTCCTTACATATTTTAACTTCAGCCTAAAAATTTCTCTGTACATAGTGAACTGCAACCTAACTGGACATGTTAACAAACTGTAACCTGTTCTTGTACCCATCACAGAGTTTTGGCCAATCACAGGCAGCCGACTGATTAAATCATGTGCCAATAAGGGAAAACCCAAGCTGTAGCCAATCCAGCAGTTTCTGTACCTCATTTCCATTTATTGTCCATAAATACAACTTGACCATGTGGCAGCTCCAGAGCCCTCTTAGCCCATTCTGGTTCAGGGGACTGCCCAATACGTGAATTGTTCTTTGGTCTATTACACTCTGTTAAGTTTAATTTGTTTAAGGTTTTTCTTTTAACATAACATCATACTACAACAATGAGAGGAATGCTACATTACTCCCACTTTACAGCTGAGAGAACTGAGTCTCAGAAAGGGTAAGTAACTTGCCCACAATACCAGGGCTGGTAAGTAGAGAACAGTGTGAACCCAGGTTGTTTGACTCCACAGCCTGTGTTCTTTAACCCTCTGCTCTTGACAATATTATTCAGACACAAAACTACGTTAAAATCAAAATATTTATGAGTAATTTAGCAACTTCTTACAGTTATATTGCTTTATGCTGAAATTAACAATACCTCTCTTTAATAACCCCATCACTGATTACCATTATAATGTAAGCTGGCATATTATAAAGAGGAAAGAAAAAGAGTACTTCTCGCTCTTAGCTTCCTATGGATCACTGATGTCTGGTAGAATCTAATGCACCACTTCATTAGCTTGTACTTAATAGTAAATTGTTTGGGCCCTGCAGAGCCCCTAGTGGTCTCACCAGCCACCTTTCATGCTTCCATTTGTTAATGTTCAGCTGCTTCTTCTCATTAATATGGAAACATGAAGTGATTTCAGCTTATTTCCAAATTTTGTCTTGATACCAAGTGGTCTTTTCTCTGGGTATGGGTCTTTGGGTAGCCACTGGAAGGTTTTTGTCTGAAGTCTGAAATGTCTTATAGTAACACAGACATTCCTTAGAAACTGAACTATCTCATAACCCTGATAACAAGCAAAAGTAAAAATTGTCAGGCAATTTGACAATGCAACTATAAATCACCATGACCTGCTCTTCATTCCCCATGAAGACTTGCTCTGACATAGTTCTTCGCTTCTTCCAATACAAAAAGCATGTGACTCTCTTGGACTCCGGCTATGGAAAAAATATTTGGCTAATATGTTTCATGCTATCCTAGGTTTTTTTCCCTATAATTAACTCTCAGATGGACTTTGTCAGAGTTGTCCTCATCTCGTTCAGCAGTCATTTTTTCTTGCTGTATGAGTGTGATGAAGTTAACATGTTGCCCCACTGTGATCATCTCAGCTTTCCAAACAAAAAAATTCACTCCGCAACTATCAAGATGGGCAGAAAGGCAATTTGAGCTTCCTGCTTCTGCATGCTTTGTATCTGTGAACTTTTCCATCCAAAGTTCAGGGGGTTCAGGGGTAAAGGTATAGCTCCAGTATGCATCATTTCTGGTGTGCAGATACCAGACATGTAAGCAGCCCTTAAAACAAAAGGATGTGTGTTTTTGATAAAAATATTTTTATTTTTTAGGAGTGTGAGAAACTGTCTGGGCTTACAGAAACTCCGTCAATCTTGGATTGAGCGCCTATTCTCCTTCATATAGTTATAAGAAATAATATTACAGTGTTCAATTCTTTCAGTTTCAAATCATAGTACACAAAAGCATATAATACAACTTGCCATTTAACCACTTATTTATTACTGAAAAGTGATAGTGTACAGTTAATTGTCCACACAAATGAAGCAGAATACTCTTATAATTATTTATATTTATCAAAAGATCGTGCTGTAGTATTGCCCTGGTTTTATGAGTGAGTTGCCTCTATTTCTACATTTCATTTTATATTAGACCAAGGGAAAATTCTAGCCCAACTCTTTAACCACCATCCTAACCCCACCCCTTTAACACCATCCCTGTGCCATTCCTTTACTCCCATTTTACAGCTTATGTCCTTTCCTTTAGTTCTTATAAAGTGTTCACATGCAGTTTTACTTTTGAATGTCATACTGAATGGTATGGATTGAATTGTGTCCCCCCAAAAATTCATATGTGAAAGCCCTAACCCCCAGTGCCTCAGAGTCTGATTGTATTTGGTATTTGGAGATGGAGTCTTGAAAGAAGTAACTAAATTAAAATGAGGTCATTAGGGTGGGTCATAATGCCGTATGACAGAACATTGTAATAAGAGGTTAGGACACAGACCACACTTGAGAGGGATGACCATGTGAGGCCACAGTTAGAAGGTGGCTATCTTCAAGCCAAGGAGAGAGGCCTCGGGAAAAAAACAAACTGCTAGCAGGGCATGGTGGCTCACGACTGTAGTCCCAGCACTTTGGGAAGCCGAGGCAGGAAGATCATGAGGTCAGGAGTTCAAGACCAGCCTGGCCAACAGGGAGAAACCCTGTCTCTACTAAAAAAAAAAAAAAAAAAATTAGCCGGGCATGGTGACACGCTCCTGTAATCCTAGCTACTCACGAGTCTGTGGCAGGAAAATTGCTTGAACCTGGGAGGGAGAGGTTGCGGTGAGCCGAGATCGTGCCACTGGACTCCAGCCTGGGTGACAGAGTGAGACTCTGAAAAAAAAAACAAACCTGCCAATGCGTTGATCTTGAACTTCTAGCCTCCAGAATTGTGAGAATATAAATTTCTGTTGTTCAAATCAGCCAATGTGTGGTATTTTGTTATGACAGCCCTAGGAAACTAATACACTAGATAAATTACAAAGATTTCAATATGGAGAGGCAGACCAGACATGTGCATAACAGTCAGAGCTTCCAAAAAAGAAGAGTTTCTAAAATCAAGATTCTAGTCAAG
Source organism: Homo sapiens (assembly GCF_000001405.40). NCBI lineage: Eukaryota > Metazoa > Chordata > Mammalia > Primates > Hominidae > Homo > Homo sapiens. Next base: position 113,463,429 of record NC_000006.12, read on the forward strand.
TTATTTACTTCCTACTGGTAAATTGCAACAATTACAAAATAGAGACATCGAGACTGTGTTGTGAGGATTAATGAGATCACATTGGCTAAGTGCTCCTTTAGAGATAACTACATAATTTACCACCTGGGTACATGATTTTTAAAAACCCAGTTTTCTTTCATGTGCAATGTATAGTGAGTAACGCCAGCAGCCTTCATTAATCTTCTTTCTTTTTTTTTTTTTTTTATTAACTAATGCTGTTATAGGAGGGGTTTTGAACCAAGGCTAAAACCAAGAAATCTTAAAAAAAAAAAGGAAGAAAAGGCAGATAACTAAGAAGGCAGAAAAGAAATTGATTTCTATCATTTTTACTGAATACATTAACCTTATAGCCAAATTCCACCAAATTCATTTGTCAGTCTATGTAACAAAACAGAATGAGAAAAAAATTCCAAAGTAGATCAAATTGGAATAAGATCTACTGGATGGACATCTCTTTGAACTTCAATTTCTTTATCTGCAGAAGTGATGACCAAATGCTCCATCTTTATCTGCAAAATGCAATGACAAGCTTCCTTCTTATAATTACAGTCTAAGTAATTCAGACCTACACTCCTATTGAGAACAAGCAGTCAGACAAAATATTTAAAATGATAATAATATTTTTATCTTAAAAGCATCTAAGAGATAATGAGATACTGAGGAATTATTGGGTGAAAATCTGGAAGATGAGATCCTAGAGAGTAAGGCCAGGACTCAAAGCTACTTTTGCTCTGAAGTCATCTTCTGATTTATTAAAAATAAAACTGTGACAAAACTGAGTTGAGTTTTTGGCAGATTTAGAGGCTAGAAAGTGAAAACTTTAATCCCAAGGTGTATCAAAGGTGGGGACTCTGATAAACCATCCTCAGTGTATTAGTCAGCTCAGACTGCCATAACCAAGTATCACAGACTGGGAGGCTTGAATAACAGAAATTGATTTCTTACAGTTCTAGGGGGCTGGAAGTCCAAGATCAAAGTCCTGATAGGATTTAGTTTCTGTTGAGGGCCCTCTTTCTTGCTTGTATGTGGTTGCCTTCTTGCTGTGTTTTCACATGGCAGAGAGAGAGAGAGAGAGCTCTTTATGATAGGATTAGGGGCAGTAATCCTATCAGATTGGTGTCCCACCCTTATGATCTTAATTACATCCTTACACCAAATACAGTCACAGTGAAGGTTAGGGGTTCAACTTATGAATTGATGGGGAAGGAGAGGGGAGATATAATTCAGTCCATAGCACCCAGTTAACCTGAAACCTCATAGCCTCTGGGCAAGAAAGCTTGGAAGTTACCCAGCTCTCCCACAGATCTGCAGTGTTCCGGGTGGTCCAGAGAACATCAGGCCTTGAACTAGAATCAAGAGATTCTCGGAGGCTCCTGGGAGCACTGCATGTCTGGATCAACGGTGGCTCAACAAGTGTTCCTTCACAATACAGACTTTATATTTAATACACACTTTCATATGTGTGTTATATTTCACTTATTGAAGACTTCTTGATATAGTGATAATGCCTGCCTCTCAGGCTTATTATTGGAATTTAATGACGATATCAAGGATTCAGTGTAGTGTCTGATGTTTGCTCAATAAGTCTTCGTATCCTTTTCCTTATCTCCATTTTCTCTCTCAATTTTGCTTCATTTCTTCTCCCCACTGACCTCTTCTCCCTGTAGTACTCAAGCTCCTCTCTTAGCTTAGCTGTTTCACCATCACGTGATGAATCACTCTTGAGTCATGTCACACAGGAAATATTGTAAGGAAGGGGCAAAGGGAGGTCATAACAATATCACAGCCACCTGAGGGCATGAGTTCCAAAATTTTTCTTAAAATAGTAAATTTGAAAAGTTTGTTATAATGTTTGCAAAGCCATCTATTTTAAATACTTCCATTAATAGATGTTGAGCAGATTATATGTGACCAAAACTTGCCAGGTGCTGGAGAGAATGGAGAAGAATCATAAGAATGATTTCTGCCCCCTTGTAGCTAGAGACAATAAATGAAAACATATTCAACCTTAGAGAAATGAGGGGACTCCGAGAAGACTATGTGAGGGAAGTAGGACCTTAAATGGGAATTAAGAATGGAAGCCACTACAAGTGCCAAGTAAAGAAAAGGGAGGATGCTGTCCATGAGAACAAGAGATGTAAGGCAGAGGATGGGAGCAGAGGAAATGCTGGCTGGAAGATAACAGTAAGCACATGAATTGAGTGCCTACTGTGTGCTGTGTACTTTTCTACATGTTACAGATGGCCTCCTGCTTTGTATGCCTCGAAAAGCCTTATCAAGGAAGCATTAGCATCATTTCACAGATAATATATTGAGACTTAAAATGGCCATACAAGAGCCTGTAGTAGTAAAGCTAGAATTTAATGCCAAGCCTGTATGACATTAAAGCTTCTGTTCTTAACCACTACCCTAGACCACATTTCATTAGGATCTTATCATGGAAAGTCTGTCAAGGAAGGCAAATATGGGCTATAGGCAACAGCCAAATGGGAGCCACACATTATGTATTCTTGAGGAAGCAAATGAAATGCTAACAGCATTTCTCTGATCTTGACAGTGAGGGGAAATAGAATTTGTTTGTGACCACGTTTGTTGGACCAAATAGAAGATTGTGAGCTCTGTCCAGGATTGGATATGCTTTGGTTTTCAACCAAGGGGTTGGCCATGAAAACAAAGAGCAATTATTGAATCTAAAAATGAGTTTAAAGGAAGAAAATAAGGAAATGTTGACATTGGCTAGACAGATGAAGGAGAAAAAAAAAGTCAAAGGGAATCTCAGAGGCAGACCAAAATAATGTAATTGATAAGCAGACAACAGACAGGGCAAGCAACCTCTATGAGGAGAACGAGAGCTTGGGTTTTAATGTGTTCAGTTTGAGATGATTATAGGATATCTGAGGATAGGTTTACCATAAGCATTGAGAAAACCTTGGATAAGAGATCATAGGTAGATGCTGGGGAAGCAGTTAAGCATGAGAAGCCTCCAGTGTAGGTAGGATAACTGTTGGTTCTTTGTAAAGCCTCAGAAGTTGCTTATAGGAAAGAGACAGCAAAAGTACAAAATGGTAAATGATGAGAAAATTCTGCCTAGCTGCTTCTTTACTGAAATGGCTCTTCTTTTCATGCTTTCCCCTGTAAGGCACTAACTACTAGGCATGGATGTCATAATACTACCTCCACTTCCTAATTTCTGCCCATTTGTTTGTATAGCTACGTTTATACCTTTAATCCTGCTCTACTTCGTGCCATCTCAAATAATAAGGACAATAAAGATTGGAATCTGTCCACTTTAGCCTATACAGCACTGATCGAGGTGATATACATTTATACCATGTTATTTCGAGGTAAACATGAGATTAAACTCAATTACATTGAAGATTAAATTCCATTAAGTCAGCCTTTCCAATGAAACAGACTTCACAACTTCATTGCATGGCCTTTGTTACATTACTTTGGATAAAAGCTGAGATGCTGTTTAAAAAAGAAAAAAAAAAGCAAAAACCCAAAATCCAAAGGTTCAACAACATGGAATTTTATTTTTCACTCACATGCTTGTTCAAAAGGAGCTGTTACAGTCTGGTGAGATAGCTCTGACATCCTCAACTTACGGCTTCCATCTTAGGGACTAAGGTGGCAGTGCCAGCAATTGGGATATGGAGGGCAGGTGTAGCTTCCTTTTTTTGAGAAGGGATACAGAATATACAATCGCCACTTCTGCTCACACTTTACTGATCAGGACTTAGTTATATGACTCAGGACCACCTCAAGGAAGGCTGGGAAATACAGCTTCTAGCTGGATGGCCTGTGGCCAGCTAAAATTGAAGGGGAGCTGGAAGATCAAGGTTAATTACTAAAAAGAAGTTTAGAACAATTAGCAGATTCTACCACATCTGGATTCAGATTCTCTCCTCACCCTGCTGCTCCTTATACCGTACAACTTTTCTTCTTCAGGTAGCAAATTAATTTTTAAAGCAGCAAGTCCACTTTATAGCGTTGTTTTCAAATGTAACATGTTGCTATTTAAAAAGAGCTAAAAGCAGAGCAACTAGGCTGGAAATTAGGAAGTAAGCTGTCAGAATATGCATCTGACCCTCCCCTCTCCCTGTCCCCATCTCACTTTGTGGGAACCCCTTGATTTTGAGAAATAAAATTTGGAAACTGCTCTCACAGTGTTTATTATAAAAAAAAGAATATACTATGCTTTCTAGGCAGTCAAATATAATTGGTGAAAATCATTCTCTCCTACTTAAATAATGAAAAGACCTTTTCAAATCCTGGTTTACATTCATCCTGTCAGCAAAGTGCACACCCATGGATATGAGTTCAGAGCCATTTCCCAGCCTGAGAGGGCTTCTGGCTTTGCAGAACACCTTGCCAAGCATGAGTTAATCACCACGTTGATGCAAAGAGTGAAGAAGGAGGTTATTTCTGCAATTTTCCCCACAAATCTAATCTTGACAAATGGAATAATGTTACATCTCATTAGCTAATAAACTGTCTGGATTGGGGTTACATGTAAGGACAGAAATGAGTTCAAATTAATGCCTGATACTCTTGGAAACAACTTTTCTTATTCATTCAAGAATAGAGGGGGATGCTGTAAGTTTGATTGGGTTTAATTTAAAAAAAAAAGAATAGAGAGGAAAAAAATAAAACAATTCCCAATAGAAAAGTCAATAGAGCTCAAACAAGCAAACAAACAAAAATTAAGAAATATTCATTTCAGCCACTAATTCTATAGCCTCAATTACTGAAATCTAAGAAAACATGGCAAATACCTTGACTGCTTGGGGCTATGTCTCTGGTTATTTCAAGTCATCTGAGCCAAAACAAGGCCATGAAGTTTGGGGTTTTCTGATTTCATCAAGTAATTTTTGTGTTGTTACCACTTGGAGCTTATATTTTATTCTAGATATGTAACATAATAGAATTAATCATTTTGATTATAGACAGTTTTCAAAATATTTAATTGCTTCTTTTTAAGGAATCATGCCATAGTTTCTCATTTATTCCCCTATTGCCTGATAAAACGTTTCTGGTGAGGAAATCTCTTCTTGAAATGCCCACATGTGTAATACAAATCATTTTGCTTCAGATTGTGAATGTGGGAGTAAGTTGTATTCATCTACTAGTTAATAAAACTCCTAGACTGAGTTCAAAATGGGTTATGTCAATGCTTATCAAGGGAGTTCTCTGCAGGATGACCTCATTACCTGAATTAACAAAATACAAGAGCTTTATTATAATGTGACTTCATAATGGCCTAAGAGCATTTTTTATAAGTTATTAATAGTGTCTTTATAAGATTACCTGTTTGCATATAGAAAATTCAAAATATTGATGCACTTTAAATATATTTGTGCCCCATCAAAAAGTGGGCGAAAGATATGAACAGACACTTCTCAAAAGAAGACATTTATGTAGCCAACAGACACATGAAAAAATGCTCATCATCACTGGCCATCAGAGAAATGCAAATCAAAACCACAATGAGATACCATCTCACAACAGTTAGAATGGTGATCATTAAAAAGTCAGCAAACAACAGGTACTGGAGAGGATGTGGAGAAATAGGAACACTTTTACACTGTTGGTTGGATGGTAAACTAGTTCAACCATTGTGGAAGACAGTGTGACGATTCCTCAAAGATCTAGAACTAGAAGTACCATTTGACCTAGCCATCCTATTGCTGGGTATATACCCAAAGGATTATAAATCATGCTACTATAAAGACACATGCACACGCATGTTTATTGCAGCACTGTTCACAATAGCAAAGACTTGGAACCAACCCAAATGTCCATCAGTGATAGACTGGATTAAGAAAATGTGACACATATACACCATGGAATACTATGCAGCCATAAAAAAGGATGAGTTCATGTCCTTTGCAGGGACATGGATAAAGCTGGAAACCATCATTCTCAGCAAACTATCACAAGGACAGAAAACCAAACACTGCATGTTGTCACTCATAGGTGGGAATTGAATAATGAGAACACTTGGACGCAGGAAGGGGAACATCACACACTGGGGCCTGTTGTGGGGTTGGGGGAGCAGGGAGGGATAGCATTAGGAGATATACCTAATGTAAATGGAGTTAATGGGTGCAGCACACCAACATGGCACATGTATACATATGTAACAAACCTGCATATTGTGCATATGTACCCTAGAACTTAAAGTATAATTTTTTTAAAAAAGTAAAATGTAAATAAGTAAATAAAAATAAATATATCTGTGAGGCCAGGCATGGTGGCTCACACATGTAATCCCAGCACTTTGGGAAGATGAGGCAGGTGGATCACTTGAGGTCAGGAGTTTGAGACCACCCTGGACAACATAGCAAAACCCAATCTCTAGAAAAAATACAAAAATTAGCCAGGCATGGTGGTGCACAACTGTAATCCCAGCTACTCAGAAGGCTGAAGTAGGAGAATAGCTTGAACCAGGAGGCGGAGGTTGCAGTGAGCCGAGATCATGCCACTGCACTCCAGCCTGGGCATCTGTCTCAAAATACATATGAGAATAAAGTTTTTCTGTACTTTATGAGGGCTCTTATTTCTTACATTTAGGGACCAAATTAAAATGAAACACATTAGAGTATCTACCACTTACATTTTGTTTCAATTTCAATTGTTTTAATTTGCACAGAACTTCATGCCAAAACTTATCCAAGAAAATATTAGGGTTTCAGATATTGCTTTACATGATTTCTATCAAACAATATTTAGATGAACAAAATACTGTTTTGCATGTCCTAGTCCCTGGAGAGCCATGAGTAACCCCTTGTATTCAGGAGAGAGAACCATGGAAACAATTCTGCCTACAAGAATGCAACGTGTTATTTTTCTGACAATTCATATTCTGATCAAACCAGCAATTAAACTATCTAAGCACTACAGAGATAAAATCAGATTAAAATCAAATTATGGCACCTGGTCAACTACTTCTCCAAATAAAAACAAGAAGAGACTCAATATTCCCTTTTTAAAGATGCCAGATGCTTCAACTCTTAAGATAAATATAAACAGCATTTAACAAGTTCTAGCTCATAGAGGCAGTGCCTTCTCTAGTGTATCCTACAGCCCTCACAACAAACTTTCTTTAGCCTATGTATTTCTTTCTTGCTTTATTTTTTCAAGTGTGTGCATGTGTATGTGCACGCACACACATAAGTGTTTTGAAGTTTATCCCTGTATGAAATCACAGCCTATTATTATAGTAAAATATCCTAAGCTACAAGAGGACAGGGGTAATGTCTTTTTTATGCACCTCAAATCCCCAGTGCTTGGCACAAAGCAGATGCTGAGTATTTTTTAATAAATTAGTGAATTAATAAACTATTGCCAGGATTTTTACTCTCACATTCTCTTTCACTCTGTATAAAAATTGCTTTTGTCAAGGCTACCCATAACCTCCATTGCTAAATACAGCTGTCAATTCTCAGTCCTTATCATATTTGACTCATCCACTGATTTGACAAGGTTAATCACTGACTCTTGTTTGATGGTCTACTTCTTACCTCATTGTTCACTCTTTTCAAGCTCTTTTGCTGGTTCCTTTTCTCCCTGAGTTTCGAATGTCAGGGGTCCTCAGGATTTGAGTGGTGGAGTTCTTTTTTCTTCAATGATTTCACTCACTCTCATGGCTTTAAATGACATCACTAACTTCAAAGGTATACCTGCAGCCTAACATCACTCCTGAATTCTAGACTATCCAGTACTTACTGACATCCCTACTTGGATATCCAACAGTCATCTCAAACTTAACACTTCCAAACTTGAATTCCTACCTTCTCCCCATGCACAACCCCCCTTCTGGTCCAAAGACATTCCATTTGCACTTCTCTCCATATCACTTGGTGGTTTCCAATCCTCTAGATGCTCAGGTAGTTGCTATTCCTACCACCAGCACAACTGGAGGTACCACCAGATGCAAGACAAATGGCTTCTCCCTTTCTTGAATTTATATTGTTCCATCACGTTTTTCCATTGGCAGATCCTATCTGGAAACCAGTTGGCAAAAGAATCTGGGCATAGTAGTTTGCAAGCTTCCAGCTCCTTGGTAAAGAGGAGAGTTTAGAATGGGTGAGTGGAGCCAAACACCTGCAGCCATTATCTGCTGTAACCTTCTAATTTGCCTCTCTATTTCCACCCTTATCCCTAGTCTATCTCAACACTGCACTCAGAAGCATTTTTTTTCTTGTAGGAATTTATATATATATATACTTTAAGTTCCAGGGTACATGTGCACAACATGCAGGTTTGAGACATAGGTATACATGTGCCAGTTGGTTTGCTGCACTCATCAACTCATCATTTACATTAGGTATTTCTCCTAATGCTATCCCTCCCCCAGCCCCCCACCCCACAACAGGCCCTGGTGTGTGATGTTCCCTGCCCTGTGTCCAAGTGATATCATTGTTCAATTCCCACCTATGAGTGAGAACATGCGGTGTTTGGTTTTATGTCCTTGTGATAGTTTGCTGAGAATGATGGTTTCCAGCTTCATCCATGTCCCTGCAAAGGACATGAACTCATCCTTTTTTATGGCTGCATAGTATTCCATGGTGTATATGTGCCACATTTTCTTAACCCAGTCTATCATTGATGGACATTTGGGTTGGTTCCAAGTCTTTGCTATTGTGAACAGTGCTGCAATAAACATGCATGTGCATGTGTCTTTATAGTAGCATGATTTATAATCCTTTGTGTATATACCCAGTAATGGGATGGCTGGGTCAAATGGTACTTCTAGTTCTAGATCCTTGAGGAATTGCCTCACTGCCTTCCACAATGGTTGAACTAATTTACACTCCCACCAACAGTGTAGAAGTGTTCCTATTTCTCCACATCCAGTCAGAGGCATTTTTTAAATGCAAATCAGATTGTGTCACTCCTCTGCTAAAATAAAATAAAATAAACCTCACTTGCTCTTCATTTTACATTTTACTGGTTAAAGACAATGTACTTAACTGTTGTCTGTAAACGATATGTGATCTGACTCCTGTGATCTTTCTCTCTCCATTGTTAGCTCTACACTAGCAGCTATAGGAGCCTCCTTGCTGTTCCAGGAATACAGGCACAATCCCTTTTGCCCTTGACACTGGTTGTTCGGAAACCCTAAAACATTCTCCCTAGGTGACCATTTGCATAACTCCCTTACCACTAAGTCTTTGCTCAGTTGTTATTTTGCTAGTTAGGCCTATTTTAAATTATAATCCTCTGCACCCCCAACATTTTCAATACCCCGTTCTATTACTTTGTTGTTGCTTTTAGAAATTAGCATGTGTTTTATTTTTTTATTAGCCATTACATAATACATATACAAACAGAAAGATTAGAAGTGAATATTAAACAGCTTAAGCTCTAAGAAAATCAGACTTACATAAAAAGGCAATCCTGGAAAAATACAACTTTAGTAATATTTCCTTATATGTTTTAGTTTTACAAATCATTTTCATGTACACTATAGCTTATTTAATTTCTTTATTGTCTGTTGACCTTTAACTGTAATGACTTTTTCCATAATACTATTTTTATGAGGCTACTGTGTAATTATTATTTAGTTTTGTGATATGTAAATTCATTCAATAATACTTCAATAGGCCAGGCACAGTGGCTCACACCTCTAATCCCAGCACTTTGGAAGGCCAAGGGGGCAGATCACGAGGTCAGGAGATAGAGACCATCCTGGCTAACACGGTGAAAACCCATCTATACTAAAAATATAAAAAATTAGCCTGGCATGGTGGTGGGCGCCTGTAGTCCCAGCTACTCAGGAGGCTGAGGCGGGAGAATGGCATGAACCCGGGAGGCAGAGCTTGCAGTGAGCCGAGATAGTGCCACTGCACTCCAGCTTGGGCAAGAGTGTGAGACTCTTTCTCAAAATAGTAATAATATTTCAGTAATTTCTCTTTCATCACTGTTTAAATAATGTCTTTATTTTTAATCATTTTTTAAAGTATATAATACATTACTATTAATTATACTTACTGTATTGTACAATAGACCTCTAGAACATATTTGTCCTATTTAACTGAAACTTTAAACCCTTTTACCAACATCTACCCCAGGCCCAAACCACCCCCCAGCTCCAGGGAACCACCATTCTACTCTGATTCTATGAGTTTGACTTTCTTAGATTCCACATAGTAAGTGAGATCAAGCAGTATTGGTCTTTCTGTACCTGGCTTATTTAGTTTAATATACTGTCCTCCAGGTTTATTCTTGTTGTTGCAAATGACAGAATTAATCTTTTTTGCGAAGGCTCAATAGCATTTTGCTGTGTGTGTGTGTGTCTGTGTGTGTATGGGTGTATATTAAATTTTCTTTATTAATTCACCCTTTAATGGACATTTAGGTTGATTCCATATCTTAGCTATTGTGAATATTGCTGTAAAAAACATGGCAGTGCAGATACCTCTTCAATATACTGATTTCATTTTTTTGATACGTACCCAGAAGCAGATCATATAATAGTTCAATTTTTAATTTTTGAGAAACCTCCATACTGCTTCCATACTGGCTGTACTAATTTACATTCCCATCAACACTGTACAAGTGTTCCCTTTTCTCCACATCCTCTCCAACACTAGTTATTCATATTTTTGGTAGTAGCCATTCTAACAGTTGTGAGGTGATAGACCATTGTGGTTTTAATTTGCATTTCTCTAATGATTAATGATATTGAGCATTAAAAATATATCTGTTGGTCATTTGTGTGTATCTTTTGAGAAATTTCTATTCAGATCATTTGTCCACTTTTTAAATTGGAGGTTATTTATTTTCTTGTCGTTGAGTTGTTTGAGCTTTTCATATAACTTATTAGATGTATGTTTTAAAAATATTTTCTCCCATTCCATAGGTTAGCTCTTCACTCTGTTGATTATTCCCTTTGCTACACAGAAACTTTTCAGTTTGAAGCAATTCCATTTATCTATTTTTGTTTTTGTTATCTGTGCTTTGGGAGTCATACCCAAAATTTATTACCCAGCCCAATATCAAAAAGCTTTTTTTCCTGTATTTTTTCCAGTAGTTTTACAATTTCATGTCTTATGTTTAAGTCTTTAATTCATTTTGAGTGATTTTTGTATGAGTGGTAAAACAAGGGTTCAATTTCTTTCTCCTGAATGTGAATATCCAATTTTCCTAACATAATTTATTGAAGAGATTGTCCTTTCCACATTGTGTATTCTTGGCACTTTTGTCTTGGATCATTTAACAACAAATGTTTGGATTTATTTCTCTGCACAACAAAGCTCTCTGTTATGTTCCATTGGAATATATGCCTGCTTTTATGCCAGTACTATACTGTTTTGATTATTATATTTAATCTATTTGGGGGTCTTTTTAGTTCATGGACCTGAATGTTCATTTTCCTCTCCAGATCTTGGAAGTTCTCTGCCATTATTTCTTTAAATAAACTTTCTTCTACTTTCTCTACACCTTCTGGAAATCCCATAATGTGTATGTTGGTTCACTTGATGTTGCTCCATAATTCCTATAGGCTTTCTTCACTATTTTTAATTATTTTTTCTTCACTAACAGGGTAATTTCAAATGACCTGTGTTTGAGCTCTCATTATTTTCTTCTGTGTAATTGAATCTGCTGTGGATGCTCTCAATAGAATGGTTTAGTTAAGTCTTTGTATCCTTAGCTCTAGAATATCTATTTGGTTCTTTTTATGGTTTCTATCTCTTTGTTGAACTTCTCAGTTTCCTCATGTGTTATTTTCCAGATCGTATTTAGTTGTCTGTGTTCTCTTGTAGCTTACTGAACTTCTTTAAGATGATTATTTTCAATTCTTTCTCAGGTGGTTTGCAAATCTCTATTTCTCTATGGTCAGTTACTGATGGTTTATTTTATTTCTTTGATAGTGTCAAGTTTCCCTGATTGCTCACGATCTTTGTGGCCATGTGTTGGTGTCTATGCATTTGAAGAAGTAGCCATCTATTCCAGTCCTTATAGATTGGCTTCATTAGAGAAAGCCCTTAACAGTCAGCTGGCTGAGATTCTGTGTGCCCTCTGACAGGATCTGTGAGAGATCTTGCTGCTCAAGTCCTCAGGCAGGCTGGCCTGGTGACTAGGTCAGCAGCTGTGCAGGCTTGGTGCCTGCGTCCACAGAAGCCAGCCTGGAACCTGATTTTGAAATACTGGGCCTGGATCCTGGGTACATGGGGGCTGGCCTTGTGCCAGGATCCACTAAGGTAGACATGTTGATTGGGTCTATGGGAGCAGGCCAGGAGCCTGGGTCTATGGGGTGGGCCTAGGGCTTATATTCATGAGGGCCAAGCTAGTGCTGGTGTAAGCTTCAAGCTTGATTTCACAAGGACTTGCCTGGCACTGAGATGGGCCTGGCACCTGGATTCTCAGGAACCAGCCAGGAGCCTGAGTCTTTGGGGGCAGGCTTGGGTCTTGGGACCATGAGTGCCAGCCTGGATCCTGGATCTACTGAGGCAGTCCTGGAAATCTCAGGCACCAGAGTAAACATTGGAAGGGTTGGACCCTGGATCCACTAAAGCAGGTTTGGACTCTGGGTTCACTGCAACCTAGGACTGTGGGGACCAGCCTGGAGCCTGAAACCTGCCTGTTTTGTTTTTGTTTTGTTATGTTTTGTTTTGTTTAACATAGCTCATTTCATCTTCTAACCCACAGAATAAATTCAATGCTTAGTTACTCATGGGTTTTTTTATTTCTCTTTCTTTTTTTTTTTAGATGAAGTCTCACTCTGTCTCCCAGGCTTGACCACAGTGGTGAGATCTCAGCTCTGCCTTCCAGGTTCAAGCAATTCTCCTGCCTCAGCCTTCCAAGGAGCTGGGATTACAGGTGCATGCCACCATACCTGGCTAATTTTTGTAATTTTAGTAGATACGGGGTTTCCCCATGTTGGACAGGCTGGTCTCAAACTCCTGACCTCAAGTGATCCCCCCACCTTGTCTTCCCAAAGTGCTGAGATTACAGGCTTTAGCCACCGCGCCTGGCCTATTTCATGGTGTTTTTTCAATGATCTCCTTCAGCATAAAAAGTTAAACTCCACAAAGGCAAAAATTCTTGTTTGTTCAGTGACATTTCAGGAGCCTATGCCAGTGTTATAGCAGTTAAAAATCAATTTCCCACATGCTTAACTTAATGGTCCTCAGGAAAGGTCTATTCATAACCAAGCAATTGGTTTTCATGAATAATAAACATAACAAGTCAAGTAACTCTTTTATTGTTTTTCTAGCAGATAGCTTCCTAGGAGGAAAAATAGAGAATTGGTATTATCATGCAATGGTAGAGAGGCTGCAAAGTGACAGAATCAAGCATTTTACTAAAGATCTCTTTCATCTGCAAATAATAAAAATTCAATCAAATTGGCTTAAGCTGTAAGTCAATTTATTGCGTGCATTAACTGAAAAATTCAGGAATAGTTCCGAAAACGGTGTAACTGGATTCAGATACTCTAGTGGTGACAACAGAAATCAGTGTCTCTTCTCAACATGACTTTTTCTTCTGTAATGGCTTTAATCTCTGATATGTTCTCCCCAACTGCTGCCAAATCTGGCCTCCAGCAAGAACAGGTTACCTTCTGCCCACAAGGACCATGATGGAAAAAAAAAAAAAAAAATGCCTCTATCCCAGTGGTTCCAACAAAATGCCTTGACTGACTCACTGGCCTAGATGAGTCCATGGCCTCCCTGAACTATTCATTCAGTCTTCACACATCCTGGTTTGGGTCATGCCTTGTTCATCAGGTCAGGGACTGGGGTGACTCTCACTCAAACCAAGATAAATGGCTTCATAAGGAAAAGTCAAAGCCTTTTACCAAAAGAAAGAAGGGGCTGTGGGCTGCCATTACAACTATATAATGAAGTGCCCGGCGTTCTGAGGAAAAGTTAACAATGTATTCAGAGTTAAGTGATAGGAAATGAGGCTGGAAAATTAGGGTAAAGTTTGATTGCAAAGAGCCTTTTTTTTTTTAATGAGAAAAGCACTGGATAAGGTCTCAGGAGACCTGAGTTCTATTTCCAAATCTTACCAGAACTATCTGTGTGACCTTGCCAAGTAACTTAATATCTCTATAAATATTTCCTCAACTCTGAAATAATAAATTACATTAAAAGAATTTCCATGTTTCCCACCAGCTGCCAGCTGACATTTCCAAGTGGGGCAAGCTAGGTGGTACAGCCGGCTAATGCTTACCTACTGCAGACTCATTTATCATCATATGAGGGAAGGAAGAGGGAAACACCTGCTCCCTTCTCCCTTGTTGCTGGCCAGGGACGTCGTTTAGAACCCATACCTGGTGCTGTAAAGGATCCTGGCAGATGCTGAAATTAATTCTAGACAAAGAGCTGGGTTCTTGCCTATGCTTCCAAAACCTGGTCATGCTTCAGCATTACCTGGAAAGCTCATAAAAATATAGATTCCTGGGCCCACTTTTATGGTATTTAATGGGGCTCATGAATTTATATTTTTAGAATTTTTATTGTCTTTACCTTTTTCCACTTTCCAGTCTTGGATGTGTCTGTTTTCTTTTGATCAATATTATTTAATGATAATCAATAATTTTACATATCTCCATGCCGAGAGATCTTGGTTTGGAAATATGTATCCAGAAAACATACTACATATTTTCTGATACTAAAGTATCGGAGACAAAGAAACACCACAATCACCAAATATTTGAATGTTTTATGCAAAGAAGTATTCATTTAATGAGAATTATGGTTAATATGTGCAGCACATATCATCTTTATTCTGCCAGTTTCAGAGAACTAGTCATAACTCTGAAATTTTCACCTAACATCCAAGTCACAATAAGAATAAAAGCATTCTTCACATGTTTTCAGTCATTGATTTTCTTCAAAACAACTCTAGAATCTTAAAAAATATGATAATGATAAATAACTCAGTATCAATTATGTCTAATACATATGTAGTACATCTGCTCTTTTTTGTGATCACTTTTTTGTATATTGCTATATTTGATCAAGTTCTTAAATTTATGAATCAATAATCAGCTTTAGTCTTAATTTTTCTCAAAATGTTTCTCTTAGATTAGCCAATATTTTAATTTTTAAAAGTTCATTCATTTAGATGTGATCAAATTAGCCACACAGAAAGCCTGGGTTCCAAGGAAATGAAATTTCAACCACAGACATGTTTACCTGAAGTTGTTTTGTCATTCTGACTTCCTTCTTGTCTGTGTGAGCATGTGCTCTGGGATTTGTCAAGAAATAGTTAACTTCTGCATGTTGCGTGTTCTTGAGTACTGTAGGGAGTACTGAGAAAGCCGAAGTAAGAAGTAAACATAATATTTCCTTTCCACAAATATAAGAAAACAAACAAGTCACACAGACAAAAAAAATGCACTTAGGATCAACATGAGAACGCCTCTGAAAAAAAATTTTAAGCAAATGATTGCTTCAGGTAAGATGGGAAATTTCCCAACATCAAATAAATTTTAACTCTACTATAACAAAAACCTGGGGCTGGGCATGGTGGCTCACACCTGTAATCCCAGCACTTTGGGAGGCCAAGGTGGGAGGATAGAGACCAGCCTGGGCAATATAGTGAGACCCCATCTCTACAAAAAACAAACAAAAAAAAATTAGCCAGGCATAGTGGCACACATCTGTGCTCCCAGCTACTTGTGGGGCTGATGTGGGAGGATCACTTGAGCCCAGGAAGTCAAGGCTGCCGTGAGCCATGATTGCACCACCGCACTCCAGTCTGGGTGACAGAGCAAGACCCTGTCTCAGCAAAAATAAATAAATAAATAAAGAGAGAGAGAGAAATGAAAAGGAAAAGAAAAACCTTGAATAAATATATTTCTCCTTTGATCCTTTGCACTCCAGCATAATGCAGCTGTTTCATTCTTTAATGAAGCATTCTTGCCAGGGCTATTGTAAAACAGAACTAATATTTCAAGTCACAACATTCTTCATTCATTAATTTTAATCAAATATTTATTTATTTTCTAATATGTGCTAGAAGACTTGGTACTGGGAGATTCTTAGTATCTTCTATATAAACCAAGATCAACACGAGAACCATTTTTAAAGTAGTTTTTCCAAGACTACATAGTTGTCACAGCCCTCCGAATAAGAGGAGGGCCCAGAAGCACCTCAAGGCCCCTCCTGGTCAAATACATCCCCTACTAGAACCCACATGGATGTGCAGCACTTTCCCACACTCATACAGCACCTCCTCTGTGCCCAACACTGCCGTCATCCTAGCTCTGGAGACAGAGAGGAAAATCAGATTTAGCCTCTTCCTCCAGGATCTCCCATACTAGTGACGGAGATGGACATGTGAAAAATTGTAAGTGTGTGATAGAACCTACAACAGTTGCCGGTGCGGAGTGCCAGGGCATCAGGGAAGGCAGTGAGTTCCATCTCTCATGGTAGCATAGGAGCTCAGAAGCATATGAAGAGGAGCATAGAGAGAATCCCTGTGCGTGGCAGAGGAAAAGTATTAGTGCAAATGCAAAAACAAGCATGGCCAGTTTGGGTCAAGTAGCTCTGAATGTTTTGAAGAAAAGTAAATATGAGTTGGGAGAATAAAGAGAGAAGAATGTGAAAGGAAGAGAAGAATGTGGTAAGAATTGAGGCTGGGCCAGATAAGGAGAGGATTTATTTGCTTTGAAAAGGCTTTTGCCTGTTACCTAAAAGCTAAGGGTACAGTCAGGCTGAATTTTAGAAATTTCCCTCCACTAGCAGTATGGGATACATTAAAGTGAGGAAATCTGAAGTTAAGAAAGAGGGTTAGAAGGCTATTTCTATCCAGACAGACTTAGTAATAAGGGCTTACGAAAGGGGACTACCAATAGGAATAAAGGGGAGATGGATTTGAGGTTTGAGGTAACCAATTTGAGGAGAAAAATGTAAGGGAGGGAGAAATCACGGATTCCTGGCAGGTTTCCAGTTGGAGGAAACTACATGGATGGTGGCACTTTCACTAAATACAACAGGACGAAGTAAAGGCATGAGGGTTGTAGAGAAGGGGAAGATGCTGAGTTCAGTTTTTTTCATGCTAGGTTGGGGGTGCTTATGGAAGCTCTGGAGAGGTGGTTGTTCAGTGGGAGCATGAGTCTGGACTCAGAAGACAGCCAGGAACTGGAGATGCCGATCTGGGAAGCTTCCACACGCAGGTGTCCTTTGAAGATATCAGAGAAAATAAGATCAACTTGGAAAGGTGTCAGTGAGAAAGGAGGTAACCTAAGAACAGAACTCTGAGAAAAACCATCATATAAGGGAGGATCAAGGAAAACCACTCACACAAGGGAATAAACTGGGAGAACTTGAGGGAGAAGTAAGGCCTGAACAACATTCACTAAAAATAGTAACGAGGGATTCATTAGTGACTTTAGTAAGAGGAATTCCAAGGATCATATGAGCAGCAGCCAGATTAGTGTCTAGAATCATGATTTAGGATTTAGGATGCAGTGGCTCACTCCTGTAATCCCAGCACTTCGGTAGGCCAAGGCAGAAGAAGAATCGCTTGAGATCAGGAGTTCAAGACCATCCTGGGAAACACAGAAAAACTCCATCTCTCCAAAAAAAAAACAAAAACTTAGCCGGACATGGTGGAGCATCTGTTGTCTCAGCTACTCAGGAGGCTGAGGTGGGAGGATCGCTTGAGCCCAGGAGTTCAAAGCTGCAGTGAGCTTAGATCACACCACTCCACTCCAGCTTGAGTGACAGAGTGAGATCTTGCCTCAAAATAAATAAATAAAGATTTAGGGATGAATTAACGATGTTGAGGATGAAAAGCAGAGATATGGGCAATGAAGCTAGACCATGAGCGGGAGAGGAGACAATAAATAGAATCCACCAGAAGAGGAGACTCAGCCAAGCTGCTTTTATTGCATTATTTTAAGATGGAAGATGTTTATTTATTTGCAGAGAAGAAAGGAGCATGGAAATATAGATTGAAAAACACAAATGGGAGGAAATAATAGATGAAGTGGGTTCTCTATGAAGACAGGAGAGAGTGGGCTAAGAGGATATAGGGAAAGAAATTGGCCTCAGAGAGAAGGACACTCCTCCTGAGAGAGGTGGGAAAGGCCTTCGGTGAGTGCAAATGCAACTGCATATTTTGGGTGAGGGAGAGGAAGCTGAGGGCCTTCTCCCTGCATCTCCTGCAGGAAGATGCAGAGAATGTTTCACAGAGAACATTGAAATGTCTGAGTCATCTTAAAGGAGGGAGCATCTTGAAGGCTGCACTGTTGCAATCCTTCCTTGGGTGATATGAGGAAGGTGAGAGCCTTGTGACCAGAAGCGGGTAATTAAAATTTACAACCCCATGGGCAGGAGTTGCTAAGAGATCCTTCTAATCCATTGAGAGCAACACTTTTGTTGTGAGCCTGACTGCGAGGGGCTGAGGTTCGATTCACTGAGAAACATGTGGGGACTGAGGTGGAGTGTGGCAAATTGGTGGGGTCGGGGGTAAGAAAGCAAGGCAGAGGAGACAAGTGGAAGCTGCTTCATGGAAAATTTGGGCCCTGGAGGATGTCAGAGTTCCAGGTAGTTACCAAAGATGATTCCTGAGTCAATTAATTATGGGAGGAAAAAAGCTATTGTAGGAACATATTTATCTATGTCATTACCCTGCTTACAGTCCAGTATTGAGAATATTGTGGGTGGGGGAACCCCACCAAGCCAAAGGGGCAGGGCCACTCTGCAGAGCCCTGAAGGTGATGATGCCACTACAATGGGCCTAGAAGGCAGGATGCAGAACCAAAGAGGATTCTTCTCAGGCCTTAAGATCTACTGGAATTTGTTCCATTTGGGTTCATTCTTCCCTCTTTTCCTGGACATTTCTCAGGATCATGTCCTCAATTCTGTTCCAATCTTACTTTATAGTTTCAAATCCTAATTTCACATTGGAATGACTTCAGAGACTGTTTTTAAAGTACTGATTCCTGGTCCCCATTCCCAGAGATTTTGATTCCATTGATCTGGGATGGGCTTAGACATCAGTATTAAAATAAAATAATAAAATGAAATAAAATAAATCTCTCACTGGTGATGCTAGTGCACAGCCATGGCTAAGAACCACTACTCTTTAGAGTTGCCCTGAGTAATTCTATTCATTTCCATAACTAAGATTACTATATCCACTGTTAGCTTTAGCTTAGCCAGTGTAACAGAGAGAAGGAAATCATGGATAATCACAAGTTTATAGAGAGAAAATAGACAAAACATGGTACAAAATGGTTTTAAAACCAATTTATTTAGTAAAAGTTATTTTCAGTATGTAGGGACATATTTACTACTCTAGAGACATCACTCAAGAGTATAAAAAATTAATGTTTCAGAAAGGTAGCATTGCATATAGTATTTAAAGGAAAATCATTCAAAAGTTTTCAAAGCTGTCTTTATCATATTGCTATCTCATAGCTGAGCTCTGCTTGTTTTCACGTATTAGAACAAAAACATCACACAATCTGTTTCACTCTGAGAAAAATCCCCTCTTCACCTTTTTAATGGCCCGGCCAACTGTCAGCAGCATAAAGTTCAACTCCATGGGGGAGCTCACGTTTGCTGGTTGACCCCTGAACTTCACTATCACTATCATTTTTCTTTTCTTCACCTCAGAATGTTTTCTTTTCCTAAAGTCTCAGACCTGAGTTCACATAGTCAAAATATTCACTCTTTTTTTTTTTAAGAAACAACTTTCTGGCCTCCAAAAGTGTGATTTGCAATTTGAGCTCACACCAACAGAAAGGAACATATTCCCTGTCAATATTGTAGCCTCGTGTCCAATCGGTAAGAAGAAAGGCTCCTGGCCAGGCACGGTGGCTCACACCTGTAATCCCAGCACTTTGGGAGGCTGAGGCGGGCGGATCACTTGAGGCCAGTAGTTCAAGACCAGCCTGGCCAATATGGTGAAACCCCGTCTCTACTAGAAATACAAAAATTTGCCAGGCATGGTGGTGCATGCCTGTAATCCCAACTACTCAGGAGGCGGAGGTTACAGTGAGCCAAGATCATGACACTGCATTCCAGCCTGGGCAACAGAGCAAGACTCTGTCTCAAAAAAAAGAGAGTCTTGCAAGTTGTAGTAGCCAGTATATACTCTGTTGGTTACTACAACCTAGATTGTAAATATCTTCTAAAATACTGCCTCATAGGAATTTTACTCAATGTTTTTAAACCATGTTCAATTCACAGCATACAAAAAAAAGTACATGCTGAGCACTGTGTATGTTTAGGGCTCCCAAATCTATAGTTCTATCTTAAATTCTTTATAATAATGTCAGACTGTCCTACCAAAGGTCTGCTGAAAAATCCACCTGGATGTTCCAATAGACTACTCATAAAATACCCAAAAATGAGTCAGTCTCCTCCATCATCATATTCCAGGAGTCTGCTCCATCTCCAGGCTCCCTCTTTTGGTAATTGGCACCTTTAGCCTCTTGCTGGCCACCAGGCCAGCCTCTGCCAATGCTTCAGGGCTCTGCACAGGTTTCACCCCTTCTGATATTATTATACTTCCCTGGCACTGTGATGACTATCTCATCTCATTTGGAGGAGAGTGAGGGCTGGTGAGAGAAAATCCAAACCACTGTTATTTTTGAATTGTTGCTATTATTACTACCATTATTATTACTTTTCAAACAAGTACATTTGTGGAGATCTTCTTAGCATTCTATTATCTTCCTATTGAAATGAATATAAAATCGAAACTCCTTATCATAACCAACTTGATCCCATAGGATCTGCCCCCTGTGTTTCTTTTTTTTTTTTTTTTTTTTTTTTTTGAGGCAGAGTCTCGCTCCGTTGCCCAGGCTGGAGTGCAGTGGCACAATCTCAGCTCACTGCAAGCTCCGCCTCCTGGGCTCATGCCATTCTCCTGCCTCAGCCTCCCGAGTAGCTGGGACTACAGGCGCCCACGACCACACCCAGCTAATTTTTTGTATTTTTTTAGTAGAGACGGGGTTTCACCGTATTAGCCAGGATGGTCTCGATCTCCTGACCTCGTGATCCACCTGCCTCGGCCTCCCGAAGTGCTGGGATTACAGGCGTGAGCCACCGTGCCCGGCCTGGCCCCTGTGCTTCTAAGGTTATCTTTTGTCCCTTACCAGCTTCCAGCCACAGAGGCCTTCTTGCTATTTCTTTCATTCTTTTTTTTGGGAGTCAGAGTCTTGCTCTGTCACACAGGCTGGAGTGCATTGGTGTGATCTTGGCTCACTGCAACCTCTGCCACCCGGGTTCAAGAGATTCTCCTGCCTCAACCTCCCAAGTAGCTGGGATGACAGGAGCCCGCCACCACGGCCAGATAATTTTTGTATTTTTAGTGGAGACAGTTTTCACCATCTTGGCCAGGCTGGTCTTGAACTCCTCGTGATCCACCCAACTCAGCCTCCCAAAGTGCTGCCATTACAGGCATGAGCCACTGCGCCCGGTCTCTTTTTTTTTTTTTTTTTTTTTTTGAGACAGAGTCATGCTCTGTCGCCCAGGCTAGAGTGCAGTGGCATGATCTCGGCTCACTGTAACCTCCACCTCCCAGGTTCAAGCGATTCTCCTGTCTCATCCTCCCAAGTAGCTAGGATTACAGGCATGCGCCACCACACCCAGCTAATTTTTGTATTTTTAGTAGAGATGGGGTTTTGCGATGTTTGCCAGGCTGATCTCAAACTCCTGATCTCAGGTGATCCACCTGCCTCAGCTTCCCAAAGTGCTGGGAGTATAGGCGTGAGCCACCGTGCCTGGCCATTCTTGCTATTTCTTAAACACACCAACCTTTTTCCTGATTCAGAACCTTTCTACTTGTTGTTTCCACTGTACAGAACATTCTATCCCAGTCTTCCTAAGGTTAGTTCTTTCTTGCAGTTCCAGTCAGCTCAAAGGTATGGCCTGGGCAGAAGCAAGGTAAGGGATGAGAAATTACTTAATGGGTACAATGTACACTATTCAGGTAATGTTTGCACCAAAAGGTCAGGCTTCACCACTGTGCAATATATACATGTAACAAAACCCTGCTTATACCCCTTCAATTTATACAAATTAAAAAAAAGAAAAGAAAAACAAAAAATCATAGGAGGCAATATCACAGACTAATACTAATTGTATGCAGGAATAGATGGAAATTCTGCTTTAATGTGCCATATTCATTGCAATTTTGTATGATACATGGAATCATGCACTGCTAAGGAGAAGCAGCACACTGATACATGTTACATATTGCATATTTTTATTATATATTGCATTATTTTGTATTAGTCGGTATCATTGTGTAGAATCAACAAACCAGCTGTTATATCGTTTTGCCTCTGTTTCCAGATTTTATAGATATATTTAATAGGCTTATGTAATAAATTAATTCAGCAAATGTTTTCTCAGCATCAAAAAAAGATATAGCCTCAAAAAGTCCTTCCTTGTCTATCAACCAAAATATGGTCCATCTCCCATCACTATCACATCATCCTGCTATACTATCTTTATAATATATATCCTTCTCTGAAATTACTGTGTTTATTAATTTTCCTGATTTTTATCTGTCTTTCCTCACTAAAATGTAAACACCCTGTGAAAAGATTCCTGCCTTTATGCTCACAGCTCTATTCCAGGAGCTAGAATAGTGCTAGTGCAAGGTAATGCTCATTTAAAAAAACTAATAAATGCCAAATGTTCATTGGGCATGAGAAGGCATATCCAAAACACTTGTTGGAGGGCAGCGGGAAGCAAACATCAAGAAAAATATCAGTTTTGAGAATACAGTGGCCTACTAGAACCCCCACAGGGATAATTTGGAGAAGGTTAGCAGAAGACAGTGAACCAACTGGCAGGAAGTCATGGGGACTGAGAAAGAACTAATTTTCAGTAATTGTTTTGAAATCCACCTGATCTGACTCTGAGTGCCTAGGTAGACAGCCATTGCCTCAGGAAGCACGTACCTGTGTCATGCATTTCATCACTTCATTGCACCATGCCCGGAGTGGTATTTTGACTCTTTAATGTCCATGAATATGCCTTGACTTGAGAAGCACTGTAGTGTGGTGCAAAGTGCATTTACTATGAGATCAGCAGACTCAAATACTAGGTCCTGGACTAGCTCTGTGATCTTGGGAAAGACCCACACATGCCTAAACCCATGGACTAGTCTGTTTCCTGCCCTCCAAACCAACCACCACACAAAGCCAGGCATGATCCCTCTGGGCTAGGATTTTAGAATACTACTGTTTCCATTTAGTAATCTGACTGCTGTTAGCTTTAGCCTACCCTCCATTCTTGCCACAACGCCCTTTATTAATTGTCTGTCTTCTTTTCTTCTCTAGGTCAGATCTTCTTTAAGGGTTTTGTTCATGCTTACATCACATCATCAGTACCTCATCCCTACCTACTCCTAACCCCATCCACTACTATTACGCATATGGGAAGAAATAAGAAATGTGGCCGGGCACGGTGGCTCACACCTGTAATCCCAGCACTTTGGAAGGCCGAGGCGGGCGGATCACGAGGTCAAGAGATTGAGACCATCCTGGCCAACATGGTGAAACCCCGTCTCTACTAAAAATACAAAAATTACCTGGGCGTGGTGGCAAGTGCCTATAGTCCCAGCTACTCAGGAAGCTGAGACAGGAGAATTGCTTGAACCCGGGAGGTGGAGTTGCAGTGAGCCGAGATTGTGCCACTGCACTGCAACCTGGCAACAGAGTGCGACTGTCTCAAAAAAAAAAAAAAAGGAAATAAGAAAATAAGAAATGTTTGTCAAAATAGTCAAAACTTTCAGAAAAAAAATAAAAAAACAACTGGTAATATAGATCCAGTACTTTAAAAAGAAACATTCTTTGACCTAATTATTCTTTTAGAACCTTAGCCTTAATAAATAATTCCACATGCAAACAAATATACACATGCAAAGATGTTCAGTACTGTGTTACATTAATTGCAAAACAAAACAAAAACAACAAAAAACCTATAATGGAACAACATAAATAATCAGGAGGACAAGACTAAGTAATTCATGAAATGTCCAACTATAGAAGCTTCATATGTATGAATATATGATATATGATAGAAGGATATTAAGCATACTTCAAAAAATGATGTTTAGTGGACAGAAAAGTAAAGCATACTATTAAACGAAGAAACCACACATTTTAAAAAACCTATATGCATTGTGATCCTAGTTATGCAATATCATAACCCTTATTACCACCACCCCCTCCACACACACACACACCACAGAATAAAAAAGAGCTAAATTTGTTCAGAGCATATTCAATTCAGAAAATTTACATCTGTTTACTGGGGGACTGCTCTATGAATCAGAGAGTATTAGCTTTGTTTTACAATTCAAGAATGTCGAGATTTAAAGAAGCAACTTTACCAAGATTACTGAAATATATTATATTCAGAATATTCTCTGTCATTTTCTGTGAGTCTCTCCTTATGTAAAGTCTATACAATCCTAACCCATTGACTCAGGCTTAGCCATGCAGCTTGTTTAGAGTGATGAACAGAAACACATTGTCCACACACATGTGTGGACACATAATATATTGTAAGGGAATAGGGGATTATAAGGCAAATTTGTGCTGAGTTCTCAGTGAGGACAATCTGAAGAAGTGAAGAGGTGATGAACACACATTAATTTAATCTACCTTATTAAAATCAACACAGTGTGATGAACAGAATCACATTGTCCACTACGAGCCCCCTTTTCTCTCTCTCCTCTGAGGCCAACAATGCTCTCAACCACAAAAAGAGATAAGCTGCTTCTTCATTTTGGGTTCTGGAATAAAGAAGACACAGAGAAGCCATAGCCAACCTAATAAGACATGTAATATGAGTGAGAAATAAACATTTGGTGTCACCTACTGGGAACTAGCAGCTGTACATCCTAACCTAACCCATGCTGATTAAAAGGGACTAGCAATGGGTGAGGGCAAAATTCTAACCTGGATCTGTTTGGCTCCAATATCCATGATCTGTCTACCATATTAGACTATCTTCTTTCATGTTTTCAATTGTCTTGATAAAATTTACTTTTATGTTGAGAAAGAATATACCGTAAAACAATAGCTTTTGTGAATCAGGAATACATTCTAAATGTAAATTGAAATAAATAGTACTTGCCTCCCTGGTTTGACCTTATATCTCCTATTATAAGTAATTTTTATGTTTTGAATCTAATACCCTAGAAATTGTCACCCATGCTTTCAGACTGATGCCAAGCTAAATTTTCATTTATTGGATATGCTTTATTAGCTGGTAGTCAGAAAACCCATATTCGGGCAAATCCTCTGTCCTTTTCCTTTGGAAAGTTTAATTGAACTGATGGGTGCGTGTCACCTCTTATTTGCCAGCCATTCCAGTGATGGGAAAGTAGGCTTTTTGAAGGCTTCTGATTTTATGTTTTTATCTTGACAAGGTGCTATTAGGCCACTCCATGAGTGGAAACCTTTCAGTACAGGCATTCTAGATAGCTCAGAGAATATCACAAAGCCTTTATAAAGAAAGTCTTCCTCTACTTCGGGACACCCTTCTACTGAGCATAGCCATTTGATGCCATGGAGACTCAATCTCTTGGCAGCCAGTGCTGGACTTTCTATGGGAATTTACAAAATTCCTGGCAGGCTCACCTCTGCTATTTTGAAACCCTAGAAACTGAAAGTTTGTTGCTAACTGCTTACAGGTTATAGCAATAAAATTGATTGTCACACCTAGTCAAACTCATTAAACCTTGGCTTTGGGGCCCAGTAGCACACACATATATATAATTATACACATGCCACCTTCTTTTCAATATAACCCAAAGCACCCAGACTCACCAGTCTTGAGAACATCTGAAGTAACAATAATTTTTATACTCAATGTTTCTGACTCATCCTCTCATTTTTTCATGTAGAATTTAAGCCTTCTTTAAAATGAACTCCCTGTCCCATAGATATATTTGGAGGATAGCCCTAGAAAGGGTCTCACATGGGTTCTAGAACAAGTCTTAAGCCACTAGGCCTAATATAACTTTTCCCAGGCTTATACTGAACAGCCACCATGCCCATGTGCATACTCTGTGCTCATCATTACTTCAATGGCCTCTAGAGGACGCTACTTTGCTAAAGGTGCTGTCTCCTGATGTATTGAAATTATATATTTGAATCCAAAACCATTGCTGATTGTAAAAAGGAACAAAAGAAACGTGAAGTAATATGGCCCTCGAGACACTGAAACAGAGCTGTGTTCATATCCTCTCTGGCTAATTTGGTTGTTTCCATTTAGGGGCCATTATGAATAAAGCTGCTATGATTGTTCTCATAGAAGTGTTTTGATAGAAGTATATCTAAAAGTGGAATGAAATAATCATAGAGTGTCTTTTTATTAGAAACTGCCAAACAGCTTTCAAAGTGGTCTATCATTTTATATTCCTCCAGCAATAAAAATGAAAGTTCCAGTTGCACCATGTACAGGAGGGTATGTACAAACTGAAAGTTAGTTACTAACTGCTTACAGCTTATAGCAATAGTGTTTTTTTATTATCCTTCTTAGGGGTTCCGGAAAGTCCATCGGCCAATCTAGTCTAGTCCTGTGGCAAACACAACTTATTAGTTCCTGTGTTCAGGTTAAATAACTGGAAGCCCAAGACACAGCTTCCTTTTCAGAGATCAGAATAAAAGAATTACAACATAAACCTGGAATCTTTCATCCAAGTGGAATTTTTCTATGTAGGCTGCTATTGTTGTGCATGCTTGAAGGAAAAGTTATTAATTTTATCTTGATGTTTTTATTACCTGATTGCTCATTTTCAGAATTCCTCATCTTTGAAGGGTATTTTGTGAATTTATATGTCTGTTGGCTCTCTCCTTGCAACCCTTGTAAGTTAGGGAGATAAAAGTGTTGTCATCCTGCCTGGAACTCCATGGTTGGCAATGGGGGCTTAGCAGAGATGCTAGACACAGTAATGTTTCCCAGAGGAGGTGCCTAGACATGAAGCTCAGTTTTGCTTGAGCTGGAACTATGTTTCAGATCAGCACTAGAATTAGAGCTAAAGATATTTTACACCTGGAGATGTAATCAAGAGATCCCACTGCCCCTCAGCATCCCTCAATTATTTCATGGATGTTGACTAATGAGTACATGGCTGCCATGGGCTATTTACTTTCAGCCTAGAAGTAAACATCAGGTATTTCATAACCAACTCAACTGGGGCCAATATCAACAGTTACAAGGCAGTGGGAGTTAAAGAGATAATAACTTCCTGAGAATTTGTTTCATAATTAATTAAACAATACCACTCCTTCTCCACTGGAAATCTTCATGTACCAGAAAAGTATATCCTAGGTTTTCTTTTACTCTGCTATTTTCATATTGATTGAATTCAAGCAATATAATTAGTGCATGATTTTACCAATATTTAACCTAGATTAATCCAGCGTAAGAGATTAATATTTAAATTAAGTATTTGGAAGAAGAGAATTAGGTACATATAATGTAATTGTTAGATAACCTTAATTAATGGACTGAAAATAACCAATACTATCTCTAAGTCTTATTTTCACTAAATAGATGTGTTCATCTATAGACCTGTGTTTATATACAGATGCGCCTCAACTCACGATGGGATTATTCCCTGATAAACCCATTGTAAGTTGCAAATATCATAAGTTGAAAATGTATTTCATAAACCTACCCTACAACACATCATAGCTTAGCATAGCCTATATTAAATGTGCTCAGAACCCTTACATTAGCCTAAAGTTGGGCACAATCACCTAACACAAAGCCTGTATTATAATAAAGGGTTGAATATCTTACTCAATTTATTGAGTTCTGTACGGAAAGTGAAAAGCAGAATGCTTGTATGGGTACTTGAAGTATTTTTTCTCCTGAACATGTAATGTGTTCACACCATCATAAAGTAAAAACTTGTAAGTTGAACCATTGTAAGTTTGGAACCATCTGTATATATGTGTTTATATATGTGTGTGTGCAAGCACAATTGCAAGACTTACAGTTAATTAAATCAGAAGCCTTAAAGCTGCCAAATGCCACATAAGCCAGGATGAACCACGTTTGCCCTGCCCAAGTCTAAATAAACTCAGGACATTTATTCTCCTCTTTGCAATGTCAGACTCTTTATTTATTTATCACGCTTTGATGATGTCTGACTCTTTAAAAATAGCTCCTGGTAAAGACTGGGAAATTGTTGATGTCTTGCAATCAACAGGCATTTTTCCAGGGATCTGATCAGTAGCCTAAGATGCTACTACTAGTACTGCTACTGTTGCTTTTTTTCTTCCTTTAGTCACTTTCTTTTCCCAATTTCCGGGCTGTCTCAAACTAACCATGGGAATTTGCTAAATGTACTTGAAGGTATATCCTATTCATAGGATTTCCTAACACATCATAGCTTAGCCTAGCCTATTTTAAATGTGCTCAGAACCCTTACATTAGCCTAAAGTTGGGCACAATCATCTAACACAAAGCGCATATTATAATAAAGTGTTGAATATCTTAATTTATTGAATACTGTACTGAAAGTGAAAAACAGAATGCTTGTACGAGTACTTGAAGTATTTTTTCTCCTAAATATGTAGGTCCTAGAACATTCAAAGGACCTACGGGTTGATGGTCTACCTGCTCAGTGTTATATGACCTTCTAGAGCATCCATTTTCTCCTCTGAAAATCAAAATTCACATAAATTCCTCTTTGGATAGTTGTGAAAACAAAGAGGCTAGTGGATGAGAAAATCCTTCATTAATTTTAAGGCATGGGAAAAATACTCTTTATTATTCTTTAAAAACAGGAAACTCAAAATGAAGTCAAAATGAGCACCTAGATCAGGGTATTGCTAAAAGTATACATATGAATGTATAAAAAAGATGTGTGTCATTTCTCTTAAAGTGTATATTTTAGGTCAGAGGAGGAAATAAGTCATATTCAAAAAAGAACCATGTCATAATGATGTCTGACAGGAGGCAATACTAATGCAAACAATAAAAGCAGAGAAAAGGAGATCAACTGGAAACAACTGAGAGAAGAGTGGATAAAGGCAATAACAGACAAATGAAGTACAACTATGCTCATTAAATTTAGCAAAATATCTATTAAAGTATATGATGACCAACTTCACTAAGATACACATTGAAAGTGGAATTTAGAGATGGTAGAAATCAAAGAACTCTATCAGTTATTTTTTCAGGTATCCTGATGTTTGCAAAGCCTATCCCTATTTTCTACTCTGCCCTTGTATTATGGGATCATCCTAAACCTTTGCCCAAAAGCCCTTCTTATGACTGTGCTTCAGGCTGACCGTGTGCTAGTTGTTTATCATCTACCTCCAGGCCATTATGTTTGAGGCTCATCTATACTCCAGCTATATTTGCCCAAGTTTAATTCACCTTACAAATGGCGTGGGAACACTTGGTTTCTTTATCTTCCAACAGCTTGGCAGACTTCAGCTCTGATCTTCAGGACCTATTACTGATAATCAGGGCTTGACCAAATGAAGTGAATTTGGAAGCAGCTCTGATAAAGTTTTCTTATTTCTGTCTACGGCAGAAGTTTGTCTACTGTGGATGTATCTCCACTCCCATTTGACAAAACCTGATTTGCAAAAATGAATACATCCTAAACAGACCCTTTTAAAAATGTCTCTTGGATTTACAAATAGATTTAATATAGGATTTCTTTAAATCACTTTTTTACTGCTTTTAAATAAGATTTGATTTACCAATTTTCAGGAACACATCCGCCACAAGTAAAGAGTAATACTCCTGCATAAAAATAACACAGAAAGAGTACCCTTAAAGGCTTAAAGTCCTGCCTCAATAGCATAGCAACAACCAAAAAAAAACATTAAATATTAGTCTTAGGCACAAAGAAAAATATGGCCCCATTGTTTTTAAATTATCTTAAGGCTCTATCTACACATGGGTTCCCCATTACCCAATGTCCTTTGCGCTCTACTTGCTTGGGCTTGACACCTAAATGTGTCCAGACTTATTATTTTTTTAAATATCAACGTCCTTTTCTTTCCATAAAGGAAAGGAAAGAAAGTAGTGCTCAGAGAAAGTCATATGCTTGAACATTTATTTTGAGAATCAGATGAAAGTATATGGAGTAAAAGAAGTAGCCCTCAATTATCTATGTTAGTAAAGAGCAAGACTAGTTTGCTTAATTCAAAAATTTTAACACAATGTGTTGTTTTAGACAACATATTTAGTTTTAAAATTAATTCATTCATGATAAACATAGCTTTTAGTATTTTATCAATACCTTTGCCTAGTCTCCTTCCTAAATCCCTTTTTTTCCTTTTCTTTTTTTTTTTTTTGAGTGGGAATTTCGCTTTATCGTCCAGGCTGGAGTGCAATGGAGCAATCTCAGCTCACTGCAACCGCTGCCACCTGAGTTCAAGCGATTCTCCTGCCTCAGCCTCCTGAGTAGTTGGGATTACAGCTGCCACCACTCCCTGCTAAATTTTTTTTGTATTTTTAGTAGAAATGGGGTTTCACCATCTTGGCCAGTCTCGTCTTGAACTCCTGACCTTGTGATCCACCTGCGTCGGCCTCCCAAAGTGCTGGGATTACAGGCATGAGCCACCCTGCCCGGCCTCTCCTTCCTAAATCTCTAAATCTCTACATGATCTTTGTTTCCCAAGACCCTAGCATGTATTCTATAGACTTGAGTTAGATCATACCTCTTCCACTAATCCAATTAATTACCCAACTCACCCCTAAGCAACATGCTAACCAGAAAGACAACATATTTTATTGGTGAGTATCTATGGTAGGTAAAACCAGATCAACCTGATTCTGCTCTGTCAAGGTCCAGGTTTCTGAGTTTCTATCCTCTGTGAAGTTCCACCAGATCACACAGTATACAGGAGACACTGAAGGACAGGGTCAGTGTCATCTATGGTAGGTAAAACCGGATCAACCTGATTCTGCTCTGTCAAGGTCCAGGTTTCTGAGTTTCTGTCCTCTGTGATGTTCCACCAGATCACACAGTATACAGGAGACACTGAAGGACGGGATCCGTGTCTCGTTCCTTTCTCTGTGTCTTCTCTCCCCAATGGTATTTAAATATATACAAGACTCTCCCAATAAACATATTTTAAAAACCCTTCTCTTTTGTCTTGACTCTCTGTCTTATCACTTAAATTTCTTATGCCCATCTCCAAATTTCTCAGAAGTTCAGCCTGTCCCCGACATTGATCACCCTCTGCTTCTTAAAACTCTCCTAACTTGGTTTCTATTCCACCACATCCTCCTGGTTTTTCTTAAATTTTGATGAGTCTAGCTATTCCCTGTTTTCTTTGCACAGCCATCCCATATTGCCCAGCTTTATCTTATCAATCCCTATGTTCTCTCACATTGTAGTTTTATGTACACCTGTAGTTCAAGAACCACATAGTTACTAATGGCTTCCAAGTTCAAATCCTTGGTCCAAACCTCCCACTAGAAATGCTGATTTGTACATTAAACTACAGTCTCACTAAATGCACCAGAATAAACAGTAAGACTTCAAATTCAATGTGTCCAAAGCTGAAATCATTAATTTCTCCCTTAAGTTTGTTCCTATTCCTATATTCTCTAGTTTATGATACTGCCATTCAAACAAATATTTCAAGTAGAAACGAGGATCCCATTATTAATGTTACCACCTCCCTCAATCCTTGCATGTAATCAATCAAATCGCAGAGTCTTTGTTATTTTACTTCTAAGTAATTATAAAATCTATTCTTCTTATTACCCCAGCTACTGCTGTCATAACTAAGGCTCTTGACTTGAGACACTGTGGCAACCTTCTCAAAAGTCTCACTTAGAACCATTGTATCTTCTACTAGCCACGAGAGTTATAGCTATAATGTCTATGTCTTTTTAGCTCCCTAACTACTCAGAATAAAGCTCCTAGACAAGGAACATGGCCCCTTGCCCATTTCTATGCCATTATTTTTTGCCACTCAGTCTCATGCCTTTTATTTTTCACCTCTGAATCTCATACTTCATATTTCAGAAACCTCTAAATGCCTGCAGTTTCCCGTACAGCATTCAATTTCTTGCCTTCATTCTTTGCTCACAGCCTGTCTCTCTTCCTATCTCTTCTTGTCTTCTCCTCACCTCGGCCAACACACCTTACCTGCCTAACTCCTACTCATTCTTTGAGAATCTCCTATAGATTTTTTTGACATGTAACACCCACCACCCCCCAGGCTGAGTTAAATATCTGTTCTGCATGACCTCACAGTGCCTTGCGTATCTCTTTCCTGAATACTCATCCTCAGCCTTCAGCATAGTGCCCCATATACTGTTGGCTTTCATGAATATGTGTTGAATGGGTGAGTGTAGAATAGCAGGATGGCTTCCTGCTGACTGGGCTTTTAGCAATGTATCAGTCTAAGATATGATGTCATTTCTCTCCATTGAGCAGGGGACTGTGACTAATGATTTTTATCACTATTTCCTACTGAGCCTCATGATTTTGTTTGAAGTATTATAGATTTGAAGAATTTCAACCACATCCAGATCTACATGTGCTCACAAATTATGTTGGAAAATGAATATTAAAGTAGTTTCAATTGTGGAAAATTGTGACAAGTTTTCTCCAATAGAAGATGCAATCAAAGACAGCCTTATCATTTTCATGTTCTTCCATTCCAAATTTGTCACTGGAGATGCCAAAAAGCCAGACAAAGTTTTACCTTTGTGTCTCATCTGTATGTCTTCTCCAGTAGAGTAGTGCAAGTGATGTGAATGGACAGAAAGTTAGTCCACAAAGAGAAAAAGAGAAAAATCCCCTTCCATAATCAAGAGATAGCATAGTGCATTTTTACACTATTTTAGCATTTTAAACTCTAGAAAAATAGAACACTGCTTCCTGTAACTCACAAGTCGGAGCCTGGAATTTGTCTCACAGGAAACATCTGGGATGCTGCAGGTCAGGGGTGATGAAGGTTACAATGGGTATGTTTCACAGGGAAGGAGTAAGTGTGCGGAAACTGGAAGTTTCAGGGTATAGGATGTGAATACTTTTTAAGACAATGGAAGACAATAGCAAAGAAGCACAGACAACGGAAGAACTATGGGAAGAGATCTGAAAAAGAAACCAAGAGGCTTCAAGAGATAAAAACAAAATACGTCAAATAATTACTACTCACTGGATAAAAACAACAGAAAGGGAAAAATTGAGAGGCTGAGCTTTTAACTCAAAAAATGACAGAAGAAATGCAGCAGCATCTGTGGATGACTAAATCTAACATCCTTTGTTTGAGAGATGGTGGAGAACAAGGAAATACCGGCGGGGGAAGAATAGTCCTTTTTATCAGCACGTTGTCTAGCTTTATGGACAAGAGAATTTATCGACTGTTTTACCTGCACATGGTTTTTTTAAAAAAAGTTTATGTTAAACATCACTAATTTTCATTTGAACTTTAAAAATAAAAAATTCACAAAAAATTGATTTAAATATTTCATTCTGGTAAGACATAGAGTACATTGTTTCACCTATACTGATTTATTTTATAATTTGCAATATTAGCATTTGGAGATTTATATTTTGTCTTATCCACTAGGTATATTTCATTCAAAGTACCTTCATGAAACCTAACCTCCAAACTCTCCAGGTTCATGTGTCCCTTCAAATGACAGAAGGATTCAGACTTGCTCTTTATCTCCCATGTCTTTGCTCCAAAGCATTAGACTCCTGGCTTAGCCATCAAGATTACCATTTTAAGTAACAGTTTCTAAATATTCAGGTTCCCATAATAGAATAAAGTTTATACAAGTCGACAATCATAGGTACAGAGTTCATTTTTGTCCCTCTTGGTAAAATGAAATTATGGAAAAATATGTATTTATATTGTCTTTGATTAAGTTGTGTTTGATCTGAGCTTGAAAAGTTATAGAGTTATATAAATATTATATAATATACAGTTATACAATATTTTGCAGTAGCACAATACATATGTAGCACTCTTACAACAGCTATATATTCAGAATATTTAAACAATATTTTTAAAGTTTAGTATCACAAAACTATTTTATATACTGGAAGCCAAAGCCCCACATAAAACAATGCATAAATGTTTTAGGTCAAACAGGAAAAAAAGGGGGGTGGGGAATGATACTGAGAAGTCAAATATATTACTGCATTTTGGAACATTAAATTCATTTACTTATTAAGAAAATTTTGAGTTTTTTTCTAAACTATAAACATGCCTGTAAATGTGACAAATATAACATCTTACGGATGCCTAATGCTAACTCTTAACATGAAACATTACTCCAGACTGCTCTCCATGACTTATACTGAAACAGGAGTGAAAGAAGAAAAAGCATCAGCATTTTATATCTTATTTGTTTCAGGGATTTCTGTGTTATTTGGGGTTGTTCATGGGCAGTAATTGCATTAATTTTCATGTATGACTCCCCACTATCGTAATGAGAAAGGCTTCGTGTAACATTTCTCCATCCCAGTTGCAATTAAAATGAAGGGGCAAGAACAGCAAGATGCTCTGCTATATGGGAAAGTTGAATCTGCAGAAATCTCCTAAGCATTTGTGAAGAAAATTACAACCTACCCTTTACATTTTCTTTCTTCAACACCTTTTTAGTAGAGACAGAATCTAGTGTCTTGGTACAGTGTGATATGGAATATGTGTGAGTTATTTATTGCTGAGTGGCAAATTACTACAAAAACTTAGTATCTCACACAGTTTCTGGAAAATCATAGATCCGGGAGCAGCTTAGCTGGGTGATTCTGGCTCAGGAGAGATATCACGGGTTGCAGTCAAGCTAGGGTGACCAACCATCCCAGTTTGCCTATGACAGAGGATCTTCCCAGAAATGGATTTCAGTGCTAAAACTGGGAATGTCTCTGGACAGATGACATAGTTTGTCCTCCTAAATCAAGTATCAGTTGGGGCTACAATCTCTGAAGACTTGATTGGGATTGGAGGACCCACTTCCAAGCTCTTCCAGGTAGTTGCTGGCAGGAGGCTTCAGTTCTTTGCTATGTGTACATCTCCAAGGACAAGCTCACGGCATGACTTCTCTCAGAGACTGATCCAAGGGAAAGAAAAGACATGCCACACTGCCTTACATGGCTAAATCTCCAGGCCATAAACCAACTCTTCTGCCTTAGTCTATTCACTTAAAAAAAGACGATAAGCCAAACCCACACTTGAAGGTCAGATTATGAGGGCATGAATACTAGGAAAAAAAGATCATTATGGACATCATGGAAACCAGCTACCATGGTATGGCATGGCATGGCATGGCATGGTGTGGTATGGGATAGTATGGTATGGCATGGCATAGCATGATGTGGTATGGTTTGGTATGATGTGGTATGGTTACTGATGCAATGCGCTGAAAACACTGCAGTAGGTGTCCAAGTGAGAGACATTCATTTATTCATCGAACAAGCCTTTGTTGTTGATATCATGTTAAGGACTCCTATTTGAGCTTGTATCTGGAGAATAATGACAGCAGAGCAGTCCTTAAAGCAACGGGCACTCTAACAAGTCACTTTCCCAGGAGTTTACATAGGAGAAATAAGACCTAAAAGAATTTCATGTTTAACCTTAAAAGAAAAAAAAAGAAAATATATATATACAAAAAGCAAAAAGTAGGTATCTCATTCATATGGGTGACCATAATAAAAACAACATATACTGGATAATTTACAAACAACAGAAATTTATTGCTTACAGTTCTGGAGGCTGGAAGATTCCAGATCAAAGTACCAGCAGATTTGGTGTCTGGCTTGCTCTCTGCTTCATAGATGGCACCTTCTCGATGCATCCTCACATAGAGGAAGGGACAAACAAGTTCCTCAGTCCTCTTTTATAAGGCCAGTAATCCCATTTCTGAGGGCTCTACCTTCATGATGTACTCACCACCCAATACCACTGCATTGGAGATTAGGTTTCAATAAATGAATTTTGGAGGACACAAACATTCAGACCATAGCAGTAGGATAAAAAGACTATCACATCTTGGAGCTTTCTTGGACATTATATAGATTAAACACTTGCTATAATGCAACGGAATGCACAGGCTCTTGAGTCAAATTGCCTGGGTTCAAATTCCAGCTTTGTGATCTTCCAACTGTGTGACCCTAGTCAAGTTACAGCTATAAAATGATAATAATAATGACACCTACCTCATGGGGTTGTTGTGAATGTCAAAGAAGTTGATTGTGTAAAGTGTTTAGAATAGTGCCTGGCATGCAATGCGCAACTATTAGCCTTTATTACCAACTATTATCATTCTTGAAATCATCGTCCTCTACTCCTTCTTCTTCTTCTTCCTTTTTTTTTTTTTTTTTTTTTTTTTGAGACAGAGTCTCACTCTGTTGCCCATGCTGGAGTGCTATGGAGTGATCTTGACTCACTGAAACCTCCGCCTCCCAGGTTCAAGTGATTCTCCTGCCTCAGCCTCGCAAGTAGCTGGGATTACAAATGTGCACCACCATGCCCGGCTAATTTTGTATTTTTAGTGGAGATGGTGTTTCACCGTGTTCGCCAGCAGGTCTCAAACTCCCGATCTCAGGTTATCCTCCTGCCTTGGCCTCCCAAAGTGCTGGGATTACAGGCATGAGCCACCGTGCCCAGACCCCTACTTCTACACTACTGTACACTCTTAGTTCTCTATCTCTGTTGCATTTCATTTATTCTCTAATCCATTTTTGGCTGCTTTTCCCTTTTCTACTCCTGTGTAACTTAGGATCCTGACCTCAAATTACTTCTCTTTCCACACCCTTGCTGGGAAATGTCATCCTCACACACAGCATCAACCACTGCCTCTCTTCCAAAATCCCATTTGCCTGTTTAGACTCCTCTCTTATGAGCTCCAAAAAGGTGCTAGAATCAGCCAGAATTACAAGCAAGAGTAATAGAAACAGAATAGAATTGTAATAGCAGTAGTAATAGAATCTTAAGCAATAGTAACACAATAGATCCAAAACTGAGGTCATCATCTTGCATACTGTTTCCTACTCATTGTTTCCCACTCGTTGTTTCCCTTTCTCAGCAAATAGTGCTGCTATCTCCCTAGTTGTGAGACCCAGATTTCTACCCCTGGAGGCATCCAAACTTGTTCCTCTTAGTCACACTCAACATTTAGTCACCCCCATTTTATCTCTTCAAATCTTGTCAGTCATTGTCTGTCCCACTGCCTCCATCTTCTATTGCTCCAGCAATGCCCCAGAAGAGTTGACATAGCATGAGGAAAAGACATGGGCTTCGAATCCCAGGGACATCATTTTTTGGTTATATGGCCTCACTAAGCCTCAGAACCCTCTCTGAAAAACAGACAACCTTCAGCACCACGCAGGGGCCTTAGGAACACCCTACTCAAGATTTACAGGACCCTCTATCAGAGTGTTGACATTATCTGACTGTGCCACTGGTGCTGTGAGCTTCTTGAGGGTA
Source organism: Homo sapiens (assembly GCF_000001405.40). Taxonomy (NCBI): domain Eukaryota; kingdom Metazoa; phylum Chordata; class Mammalia; order Primates; family Hominidae; genus Homo; species Homo sapiens. The sequence goes on from NC_000006.12 coordinate 113,500,825, forward strand.
GAGATTTGCCTGAATGGCTCTATATGCCCAATAAAGTATGGTGCCTAGAGGAGAGAATTCCAAATATATTTATGGAATGACTGTGATAGGTGGGCCTCAAGCTTTTCTGGCACCCACTGTTGGAATCACCACTTACTGCTCCCTTACTGACTGCATCCCTGAGCTCAAGTATATGGGTGTCCACTAACATGCCCTCATTTGACTACCAGGAATGACTTAACTGGTCATCTGCTGACTATTTTAAGTGCAGCTGAACTTTACCAACCACAACCATATATGCACTCAATAGAAGACATTTTCCTCTTTTTTAAATTGACTAATCAAATTCCTGATAAAAATCACTTTAAGTTGATAAGAATGATACTTTTTGGAAAAAAAAAATTCTTCAAGGTAGAGAATTGGGGGGTAAATAGTATTCATTACATTTTGTTTTTCTTTTAAAAAATAATACCTCATGCAGTGTTTTTCACTTCAAGCCTGACAGCTGTGATAATGATTTGAATCAAGTTTGAAAGAGAAATAATTATTTTAGCTTGTATAAGTCCTTAAAGTATAATTGGGTTTCATGCTGGGAAAAAATTATAAGCTGTTATCAGACCTCTCAGGTCTCAACTACAAACATAACTTACGAGACCTTTGCAGCACTGCAAAGCAGCTGCCATTCAGGTCTCCATTATCACGGAATAAATAGAAATATTCTGGCTATTGGTAAATATCACACTTATAATATATTGTTTCCATAATCCACAGCCCTGCCAAGAAATCCCAATCCCTTGACACATCTCAGTATTCCGAGATATTCTATGAATTTGGCTGATGAATCGGTTTATACCAAAGAAAATGCTATTGTTAAATTCATATTGTTTTTATATTTGTAATCTCAGAAGAATTGACATTTGACATCTTATAGAAAATAGTAAAGATAGTTTATACAAAGAACAAGTTTCCATTTGTCCTAGATTTGGTGACAGTGGAGAGTTCTGACAAAATTTCATCTTCCATCTACTTTGAATTCCCTCCCATAATCACCAAGATGTGGCAAATGACATTATCAGTCACGTGGTAAATATTTTTAGAATGGACAACCTATTAGTGCTCACATTAATCTGGGTAATTAGAGCCAATATGAGGTATAGTAGGCCAGAATTAGAAAAAAACTAAAATAGAAATAATTTTTAAAACTCCTTATCCTAAGAGAGCAAATAAAGTGGTATTTGACTGTGAAGCTTGAGAAACTCTTCTAAGATTTTTAAAAATAAGTTTACTGTTTTCCTAGGCAAGATATTTATTATCATTTCTCTTTATTTTGATAGTCCTTTATTTCTAAACTTGAAGCTTTATTCTTTATTGTTTTAAAAATTGATAAGATAGTGGGATATCTGATCAAATTAAATGTGGCAAGCCAACAAAAATAATAATACAACTGATTCATGAGGTAACATTTAGATTCTGTAACCATATTAACCAAGAAAATATATGAGAAGGTTCTCTCTTTATAACTTTGTTAAAAGACTCTTAAGCACAAGTTTTATCTTTTCATCCTCCCTCTGTCTCCCAATGTGTAATGCAAAGCCTTATACACAGGGAGAATCCGCTAATTAATTATCTAAGGGAGAATCCACTAATTAATTATCTAAGGGAGAATCCACTAATTAGTTAGCAAGGATGACCCTTGTCATCATGGTTAGCCAAACACTTTTTTAAATCTTAATAAATATTGTTTTTTGTCTTATCTCTGAATCATCTAAACTCATTTGAAAATTTTTAGTAAATGAAAATAAGCACAAGGAAAAAATACAAAACACGCATAATCTCATTTCTCTAGAAAATTTACTGTTGACGTTTAGAGATGGTCCTTATTTCTCTCTAAAAAATTAAAAATAAAATATACTATACTTATGTTTCTATAACCACCTAAAATATTTCATGTTGATACCTTGCTTAGTGAAATCATTATGGAGAAGACAGCTGCAACAACAACAAAAAAAAAACAGCTATTGCTACTCCGTCGTGCCACATATGGGGCACCTACACAAGTACATAATACAAATGAAGAAGGAATACATGAATGAATGAAAGTTGGATGGTTGCTTTAATGAAGCAGTTTTGGCAACAATGATGATAACAGTAGTCATTTACTGGCATACTGGCATTTTTTTTTTTTTTAGCTCATTACTAAGCATCACAGTAACCCAAGAAGGTAGGTTTTATCACATATCTCCGTCATTTTAATGGTCTCTGGGAAATTAAAGAACCTGCCAACTTTTGGAGCCAGAATTCAAACCCAGATCTAACTGAATCCAAAAGCCTATAGCTGTTTCCACCATAACACTGCCTTTCAAATATTGCTGATATGTTGAAATGGAGCTTTGTTTAAAGGACATGCCCCCACCTGCAGTAAAGGGAATCACATAAAGACAAGACAGCTTCAGAGGTCTGTGCTGGACGTCCAGTCACTGAGTGCCCTGGTGTTACAGTACAGCTGCTACCATCCATTTGTGTGGTGGCTGTTTCATATTGGTACCGTCAGGGCCATTGAAATCACAGACACATTCACTCAGAAGAAAATAAGAATGGATTTTCTTTTTCTTTTTGAGAAAGCTTTTTACACTAATCCACTTAATCCCATGGTTGATTTGCCACTGAAATCTGAAGCAGAGCATCTTTTATAGGGAATTTCCTAACTTTGAAAAAAAATTTAAATTAGCCAATAAGATCTCATCTCTTCCTTAACTTTCAAAAAAGAAAAAAGTGTGTGTGAGTTGAAGGGGGAGGGGTGAAAGCAGGAGCAGATGGATCCTTTCAGCAAAATGAATATTATTTTACCTCTGAGGAAAAACTACATGTTCTACAAAAACAAAGAAAAATATGAAAATTTGATTACTTATAATAACTAATTTATTTTTTAGTAGGATTTTAGACACATGTCATTATACATTTATTCAAACCCATAGAATGTACAACAGCAAGTAGGAACCCTACTCTGTGGACTTTGGATAATAATGATGTGACAATGTAGGTTCATAGATTGTAACAAATACAGCACTGCTCTGAGCAGGATGTTGATAACCAGGAGGCTGTGCATGTGTGGGGACAGGGGTGTGTAGGAACTCTGGATTTTCTGCTCAATTTTGCATGAATCTTAAACTACCCTAATGAAAAAAAAAGGAGAATTGGCATGACGTAGATAAGTATACTTTCTTAATTTGATAAAGAAGTAAAAGATGTTTTTCTTATTCCAGTGGAATAAACAAAAATAGACATATACAGTAATGTACTACTTAATAAATATTTTCTGAAAAATGCATCATTAGATTTTAATCTAATGATCATAAACTTTAGATCATTAAATTTGCATTTAAAACATTAAAATTTTTTCATTGTGTGAACATCATAAAGGGTACACAAACATAGCTGGTATAACCAACTACACACCTAGGCTCTATGGTCACTCTCTTGCTCCTAGGTTACAAACCTCTATAGCATGTTACTGTACTCAATACTGTAGACAATTATAACACAATGGTAAGTACTTATGTGTCAAAATATGTCTAGACATAGAAGAGTACAGCAAAATATGACATAAAAGATTAAAAATGCTACACCTGTCTAGAGCACTTACCATGAATCCAGCTTGCAGTACTGGAAGTTGCTCTGGGCGAGTCAATGAGTGAATGGCAAGTGAATGTGAAGGCCTCTTGGACATTACTGTACACAACTGCAGTCTTTATAAACACTGTACACTTAGGCTACATTAAATTTATTTTTTTAGTATTTTTTCTTTTTCAATAGTAAATTAATGTCATCTATCTTACTGTAACATTACTTTGCAAATATTTTAATATTTTAACTTTTTGACTTTTTTGAATAACACTTAGCTTAAAACACAAACACATTGTACAGCTGTACAAAAATATTTTCTTTCTTTATATACTTATCCTATAAGCTCTTTTCTATTTTTAGATTTATTTACTGATTTATTTACTTTTACTTTTTAAACTTTTTTTCTTAAAAACTAAGGCACAAACACACATACTAGCTTAGGTCTATATAGGGTGAAGATCATCGATAATTGATATCACTGTCTTCCACCTTCACATCTTGTCCCATTGGAAGGTCTTCAGGGGTAATAACATGCATAAGGCTGTCATCTTCCATGAAAACAATGCTTTCTTCTGGAATACCCTCTTTTGAAGGGCCTGCCTGAGGCTGTTTCATAGTGAATTTTTTTTTAAATAAATAGAAGGAGTACACTCTAAAATACTGATAAAACATATTGCAGAGTAAACACATAAAAAAGTAACATAGTTGTTTATTATCATTATCAAGTATTATGTACTGAACATATGTGCTATAATTTTGTACAGCTGGCAATGCAGTAGGTTTGCTTACAGCAGCATCACCACAAACATGTGAGTAATGTGTTCTGCTAAGATGTTACAATGGCCATGATGTCACTAGGTGATTGGAATCATTCATCTCCATTATAATCTTATAGGACCACCATCCTATATGCAGTCCATTGATGACCAAAATGTCATTATGGAGTGCATGACTGCATATACAAAAATCTATGGCCTTGAAATTTACATTATTTATATGAGAAACAATCTCATTGCCATAGATTTCTGCCTTAGGCCCTCTCCAGTCCTGAATAACATCACAACCTCCCATGACTGGGCTCAGCCCAGTGCAGCATCAGCATCTCCTGGGAACTTGGTAGAAATGCAAATTCTCAAGCACTATCCGGTCCCACAAGAAACTCTGAGACTAGGGCCTGGCAATCTGTGTGTTAATAAGCGTTCTGGGTAATTCTAATGCATGCCAAAATCTGAGGACCACTGTTTAAAAGTGCAACACCACTGCATTCTCTTGCTAAATCATTCTTACCCTTAGAGTTGAGAGGGACTGTAGAAAGCCAGCTCTCTCATTTCACAAGCATGGAACCAAATTTCACGAATCTCAGAGTTCAATCATCTGTAGAAATGGAAAAACATTACCTACTTCACAAGACTGCTATGACATTAACTAGTGAGTTCATATAAAGTACTGAGAGCCTGGCATATAGACGCCCAAGAAGTACTAGCTATTATCATTATCATTGTCACCAAGGTATTTATGGCTACCATTATAATAACCTAGCTTTTTGAAATGGTTCAAGAATATAATTCATAAACTACTTTGGGACAACTTAACTTTGATTTTATTAACTGCTCTTAAAGTCTTTCTTGTGGGAAAGTATTTGTACTTGTCGCATTGATATTTACCACACACAGGTTCTCACTGACTAGCACAACAGGGCCACTAATAATGACATCTTCTCAGCAGGTGTGGAGCATGAGACTGATACTGATGCATCAGCCTCCCTGGACGAGATGCTGAGAGCAGGTGAAGAATGGCAGACCTCGTAAACAGGCACTGAATTATTGGGGAATGGAGAAGTGGATGACAAACAAGCTGAGGAAAATGTTGTAAAGACACTGAAGAAATAAACTGTGTAGAAAAACAAATTTAAGTGTATGGGCTAGCTGTGGACACCCAAACAGAATGCTTTCTACAGCTGAAGGAATAATGAAGAAACGAAGGAATGCCAATCGGGGATGAAAGAATGCATGGCAGAGATTGAAGATGGTCCCTTAACTTCAGTACCTTTAAAAAGTGGGGACATTTAGTAATTTGTTTTAGTCAATGCCAAAACAGCCTTATCAAAATGGTCTCATCAAAATGGCCATGACAAAACAGTATGGACCCAAGTAGGACAGAGTAAGGAAAAGCTTAACCTAGAACAACCACAATGTCCAGTGCAGTTGCCTGGACTCAAGGTCTAGATCAGATTGATATAAGCCATTTCTGTGCTCAATGCTCTTCCCAAGGTTTCCCTGCCTTTCTGGTAGACCTATGCTCTCATGGTCTTTATCGAAATTAATGTAGTTTATGGAATAATAATAATGGCTAACACTTGTGTGTATTTTGCTCTGAACCCGGCACTGTCCTCAGAGCTTTAAAGATAATAACTGACTTAATATTGATAATAGCCTTATAAGAGATAGATATTACTATTAGAGGAAACTGAAGCACAAAGAAGAAAATAACTCCCAAGATAACAGAGCTGATAAGGGTTAGAACTGAGATTCAAGTGCAGGCAGTTTGGCCTCAGACCCCAAGTTCTTGTTCACTGAGCTTTGCTGAGTGAATGTTGTTCCATCATATATGTGCTATTTCTATTCTGCACTTTATGAACCCCAAGGTGAAGTAAGTGAAATAGCCCATTCCTTTGATTTATTTTTTTAAAAGAAAAAAAAATTATCACACAAGGTATTTTGTGTGTAGTAAACTCTATTAAAGATTTGAGATGATGGATAGAGCAAGTCTGCCTTATGGCAATTAAAACAACTCAAAATTATGTGCCTAAATACTTTCCTTTTTTTCTGTCTTCACCTTCCAGATTGAACCTGGGGCCTATTTTTTCACACCCTAATAGTCCATTTAACTTTGTTCATAAAGAAAGAAAAAACCAGTTTGTTCCCTAGAATAATTCTGGCACTAACCACCACAAAGGCCATTGTATTTAACCTTGTCACCCAGGCATTCAGAAATTGGAGAAAGCCAATTATAAGAAAAAATTCGCTAAAGGGCTAAGAAGCTTGAATTATACTTACAATAGGCTCTAACACATACCTGGCTGTATCTTAATGCAGTATGAAAAAGACTGTTGTTTTTCGCAATTTCTTTTTTATTTTTGATTATGCACACGTCAAGGAACAACAGTGTTAGCAGTAGCAGCACTCAGATACAAGGGCTTGAGTAGACACCAGAATGTCTCTTAGAGCATCCTTGGTACAGGCAGATAGCATCTTGCTAAAGTATGTTTTGTAAAAGAAATTTGAGCACCCCAGTCTGGGACAGCTTCATAATCACGTGATCTATGCAATTGCACAGGGTCCTGGCCTCAGAGGGGCCCCACCGTTGGCTTTATGCTCTGCTGTCCTTGTCTTGGAATTCTCAATAATCTTTGAATAAGAAGACTTGTATTTTCATCTTGCATTGAGCCCCAAAAATTATGTGGTCTGTGCTGGCCCCAGTGTCTGCCTTGTATCTCTTGTCTGCTAGCCAGCATAATACCTTCTAAATGGACAAGAAGGTGAGCCAAAACTGTCAGAAGATGTTAAGCCAAACAGCATCTCAACTTGATCACAGACTAACTAGAATTTGACTTTGAACAGCACCAGGTACCTTGGTGATATATCCTCCAAGTATGGCCTGCATATTGCATGCCCATCTGCAAATTGTTACACATTTTCAGGGAGATAAATACAGAAACTTAGAGTGAGTGTTTAGAAACATTTTAACAAGAGATATCATCACAACATCAAAACACATGATCATCTTTCTAGTCATTCATTTTTGTTGAATTGTATAAAAATGTGAGTCCATGACAGATGGAGAGAGGGTGGTCATACTGAGGTCCTTGCCACAGATCTTTTGAAAAGCACTGCCCAATTCTCAACTAAAAGTAAGAAACAGGTCGAGTACAAGATACCTGAAGACAGAGACTCTAAATGAAATATCAGAGAAAGATGTTGCACTCAGGAGTATGGGGCTCTGAGTCATGAGACATCCTATAGAGATTTTAAAAATAAACAAAACATCTAAAACATTTTAGAAACTCTCTCTTGCCTAACAGTTACCACAGAAAACATAATTTCTTGGAAAATCTTCTTGATGATCTTAAATTAAAATTACACTCTTTGAATTCAATCGTAGGTCAACAGTAGTTTTGTATTTCTTGCCATTTTCTGTGCAGAATTACGCATTAGCAAATGGTATGCCATTCCAGACCTGGCTTTTCCACACTTCCTAGGAGCCTAACTATACTCAGAGATTGTTTACTACCATGATGGGCTGGTCTTGGTTAAAGAGTGCACACTTTATCTTCTCTGGAACTTAATCAATTTTATAGATTACATTTGCTTTCCCTCTCAGTGGAATATGGCTCTTAGTTTACATTTAACATAAGTTAAGTATATTGGGATCTAGATGTTTGCCTACATTCAAACTGGGATGTCAATACTGTTTACCTTCTCTTCCTCTTCTGGGCTTTTTAAGTCATTTTTAAGTCTATGTAGAAGGATTTTTTTGTTTTGTTTTTTTCTACCCGTAGATACGAAGAGGCAGGGTAATAACTAGGGCTTATCAAATTGTTGCTATTGAATTACAATAGCAAAACTAGCAAAATACTATCTACTTATGCCAAGGATCACTCCATGAAACAATCCCACAAAACCTATTCTTGCAGATACTAGGAGGTAGTTGTTGGGTTTGTTCATATCATTACACCCTCGGGAGAAATTCCTATCTGTCCTTATTACAAGCAATAGTTAAGTTTTCCCTACCCAATTAGTCTCTTTCTATGTCATAGATGCCGTAAGTTGTGGAAGTGATCAAGTGGCTTTCTCTTTCTTTTTGGCTGGTAAGAAACCAATTAGTACAAATCTATAGTCCCTTTGCACAAACACCATAGGCTTTTATTGAACGTTTTTACATTCATTGCGTTCTTAACGCCATGTCATACTCCTCTCCAGCTTGTCTTCTCTTTCTTTGCCTACTTATAATTTACATTATATCTTATTGTAAAATATCTCAGTTGGCATTGAAAGAGACTGTCAGGTAAAGAGAGAAAGGAGAAAGCAGAAATGTGACACCGATCAGGGGTAAAGGGAGAATAGGAAAGAAGGAAGGAAAGGAGGGAGGGAGAAAATAAGAAAGGGAAAGAGTAAGACAAGGAAGGGAAAAGGCCCTAAGCTTGTGATAAGAAGCTAAAAGGAAAGTCTCCAGAATTCAAATAGTGAGGTGTCCATAGAAAAGAAAGTATAAATTATTATAGGCTGGATTTAATATAAAAATCATTTCAAAGCTAAAATCTGAGACCTGCTCTCCAACTGCACTGTTCACTGTCTATTGCTATTAAACTATATCCAAGTATAAATGTGACAAGAGATGGAGTGAAGTTTTCCCTGTTTTCTCAAAAGCTTGGCTAAAGCCTCAAATCTAAGGACTAAATTTGACTATTATTCCCCTCTCCTTTCAAAAAAATGTTCTTGCTACATCCCTACAGGACTTACTAAGAGGTTGTCAAACTGGATCTTTGACTACCAAGTCCATCAGCCAACACCAATCTGGAGCAGCTGAAAATGCAATGGAGGAGAGTTTTCTTGAAAGACGCTAGGAAGAGTAGAGGGCACATTAGTGTTTTCTCTCACTTTTTCCATGTGGTGCTTCTCTTACACGCACTGATATGGTTTCAATCTGTGCCCCCTCCAAATCTCATGTCATAATTCCCAGTGTTGGAGGCCTGGTGGGAGGTGATTTGATCATAGTTTAATGCTATTCCTCTTGGTGCTATTGTCGCATTAGTGAGTTCTCCTGACATCTGGGTGTGTGGCACCTTCCCCCGGTCCCTTCCTCCTGTTCTGGCCATAAGAAGTGCCAGCTTTCCTTCGCCCTCTGCCATGATTGTAAGTTTCCTGAGGCCCACCCCTAGAAACAGAGCAGATGCCACCATCATGCTTCCTGTACAGCTTGTGGAACCGTGAGCCAATTAAGCCTCTTTTCTTTAAAAGTTACCCAGTCTCAGGTATTTCTTTACAGCACTGCAAGAACAGACTAATACATACACACATACACACACACACACACACACACACACACACACACACACACCCCAAACCAAGACAAGAAGGCTCAGAGGGAAGCTCTCATAGAGATCAGGGTTACTTTCTAGAAGAGGAGATTGGTACCTCTGCCCCCAGCTGGATATTGGCTAAGGTTTGAATATTGGGTAACCTGCCCTTTTAAAGAAGTCTTGGAGGCTGGGCATGGTGGCTCATGCCTGTAATCTCAGTACTTGGGAGGTCAAGGTGGGAGGATCACTTGAAGTCAAGAGTTTGAGATGAGCCTGGACAACACAGCAAGACTACCATCTCTTAAAAAAAAAAAAAGCAAAAAAAAAAAGCCTTGGGAGAGCCTAACATGTTGGCATGTGTCCCCATGGGTTGCAACTATACATGAAGATAGACACTGATGGCTGCCTTGCCTCAGAGAAGTCTGAGGGTGGGACACTGGCTACAGGCAGCTACAGCAGGGGGTGAGGAAAGAGGGCAGCAGTGGAGGTGACAAACTCTTCCACAGCTTTCCTTCAGACCAAGCAGAAACTGCAGAAGGTAGCTAGGCTCTAGCCATCTTGAAGGGATCCCATTGGAGACGGTTTCCCACCAGCTGGAGGAAACCCCAAAGGTAGATCTCTGTTACAGGAAAGGAGGAAGTTTCAGAGAGGTGAACAAGAGGATGCTTTGCCTGTGTGAGGGAGTTGCAGTGAGGATGCCTTCAGAGAGGCCTCTCCAGAGAACCCACACACGCACCTGGCAACAGCAAGCAGTGAGCATCTGCCACAGAGAGGATGCAGGCAGCCTGACCAGTCAGTTCACAGCAGGCAGGCAGGACGCCCATGCTCCTTTTCCTCTGTCTGAAGGGCATAAGCCAAGCCTGGTTCAGGCCTCACCTAGGGAGCAGGGTTGTGCCTTTGAATTCAGTGATGGTTTCATTTTTTAATTTTAATTAAACATTTTCATAGCTGAAAAAAAAAGACTGTTCTAATACTAAAAGTGACCACAAAAGCAATGGGATCTTTGGGTCCTGGGAAGGGACATCTAACAGATGGTGGGGAAAATAATGGTTTTTCCTGATTTGTACCCTCTCTGGTCCAGCCAATTCAATAAATCTTTTATATAACTTTAAGAATTTTTATTCCAAATGGAAAACAAAACAAAACACCTTTCCTCCTCCAAAAAAAAAAAAAAAAAAAAGCATGAGATACCTAGTAATATAAAGTACTGGCTGGGCACAGTGGCTCAAGCCTATAATCCCAGTGTTTCGGGAGGCTGAGGGAGGAGGACCACTTGAGCCCAGGAGTTCAAGACCAGCCTGCGCAACATAGAAAGACCCTATCTCTACAAACATGTAAAACAAATTAGCCAGGCATGGTGGTGCACACCTGCAGTCTCAACTAGTCAGGAGGCTGAGAAAGGTGGATGGCTTGAGCTCAGGAGTTTGAGGCTGCAGTAAGCTATGATTGCACTACTACCCTCCAGCCTGGGCAACAGAGCAAAACCTCGTCTCTAAAAAAATAAAAATAAGGTACCCTCATTTGTTTCAGAACACTTACAAGATGTTTTAATTAAAAATTAAATTGATAATGTCATCTCACACCTTAATTTTTCCCTTTCTCAGATAATAATTGACCTTCCCTCTTATACCCTCTTTCTTCCTCTTTTCCAGATGCTCTTATTTTTCAACTTCCCTTTTTCTAATTTGTTTAATCAGAGTAAAAGAAAAAAGTGGGGTGAGGGGGCAAATAACAGAGACAGGAATATGTAAGCTTCAGAAAAAAATAGTATAATTTCTAAATTCTTAGAGTGTGGCTGTTATAATAACCCACCTATGGAAACATTTTCATGCAACGATGAACTCGTTTGATTTCTATATCTTGTGCCTTGCTTGAAGGAAGGCATTCCCCGAGAACAGAAGAACTATATGCCATCTATCCACAGTGACTTAGAGTACATCACTTTCAAGAATACAGCTTCAAGAAATCAGCTCTCACCAAGCTTCTTTCTCAATAGAGCCTCATTTTCTTGCTGCAACCAACAGTGCCAAACATTTTGCCAATTTTATACAAAATTCTCCACTAAGAAATCCTAACTCATTTGCAAATTGCTTTCATAACTATCCGCTAAATTGGACCTTTGAATTTCTCTCCACAAAATCAAGTTTTCATAATGAATATAGCTTATTTTCTTTCCCAATGACTCCTCCAAAAATCTCTGCATGCAGGCTATTTTAGTTCAGTTGAAACAGGTGGCTGGAGTCAGAAAAACTGTGCCTAAGTCTCCAGTCCATTGAAACACATTTCCTCCCTGGCAGCAGCTGCCCTTCTGAGCATATTTAAACTGTGAATCCTTCCCACATACGATACAATTAATCAAAGTGACTGCTTTTACATAAATGCATGTAAAACCTAGAATACACAATTAAAATTAGACAATGATTGGTCAGTAAATCAATTTTGGTAGACTGTAGGTGAGCCTAATTGGGGAAGATCTGTGAACCTACAAATTGTTCCAGAAATAGTTTCATACACATTTTCTGACACTTTTCTAGTTACATTTGCTATGTCACAAATTGTCACAAAACTTAGTACCTTTAAACAACTGTTTTATCTTGGGCAGTATTGTGTGCAGTGGAAATGGAGGGAGGGCTTGGCTGGGCAGCTCTCACTTGGGGTCTCTCAGGAGGGCGTAGTGAGAGTGGGGTGTAGCTGGGACTCAGCTGAAGGCTCTCCTGCGCTGGTCATCCAAGATGGCTTCCTCCTAGGGCTTGTGGTTGAAGCTGGCTGTTGCTGGGCATTCCGCTGGAGCTGACCACAGCACCTACATGTAGCCTCTCCAGTGTGGAGTTCTCGCTAGAGGCTTACATGGTGTCTGCTTCCCCCAGAGCAAACATCCCAAGTAAAGCTGGAGGAAGTTGCATGGCCTTTTTTGAACTAGCCTCAAAAGGCACCATTGTTGCTGCCACTGCATTGTTGGTTGCAAGGTAGTTACTAAGGTTGGGCCAGGTTGCATAGGACAGGACAGGACACAGATCCCCACCTTTCCATGGGAGGAATGTCCAAAAATGTGAAGTCATGTTTTAAAACCGCCACATTGTAATTCACTTATTATAATTATAATGAAATTATCTTTCTTCTTCCCTGTACACTAAATACCCCCCACCCACCCCCCGACACACACGCACAAGAAAACTTCTGAAATTACATTACCCTGTAAAAATCCTGACTGAAATGTAAAGGTTTTGTTTGTTTGTTTGTTTGTTTGTTTGAGATGGAGTCTCGCTCTGTCGCCCAGGCTGGAGTGCAGTGGCACGATCTCCGCTCCCTGTAAAAATCCTGACTGAAATGTAAAGGTTTTGTTTGTTTGTTTGTTTGAGATGGAGTCTCGCTCTGTCTCCCAGGCTGGAGTGCAGTGGCACGATCTCCGCTCACTGCAAGCTCCGCCTCCCGGGTTCACGCCATTCTCCTGCCTCAGCCTCCCGAGTAGCTGGGACTACAGGCGCCCGCCACCACACCCAACTAATTTTTTTGTGTTTTTCGTAGAGACGGGGTTTCACCATGTTAGCCAGGATGGTCTCGATCTCCTGACCTCGTGATCCGCCTGCCTCGGCCTCCCAAAGTGCTGGGATTACAGGCGTGAGCCACCGCGCCTGGCCCTGAAATGTAAAGTTTTTGAAAGTACAAGATTTAGTTGTTGGTTTAAAGCAAACATTTTCAGTTCTCAGGGAAAAAAGTTCAAGGGTATTTTGGCTATTTTCACCTGGATAGTACGGAGGGAATTTAAAATTTTTTTATTGGCTTTAACATTGTTTCACAGAGACTGAGAAGTCTGTATGCATAATTCAACTAATAAATTTGATTCTAAGCCAAGGTTTGATTAACATTTTGACACCACCCATCAAACAAATTTTTCAAAGAGCGTTCTATTCTATTAATTACAAAATAATGAAATCTTTTGGCTCCTGACCATCCAAAGGTTATTTCAGGGCATCTCTTCCTTTTTGTAATGTGTAAGGTACTCAAATGTCATTGTGAGTGGAGGACTGAGAGGAGATGGAAGCTAATCAGAGCTTTTTTTCCCAGGCAGACCAGGCACTTGAGTATACTGAGGATTTTCAGTAAGGTGAATACATGGTCTTTTCAGTGAAACTTCTAAGTGTGGGGACATTGCTAAAATTTACTTCCATCAAGAAGAAACTCCATACCGCCTTTCCTGCCCCACTTATCCTTTATGTGGTTCAAATATGAAAATATTGTAAACTAATTCATGTATTTATCTCTCTCTCCTACTAAATCATAAATTTACATGGTGGCAGAAATTGAGCTTTAGTTATCTTTTCATCTCTGATGGCTGGAACATAGAAGATGCTTTAAAAACATTGGAATATTTTATTATTTATTTTTCCTTGTAAAAGCAGTGTTCTGAAGTCTTTAGAAAGTTATACATATACATTCTTTATTTAAAAGAATGCTGACTACAAGTTTCCAGATTTTCCAATGAATTTGTAAACCTACAGTGTTGGTGCAAAAGTAATTGCTGTTTTTGCCATAAAAGTAATGGCAAAAACAGCAATTACTTTTGCATCAATCTAATAGATAAGTGGTTTTCAATCCTGAGGCACATTGAAGGCCCTAGAAAATTCCAGCTCCCAATCCCAGGAAACCTAATTTTAATTGGCCTGTAGTGTGGCCCAATCCTTTGTTTTGTTTTGTAACATCTTACAAAAATGTAGTACACTTGTTAAAACAAAGAAATAAACATTGGTACAGAACCCTTAACAAAACTACAGATGGTTATTCATATTTCACCAGTTTTTCCGGGAATGACCTTTTTCTGTTCCAGGGTCTAATCTGCGATCCCACGTTGCATTTAGTTTCTTCTTGCTCTTTCCAATCCATGACAGCTCTCGTTCTTTCCTTGTCTTTCATGACATTGTACTTTTGAAGAGCTCCTGTCACTTGTTTTGTAGAATGTTCCTTGATTTGGGTTTCTCTAATGTTCTCTTACTATTATATTAAAGTTTCTAATTTTTTGCTAGAATACTACAGAAATGATGTGCCCTTCTTGGTACATTCTATCAGTGGATACCTTATGTCAATATGTCTTATTATTGGTGATACTAATTTTGATGACTTGGTTAAAGTGGTGTCTGCTAGGTTTCTCCACTGCAACAATACTAGTTTCACCTTTGTAATTAATAAATATCTTACAGAAAATACTTTGAGACTATACAAATATCCTTTTCCTCCTCAAACATTAAAACTGACTTGAGCCTGTATCAGTAGATCTTGCATGCAAAAACTCTTACCATTGTGCTCTAATGGTGATTTTCTATTTCCTTCATTTCTTCCATGTTTATTAATTGGAACCTTCTATGAGGGAATACTTTCTCTTCTCTCTCATTTGTTTAATTATTTATGTCAGTATGGACATACGGATCAAATTTTTATAGCTCCAAGGTGATTCTAATTTATTCTCAAGATTGAAAACCACTGCTAAGTGGTCTTTGAACCTAGTTCATGATGTGGTGTCTCTACTCTGTCTGGTAACACAATGGTCTTGTTTTGTTTTGTTTTTTTTTCAATATGTGTTATTTATATTACCTGTTTCTATAGTTAACTGAGTGCATCTCTCCTCTGCCACAGATAAACTTCGCCACACCCTAAAATATCATAAGCCAGAACACTTGTACCTCTAAATTTCTGGGTCTAACCACAAATTCATAGCTGTTTACCTAGACTACCTCACATTTACTAAAGTAAGCTTTGATTTCAGCATGAACTCAAATCCTATAATACCTGCACCCCAAACATACCGTGCCACCTCCTTTTGATATTCACTAGCCTCTTAGCCAATCAGTTGTGTTGGTTAATAATTTCCATCTTACATTCCCTAGCATCACAAGATATTATGAAATTTGGTGCTTCTTGTATAGAGATATTTTTGTATCATTACCCTTGTTATCTGTTCTTCACTGCACTGCATTTAGTAGATGTTCTATTCCCTTGCTACTCAAAGTGTGCTACTCAAAGACCAATGTATTAGCATCACCTGGATGCTTGTTAGCAATGCAGAATCTCAGGACCCACCCCAAACCTACTGAATCAAAATAGAAATTGGTGTGTCACGCCAATAATTCACAAGCTTATATATATATATATGAATAACCAGGGGATCTTACTGAAATACAGATTTTGGTATTAGGTATGGAATTGGGGCTAGATATTGAGGTGATGCTGCTGGTCCCTGACCCACACATAGAATGCAAAAATCTGGTCCAGTCACTCCCAAAGTGTCATCTGGAATAGCATCTTCAGCATCATCTGAGAAATTTTAAAAATGTAAATTCTTGGGCTAATTCCCAGAACTACTGGATCAAAAGTTCTGGGAGTGGCAGTCAGTAATCTATGTTTTAACAAGCCAATAAGACTGTCAGACGATTACGATGCTTGCTAAATTTGAGAACATTGGTCTAATCCATTGGTCTCATACTTGACTGTACATTAGAATCACCTAGGAAGCATTTTTACAAAACAAAACAAAGAAACAAAAAAAAAAACACTGATGCCTGGTTCTTTTACCAAGAGATTCTTTAAAGTGAACACAAGCCATGTTCACTTTAAGTGTTGACTATTTACCAAGATAGATCATATTCTAAGCCATAAAACAAGTCTCGAGAAATTCAAAAGAATTTACATCATACAAAACATGTTCTCTGCCCACAGTATAATTGAATGAGAAACCACTAACAGAAAACAAATTCAGAAAATTCCCTAATGTTTAGAAACCAAATCCACACATATATAACCCATGAAATAAAAGAGAAACTAGTTTAAAGTAAAGGAAAACAAAGACACAATAGATCAAAACTTGTAAGATTCAAGAAAAGCAATACTAAAAGGGAAATGTATGGTACTGAACCCCTATACTAGAAAAGAAGAAATGCTTCAAATCAAAGTTCCTGGTTTCCATCTGAAAAAAAAAAAAAAAAAAAAACTAGAAAAAGAAGAATAAATTAAATCTAAAAATAGTCAAAAGAAACAAAACGATAAAGATTAGAGCCGAAATCAACAAAATATAAAAGAAGAAAAAAAATAGAGAAAAATCAATAAAACCAAAAGCTAATTTATTGAGAACAGAAACCTCTGACTAGATTGATTAGACATTGATAAACCTCACACCAGACTGATCAGGGACAAAAAAGAGAAGACACACCTCACCAAAAAACAGAAATGAGAAAGGTGATATCTCTATGATTTCTACAGATATTATGAGGATGATAAGAAAATATTGTAACCAATTTTACATTAATACATTCAACAAATTCAATGAAATGAACAAATGCCTCGAAAAACACAAAACTACCAAAGTTCATTCAAGTTATAAATAACCTGATAGCCTTATATCTATGAAAGAATTTTAATTTGTAGTAAAAAGAAATCTCTCTTTTCTCACTAAAAAAATTCCAGGCTTATGATTTCACAGGCCAATTCTACCAGACATTCAAGGAAGAAATAATGAAACCGCCTTTGCAAAATTATGACTGAGACAGTGAAACAGATCTAATTTAATTGACTCCATCTTGCTTCTAACCTCCAAGCTGTCCTTGTTCATTCCTGGACATAGGCTGAACTAACTTTGGGAGAAACTTAGTTTACAGTTTATAGTTTAAAACAAAGATGATAACAGCCTTTTCCCAAAGCAGATCTCCTTCTTGCCTGGGGACTAGATTGCCTTTATAGGACTAACATTAGCCACAAGATTAGAAATTGTGGTTTAGGAGTCAGGCAGCTGGAGGCTACAAGATTCTGACCCTCCCTCAACTGTTCTTGACATTAGTGCTTGCGGTGTTTTGCAGCCCCTGCACTTGATGGACAAGCTGGCACCACCCAGGTGGATTAAATGGCTCATCTGATATTGTTGCCCCCACCCAGAAACTGACTCAGTGCAAGACAGCTTGGACTCCCCATGATTTAATTCCTGACCCATCAGCAGTCCTGGCTCACTGGCTTCTCCCCACTGACCGAGTTGTCCTTAAAAACTCTGATCCCCTAATGCTCCAGGAGACTGATGTGGGTGGTGTCCGTCACAGCCAGCTCTATGTGGATTACTCTTTCTCTATTGCAATTCCCCTGTCTTGACAAATCGACTGTGTCTAGGCAGTGGGCAAGGTGAACCCATTGAGCAGCTGCAATAATATAAATTCAATATAAATGCTTCCAGAAAAACAGAGGAGGAAGCACTACTTTAACAACTTATTCTATTATTATAAGTTTAGCACCACTCTGATACTAAAACCAGACAAGGAAATTACAGGAAAACTACAGACCAGCATCAGTCATCAGCATAAATATTAAAAGTCTTAAAATTTTAGCAAATTGGGTATCCAAAATTATGTAAAAAGAATAATGCAACATAGCCAACTAGGCATTACCTCAGGAATGTGAGGTTGGCTTAACAGGAAAATTCAGTCAATGTAATTCATTACATTATTAGAAAAATAATATTATCATCTCAATAGATGCAGAGAAAGAATTTGACAAAATTCAACATCTATTTCTGATAAAAAGTCTCAGAAAACTATGACTAGAAAGGAACTTTCTCAACCTAACTAAAAAGGGACAATTGAAGAAAAAAAAGATTACTTAATACTTAAATGGTAAAAAACGAAAAGCTTTCCCTCTAGGGTCAGTAACAAGGGTGTCATCATTTCTATTCAAAATTGTACTAAAGATTCTTTCCAGCATAATAAGGCAAGAAAAAGACAAATGGCATCAATATTGGAGTGAAGGAAGTTAAAGCTGTCTTTATTAGAAAACAACATAATTTCTATGTAGAAAATCCTACAAAACCTATAAAAAAAACTGGTAGAATTAATAAATTATTTTAGCAAGGTTACAGACTAAAAGATCAGAATACAAAAATAAATTATAATTTGCATATACTAACAGTGAATAATCAGAAATTGAAATTCAGAAAAACAGTATTTACAGTAACATCACAAATATGAAATATTTTGGAATAAATTTAACAAATGATATGTGAGACTTGAACATTGAAAATGATAAAACACTGCTGAAAAAAATTAAAGAAATTGTAAATAAATGGAGACTCATACCACATACCACATTTATATATTTAAAGACTTAATATTGTTAATATTTGATCTATATGTTCAATACAATGCTAATCAAAATTCTAGAAGCCCTTTTCTTTAACAAGCAGACTCTAAAATGTATATGAAAATTCAAAGACCCCTGAAAGGCAAAATTTTTTTAAGAAAAATAAAGATGGAGGACTTATGCTACCAGATTTCAAGGTTTATTATAAAGCTATGGCAATCAAGACAGTGTGGCATTGGTACAAAAGTAGGCAAATAGATCAATGCAACAGAAAAGAGTTTAGAAATTAACCCACATGTTTATAATTAATTGATGTTCAACCAAGTGACCAATATAATTCAGCAAGAGAAAGGATAATCTTTTTGGCAAATGGTTCTGGAAAAACTAGATATCAATACAGAAAAAAATAAATACACCTTGACCCTTTCCTGACAATTAATTCAAATACATCATAGAACTACATAAAGGAGCAAAATTATTCAACTTCTAGTATTAAAAAAAAAAAAAACAGAAGAAACTCCTAGTGTCCTTGAGCTTGGCAAAAGCACAAATCATAAAAGAAAAATTCAATAAACTGGACTTCAGCAAAGTTAAAAACTTTTAACAGAGTGGGAGAAACTATTTGCAAGACATATAGCTGACAATAAACTTTTATCTAGAATTACATTGAAAAACCCTTCCTACTCAAAAATAAAAGGACAAATGATCCAATCTTTAAAAAATTGAACAGACACTTTACCAAAGAATATATACGATTAGCAAAGAAACACATGAAAATATGCTCAACATCATTTGTCATTAACAAAATACATATTAAAACTATAATAAGACACCAGTATGTACCTATTAGAAATGGCTAAAATTTAAAAGACTAACCACACCAAATGTTGGCAAGGATGTGGAGGAACTGAAATAATATTTAATGCTGATAAAAATGTAAAAGGGTTAGCCACTTTGGAAAAATGTTTGTCAGATTCTTAAAACTGAAGCATCCATTTACTTAATTCTATTTTTACATATTTATGCAAAAACATAAGGAAGGCATGTCTGTCTCTACAAATATTGTACATGAATGTTCATAGCAGCTTTATTTGTAATAGTCACAACTCAAGTGTCCATTAATAAGTGAACTGATAAATTATGTTTTTTCCACACAATGGGATACTACTCAGCAATATTTTTTAAATGAGCTTTTGATACATGTAACTTCTTTCTGATGAAAGAAGAGAGACCAAATAGAGTATATACTGCATGATTCTATTTATATACAATTGTAGAAAGTGCAGGCCAATCTATAGTGGCAGAAAGCAGATGAATTGTTTCCTGGAAAGGGCAAGGAGGGGCAGGAGGAAGAGATTATCAAGGAGCTTGCAAAAAATGTATGGATATATTTATTATCTTGATTGTGATGATGGTTTCATAAGTGTATACATATGTCAAAATTTACTGTATGTTAATGACATCTCAATAAAGCTGTTTTAAAAATTATAAAAAATCAAAACCATACACCCACATATATAATGAATATAGATTTTAAAACAATAAATCTAATGCCTGGAACTCTTATCCAGAAATTTGGATTTCATTGATAAGTGGTGTGACCTAGATATCAAGGTTTTGTTGTTGTTGTTGTTGTTGTTGTTTTACAGTGCAGTGGCGCGATCTCAGCTCACTGCAAGCTCCGCCTCCCAGGTTCACACCATTCTCCTGCCTCAGCTTCACAAGTAGCTTGGACTACAGGCACCCGCCACCACGCCCAGCTAATTTTTTTGTATTTTTAGTAGAGACGGGGTTTCACCATGTTGGCCAGGATGGTCTCGATCTCCTGACCTTGTGATCCGCCCGCCTCGGCCTTCCAAAGTGCTGGGATTACAGGCGAGAGCCACCACACCCGGCCGATATCAAGATTTTTAAAGAACTCCCTAGATGATTCTTATCTGCAACAAAATTTAAGAACCACTATCCTATTCCATGACCCTAATCTGCATCTGCAGTCCTGAAAAACCCTCACCTAAATTAATGCCCGTAGTTGCCAGGGAACCATGTTGGAAAATGTGAGTAGGCAATGTAAATCCATCCTCACTTCAAGAAAACAACCTGAAGCACCTAATATTGATAGCCAATCAGTAGTATCATCTTTGTAAAATGAAGGATAACTTTATATTTTAAAAATGTGCCTCTGAAAGTTCAGTGCCAGTTCTGACAACTGAAAAATATGTAACCATAGATGCAGAATATAAGAAGTAAATAATTCAGAAAATGAAGCTTTCTAGCTGGACACGATGGCTCACACCTATAATTCCAGCTATTCAGGAGGCTGTGGTGGGAGGATCTATTGAGCCCAGGAGTTTAAGGCTGCAGTAAGCTGTGATCACACCACTGCACTCCAGCTGGGCCGACAGAGAAAGAACCTGTTCCAACTCCACCTTCCATCCCTCACCAAAAATTAAGTTTTCTGACAAGCCCTGCTGAACAGGGAAGGTGAAAGGTACATGAGAAGGTAGAAAATGTAGAAAGGAACAACTTCAGAAGTTCTGGACAATGGATCAGGAAGTAAAGGAAGTTAACACCTCAAATCATCGCTCTTAAAAGTATTCTGTGTCAATAAAACAAAGTTTACTTTCTCGTATTTGGTGACTTCTATATTTTTTTCTATTGAATAATTTTTAATGTGGTTTTATTTTTTAATATGCCTGTTTTATTGTTCCTTTCTTCAAAAAGATATCTGGAATTATTTTCCTTCTTCTTATCAGCCATGCAAATAATTGTGCAGTCTTATGTTTTGTTTTATTGGTTTATTAATTTTAAGGATTTAAGGATTCTTTTTGAACTCATTTTACCATAAGAATATTTACATTCCTTTTCACCAACTTCTGCTTATTCAAAGATGTGAGGAAATTAGTTCACTGTGCTCAATCCTCAGCTGTTTTCTTCCAGCAACTCTGATAAGTCCCTGGAGAATTCCTTTAGGAACAAGAAAAGAGACAGAAATTGTTGCTTTCAGTCATCTGTCCCTCCCTAACACCAACTAACACTTGTCCTGAATTCCACTGAAATATTTTGTAGATAATGATAAGTCTATGCATCTCCTCTAAGTGCTTGGCGTCCTTGCTATTTTATAAAGGCAAGAACTCAAGAGGAAAAGAAGAGCACTTCCAGATCATGTTTGATCTTCAAACCAATGTGCAAAAATTAAAGGTGCTAAAATCCCAAAATTTTGTATAAGGAACAATTTCAACTTCTTTTATTAGAAATGGCAAAAATGGGCTAGGCACAGTGGGTCATACCTGTAAACCCAGCACTTTGGGAAACCGAGGTGAGAGAATCACTTGAGCCCATGAGTTTGAGACCAGCCTGGGCAACAAGGTAAGACCCCCAACCTCTATAAAAAAATGTTTTTTTTTTAATTAGCAGGGCATGGTGGCATACATCTGTGGTCCCAGCTATTCAGGAGGCTGAGGTTGGGAGGATTATTTCAGCCCAGGAGGTCAAAGCTGTAGTGAGCTGTGATCATGCCACTGTACTCCACCTTGGGTGGCAGAGCAAGACCCTGTTTCAGAAAAAGAAAAAAGAAAGAAATGGCAAAAATGCAGGTTTGTTTTACACTTCTTTATAGCTGTGATACTGTTTAACTGCAGAGGGTACAGAACTCTTCTCCGGAGGAAATAAAAGAGCTCAGACATACATTATTTCACACAGAAATATTCCAGGTAACATTACAAATTGAGACACAGGTCAAAAATGACTCCTAAATATTTGTATTATTAGGTCAGAAATGAACTAAATAAGATGAAAATATTATTTTTGTTTTGTTTTAAGATTATTTCCACCTTTTTTTTTTTTTTTTTGAGATGAAGTCTCGCTCTTGTCCCCCAGTCTGGAGTGCAATGGCATGATCTCGGCTCACTGCAACCTCCGCCTCCCGGATTCAAGCAATTCTCCTGCCTCAGCCTCCCAAGTAGCTGGGATTACAGGTGTGTACCACCACGCCCAGCTAATTTTTGGTATTTTAAGTAGAGACGGGGTTTCACCATGTTGGCCAGGCTGGCCTCAAACTCCTGACCTCAGGTGATCCGTCTGCCTCGGCCTCCCAAAGTGGTGGATTTACAGGCATGAGCCACCACTCCTGGCCTCCACCCTTAATTTTTTAAATTTATTTTATTTTTGTTTAAGTTTCAGGGTACATGCACAGGATATGCAGGTTTGTTTCATAGGTAAACTTGTGCCATGGTGGTTTGCTGCACCTGTCAACCCATCACCTAGTAATTAAGCCCAGCATGTGTTATTTCTTTTTTCTAATGCTCTCCCCACCCTGCCCTCCCCCGACAGGCCCCAGTGAGTGGTTGTTCCCTCCCTGTGTCCATGTACTCCCATTGTTTAGCCCCTATTATAAGTAAGAACACGCGATGTTTGGTTTTCTGTTCCTGCATTAGTTTGCTGAGGATAATGGCTCCAGCTCCATCCATGTCCCTGCAAAGGAGGAGATCTCATTACTTTTTATGGCTGCATAGTGTTGCATGGGGTATATGTACCAAGTTTTCTTTATCCAGTTTATCATTGATGGTCATTTGGGTTGACTTTATGTCTTTGCTATTGTGAATAGTGCTGCAATAAACATACGTGTGTATATATCTTTATAATAGAATGTTTTATGTTCCTTTGGATATATACCCAGTAATGGGATTGCTGGGCCAAATGGTATTTCTGGTTCTTAATCTTTGAGGAATCACCACACTGTCTTCCACAGTGGTTGAACTAATTTACATTTTTGATGTTAAGAATTGTATAAGCAATGATTTAATAATGGGTCATAAAGAAGTTGTAGTCATAGACCCAATTTTAAAAATAAAACAGTTTTGAGCGATAAACAGGTAGTGATCACAGTCCCAACTTAAAAAATGTACTCTGACTCTACATGGCCATATAGAATATAGCATAGTTTAATAGATATGAGAGTTATAAGAAGAGCATGAGAAAAAAAGATTACAGAAGGAATGATGTGTGTGAGTACTGATAAGCATGAGGGCAACTCAAATATGGAGAATCGCAGTTGTTGTACAGCAGGCACAGTCAGAACCAAAGTCCCAGATAGATAGAGTGGCCCTGTAATTTACTACCCAAATAGGACACTTTTGAGAATAAGAGGGGCACAATTACTAATTGCTTAGGACTCTCCTGGGCGAACTAGAATATATAATTATTTTACAAAGAGCAGAGGGTAATGAGAGAAGAAGGAAGAGGGCAGTGGAAACACTGAAATCTCTTGAGAAGGTGTTTAAATTTGATGTGACAGGCTATTGAAAACTACCACAAAAGAGGTCACATAAGATAAAGAAAATATTTGCTGTGTGAATGCAGCTGATCAGATGAAGATAGACTAAAGGCAGAGAAATTGGCAAGGAAGTTGTTTAAGGCAGTAAGTTCAAGATTCTGTGTCTGTAGAATGAAAAGGTGCCAAGAGTGGACTTAGGAAACATTTGAGGGAAAGAAACACAGGATAGATAGTAAACCGATGGCTGGGCAGTCAAGCAAAGTGATACAGTGCTAGGACCAACAATGTAGGGAATGGGGAAAGCATTCAAGAAAAGAATCTGGGGAATTGTCAACACAGATAAAGATGCTCAAGAAGTGCATGTGTGAAAAATGTGGGTGTGTATACAGAATACGATATGGGGAATTAGAAGAATCCAAGAAAGTAGAAAGGAAGGTGAAATAAGACAGTTCTGAGGATGGCTAAAGGAGCCTAGCAACTGAGAAGTCAAGAGCGTCCGAGATGACAAAGTGGTTGGTGGTGTTAACACAGTGTCCAGGCTGAGAAAGGAGGAGAACAAGACAATATATTTGCCTTGGGTGACATCACCAAGATGTCTCATTAAACACAAAAACTAAGTTAACAGGGACTCAGAGAGGAAAATGATAAAGAGTAATTAAAGTCAGAGATCAATTTTTTTGTGTATGTGGTGGTAAAAAATGAGAGAGATTGCAGCCCTTTGAGAAATAGCTGCAATATTTTGCACATGATGTAAGAAATTGATTAAAACTATAATTGGAAAATACAGATGTTATGAAATTTTGGAGAAACATGCTTGATGGCTGTTCTTCTGCTGTATTTTTTAATTGTTGATTTCAATATACAAAACTCATTTCTTTTCACCTCTTTTTGACACCATCAATCTTGGTAGCTTTGGGCTCTCCTTGGTTTACTAATGTATAACTTATGCTCAATTTTGACCCCACTCCTATTAGTCAACTTTCAGTTCAATCGAATCCCATCCAGGCTAACAAAAATATTTTAAAATAGTACTCTTTTGTGACTAAATTAATTTTTCACTTTGACATAATTTGAGGAAGCATTGAGTATGAAAGAAGTCTCGTAATTTCATAATTAGATTACAGAGATGGGAAAAATAGAAATATCTTTTGGGCAAGTTTTTCCAATAATCTACGAAATTTACAACTAGGTAACTTAGTTCCTGTGAAACTGGGAAAAATTTCACTCTACCTAAAGACTTATTTTCTAATTAATTCTAAATGTTTTGAAAATCAGGCCTGACACCTGAAATTTCTACATTCACAGTGTTGTCTGATGGGATATATATAATACGGCAGAGTTTACTCCCTTTTTATTCTTAAATACAAACTGGATTATATTTTCATGAATTGCCTTCTAAGTGAACTGACCAAAAAATAAAGTTATTCTATTTTAACATCTTATTAGCTCCTGTTGGCTTAATTCTTATCTTTTTTTTCACAAATCATTCTAATTCAAGGCTACTATTTGCCTTGAACTTTTGTGTAAATTAGAAAAAGTGCCTCTTCCTCAACACCTGGCTTCAACTGGCTTCCATTGTTCAATCTCATAACAAACATGAACATCTACATCTTTGATGTGAACGGCGCCCTTAGAGTTGTGCAGTGTACAGCCTGTACAACCATGCACAGCACCCCTTGGAAGTTGTACCTGGTGCCTTTCTCCCTCAACTCTAGTGCACATTCACCTAGAGAAGGTAAAGCAAGGACCTGAGGCCCAGAAGAGTGAAGCAATTTCTCCATAAAGTCTTGTTAACACGTGGTGGTAAAACCAAAGGGAGAGATCTAACTTCCTGGCACTTAGGACCAGAATAACCTGAATCCCTCTCAGTAATCCTCCCAGGACTGCCAACCTCCCACTCAGTGGTGATGCTCCAGCATGCCCTGGAAGGGTGACATCATTATTACCCTCTGTATTAGGACTGTAACCTTAGGTAGGAAAGCAGCCTTGTTCTGCTAAGGAACTTCCTTTTCTGATGTAGTATTTACAATACTTGGCTGTACTTATGCATAAAGAGAAGGTGGTGATACCCACCTGTCTACCTCACAGACTTTGAGATTTTCAAAAGAGATAATCAATCTGAATGTTTTGTTAACTGTAATGTGCTCTGATCTGATATTATCACCTTGAATCACAAAGATATTTAATAAAAGGGGAAAAAAGTAAAACTTAACAATTAGTGGGAGAAGAGGTCTGGATTGGGCTTATCCCTGGGCTTATTCTAAGAAGACAGTGCCAGAGCTAACACTCCCTCTGTCCCTGCTATTGCAACAGATATATGTAATCTCCTAAAATAACCAGGCTGCCAGCTAACTAGGTGACGCACATCCAATTCAAACCCATACCAGCTCCATGCAGCTACTCTGTAATAAGAATATTTTAATATTTAATGCAGCACCTTTCGTCTAAGGATTTCAAATATTTTTTAGTCAATAATTAAGTTTTATAGCACCAAGAGAGCCGCCTAAATTTTTGAGAAGTTGCAGAACTTTAAAGCTAAAGGGCAATGTCTGGATGTGAAATATAATTCATTGAAGACCATTCTGCTTTTCAGGTACATGTGATCATCTCATTTTAACATTTTTTTTCTTTTTGAGGTCAATGGTACATGAATTGTGTTGGGAGCTGAGAGCCTTGACACAGTAAACATACTCTTAGGGACCTAGGACCAAGCCCTGGCTTTACAGTCACCTGGACTCGTGGCCAAGACAAGTCACTTTACCTTTATGGGCTTCAGACTGTGCACATGTAAAGACCCTTGAGGGCACTGGTGTTAATGGTTAAAGCATCTGTAGGCAGGTAGATACAAACAGATTCAGACTGAAAGGAACATTAAATAGCAAACACCTGCACTGCAATTCAAATGTGTGTTCTATTTGTGCAGTTTTCATCTTCTGTTCTGTATCTGGTCTTTGCAACCAATCTTTCAATCTGTTGATCTAGTGGAAATAAACATTAATGAGACAGCAATTGATTGATCAGATCAATAAAACATAATCAGATCATTGTTTTGAATAGCATACACTTCACACAGAGTTTTCAGAACAGCTATCAACCTGATTTGATTACTATTAACACACCTGAACCTTGTTGGTGATTAAATTAAGGTAGCATCCATTTTTCCTCCAGGCTTCTTCAGACTTCATTAGATACTCCTAACATTTAGGAATGCTACACACTCAAGCAAACTGTCATAAGATATCTTAAGCCTCCTGCATGCTGAATCTCCACAAATGTCCTCCATGTTTGGCTCCCTTTTGAAGTTAGCAGACAAGAATGCTTGATTAAACGTATTTAAGCTTCTCACCGATCCTCCTTCCAAGTTGCTTTCAGAAGGCTTATGTTGGATTTATACTGAAGAGGTGGAAGAATGAAGGAAAAAATATATTGAGAAATAATCTGCTTCATATATATCCTTTTTTTCCAGAGACATATTGCTGCTGCTCTTAAAACATTTCTTTAACGGAATTTCTTTATATCCTAATCCCCTAAGTAGTAGAAGCCTGAAGGAGTTCTTCAGATAGTCAGTCCCTTTCAACAATGTGGGATGCCTCTTCTTTAGAAAACTTAAGAGATAATCAATGCTATTCTGAGGGCTGTCCTCCTACAAAATAAGAATTATAAGGAAAGGAGTCCGTGAAACTCTTAAAGCAGTACTTTGAGCTTTGTTTTGTTTTAACTTTTGGTTCTGACTATGTCAGAGGACTTGTTTCATGATTTGGGGCTGACACATAGGCTATGAAGGCTCCTTAGCTTTCTAATATGAAAGCTGATGAGATAGGACTGAATGACTTCTAAGATCACTTTCACCAAGAACCAGTTCAGAGGCACTAGGAGAGGATGGTTAAGAGTGCAGCCTCTGGGGTCAAGCTGCTTTGTTTTGACTCTTGGCTCTCCCACTGTCCTGCTGTAATTTCTGCAAGTTGTTCTTTATTCTCTCCTCAGATATGGCCTTCATGTCTATCAAACCCTGTTCAGGATTCATGTGTAGTGAATCTTTTCCCAGTGGCCCTTCTCTTCTCTAGTCACCAGAGTCTCTCTGGAAACCTCACCATACTTCCTCCCCATATAGTCTAACTCCCCATGGCTATACTACATACAATGCAAAGGAAGGGCCTGAAATACTGAAGCACCACTTATCAAACTGCCTACATAGAGTTGGACAGTAACTATTTATACATTCAGAATACTATCACTAACATATAGTATGGTGGAAAGTTCAAGTTAGGAATCAGTAAGAGATAAGAAATTGGATGCTTTTTCGCTCAACATGAAGATAATCATTTATATTCACCCATTTCTTCATTAAAAGAATGACACTTATTTCTTTCCTGAGTTTTCTTCTCCTTGGACATTAAGGTAGGCAATCCCATGTGTGTAAGTAGGATTTGTGACTCACATCTTACCAAAAGAATACAGCAACAGTGATGGAATGTACATGATTATATCACATAAAATTATAGTGTCCTTCTTGCTAAAAGACTCTACCTTGTTTCCTGGCATTAGGAAGCATGCAGCCACATTTGGAAGATGGCCAACATGGAAATAGCTGAGGGCTGGCCAACAGTCAGCAAAGAGCTGAGACCCTCAGGCTGACAGTGCACAAGAAACAAAATGTTGCCAACAACCCCCTGACTTAGAATCAGATCCTTCTACAGTCAAGCCTCAGATGAGACCTCCAGCCCTGGCCAACACTGATCGCAGCCTTGCGAGACACGCAGAGCTCCTCAAGGCCAAATTCTGACCCACAAAATAAGAGAGAATAAATGTGTGTTGTTTCTGTTAATATTGTTACACAGCAATAGATGAATAATAAAATCCTCAAATTAGACTATACCCTTAAGTCACATTTGCTTCTTCCTATTTCTTGCCCCCATACTTTTTCTTACTCTGTTATCAGTTTCTGCGGTACCCTCTCTCTTTTTATCTAAATTATTTCTGTTTTTAAAGCCCGAACAAAATTGGTTGTCACTTCTCTGGACTCGCAGTGTTAAACCAAATAATCAGCCCATTGGGAGCTACAGCCTTGTTTATTTTGCTACATTACCACTATGCAGAGATAGTGATAGTTTCTTTTTGGAATCTAAATTAATAATCCAATATCTTACACACAACAGATGTTCAAAAATGGTTATCTATAATTAGTAAATGAAAAACATATTACAGTTCCAATTTGTATTGAGGAAAAAGTACAGTGGTGCATAATTTTTAATGAAAACATTTAATTACTGTTAGAAATGTGTTAACAGCCACTCAAACCAAATATATATTTTAAGGATATCCCACTTGAAATTGAGTTTAAATGCTCTATTAATATAGGGTGTACATACTCAGTGGTAGAAACTCTTAACAAGTGGATGAATAAAAAATAACTTCAAAGCATTTTAGGAGGCTGAGGCGGGTGGAACCCTTGAGGTCAGAGTTTGAGACCAGCCTGGCCAACATGGTGAAACCTTGTCTCTACCAAAAAATACAAAAATTAGCCAGACATGGTGGCACATGCCTGTAGTTCCAGCTACTTGGGAGGTTGAGGTGGGAGAATCTCTTGAACCCTAGAGGCAGAGTTTGCAGTGAGCCAAGATCGCACCACTGCACTCCAGCCTGGGTGACAGAGTGACACCCTGTTTCAAAAAAAACACTTCTTGCTTTGCTTTATTATTTTTCCTTTTGGAAATAAGTATTTGTTTCCAAAATGGTACTCATTAAATAGTGTTCAAAAAAGTTAAAATGTATATTAAAATCTCTGAATTTGGAAATTATCTTTAGGAGAAAAAGATAATTGCTTGCTTTAAAGATGGAGTATATTTTAAATAGCTCATTCATAAATATAAAAGGCTCTTCAATATCTAAGTCTGTAAAAACTAACCCTCATTAAATTGCTCATAGTAGTGAAAAAGAATAGTTGGACGCTAAGATGCTGAAATTTAAAGTAACCCCAGGCACTGATATTGTTTGCAAGGTCACAGTGAGCTCAGACTGGGTCAGATCTGACCCTCAGCCTTTGACCAGTGCTTTCAAACTACATGTGCATGTGCTTGCACATGGGTCTGTAGGAGGTAGAGTGACTCACCCAAGCATACTGTTATTCATACAAAAGCATTACAGCACTGCTCTGAGACTCAGACCATGTTGCCTTGGGCAAATCAGAAAAGTAGAAGCTTTGTCTGTATTTGTGGACTAAGAAAATATACATCCGGAGGGGAGCCAAGATGGCCGAATAGGAACAGCTCCGGTCTACAGCTCCCAGCGTGAGCGACCCAGAAGACGGGTGATTTCTGCATTTCCATCTGAGGTACCGGGTTCATCTCACTAGGGAGTGTCAGACAGTGGGCGCAGGTCAGTGGGTGCGTGCACCGTGCGCGAGCCGAAGCAGGGCGAGGCATTGCCTCACTTGGGAAGCGCAAGGGGCCAGGGAGTTCCCTTTCCGAGTCAAAGAAAGGGGTGACAGAGGGCACATGGAAAATCGGGTCACTCCCACCCGAATATTGCACTTTTCGGACCGGCTTAAAAAATGGTGCACCACAAGATTATATCCCACACCTGGCTGGGAGGGTCCTACGCCCACGGAGTCTCGCTGATTGCTAGCACAGCAGTCTGAGATCAAACTGCAAGGCAGCAGCGAGGCTGGGGGAGGGGCACCCGCCATTGCCCAGGCTTGCTTAGGTAAACAAAGCAGCCTGGAAGCTCGAACTGGGTGGAGCCCACCACAGCTCAAGGAGGCCTGCCTGCCTCTGTAGGCTCCACCTCTGGGGGCAGGGCACAGACAAACAAAAAGACAGCAGTAACCTCTGCAGACTTAAATGTCCCTGTCTGACAGCTTTGAAGAGAGCAGTGGTTCTCCCAGCATGCAGCTGGAGATCTGAGAACGGGCAGACTGCCTCCTCAAGTGGGTCCCTGACCCCTGACCCCCGAGCAGCCTAACTGGGAGGCACCCCCCAGCAGGGGCACACTGACACCTCACACGGCAGGGTATTCCAACAGACCTGCAGCTGAGGGTCCTCTATGTTAGAAGGAAAACTAACAAACAGAAAGGACATCCACACCAAAAACCCATCTGTACATCACCATCATCAAAGACCAAAAGTAGATAAAACCACAAAGATGGGGAAAAAACAGAACAGAAAAACTGGAAACTCTAAAATGCAGAGCTCCTCTCCTCCTCCAAAGGAACGCAGTTCCTCACCAGCAACGGAACAAAGCTGGATGGAGAATGACTTTGACAAGCTGAGAGAAGAAGGCTTCAGACGATCAAATTACTCTGAGCTACGGGAGGACATTCAAACCAAAGGCAAAGAAGTTGAAAACTTTGAAAAAAATTTAGAAGAATGTATAACTAGAATAACCAATACAGAGAAGTGTTTAAAGGAGCTGATGGAGCTGAAAACCAAGGCTCAAGAACTACGTGAAGAATGCAGAAGCCTCAGGAGCCGATGTGATCAACTGGAAGAAAGGGTATCAGCAATGGAAGATGAAATGAATGAAATGAAGCGAGAAGGGAAATTTAGAGAAAAAAGAATAAAAAGAAATGAGCAAAGCCTCCAAGAAATATGGGACTATGTGAAAAGACCAAATCTACGTCTGATTGGTGTACCTGAAAGTGATGGGGAGAATGGAACCAAGTTGGAGAACACTCTGCAGGATATTATCCAGGAGAACTTCCCCAATCTAGCAAGGCAGGCCAACATTCAGATTCAGGAAATACAGAGAACGCCACAAAGATACTCCTCGAGAAGAGCAACTCCAAGACACATAACTGTCAGATTCACCAAAGTCGAAATGAAGGAAAAAATGTTAAGGGCAGCCAGAGAGAAAGGTCGGGTTACCCTCAAAGGGAAGCCCATCAGACTAACAGCGGATCTCTCGGCAGAAACCCTACAAGCCAGAAGAGAGTGGGGGCCAATATTCAACATTCTTAAAGAAAAGAATTTTCAACCCAGAATTTCATATCCAGCCAAACTAAGATTCATAAGTGAAGGAGAAATAAAATCCTTTACAGACAAGCAAATGCTGAGAGATTTTGTCACCACCAGGCCTGCCCTAAAAGAACTCCTGAAGGAAGCGCTAAACATGGAAAGGAACAACCGGTACCAGCCGCTGCAAAATCATGCCAAAATGTAAAGACCATCGAGACTAGGAAGAAACTGCATCAACTAACGAGCAAAATAACCAGCTAACATCATAATGACAGGATCAAATTCACACATAACAATATTAACTTTAAATGTAAATGGACTAAATGCTCCAATTAAAAGACACAGATTGGCAAATTGGATAAAGAGTCAAGACCCATCAGTGTGCTGTATTCAGGAAACCTATCTCACGGGCAGAGACACACATAGGCTCAAAATAAAAGGATGGAGGAAGATCTACCAAGCAAATGGAAAACAAAAAAAGGCAGGGGTTGCAATCCTAGTCTCTGATAAAACAGACTTTAAACCAACAAAGATCAAAAGAGACAAAGAAGGCCATTACATAATGGTAAAGGGATCAATTCAACAAAAAGAGCTAACTATCCTAAATATATATGTACCCAATACAGGAGCACCCAGATTCATAAAGCAAGTCCTGAGTGACCTACAAAGAGACTTAGACTCCCACACATTAATAATGGGAGACTTTAACACCCCACTGTCAACATTAGACAGATCAACGAGACAGAAAGTCAACAAGGATACCCAGGAATTGAACTCAGCTCTGCACCAAGCAGACCTAATAGACAACTACAGAACTCTCCACCCCAAATCAACAGAATATACATTTTTTTCAGCACCACACCACACCTATTCCAAAATTGACCACATACTTGGAAGTAAAGCTCTCCTCAGCAAATGTAAAAGAACAGAGATTATAACAAACTATCTTTCAGACCACAGTGCAATCAAACTAGAACTCAGGATTAAGAATCTCACTCAAAACCGCTCAACTACATGGAAACTGAACAACCTGCTCCTGAATGACTACTGGGTACATAACGAAATGAAGGCAGAAATAAAGATGTTCTTTGAAACCAATGAGAACAAAGACACCACATACCAGAATCTCTGGGACGCATTCAAAGCAGTGTGTAGAGGGAAATTTATAGCACTAAATGCCCACAAGAGAAAGCAGGAAAGATCCAAAATTGACACCCTAACATCACAATTAAAAGAACTAGAAAAGCAAGAGCAAACACATTCTAAAGCTAGCAGAAGGCAAGAAATAACTAAAATCAGAGCAGAACTGAAGGAAATAGAGACACAAAAAACCCTTCAAAAAATTAATGAATCCAGGAGCTGGTTTTTTGAAAGGATCAACAAAATTGGTAGACTGCTAGCAAGACTAATAAAGAAAAAAAGAGAGAAGAATCAAATAGACACAATAAAAAATGATAAAGGGGATATCACCACCCATCCCACAGAAATACAAACTACCATCAGAGACTACTACAAACACCTCTACGCAAATAAACTAGAAAATCTAGAAGAAATGGATAAATTCCTCGATACATACACTCTCCCAAGACTAAACCAGGAAGAAGTTGAATCTCTGAATAGACCAATAATGGGAGGTGAAATTGTGGCAATAATCAATAGTTTACCAACCAAAAAGAGTCCAGGACCAGATGGATTCACAGCCAAATTCTACCAGAGGTACAAGGAGGAACTGGTACCATTCCTTCTGAAACTATTCCAATCAATAGAAAAAGAGGGAATCCTCCCTAACTCATTTTATGAGGCCAGCATCATTCTGTTACCAAAGCCAGGCAGAGACACAACCAAAAAAGAGAATTTTAGACCAATATCCTTGATGAACATTGATGCAAAAATCCTCAATAAAATACTGGCAAAACGAATCCAGCAGCACATCAAAAAGCTTATCCACCATGATCAAGTGGGCTTCATCCCTGGGATGCAAGGCTGGTTCAATATATGCAAATCAATAAATGTAATCCAGCATATAAACAGAGCCAAAGACAAAAACCACATGATTATCTCAATAGATGCAGAAAAAGCCTTTGACAAAATTCAACAACCCTTCATGCTAAAAATTCTCAATAAATTCGGTATTGATGGGACATATTTCAAAATAATAAGAGCTATCTATGACAAACCCACAGCCAATATCATACTGAATGGGCAAAAACTGGAAGCATTCCCTTTGAAAACTGGCACAAGACAGGGATGCCCTCTCTCACCACTCCTATTCAACATAGTGTTGGAAGTTCTGGCCAGGGCAATTAGGTAGGAGAAGGAAATAAAGGGTATTCAATTAGGAAAAGAGGAAGTCAAATTGTCCCTGTTTGCAGACGACATGATTGTATATCTAGAAAACCCCATTGTCTCAGCCCAAAATCTCCTTAAGCTGATAAGCAACTTCAGCAAAATCTCAGGATACAAAATCAATGTACAAAAATCACAAGCATTCTTATACACCAATAACAGACAAACAGAGAGCCAAATCATGAGTGAACTCCCATTCACAATTGCTTCAAAGAGAATAAAATACCTAGGAATCCAACTTACAAGGGATGTGAAGGACCTCTTCAAGGAGAACTACAAACCACTGCTCAAGGAAATAAAAGAGGATACAAACAAACGGAAGAACATTCCATGCTCATGGGTAGGAAGAATCAATATCGTGAAAATGGCCATACTGCCCAAGGTAATTTACAGATTCAATGCCATCCCCATCAAGCTACCAATGACTTTCTTCACAGAATTGGAAAAAACTACTTTAAAGTTCATATGGAACCAAAAAAGAGCCCGCATCGCCAAGTCAATCCTAAGCCAAAAGAACAAAGCTGCAGACATCACACTACCTGACTTCAAACTATACTACAAGGCTACAGTAACCAAAACAGCATGGTACTGGTACCAAAACAGAGATATAGATCAATGGAACAGAACAGAGCACTCAGAAATAACACCGCATATCTACAACTATCTGATCTTTGACAAACCTGAGAAAAACAAGCAATGGGGAAAGGATTCCCTATTTAATAAATGGTGCTGGGAAAACTGGCTAGCCATATGTAGAAAGCTGAAACTGGATCCCTTCCTTACACCTTATACAAAAATCAATTCAAGATGGATTAAGGACTTAAACGTTAGACCTAAAACCATAAAAACCCTAGAAGAAAACCTAGGCATTACCATTCAGGACATAGGCATGGGCAAGGACTTCATGTCCAAAACACCAAAAGCAATGGCAACAAAAGACAAAATTGACAAATGGGATCTAATTAAACTAAAGAGCTTCTGCACAGCAAAAGAAACTACCATCAGAGTGAACAGGCAACCTACAAAATGGGAGAAAATTTTCGCAACCTACTCATCTGACAAAGGGCTAATATCCAGAATCTACAATGAACTCAAACACATTTACAAAAAAAAAACAAACAACCCCATCAAAAAGTGGGCGAAGGACATGAACAGACACTTCTCAAAAGAAGACATTTATGCAGCCAAAAAACACATGAAAAAATGCTCATCATCACTGGCCATCAGAGAAATGCAAATCAAAACCACAATGAGATACCATCTCACACCAGTTAGAATGGCGATCATTAAAAAGTCAGGAAACAACAGGTGCTGGAGAGGATGTGGAGAAATAGGAACACTTTTACACTGTTGGTGGGACTGTAAACTAGTTCAACCATTGTGGAAGTCAGTGTGGCAATTCCTCAGGGATCTAGAACTAGAAATACCATTTGACCCAGCCATCCCATTACTGGGTATATACCCAAAGGACTATAAATCATGCTGCTATAAAGACACATGCACACATATGTTTATTGAGGCAGTATTCACAATAGCAAAGACTTGGAACCAACCCAAATGTCCAACAATGATAGACTGGATTAAGAAAATGTGGCACATATACACCATGGAATATTATGCAGCCATAAAAAATGATGAGTTCATGTCCTTTGTAGGGACATGGATGAAATTGGAAATCATCATTCTCAGTAAACTATTGCAAGAACAAAAAACCAAACACCGCATATACTCACTCATAGGTGGGAATTGAACAATGGCATCACATGGACACAGGAAGGGGAATATCACACTCTGGGGACTGTGGTGGGGTGGGGGGAGGGGGGAGGGATAGCATTGGGAGATATACCTAATGCTAGATGACGAGTTAGTGGGTGCAGCACACCAGCATGGCACATGTATACATATGTAACTAACCTGCACAATGTGCACATGTACCCTAAAACTTAAAGTATAATAAAAAAAAGAAGAAAAATAAAAAGAAAATATACATCCATTCAAAAGAGCAGTTGACACCAGATAAGGCCAAAAAAGAGAGAAACTTTGAGTCCAGTATGAAAAAGATTGTAGATAACCATTCCTTTTTACTTTATTTAAGGAAAGCCAAAATGAATTTGCCTCAGAAAAGCAAATGTTGACAATTTCCTGATGAGAAAAGAAGGGATAGTTGCAATTCTAGTCCTTTACCCTACAGCTTCCCAGCATTGTTTCTGTCTTTGCATTTTATTAGACATTTGTGGTATAAGATACAATGAAGGGAATGGAAATGAGTGTGTGTATGTGTCTGTGTGTGTGTGAATGTGTGTGTGTGTTTACATGTACATACATACATATAGCTGGGGTAGATGTGAGAAGGAGAATAAAAAGGAGAAAGTAGAATAACTTCCACACACAGCCAATTTAAAACATCTTTGCATCGGTTCTTTCGGGGCTAAAGCCCACTTACTCCCCTACCACCCCTACTCTCACCATTTACATATACGTGTGTGTGTGTGTGTGTGTGTGTGTGTGTGTGTGTTTATGCATGTATATACGTGTATATATATATATGTATATATATATTTTATAGAAAGCATGGCAATATGCTACAAAGCTTTGGCTATTATTAATAGAATAGTAAAAGTCATTGAAGAAAGTTATATGTAAACTTAATGCTTATGTACTACTGTAAGCATATACAATGTCAATGTCATTTTTTATTTTGAAACAGAGAAACTCTAACAATTAAGGAAAAATGAGCTTTACAAAATGGCACATACTTTTGTAGTAAATATGACAAGTGCCCTTCACCCCATGATTTTTAGCTCAGCTCTAAAGTCACAGATCATTAGGTAGCAAATGCCATCAGCACTAGGAGGAGAGATCTGAGTGGTAAGGTAGAGTAGCCTGTGGTTATTAAGAAAATGAATGGAGACTGGAACATAGTATTGATTCTTTTGAAACAAAGTAATCTTACAAGACTCTAGGCCGGGCACAGTGGCTCACACCTATAATCCCAGCACTTTGGGAGGCCAAGGCAGGTGGATCATTTGAGGTCAGAACTTCAGGACCAGCCTGGCCAAAACTGTGAAACCCCGTCTCTACTAAAAATACAAAAATTAGTTTGGCATGGTGGCCCACGCCTGTAGTCCCAACTACTCGGGAGGCTAAGGCAGGAGAATCACTAGAACCTGGGAGGCAGACGTTGCAGTGAGCCAAGATTAC
Source organism: Homo sapiens (assembly GCF_000001405.40). Lineage (NCBI taxonomy): Eukaryota > Metazoa > Chordata > Mammalia > Primates > Hominidae > Homo > Homo sapiens. The sequence continues at coordinate 113,538,383 of NC_000006.12, forward strand.
GCCACTGCACTCCAGCCTAGGCAACACAGCCAGAACGCATCTAAAAAAAAAAAAAGAAAAAGACTCTAGAAATGTTATGTCACCAGCCAAAGTAAAAATGAAATACATAATCACATAAATATTTTCATTTTCCCACAAATAAATGTATCCCCTTCTTTGCTTGTCATGTGTGTAAAAATTAGAGTTGGAAGAAAATTGAGTTTGGTAGAATGTTGTCTCTTTGAAATCAAATTGGGAGAGAGGGATGGGCAAGATTGGACACAACTCAGATCACAAAGAAATATGTTAAGATGATAATTAATTAAATAATGTCCCATAATTATTTGCTTTCTTTAGTTCTCAATGGCCAGGAGAAGTCACGTCTGCAATCACTCATTTCCATCTGCGGCTGACCAGAGCAAATCTGGACTGTTCAACTATTACAATATCTTGCCATATTTTTTATTTTCTGAGGAAGCTGGGAGATTTGGGCTGTGGCAAATAGTTCTCTAATCATTTTGCCTTTAGATGCATGTTAACTTTCAGTAATTTATCTGGCATGAAATGGAACAAAGTTCCAATTCGTTCTGAATTCTACCGTGAAGGGCTGAGGAAAAAGAGAAGTGATAAGTTAGATGCTTTTATAATACACCAAAGCAGTCTTCCCTAGAAAACTTGCCTTAGGGTCTGAAGTACACCTAAGCTTCCCTCTCATCAAGGCAAAGAGCCCTGGGTAAAATCCCAGAGTATTCAGCTTCAGCTCAGGAGCTCATTAACAATAGGAACTCCTTTCCTTGAGAATAAATGATTTGCAAACCAGCGATCACTTTCTCTGTTGTAAATAAGAATCTAAGTCAAAAACAATGATATGCTTTTCTTTTAACTTTCCCATTATCACAAATATAAAGAAATTTCAAAGAGCCCTTACTCCAAGTGTAAGCAAAACAGCAGAGGCTGCAGTTTGCGCCCTAAATCCTCTCTCCAGTGTCTGCCCTCAATCAGTGCTTTCAAATTCCTTTCATGCCACTCTATCTTCCAAACCAACCCCACAAATAAACACACTCTAAGTCTGCCCTTGAATCCTTGTTAACATTTTCTGTGACAATGGCTGATAATCATATTGAGTTATTCCTCCTGTGTCCCCGCATTTTAGAATCAAAACCACACACTAAAGGGTTGACAGTCTACCAGTGTAGTATATCTAGCCAGAGCAAAGACTGTTCCTTGAAACCTGAGGTACAGAAAGACACTTCCTTTTCAATTTTGTTGACTGGGTGGCCTGTTTAATACCATACCAGTTCTGGAAGAGCCCACAAGTCTTACCTTCATTACTAAGAGAAACAAAATAATCTAGAAGAATAATTGGAGTCAAGTTGCTTTTACATCATCCAATGTACCAAATGATTTTAAGATGACATGTAAAGTGACAAATTTATAAAATTTGAAGAGCACAGAATAGGATCACAGAAGTTCTGATGTTAAAAGAACTTGGGGCTGACTCATTCTCTTGTTTCTGGATATAAGCCTAGAAATAAAAGTTGACAATCTTCATTTTCTTCTGCAGTTTTAATTTTGCCCCTTAATAGCTATATTATCTCCTAAAAGTCATTGATTTTTAATTTGTCAAAGTAATTCATACATTTGTTTGCAAAAGCCAAATAGTTCTAAAATGTTATACTTATCATAAAAACCAACATCCACTGCCCCACCTCCCCACACCAGCTCCTGTTTCCTAAAGGGCAAAAGTTTTCGAAAATGTTTAAGCCATTTTGTCTGGTATTTTCCTCTATGTTTCTAACTAATATGTCTAAATAGTTGGCCCTCCATATCTTTGGATTCCATATCTGCAGATTCAACCAACCATGTATCTAAAATATTTGAAGAAAAATGCATCTATACTGAACTTGTGCAGACTTTTTTCTTGGCAATATTCCCTAAACAATACAGTATAACAACTTTTTGCATACTATTACAATGCATTAGGTATTATAAGTAATCTAAAGATGAACTAAAGTATACAGGAGGATGTGCATTGGCTATATGCAAATACTGTACCATTTTATATCAGGGATTTGAGCATCTGCAGATTTGGGTATCCGTGGAAGTTTTAGAACCAGTCTCCAACTGAGGGTTGACTATACATCATCTACTGACTTCCAATTATGGCAGATTTTTTAAAATTTTTCTTACATGAAACCCCTCATACATTAGCATTTAATTTTAATCTCCACCATCCTCCCAGTATATTTATACATCTGTTTTTAGTTAAATTCCTATTTAGAGGTACAGTCATGCATCACTTAATGACAGGAATGCATTCTGAGAAATATATCACTAGACTATTTCATCATTATGTAAACATCATAGAGTGCACTTACACCAACCTAGATGGTATAGCCTGCTACATACCTAGGCTATAGGCTACAGCCTAGTGTCCTAGGCTGCAAACCTATACACCATGTTACTGTACTAAACACTGCAGGCAATTGTAACACAATGGGAAGTATTTGTAACTCTAAACATAGAAAGGGTACAATAAAAATATGGTATTATATTCTTATGGGACCATTGTCATATAAGTTGTCGATCATTGACCAAAACGTCACTATGTGGCACATGACTATACTTCATTATAACTTCATAACTAGCGTAAGTTACTTAGCCACATAGTATAGTATGATTATGTTTCCATTCCCATAGTACTTCTATTATTTCTTGAAGTTAATAGTTGTCTAAATTCTGCCGGGCATGGTTACTCATGTCTGTAATCCCAGTACTTTGGTAGGCTGAGCCGGGCGGATCACGTTAGGCTAATTGTTTGAAATCAGCCTGGCCAACATAGTAAAACCCTGTCTCTATTAAAAATACAAAAATTAGCTGGGTGCGGTGGCCGACACCTGTAAACCCAGCTACTTGGGAGGCTGAGACACGAGAATAGCTTAAACCCAGGAGGTGGAGGTTGCAGGGAGCTGAGATTGAACCACTGCACTCCAGCCTGGGCTACAGAGCAAGACTCTGTCTCAAAAATAAATTAATTAATTAATTGTCCAAATTTTTAATTTACTTAGGCTTCTAAATACCTACGCCTAGTTTTTCTCAAACGTTGAAACACAACATGTATGAAAATGTTTCATAATACTATTTTCCACATGGCCAAATGCAACAGATAGTCTCCTAGTTCTGTATTTTTTTTTCCTGGGAACATCTCTCTCTGTTAAGTCCTCTATCACTCCCTCTCTAATCTAAACTGGCTGCTCTTTTAGGCCTGCTGCATAGCTTTTTTTGTTGCTCAGAAACATCTCTTTACCCTCCTGTGATGGCTCACTCTCCTGTTTCCACGATCCTGCAGCTTCATCTTTCTTAATTTCTTTCTTATCTTGATGGGACACATCTATTGGTGACTTCCTCAAAATAACTGAATGAAAGACAAAATTTTGATAACTGTTCACCAAAATTTGTACTTCTCTTTCTACAGTTTGGAGTTGTTGCTACCTGTGTCTACCCAGCCAAGGACTTTATGCCTCAGGCCTTCATATTCAGGTAAATCCACACAACCAGTTCTTCACAACAGAGATATGAGCAGAATTGATGGTGATGCTCTGGGCTGGAGCCTATAAGAAGCACGTGGGCCTGTCCATCTTTTTTCCCTTTTGCTGGAAAGGAAGGCATGTATTGCAGTTGGGGACTCCATCAGTCTGGGTCCCTGAGTGATTATGTGGCTCAGAGCCCTCACCAACTCTCCATTGTATTGAACTATTGAGTGAGAAATAAACTTCTATTGTCTTCGGCCACTGAATTAAGGGATTGCCATTACCTTAACTTGATTAATAATTTGACTGGGTGGAAAATCCCAGGTTAAAAATTCTCAGAATTTTAAAAGCATTTTTTCCCAATGTTGCTTTCTGCTTCCAGTTGCTGTTAAAAATTATCCTTCCATTTCTATTTTTCCTTACCTATTTTGTTATTGTTTTGTTATGCATGGGTGATCTCACTCTCTCTGCTTTTAATTTGGTCTCATTAGTCTGGGAGGGACAACTTTGCAATAGCTGAGTGTAGGATTTCGTGTGATTCTCTTGGCTTTGGGCTGGGTAGCAAGTCCTTTCAGCCTACAGACTCAGGTTCTTTCTTTATGGGGAATTTTATCAACTTATTTCTTGGAAAACACCTTTATATCTTTTCTCTTTCTTCTTACCTTCTAGAACTCTAGATGTGAGGTATCCTTGATAAATCATATAAATTTATTTGCCTTTAATCCTGCCTTCTGGGAAATTGCAACAAACCCACATTCTAAACCTCACATTAAATTTTTTCAGGATTGTATTTTCAATATCTACAAGTTATTTTCTGTTCTCTAATTGCTGATTTTATTCCATCCTGTTCTTCCTTCCTACATGCTCATTCCCCCCAAAGATATTATGGTTTCTTTAGAATTTTTCTTACTAAACACATTTCTGTAGAATTCCTAAATTTGCAAGCATACCCAAGTAAACCTCCTCTCATTAAATCATTTTTCATAACATTTTATTCTGCTTTCTAGTTTTTCCTGTCTCCTCATCTTACAGTATCATGTGATAGATTTAGGCTCAGAGGACAATAGTACAAGTGGCTCTCATTTATAATTTATTCTCATGACATTAAAAATATTATTTTAAAGTATGTATCCATTATATTGAATACTGATTTATGATTTTAAGGAATGTAGTTATCTGGTCTAGCCTTTGAAAAGGGATCTCAAAAATGTTTTATTTATGATAGACATGTTCTCAAAGGGTCATTCCACTGTCAATATTTATCAGGTGGTAACACTCTGGACAATAGTAATAATAACCTTTGAATGTTAGATATTAAAAACCAAAAATAGTACGTAAGCAGTCCTAAAACAGAGGGAAAAGGAAATAATACACCATTTCTCAGTCATAGATGTAATGTTGGATACTATTGAAAACTTTCTAACTCTCCTTAAAAGAAGTAACCTCCATTTTTTGCCTAACTTATTTCAAGCACAATTTTAAAAATAATATTTCTCTGATTACAAAAACAGGACATGTTTCTCATGAAAATTTTGGAAATGTGAAATTACAGAAAAGCCCAAAGGAAAACAATGAAAATCTCTTGCAACTACAGTACTTAGAAAAATGCCTATTATCATTTTGTTTTATATCCCTGCTGTCTTTATATGTACAACTTGCATTTTGCAAGAGTTTAGAAAGTTGTAACCTTATTTTTTAAATCAGTGCATAACTAATATTTTTTATGCTATTAAAATATTATTTTAAGATGTAATATCTAATCACATGTCTGCATCATAATCTACTTAATCTCCCCTTGTTCACAATTAAGTAGTTTCCAATTTTTCACTATCAAAGTAATGCTACAACAAGAAGGATATCCTGGTATATAAATAATTTTACACAACACAGTTATTTCCTTGACATAAATACCTAGAATAGAATTAGTCAAACATAAGAAATTAATATTTAATACCTCCGATACATCCTGCCATGCTGCCCACAAAAAGACCATACCAAGTTACACCACCACCGAAAATGTGTTAAAGGATCAGTTTGCTCAAAACTTAAATAAAATAGAGTAAGTTATTTTATATCTACACATTTAATGAGTTGAAATGTATCCTCTGCATTACTTTCACATGTACTTCTGCCAATTAATATAAAATTCATGTGTGCAAAAATTAAATAATAGAGTAACACATCATTACAGATTCCAAAAAAAGCAAAAAATATTTACTAATTGCACAATTACTAATTGTAAGTCACTTTTTTGGACATCTTCCTAAATAGTATGTCTTTTCTTTATAATATAATGTCTTTATTAAGGGTACACTGAATTTGACAGTTTGGCCTAAGTGTGACAAACAACTAATTGAGACTAAAATACTATGAAGGCTCTCAAAATGACAAATGATTTCCATCTGTGTCTCCATTGTTTCAAATTTGATTCATATATTGCTTATCAGTAACATAAGTAATTCTTATTTTTTTCATTTCTACTCACTTTTGTGAAATGAAAAGGACAAAATATGATGAAACATTCAAATAATTTCATATACATTACTATGTTGAGAGAGATAGAAGCACTGCTGAAACTGAAATACATATTGGCAGACTAGCAGCACCAACCTACCACATTTAAAAATATTATTTTACCATGTGAATGTTCACATTAAATATAATAAAGATAATTTAGGAATATCAATGTCATGCCTAGTCAAGTATATGAAAGCCATATAATCTCATTGATGCTTTATTTCTCATATCTTTGATTGCTAGCAATGGTGAGCCCATTTCCATAAGTGTTTTGGCCACTGAGGTTCTTTGTGAATTTTCAATTCATGTATTTTGTCTGTATTATGTTGGAATGTGCATAATTTGTTTATTGAGTTATAAATGCTACTTACATATTCAGAATATAAAAACCATTATAGTTGATGTGAATAAAAATACCTAGTTGGCTAAATGTCTTTAGGTTTTATGTTGTTTTTTTTATAATGGATCTGCAGACATTTTTAATTTTCATGTATATATTCAAATATCTTGATATGATTTGGCTCTGTGTCCCCGCCCAAATCTCATGTCAAATTGTTAGACCTGGTGGAAAGTGATTGGATCATGGGGATGGTTTCTAATGACTTAGCATCATCCCCTTAATGCTGTCTCATGATAGAATTCTCGCAAGATCTGGTTGTTTAAAAGCGTGCGGCACCTCCCCTTCTCGCTCTCTTCATCTTGCTCCAGTCATGTAAGATGCACCTGCTTCCTTTTTGCCTTCTGCCATGATTGTAAGTCTCCTGAGGCTTCCCCAGTCATGCTTCTTGTACACCTCATGGAACCGTGAGCCAATTAAACCTCTTTTCTTTATAAATTTCACAGTCTCTGGCATTTCTTTATAGCAATGTGAGAATGGACTAATACATACCTCAATGCTGTCTTCAAGACTTTTCTTTGACTCATTACTTAGAAGATGGCCCTAAGTCACATATAATGGATGTCCCACTTGACTATTAACAGATTTCTCAGTAGAAACCTTGCATGCCAAGAGAGAATGGGATAATATATTCAAAATGCTGAAAGAAAGAACTTGCCATTCAAGAATATTATGCCCAGCAAAGATATTCTTCAGAAATGAGGGAGAAATAAAGTTCCAAACAAGCAAAAGCTGAGAGAATTCATCAACCTTAAACCAGCCTTAAAAGAAATCCTTAAGTGCTTCAACCGGAACCATAAGGATGTTAATTAGTACCGTGAAATCATATGAAACTATAAAAACTCACTGGTAGAGGTAAACTCATAATCAAATTCAGAATACTTCATTACTGTAATAGCAGTATATAATCTTCAAATCTCTAGAATGAAGGTTAAAAGTCAGTATGGTTAATGATAACCATAGGTACAATAAGTTAAGAAATACACAACATAAAGATATATTAACTAAGGCAACAAAATTACAAATTGGTAGAAGAATAAAAGTCTGGTATATTTATATGTGACCAAAGTTAAGTTGTTATCAGCTTAAAGTAGACTTTTATGGCTCTAAGATTGTTTTGTGATTCCCAGAGTAACCATAAAGAAAAAAAAAAAACTATAGCAGATACATAAATGAGAACGAGAAAAAAATCAAAACTTTTCACTATAGAAAATCACCAAATTACAAAGATAAACAAGAGAGAAAGAAATAAACAAAAAGACTTATAAAGTAACCAGGAAATAATTAACAGAATAGCAGAAGCAAACCCTTACCTATTAATAATAACCTTGAATATAAATGGATGAAATTCTACAATTAAAAGATATAGACTGGGCCGGGCATGGTCACTCACACCTGTAATCCCAGCACTTTGGGAGGCCAAGGCGGGTGGATCTCCTGAGGTCAGGAGTTCGAGACCAGCCTGGCCAACATGGCGAAACCCTGTTCTACTAAAAGTACAAAAATTAGCCAGCCGTGGTGGCAGATGCCTGTAAACCCAGTTACTCAGGAAGCTGAGGCATGAAAATCGCTTGAATCCGGGAGGCAGAGGTTGTAGTGAGCTGAGATTTTGCCACTGCATTCCAGCCTGGGCGACAAGAGCAAGACTCCATCTCCAGGGGAAAAAAAAAAAAAAAAAAGAGATATAGAGCGGCTGAATTTTAAAAAAATCAAGACCTGACTATATGCAGTCTACAGGAGGCTTACTTCATCTCTAAGGACACACATAGACTGAAAGTAAAGGAATGGAAAATGATTTTCCATATAAATGGAAACCAAAAGACAGCAGACGTAGCTATACTTACATCTGATATAACAGACATTAAGTAAAAAGAACTACAAAAGGAGACAAAGATGGAGAAGATCATTATATAATGATAAAGGAGTCAATTCAGCAGGAGGATATAACAATTATAAATATATATGCACTCAACAAGACAGCACCAAACATATAAAGCAAATATTATTAGATCTAAAGGGAGAGATAGACTGCCATACAAAAACAGTAGGGGTTTTCAACGCCTTACTTTCAGCAATGGCCAGATCATTTAGACAGAAAATCAACAAGGAAGCATCAGATTTAAACTTCACTGTAGATTAAATGGACCTGAGACATTCACTGAGTATTCCACTAAAGAGCTGCACAATACACATTCTTCTTATCAGCACATGCTACTTTCTCCAGGACAGATAATATATTAGGCCATAAAAAAGTCTCAACAAATTTTTAAAAATCAAAATCATGTAAAGCATCTTTTCCGACCCATATGGAATAAAACTAGGAGTCAATAACAGGAAGAACTTTGGAAACTACACAAATATATGGAAATTAAACAACATACTCCTGGATGACAAATGAGTCAATAAAGAAATTTAAAAGGAAATTTAAATATTTCTTGAGATAAAAAATAGAAATGAAATATACCAAAACCTACAGGATACTGAAAAAAGGCAGTTATAAAAGGGAAGTTTTCAGTGAATTTCTGAATCAAAATTCCTGAATCAAAAAAATTAGAAAGATCTCAAACAACCTAATGTTGCATCAAAAAAAAAATTAGAAAAACAAGAAAAACACTAAACTCAAAAGTGGTAGAAAAAAAGAAATAATAAAGATCAAAGCATAAATTAGAGACTAAAAATACAAAATATCAACAAAACCGAGTTTTGCTGAAAAATAAACAAAATTAACAAACCTTTCACTAGACTAAGAAAAAAAAGAGAGAAGATTCAAATAAATAAAACCAGAGATTAAAAAAAGAACATATTACAATTGATTCCACAGAAATACAAAGGATCACAAGAGACTATGAGAAACAACTATATGGCAACAAATTAGAAAACCTAGAAGAAATGGATATATTCTTGGACACACACAACCTACCAAAATCAAATCATAAAAAAATAGAAAATCTGAACAGACCAATAGCAACAATATTAAATCAGTAATGAAAGACGCTCATCAAAGAAAAGCCCAGTACTTGAATACTTAGCTGTTGCAAATGATTCCAAAAAATTAAAGAGGAGGAAATTTTTCCAAACTCCCTCCATGAGGCCAGCTTCACCCTGATAAAAACAAAAAAAAATAACAGACAAGGACACAACAACAAAAAAAAGAAAACCTCAGGCCAATATCGCTGATGAACATAGATGCAAATAGTTCTCAACAAAATACTTGCAAACTAAATTTAACAGTACATAAAAAAGTTTTTTGCAATGATCAAGTGGAATTCATCCATAAGGATACAAGGATGGTTCAGCACATGCAAATTAGTAAACAAAATACATCACATTAACAGAATCAAAGACAAAAACCAAATGATCAATTGAATAGATGCAGAAAAGACATTTAATAAAATTCAACATTACTTCATAATAAAAACTCTCAACAAATTAGGTGTAGAAGGAACCTATCTCAACACAATAAAAGCTGGATATGACAAACCACAGCTAACATCATACTGAATGGGAAAAGGTTGAACACTTTTCCTCTGAAATCTGGAACAAGACAAGGATGCCCCCTTTCACCACTTTTATTCAACATAGTACTGGAAGGCCTAGCCAAAGCAAGAGAGAAATAGAGGGCATTCAAATTGGGGAGGAGGAAATCAAATTTTCCCTGGTTGAAGATGACATGATCTTATATACAGAAAAAAACCTAAAGCTTCCACCAAAAAAACTGTTAGAACTAATAAGTGAATTCAGTAGAGTTACAAGATACCAGTCGACACACAAAATCAGTAGTATTTCTATACCCTAATAGTGAACCTGAAAAAGAACTAAAAAAGCAATCCCCTTTACAATTGCTACCAAAAAAATAAAATGTCTAGTAGTAAATTTAACCAAAGAGAAGAAAGATCTTTTCAATAAAAGTTATAAAACTTTGATAAAATGAATTGAAGATACTATGAATAAATGGGAAGATGGTCTTTGTTTATGGATTGGGATAATTAATATTGTTAAAATGTTCATACTACCCAAAGCAATCTACAGATTTAATGCAATACCTATGAAAATGCTAAGAACATTCTTTACCAAAATAGGAAAAAAAAATCCTAAAATTTGTATGTAAACACAAAAGATCCCAAATAGCCAAAGCAATTTTGAGTGAAAAGAGCAAAGTGAGAGACATCACACTACCAGACATCAAAATATACTACAAAGCAGAAATGTAAACAAAACAGAATGGCATTGACATAAGAATAGATATGTAAACCAATGGAGCAGAATATAGAACACAGAAATAAATTCACACACAGCCAATTGATTTTTAACAAAGGTGCTAGGAACACACATTGGGGAAAGGACAGTCTTTAAATGGTGGTGGGAAAACTGGATATCCATATGCAGAAGAATAAAACTAAACCCCTATCTTTTACCATTTAGAAAAATCAACTCAAAATGGATTAAGGACTTACATGTAAGCCTCAAAACTATAAAACTTCTAGAAGAAAATATGAGAAAATGTGTCATGACATTGATCTGGGCAATAATTTTTTGGATAAGAACTCAAAATCACTGACAACAAAAGCAAAAACGGACAAGTGAGATTATATCCAACTAAAAAGTTTCTGCACAACAAAGGAAACAATAAACAAGTAGAGGAATAATCTAAAGAATTAGAGAAATATTGGTACACTATGGATCTAACAAGGGGTTAATATCCTGAATACATAAGGAACTCAAAATCTCAACAGCAAAAAAAAAAATAATATGATTTTTTAAATAATTAAAAGACCTGAATAGACATTTCTCCAAAGAATACATACAAATGGCAAAGAATATTTTTGTAAATGCTCAACATCACTAATCAGGGAAATGCAAATCAAAACCACAATGAGGCGTTATTTCTGACAACTATCTGATCTTTGACAAACCTGAGAAAAACAAGCAATGGGGAAAGGATTCCCCATTTAATAAATGGTGCTGGGAAAACTGGCTAGCCATATGTAGAAAGCTGAAATTGGATCCCTTCCTTACACCTTATACAAAAATCAATTCAAGATGGATTAAAGACTTAAACGTTAGACCTAAAACCATAAAAACCCTAGAAGAAAACCTAGGCATTACCATTCAGGACATAGGCATGGGCAAGGACTTCATGTCTAAAACACCAAAAGCAATGGCAACAAAAGACAAAATTGACAAATGGGATCTAATTAAACTAAAGAGCTTCTGCACAGCAAAAGAAACTACCATCAGAGTGAACAGGCAACCTACAAAATGGGAGAAAATTTTCGCAACCTACTCATCTGACAAAGGGCTAATATCCAGAATCTACGATGAACTCAAACACATTTACAAGAAAAAAACAAACAACCCCATCAAAAAGTGAGCGAAGGACATGAACAGACACTTCTCAAAAGAAGACATTTATACAGCCAAAAAACACATGAAAAAATGCTCACCATCACTGGCCATCAGAGAAATGCAAATCAAAACCACAATGAGAATTCTAACACCAGTTAGAATGGCGATCATTAAAAAGTCAGGAAACAACAGGTGCTGGAGAGGATGTAGAGAAATAGGAACACTTTTACACTGTTGGTGGGACTGTAAACTAGTTCAACCATTGTGGAAGTCAGTGTGGCAATTCCTCAGGGATCTGGAACTAGAAATACCATTTGACCCAGCCATCCCATTACTGGGTATATACCCAAAGGACTATAAATCATGCTGCTATAAAGACACATGCACACATATGTTTATTGTGGCACTATTCACAATAGCAAAGACTTGGAACCAACCCAAATGTCCAACAATGATAGACTGGATTAAGAAAATGTGGCACATATACACCATGGAATATTATGCAGCCATAAAAAATGATGAGTTCATGTCCTTTGTAGGGACATGGATGAAATTGGAAATCATCATTCTCAGTAAACTATTGCAAGAACAAAAATCCAAACACCGCATATTCTCACTCATAGGTGGGAATTGAACAATGAGATCACATGGACACAGGAAGGGGAACATCACACTCTGGGGACTGTTGCGGGGTGTGGGGAGGGGGGAGGAAATATACCTAATGCTAAATGACAAGTTAATGGGTGCAGCACACCAGAATGGCACATGTATACATATATAACTAACCTGCACATTGTGCACATGTACCCTAAAACTTAAAGTATAATAATAATAAAATAAAAAAAATAAAATAAAAAATAAAAACCACAACGAGGTAACACCTCAGCCCAATTAGAATGGTTATTATCAAAAAGACAAAAATAACAAGTCTTACATGGGTATAGAGAGATGGGAACTCTTACACACCATTGGTGGGAATACAAACTAGTATAGCCATTATGGAAATGGTATAGAGGTTCCTCAGAATATTAAAGATAGAACTACTGTGTAATCCAGCAATCCCATTACTGGGTATGTTTCCAAAGGAAATGCAATCAGTATGTTGAAGAGCTATCTGTAGCCCCAGGTTCTTTGCAGGACTAGTCACAATAGCCAAGATATGGAATCAACCTAAGTGTCCATCAACAGATGAATGGATAAAGAAAATGTGGTATATATACACAATGGAATACTATACAGCCATAAAAAATTGAAATCCTGTCATTTGTGCAATGTAGATGAACCTAGAGGACACAATGTTAGGTAAAATAAACCAGGCACAGAAAGACAGATAGAGCATGATCTCACTCACTTGTGGAAACTAAAAAAGTTGATCTCATAGAAATACTGTACCGAGTAGAGTAACGGCTACCAGAGGCTGGGGAGGCTATGTGTGTGTTGAGGGGGATTGGTTAACAGTACAAAATTGTAATTAGATAAGAGAAATAATTTCTGGTGTTCTTTTGCACAGTAGGATAACTAGAGCTAAGAATATTGTATTGTATATTTCAAAAAACTAAAAGAGAAGGTTTTGAATGTCCTTACCACAAGGAAATAGTAAATGTTTCAGATGATGGATATGCTAAATAGCCTGATTTAATCATTCCAATGTATTTATGTATCAAAACATCACATTGTACCACATAAATAAGTACAATTATATTATGTCAATTAAAAATAAGCAAAAAAGATGATCATTTTGATCTACCTCTATTTTCTTCAAGTTCTTTTTTGGAGTGTGGGAGATAGGGTTGTTCTTTGATTACATTTAAGTAATCAGACTGCCACTGATCTTATGGCTTAGTTTAAGGTAGGGATCTAACATTATTCTATTCCAAATTGTAACAAATTGGTCCAGCATCATTTTTAACTCATTGATTTTTTTTCTCCTAAATTGAAATGCAGTCTTAGTCTGGATGCAGTGGCTAACACCTATAATCCCAGCACTTTGGGAGGGCAAGGTGGGAGGATTGCTTGAGCCTAGGAGGCCATGACCAGCCTAGGCAACATAGTGAAACCCCATCTCTACAAAAATTAAAAAATATTTTTTTAAAGTTAGCTGGGTGTGGTGGTGCACAACTGTGGTCCCAGGTACTTGGGAGGCTGAGGTGAGAGATTGCTTGAGCCCAGGAGGTTGAAGCTGCAGTGAGCCATGATCATACCACCGCATTCCAGTCTGGGTAACAGAGTGAGACCCTGTCTCAAAAAAAAAAAAAAAGCAATCTTATTTTTATGCTAAGTACTTACATATACTTAAGCCTGTTCCTGTTTCTTCATCTTTTACTCTGTAGGATTTCTACTCCTTTGAATTTTCTATTTTTTGCACATACACAACAATTGGAATTATTTTCACTGTTTAACATATTTTCATAGTCAATAATCTAAATGTCCCTCCCTTCATTATCTGTTTCATAATTGTATTATGTAAGTTATTTGGATTTTTTTCACATAAACATTTTAGTCATTTTGCAGAAGTTTTTAAAAATTTGCTGGATTTTTATTAGAGTTCCATTAAAATTGTAAATTAATTTAGAAAAATTGGCTAGGCAAAGTGGCTTATGCCTATAATCCCAGCCCTGTAGGAGGCCAACGCAGGAGGATTGCTTGAGCCGAGGAGTTCAAGACCAGCCTGGGCAACATAGCAAGATCTCATCTCTACAAAACAAAATGAAATTAGCTGGGCATGATGGCATGTGCCTGTAGTCCCAGCTACTTGGGAGGCTGAAGCTGGAGGATTGCTCAAGTCAAGGAGTTTGAGGCCACAGTGAGTCGTGATCATATCTCTGCACTCCAGCCCGGGCAACAGAGGAAGACTTTGTCTCCAAATTTAAAAAATAAATTTAGGAAAATTTATGTATTTGCAATGTTAATTTTTTTCATCTAAGGTCATGCTATTAATAGAAAGTTCCATTAGTTTGTGTTTATAGTGCTCAGTAAAATTGTATGGTTTTCCCCGCTAAGTTCCTCTACAGCTTTAACAAATATACTTGCTAAGTTTGTTATTTCCCATTTTGGGGTGACTAATCTTCCCACTTTACCCAAAACTGTGAGACTTCCCGGGACACAGGACTCTTAATACTGAAACTGGGATGGGCGGTCACCCTATATCATAACATGGAACTGGCTGTGGCTGATACATAGGAAAATTAATTACTTATACATACATTATTTTCATTTATTTATTTATTTTTATTTTTTTGTTGGAGTCTCGCTCTGTCACCCAGGCTGGAGTGCAGTGGTGCAATCTTGGCTCACTGCAACTTCCGTCTCCCAGGTTCAAGTGATTCTTCTGACTCAACCTCCTAAGTAGCTGGGATTACAGGTACCTGCCACCACACCCAGCTAATTTTTGTATTTTTAGTAAAGATAGGTTTTCACCATGTTGGCCAGGCTGGTTTTGAACTCCTGACCTCAAGTGATCCACCCGCCTCAGCCTCCCAAATTGTTGGGATTACAGGCATGAGCCACCGCACCTGGCCTGCATATATTATTTTCTTCCAGGCCACTAAACTCTTTTCATTTTGAATAGACTGTCAGTTGAATTTATTGAGATTTTGGGGATTTTATATAAAAATCATGATAATTCCAATATTTATAGCTGCTTTTTTGTCTTGCCTTACTGTGTGGGTCATTATGTCCCAAATAATGTTAAATAGTAATAAGAGATACTGCATATTCATTGGACACTGGCTTGATAGACTTACTCATCAAGTTACAGAAATATTCTTCCATAATTTTTTTAAGACTTTGTGGTGGTTGCTCTTTTTGTTTGTTCTTAAATTAAACATGAATGTTTTAACTTTATTTTAAAAAAAAATGGAACTTTCTATTTCAGTGATCTTATTGAGGAAAAAGAAGGAAAATTCTCCATTGGTGGTTTTAGCCAATCAACTGCAGAGCTTTCCCAAACTAGACTATATTCTCATATACATGAGAATCTGCTGAATCCCACTCTCTCTTCCTTTCTGAAGGTTGGAGGGGTGATGTGGATTGCCCCTATTTTAGAATCACTGATTGTGTAAGCCAATTTTCTAATAAAATGTGTTATCTCCTAGGGTAATAAAGTTCAACTGAGAAAACAAAAACAATTGACAACCACTGAGTAGAGAATACTATACATTTTTTTCTCTTTTTATCTATAGAAGTGATAAAAATGTATTGATAGTATTTCTAATATTAAACCTTCCTTGTATTGCTGAAATATGCTAGACATTTTTTTTTTAATTTATTTGAGCATGAGCTCTCTCTGCTCTTACTGCCCAGGCAGGAGTGCAGTGGCGTGATCTCGGCTCATACTGCCCAGGCAGGAGTGCAGTGGCGTGATCTCGGCTCGTGGCAACCTCTGTCTCCCAGATTCAAGTGATTCTCCAGCCTCAGCCTCCCAAGTAGCTGGGATTACAGGCGCCTGCCACCATGTCCAGCTAATTTTTGTATTTTTAGTAGAGACAGGGTTTCACCATTTTGGCCAGGCTGGTCTCAAACTCCTGACCTCAGGTGATCTATCTGGCTCAGCCTCCCAAATTGCTGGGATTACAGGCGTGAGCCACTGCACCTGGCCCAGACATCTCTGAATACAGTATCAGAGAGAGGTTTCAAAACTTTTGATATCTCTATTTATAAATGAGAACCTATTATAGATTTCTATGCCATTTGGGGGCAGATTTTCATTTGGTTAACATCATTAACTTTGAAAGTGAATTAGAAATTTTTACACATTTTTCCCCTGCTCTGAAATATTATACATTGTGAGAATCAATTATTCCTTGAAGGTTTATAGAAACTCATCCATGAAAGTATCAAGCCATGCTTTTCTGGAGCTGATTTATCAACAACTTTTAGTGGATTTTTTTTTAAATAATTATTGGACTACTTATATTTTTTCTTAAGTCAATGTCATTAAATTATATTTTTCTAGACATTTATTTACTGCATTAAAAGTTTGGAATGCAGAAATATAAACATAATTTTAATCTCCCTTGTATCTATAGTTATGTTTATTTTCACATTTTTATTTTGTGTTTTTTCCTTCCTTTCTTGATTAGATTAGCTAAAGGTTTGTCACTTTTTTGGTGTTATTACTGTTTGCTTTGTTTTGTTCTAAAAAATTGTGCTTGGGTCTTTCTTCTATTGCCACCTGTTTTCTGGAGAATCCTAGAACATTATCTCTTCTGGAGAATCCTAGGACATTACCTCTTCATTGCTTCTGCCACATTCTTTTATTTTATTTATTTTTATTTTTTATTTTTGAGACTCCAGGTGCACATATCTGAAACCTTGTCACCGTAACACATTGGTCTCTGATGGTTGTTTATGTATTTTGTCTTTTTGCCTCTTGATACATTGGTCTGGATATCTGAATATTTTCTTATTACCTATCTTCCAGTTCATGAATTCTGTTTTAGTAAAATCAATCTATTCAGTTCTTACTTGTAATTATTACATTTTTTAGTTATAAAATTTCCTTTTAATATAGTTATATTTTCTGGTTCTCTGCTGAAATTATCCATCTTTTACTAAATTAACCACAGATATTTTAATATCCATGCCTGATAACTCCAATATCTGGATTTCCTATGTGTTTGATTTTATTTGCCTGTTTCAAATTTTTTTCTCTTAGTTTTTGTCAAAATGACAGACTAATTTTTAATGTAATGTGGGACATTATATATTAAAAAATAATTTGAAGTTCTCGATGGTTTTGTCTCTTCCACAGAGGATCAACTTTTCTCTGGCAATGAAGTAAGCCAAAGGTATATCTTTTTGATCCATTTTATTAAAGTTGATTGAGCTGACTCAAAACTGGGATTTGTTTCTTTTTTTTTTTTCTTTTGAGAGCTGGATAATTAGCCCACACTCCTAAGATAACTTTTTTCAGTCTCAGCTGAAAGCCCTGGGTATTTACCAGGGCAATGCCTCTTTAGTGGGCTCTGTACTCTAGTTTGGGTCATCCCCAGCTTCATAAGACCGACCCAAACTCTGCTCAACTCCTTACCCTCTCAACCACAACTTTCTGCAAACCTTCTTGGCCTCTCAGCCTTCACCCATCCTTCTAACCTGCAAATAACTTAAGATGAAAAGTGATGGTAAAGGTAGGGTTCATCTCTCTGTGCTCTCTTTTCCAGGATCTTGACTCTCAAGTCCTTGCTACTTTGGTAGCTCTTCAGTGCCTTCAAACAGATTTTGTTGTTATTGTTGCTGTTGTTCAGCTTATTTTGTCTTTCTCAGTGTGTAGAGTGGGTTTGAAAGTAAATAGTCTAACATGATCACAAAATGAAAAAGTCTATTCTCTTTTCTAAATAATTTTTGCTTTTGGCTTTATTAACTCCTTTGTTCTACTTTTCTTTGGTTTGTTTTATTATAGGTTTTTTTTTTTTTTTTTGCTTCCTTGGTTGAGTATTTAATCCGATTCTGATGCTTTCTCTTCTTTATCACTTCAAACATTGCTTTTCATGTAAATTCATTTTGAACTCATTTAACAACTGTCCGCGAGTGGTAACCAGCAAGATCATAGAACCTGATGTGGTTCTACCCCAAAACTTATACAACAAATATTTGATGATTTTCTATCTGGTATCCATTATCTACTTTCTACATTTTAGTAACACTCAAGATTTGGTTCAAGTATCTGCTATTGCCCCTTTGGCTAAATTACTTTGAGGGAAACTGATCCTACCTCCATCTCCAATTTTAGGCTGTGGATTGGTTTAAATCTAATTACACATTTCATTCTCTTGGCCACAATAATTGGGTTAGCTGTCCAGATATGATCTAATCAAATTCAGGCACAGTAATCTCAAGAGTCTTTCTTGGAATCCTAAGCTAGGAATACTCTTATTCTTTCCTATGTAAGAGTGAGAAGCATCATACCCTGTTTTCTCCTGGTGTTTATCTTGCAACCATGAGAGAAGCCTGGCAGGGACTAACATGATACATGCATAGAATTGGACAGAGCTGAAAAAGCCATACAGCAATTGACCTGGAACCCTAATTAAACCATGCTGGAAGCCCACCCACCAGCTGGACTTTCAAGTTACTGAGCCAATAAATTCCCTTTATTATTTAAGCCACTTTAGATTTAATTGACTTTTCTTTCACTCACAGCCAAATGCATTCTAACTGAAACACTTGGGTACCTAACAAACACTTTGTAATGATGGCGACATCAGAGAAAAGAAAAAAGTAAAAACAAATAGAAATAGGTTAATGTTCTTAAGTCCATCCATATTCACTAGTCCATTAAATCAAAATATAAACCACTCGATTTTAACATCTGGAATTTTATTTGTTTTGTTCCTCATTGTATCCCCAGTACCTGGTTTAGCGCCTGGCATTTTTCAATAAATATTCACTGGGAAGTGGTAGGAGGAAATAATTAATAATAATAATAAATATTCAATAAGTACATGTCGAATGAGTGAATAGTTATGGCCTTGAGTAATTTTTTTCCCTAAAGATATTGCCATTGACTTTCAACTACTGAGAGGAAAACATTTTCTCAGTGTGTAAAATATCCCAAGCTTGTGACCAAGAAGGAATCTTAGCATCCATATGGTCTCATTAAAATGAAATGCTTTGTTCCTCAGATTTCCCAGATTGAAAGGGTATGTGTATAAACAATAAATATAAATCCAAAATACTTACAACAATAAATTTCATGACATGTTTTTATAGAATATCAATTAATAGGAACGGCATCAATGTATAAACAGTGTGTAACTAAGCTACAGAACACTTTTAGTTCTGTCATTTGTAAAATAAATGAATGATTCCAAGATTACTTCCACCTCTAAAAATAACATGAGTTTATGATTCGAGAGTTGCTCTTTTATCGTCAAAGTGGTCCAATGTATTGGCACCTCCAATCTCTTCTGATGGTCTCTGTAGCACTTCCAGCAGTGCCCTAATCATACGCAGACCACAAAACGTAATGGTCTGGGATGTGCACGTCCAAGGTCCAGGAGCACTTCAGCAAGAGACCTGAGCTCAGCTGATTAAAGAAAGCATGATTCAGTCCTCCTCACCCAAGGGAAGGCCCACAAAAGATCTCTTCAGTGAAGAAAGGGAATGGGAAGCACAGTGCGCATGTGAGTGCAATCAGATACACCCCAAGTTAGAGCAAAGGGTCAAATTAAGGGGCGTTAAACATCCTGGAAAGAGCTAAGGAGAGGGAAAAGAAGAGAAGTGATTGTACACTTAGAGGCAAGCATAATCCAGGTTCTTATGTTTTGTCAGTGGAGAAGGGTTTGAGTCTAGCCAGACTGGCAATAGCAAATGCTTGGCCCTCAGTGTTTCCCACCCCAACATCTGCCACTGCAGGAGAGACAGCAACCAGTAAGAGGCTGCAGGGACTATGGTCTACAGCACTGGATGGGGGGAATGGCAAGGGTCCTGGGTGGCAGCACAGGTGGCAGCCAAGTGGCAACTTGTATGCCAGATGGGAGAGTGTCACATGCTGCCCCTGGCACACATGCAGCTCATTTTAGGGGACTAACAAAGCCCTGCATTTCTCAAATGGACATATGGTGTCAAAGAGGAAGGTATAAAATTCTATTATGTGGAAACCAATGAATAAAATCAAAATATTTCTCTCTTACTTAGAAGAGAATATAAATAAATGGAATTATCAATTATGATTTTCTAATAAAGAAGATAAAAACTTCCATTGAAATCTGAAGAAAGAAGAAACTACCTAAATAAACCCCAGCAGTGAAGCCCATTTTTCAAGACAGATACACCCAGCTTCTCTTTACAATCTACCTCCTGTTCTCAGCACTAATTTTCTCCCATCTTTATTCTGTCTGCTCATCTCAGTTCTAAGCTTCCTCTACAAGTCACTGACTAGTGTGGAACAGCTTTTCTAATCTACCCACATTCTTGTAGGCATGGTAATGGATCCCTTCAAATAGGAAATTGCTACTTTAAAGAGACAGGACACTTTGAAACCAAGACAGTTGAAAAGATGTCATTGTAAATTAACACAACAGACAAACAGAATCTGGAAAGAGTTATTTGCAAATGTATTTGGGCATGAAGAAGGAAGTGGGTCACAAAATTATGACCCCTGCATATTTAGTCTAATACACATCCTCATTCCAGACAACTAACTGTGAGCTATTGAAAATGAAAGTTTAAAGAGAATATAATAAAAAGACATTCTCATAACTTCTCCTCTGAAGATCCATAAATAGATTGGAAATAATGTCCAGGAGGCCTTTGCAACTGCTTGTGGGGGTAGCAGTAATTAACAGAATCCAAACACAATGTAATCTTCTACTTAAACACTGTCACCATTTCTTAATTTTTCCTTAAAATTATGATTGTTTCTTGCTAGCTTCCCTGGCTCAAAAGATATATTTAAATTGCCCTACTTTTGCTCCCTGCATATCAAAGAGAGAGAGAAAAAATGCAGCCTAGTTAGCCAGAAAGGAAAACAACATTTCTATAAGCATATAATCTTACTTTAAAACTGGCAAAGCAAGTAGAAGGGACTAAAAATGTTATAGCCTTGGTTCCATATTCATTACCTCCAAGTGAAAGCATACAATATGCGGCAGTTGCTGTATTAGGCTCTTTATTTCTTACTAAATGCAAATAAGTTCAAGCATAAATTCTAAAAAGGATAACCTTACTTAGATATTAGGAACAATTCTCTTCCTTTAGGGGACTCTGGAATGCTGAAAGAGGAAACCAGGAAGGTTATACAATTTTCTTTTTCATGAGATTATAAGGAAGATAGTAAGAATTTTTAAGGATAATCCCTCAATAACATATTTCCTAGAGGAAGAAAGATACAAATGCTCGTATAGCCCAAAAACTTGCTAATGGCAGAACGATGGACTTTTTTCATGAAGGGAGGGACCACTCTTTGTCACACAAGATCTATGCCTAGTGATGGTTCATAAATGTGCTAGAATAAATTCCTAATTCTATGTGTACATTTGAGTAGCAAGATGATTCTGAAAATTGTACTAATAGTTACTATTCCACTAATAAAATTAGATCCAGAAAGCAATTGGGTTTCCAGGCCACGGGTAAGCATATGTATAAAGTACTAATTCTTTAGGGCCTCTTTAAAGCACACTTTTTTGTTTTACTATGATACAAAAAAAAAGTGTAATTTTGGAATGTATGTGCATGTGAATGTGTCCAAAACCAGCGCTGAAATTAATAAGGGATCCTTATTTAGACACTATTACAACAAGAACCCCCTATTAGTCTGCTAGAGCTGCCACAACAAGGTATCACAAATTGGGTGACTTAAACAACAGAAATTTATTGTCTCACAGTTCTAGACCTAGAAGTCCAAGATCAAAGTATCAGCAGAGTTCACTCTTTCTGAGGCCAAGGGAAAGAAGCTATTTCATGCCACTTCCCTGGCTTCTGGTGGTTTGCTGACAATCTTTGGCATTCATTTGCTTGAAGAAGCATCATCTTATCTATGCTTTCATCTTTACATGGCAGACTCTCTAGATGCATGCCTGTATCTAAGTTTTATCTTTTTGTAAGGACACCAATCCTATTGGATTAGGACCCACCTGAAGACCTCATTTTAGTTTGATTACCTCTGCGAAGACTGTATCTCCAAACAAAGTCATATTCTAAAGTCCTGGGGCTTAGGATGCCAATATATCCTTCTTTATTAGGGGGTAACACATTTCAACCCATAGCATACTCCCCCGAAAGAATAATTACATAGGGTAAAAGCAAGCAAACATACTTAACCAGACTAGATGTCTATATTACTTTATTCCTTATACAAAGACTAGGTCTCTGTAAAATCAGACATTTTAATTCTGTCCTCTGAGCTGGCTCATTGTCTAGTGTTTTGGAAGCAACCAACTGTTGGTTAACTTTTTAAAATTCAATTTTCATAAGGTTGGACAGATATCATATAGACACAGCAAAAACAAATGCCATACCACTGGAATGACTCAGAGCTATAATCACAAGTCACAAAGGCACAACATTTTATTCTTATGATGAGTATCAAGTGGGTGTTATAAAAAAAAACCCCTTAAAAATGTGTGGTTTCTTTGTCTGATGTGTGTAGACTGCCTCAGGTGCTTTCAGAAACAATAGAAATTTTTTCCAAGTTTTATATTGGTCAACTTATTTTGATAATAATGAGAATATAAAATATTATAACTGAAAAGCACCTTCAAAATTGTCTAGTCCAACTCTTTAACATTATAGACTTGAAAACTGTGTTCCTGAGAGATTCCTTAAGTGACTTGCCCAAGGTAATTTAGCAAATTGCAGTAGAGCCAGAAAAATAATCTGAGACCTGGCGTCCCCTCTAAATTAATGATGTTCTGCTACAGGATAGCCATCATATCACCCTTGTCTGGAAATCACCTATGTTACCCAAAATTAGGCCCCCAATGGCCACACAGAGACTAGAAGTAAGTTTAGAATCTGTTGCAGAGGTCATGCACTATTGTTTTCTCAGGGCAGTACTGCCACCACCCTCAAGGGCTCAAACAAAAATTGTGATGTCTTAGAGATTTACTTAAAATGTAGTATATAATTTTACTAGTGTAGTTGTCTGCTTTCTCCTTTAAATCTTTAGTTCTTCCTAGATTATGGTTATAACAACCACATTTTCAAATCTAAATATCAGGACGCATGTTCTGATAGGAAATGTGTTTATCCCAATGTGTTTGCACATAATATCACTCATGGCTGGGCGCGGTGGCTCATGCCTGTAATCCCAGCACTTTGGGAGGCTGAGGTGGGCAGATTACGAGATTAGGAGTTCAAGACCAGCCTGGCCAACACAGTGAAACCCTGTCTCTACTAAAAATACAAAAATTAGCCGAGAGTGGTGGCGTCCACCCGTAATCCCAGCTACTCGGAAGGCTGAGGCAGGAGAATCGCTTGAACTCAGGAGGCAGAGATCGCAGTGAGCTGAGATTGCGCCATTGTACTCCAGCCTGGGTCGCAGAGTGAGACTCTGTCTCAAAAAAAAAAAAAAAATCACTTATTTAGTATTTTTTCAAATGACCCTTTTCTGAATGCATTAAGTCTGCTTGGATACACATATCCATGCCTATATCTATGAGTATTTCATTCACATGTGTGGTGGTGTGTTGGCAATGGAAACATATGATGGAATATTTAAAATAAGGATTGCCCTAGATTGGGGGATGGGGTGGGGGAAAGAGCAATTAGGACACCATGGTTGTGGCAAACACAAGATTAGGAGAGTTTGAATGGGTGGGGAAGTGAGAATGATTGTAGTAAAGTTTCCTGAGAAGGGAGAGCTGTCAAACTTTCAGGGTGAATAATATAGAGCCATTTTTGCATAAGGATAAATAGTAATCTCATCAGGGTCCAGAGTAGGGTGCAGCAAGGGAGGCACACAGGAGGAAGCAGCTAATAAAATACTCTACAGGTGATTCTCATGCTGGGCTGCCTTCATAAACGGCTCGTCCCAGGTGCCTCCCTCTACCACCCTAGACCCGGCCTGCCTCTCTTAACCTTCAGTAGTTCTTAAGGGAATCACTATGTTACAGTATTGCATAATAACTAATGTGCATAATTATTATTCTGAACCATGGAAGCACTAAATCACTTCAATAATTCAACCTAATAAGTCAGGGAAATGCACTTAAAAGTTTTAAGTAATTTAAATGTTAAGTTTGGACAAACAGAGCATTAAGCTTACATTCTCCGAAATAATCCAGTTCAACCAGAATGCTTCATACCTGATGATGCTTCATGACGTTCTGAAAATGACTGCACACTACTCTTTGCACATTACATGTGAACATACCTTTCCCCCTGTTCGAAAACTGCCTCTGATAGCCAGAGTCAGGCTCCTACAGCCACCACTGCATTCCTCGTGCCTGCCACCTTCATCCTTCTCTGATGGGTCAGAGCAGTCACCCAACACCAACCCAACCTAGGCCTACCAAAATCAACCTTCAGAGAATTTGAAATTTAGATACAGAGGTCACCAGAATGTCAGCACATTTATCATCAAGTTGTGGAGACTAAAGACCACCCATTCCTGCAGTTTGTGAGACTGGCACTTCCTTTCTAGTGTTGGCTGTTCACCTCTTAGTCCATAGGAGAGAGAAGCAACTTTCCCATAAATCTCTCTTTTGGTTTAACTTTACCAATATTCTGTTCCTTGTAACTCCCAATGCTGAAACAAACACAGACTCCTACCCCATGGCAGGAATTGTGCTACCTGCTGGGGTAATGAAGATAGATATATTAATAATAGTTTCCGCCTTCAAAAATCTCACAGAGCATCAATAGTAAATGTGGTCTTACTCTCACTTATTTGATTAATCCATAATTAATATATTTGAGCACATGTCTTTTCTCCTATGAGGAACACTGTTCATGCAGTTTGACACTGGAAATTCTGGCAAGACAGAGCGTTTATCAAGCTTTGTGGTTATGTGTATTAAATACAGACCTTTTAACTGCTACTGGTAACTTGTTTTTAACTATAGGATATAATCTCCTGATGTTATATTTAAAATATCATTTGATCCAGTAAAATTTAAATACCAATTAGAGACATTTTAGAAAAAAAAAAATTCTTTTGTTTGTTTTTGAGACAGGGTCTCACTCAGTCCCCCAGGCTGGAGTGCAGTGGTGTGATCATGGCTCACTGCAGCCTCAACCTCCTGGGCTCAAGTGATCCTCACACCTCAGCCTCCGAGTAGCTGGTACTGAAGGTGCTCACCACCATGCTTAGCTAATTTTTTAAAAAAAATTTTTAGAGACAATGTCTTGCCATGTTGCCCAGGCCAGTCTGAAACTCGTGGCCTCAAACAGTTCTCCACCTCAGCCTCCCAAAGTGCTGAGATTACAGCCACTGAGCCTGGCTAAAAAATATATATATATATATATTTTTATATATACATGTATATATATAATTTTTATATATACATGTATATATTACATGTATATATATATTTTTATATATACATGTATATATATTTTTATATATACATATATTTATATATACATATATATTTACATATATATACGAGAAAAAAAGTAACAAATTTCCCAGATAGTTAACAAGAAAGGAAGGAAATACTTTAAAAGTAAAACTTAAGATTTAAGTGATTTTTTTTTTTGCACTTTGAAAATACATCTTGCTTTAAACACACAAAATCTTAGCAGCTGGAAGCCTGTTATGTGTTTAATTAAATGGCCCACACATGTGTTTGTAATGCACAGCACTGTGGTCTGTGAACGGAATCCTGGAATCCCCGGGGTGTATGGTCAGCCTTTTGCCTCACTGAACTCTCCTCTGGAGGCCATGGGAAACAGGGTACTTGTTTGAGTTTTCTCCTCGGGTCCACATTTCCTCTATCGACTACTGCTGTGTAAACAGACTCATGTTCAAAAGGTGCTGGGCTCCATTGACCTAATCCACTCTGAAGTGCCAGATCTGTCCACACGTCCTCGGGATTAGGCCAGCATGGCCAGCTCACCCTGACTTTGCCTAAGGGATGGTGCAGTGGACTTGGACCTCCCCCAAGCCAGGTTCATCTGATTGGTTTCCCTTTTGCGCTCTTCTTCCCCTGGGAGAGGATATCCTCAGCATGGACTGGGGCCCACAGAGCATGGAAGCTGAAACACCGATTCTTCCTCAATGAGCTGAAGTTCTCCAGATGGCAGCAAGCGCTCGTCATGCAAATTCTTGGCAGCAGGGAGCCTGTCAAGTGGCTACTGCTGCTTATTGTTACCAACACTCCCCCACCCCCTCCACACAAATGCAGAAGAAACACCATCTGTCGCCTGTGGGGCTGAGCGGTTCTTTCCAAGTCCCTTCTAGTCAGTGCCGCTCAGCAGCCCTGCGCTGTGCGCACGGTCCAAACAGGAGTTGCCTCTCCTTGAGCCAGGGAGGACCCCGTCCGGTGCTGGCAGTTCTCTTCTTCCACGCCTCCTGGGCCTGGCCCCTCATCCAGGGCCGAGCCGGGGCGTTTTGCTAGCAGATTTCTCATAAGATAGTTATGTAACAAGAATAGGAAAACGATTGTGTTTCTCCCTTTAGATTCTGGGAAAGAAACAAGATGAACTGAGTTAGCAACGTGTCTCCATCACTAGTGAGAAATGTGAATAGAAGATAACTGGTTAAGGAGCACACTCCGGATGTGAAAAGCACAGCCTTGAAGTTAAAAGGTCGCCCATAACATCAGCGTGATTTCGGGTTTGTGTTCTCTTCTCTCCCACTGATGTTATGTCTCCTGATTAATGATGAACTCTCATAAGACCTAAAAACGTTCTGTACAAACGAAAGCTGTCGCCAAAAGACTCTAAGCTCTGGAGAAGGCTCAATATCTTGTCCATCTTTGAACTCCGAGACCATCCGTGCAGTCATTCAATAACTATTTTTTCTTGTTGTTGCTGTTGGATTTTTGTGGGATAGTTATATATACAAATACAAATGCAAGCAATAATAATATGCCATGTCATATCTGCGTTTTTAATGTTTTCTTTTTAACCCCAGAAAGTTGTTCATATGCCTCACCTCAGGTCATTCTATCTTCCTTTATCTGTGCAAATCTCCCATTTTATTTTTTAAAACATTTAGTATTAATTCCCCATAGACATAGACATCCCTAAAATGTAATCTCTGCCTTTCAAATCTACCTTTCATACATTTCCTTAGATGGATATTCCTGAAAAATATTCTACATTTGTCTTTTACATGTGTTTATTTTAATGTACATAGATTGAACTGTGATTGTATCAGTCCTGACTTTTTCACCATTCTTATCCTTTGAGGTCTATTCCATTGTCATTCTTCCTCACACAGATGTTACTTTCCCATGAAGCGTCTCGTTCTATTCCATTTTTTACTCCATGACTTGCATTAATGGGTAAATTTGAGAAGAATGGCTGGGCATGCTCTTCTCTGTCTTCCCCTTCTTCTTCATGGGTCCTGGCGACTTTCAGAGAGTCCACTTTTTCTCCTGCTTAGATGTGGCGCCCCATGTGGGCACCTGGCCCAAGGTGGAGATTCTGTCTACTCTGGTTTTCAGTGTTCGGGTCCTTTTTCACCCACACTAAACATCTTCGAATGCTATGTTATCAACAATAAAAGCAATATTTAGATCTCCATTCATTTTTGCTTTTATTTCTTAATTTGTTCAGAATCCAGATAAGGAAGATAATTATCCTTTGTTGGTAGTCTTCTGGGAGACCCCAGGAGTCTTTAGTCAACTAGGTTTCATGGTTTGCATTTACACATGATATTTACATATTCCACTGGTGATAAACACATACAATTGCCTCCTCCCCTTTGCTGACAGGACTAGCACTGTGGTAACCAAGTCTGCCTGTGGACGTGGGGGGGAGATTCTCTGGAGTGTACACCAGGAGGAGGATTGTTGGATCACAGTTACATGAATATTTAATTTTACTAAATACTGCCATATTACTGCCCATAGTGACTGCATCATCCTTACCTCCAACAACAGTTGATATTATGAGCAGTGGATATTCTGAAGCTACCTCACTTTTGCCAGCCTGATAATGGTAGCTCATGACTGTTCAAATTAGTAAACATTGGTCGGTGAGGTGGCTTACACCTGTAATCCCAGCACTTTAGGAGGCCGAGGTAGGCTGATCACTTGAGGTAAGGCGTTTGAGACCAGCCTGGCCAACATGGTGAAACCCTGTCTCTACTAAAAATACAAAAATTAGCCGAGCGTGGTGGCATGCACCTGTAATCCCAGCTACTCAGGAGTCTGAGGTGGAAGAATTGCTTGAACACGGGAAGCGGAGGTTGCAGTGTGCTGAGATTGTACCTCGGTGCTCCAGCCTGGGCAACAGAGCAAGACCCTGTCTCAAAAAAATAAATGCATAAATATATTAGGAAGCACCTGCTCATATGCTTGTTAACTATTTGATTCCCACCCTAAGCTTTTGTGAATTATTATTCATGTATTTTGTCCATATTTTATTTGGTTTACAGTCTTTCTTGCTTATTTTCCAAAAACCAATTATACATTTATGTGTATGTAAGATAATTTCTTGTTAGTTTTCACATTATAAATACCTTCCTTCAATCTATATCTGCCTATTAACTTTGGTTATGTAGTCCTTTGTTAAACAGAATGTTTATATTTGGATATTGCAAAACACATTCATTTTTCTTCTTCTCATTTGTGCTTTGGGTTTCTGTTGGAGCTTCCTCCACATGAGATCACAAAGATAAATTTCTCTATTTCTTCCATAACAGCTTTAGATTTTCGCCTTTCAACTTTAGCCCTTTAATCTAATTTAAATGGATTTCTTTTTCTTTTTTCTTCTTTTCTTTTTATATATGCTATGATGTATGAATTCCCAATTTATTTTTCTTCATATGGTGACCCAATTAATCTATTCCTTAATAAGGAATCCACTCTTTCCTTGCTAACTTCTTCTCTTTTCTTCCTTTTTTCTTTTTTCGAGATGGTTTCTTACTCAGTCTACCCAGGCTGGAATGCAGTGGCACGACCATAGCTCACTGCAGCCTTGCTCTCCTAGGTTCAAGCCATCCTCCCATTTCAGCCTCCTGAGTAGCTGGGACTAGAGGAATGCACCACCACACCTGGCTGCTTTTTTAATTTTTTTTTTTTATAGAAATGGTATCTCGCTATGTTGTCCAGGCTGATCCCAAAGTCTTGGCCTCAAGCAGAATCCTCTTGCCTTAGCCTCCCAAAGTGCTGGGATTACAGGCATGAGCCACTACTCCTAGTCCCTTGCTATTTGTGATTATCATCTCAATCTCATGTATTATTTTCTCTACTCTCTGGACTCTATTCTATTCTATTATCTACCCGTGTGTTCCTGTGCCGGTACCACATGTTTAAACAATAGTTTTTTAAATGTCTTAATTTCTGTTTGGGTAAGTCTCTCTTGGCTCTTTTTAAAAAACATTTTAACTATTCATGGGCCTTTATCTTTCTACATAAATTTTAGAATCAATTTTTTAAGTTACTCAAAAGTTCTGCTGGGATTTTGACTGGATTTGTTAGAATTAATAAATTAAGTAATGGAAATTTAAAATATGTATACAGAATATTAAATATATCTTTCCTTTTATTCAAGTTTCTTTGTCTTTTTATTATGTTAATAGTTTATTGAGGCCCTTGAATTTAAGGTTATATCTCTATTACTTTTTTAAAATCTATTTTCCTTATTTAATTGGCTAGAAGCTCTTATAATGTCATCAGGGTTGAAAATGAACATCCTTGTCTATCCATGAATGGACTGGGTCTAGAACTCCTCCATTAAAGATGATCTTGCTATAGATTTTTTTCATATAGCTTTATTATATCTAGTATTTCTTGTGAAATGAAATGTTGTAAATGGGTAAAATGGAATGATTATGCTGCTGTTGTGTTTTCTGTACCAGCTCGCACAAAAAGTAAATACAAGTCCAATACAACTCGATTTCATTTTCAGTGGTATTGAGGACATACATAGTTTATGCTAGAAAACATACTCCAGTGATTCTTAAATGTTAGCCTGCATCAAAATCACCTGGTGGCTTATTAAAACACAGATTTTGGGGACACATCTCAAAATGTCTGATTCAGTGAGTTTGCAGCCAGGCTCCGAAGTCTGCATTTCTCACAAGTTTCCAAGTGATGCTGATGCTGCTGGCCCAGGGAGCCACTTTGAGAACCTTGACAGAGTCACTTTCATTCAACTTTGATCTTCTCATAGGCAATTTAATATTTTATTTCAGACCCAAGTTGCATTTTGTGTCTTTGGCCAACAAACCATTACAATGTATTAGGTTGAAATATATATAGTAGGCCAGGTGCAGTGGCTCAAGCCTGTAATCCCAGCACTTTGGGAGGCTGAGGCAGGAGAATCGCTTGAACCCTGGAGGTGGAGGTTGCAGTGAGCCGACAGAGAGAGACTCTGTCACAAAAAAAAAAAAAAAAAAGAGAACATTTCTTATGTTTTTGTCAAGACCCTAAGAATGAATTTCTTGTTCATTAGACAACTTTTCATATGTAGAAAATCAGTTTGTGAGTCTCAAACGAAACCACTTTTCAAAGACAGGTTTAGGCATTTAGCTATGACTATTATACATCATAAATTGCAGGGATCACCTTAATAAATTCTAGCCAATCGGATTAAAACAAGTCAACAAGTCTTTGTCATACCCAATTCTGTTGCTAGTATAGGTATGGCCAATGATTTTACATCTTCACATTTAAGTTGATAGTGCATGAGAAATTAGACTCTTAAGAAGAAATTTCCTAAATGTCCAAAACATGATCTGTCCTGCTGAATTCTTTTATAAAGTCTTATTTCTTTTAAAAAGCATCTTGGCAATCAAGTCACCATTGTTACCCTTGTCTTCATGTTAAAGATAAAATTAGGAAAGAATATTTTGTCATTTGTAATTGCTGCTTCTTTATTCTCAGTTTGTTATTTAGAAAATTTTATCCCATTATAGATTTTTCTTTTTTCTGAATAATGCCAACTTGATATAAACTGGTTAGTTCTTTATTTCTATTTTTATAGTTGAACCGTCCACAGTTTGGCCATGATAGTTGGCTGCTTCTGTTAGCAACTTATGCTGTGTTTCCAGTGTCTTGTTTTGGGAGTGATTTAGGGAATGAGGGGCTTACTTTAATTTACATATACTATAAAGAACATGAACTTTTGAAACAGGTAAATGTGAATTTTAATCCTAATTATACCACATATTAGCTCTGTGACTTAGGCAATTTACTTAATCTCTTGAAACCTCAGATTCTTCTATTTTAAAATAGGTATATAAGAACCTGCCTTTATAGAAGAGAAGTCATCACAGTACCTGAAATTTATTTGAAATATAAAAGTTTTGAAAGGCAAAAGTATAAATAAATTACATTAAAACATTCTACTAAAAGAAATACTTAAAATCCCAAACAAACCTGCACGATATATGAAGCTAATTGGAATTTGTAGAAATTAATTTATTCTACAAATACATATTTTGTGTATCTGCCAAGTTTATGATCTGGCTTGCCTATGCAGATTCAGACCAGAGTTCATAGCTACCTATGGGAGCAATTCATAGGATGTGTCCCTAAGGCAATATAACTGCCAGGCACTCTACCAGGCATTTTGCACAGAATCCATAAAACATTACTTTGGGGTAGATTCCTTGGCCTCTTTCCCCAAGGCCTGTGTTCTATTACAACATCATGCTGTGAAAAAGAAGGCTGACATTTACTCCTGGCAGAAAGGAGCTTTATGGTATTTCATCAAATCTGGAATATCACATCTTGTAAAACACATCATTATTTTACATACCACTAGGAAAGATTAAGAAGCTGCCAACTAAATTATGATATCATTTTTTATCTCTTAGAATTTTAATGTTATATGTATTAAAAGAGCCCATTTAGGTTTATTTGGGATTATATATCGCTTATGCATATATAAAAAGGAAAATAAGCAAAATAAATAGGGTAATGTATTTGCAAAGCTTTCTCATATTTCGAGTTCAACTCTACTAAAACATGTCATATAGAATAATTGTTAATATCTGTGTTTTTCTACATAACTTCATCATTTATGCCATCAAGAGCAGCATTTCTCACTCTATGATTGTGTCTATAATTTTTTTCCAAGCCACTGACACTCTTTCTGCAAGTTTGTATGCACCTATGCAAACAATAGCATCCACAATATGACTGCCACCTAGCCAACAGCAATTGTAAAACACCCAGACATAAAAATATGAAAAAATGTATATCTAGAATCATGAAATGCTGTGCCTATTGCACGAGCTATACCACATTAGATAGAACTATTTTACTACTTCATAGAAGTTGAAATGAATTTGAGAGTTAAGATACTTTTCTGCGGTTTTTGCACTTTGTCCCATGTTTTTCAATTTTTTTAATCCTTAGTTTTTCTTCTTCTAAGATTATTGTTTTGTCCTTGACTCCCTAAAATTCCATGAAACAGAAACCTGATGACAGTAGCCAAGCCAAATAAGGGTATAGTTTCCCCACATAACAAGGAGGTCTTGAAATTGAAGGGTTACAATTACGGTGGCATCAGGATTCCATGTGGATCCATCCTGGAGGGATCCCATCCCAGATCCATACAGCTGTTCTTCACTCTGCCACAGCTCAGGTTCCATCACATCCTTGTGCTTACAAGATGGCTGCTGCATCATGACCACGTCCCCAGGGAAAAAGCAGGAGATGAACAAAGGGCAACAGACATCATGAAGGAGTCAGCCCGTTTTATGGGCTACATATAGCCCTATTATGGGCTATATGTAGATTTCTTCTTACATCTTACTGATAAACACTAGGTTATACAACCAACCCTAATTTCAAAGGAAACTGAGGAGAGTAGTATATTGTAACTGGAAACATTGTTTCTCTGATTATACTGGGGTTTTCTCAATTTAAAAAAGAAAGAAAGAAAATGGCTAAAAAAAGAAGAAACAGGGTCTACTTGCTACCACTCTGGGGCCCCAAAGGTTTAAAAGTATGAGGTAACATGATTGCCTCATGTACATGGAAGGTTATAGTTC
Source organism: Homo sapiens (assembly GCF_000001405.40). Taxonomy (NCBI): domain Eukaryota; kingdom Metazoa; phylum Chordata; class Mammalia; order Primates; family Hominidae; genus Homo; species Homo sapiens. The sequence continues at coordinate 113,571,711 of NC_000006.12, forward strand.
TTGTTTTATTTTTATCTAATGTAATTGGGTAGGGTTTCACTGAAAATTAAACAGATCTCTTAGATCAGTGGTCTCCAACCTTTTCGGCACCAGGGACTAGTTTCGTGGAAGACAGTTTTTCCATAGCTAGTGATGGGGGCAGGGGATGGGGGTAATTTCGGGATGAAACTTCCACCTCAGATCATCAGACATTAGGTTCTCATAGGAACATGCAACCTAGATCCCTTGCCTGTGCAGTTCACAATAGGGCTCAAGAATTTAATGCCAGCCTATTGATTGACAGGAGGCCGAGCTCAGGTGGTAATGCTCGCCACCGCCACTCACTCCTGCTGTGCGGCCAGGTTCCTAACAGGCCACTGACCATTATCAGTCCATGGCCAGGGGGCTGGGGAACCCTGTCTTAAATAATGCTACTAATAAAATGTACATCCTCGTCGTCACAGAAAGTGTTAGCTGCAAAGTAAAAACAAATGAAAGATGAAAATGCTTACAGGCCGGGCGCAGTGGCTGACGCCTGTAATCCCAACACTTTGAGAGGTGAGGCAGGCAGATCACCTGAGGTTAAGAGTTCAAGACCAGCCTGGCCAACATAGGGAAACCTCGTCTCTACTAATAACATAAAAATTAGCCGGGCGTGGTGATGCACGCCTGTAATCCCACCTACTCAGGAGGCTGAGGCAGGAGAATTGCTTTAACCTGGGAGGCAGAGGTTGCAGTCAGCCCAGGTCATGCCACTGCACTCCAGTCTGGGCAAAAAGAGCAAAACTTCAACTCAAAAATAAAAGAAAACACTTACAAATAATTAAAATAATATAATATTATACTGGTTTTCTAATCCCAAACAATACATACTTAACAAGCATTTAATAAATCTGTATGAAATGAATGAATAAGTGTTTTCTTCACTTTTCAAAAGATCAGTTTTTGTTTGGTTGGTTTTTTTTCTGCTCTACACTTTGGGAATAAAACCCTTTACAAACGGCATATAATAATAATTCCTTACATGGGAATAACTTTTAGCCTGAAGTACTTTCTGCCACATTCCAGTTTCAACTTTTGTTTTTGTTTTTTGAAACGGAGTCTCACTCTGTCACCCAGACTGGAGTGCAGTGGCGAGATCTCAGCTCACTGCAGCCTCTGCCTCCTGGGTTTAAGCAATTCTCCTGACTCAGCCTCCCAAGTAGCTGGGATTACAGGTACGTGCCACCATGACTGGTTAATTTTTGTATTTTTAGTTGAGACCAGGTTTCACCATTTTGGTCAGCCTGGTCTTGAACTCTTGACCTCAAGTGATCAGCCCACCTCGGCCTCCCAAAGTGCTGGGATTACAGGTGTGAGCCGCTGTGCCCAGCTTTTTTTTGCTTTTTTTTTTTTTTTTTTTTTTGAGCCAGTGTCCCACGAGCTCTGTGATCTCAGCTCTGCCTCCCAGGTTCAAGCAATCCTCCTGCCTCAGCCTTCCAAGTAGCTGGGATTACAGGCACCCACCACCACACCCAGCTAATTTTTTGTATTTTTAATAGAGATGGGGTCTCACTGTGTTAACCAAGCTGGTCTCAAACTCCTGAGCTCAGGCACCCAGCCCCAATTTCAACTTTCAAAGTTAAATTACAAAAGGTATTTATTTGCATATTAATCATAAGTAGGTATAATCATTACACTAGCGGAACAAACAACACGCCCACTGACTTTAGAGTTCAAATTTAAATAAAATTTCTACTAATGTTTATTGTTCGCCCCTTACCTGTCTCACTCTCACTTTTTATCTGCACTTTATTCTGCTTACCAGTTCTCTTGACCCTTCCATCTATGTATATACTTGGACTTTGCTGTTTTTACAGGAAATCATTACCCTTGTTATTCCTGATACCAGTAAGGATAAGTTATTGTAAACTCTTCCTTGGTAGCTATAGGCTACTCTTTCCTCCTCCTCTCTCCATTTCCAACTGTCTCCGTTTTCTGGATCCTACTTCAATAAGGTGGCATGAGAAAATAGACTTTACTGTGATCCTTCTTTCCTTCCTCTACCCTGCTCCAGAAAGATATTGTCTCTCAACCTTAGAATTCTACACAGTTTTTATCCGGAGTTGTTACATAAGCAGTTCCATTAACAACTATTTTGTTCTAATTCTTAAAACCAATTGCCAATCATTATAATTGGCAAGTCCATTTATCTTCAAGTCCCTTTCTATTTTATAACTACTAATCGGATTTGATAGATCTTACCATAGTACATTCCTGTGGTTTTTGCTTGTTTTTGCTGTTTTGTTACCCACTTGAGGTCCTTTATCTTCACACTAGACTACATAATCTATATTACTTTTTATCTCCATTAGATGCTAGGCTACTAGGAATCGTGGAATGTGTTTAAATACTCTTTGTATTCATATAAGCCATCAGAGTATCTCTACGGAAATGGACAATAAATGTTTGCTGGATGAATAAATTATTCTTTAACCCAGATTTCTTTAGTTCCCCCTTCCTGTTTAAAAAAAAAAACGAAAACTAATATTTTTAAGTCATGTAATCATTTATTTCACTAGTCATTTGACATAAGCAGGCCGAATCAGAGGAGTGTTCTCTTAATTGTTCGGTGTTCGGACTTTCAAAGTAAACACATGCATTGAACTTGAAAGGCATCCAAATTGGTGTGCCTAGAATTTCCCTTTCCCTTGGCAAACATTGTGAGCTGCCTTTCCATTTGCAATGTTGTTTCATTAGGTCATGAAAATGGACCCCATCAGAAGGTTGGCACACCCCATTACTGGAGTTACACTCAACTAAAGTTCAAAAAAAAATTGGCAACAAAAACCATTTGATCAATCTTATTCTGGTTTCTAAGAATGGATTTGCTTATTTTTCCACTTCCTATGTTTTCATTTCTTAGTTTTCTTTTGCATCTTCTTCCCATCACAGTATACTCTAAGAATTCTCACCGGCCCTTTATTCACTTCTTCAAGAAAGAGTTATTTAGCTACCTTTAAGGAAAGGGCCCATCCCCCACTACTCATGTTCCACTCCAACTCCTCCTATCCACCAAATGTATCTATCTCTTTTCCCTTATGCTAACATTTTTGTTCCTATGTCATTGCCTTTTTGAAGCTGGTACTCACTGAAGAAAAAAGATGGTCTTTGTTAATTGTACCAAAATGATGTAGGTCATAAGACTAAAAATTATGACTTCAATGGCAGAACTGGCAGTGAATAAGCTGGATTCCTTTCTCTTTCTGCAACCACATTCTCTTGAGCCTAGAGTCTAGGTATTTTTATTTTATTTTATTTTTTAATTTTAATTTTTATTTTGAAAAGGGGTCTTGCTCTGTCCCCCAGGCAGGAGTGCAGTGGTGTGATCTCAGCTCACTGCAACCTCCACCTCCCAGGTTCAAGTGATTCTCCTGCCTCAGCCTCCCAAGTAGGTGGGATTACAGGCACTCACCACCATGCCCAGTTAATTTTTGTATTTTTGGTAGAGACGGGATTTCACCATGTTTGCCAGGGTGATCTCAAGCTGCTGACCTCAAGTGATCCACCTGCCTTGGCTTCCCGAAGTGCTGGGATTACAGGCATAAGCCACCTCGCCTGGCCTAGGAATTTTTTAAAGTATTATAGGGTGGTAGGAGAAAGATGGCCACTGCCGTGTTGAAGTTGGAATGAGAGGCCAAGCATAAATTTGGACTGGTGACTCTGAGAGCAATAATAGCCAATCAGGAAATTAATTTCTGAGTCACAGTTATTCTCTTTTGCTACTCACTGGACAGCATTCATTAGTGTCTGGCTTTTTCATTTTTGCCCATCTTTTGAGCCTGATGGTGTCTGATAGAGATTTCTACTTGGCACTTCCTTGATATTAAATACAGCTGAGATTCTTTTTATATGCCAATTGCCCTTCAAGTTTCCTCTTCTATAAAATGACCCTGTAGTTTTTTTCAATTTTCCACTGAGTTGTTTATCTTTTTTTATTGATTTTCAGAAGTTTAAAAAAATATTCTGAGTACCAAACCTATTTGGTTATTCATGCTGCATTAGCAGTCAATTTGTGGTTAGCTTTTTATGTTATTTGTATCTTCTAAGGAGATAGTTTTAATTCCAGTGTATTCAATTTCAATTTATCAACCTTTTTGTTGTGGTTTTCGCTTTCTAAAAAATTCTTATTAGAGAGAAGTCCTTCTATCCAAGAAATCCTTTCTTATTTTTAAGTAGGGGCAAAGGTAAGCCGCTATTTTTCCTTCAAGAATCAAATCTCATAATAAATAGATAGAAGCTTTATTGACTGAATTTCATTTAGCAGACTAGCCTGGATAATCAACACTCTCCCTTTTCTGTATTAAAAATTGAACCCTCAAAGTTAATAGATTGTTTCTTAGTTGTGGTATATTTCAAAAGCAGCCACAAATTCCTCCCTTTTTTATGTGTGCTCCTCTTTGCAATGTGACACTGCAGCCTTCCCACCATGAGGTGGTGCCTATCCTTCCATTTCTTGAACCTGGAGATGACCATGAGACATGCCTTATCCAACAGCACTTTAGCAAATGTTTGCAAGCAGCGGCCTGAAAATTGCTTATACATTTGAAACTTACATTCTTGCTGCTTTATGAAACTCTGATATATCTATGAAAGGACACCTGGACTAGCCTATAAGAAGAAAAAAATCATATGTATCAAAAATGAGAAATCCTAGTGAGAATTCCTAGATCATGCAGCAGCAGTTAACCCATCAAGATAAGAACTGCTCAGTTAACCCACAGGATCACAATGTGTGATTGTTGTCTTAAGCAACTAAGTATGGGATGACTTGTTACACAGCAAAAGCTAACTGATACAATATCACATAGGACTCATTTCTATCTCCATTAATTACTTTCTTTGTTTATGGGATCAGACTGCTGGTGCTTAGAAGTAATTTCCCCCTTCTTCCTTTAAGTGAAGTTCCATATTTATCTGGATAAATGGCCAGCTATGGACTTTATTTTTCCAGCCATCTTGCAGCTATGTAAGGCTATGTGTAGGCTGGAGCCAGTAGAATGTGAACAGTAATAATTCAGGACAATGTCATGGTCATCCCCTTAAATACAATGCTGCTTTTATTTGACTCTCCTCCTCTCCTCTTTCTTGGATTGAAATGCAGACATGGCATAGCTAACCTCTAACTTTAAAGGAGAAAAAACACACGGGGGTTATTTTTTACCCACCCTAGACTACTCACCTGAATTTGGACTGCTATGTGAAAACAAATTTCTACCATATTATAGTACCTCTGTATTGAATTTTAATTATTACAATAACTTAGCCTGTAATTAATGTATTTACTGAAAATCAGTGGTGTGTGTCTTCAGACTTACTTATATCACATATATTTGTTATTATAAGTACATGATTTTTCAAAATATTATTTCACCCAGTGAAATATGAGTACAAGTTAAAAGGAAGTTATTGTTTCTATGAATACTAACTTGAATACTTTGGAACAATTCAGTAAAGGCAAGTCACTAAAAATCAAGTGTGATTAAGACAACTGGGGGCTGGGCACACTGGCTCATGCCTATAATCCCAGCGCTTTGGGAAGCCAATGCAGAAGGGTTGCTTGAGCCCAGGAGTGCAAGGCTGCAGTGACCCATGATCACACTACTGCACTCCAGCCTGGGCAATACAATGAGGACCCGTCTCAAAAAGAAAAAGAAAACAAACGAAAAAACAACTGTGAATGATTGGGGGGATATCACCAAAACTTAAAAGATTCTTCCCTCAGAATGTTTCACAAGTTTCTATAAATTCCTCCTTTACTTGGGTGCAGTGGCTCATGCCTGTAATCCCAGGACTTTGGGAAGCTGAGTTGGGATGATTGCTTGAGGCCAGGAGTTCGAGACCAGCCTATGCAACATAGCAAGTCTTCATTTCTAAAAAGAAATAAAGCTTAGTCAGGCATGGTGGCACACACCTGTAGTAGTAGGAGGCTGAGATGGGATCATTGTTTGAGGCCAGGAGTTTGAGGCTGCAGTGAGCTATGACTGAGCCAACTGCACTCCAGCTTGGGGGTGACAGAGCCAGACTCCAAATCTAAAATATTTTTTATATATGTATAATTTTATAATATATATAATTTATAATATATATATATTCCTTTACTGGACAAAATTTAACATTATAGGGGTGATGTTATATATGAGATTTATAAAAGAAAAGTAATCTGAACTCTAATCAGTAGATTAGATGTGGAATGCAGCTAAAATTTCCAGATCTTTCCCTTCCCCCTCCCTTCCTTCCTTCTTTCCTTCCTTCCTTCCTCCCTGCCTCCCTCCTTCCCTCACTCCTTCCCTCCCTCACTCCCTCCCTCCCTCACTCCCTCCCTCCTTTTCTCTCTCTCTTTTTCTCTTTTTTTTTTTTTCTGGACAGAGTTTCACTCTTGTTGCCCAAGCTGGAGTGCAGTGGCACAATTTCGGCTCACTGCAACCTCCGCCTCCCGGGTTCAAGTGATTTTCCTGTCTCAGCCTCCCAAAAAGCTGGGATTACAGGCGCATGCTACCATGCCCGGCTAATTTTGTGTTTTTAGTAGAGACCATCATATTGGTCAGGCTGGTCTCAAACTCCTGACCTCAGGTGATCCGCCTGCCTCGGCCTCCCAAAGTGCTGGGATTACCAAACTCGGTTTCTTTCTTTTCTTTCTTTCTTTCTTTCTTTCTTTCTTTCTTTCTTTCTTTCTTTTCTTTTCTTTTCTTTCTTTCTTTCTTTCTTTCTTTCTTTCTTTCTTTCTTTCTTTTCTTTTCTTTCTTTCTTTCTTTCTTTTCTTTTCTTTCTTTCTTTCTTTCTTTCTTTCTTTCTTTCTTTCTTTCTTTCTTTTCTTTCCCTTCCTTCCTTCCTCCCTTCCTCCCTTCCTTTCCTTCTTTTTCTTTCTTTTCTTTCTTTCTCTCCCTTCCTTCCTTTCCCTTTTTTACTTCATTCATTTCCCCCCCCTTTGGAGCTAGAAACTTAAGTGTGTGTGTGTGTGTGTGTGTGTGTGTGTGTGTGTGTGTGTGTCTGAGAGAGAGAGAGAGTGAAATCTGTTGGTTTTAAATGTCAGCAACTGTGTCAGAGACTACTCGCCATCTATCAAAATATATTCTCCTCTTCTTGGTCACACAGCTATCAAATACTTCCTCCTCTTCTTCTCGAGCACACAACTAGACCACATTTTGCAAGCTCCTCTGCATTTAGTTAGGGCCGCATGACTAGGTTCCAGCCAATGGCAAGTGTGTAGAAGTGATTAATGTGTTCTATTTCCAGGCCTAGAGTATGAAACCTCATGTGCTCTTTTCCCCTTCCACTGCCTGAGATGTTGATGATCAGGTGTTCCATGTATCCATGTAAGGCACAAATTGAGGATGATAGAGTTGCCTTCACCACAGGTCCCTGGAAAACTGCAGGAAGAGAGTCCTCCTGCTACCTCCTTACCTGGAACACAGGAACATGCAATCTAGACTGAGTGAAACATCAACTTCAATTGTGGTTTAGCCACATTGTATTTTGAGTCTATTGGTTATACCTGTTTGGTCTACACTAACTAATAGAGCTACCAACAGCAATTAAAATATTATGCAGGTGTTCTCACTTATAATTGAGAGCTAAATGATGAGAACTCATGAGCACAAGGAAGGGAATAACAGACACTGGGGTCTACTTGAGGGTTGAGGGTGTGAGGAGCGAGAGGAGCAGAAAAAACAGCTATTACCATCATACTGGCATATTACCAGTATGCAGGGCAGGATTCTGTCCTTTGAGCCCATGCCTTGGAAACTGCCTTTAAGGATCTTTTTAGTTTCATTTCTCCATTCAGAAAATGCAGGGAATTCTTTTATTCTTTTTCTTCCTTCTGAGTCTCTATTTTTGCATAGTCCTTTTTAAAGAAGAAAATGATAAACTAATAGTTGCTTCTTTCTTTCCTTTTTTCCATTTTACCCTACCCTATTCTATCTTTTTTCTTTATTTTTCCCTAGTCTTTAGCTTTTTCTTTTAGTTTTTTCTTTAGCTTTCATTTTTGTGCAGGTACAAAAATGTGTGTGTGTGTGTCTCTAAATTTATTATATCTCTATTCCCACCGTTTTTATTTTCTTGACACCTCCATTTTTTATTTTATTTATTTTATTTTTATATTTATTTATTTATTTATTTGAGACAAGGTCTCACTTTGTTGTCCAGGCTGGAGTACAGTGGCGCAATCTCGGCTCACTGCAACCTCTTTCTCCTGGGTTCAAGCAATTCTCCTGTCTCAGCCTCCCGAGTAGCTGGAAGTACAGATGCATGCCACCATAACTGGCTAATTTTTGTATTTTTAGTAGAGACAGGGTTTCACCATGTTGGCCAGGTTGGTCTTGAACTCCTGGCCTCAAGTGATCCACTCACCTCGGCTTCTCAAAGTGCTGGGATTACAGGGGTAAGCCACCACACCTGGCCATTTTTTTTTTTTTTACAACTTATACCCATACCCTGGCCTCATAGTTCTCAGCACCAATAAATATTTTCAAATGAATTGACCTACAGGAGAATGTTTTCTTAATCTGATGGGGATTGAGAACATAGCAACATTGAGAGGGAAATGAGGTACCTATAATTCATATGCAGACAATTATACAAGGCCTCTCCTGTCTTCACTTTTCTTCTCTCCCTGTTTGCTTTTCTTTGCAATGTATTAATTTACACTGCTAGAAACTTTTCTCTGACAAATGGTTAAAATGAAATGATATTTTTCAATAGATGTTTCAATGTAGTTCTTTCTAAAAGGTGCCAGTCTGTCCAAATAGGCCAATTGTCACATCATCCCCCCTTCATGACATTATACATCTTATGCTAACATTATTGTTTTCCATACACTATCAGGTGACTTTTGGGGGTAGAGAGAATGTCTATGGATCAGGCATCATTTTAAATGCTTTCACATATATATAATTTATATGTGTATTATATATATAAATATATATATATATATAATCTATATAATAGGATCAATCTCATAGATTTGCTGTAAGTTTATATAAGAAAAGAGTCCTTCTGCTACCTCCATACCTGGAACATAGGAGCATCCTATCTGGACTGAGTGAAACATCAATTTCAATTGTGGTTGAGCCACATTGTAATCTGGACCGAGTGAAAAACCAACTTCAATTGTGGTTTAGCCACATTGTATTTTGAGTCTGTCGGTTATACCTGTTTAGTCTACACTAACTCATACAGTTATCAACAGCAATTTAAACCATTATGCAGGTGTTCTCACTTACAAGTGGGAACTAAATGATGAGAACTCATGAACACAAAGAAAGGAAACACAGACACTGGGGTCTCCTTGAGGGTTGAGGGTGGCAGGAGGGAAACTTTATATAAACTCAAAACAAATCTATGAGGTTGATCCTATTACTGATATATATATATCACTTTATATATATATAAAATACACAAAGAAATTATATATATATATAAGCATGTACAATGATGCCTGATCATAACACACTCAAAACAAATCTATGAGATTGGTCCTATTATTGTCCCATTTAATAGATGAAGAAACTGAAGTGGAAAGTGTTTAGGTAAGTTGCTGAAAGTCAGACAGCTAGTAAGCTGAAGAGCTGAGATTCAAACCCAGGCAAGTAGGCTCCAGTCTGACTCCAGAGCCCTCTCTCACAGCCCCTTTGGAGAAATGTCATTTCCAAAGTCCCACCACTTCCTAGTGGAGAACTCAATGTTTTAAGAGTTATAGTAGAAGGTTTGTTCCAATAAAACAAACATTTTCGCTTTTCGATCCACCATCTGTGGTGGAGCCACCACCAAAATGCAGATTTTCTTGAAAACCCTTACGGAGAAGACCATCACCCTCGAGGCTGAACCCTTGGATACGATAGAAAATGTAAAGGCCAAGATCCAGGATAAGGAAGGAATTCCTCCTGATCAGCAAAGACTGATCTTTGCTGGAAAGCAACTGGAAGATGGATGTACTTTGTCTGACTACAGTATTCAAAAGGAGTCTACTCTTCATCTTGTGTTGAGACTTCGTGGTGGTGATAAGAAAAGGAAGAAGTCTTACACCACTCCCAAGAAGAATAAGCACAAGAGAAAGAAGGTTAAGCTGGCTGTCCTGAAATATTATAAGGTGGATGAGAATGGCAAAATTAGTTGCCTTCGTCGAGAGTGACCTTCTGATGAATGTGGTGCTGAGGTGTTTATGGCAAGCCACTTTGACAGACATTATTGTGGCAAATGTTGTCTGACTTACTGCTTAACAAACCAGAAGACAAGTAATTGTATGAGTTAATAAAAGACATGAACTAACAACAACAACAACAACAAAAACATTTTCTCTGTACATCCAACTGCCTTCCTATGTTAGGCATCTACATCATATAAAAACTTTAAAACGTATCTAATTAGAACCTTCCACAGAGCCTAACTTCCTGAGATACCCTTATTTTTGGCAGATATCTCCTACAAAACAAACTATTGAAGTACTAATCTAATATTTGGGTTCTCTAGATGTAATAGTTTCTAATTTCAGAATGATTCTTTCTTTCTTTCTTTCTTTCTTTCTTTCTTTCTTTCTTTCTTTCTTTCTTTCATTCTTTCTTTCTTTCTCTCCTTCCTTCCTTCCTTCCTTTTCTTTCTTTTGAGTATTATGTTGAGATTCATGAAACCCAGGAATGAAGGTCTCAAACTCCTCTCAACACCTAGAATATACTTAGCTTCTCAGAGAAATGTAAACAGTTTGGTCCCTTGGGAATTATTTTTAAAACACTAGTCATCTTTTGTTTTGAAACTCAGCATTAAAAAGTATGTTTTTGGATTATGAATATTATATCGTTCTCCAACGAGGTACAGCAAATGGTAGAAAAAGGAATAAGGTAGCTCCATGAGGGTATTAACCCAATGAAGCGAGGAAGCTCATTAATGAATAATTTGGAATTGAAATTTGGCCAGAATACTATTCCTCACGTTTCTCCAATACTAAGGTTATGTATTTGTACGCAAAATAGAGAAAGAATTGAGGCAATTATCTAGATAGTTTAAGCTACAGACCACTTTCGCTGATAACAACCCACACAATTATAGTCTCTATTGGTTTGGCTGGAATTATTCAGACAGCTGCCTCAATTTTCCCCTTCACTTTCCATCCATAGAGACGACCCAAAGTAAAAGGACAAACCATAGTTGCAATTGTAAATGCAGAGTTCCACATTTTATTCAAAACATGAAACTTGTTAAACTAGAGAAGTCATCTCAAGGGAGAGATTGTTCTACAATAACCAGAAATAAATCCCTCAGTCTCTAATTAGAATGACTTACTTGAATCCTAGTTAGCCTTGACAATGCTCTGTTTTTATTCAACTTTCCAAAGTTCGGCAAAGAAAAATAATTATTAAACACCTACTATGTCAGAAACTATGGCAGTGTATTAATAGAGTTTATTTTATTTCCTTCTTTTTAGAAACATTGTCTAAGTAGCAGATAACATTCCATTTTGCAGAGAAATGAAACAGGCAAAGTCAAGATTTTTTTAAATATAAGAACTTTGCCCAACAGAACACTCTTAGTACGTACTGGAAGAACCAGATAATTCTTTTGATATGAACCTCAGTATTCCATCCACCATGGAGACACGGATGATAGAAAAATTTTTAATCGGGGAACTGAAAGGCAGTACCTTTTGAGGTGTTTACTGCTTTTAGCGTAACAATCTCTTTAAAAAATAGAAAATCTCCTCTAAATTAGTAATATTAAAAATGAACTCTTTTGTTCACTTTTGCCCCTTGATATCTTGCTAGTAAATTAGAATTCTTAATTACTTCTGGAAGTCAATTAGTTTGGCTCAGCAAGATCCAAGAGGAAAAAAATAAGAAAAGATAATAAAATCATATTTGAGAATACTTACATTCACAAAATCAATTGTATCCAACAGATGGTTGTTGTTATTCCCATTTTGCACTAGATACAAGTAAATAATACCATCATGTAGTGAAATGAGTCTAGTTTTTGTATAGACTTTTTGAATCAGAAACTTAATAAAGGTCTAAACTTAACTTTGAAATGTACTTTGAAATGTATAATTGGCCAAACAATTAAATTAAGCAAGAGTGCATTCAAAGTAAATCCCAACTAACATGGAGATAAGATCCCAAAGTAGTTCTGACATTTACATCTAGAAGTTGGTCTCTCACCAAGCATTGGTTTTGATCTTTAATCAGAGAAGCAGGTCAGGACGACTTGGGAAACTTGATCCAATTTCACTGGCCCAGAGCTCATCCTGGTCCTATGGTCTGATTCCTCAAGGATAGGGCCTGGACATACATATTTTGAAAATGTTCCATTCCTCTCCCATTCGGATCAATGTGATGACCAAGATGTACTCCAATAAGTAACAGACCCTAATATTTATATTATTGCTAAAACTGAAGCCATTATTTTGAGAAGTTGAACTCCAATACTCCGTTGGTTCTTTCTAAGAATGCCATACCAGGCAAGATGTTCTATGTGAACATAATGGAAATTTATTACGGCCATGGGGGACAATCATTGCCCATAGTACTTTCAAATGTTTATAGGTAAACATCATGGAAGTTCTGCTTTATGGTACCAAGCTTTGGGTTTCTGGACTCTGGGAAAAATACCTCATATATACTATAAATTTTATCTTGGATCAAGCTAGATCTTCAGAGGTTGCCTATGTGAACCAGATTGCCTGACTCCTGAAGGATTTTTTTCGCTGAATTACACTTTAGGTTGTGCCATCAGACACTTGGCTTCTTCTCACAATGACAAAAATCAGTGATTCTGTCAGGTTAGTTCAAGTAATAAACACAAACCCGTGTCTTGCAGGAAGAGCAGAACCACAATAGAGTGAGGTTCCAGGGAAACCTGCTATGTCATTCAGAAATTTCCACAGTCCCCATGATCAGCTGTCTCAAACCTCAGCTCAGCATCAGGGCTTATGGATTACACCATTGCTAGCCCAACAAAATCATCACCTCTGTGTGTCCTTTTCATTTTGTGCCTATGTATTGTCTCAACTGCCTCTTGGCCTCTGCAACCTAACTTTTCTCCTTGGCCCTTCAGTTCCTGCCCACGCTTCCAAATAATTGCCTCCGCTTTGTACCTATTGTCTTCAAACACCCTAAAAGAAAACATCCAGTTGTTTTCTCTCAACTTCAGTCATGCTTTCTAAGCAAAGCTTTTTTGTCAGATGGCCTTGTAGGCCACTAGCAAGTCTGTAAACACCAGTTACTCTTCAGTCAAGTGCCCCTCCCATCCCCAGGCCAATTAGCTGTGGCCATAATGTTTATAATTGGGGCATTTGTTATCTGCGCAAGTGTGTGTGTGTGTGTGTGTGTGTGTGTGTGTGCGTGTGTGTGTGTGTTTGTGTGTTAGAAGGGGAGCTATAGGGTACAGAGCACAGCTACTTGTAGGCCAGCCAGCTATGGCTAATTTCCTCTCCTTAGTGATCTGTGGCTATTGTAAGCACTTTAAATTTTAGTTTGTCCTGGTTTGCACTGAGGAATAGTACACAAAATATTTATAGAGACTTGTATTGCATTTATTTTAGTTATGTTGTTGAGAATGTACAACTACATCTCACTGAATACAGTTTTCACAGGTCTAAGAGATAAATTTCTCTTACATCCTGATGCAAATAAAAGCTTTGCTTATCATGAGTTTCTGGTTGGTTTTGCTCTTATGTAAAAGATTAAATTTGTAAATACCCATTGGAGCAAATCAGGGTTACATTTGTGGTTCACCTCTGGCAACAATACAGAATTTTGTGGTCGGCGTCTAGAGCTCAGCCTATTCCTACTTTTACTTTATTTCATTTTCCTGTTTTGATTTTATTTCACCTATTTATTCTCATTTATTTTATTTTTATATTTTATGATATGTATCTACTTAAGCCACAGCAAATCTTAATTTTAGATGAGATAAGATATTAAAAATGACCAAAGCTGGCCAGGAGCAGTGGCTCATGCCTGTAATCCCAGCACTTTGGGAGGCCAAGGCGGGTGGATCACAAGGTCAGGAGTTTGAGACCAGCCTGGCCAACATAGTGAAACCCCATCTCTACTAAAAATACAAAAACTAGCCAAGCGTGGTGGTGAGTGCCTGTAATCCCAATTACTCGGGAGGCTGAGGCAGGAGAATAGCTTGAACCCGGGTGGCAGAGGTTGCAGTGAGCCGAGATCAGCCACTGCACTCCAGCCTGGGCGACAGAGCAAGACTTCATCTCAAAAAAAAAAAGACAAAAGCTATAATTATTTATTAACATAATTATTCATTCACTAAACTATATTTTTCAAGAAAAAAGCAGTCATAGCATTACACTTGTGTCTATATAATTCATCCCAGTTCTAGTCACAATGAGTACTTATTAAAAATTTGTTGAGTGAATGAATGGTTCAATGATTTTTACCAAATATTAGAAGATGATAAATTCCACACTGCAGATATTGAGTAAAATATGCATTTGAAAAATAAGATTATTTCAAGAAAACCAGCAAATTTTATTATACAATCTTGGTAACAATATTGGTCAGATCTTAAATTCTGATTCATCATAGCTACAATATCTCTTTTCTTTTCATCAAACAACACTACTACAGTCACAAATAGCATGAAAGTGAGATTCATTTAGGTTCATAAAGTTTATAAGGACAAAACATGAATTGCATTTTATAATCACTGAAGACCAAAGCCAATACTTTAAAAGCAAATTGCAAATTCTTTTAGTAATTGCTGCATTACTATTCATCATTGTAACCTGTCTCTGAATGAAGTTGTATTTTCGTGTTAGTGTCCTTTGAAATATGTGATTCCATAAGCATTCCATTGTGATGAAAGCTCTTGTGTCCATCCAAACAGAGAAAACACTGTATCACAAGTTACTCATGGCAAGTTTTTGGCAGCTACTTAAAGGGGACAAAATAGAGGAATTTAATATAATTCAATCAAAGACAGGGGAATGCACATGAGAGAAAAACAAGGCTGGACAGAATATTAGTAAAGTCAGCATTATAACTGAGTGCAATACTTTATGGTATTTAAGAACCAGCTAGAAGGAATGCATTGTATTAGCATGATACAACAGCTAATTCATATGTGTGACTACTAGATTTCAAGCAAAAACTTAGCTGTACTAGACATTAGGGTATCTGGCACGAAGATGTCACTTTATGTTTCTGGAAAGATAAACAGCCAATCATGATTTCTTTCATAGGTCAGGGAAACCTAGGATGCCATCAGCATTCTACAGCTTGCTCTTGTCTGCATCCTGGACAATTTCAACATGTCACTGGAAATAACATGTTATGCTGTTCAAAGGCTGCCTGAAGAGGAGAGCAAGCCTTTCCCATTGCACTTCCTCTAAACCATCTCTAAACACCTTCTTAGACTCAAAGATAAAAGCCCTTGACCTTTTTACGTAAAACTGAAGTGTATGATCATTGGAACTGATAGTCTACGAACCTACCCTGGATGGACTCCCTTCCAGGTCCTGAATGAGAGAAGTGATTTGACATCCTCTTGGTTTCAGATTCTTATTCACTACTTTTTAAAATAGAAGCAACATTGAGGGTAAAATCTGGATTCATAAAAGTCTGCATTAATTATATACTGACTCTGCACTATTAAAACAAAGCCCATTGACAAGCAGCCATCAGATACCTTTCAGAGGAGGGAGTCTTGGCTGTTATTCTTACAGCGTCCCTGAAAGAGCCCTGATCCTCTCTCTGGCTGCAGCTTTTGTTTCCAGCCCTTCTTTTTTCAATGGTTGTCATGGAATCAACTTATTAGCATATGAAAAGCCATACACAACACTTTTCCCTTTACCCCTCGCTCCCCCACAACCAAAAGCCTGTTGCTAAAGCCTTAGTCCTTAATATTCATGTAAAGGAGGGTGGGGTGTGAGAACAGAAATAAAATTGTGAGTGAAAAAACAAAGACGTTTTCAACTTGCATCCTCTCGGGCAAAAATGGCTGATTTTTAAAGAGTTAGAATTTTCTCAGTTTCTGTCTTTTTACTGAGCTTCCCCAGATTTTGGCAACTGTAGTCTCCTACCCTGTTATAATTGACCTTATTCACCAAAATTGGTTTTAATTGCCTCATCAGTCAGAGGACAGATATGTGTGCTTCTCAACGTATTATGACAACTTTTGCTTAATTTGGGATTAATTTCAATAATCAATTCTCATGTTTTCTTAAAAATAACTTCTAAATTTCTTCAAAATTTTTAGTTCATAAGTGACAGAAAATTCTCTTTTTCTTTAAAGTGATCTTATAGGTTATGTAAACTACAACTCATGAAAAAGAATAGGCATGTGTTTGGTTTCTGAAGTTGTCTTAGCCCATGTTTATAAGCTACGTTTTGTCTCACCTTGTATATATAGGGTCAAAATAATGCATTGTTTTTCTGTGTAAAAATAAATCTTGCCAACTCCTCCCAAATACACTTATGTAACTAACTTGAAAAGGCTCTAAGAATGTTGCCAAATAAAGAGGAGACTTCTCCTTTTTTGTTTTTGTTTTTTTGTTGTTGTTGTTGTTTAATGAGACACAGGTCTCACTATGTTGCACAGGCTGGTCTCAGACTTCTGAGCTCAAGTGATCCTCCCACCTCAGCCTTCCAAAGTGCTAGAATTACAGGTGTGAGTCACCACACCTGGCCAAGAGAAGACTTTCTTAAAACAACAAACACAACAAAAATCTCATGAAGCACACTATACTCCATATTCTACAGTAATATAGACAAAACCCGTTGTACCACCTGCAAAAATATTCTTGCACAGCATATAAATGTAACACTATCTGGCTTCCAGGAAATTTCTCAACCTAGTCCCCATCTCAATAACCTTTAATAAACACCTAGTATGATGGTGATGATGATGATGATGGTGATGATGATAATGATGATAGTTAGCAAATAATTAGAGCCATGTGCTGTTAAGAGCATTAGGTGATTGATAGATCTAATAGTCAGAACATCATAAGAACAAAAGTTGATCACTTCTTCAATTTGAGGACTTACTACACTCAATTGTGAAAGTTCTTTTATGGAACAAAATTCTAGTGAAATATACTTCTGTCCAAATGTGACCACGTTGGTTTGGATAAGCCACCTATATAGTCCACAGATGGTATTAATCAGAATTCCTTCAGTGGTTAGTGGCAAATAACCAATTTAAGTGAATAAGCAAGAAAACAAAGGAGGAGGATAGTTATTGACTCTGGAAATGAAAATCCAAGGGAGGCACTGGCTTAAAGCATGGCTAAATCTGAGGATAAATGTATAAATGTCAAGTGTCCAATATTTGACCCTTTTTTTTCCTTCTTCTTTCCCATCTGTCATTCCTTCATCTTTCAGCCCTACTTTTGTAGTTGAGCTCCGTTATGCTAGAAAACAATGACGGTTCCCTCTGAGCAGCCCAAGAAAGTGGCTGAAGGAAGTTCTGGATTTACCTCCCCTTTGATTAGTAACCCTTATGCTAGAAAACAATGACGACTCCCTCTGAGCAGCCCAAGAAAGTGGCTGAAGGAAGTTCTAGATTTACCTCCCCTTTGTTTAGTAACCCCATCAGAAAGAGGTCACTCCTTTCTCCTGGTTCCCATGTAGCAAAAGCAGAGAAAGATTCTAACTCACTTTGTTTGGCTCATAGGCCCAAATTTTAACTGCATCTCCATGACCAGGGAAATATTTGGCCAGTTCTTGTTACTGCCTACTTAGATGTTTGGAGGTGCAATGTCTGTTACACAAAGAGGAAGATGAGAAAGCCTTCAGGGGATGATGGATAAAACCAATAGCTACCTATAATCCACTCCTCCATGTTTACTCCATGGAGGACTTACTACTCAATGTTTGAAATAAAATATAACTCAAGTTAAATCAGGGCTTCTAATAACCAGCTTCTGTAATTACCTAAACTAATGAGATTAATAGAGGTGTGTCTACTACCTTGAAAAGGAAATAATATTAAAATGTCCTTCAGGACGGGTGTGGTGCCTCATGCTTGTAATCCCTGCACTTTAGGAGGCCAAGGAGAGCAGATCATTTGAAGTCAGGAGTCTGCGACCAGCCTGGCCAACATGGTGAAACCCCAACTCTACTAAAAATACAAAAATTAGCCGTGCCTGGTGTCATCCACCTGTAATCCCAGCTACATGGGAGGCTGAGGCAGGAGAATCACTTGAACCAGGGAGGCAGAGGTTGCAGTGAGCTGAAATCACACCACTGCACTCCAGCCTGGGCAACAGAGTGAGACCACATACCAAAAAAAAAAAAAAAAAAAAAAAAAAAAAGTCCTTCAGCCAAAATTTTACCTGGCATCTATGCAATGTGAAGTCTCGGACAAGTTAGAATGAGCCAGTGTTAAGGAGACATAGCAGAGGCTCAACTGTATTGAGAGGAAGCACTTTAAAAAATACAAATCAATCAATCAAGACATATTTACTTAGTTCCTACCATGAGATCCACAGTGTGTTTTATGCACAGGGAGAAAAAAGATGAGAGGCCCACTGGCTATCAGATGATAGAGGTAACACTATAATTACTCAACACACAGCCTAGAGGGTAAACTGAAAAATAAAATTCCTTCTTATCCACCAGAAAAATCAATAAGAAAGTGATAAGGCAGAGAGTTAGCCTTTGTCTAACTAATGGAAGCCTCAAGCCTCAGGGATGTCTCCTCCCTACTACCCACCAACATCCCTGGGTTCTTTGATATCCTGCAAACCCCTGTAGTAGCAGAAGCAAAGTGTGGGATTTGGGCTTAACTGGGATTGGCATAAGGAATTTCTAAAAAGCCATGAGTGTCTCCTACCTGCTTGTTACTATTCCACAAGGTGTGAGTTACCATTCCACAAAGTGTGAGACAGATGTCCAAGTGTTCATGTAATTTTTGAAACTATTAGTTCTCTGCAGCCTCCAAGTTCTTGTGATTCTCACGTACAAAGCATCTTGGAAAAAGGTGCTATGTAAAGGGTGCTTATTACCATCTGAAGGCATCTCATCGCCCTCCCAGTCACCATGCCAAGAGAAATGAATGGGAGTCATGAATGTGAAAATCTAAAACCCATGGCTGGGTGTGGTGGCTCATACCTGTAATCCCAGCACCTTAGGGGTCCAAGGTGGGAGGATTGCTTAAGCTCAGGAGTTCGAGACCAGTCTGAACAACATAGTGAGAACTTGTCTCTATTTTTTTTCAAAATAAAAAACTTAAAAAAAGAAAAAAAAAAAGAAAATCTAAAACCTCTCCTTCGTGGGTGAGCCCATAAGTGATTCTGTTACCCACAAAAGGGCCTATGCACACAAAAAGAGCACTGCTATTTGGAGATTTCTCAGGGCCTTAAAATATTTCTGTAATTTCAATTTACAGCAATCACTTGTCCATCAGGTTGTTCTATATATTGAAACATTTGGAAGCGTAACCCCTGACAATCAGATACTACTTTAATTACTTTAAAACCACAACATTGGCTTTGAAACTCTTACCAAAAAAAAAAAAAAAGTTTATTCAACAAACCTCAAGATGTTCCTGTACTTAGTAGATTAAATCTCACAAAAATATTCGTCATAAACTCAGATTTTTCTTAAATTAAAAAACATCACTAAATACCTCTAATTTTCTGTCTCCCATGTGGAATCCCTCTTTTCCAATCAAATGTTCTTTCTTTTGCTTCAAAAATCAGTTTTGAGCACCCCTCTATCAGAAACCTTCCTTGATTTACTCCACCCTATCTTGATCCATCTATTACTTAACACTTTATAGAGATTTGCAAGAAACCAATCGGTAATCCACAAATAATTATTGAGTCTCTATTACATTCTTAGCACTGCAAAAGTATTGTGGGAAAATCGAAAAAAAGTTTAAGAAAGACATGATCTTTTCCCATATGAAGTTTATAGTCTTTCTCATGAGACAGTATTTACACAAGTGAAATATTTTAAAACAAGACAATATATGGTAAACATGCTGAACTGTATGGTTCAGATAAAAGTAGAAGTGTTCTGTCTTTTCAGTGACCATGATATCACCTCCTGTGCGCTCCCTGTTAGGTTCTGGGGATACTAAGGTTGCTAAAATGCAAAAGTGGCTGTTGTAAGACTCACCATCCAAAGGGAGAAATAGACACATATACAGATGGTTATAATCAATATGTTGAGTACAAAGACAGAATCTGTGTATTTGGCTCTGAGAGCACAGAGGAAGGGTACCCAACTCACAGAGGAAGGGTACTCAACTCAAAAATGTCTCCCTATATTACCAAATGTCTTCTGAGCAACAAAATGGCCCCCAGTTGAGAATAATTGGTCTAGAAACATTCAGAAAAGTATTAATGAATGGAGCTTTGCCAGGTTACAAGTACTGTTGGGGCAGGGGAAGTGAGAAATGGCAGAAGTGAGGAACAGTATGACAGCATGGTGTGTGCAAAATCAATGTGTGCTGCATTGCAGGAGTGTAAAGAGCTAGATTCTCTGCTTCAAATTCTTTTAAAATGATGAAACACCTAAATAGATAAACCAACAAATAAATAATCCCCATACATGTTTGCTGAAAAGCAGAAGCAGATTTACCAGGCCTTGAGCATGTTGGAATCTGCTAGGCTTTGAGGACTTTCAGAGGTGTAACAGGAAAGCCAGGCTGCAGTCAGGAAGCATTCTAAGCAAGCATGTCTGGAAAGTTGCCAGGGGTGTTATATGAAAAGGACCTGAAGCTCAAAGTCTCCAGTAATTTATTGTGTTTCATTTTCTCATGCTAAATAAATATTCACTTTTGTACCTGATTTTGTATTCTTTATCATAAAGAAAACCCCTCAAATTGTATAAAATTCCATTCCCCAGAACCTGAATCTGCCCTGCTGAGGAGAGATCCACAATGAATTACTTTGCCAGGAAGGTAGGTCTTGACCTGAGCTTTGAATAGAAGGCTCCCCTGCTGAGGAGAGAAAGAAATTGTATTCCAAGTGGGGGAGGTTTGTCTCTCTGGGATGGCTTAAATGCAGACTTTCCCAGAAACAGAGGTGGACTTAATGACCATGAAAGATCCCACTCCGCCTTGTGATTTTGTGATTTCAAAGTATTATACTTACACGGGTCACAGTGTACCTACAAGCTTATGACCACA
Source organism: Homo sapiens (assembly GCF_000001405.40). Classification (NCBI taxonomy): domain Eukaryota; kingdom Metazoa; phylum Chordata; class Mammalia; order Primates; family Hominidae; genus Homo; species Homo sapiens. The sequence goes on from NC_000006.12 coordinate 113,592,822, forward strand.
GATCCTGCATGTTGCAGGTCTTGAGTGTGAGCCATTGCTAAGGGATAGCACAGTTCTAAGTATATGTCATAATATATGTATCAACTTCAGAATGAAAGAGCCACTTCTTAGTCCCAGAAACAATTGTCATTCAACTAGAGGCTCTGAACTGTTGTTTTCCCCTTTGTGTTTGTATGGATTTAGACTGGGTGATACATTTTGAGGGTGGTATTTTTTTTTAATGAGGCTGATAATACAGTTCTCTAAAGTTTTCTGGTTTAGGCCAATGTTTTAGACTAAAGAACTCAGTTTGTGCCAACCGGAAGTGCTATGCAAAGCTGTCTGGTAGAGTTGACAGAACTCAGGATTTGGAGTCAAAAGACCTGGGTTTGAGTCCCAGATCTCCCACCTTCTTATAAGTCACCTGGTACAGGCACATCTTAAAGGATTTCTGGGAGGAGTAACTAGATTAATTTATCAGGCAATGGTAAAGCCAACTGTATTAGTCCGTTTTCATGCTGCTGATAAAAACCTACTCCAGACTGGGTAATTTATAAAGGAAAGAGGCTTAATGGACTCACAGTTTCACATGACTGGGGAGGTCTCACAATCATGGCAGAAGGCAAAAGGCATGTCTTACATGGTGGCAGACAAGAGAAAATGAGAGATCAGAGCAAAAGGGGAAACCTCTTATAAAACCATCAGACCTCATGAAACTTATTCACTACCATAAGAATAGTATGGGGGAAACTGCCCCCATGATTCAATCATCTCACAATGGGTCCCTCCCATAACCCATAGGAATTATGGGAGCTACAATTCAAGACGAGGTTTAGGTGGGGACACAGCCAAACCATATCAGCAACCTGTATTTTATAGTTGGAGTCTGTTTGTATTGATTGATTGCTATAATGATTGTTAAATATTAAATATTTTGAGTTTTACCTTGCATGAAGCACAAAGGAGATGCCAGTTAAGATTTCTGCCTACCACTAGCAGAACCTTTGCAGACAAGTCTTGCTGCTGTAAGCACAGATTTAATTGTTGGTTACAATATGGAAGATGTTATTCTAGAAATGAACCTTTCTGGGGTCATAATGGCTTTGAGTTCTTTTCAAGTAGGTACAAAGATTTAATGCCATGCTGTATGAGAAGCAAAGTCATTAGGTTGGGCCCAGTGGTTCTCAGTCCTGGCTGCACATAGAATCACCTGGTGTATTAGTCAGGGTTCTCTAGCGGTACAGAACTAATGGAATATATATATATAAAAGGGAGTTTATTAAGTATTAATAAACTTAATAAAGGGGAGTTTATTAAGTATTAACTCACATGACCACAAGGTCCCAAAATAGGCCATCTGAAGGCTGAGGAGCAAGGAGAGCCAGTCCGAGTTCCAAAACTGAAAAACTTGCAGTTCGATGTTTGAGGGCAGGAAGCATCCAGCACGGGAGAAAGATGTAGGCTGGGAAGCTAGGCCAGTCCCTCTCTCGTTTTTTTTTGAGATTGAGTCTCGCTCTGTTGCTCAGGCTGGAGTGCAGTGGCGTGATCTTGGCTCACTGCAGCATCCACTTCCTGGGTTCAAGTGATTCTCCTGCCTCAGTCTCCCAAATTGCTGGGATTACAGGTGCCCACGACTATACCCAGCTAATTTTTGTACTTTTTAGTAGAGATAGGGTTTCACCATGTTGGCCAGGGTGGTCTCGAACTCCTGACCTCAGGTGATCTGCCCACCTTGTCCTCCCAAAGCGCTGGGATTACTGGCGTGAGCCACCATGCCCGGCCTCCAGTCTCCCTTTTTACATTTTTCTGCCTGCTTATATTCTAGCTGTGGTGGCAACTGATTAGATTGTGCCACTCAGATTAAGGATGAGTCTGACTTTCCCAGCCCACTGACTCAGATGTTAGTCTCCTTTGGCAACACCCTCACAGACACACCCAGGATCAATACTTTGTATCCTTCAATCCAATCAAGTTGACACTCAGTATTAACCATCACACCTGGGGAGCCTTTTGAAAACACTTGTGCCTGCACCCTACCCTAAACCAAAGAAATCAGAATCTATCTGTGCAGAGTCATGGGAAATCTTCCCCAGGTGATGTCACTGTCCATCCAGAATAGAATCACTGCAGCTAGACATCTATTCTCATTCAGTGCATGAAGCAAGTACCTGGCCCTACAGCTCCTCTACCAGCAGACATTGTGGCAGGTGTCCACTTTCTAGATGAAACTTTCCTTATAAAAGACCTACTGTAGGCCAGTAGGTGGCTCACACCTGTAATCCCAGCAGTTTGGGAGGCTGGGGCGGGTGGATCACTTGAGATCAGGAGTTCAAGACCAGCCCAGACAACATGGTTAAACCCCGCCTCTGCTAAAAATACAAAAAATTAGCCGGGGGTGGTGGTGGGTGCCTGTAATCCCAGCTACTTCAGAGGCTAAGGCAGGAAAATCACTTGAACCTGGGAGCCGGAGGTTACAGTGCGCTGAGGTCACACCGTTGCACTCCAGCCTGGGCAACAAGAGTGAAACTCTGTCTCAAAAAAATAAAAAATGAAAGACCTACTGTGTATGTACCATCCATAAATCCAAGCAAGAGAGGATGCTGCTCTGCATCTTATAAGGGAGCAAGCAACCTGGCCTTCTTTCAACAGCACTTCTCTTCATGAAAAGGAGAGTCCACGGGGCCAAAGCGATACCCCCACCCCACCCCAAACACATCCTTAATCATGCTTTGAGTTCCCAGGACCCTAAAATTCCCTTCCCAATCAACTAAAACCAACTTCTTAGGACCTGACTAGGCACACCTTTAGGCCAAGGGATGTCCCAGAGGTGGCTGTTGATGAGGGTGTTAATGCAGCTTGGACACGTGTGGTGGAGTTTGAGAGGTCCCATGCATTGTAGGATGGGGGTAGGGTCTGAAAAGATGGGGGTAGACCCAGGACCTAGGGCAGTGGGCCAGGCAGTGAGAGGCCCGATTTCCCTGGCCATCCAATTCCAGGATGAAACTCCAAGGAGTCAGGGAACTCTAAATTCAAATCCAGCCTCTAGATAGTTAATGAAAATACATTTGTCATGAAGGGAGGGTAGAACATATTTTATGTTTTACTTAAGAATGTTCAAGCTTGCATCATAACTTTTAAGTATTTAGGCATATGGCTTGTGGGCCTCCGTTTGTACTCTTGCCCTGGGCCCTGCAAATGTTAGGGGCGAGCCGAAAGGACACATCTTTGCCTCACATCCCTCCGGGATGTTTGCTTATTTGAAATTAGCAGCCATGGAAGCTTTCCAAGGCTCTTTGAATGCAATGAGAATGTGGTCCATCAAAAATGCTGTCTGATTTTATTGCACATGAGAAGTTGTTAACTCTGGCAGCCCAGCCAGATTCTTGTATGTTCTCATTGTCCCTTAGGCCTCCCCAGCCAAATCCTAATGGGGTAATGAGTCTGTGCCTATGAGATTTGAGGGAGGGGCTGAGGGAAGTGTAATCAAGCAAATCACAAAGTGTTGAGCTTAGAGAACGGAAGGCCTCCGTTCCTTTGACTTCATTTTCAATTCACTTAATTTCAGGGTTGGATCCCCCCCACCCCGCCCCTTTGGCAGTGAAAAAGAAAAGGAATGTTCTCTGTTTTTCCTCTTATAAAACCTGGAGCATAATAACTGCCCTGGACTGTTAGGAACACGGTGAGGAGGATCTCAGAGAACAGGGACTGCTTATAGCCTACATATGAAATTGTATAAGCAATTGTCGTTTTTCCCCCATTCATTAATCTGGCAGGATTTACTAAGGGTTTTAGAAGGGAAACATGGCTGTTTTAAGAGAAACTACAATAAGGAAATGGTGGGGGTTGGGCAGAGAAGGCCAAGGACAGACTTGAATTCACACTTTATAAATCTGGCACGGTATATGTGAACTGCTTCATGAACTGGCTGATATCAGGCAAATAAGAAAGTTAAAGCAAACCAAGAGCTATGCTCAAGCAGTCAGTTCTCCCAGCAAATTAACCAGGCACTTTCAGGAGTATGAAACTCCAGAATCCAGGCAAATGGCACAGAGGTCTCTGAATGGGTCTCAGCAGCTGCCAAGGCAGCTCACACATCTTGCACACCAAAGGAGTCACTTACCCTCTTGAGGAAATGAAAAGTCCCTAAGACCAAGCCTCTCTGGAACATGTCATAGGCCCTGGGAGAGCCCAGGGATAACCTTTAGGGTTAAGTGTCCCCATGATGCTGCTGGTATTTCAGTGAGAACAGGCAGGCCGGAAGGAGGCTGGTGTGGGAAGCAGCCCTCACACAGATGTTAGCATAAAAGAGCTGTTTACTTGGTGATTAGTATCATGAAATGAAAAGCTCAGGTTTCAACTGCTTAGGGAAGAATGATTATTTTTCTCACTGTGCAGCCTTTGCCGTTGGCACAGAGAATGTATTCATCAACGTCCCAGGTGTCACTCTTGGGCAGGTGGGATTCCAGACTCAGGTTGGGCCATCACCCCTGGCCCCATCTGGAGAGACATGGGGACTTGCTCAAACTTTTGTATTTATGTAATGAGTAAGAGGCTGAATCCCAGAGGAGTTACCCCTCAGCCAGGCTAACCTCAGAGTTCTGCATTTACCATGGGTACATCACCACAAAACAGTGACCAACACTACCTCGTTCCTAACTTCCCCAGAAGGGCAAGGGTGAAATGGACCAACTTACAGATTCATGGGGTTTAGAGAAAGAATTAATCAGCACCCTCTTTTTATCACCAACAGGCCTACCCATGGCCAATACATCCAAATTGTGCACACTGTGGAAAGATCACTCTCTTAGTGCCTCAAAGCTTAGAATCAGTTTTATTAAATTATTCTAACATTTCCCCCAAAGAAGTATGAGCCAAGAGGCAGTTTATTTTCTGGAAAAAAAACATGCACTTTGAACATAAAGGGCTCTTGGTTTGAATACCAGTTCTTCCACTTACTAGTTATGAGATCTTGGGTGAGTTATTTAAGAATTCTGCATCTCAGTTTCCCAATATATAAAATAGAGATAATAATAGCTACATCACAGAACGATTATGCAGATTAAATTAGATAACTCCTGATAGGCACTCAATACAAGGAAGCTTTTATGAACAGGAAATGTGCTTTTCAGAGAAGCCTTTACCTCCCTCCCCATTGTAAGGTCTTCGAGTTCAATAGCAGCATCTGGGGTGGATTCTCCTCCAGAGCTACAGTGCTGCCTCCTCCTTTCCAAATGAATAAATCTGGTTGCTCCCATTGCATATATCAGTGTCTAAATAAAACTTTCGGTGAAAATGATTTCAAAAAACAATCTGAGGGGCTAGATGTGGTAGTTCATGCCTATAATTCCAGCACTTTGGGAGTCCCAGGTGGGTGGATCACCTGAGGTCGGGAGACTAGCCTGGTCAACATGGTGAAACCTCGTCTCTACTAAAAATACAAAAATTAGCAAGACGTGGTGGTAGGCACCCGTAATCCCAGCTGCTCAGGAGGCAGAAGTTGCAGTGAGCTGAGACTGTGCCACTGCACTCCAGCCTGGGTGACAGCGAGACTCTGTCTCAAAAAAAAAAGTCTGAGGGATTGCTTCTTGCCATCTCCTTCCTACCATCCCACTCTACCTTCCACGTTGCATCAGGAAAATAGCATCTGGGGAAAGAATGGGAGACTCAGCTTTTCTGGGAAGTAGTGATGGGCAAAGGCAGTTGAAGGCTGTGACCTTGAAAGGACATCAGAAGCTACCCAATAGAAACCCCTCTGAAGCTGAACGCTAGATGATAACAGAATGGCTTTTTTTAAGACTTGTTTCCTTACTAGCTTCAAGGCTGCCCTAAAGGCAGACCAGAAAGGGGCAATTCTTACACCCAAGGCCCAGGTGTGAACCCAGCATCCTTACTTGTAATTGCATGTATGGTAATTGTCTGTCCAGCGTATCCCAACCAGAGATGCATACCATCTTGCCTCAATCCCGTTTCCAAATTCTTTTCTGCATATAGAATACTATATCTCTACTGCCATGTAATACTTGTTATTATCATTAGGCCCAATTATCACTGATACCACACAACAGTATTTTTTAAAAGTCTTGATGTTATAATGATGGATGTTATGTTTTGGCACCGCTCTTCTGCCTGATCTCATACAGAACTTCTCACATACCACAGATAAGATGCATGAATAAATAAATTGCTTTTAATGCTGGATGACACATGGACTGAGTGTGTAATGGCAGGTCCATGAACAGGAAGGTGGGGAAAAACATGTGTGGAGAGACTTAGACAGATAGAGTGCTTAGAACCAAAAATAGGTAGTTTAGAATTACACAAGCATCCCTGATCTCTTCACGACAATAGGGAATTTTTACCTGTTCTTTGTCTCACGTAGCTTATAGATCTACCAGAAATTCCTGGAGGTGAACTAGAGCAAGACATCCTTCACTTTTCCTTCCCGGAACTGAGTTCACACTTTGCCAACATGAAATTTTGGTTTGCTGTTGGAAAGAATCTATGTTAATGGTCCCAATCTTAACAAAACATGCTGTCAGAGGAGTTTGGGAATAGAAGGGAAGAAAAGGGTGGGCCCGGCTGTGTGGCTCTTCAGCCTGAGCCCTGTGGAAAAGATTACCATCTGGAGACTGTGACCTCTTAGCAAGTGCAAACATCATTTAACTCTTTAAAAGCAACTAGAGCATCCATCATCATTCTTTAAAACAAACAGAAACCAAAAACCAACAAACAAATATGAATCCCTTACTTTTGCAGGCACTGTGCTTTGCAAAGGGAATAAGATAAGCCTCTCAAGCAATGATTCACAGGAAAGAGAAGAGAATGTTACAGTCTCCATGGGAATGATAAAGGAGGTAGGGGAGGAGTCTGAGACCACAAGTCCCACACTTCTTCAAAATGCCCCTGGCCACTCTGCCTGAGTCTTAGCTGGCCTGTGAAGCCCTTACATGGCTCCTGGGCAAGTGCTATGCAGCATTATTGTTTACAACATGTTTATATGACCACATTAAGAGTAGAGTCATTATAGAAGGAGCAGGATTAAAAATAAATAAATAAATAAATAAATACAAAAGAGTAGGACCAGCCAGCTGGGCAACTAATTGTCACTAATCTATAAAGGTCACCAAAATGTTACAGGAATCAATGTGCACTGATCTCATTCCTAGTGCCCTTGAGAAAAAAAAAGAAAATACTCTTCACTAGGGCAAACTCACTTCTATTGAGTATTTTTTGGGGAAATAGTGGTGGCCATCAACTGAAAATTATGATCACAGATAGCTGAATTCTGACAAATTCTAGAACAAATAACTGAAGATCTACTGAAGTTGTTCATGGGTCAAATAATGGCAGAATCACTGTCCTGGAGACAGTCAAAAGGATATATCCCCTGGGAAGTGCCTACTGATGAAAAACAATAGACACAGGGGTTGAATATATTCCAGCTTTCCTAGTGGTCTTAATTAGTAAGTCAGTATGATTACATGGTCAATCAAATTGATTGTTGATTAGCTTAAGTGGCTGGAGGAAAAAAGCACATTGATTCTTTTCTCTAGGTGGTATTTTATGTCAAATAAACATTGTATTTTTCTAAGGATCTCTAGGAAATGAGATTTATTCTTGCTCTTTAATAAACTTTTCCAATGACTAAATGCCTTAAAATCCAAACATTATTTTGCACATTTTACCTAAATTTTCTTGGTGAAATGTAGACTTATTTTCCCTTTGTTTGAGATCACTTCTGAAATAGGGAGTCCTCACAGCTTCATTTATGACCCTGAATAAACTACCTGTTGATATGGTTTGGATTTGTGTCTCCACTCAAATCTCATGTGGAATTGTAATCCCCAATGTTGGAGAAGAGGCCTGATGGGAGGTGATTGTCTCATGGGTTTGAACTTCCCCTTGCCGTTCTTGTGATAGTGAGTGAGTTCTCACGAGATCTGGTTGTTGTGTGTAGCACCTTCCCCTTTGCACTCTTCCTCTTTCTCCTGCCATGTAAGATATTCCTGCTTCCTCTTTGCCTTCCATTATGATTGTAAGTTTCCTGAAGCCTCCCCAGCTATGCTTCCTGTACAGCCTGTGAAACTCTGAGTCAATTAAACCTCTCTTCTTTATAAATTACCCAGTCTCAGGTAGTTCTTTATAGCAATGTATTGATATAATAAATAATAAATACTCTTTATTAATAAAGAGTATTACAGACTAATATACCCATCTTGTTTGCAATAAAATTCAAACTCTTTAATGTTGCCTAAAAGATTCATCTATGACTTGCCTACTCACTCACTCTTCACCTCTCTGATCTCATGACCTCCTACTCTGCCACTGCTTACTCTTTCAGGCACACTGACCTCATAGCTATAAAAATACCAGACACATGCTTGCCCCAAGGCCTTTGCACTTGCCATTCTTTCTCTCTAGAGACCTTGTTCCTAGATATCTGCCCAGCATGTTCCCTCACATCAGATTTCTACTAAATATCCCCCAACCAAAGAGGTCTTTCATGATAGTTCTATATAAAAACTACTCCATAATTCTACATTTAACTGCTTCATTTTTCCTTATTAATATTTTTAACCCAAAATATTTATGTATCTAATATATGTTTCCAACTATGGTTTATAAGGTTTGTGAGATCAAGGTCTTTGTTTTTGTTCACTGATTGCTATGATTTGAATGTTTGTCCTTTCCCAAACCATGTTGAAATTTAATTTTCAGTGTAATAATATTAAAAGGTGGAAACTTTTAGAGGTGATTAGGCCATGAGAGCTTTGCCCTCATAATGGATCAATGCCATTATCAGGAAAATCTGTTTGTTATTGCAGGAGTGGATTCCCTATGAAAGAATGACTTTGGCCCCATTTTATATCTCCCTTTCTCTCTCTTTCTTCCTTTCTTTCCCCTTTTGCTATGTGATGCCTTTCGCCATGTTATGATGCAGCATGATGGCCCTTACCAGATGTCGACACCTTGATCTCAGCATTCCCAGCCTCTAGAAGTGTGAGAAATAAATTTCTATTTACCATAAATTTCCCAGTTTATGGTAGTCTGTTATAGGAGCACAAAACAAACTAAGACATTGTTATATCCCCTACAGCAATAGGTGAACATTTGTTCATTCAATAAGTATTATTGAACATGTCTATATAACAGACACTGAGACACATGCCAAAACCAAAGGTGCACCAAAGAGATGTTAAACCAGCCTTTTCCATTCTGAGGAGAGTAGCCCGTTGAGGGCTATGAGTGTTGTAATTCTTTCCTTTCTCTCCTGTTCTTAAGCAAAACAAAGACAACAGCATACACTTTTCTCTTCCAGAGCCCTTTCAATTTTTTAAATACACAAATTTCTTCTTGTTGTTTTGGTTGCTTTTGACATTCTTTTTTTTTTTTTTCTTTTTTTTGAGGCAAGGTCTTACTCTGTCTCCCAGGCTGGAATGCGGTGGAGTGATCTCAGCTCACTGCAACCTCCACCACCCACGTTCAAGCGATTCTCCTGCCTCAGCCTCCCAAGTAGTTGGGACTACAGGTATGTACCACCACACCAGGGTAATTTTTGTATTTTTAGTAGAGATGGGGTTTTGCCATGTTAGCCAAGCTGATCTTGAACTTCTGAGCTCAGGTAATCCACCCACTTTGGCCTCCCAAAGTTATGGGATTACAGATGTGAGCCACTGCTCCTGGCCTGCTTTTTCAATTCTTAATGATCTTCTCTTTACATTTACAGACTAATACCTTCCATTCATTATCTATTTTTAACAGATTGAATTTTCTCTTAGGCAAAAGGTTAATTTTATTGTAAAAAGACATGACATATCTTGAGAATTTATTATTTTTGACTTCTGCATATAACCTAAAGTCATAGGTTTCAGCAAGATTAGTAACGAACAAACTCATGCAAGGTTAGGAGCTCAAATTTGGTTAGGCTCAGAAAACATTCCAAGGGTTGCAATATTTCTCAAATGCTCATCTTTGCATTTGAGCAGAAAGCCCACTATGCATGTAATCTCCATTAAGACAGCAGTATGCCAGCCTTATTCATCATTGCAGGACCCACCAGTGCCTCACATAGTAGCAGGTAGTAGTGAATCTGTTGTCAGCTTCAGTGTGCCCAGTCAGTGCTTCTGGCTTTATTCTTCTATGTGTGTGTGTGTGTGTGTGTGTGTGTGTGTGTATATATATATATACACACACACACACACACACACACACACACACATATTACGTATATATATATACATATTCTATATATATATCGAATATGTATATATATACACATATATATGTATGTACATATATGTATATATGTGTATATATAGAGTATGTATATATATATATATTTTATTTCAGTAATGGCCTGTGTCTTTATCTCCTATTTTTATGAAAAGGTGTTAATGTTTTTGATAGAAATTGAAATGAAATCTTCCCCAGCAGTGCTTTTTCTGTGGGCACCCATACCTTATTTCTCAGTATTCCTATATCTCTTCACACCAAAGTAAACACCTCGTGTAAATTTTGAAACAATGAAGCTAACTAATTTTTCTCATGCATACAAACAGTTTGAGCCAAGATTCAGGACAGTTCCTATGCTGTCAAACATGATTAGCCATCCCAAAGGAAAACCAGCAAGGAGAGAGAGGGAGAGAGAGAGAGAGAGAAATGGTGGCCAGTTATAGGAAATGGAAGAAAGGCCTTTCTCTTACCTCTGGAGATTGTAGATGGTTGATATGGAAGATTACACTGGAACAAAGATTGCATTGCTGGCTTATGTCATTTATGCTCTACTTGTACTACATTATTATAGGCTAGTTCTATTGTCTTGGTGGACAATAGAGGGTTTTATTTCAACATTATGTACAGACTGCCTGTATGGTCTCTTTCTTCCCTCCTCCAGATGCAGGAAGATATTTAGTATCCGATTTCTGAAGGAGCCATGTCAAAAAGAGGAGGTATAAACATTTTCTTTTTTTCCTCCTTTTTCTCCCATGTCAGCTTTCAAAGTCCCATAATTCTTCTTTTGTTTGTGATAGAAAAGTAAATCATAGCCCATTACAGTGCAGCCTTCTTGGACAACACTGTACGAACAAAACTGAGTAATAAAATAGAACTCTAAAAGGATAATTTTCATTTCACACAACTAAAGAGTAAGTGTTTAAGTAATTTAAGGAAAAAATTGTTTAAGCATAAATACTTAGAAAATTCTGCTTTTAGATAAAATCTCTAACTTCCTTCCCTCTTCTTGTTTCTACCTCATCATTTACACACGAAAAATTCAAAGTTCTATGTTCCCAAGTAGACACATAAATACATAATGCATAGCCAATGCACTTTCATAATAATTGTTTAACTAAATCATGCTTTCTGATGTCATTTACTGGGATGTATATTCAGCAATGCTGCCAAACCTTGTATTCAACTGAACTCTATGTTCTGTCCAGTATTTCAATTTTCTCTTACCATTGGTGAATCAATACAAGTGGATTGGGACATACACAAAGTAAAGAATGAGCAATTCTATTTTTTTTCTTAATTTGGACCAAAAAAATGTCAGATAATTCATGACAACAATCCAATCTCATTCTCCTAAATTTCCTAAATTATCCATGCCAGCTTCAGCAATCAAGGACCATCCTTTGTTAGGAAGAAACCTCTGTCCTCCAAATATGCTCAGCTTTAATTATCTCCAAATTAGCCTGGTCATCACAAGTTTGCCCTGATTAAACCACTTCACTGTTGAGTAGCCATTGTTAGGGGTACTGACCTGTCTCTTGCTAAAGAAAACTGGTGCAATGGGAATATGGCTTTTGTGTCACTTTGTATACTTAAACTTTTGGGCTGCAGTTTCCCCATCTTCAAGCAAGAATGACTCATCAGTCTCAGAGGGATTGATGAGCATTGGATAGGTAATATCATGGGCAGTGGGGGGTTGGAAAAGAAAGCATATTGGATTTAAGATTATGATAAACATCATTTGACATATGTCTTTCAAGTCACTGACTGAATCCTTTTCATAACACTCATAGGTAAATCTTAGGCAAAATTCCTGCAAAATAAGTTGTTACATTCCTGGAAAGCTTAGCGTAAGCATAACTAATTTTATTGGTTCACTAATCAAGGCAAACTTAATTCTCTGGGGAAATAGCACTTCCACATGATATATCTTCTCTCTCTTTTATTTATACTGCTCCCACTTCATTTCCAACTCTTATTACACCACACCTTGAGTATTGCAACAGCCTCCCAACTGACCTTCCTCCTTCTCTTGCCCCTCTCTCCTCTGGTTTATCCTGCAGATTACCCTCCAACTTTATTTTCTTAATAAATAAAGAAGAGTTTATAATAATATATAGAAGAAAAGAAAATAATATATAGAAGAAAAGAAGAGTATATAATAAAATGGAGAAGTTGCCAAGCTCCTACTCAATATCTTCGAGTTCAGTATCGATGGAATTAAGTCCAAACCCCTTAGCCCAACAAATCTGGCTCTTAATGAATCTTTCAGTCTCAAGCACTACTACTCTTCAAGGTTGAACACAAAATACAATTTATTTTGAAGTATTTTCTGATCACAATCTGTCCTTCTAGCCTCCATGTTATAGGTTCTGCAACACTGCATAGCACTGCCCTTCAATCTTTATCATAATGAAGTCTATCCTTCAGCTCCAGACCTTATCCCCACCATAGTTGGAATACTTCCATTCAAATTTGCTGGAGCACAGGGTCTGCATCACAGCAATGGCATATCATCACTGCCTGGAATATTATATGTACAGGTACAAGTCTTAGCTTTCCCACCAGACTGAAACTCAATGGAAAGCAGAAGTCATATCTTGCAGGGCACAGTACCTAACACATTGCCTTGTTAGGGGAGGGAGGTGTAATTAACTGAATATTCATTGAGTGAATGAATTAATGAAACCAATAAACATAAATGCAGAGCTATAATTTTTTAAAAAAAGTAATTTTTTTTTTTTTTTTTATACTCTAAGTTTTAGGGTACATGTGCACATTGTGCAGGTTAGTTACATATGTATACATGTGCCATGCTGGTGCGCTGCACCCACTAATGTGTCATCTAGCATTAGGTATATCTCCCAATGCTATCCCTCCCCCCTCCCCCGACCCCACCACAGTCCCCAGAGTGTGATATTCCCCTTCCTGTGTCCATGTGATCTCATTGTTCAATTCCCACCTATGAGTGAGAATATGCGGTGTTTGGTTTTTTGTTCTTGCGATAGTTTACTGAGAATGATGGTTTCCAATTTCATCCATGTCCCTACAAAGGATATGAACTCATCATTTTTTATGGCTGCATAGTATTCCATGGTGTATATGTGCCACATTTTCTTAATCCAGTCTATCATTGTTGGACATTTGGGTTGGTTCCAAGTCTTTGCTATTGTGAATAGTGCCGCAATAAACATACGTGTGCATGTGTCTTTATAGCAGCATGATTTATACTCATTTGGGTATATACCCAGTAATGGGATGGCTGGGTCAAATGGTATTTCTAGTTCTAGATCCCTGAGGAATCGCCACACTGACTTCCACAATGGTTGAACTAGTTTACAGTCCCACCAACAGTGTAAAAGTGTTCCTATTTCTCCGCATCCTCTCCAGCACCTGTTGTTTCCTGACTTTTTAATGATTGCCATTCTAACTGGTGTGAGATGATATCTCATAGTGGTTTTGATTTGCATTTCTCTGATGGCCAGTGATGATGAGCATTTCTTCATGTGTTTTTTGGCTGCATAAATGTCTTCTTTTGAGAAGTGTCTGTTCATGTCCTTCGCCCACTTTTTGATGGGGTTCATTCACAATTGCTTCAAAGAGAATAAAATACCTAGGAATCCAACTTACAAGGGATGTGAAGGACCTCTTCAAGGAGAACTACAAACCACTGCTCAAGGAAATAAAAGAGGAGACAAACAAATGGAAGAACATTCCATGCTCATGGGTAGGAAGAATCAATATCGTGAAAATGGCCATACTGCCCAAGGTAATTTACAGATTCAATGCCATCCCCATCAAGCTACCAATGACTTTCTTCACAGAATTGGAAAAAACTACTTTAAAGTTCATATGGAACCAAAAAAGAGCCCGCATTGCCAAGTCAATCCTAAGCCAAAAGAACAAAGCTGGAGGCATCACACTACCTGACTTCAAACTATACTACAAGGCTACAGTAACCAAAACAGCATGGTACTGGTACCAAAACAGAGATATAGATCAATGGAACAGAACAGAGCACTCAGAAATAATGCCGCATATCTACAACTATCTGATCTTTGACAAACCTGAGAAAAACAAGCAATGGGGAAAGGATTCCCTATTTAATAAATGGTGCTGGGAAAACTGGCTAGCCATATGTAGAAAGCTGAAACTGGATCCCTTCCTTACACCTTATACAAAAATCAATTCAAGATGGATTAAAGATTTAAACGTTAAACCTAAAACCATAAAAACCCTAGAAGAAAACCTAGGCATTACCATTCAGGACATAGGCGTGGGCAAGGACTTCATGTCCAAAACACCAAAAGCAATGGCAACAAAAGACAAAATTGACAAATGGGATCTAATTAAACTAAAGAGCTTCTGCACAGCAAAAGAAACTACCATCAGAGTGAACAGGCAACCTACAACATGGGAGAAAATTTTCGCAACCTACTCATCTGACAAAGGGCTAATATCCAGAATCTACAATGAACTCAAACAAATTTACAAGAAAAAAACAAAAAAGTAATTTTTAAAAGAAATTATCTGTCAGTAAAATGACCAACATAGAATATAAGCAAAACATGTAATAAACTATTTGTTATGAAAATTCCAAATGGAAGATAACTTTGTATCAAGAATAAATGCTTACATGTATCCTACCTGCATTAGAACTAAATACTCTCAACCCAACACCATGCTTTTGCAGGTCAAAGCAAGTGAATCTTTACCATCAGTGGATGCTCTAATATTCTAGAAATGGACTGGTAACTTATATTATTAAATGCCTGGTAGTTATAAACATCAATGGACTCATGATCAATTAACAAAAATGATTCTGTCTACAAGATAGCACATGTCTGAATAATGAATTCCATTAATACTATGCAGGAGTTCAGAGCTGGAAATCTGAAAGCATTTACAAAGATAATGTTTACACGAGTCTTTGAATACCCTGGCAAGGCAAACCATAAAAGTTAATAAATTAGTGATTGAAGGGTGGAAGGGAGACCATATCACAACCATTGGAAGGATTTTGAATGATCTAATAAAATGCCCTACCCTATATATAAAATATTATATGGGAAACAATCCTTCAGAATTTATTGATACTGTAAGGCTTTATTCCTCACACAATAAAAAGTAATTATCATAACACTAGACTGCCAGTTGAATGCCAATTTAATTAAGGAAATGACTTAAATATGCCATAGATACATTGTTCTTTTACATCAAAAGACCTGACATTACACAGACCTAAAATATTTCCTGTCTTCTAAGTATGAAATAATACAAACTTTGGTTCTATGTGTGCTTTCCCATAAATGCCATTTTTAGAAGCATATAAATAACATCGTTTCATATTCATAGACCAAGGAATGAAAAGCAGTTAGAACCAAAAGGCAGTTTTACCTTGTGTGTCAGGTTATTTATACTAGGGAATCCCCTAGAGAAATCTGTTGACTTCTTGGATACCCAAGTACCATCAGTGGCTGGTGACACAGGAAGAAGGATAAATGAAGAGGGTGAGTGTGTGACTTTATGAATGGATGCCAGAAATTGTACTAAGGAAGGTTTCATTTAGTTTTTCAAGTCTTTTCTCCTTTTAAAATAGCAAATTGCAAAAATGGAAGCAAACAAATTTTAAAGCTTTTATCAGTCACATGTATGTTGGTGCTAGTGGAGGATTTGAAAACCCAAAACCTTGGAAAGGGAAGAGGAGCGAGGGGAGAAGTGGGATGAAGAGAGCCAAGTTTAGAAGACAGCATATTAATGAGGAAAGAAAGGTATATAAGGTTATCCTGGAGAGACCTAGACACGAATCTAAACCTTGCCTACTTCCCAGCTTTGACTATCGTTGCCCCTGATACACTCCTTTTATTATAGTTCTACTTTTACGTTTATTGGTTTCATTAATTCATTCACTCACTCAGTAATCAGTTCAAATTTATCATCAATCATACTGTGAAAGTGGTGGCACTTCTGCCAAGAGATGGTGGCCTCAGCTTCTTAAGAATAGCCCTCTTGCTGATAAAGCTATTCAAACACAGTAAACTTAACTGTGGAAAGGCACTAAAGGAAGGTGTTTCAAGCACTGAAAATATTATTAGGAAAACCATGCAATTTATCATGCAAATGAGGATACAAAGGGGGCATTATTTATAATTACATCAGGTCTACAGGCAGACATGTCAACTAGAATGTATGGTTATCCTATTTACAAATCCATGTTTGGCCATGAAAAACTATTACTGTCTTTCTGGTGTATTGGATAATTGATTTTTATCTTTGTTTTGAGAGTTGAATGATTGATTCCATACCTACTACTGTTTATAAATATTTGTTTTCTAATTCCTGATCTAATTTTCAGCAATGTGTTAGATGCTTAGATGCTTAGTTAGTCTAATAAATTCTTCACAGCTGTCTCTAGCTTGAAAAGTGGCAGGCATACACAGTTGCAAAGAGAGTTAGAAGCTTCTCCAAAAGGAAGCCAGTTTTTTTCTTTTTCTTTTCTTTTTTTTGAAACAGAGTCTTGCTCTGTCTCCCAGGCTGGAGTGCAGTGGTGCAATCTCGGCTCACTGCAACCTCCGCCTCCCGGCTTCAAGCGATTCTCATGCCTCAGCCTCCAGAGTACATGGGATTACAGGTGTGCACCACCACACCCAGCTAATTTTTGTATTTTTAGTAGAGACAGGGTTTCAACATGTTGGCCAGGCTGGTCTCAAACTCCCGACTTCACGTGATCTGCCTGCCTCAGCCTCCCAAACTGTTGAGATTACAGGCATGAGCCACCGTGCCCGACCAGAAGCCAGTTCTTTAACACAGGATAGACATTGTTCCTGGAAGGCTCTAAGACAGGAAGGATCTGGAAAGGAGGCTAAGTCATTGCAGAAGGAATAAAAATTGTTTTAGGATCTGAAGGAAAATGCTGAGTTAGAGAGAATTAAAAAGTCTCTGAAATCTCTGGAAAAAAAAGAGTGAATGGCTGATTTTTAAAAGATATGCTTTAGTTTTATTTCTATATTTCCATACTTTGCACTGGGTTGATTCCCATAATGTCAAGCTATGGCTGCTTGATGTGGTTTGGATGTGGCCCTGCCCAGATCTCATCTTGAATTGTAGTTCCCATAATCCCCATGTTTCATGAGAGGGACTCGGTGGGAGGTAATTGAATCATGGGGGGAGTTACTTCCATGCTGTTCTTGTGATAGTGAGTGAGTTCTCATGAGATCTGATGGTTTTATAAGGGGCTTTTCATCCCCTTTGCTCTGCACTTCTCTTTGCTGCTGCCATGTGAAGAAGGACATGTTTGCTTTTCCTTCCACCATGATTGTAAGTTTCCTGAGGCCTCCCTAGTCATTCTGAACTGTGAGTCAATTATACCTCTTTCCTTTATAAATTACCCAGTCTCGGTTATGTCTGTATTAGCAGCGTGGGAACAGATTAACACACTGCTCTTCCAGTTTATCTCCTCAAAAAGTACAGGCTCTGTGTGATTTTATCATTCCCAAGTAAAAACCTTTATGGCCCAAGGACAGAATCTGTCAGTGAGAACAGACTGTGCATCATGTGGAGCAATCCTTTGGCCTCTTTTGACTTTGCTTTCTCTGTGTAGGCAATAGACAGGATCAGTCAGGAAATTCTAAGAGTTAACTTCCTGAGCTAATTTAACAACAGCAAAAAAGTGTTGCTGAGAATGATGCATGGATTTCAATTTAAAGACCTGCAAATGCTTTCAATTCTGCACTGTGGTTTTTGTCAAAAAAGCAGAGGCTGCATTTTAATGCGATCACATGCCGATACCAGGTCCTGATTTTCCTAAATTGCACTTACTAAATAGAATTCCTTTACCAAAGTACAGACCCACTTTTGCCCCAAGGGGCATACTATTCTAGTTCTCCAATGAAACTTGATTCTGTACAGTTCAAGGTTGACCCAAGGCTGTAATAAATCCACCTCTAAACACTTCCATTTATTTATCATAAGATTTTAAATTATTTTATTCTGTAGATTCTGTTTTAATAGACCAGAATATATATGGCAGTAGAAGTTAATCCACTAGCCTTTTGGCTTACTTATTGTCTATCAATTTATTTTGGTTAGTAACATATTTATTACAATGCTCTTGGCTGAGTAAAACATCAAATGAATAGTTTTCCTGAGAGTTGAGAACATGGAAAAGGCTAACAGCAACTTTTCCACATTTCTCTTCTCCATCTCTTCTACCATTGTCAAAAAAAAATCAGCTTTTAGTTTGGTCTTCTAAATGTGCTTTTCAAAACTCTGAGTAAACTTAATTTTGGAATCTTTAAAATGCCAACAGTGAGCATTTCCTTATGCACAGCCTTTAGTAGAGCAGCCTAGGTTGTCATGGTGAAATGGGTCAACGCTGTTTGCCAGGCAGCCTATGAAACTGCAAGCAGGCTACTGGCGTAGTGATAGCAGCACAGGCCAAAGCAGTCCACAATCTATAGCTGAATCTAGGTCACCAGGATTATGTGATGCTGCAGCTGTCCATGTGGGACTTCCATCTCCAACAGGGCTCACAAAGCCCTCATGCACACTGGGCATCCCCTGTAGCTGTAAACACTGCCATTCTGCTAGATCGCCTCCTTCTGCTGGCCATGTGTTAGTCTTTGCATTTCATTGAGGGCTCCTAGCCATGTGAGCTGGAAAACATTCTTCGTGTGTGCGTGTGTGTGTGTGTGTGTGTGTGTGTGTGTGTGTGTGTGTGTGTAAAAAGATACAGAGAGACAGAAATCTTGCTCTGGAGCCTGCATGCTGAAATGTCTCCCATTTAAATACATATTTCTGCAGAGTGAGCTAAATATTAATATCACATTCCTCTGTTAATGTAAACACCAGCAGCAAGATTTGGCAGCTTATTTAAAAAAAAGAGGAAGAACTTGGGCTTTTCTCCATACACAACATGTGTATTTTTTTTCCCCTGAGCACCATTTAAGTTAACACCACATCTACAGTGTGTCTGAAATGGCAGAGATTCAGTGACACTGGCAGGCAGCTGAGATGGCAGAGGGCTTAGGCACCACTGGCCACACGACTGTTTAACAAAGCTCCTATTGCTAGGAAAGCTCTAAATTATTCTTTCACATCAGAACTTTAAATTACATATTTGTGCTTATTTATTTGACAGGACTTTTAAAATATGCATTTTTAAAATGTACCTTTTCCTTTTCTATTTAAAAGTGGTGATTGGCATTTTGAATACAGACAAGCAATCTTCCTTAACACTGATTTTCTTTTTAAATAAATAGAGGCAGGATCTCACCATGTTGCCCAGGCTGATCTCAAACTCCTGGGCTTAGGCAGTTCTCTCACCTCAGCCTCCCAAAGTGCTGGAATTACAGGTGTGAGCCACTGCAATCGGCCAGCATTGATATTTTCATGAGTCCTTTTTTTTTTTTCTGTTGCTTTTCCCATTTGGGGTATATTATTTAACTGGACGGCACACATTTTAGAAATTGTCTAAATGTGAGTTAGGATTTCCATATTTTCAGGCTAAAAGCTGTATGTACACATATGCACTCATAATATGTCACTTGCTGCTACCTATCCTGCACTGTGTAAAATCTGTGTAAAAATCTTAAAACAAAGGGTCTTTTCTCAATTTAAGAAAAGGAAAAAATTCTTTCTATCTCTACAATAGTAAGTATGTGAGACAGGAAGGAAAATTTATATTTATCTACCTCTTTCTTCAAAGAAAAATGTTTAAATAAATGAATAGCAGAAGGAGATATGACATAAAACCCCAAATATCAAGACACTCACAAAGAGAGAAGGAAGACAATACGTGATGGAATGAGAATCAAGTGAAAGGATTAACTTTGAAAGGAAATAACACTTTGAAAAGAGGGGAAGGAAGCAAGGATGGTTACAAACCCAAGTAAGTTTGAAAGATGAGGGACAGGAAATCGAGTAAATTTTTGCCTTAGCTAGGTATCTAAGACCATTACTAATGAAAACAGTGGTTATTTTATTCAGTGTCTGTTATACATTAGGCAGCACATTAAATATTTTCATGTTCTGTTACAATGAGTCCTTCCTGCAACACTGGGAGATCCAACATTATGGTCCCCATTTCACACATGAGAAAATGTGTCTGTGTGTGTCTGTGTGTGTGCACGCATGCACATGTGCGCACAAAGGGTTAATAAGTTGACCAGAACCTCAACTACAATGGTGGTCAGTGGTGGTTAGATGTAGGTAGTCTCCCTCCAAACCTCATGTTTAACTGCCACAAGGTAGGCACTTTTCCAGCTATAATCACCCAATGGCTAATTGTTGCCCACTGCACAGATAAAATCAGTTCACTGAGACAGATGTATTGCAGTAGAGAAAGAGTTTAATAATGGCAGGGCTAGTTGAATGGAAGGATGGGAATAATTGCTCAAATCAGCCATCCCAAGAACTCAGAGGCTAGAGTTTTATGGATAATTGGGCAGGCAGGGAGCTCAGGGGTGGGTGTTGCTGATTGGTTGGGAATGACAACATAGGGGTGTGGAAAATGGTTCTTGTGCACTGAACTAGCCTCTGTGTGGGGGCCACAGAACAGGTTGAGTCATGAGTCATGGGGTCAGTGAGTTGCCAGAATGCAAAAGCCTGAAAAACATCTCAAAAGACCAATCTCAAATTCTACAATAGTGATGTTACCTACAGGAGAATTTGCGGAAGCCACAAATCTTGTGCCTCTGGCCACCTGACCCCGGAGCAGGAAGGGATTATAGAAAAGCCAACTGGAGATCAATGTCTGTTTATCATTTACTACACCTACATTTTAGCAGAATCCAGGCCTCTCCCATAATCCTAATCTTGTGGCCTTTCATTAGTCTTACAAAGGCAGTTTCAGCTCCTGAACAAGGAAGGGGTCAGTTTTAGGGAGAGACTCTTATCATTCTTGTTTCAAAGTTAATCTATAAATCAAATGACTCCCATGGTTAGCTGGGCCTATGCCCAAGAGTGAGTGAGGGTAGCCAGCCTGCGAGGCTAGAAGCAAGATGGAGTCAGCCATGCTAGATTTCTCTCACTGTCATCATCTTTGCAAAGTTGGTTTCACAGCCACATGCCCTTCATGTGGTATTTCAAACAAGGAACATATATTCGTATCGCCATCCCATCACTTCCTATCAAGAGCTATACCCTCCCTGCTTCCTCCTTGAACACTATTTATGAATTCAAAACCCAGGTGAGACTCCAGCTACACATAGAAGCCCATTCCTCATGTGCTCTGCTTCCTCTGCTTCCTGGAGCATAACTTGCTATGCATTCATATGGCACTGCCTGCTGATGACTGGGCATTATCCTGAATGATCTCCCTGGAGATATGCCCTGTATCCGTATCCAGTGGAAAAGTGTCTTGAGGTCAGGAGCTACATCATGCACTTCTTCCACAGCATCTATTGCTGGTCTATCCTGTGAAGGCACTTAAGAAACATTATTTGACTACAGCTTCCAAAAATAAGTTTTAGTATAGACGCTGTAAATAAACAAGTTCTATAAAAACACCTCAATCATAATCTGGGATGTGTGGTTTCAGCTTTGACCTTCCTTGCCTCTTAGAAGAAGACTCTACATGGATGTGGTGCCCAAGGGCGATCATACAAGGAGCAGTGGGCAGCAAATCCAGTGGCCTGAGTTTGAGTTTTGAACTGCCTTGCATTCGCTATTCAGGTATCCCTCTGTTCCCCTGGCAAGCTCATTTCCAATGCTCAGCAGTTTCTCAATTAGACAATTTGTTCTGTGGAAATGCAAAGTTTTAGAGTCAGACAGTTAACAACTGAGGAACCTTGAGCAAATTAATCAGTCTCTCTGAGCCTCAGTTTCTTATTTACAAAGGAATGATAATGATTCTTACCTCAGAATCTCTATGACAGCCTCATGTGGTGTAGTAAAGATTAAAAGAAGTGAAGAAGCAATCAATATATGTAAGGTGCCTGACACAGCAGATATTCAATATATATTAATGTCCCTTTCTCTCGTTTATTCCTGTAAAAAAAAACAAAAAAACAAACAACAACAACAAAAAAACTGCAGTCACCTAATAGATAAGGTACTGGCCTCCTTAAATTAAAAAAAGGAACAAA
This sequence comes from Homo sapiens, assembly GCF_000001405.40. Lineage (NCBI taxonomy): Eukaryota > Metazoa > Chordata > Mammalia > Primates > Hominidae > Homo > Homo sapiens. The sequence continues at coordinate 113,615,117 of NC_000006.12, forward strand.
TTTCTCTGTATAGCCATTCCAAAAAGGTTACAACTATATTGATATTTAATGTATAATTAAAGATTTGCTATTTACAAAGGGCTTTTACAAGTCTTAGCATTAATCCTCAGAAAAAGTTCCATAAAGTTATCCGAGCAAGGATTATTATCCTATTTATTTTACAAGAGAAAAATGAAACAACATTTTGAGTGCCCTCGAACAAATTATACAAACTTACTCAACTACTAAGTTACAAAGCTTTGTCTTAAACCTAGAGAATTAAGATATTTCTGGGAAAGTAGCAGAAAGTGCCCAGACTGGGCTGTAGTGCACATGACTGTTGTAAAAAACATAGCACAGGACATTCAGTATGCACTCCCTGAGCCATCACAGCAAAGGATTTTGCTTCTTTTCTCCCCCAACCATCCTCAGGTTATGCTCCCTTCTAGGGACATTCTCAGCATAGAAGAGAAAAGTATCCCCTTCCCATTTCCAAGAAGTGTTACGAACAGGGTGACATCTATCCACTTCTCTTCCACCTAAGAAAAGAGGCATGGCCAAAAGTCTGGGAGGCGCTGTGCACATCGTATTGGTATGATGCAAATGATTTCAGCTTGAGGTGCCTCCATTTTCAGCTGCAGTGTAGAGTCAATTTAATTGTGTCTTTTTTGTGATAGATAATTCATGAAACTGGTAGAGATATGGTTTAGGCTGGCAAAGGTGCTAGATAATCTCAACATAATAATCAGAAATGATCCTCTGGAAACTAAATTTAAAAATTGGAAAATAAAATTTCAAAAGAACGCCAGGTACAAAGGTCTCAGAAGACATAGAAATTTAGAAATAAATTTAGACAAAAAATATGCAAGACTTTTACACAGAAATCTGTAAGACATTGCTAGGGAAATTTTTAAAGAATTGAAAAATGGAGATAATACTATGTTTATGGATTGGAAGACTCAGTATTGTTCTCCATTCTTAGCAAATTAATCTACAGATTTGATGTAATCCCAATCAAAATCCTGGCAAGCTTTTTTTTAAAGAAATTCACAAGCTTATTTTAAATTATACATGAAAAAGAAAAGAATCTAAGGGGGAAAAACAATGTTTAGAAAGATAACTTACACTACTCGATTTTAAAACTTAACTGTGAAGCTATAGCAATCAAGATGGTGGAATAGAATAGAAAGTTCTGAAATAGATTCAAACATGTATGATGACCCTGTGGTAGGCAAAGATTTTTTAGATAAAAAAGGAAAAATCACTAAAAATAATTTTTTAATTAAAAATTTTAAAGTGCTTAAATTGGACTTTTTCAACAGTAAATCCTTCTGCTGTCTTCAAAAAAAAATTTTTTTAAATGAAAAAGCGGACTGGAAGAAAATATTTGCAACACCTTAATGGATACAGGAGTATATCCAGAATACATAAAGCATATCTCCAACTCAATAGGAAGGCAATTAATACAATTTATTTAAAAGGGCAAAAGATTTTAGTAGACTCTTCACAAAGACATGTGAATATCCAAGATGTTAAACATTAGTCATTTTGGGAATATAAATTAAAACCAATGTGATATTACTCTATACCCACTAGAATAACTAAAATTAAAGATTGGCAATATCAAACGTTGCCAAGGGAATTTTCATGCGTTGCCTGTGAGAGTGTAAAATGGTACAACTACTTTGAAAAGCAGTTTAGCAGTTTCTGACAAAGTCAAAAACATACCTAAGCATAAAACCCAGCAATCCCACTCCCAGGTGTTTACTCAAGAGAAATAAAAACACATGTGTACACAAAAGACTTGTACATAAACATTCAAAGCAGCTTTATTCATAATGGCCCAAACCTGGCATCAACACAATGTTCACCAAATGAATAAACAAATTATGGTATGTTCATATAATAAAATATCTTAATTTTTTTTAAAAAAATGACACATCACCACAGGGTTGAATCACACAGACATTATGCTGAGTGAAAGGAGACAATACAAAGAAATGCACAGTGCATGATTTTATTGTGTGAAATTATAAAACAGGCAAAGTCAGCCAGGTGCTGTGGCTCATGCCTGTTAATCCCAGCATTTTGGGAGGCCGAGGGGCAGATTACCTGAGGTCAGGAGTTCGAGACCAGCCTGGCCAATGTGGTGAAACCCCGTCTCTACTAAAAATATAAAAATTAGCCGGGTGTGGTGGCTTGTACCTATAATCCCTGCTACTCAGGAGGCTGAGGTAGGAGAATCACTTGAACCTGGGAGGCAGGGGTTGCAGTGAACTGAGATCGCACCATCATACTCCAGCCTGGGCAACAAGAGCAAGACTCTGTCTAAAAAAAAAAAAAAAAAAAAAAAAAAAAAACAAAAAAAGAAGAAGAAAAGAAAAGGCAGAGTTAATTTATGATAATAAAAATCAAATCAGCAGTTTCCTAAGTAGGGGAAAAAGGTAATTGACCACAAGTGGCCTAAGGAAGCTTTCTGGGGAGGTCAAAATTATTCTGTGTCTTGTTCTGGGTGATGTTCTACAGTGTCATAAACTTGAATATTTAAAATATATGAATTTTATTGCATGTACATTATATTTCATTATTTGATTTATATATTTGGTTGATTTTTTTCAAAAACCGACCTTGGTCAAACTTCCATAAGTAATCTTTTTCTCTCACTTTATAAAAATGTATGCAAATACATGTCTAGAACAGAGATTAGTCTGCATGAGGGTATAGATTCTACTGAGCTCCCCTCTTGATGTTCCAAGTACTTGTCTCCCCAGAACGTCAGTTCTGATATTCTTAAGATGGTGAGTAGTGAAAGAGGGTAATATTTCTAAAACTACTAACTGAATTAGATGATGACTATGCCCACAAATAAACAAAGTTCCAAAGGCTTTTAAAAAAATATTTTATTATGGAAAATTACAAACATATGCAAGAAGAGAGTATAGTATAATAAATTTTTATGTACCCGTCATGTAGCTTCAAGAGTCATCACTGTATGTTTATCTACATCCCTATACACCCCTCTCCCTGCCTCCCATTGAATTATTTTAAAGCAAATCCCGGGGGGTCATATCATTTCATCTGTAAATGCAAGAAGCTCTGAAATTGGATTCATTTGCTCGCACTGTGTCCTCTGCCTGAAATGTTTATCTCTTGCTCTTTATATGGCTGGTTCCTTCTCATCTTTCAGGTGCGACCTTTTCAGAAAGATCTTCCCTGGTCTCCCTATCTAAAATAGCTCACCTTCTACCTGAGTCCAGCTACATTTTGTCCTGGTAATCTGGACCCTGGGCTTTCATATCATTTTCCACAATTTGTAATTATTAGTTACTGGTTTTTCTCTGTCTTCTCAACTATACTCTAACTGCCACTGACATAGTACTATCACAGTGTCTGGAAGGTGATTAATAAATGATAGCTCCTCATTAATGAATCATCTGAACAATTAGCTTTTCAGAGGTCAACAATGAACATTTCTCCTCTATGTCGTGATGTTCGGGATAACCACCAAACATAAGTTGGTATTGCTTTTCCAGAATTTTCTAAAACCTTATCCCAAGGTATCAAGTAACCAATAGAAGTAGTACTTCTTTTGTATGTTTTTGTAAGAATTACAGAATGTTATAAGTGAAAGAGGCTTGAGAAATAACCTACATTCATAGGTCTGTTGGCTTTTAAAATGAAAAGAATCCTTAGAAAACATTTTGTTGAACTGATAACAGATAAGAAAACTTTATAACCCATACCTAATGTTGCAGAATTTGTGATTTACAAATGGCCATAATCTGAAAACTTCATCTAGAAAAATAGTCCATTTACTTGAGTGAGAATTGAACCTCATATAATATCAGAAAAGTAACTCAACTTTATGCTATCTATATATATAGTATACTCAGTTAAGCCATTTATTTGACAAATATTTATTTCCAACCCATTATGTTCCAAAAACCATTCTTGCAGCTGTATCAGTGAACATAACAATAAAGCTTACATTCTAGCCTATGTGTCAATATCGTAAAAGTACATCCTCTTGAATTTGCTACAGGATCATCGTAAGGTAATTTAGAAGAAAACACTTTTTATTATGTACTCAATAAAGGCAGAAAACAACATTTCCTTGTTGAGCTTATATTACCAAAATTCCAATGTCATTATTCAGCTTCTTCACTTTCTAAACTCTGATGAATGAGCCCCCACCACACCATAACGTTGCAGTAAGCTGGTGGCTGGGATTGGCGAGAACATTTTACCCCAGGAGCTTCCCTCCTGTGTACTCACTGATGTACAAACTGACTGCAGGAGCCCAAACCTTGTATAACAACCCTGGGATGGAATAAGATGCACTGTTGGGTCCAGAAGTGCCCCAAACACCTAATACATACACACTTGAGTTTCAGGTGACCCAAAATCAATCATTCTGCCAAGTCTGATTTTCTTTTCTTCTTCTTCTTTTTTTTTTTTTTTTTTTTTTTTTGAGACAGAGTCTTGCTCTGTCACCCAGGCTGGAATGCAGTGGCATGGTCTCAGCTCACTGCAATCTCTGCCTCCCAGGTTCAGGCAATTCTCCTGCCTCAGCCTCCCAGGTAGCTGGGACTATAGGTGCCCGCCACCATGCCCAGCTAATTTTTGTATTTTTAGTAGAGATGGGGTTTCACCATGTTGGCCAGGCTGGCCTCAATCTCCTGACCTCAGGTGATCCACCCACCTCGGCCTCCCAAAGTGCTGGGGTTACAGGTGTAAGCCACTGCACCTGGCCCTGCCAAGTCTGATTCATAAAGAAAGCTAGGCTCCATCACATTTTCTCCACAAACTTATGTAAACTATTCTATCCTCTTTCCTCACAATTCATTCACTCTTGTCAGAGCGCTATTCCCAAGGTGTAGTTTGGGAAATATGGGTGTCACGCTGACACTTCCTTCTACATTGGAGATAGAGTCAGAGGCAACCTCAGAAGTGAAGGGGCAGCAGCTAAGGAGGTGGGGACAAGCAGCAAGAGGGAAGGTAGGATTGGAGCAGGAGTGGAGCAGGTGCAAGAGTCCCTCCTTTCATCGCAGCCTGATGTCATTCCTCTGATCTCTGTCTCTCCAGGGTTCTCTTCTACCTCCACTATATGCAAGGGAGTTTTCCTAATTCCCTGATAAAAATTATTCTGATTCTCTGGATATTTGCTTGGCTCTCTAGTGACGTTTCTGGGAACTCTAGCTAGACTTGCTGCTTTACCTGCAGTCCAGGAGGTATCCACTCTGTGTGATCACAACTCAACAGAATAGGAAAGCAAGTCTAATAAGTGTGAGATTTTGAAACAATCAAGCTACAATAATTTTATGTTACCCCTCTAGAAAAGAAAATAATACTCACTGCATTTTTAGAATTAAAAAATAATGCAAATGTCTTAGTTTAACAGCTCAGATCTCAGTTGCCAAGTAACAAAACCCACAAGTTCTCTGTATTTTCCATGAGCTTTCAAAGTTTGTTTCTGGCATACCTCAGGGCAAGGAGGAACTTGTTGCTAAATATATTGCGTGTTCTCCCACAAGAAATTTGGGGACTTCTCAGAAAAACCTGGGAGGTAGAAGGGGTGATTGAAAAGTCACCACTAGCTTCTCCTTCTGAGCCGTTAAATCTTTTACTAATGAAAGACAAAGACTAATTGTTCCTCTCCAGGATGAAAGTTGCTTTGAGAAGCCAGAGGCATTTCTGAAAAGATGCAGCATTACCCTGGTGAGTTCAAGAAAGGGCATGCTGGAGAACAAGACCAAGATTCTATCTTCCTTGTAGTTTTCAAACACTCCTAAACCTGCAAAATTATATTCAGTGCACAGAACTAGATGACCAACCCTGTCTTGTCTCTCTGTCCCATACTCTTGGTGAAAATCAACATTGGCCTCCTCTAAATTCTTGTATACCTTATTCTCAATATAAGCTCTGGGTACTCATCACATGCTTCTCTGCCACTGGTGAACGCTGTGCACTTGTGATACCCCTAACTAGATCACAAGCTTCCAGAAGGCAGACACTTCTTATATTTCTGGTTTAATCCCCCACTGGCCTAGGAAAAATGCTCTATACATAACTTCTAAATAAAAAATTAATTAAGTAACTAAATATACCATATATGCCTAAGCTAAGGGAACATAAATATTATATGCCCCAAGTTCCCTGTTTCTTTCCCTAAATAACGAACACACACACACACACCTATAGATACTAACAGGAAAGCCTATTCTTTATTTCCATTAGCTTCCATTTCTAACTTTATTTGGCCTACACTGATTTGTTATAGTAAAATATATGAGGCCAGATGCAGTGGCTCACACCTGTAATCCCAGCACTTTGGGAGGTTGAGGTGGGCAGATCACCTGAGGTCAGGGGTTCGAGACCAGCCTGGCCAACATGGCAAAACCCCGTCTCTACTAAAAATACAAAATTAGCCTGGTGTGGTGGTGCACGCCTGTAATCCCAGCTACTTGGGAAGCTAAGACAGGAGAATTGCTTGAAGCTGGGAGGCAGAAGTTGCAGTGAGCCGAGATCATACCACGGCACTCCAGCCTGGGTCAGAGAGGGAGACTCTGTCTCAAAAATAAATAAATAAAATAAAATAAAAATAAATAAATAAATTTTATATATATATATATAAGTATATATAAGTATATATATATAAGTGTATATATATATAAGTATATATAAGTATATATATATAAGTGTATATATATATAAGTATATATAAGTATATATATATAAGTGTATATATATATAAGTATATATATGTGTGTGTATATATATATAAGTATATATATGTGTGTGTGTGTATATATATATATATATATATATATATACACACACATATGTTAGTAAATGGGCCTGTACTTAGTTTCACATTGTTTGTCTTCAATTCTGTGATTCCGTAGAATCACAGTGTTCCCAGGCTTTCTCCCTATTTCTTGTTTTCTGGGCTCCTTTGCAGGTTCCTGCTGTGTCCCATCCCTTAGCCATTTGCACTCCTCAGCATTGTGCCCATGTTCCTGCCTCAGCAATCACCCCAAATCATACCATCCATTACCATCTACACGATGGTGACTGCCAATTTTCTGTCATTAGACTCGCACTCTCCTCTGAGTGCTAGGCCCACAGAACCAATTGCCTACTGGACTTCTGCATATAGTGTCCCATAGACACCTCGAACCCTACATGATGCAAACCCGAATCATCTTCCTCTCCAAATGTACTCTCAGGCCTGTGTTCCTGATCTTTGAAAATGAGATTATCATCAAGCCAATTACCTAAAGCAGACACTGTCCCCTTGACCTGGCCGACCACCAGTTATCAATGGCTGTCGGCTCTACCTCTCCCATATATCCCTTTATCTCTATGATCACCAGCCTAGTTAGGCACCAGTGTCTCTCACCATATTACTGCAGTCCTATTCTAACGGGTCTCTCTACAGATGTATGGGCTTAACCCCTTCAGGTCATGTAATGCTGAGGTCAGAGTGATCATTCTAAAATATAAATTTGATCAATTCCTTAACTTGGCTTACAAACTTTTATGCAACCTCATTCAGCCCCAACACTAGCCTTCTTTCTATCCCAGCTAAATGTCTTTCCTACATCAAATGTGCCACACTGTCTCTTATTTTTGAGTCTTGGCTCATGTTGCTGCGTTGGCCTATCACACTCTTTCTGACCCCACCCCAGCTTTGTCTTAACTTATGCTTATTCTTCATTTTAGTCTCTGCCTCTTCCAAGAAGCCCTTTCCAGCCCCCCAGGTACAGGTTAGGTATTAGGTACCTACTTGGTGTTCCCAGAGCATGTGTATTTCTCTCTTTGATAGCATTCACCAAATCATTTGCTGGATTATCCTTGGCTATTTTTTTGTTCCGACTCTCCCATTAGCCACTCCCATGAGGACATAGATTCTATCTGTTTTGTTCAAAGTTTAATCCCCAGCAGCTGGCCCAATACCTAGAACATAGTATACATTCAGAAAATATTTGCTGATGAGAGTCTTGAATAATACATCACATGAAATCACTTTCCCAAAGTGAGTGGGATATTCTAAAGAGAAAAATATTTCTTACCTTGTATTTAAATCCAGATGTGGGTTTTCCCCTTTCTCAGCCTTATTGGTTGTTTTAGTTATCAAGCAAAGATGATTTCTTTACTAAGTGAGGTAGAGGCAGGGAAAGTACAGCAGAGACAGAGACAAACAGTTCCAGTGTCCAGTGAGAGCAGACTTCCCTTTCTCACCAGGTTCACACAGCATGGGGGCCTAGAAGCCTCTATGATGATTCCTCTGGAACTGCTATTTTCTTTGATTTATGAGTGGTTTGAGATGGAGCCAATAATAATGTACATTCCAAACTTCTGGTACACTCTGGAAGGTTGCAGATAGATTTTCTATGCACATTAAATACATAATAATGATGGTCATTCAGACTTCATACTTGGCAGATTGTACATTGAAGAGGACCTGTTTCTTATTTGGCTGTTCAAATCACCTGGAATGGCCATTAAATTCAAAGGGATTCTGTGTTTGACTCTCTCCAAGTAGATTCTGAGTAAGATAAGAAAAAGAGTGGTCTATTCAGTGGTTAGTAAACTCCTTAATCTGTGCATTTCAAAATTAAAGACCCATCTGTAATCCTACCACTTTGAGAGGCCAAGGCAGGGGGAAATATCTTGAGGCCAGGAGTTTGAGGCCAGCCTGGGCCACATAGCAAGATCCCATCTCTACAAAAATAAATAAATAAAAAATTAGACAGTGTGGTGGGCCTGTAGTCCCAGCTACTCAAAAGGCTGAGTCAAGAAGATCACCTGTGTTCCACGGCTGAACCCTGGAGTTTAAGTTTATAGTGAGCTATGATCGTGACATTATACTCCAGCCTGGGTGATAGAGCTTGTCTCAAAAAAAAAAAAAAGTTAAAGGCCAAAGTACAAAGAAACCCACCATCTTACTCAGAATAGATTAAGGAGAATGTTTTCAAGGAGGTGATTAAAACTAAAGGTCTCAGCTAGCAAAGCCCGTAGAAACTGTTAATTCCTTTCTGAGAAAAGAAACTGCCTAAATTAAATAATCACTCCACCAAAAGGCATTTAAAGGTCACTTTTAGCAGACTCCTCTTGTCAGGAACATCAGTGCCAATTATTTCTGGTGTGCTAGGGATACTAGTTACCTTGTAAGAACGAAAAACAAAACAAAACAAAAAATGAGCAAACAAAACAATTGTTTTGTCATATTTCTGGAGAGAGCGTATCTTAAATCCAGCAAACAGACCCTAGAAAAACAGGAAAAATCAGCCTTTTCAGCACTGAACTTATGAACCTAACCATGAAGCACGACTCAGACTGGGCCTTATTTAGAGTTATCTGGGTCTTGGGCGTTCTGATTCCTCCAACAGCTAGGTGCAGATGTGGTATGGTCAAACGCAAGATTCAAGTCAGGAGGCTCAAATTCAAATCTAAGCTTTTACACATAACTCAGGCATGTTACCAAATGTCTCAGAATTTAAGAACCTTCCTATTCGACAGGAAGATAGTGATATGTACAATGCCAGGCTATAGTGGCACTGAAACGAGGTAATGTATCTAATCTTTTAGATTAATCTTTTAGATTAGCTTATTAAAGGGTCTATACAGTGTGTGAACAGTAAATACTAGGTAAGAAATGAGCTGTGTGCACTTGGCCAACTCACTCCATTTCTCTGGATTTCAGTTTCCTCATCTGTAAAATGGGAAATAATTAATACCAATCCCTTACACTATATAGAGACACAGGGGCAGAAGTGGTGGCGGTGAAGACACCAGAAGCAAAGGAGGCCAGACCTTCAGCCTCCCCACTGCACACAAACTGTTCACAGGACAATCAAGGCAGGCCCTTCATCTGCATTTTTTTCTTTAGATGGATTCTCGCTCTGTCGCCCAGGCTGGAGTGCAGTGGTGCGATCTTGGCTCACTGCAACCTCCCCCTCCTAGGTTCAAGTGATTCTCCTGCCTCAGCCTCCCAAGTAGCTGGGATTACAGGTGCATGCCACCATGCCCGGCTAATTTTTGTATTTTTAATGGAGATGGGGTTTCACCATGTTGGCCAGGCTGGTCTCGAACTCCTGACCTCAGGTGATCCGCCTTCCTCAGCCTCCCAAAGTGCTAGGATTACAGACGTGAGCCACTGCACCTGGCCACATCTGCATTTTTGTGTGTGCTTTAAACGAAAGAATGTATGGAAAGAACTTAACATTAACACATTATATTATAAAATAAAAGCAATTCTTAATATACTGTTCCATAAATTTTAACTTTTGTAAAACAAATACATATTTCTTAGTTAACTACTGTTTAAGCCCTCGATTCATACCTTAATTAATTAATCAAGCCCTAATTAATCCTGAAGCTAGGCTCCCTCCAGGGGGTTAGTCCTGGTGTTTTCCTAGGCCTGCTGAGAAGAGAAATGGACAGTGACCCTGTGATCAGATGAAATTCCAAAGACAGTCTCCACTGGACTCACACTCAAGCTCCCTGCCTCCATCTCTAGAGAACTGCAAGTAAATTACTTCCCAGAGCTTTGGGAGCCTCAGCGAACAACATATGGATTAGAGAAATGGGTTAGTCTGTCTCCTGGCCTCTCTTCTAGGAGAGAAGACAATCTGCTATAGAAGTACCAAATATGAAGGTTTCACATCTACTTCGCATCTTTTTGAGTTGCTTTTAGCAGCAACCTGGAAAGCTCCTTCACTTATGCCCAATACTGCAAAATGTTGGGCTTGTGAATTTAGAAACACTGTCAACACTTTGCTGCAGGTTGATATTAATTGATATTAAATCACCACGGAATATCTGTAGAAATGCACTAGATGCCGAAGGCTTTCTGACTGAAGAAAGGTAAGCACAATGAAATAATTAGATATGATTTGCCATTTCTTTACAAATGTTGCTACATACTCAATTCAGCAGCATGTGGTTTCTCACTTTCATTATTAGCTTGCTTGTATTCATTGTGTCTAGCTCTCTGGAAGTGGTTTTTTAAGTCCTTGAAAATCAAATAATGCAGTATTAAAAATCAATTTACTAGGTTAATCATAATGCTTTTCTCATTATGGTGTGCACATGTAATACCAGCTATTCGGATGGCTGAGATAGGAGGAGCACTTGAGACCAGGAGTGCAAGATCAGCCGGGGCAACACAGCAAAACCCAGTCTCTAAAAAAAACTAAAATAAAAATAAAATAAATAACGCTTTTCTCAGCACTACCAATTCAACTGAAATGTGGCTCTGTAACAATACTGAGAGAATGCAGGACTTTCAAACATGTTTAGGGAAGAAAGTGGGTACCCTGGATTTAGACATGGAGTTACCACTAGATATTTGAGGAATATATGTAAATTCCAAAGTTATTTAAAATGCTTCTCTACCCAACAAAGTTGGGATCATGGGGAAGATATATGTGCTGCTTACCAATATTTCTAGCTTCCCTCTTTTAGGACAAGGGAATATTATACTGTCTACAACCTTCGAATTATTAACAGATGTAGCCATGTGACTTCTTTTGGCCACCAGAAGGAAGTGTTTCATTTCTAACATTCTCCTGACCTGCCTGGCTAGCAGGGATGCACACACAGCAGAGCCATCACATGAGTGAGGGATGCCCTTGAGAATCACTCAGCCATTTAGCAGACTTTGCATGAGCAAGAGAGAAACTCTGTCACTTTACAACAGATTTATTTGCTTCCATAGCATGGCCTAGCCTTTCTCATCAGTACAGAGTCCACCAAGCCCTACCATAGCAAGCTTCTTTGGGTCCCTAAGCATGTCCTCAGTATTGTCCATTCACTCTTCTCACTACTCATTCTGTTCTCCTGCCTCCCTTTCATAAGGACCCTGATGTATACATTGGGCCTACCAGGATAACATACCCCATCTCAAGGTCCTTAACTTAATTGCATCTGCAAACATCCTTCTGCCATATAAAATAACACTCTCAGCTGGTGTCTTTTAATCATCTTACCTCACCTTGCTCCTCTACCATTCCACACGCCTTCTCACCCTTGGCTAACACAGTGTCTTAAACATACATCCCTGCTGAATAAATGAATGCTTAGTTCAAAATGTATACCATATCAGAATCTCTGCTTTATCAAAAGCCCAAACAATATGGTTAATAAAGCTACACACACACAAACATACACACAAAGAAAAAGCTAATGCACCTCATAAAACAAAACTAGGTAAGAAAGTTGCTCAATCCAGGCTATCAAAATTAATGGGAAAAGGAAGTAAACGATCCTCTCATACTGACACTCAGTAGTAAGTCCTTAAGAAATATTAAAAAATGCATCAAGTCTACGATTCTTTGCAGAAACACATATATTGTATATACTTATACCAGTAGTGAATACATATGCATGGAATCAAATCACCAATAGCTCAGCAGAACCTAAGCCATATGTCTTCTTGCAGAGAGTTGCTTATTAGCTGTCTTTCATTCTTTCCATATTAGACAATTCGAGAAAGGTAGAGACAGTTATTTCATTCTTCTCAGTTCTATTTCTGCTTTCTTAGTGTCTTCATATTCATCAATTCACAAGGGCCCTGAGGTGAGAAAACAGAACAAAAATCTCTCTTTAAACATGTGATCTCTCAAATCTGCCAAACTTGGTGACTTCATGATAATTGTTTCAACCACTTTCTTCTGCTGACCCAATACTTAATACGCCATAAGATTGAAGACATTCTCTTTTATCTGCTGTTCAATTTGCTTGCTCTCCAGCCATTTACCTATAGTTTTCATCATTTTTTCAGAAGTACAACCTTGACAATTCTGGGATCTTCCAATGGTGAGTTTAAACTAACTTGAGCAACTGTCTATGGGGCTTCTAATTATCCCATGAATGAATCCAATAATTGAGTTGAAAATAAATTTCAACCACAACAATACAGTTTTAGCTCGAGGCAGGTTCTGAAGTAGAAACTAAAAATATGAGACTAAAGTATTATTTTAAGGGGCTATTACAGGGAGAAAATGGTAAAATTTTTTTGCCTCTGTCAAGAACTACATGGGGGTTAGCAGCCACATAGTGGCCTGAGGCCTCGGAGGGGATGGCCTCTTTGGCTGTGGCTGTGAACTAGGATCAGCTGAGCCACAACAGTGAATCCCACAACATTCTCTGACACCCCGGACTAACCCCCTGCTCCTACAGACTTTCTGCCCTTGAACTTCACAGCTGCTCTCATCTCCTTTCCAGGTTTGTCAATTCTAGGTTTTCAGCTCACTTTATTCCCTAGCTTAGTTTCTGTTTCTTTATTCATAAAATAATGTTACAAGAATGAATAAGGTAAATATGTAAAACATGAGCATAATACCAGTATACTAGATCACACAAAAAAAATGTTACTTGGTTCATTCATTCATGTAATCACTTAATGTACAAGTAAGTCTTTCCACTAGGTGTGGGAGATATTATGACCAAAAAGTCACAGTGCTTATCCACAATTATTCCACACTACAGAGCAGAGTTTTTGAGCTAGAATCTATGGAACTCTAGGGTATGGATATATATAACTTCAGAAGGTCTGTGAACTTCTGAAATTGTGAGCAGAATAATGTTATGTTTATATGTGCTTTATGTTTTATTTTATAATTATCATTATTTTTTTAGACAGGGTCTCACTCTGCTGGCCAGACAGGAGTGCAGTAGCATGATTACAGTTCACCACAGCCTTGAATTCCTGGGCTCAAGAGATGCGCCCATCTTAGTCTCCTGAGTAGCCAGGACTATAGGATTGTGCCACCACACCTGGCTAATATATTTTTTTAATCTTTTCAATAAAGGTCAGGTTTTGCTATGTTGCCCAGAATTGTCTCAAGCTCCTGGGCTCAAGTGATCCTCCTGCCTCAGCCTCCCAATGTGCTGGGATCATAGGCATGAGCCCCCACACCCAGCCAAGAGTACTTTTCTAAAGAGAGAAGGTCCATTTCTTTCAACAGATCCTCAAAGGGATCTGCATTGTGGTCATTCTTGGTTTTCACCTACCCAGCACGCCTCTCCTGATAACACAACACATTCCTTCCCCTTGAAGAAGTACCATTTGCCATTCTCAATTGATATGGTTTGGATAAGGGCCAATCCCACCACCTGCCTCCAAGATTAGCCCCCATCCAAACCATATGGATTGAGACTGGCCAAGCTGGGCCAAACAAAGCAAAAAGGACATATACTTCCCAACAAAGCTTCAAAACTTGTAGAATTTAAGCCATAAATGTTTATAGCCATCTTTGCCATCATGTGAGGAAGGCTGCCTAAAATAGAATAAGGAAGAAAGCTAAGTCAAAAGCTGAAAAAAGGCAAACTTACAGAACTTTTGTTGAAAGAGTTAATTTCAGCTAAAATTGAGGTCAATTCCAGCCTGGGACTTTTTGGTTACATAAGCAATAAAGTTCTGTCTTCCTGAAATCTGTTAGAATTTTCTTTCCCTCCTTTTCAGTGAGATTCAATCCTGCTAATTCAGTTTAAATCTCCCATACCCACCTCCCCCACTCACCAACAAATAAACAAAACTCCTAGTTTATTGTCCCAGATACTAAGCTATCCAACCCATGGGTTAGGTATTCAACTTAGCTTTATTAATCATAGGGCTCATTACTTTATGTATCCTGAAATACAAACTCCACCCCACCACCAGGCCACAGTTTACCATGCCCCTCATTTTACTTTATCTCCACATCCACTTCTTCCAACCTTGCAGAACCCAAAAACAGAGATCATGTTTTCCTCTAATTGACTCTGAGCCACTTACAGAATCACAAAAGCACCAAAATAGTTTCCTCCCTGTGTTTTCCCTCCATATTCAATATGTCAAAGTGATTATACATCCTGTGTCCCCAATTAACATAGTAGCATTCAATATTTAGTACACTCTGAATACATATTGGTGGAATAAATAAAATAAGCCATGCTGGAACTTTATCTGTTGTTCTTAAAAGAAAGAGAAGCTGCCAGAATTGGAGCTTGATCCAGGGGCTTCCCAGGGGACCATCCTCTAGGGAAGAAGATGTTGGTTTCATAGTTACTTGGTCCATTACAGTTCACAGAGGACAGTGCACACAAAATCAGAAAAGCAGGTGGGCTTATTGCAGTAAACGTGAAGCAATAGCTAGTTTCATTTTGATAGCACAAATTTTAGACCCTACCCTAATGAAACTATAATACATGAATAAAAAATGAAAGTTAATATATGAAAATGAAACCAATCATTACAATAAAAGGATGGGATTGAGGCTATATTTTCTAATTATGAAAAATCTCTTTTATGATATTTAATGTGATTTAAAGGATTTTCAAAACACTTAGTACAAATCTCTATGTAAATATTAATGTTTAAAAAATATTGCAGCCTAGGCAACATAGCAAGGCTCTGTCTCAAAAAAAATATTGCAGACTATTCACTTATGTTACAACATATACTCAAGTGGGAAATTCCCTGGTGACAAAATATCTAGAAAGTATGCCAATAAACACACACACACACACACACACACTTCAATTAAAGGAATGAGCCCATTTAATGAAATGGACTATCTCTTATCATGATATGTAAATAGCATTTCAGTTATAGAAAAAATACTACAAAAATCACTAGAGCAATTTTTTTCATTGCAAGACCTGAACATAAGGTGTATATTTTTGTAACTGTGTTTTTTAGAAAAGAAGAAGTAAAAGAAGAACCACCTGCACCTAGGTGGCAATTCCCCATCACAGGGGGAGGGAGCCAGTCTTGGCCACTGGGCACAGAAGAGACTGCTTAGGAAATCCCTGTGAGCTCTAAAGGAAGTAAGAAAACACAGAAATGCAAAGCTCCAATACTCCCCCACGTATCACAGACTCCTCTAAATTTCCCACTGGGTGTTTCAAGAGTTGGTCCTGGTGAGGTGGGAGGGGGAGACCAAAGGGAAGAGAAAAAAAAAAACAAAGGCCATTTGTGGGGAAGCTGAAAGGACATGGAGGTACAGAGGCAGAAATGGTGGCAGTGACGACATATGGGGCAAATATGCCCAGACCCTCAGCCTCCCCACTGCACCCACACTGTCCACAGGACAATCGGGGCAGGACCTTCATCTGTGTCCTCCGGTTGAGGGGTTGCCTACATAATCTGAAAGAGAAGCGTGAAACTCCAGAAGGGGAAAAAAATGCCTCTTTTGAAGGGGACTTCCCTTGCCAGTGAGGTTTCAGATCATGTTCTGTAACAGCCTACTGGCCTGTGACAGGGCCTCCAGGAAATGAGACAACTCAGATGCAGAGTACTAAGGGAAAAATTTCAGTAGTGGCTTGAGAAAACTAACTGTTGAGTCTGACAAAGCAAAGTTCTAAGATAGTGCGAAGTATAACTAGGGCTGCTTTGAAAAGGAAACCCAGAGAGCAAGGACAGGTGTCGCTTAGTTTTAAAAAATAATTAGAGCTTCTGTTTATTGAAAGCCTACCATGTGTCAGGAGCCTTGCATGCCTTATCTCTTACTCTTACATCAGATGATATGAAATTGACATTATTATCCCCATTCTCATCTGTAAAGTGAGAAAACATACTCAGATAAATTAAGTAAATTAGCCAACATCATCCAGTTCCAGGGCCACGATTCAAGCCAAGGTCCATCCGATACCAATTACTATGCTTCTGCCTTGGCCCTTCTGTCATTAATTCATGTGGTTCACTGTGAAAGTCATGGACTTCTTTAAACCTAGATTTCCCCTTATGACATGGTACAAGTAAGCCTAAAGTTAGATAAAATCATAGCCTATGATGAGCTAATTTAAGCTTCAATCTGTCTCTGTCACTAGCCAGTTCTGTGGAAATGGACAACTCAAGTAACTTCTCCAGGTCTCAGTGTTCCCATCTAAAAAGTGGGGTTGTAGTGGGCCTCTACAGCTCTTGACTTCTATGAGGCACACCGAGTCCTCACATGCCAACATAAAAAAGGAAATTTCAAAATTGTCTTTGTTTTTTAACAAAGTATATGAGGGGATTATTCCAGTTCTCTATGAATAATATATATATTTAAAGAGCCTATGTTTAAAAAATTAAAATGCTTTAAAACATTTTCTAGATGGCCTTACAAATGGAAAAAAAAAGTATTCCTAGCCAACCCTCTGTCAGCAGAAAGGCCACACAGAAAAAAGCAAATCACAATTCTTTACCCCTCTCAGCATAAATCATTACTCACCGTGGGAAAATGATTACTTGCCAGGAAGTAGAACCTATGAATCATTATACTGTTGTCCTCGACCTCTGATAGAGCAAGAATTAGGGGAAAGACTGAAAAGCTGGGGAGTGAACTCTGATTTGACAATAGTTCCACTCATGGCATCGTAAGGCAATGAAAACAGAAAGCTGATCGAGCCGTAGGGCTGTCAAGTCCCGGTGCTGCTGCAGTGCACGTCTGAACCCAGAGCAGAATGACATGGGCCCCTGACTTTCTGAGTCACTCCTTGGGTCTGAGTCTTCACAGCCCCAGAGTCATTTATCAGCAAATAGAAACAATGCCATCCCTGGGCTTGTCCCGACAGTCAACCTACTTGTTAATGCCTGTGTAAGAGATACCCAGCTTGGAAATAGGAGCAAAAGTCACAAGGAAGGGATTAAGTTGCCTAACATCAGCATTCATTTCCTAAAATAAAAACACATGAAAGATAGACACCACAAATATGTGTTCCCTTGTGGTATCAGCAAATATTGTGCTATAATTTCTCTACTGTTGCTAATAAGCTATGGCACACAACTGTAAATTCTTTTTTTTTTTTTTTTTTTTTGATACAGGATCTTGCTCTGCCATGCAGGCTAGAGTGCAGTGGCACAATAATGGCTCACTGAAGCCTCGACCTTTCAGGCTCAAGCAATCCTCCCACCTTGGCCTCCCAAATAGGTAGGATAGGGCAGGTGTGGTGGCTCATGCCTGTAATCCCAGCACTTTGGGAGTCTGAGGTGGGAGGATTGCTTGAAGCCAGGAGTTCAAGACCAAATAGCTAGCACTACAGGCATGAGCCGCCATGCCCAGCTAATTTTTGAGTCAGGGTCTCACTATGTTACTCAGGCTGGTCTCAAACTCCTGGGCTCAAGCGATCCTCCCACCTCTGCCTCCCAAAGTGTTGGGATTACAAGCATGGGAGCCACCTGTAGGTGGGTGAGGAGCAGTGATCCTCCCACCTCTGCCTCCCAAAGTGCTAGGATTACAGACATGGGAGCTACCACACCCAGCTTGCAAATACTTTTTATATTATGTTTTTCTACATGGCCTTTGATGTCTTTAGAAAATGTTTGTTTTAAGCAAGGATCTTTTTGTGACTAAAAGCACAGAAAAATACAACATAGTTAGTATGTTACACACCAAATATACAAAATCCTAGAAACTTATAGAAGGAGATAGGAAAATTGATCTTATAACTAATCTGAATATTGTTCTCTACTTTCCTTAATGTTTTTAAAGGTAGTGAAAGTAAAACTATATTGTTCTGATGATGTAGAAGGGAGAATGTTTAAAATTCCTCCCAGTTTCAGGAGGAGATATTAGAACCTGTCTTTATTATACTGCATTGATTAGAGGGAAGAGGGTATTACAGCCAAAGTGTTACCTAACCATTAGACTTTCACTGTATTTGATCCCACCTTCTTACTAGTTTAAATAAAATTTAAGCATGTACTACCATATATCTATGTTTTTATTTATGAATGACATAATCATTATTAATTTATTGTGAATAATATAAATCATTCATAAAAATTCATCTTTTTAAAGATTATATTTATTAATAATGATACATTTATATATTTTTATTATTCTCTTTTTCTGTACCTCAATAGATCATGTGCACCCCACTTTGGGACCACTGACCTTTTAGCTTGCTTGTCATGATAGAAGTCATCTACTAAAGGAACTCTGGAATGTTTGAGTCTCTAAATAATCTTGTTATAATCCAAAATAGCCTGTTAATTTCAAGATTGATCTTCAGGCGACTAAACTAAGCACTCATAAGAAATCACAAGGTAAAAGAGTTCAGGTCACTGTTTGGTTAGCTTACAAAGAGTTACTTCTATTTCCCTAAATGTTTTTGAATCACTGCCCTTTGGCTCTGAAGGGACAACTAAATATCATCTCATCAGTAATGCCATTTTCCCTCAAGTGTCTTTAACACAGAGCTGTTTCTCTAGAAGAGAACAAGGTTATATAAATGGGAGAGAACATGTCTCCCTCCAAGATAGTTATGCAACATGGGGAAGATTCCACAGAAGAGAGACAAGGCTGAACAGAGATGATGGTTCTTTTACTTGGACATGGTGATAACTTGAGTTTCTAGATAAACTTGAGTACTATTACTCAGTACTGGTACTGTTGGAAGAACACATAAAACGTCTGGCACAATCAGTGAAAGAAATATGGGCCTGGGTCCGGGTGTTAAATGGGTACAGGAAAGCACTAAACCTCTCACACTCACTCTACACCTACATGCCCCAAATCACAAAATTCCCCTACTTGAAGAGCGTACACTCCCCACTCAATTCACTTCCCATTTAAAAGTGTATTTGTTTGCTTTTCTAAAGATTCCTAGTGGGTTGGGGAAACTCACTAAACCACTATTAACACTTAGTGTGACCTTCAGGAAGAGGCCTCATGGACTAATAAATGTGCTAAGAGGATCTGAAATGTTGGTGATGGGGGTGTGGCAGAGAAGGAAGGATGAAAGGGAGAAACCCGTTTAGAAAGCCTATTGATTTCTAAGGGGGTAATGCTGGGGTGGGGGAAAGTAGTGAATAAATTATCTGACAGGCAAGCAACATCATTCACACTTTTGTTTAGAAATCATTCTAATGACAGCCACCCTAAATTTTGGTTCTATGTTGGGTTAGTTCCACAATCACTGAAATGAGGAAGTGAGCTCAACAATTTTGTAAACCTCAGAGTTGACAAGAAGTTATGAAAATTCCCAGTGGGGTTACATTAGACTCTAGCACTTACTTAAACAAGGAAAAGCAGGGAGATTCCATTGATGAATCATATCTAAGGGACAAGGGAGGCTGTAGGGTTTTCTCAGACAAAATGGGTCTTTACAAAATTGGAGAGAACCAAATGGAGTTAACAAGTTTGGAAGATACAGGTGTATTTCCCATAGAACATGAGAATGAACACTAAATGAGAAATTCTTGGAAACAAAGACTGATGCAAGAAGAATGCCTGGTTGGAAGTGAAAAAAGCAAGAGCAAAGATGCTGGTTCTGAGGCCAGAGGCAATGTTGGGGAAGGATCTTGGGACTGAGTCAGCTGGGACCAAGGAAGAGCCAACCATACCTGGATGGATTTAAGGAATGCTAAGACAGGTCCAAAGTTGGAGAGAAGAGGTAACCAGAGAGCCTGAGGACAGGGCCAGACACTGTAATACCAAATTCCTTACAGAATCAGCAGGGTAGCACAATGTCTCCAGGGCAGGAGAGATGACCTTGCCAGAGGTATTTTGATGGTAGAGGCTGAAGGAGACAGAGATTAAGTGTACCGAGAAGAAGTACATTTATGGGAGACTAACATAGATGAAAATTTCTTGTAAAGTTTTTTCCTGTTGAACACATCTGCTATAAAGGCTTTGGCATCAAATTTTGTATGATACAAAAATCATAACAGCACTGAAGTGACTAATAAATGTGTAATGTCAAACCTAATGTGAGCATAAAAAACTTTGAACACCTTAGATGGTAATTTGGAAGGTTCTAATTGCACCTTGACAACAAAACATAAACATTAGAGTCTACATGATGTCAAAACATCTGAATGGAAAAAGAAAAATAAGCATCTTTTTCTGCAAAGCCCAAACATTTGTATATTTTGGAAGACTAAATATATATTTGATAAAACCACAGTATATAAAGTCAAGGCATTTTATGATCTTCCTGGATGTAATTATTTTCCATGACTTTGTGTAATCATGGTAAAATAGTGATAGTTCAATAACTGATAACTAACTATAATAATAATTAACATGTAACAGTGACTGAGTTTCCAAATAACTGTATGATGTATGTATTTTTAGTGCCTGTATTTTGTACATGAGTCTTTTACAAATAAAGTGATTTGCTCAGTCACACAAAGGCAGAGGCAGGACTCAGAACTATACTTACCTGTTTCCAGAATCCTAGCTCATCCTACAACTGGCCATTTACATAGTTTTAATTGGTTTTAAAAAGTTTTTTTTTTACATTAGAAATCATTTCTGTAATAACATTTTATCTTATTGCATCCTGTTTTATTACAGTGAAAGGACCTGCTTACTTATTATCTCCCCAGCTACACTGGAATTCTTCCACAGCTTACATGAGGTCATCAGCCTCTGGCCATGTCTGGAAAACAGCAGGAGCTCAACTAATGTTTATTAAACTAAACTAGATCTAAAATGGATACAAAATTAACAGTTCTGGCTGAGCACAGTGGCACACACCTATAATCCCAGCACTTAGGGAGGCCAATGTGAGAAGATCACTTGAAGCCAGGAATTTGACACCAGCCTGGGCAACACGGAAAGATAACAAGACTCTGTCTCTACAAAAAAGTTTAAAAATTAGCCAGGTGTGATGGTGCATACCAGTCATCCCAGCTACATGGGAGGCTGAGGTGGAAGGATAGCTTGAATCCAGGAGTTAAAGGTTGCAGTGAGCTATGATCACCCAACTACACTGCAGCCTGGGCAACACAGAGAGACCCTGTCTCAAAAACTAAATAAATAAAAATAGAAGAGTTTTGCTAGAGTTCAGAAAGCATGTCAGATCATTTGCATCTTAATTAATGGTACATTCGCTTCTAGACTTAAGCAAACAAGTTTCATCTACAACTTTGATTTCATTGGTTCTTTCAATATTAACATAACTTCAATGCAGTTTTATTGCTCTACATGTGTGTAGTTCAGCTTGTTTATTATGACTTTCCTTTTTGTTTTCCCTCAAGTTGATTACCTGCCAGCTTTTCTACACTTCTTTCTCACTCCCCACCTTGTCACTGCCTCTAGACAAACCTATTTAGTCATTTGTTAGATTAAAGATAAAAAAGACACAGGAAGAAAAAACAAACATGAACCTTGGGCATAGACTTTTTTTCTTGTCTTTCTTTCTTTCTTTCTTTCTTTCTTTCTTTCTTTCTTTCTTTCTTTCTTTCTTTCTTCCTTCCTTTCTTTCTTTCTCTCTTTCTCACTTTTGCTTTTTTCTTTCTTTTTTTTGATGGGTTCTTTTTTTTTTTTTTTTTTTTTTTTTTGACACAGAGTCTCGCTCTTGCTGCCCAGGCTGGAGTGCAGTGGCACAATCTCGGCTCACTACAACCTCTGCCTCCCAGGTTCCAGCAATTCACCTACCTCAGCCTCCCAAGTAGCTAGGATTACAGGTGCCTGCCACCACACCCAGTCAATTTTTGTATTTTTAGTAGAGACGGGGTTTCACTGTATTGGCCAGGCTGGTCTCAAACTCCTGACCTCAACTGATCCGCCCACCTTGGCCTCCCAAAGTGCCAGGATTACAAGCGTGAGCCACCACACCCAGCCCGAGACGGGTTCTTATTATGTTGCCCGGGTCCAGGCTGGTCTTAAACTCCTAGGGCCAAGGGATCCTCCTGCCTCTGCCTCCAGAATAGCTGGGATTACAGATGTGCCATTGCGCCCATCTTTAGACTTTTAATTTTATTTCCCAAATTACTGTAAAAGCAGCTTAGAATTATTTTTTTCTCTTCTGTTTTAGCCCATGTTATAACCTGGACAGGCAACTACTGATTCTTAATGTCTGGCCACTGATTTTTAAGTGCTTAAATATTCAAAAGTTTGTTAAGCATATTATTTAATATTCACTTATTATTCAGAGTCTGTGCCTAGGCAGAGCTCCTAATAAAAACACAGAAGACAACTGTTGGCATTCATTTTCATGCCATAATCAAAATACATTTCCTGATGGTGGGGAGTGCTTGCATGACCACCTCCCTGCAGAGCCAGGCAGGGGTGGTCACTACAGGTTAATCCAGATACTAGAGCTATTTTCAAACACTCCCAATGCCCATAAGGAGAGCAGGCTAGGAGCAGGGCCCATGGCTATCCATCAATGTGAATCTCTAGATCCATCCCTTCTATTTGCTTTCCTGCAGGATAAATACATTTTTTGAACTTGTACTGATCAATTTCAGCTGCATAGAAATAGAGATAGGAATATAACAAGCTCTACCTCTTTTCTCTGCAAGCCATTAAACAGATGTCAATTCTGATATGTTCTCCTCTAAAGGGACACATTCCAGTCCTAATTTCCAGAACATACCAGGTCAAAATGTTATATGCCATTTTAAACTTCCTTCTACCTTCCCCAAAGAGTCAGCAACTAATTAATTCTTAAGAAAGAAAGGAGAGGACTATGAGATTGTGTACTGAAAAATTAACACTTCAAACCCAAAATACACATGAGTTCAAATGCTGCTTCTTAAATAGATTATCTGAGCTATATTTCCTCCAGAAGCCTTGTTTTCCTGATCTGTAACATGAAGACAGAATATACTCTCATCAGGTGGTCATGGGGATTAAATGATATTTACATACACCTACTATATACACATACACATATATATAGTTATATACATAGTTATACATGATCCGTATAATACATACACTCTTACATACACACACAGTGTATAGCATAGGACTCAGTAAATGGAAGCCACTGCTTATCAGTCAAACAGTACTTATTAAGTCCTAGGCAAAGTTTAGGATTCAAAAGAGGTCCAATTTTATTCCTTTCTTCAAAGAGCTTAGGATATTATTTAAAAGTTAGGATAAAATTTTTGAAACATAATACATAATTAAGACATAAATTGTGTAATTTTTACTACATATATTGTAATTCAAAAAAAAATGAAGTAATACATAAAGATGGGTTGAATTTTTTTTAATAACAAAAAAAGTTTAAGGCCAGGTGTGGTGGCTCACGCCTGTAATCCCACCTATTTGGGAGGCCGAGGCAGGCAGATCACCTGAGGTCAAGAGTTCAAGACCATCCTGGCTAACATGGAAAAACCCTTTCTCTACTAAAAATACAAAAATTAGCTGAGTGTGGTGGTGCATGCCTGTAATCCCAGCTACTTGGGAGGCTGTGGCATGAGAATCGCTTGAATCTGGGAGGCAGGAATTTCATTGAGCCAAGATCCCGCCACTGCACTCCAGTCTGGGTGACAGAGCAAGGCTCCATTTCCAAAAAAAAAAAAAAAAAAGTTTAAATGCATATGTAAAGTTATTCTTTGAACACTAAAATAGGAACCAAATTTAAATAATACAGAATAGTTGTCTATTTTGTTCCATAGCATGGTCTAAGTTAGGACACAATAAAATGCATATACAATTACTAAGCGTTTAGCGTGGAATTTTCTTCTCCTTATGTTTCACCAATATCTAAACAGCCTTAAAAGACTATTAAAAAATACTTTTCCAACTACTATTTTTAGGGACATAAGTATCAAAATATTACCTCTAATATAAATTTATTGTACAGAATTTACATTTCATAAATTTATCTTAAAAAGTCAGGACCTCGTAGGCAATGATCTCATTTCTTCTCACATTAATGAATTATATTTTAGAGAAATTCGAGGTCAAGAGAGCCTTGATAAAATGGCAAATCATAAAAAGCAAAAGCAAATTAACACTGGGAACACTCAATACATTTGCCTAGTGAGTAAACAATAAGCATCCAGTTGCTATTGATAGCCTAGGTTGACTGGGAGATCTCTTACATCCTAGGGTAATCAAAGTTGGTTACTCAAAAAGGTATTTTCTTTAGATTATTTACTCATCTAGTCAATTCCCTAATATGAGCCTGGTATCGTGTTGTAGGGAGCTGACATTATACAGGTAATCACTGCAATATAGTAAGTGTTTCGATGCACAAATATACAAATTGCTTGGGAAGCACATAATCACAGAAGAGGAAATGCCAAATTGTGGAATAGTTAGGAAGGGTTTCACTGAGGGAAATATTCATGCTGGTTATTTGACAAACAGTATCCTTGAGAAGTAGATCCCAGTAGAAGTCTCTGAGTTGTCTGCCTGGTCTCCTACCTGAGCAACCAGCACTTTATTCCTTGGCCAGATAAATGTGAGCCAAAATACCTTGTGGTTTCCTTGGAAATGCAGCTTAGCAACCATTTCTGGGGACAAAAGTCCATAGTAATAGGCACCTGGCTGTTATCATGTTTGATGGGCCTATGTCTTTTCTTCTTTTTTAAGGACCTTAATACACCTTCCTTCCATCTCTGACTCTATATTCTCAACACTTAAAATTAACAGGGTTAGTAAGCAAGGACCAGTGGGAACAAGAGAAGGGAAAATTGTCTAATGGGCAGTTTATTCATTCAGTCCTTGGGAGTTTTCAGTGAGCAGGTTGGATATATTTCCAATGTTTTTCTCAAATTTTTAGGAAAATTAACTATTAAAGTTTTTTTTTAAATAAAAAGATGTTTATAGGCTGGGCACAGTCACTCATGCTTTGGGAGGTCAAGGCAGGAGGATCACAAGGTCATGAGTTCAAGGCTAGTCTGGGTAACATAACAAGAACCCATCTCTACAAAAAAATTAAAAATTAGCTGGGTGTGGTGGCATGCACCTGTAGTTCTACTCAGGAGGCTGAGGTGGGAGGATTCCTTGAGTCCAGGAATTGGAGGTTGCAGTGAGCTATGATCACACCACTGCAGCGTTCCAGCCTGGGCAACAAAGTGAGACCCCATCTCTAAAAAAAATTAAAAATAAAAAAAAGGGGCCAGATGAGGTGACTCACTCCTGTAATCCCAGCACTTTGGGAGGCCAAGGCAGGTGGATCACCTGAGGTCAAGAGTTTTTGACCAGCCTGACTAACATGGTGAAACCCCATCTCTACTAAAAATACAAAAAATTAGCGGGGCATGATGGTGGGCGCCTGTAATTCCAGCTACTCAGGAGAATGGAGCAGGAAAATCGCTTGAACCCGGGAGGCGGAGGTTGCAGTGAGCCGAGATCACGCCATTGCGCTCCATCCTGGGTGACAAGAGCGAGCCTCCATCTCAAAAAAAAAAAAAAAAAAAAAGGCTATTTATGTTGTTTTAATTGGGAAAAAAAAACTTTGAAAAAAATAAAAACTGAATAACATATAGAGCTGATAAAAAGGATTACAGTACCTATATACATACATAGCATTATTGAAATATATAGAATATAAACACCTATCATATACAAATCTTCTAAATAAGACCTTATCTGAAGATTTCAGTCATTAACTCAAAAAACACTGCTTCTCCATGCTGCTTATTAAAATCTGCTTCAACAAGTCCTTTACACTCCTGACTCAGCCATGCAGGTACATATTTTTAGTTCACAGGATTAATTAAAAATATTTATTAAACTTTCTGGCCTATCCCTCAGCTTTCTGATCACTGGGAATCTACATTTGCAGATATTCTTCAGCACCCAAGCACGCACTAGACTTGATCATGTCTGCCCAAGTCTTCCACCTGGGTTCTATGCTATGAGAATCACATTGTTAAATGAAATTTTGTTATTTTAAGTGTATTCCATTTGGTGTGTTTTTTAGGGCTTTGCTTTCTATTTTCATTGATATTTTGCCTAGCATCTTCCTCTTTGTCTTCTTTCTCCACTCTTCACTTTACTATGTCTCTCAACAAACCTATATCTAGATGTAAACATATCCATAAAGAGGGGAGCTAAGGCCAGGTGCAGTGGCTCATGCCTGTAATCTCAGCACTTTGGGAGGCTGAGGCGGGTGGATCACGTGGTCAGGAGTTCAAGACCAGCCTGGCCAACATAGTGAAACCTGTCTCTACTAAAGATACAAAAAATTAGCTGGATGTGGTGGTGGGCACCTGTAATCCCAGCTACTCAGGAGGCTGAGGCAGGAGAATCGCTTGAACCCAGGAGGCGGAGGTTGCAGTGAGCCAAGATCATGCCATTGCACTCCAGCATGGGCCACAGGGCGAGATCTGTCTCAAAAAAAAAAAAAAAAAAAAAAAAAGCGGGGGAGCTAAAGGAAATATATTGAGAAACATTCAGCAAGAAATCACAACTTCCTGATCCAGGGAAGATGGCTGGGGCTTTTTAAGCACTGAGTCTCTCCAAAATGATGCAAGCTGATACTACATCATTTCTAAACCTTCCAATCTACTCGTTAAAAGCATATAGATTTATATTTAACTAAGTATATATACTAAGTGGGAGCAGAGAGTTCTGGAGTAAGGGAATAAAAGAAATAAAAGAAAGGAAAGAAATGTATTTAAGGAACTGGATCTGAGCTGTGAGCCTTATAGGCACTATCTCATTTAATGTCTAAAACAAAACTGTAAAGTAGGTATGACTATCTCTGAGAGATAAACAGAGACTCGGAGAAGTTAATTAACTTTCCAACATTGTCGTAGCTACTAAGTGAAAGACCCAGAATTTGAAAGCAGCTGGGCTGATTCCACAGTTCATGCTTTCTACTTGCTGAACTCTGCTCTCATGCCAAATGGCACCACCCAGAAGATGCTGAAAATCCATAGGGGGAGGATAGATTTACATTGATAAGGGGGAAAAAGGTCTACTTAAAAAAGGAAACCAGCAAATACAAGATAGGATACAATAAAATGCAACAAGGAAGGTGGTCAAGAAACATAACGCATGGCCATGGACAAAAAGCAAAGAAGAGGAACAACCTGTGTTGGATGGAGGTGAGCTTTGATGTTTCCCCCTTGAGCTCATTGATATTTACCTTTCCTGGGCTGATGTGGAATTTGGATTCATTGGATGATTGCTCCACGCTCTCTTTGACCTTGTTTCTGAATGTGTATACAGAGTCCTGGGCTCCCCATGTATTGTTGTCATTTTTCCTTCCCTAACCTCCTTGCTCACCTATCCTTACCAAAACTCTTCCCCAAAATACCAGCTAAGCTAGTAATTCTTGAAAAATAACAAGGAAGTAGAATTTGAAATTGTTTTGATAACATCTGTGCAAACAGCTGCAAATTCTACAGATCACATCATCCTGAGGGCTGCAGTGTTTACAGTAACAAAGAGTCAAACCAAATATTTGCATCTGGGGCTTTACCTGTTAGAACAGCAGTGAAGAGTTCAAAGTCCAGGCTCAAGGCAACCATGGAGGGCTATCAGCAAGCTTTATGAGTGTTTCCCTCCAGGTTCCTAAGAGCTGACTCTTGGCCTTCTGCCAGCTCCTTTGAAATGGAGATATCAGCTCTCCTCATTCACTTATCAAAAACATGTCCATTTCTGGGCCAGATAAAATTGTTTGAGTGCTCATTTGAAATCCAAAGCAGCCATTCCTGCTTTGCTCCAGGAAGACATTTAAAGTTACAGACTGACAAAAGAAGAAAAATAATTGAGGACCCTTATCCACACCATCAACACCTCTTGTTTCCTTCCCAGAATTTGAACTGAAAACCCTAGTATGCAGTAATAACTCGGAAAATACCCGGACATTCTTCTGGGAACCCCCACCACATCTTTCTTTCATTCTTTGGATCATTATGAATCAGGATTTTAAAGGGAGTAACTTCATTTTGGTTTTGGTAGATTGAAATTAATTTAGGCCATTAGATGAAAGAAAGAGAAGGAGTGGAAATGTACTCATCCTATACTACCCCAAGTCTGGAAACATTACTCTTGAAAAATAAAATTCGTTTTAAATATAAGTTTAGCACAAATAATTCCCAGTGAAAAATAAACCCACATTTCTTCCAATAAAGAATATTGTAAGGCCCGGCGCAGTGGCTCACGCCTGTAATCTCAGCACTTTCAGAGGCCAAGGCAGGCAGATCACGACGTCAAGAGATGGAGACCATCCTGGCTAACATGGTGAAACCCCGTCTCTACTAAAAATACAAAAAATTAGCTGGGCATGGTGGCAGTCACCAGTAGTCCCAGCTACTCGAGAGGCTGAGGCAGGAGAATGGCGTGAACCCGGGAGGCAGAGCTTGCAGTGAGCCAAGATCATGCCACTGCACTCCAGCCTAGGCAACAGCGCGAGACTCCGTCTCAAAAAAAAAAAAGAATATTGTAACTAGTGGAACTTCATGTCATGCTAGAATGCGGAGTAGGTACCAGACACTTGCTGGTGAATTTTTGTGTAATACTGAAAAAAGAAGCATTATACAGGCACTGGGCAACTTACACTTTCAGAGTTTTCTGGGCTTTCCTGATGTACATATCAGACATATCACCTAAACAGAAAAATATGTGTCTACAAATCTAGTGTGTGTCTACTGGTTGTATACAATCTAACAAAGCAAAATTGACTATGTTTTAAAACTTTGTGCTTTAAATATTCATAGCATTTCCTCAATTATAGACTAAATATAGTTTCAGCCAAGTTTTGAGGATTAATAATAAAGAAAAATATCATTTATAATCTGATTTTACTTTTTGATAAATAACAAGCCAATATTTAGGGCTTGGAAAGTATTTTGCCAATTATTTTATTCCTCTCTAAACATATCACAGGATAGTTAAAAGCTGAAATATGTCCCATTTCTTGGAGGCTTACATTACCAAGTTTTCAAAAAAGCAGGATTTTTTTTTTATAGTCCTCAAGAGTATCCCTACAACCAACTTCAACTGGCCTGATAGCTTTGCAAGCCTCTGAGTCAAGGCTCAACAGCTGAAACAAAAAAGCCAGAGAATGGTCTATTCAACAGACTGAGGCATGTAAGAATAAAACAAAACTGCTTTATGCCATTACCAAAACTCCTAAATTATCTTTTCCTAACTATTTAAAAGCAATAAATGCAACTCCACAAAGCCTGAGAGACTTTCATAGTGCATGACTGTAGTCATTCCTCAGTTGGAGCCATGGGAAATACCACAAACCTCAGAGAATTGCACATATGTGGAAACTTTTCCCATAGAATTGTAGTAGGTGTGTGTTGTGGTTTAAGTCCCTTTATGACTAATGTAGTGGCTGATTTGTTTACGATTTCATTTCTTTTTTTTTTTTTTTTTTTTTTGAGATGGAGTCTTGCTCTGTTGCCCAGGCTGGAATGCTGTGGCGCAATCCTCCCTGGTTCAAGCAATTCTCCCTTCCTCAGCCTCCTGAGGATATCAGGCGCCGGCCACCACGTCAGGCTAATTTTTGTATTTTTAGTAGAAAAGAGGTTTCACCATGTTGGTCAGGCTGATCTCGAACTCCTGACCTCAGGTGATCTGCCCACCTCGGCCTCTCAAAGTATTGGGTTTACAGGCGTGGGCCACCACGCCTGACCAAGATTTCATTTCTTTTACGGGTCTCAGTGGCTACAAAACATTGCCATGAGGACTGTTTGTGGGGTTTTGGTTTCCGTTTCTGACCAGTGTACCAGTCCTTTTAGAAATGTGTCTCCCAAAGAAAGGACGAGAAAACTGCGGAGCAGGGAGGAGACCAGCAGAAGTCTAACTTGTGATTGTACCTCTCTGCCCTGAAGGGGAAATTTTCTTCCCAGTAATAAAAATGTGGTGGAGCCCAGATTCTTTATTCAGTTGAAGTTCCTTCCAAGAACAGCAAAGGGGGGCCTCAAGGTCTAAAGCTGCTTGGGCACGTTCACATTCACCCCTGGCCTCTGCAAGATGCAACCATGTGGCCTTGGGGAACAGTAAAAGCCGAGGTGTGTCAGGCCAGCCAGCTGACCATAAACTGTGCTTATCACACGAATGACTCCTTGTTTTCATGCTGAAAATATGCACCTCCTGGAAGCTCATCTTTCTTGGTCTGATGTGTGTGATGTGATTTACATCATGGAATGCAGGGGACATGTGCTCACAAGCATTCTGATTCAGGAATCAGGTTTCTATTATGTACTCCATTTGTATTGCCTTCTGCGGTGACCTTAATACATTTTTTTCTTTTTAATTTTGGACTTATTTTAGAGCAATTTATTTTCTATCAAATCCTAAGCCTAGAATGTCTACATGGAAGATAATTGCACTACAGTAAGCAAAATGTCCTGGAGCCTAATTTCACAAGTCTCATTTTCCTGCGGTCAGGGGGCCCTTGGCCTTGGTACCTAGGAAGGGCGCTCATGTGAGTAACTGAGTCATGAGAACATCCCCCTTGGCCTACTCTCTGGGCAGTTATCTTCTGCTGAGTGGTGTGTGGGTGAACATACATGGGGTCGCAAGCTCCTCAAAGAGATAAGACAGGTCTCATGGATACATCATGGATAGATTTGCCAGAACTAGTTATATTAATATATTGTGCTTCCTCCTGAGGCTGTGTTTGTATTCACTGAAGCTTACTTCTCAGGCAAATGTAGGGAGTAACAAATAAGCTTTATGTTCCTAGGAGTCAGGAAGTCTAGTTAGCATGGTTTAAAGCCTTCACCCTACATATATATATATATATATATTTTTTTTTTTTTTTTTTTTTTTTGAGATAGAGTCTTGCTCTGTCGCCCAGACTGGAGTGCAATGGCATGATCTCAGCTCACTGCAACCTCTGCCTCCAAGGTTCAAGCAATTCTCCTGCCTCAGCCTCCTGAGTAGCTGGGATTACAGGTATGCGCTACCATGCTCAGCTAAATTTGTATTTTTGGTAGAGACAGGGGGTTTCACCATGTTGGCCAGGCTGGTCTCGAACTCATGACCTCAAGCGACGCACCCACCTTGGCCTCCCAAAGTGCTGGAATTACAGGCGTGAGCCACTGCACCCAGCCTAGATAGTTGAGTTTAGTTTTTTGTTATTTTTTTCTCTGTAGGATCTCTGAGTCTTTAATATGCTAATGGGTATTATTGTAAGTTCTAAGTGTGTATAATGTATCCCAAGTTAGCATGACTATTGAATACTCCCCCACCCCAATAAAAGCCTATTATTATAACTTGAGCTATAAGTTTCCATAGAATATAGTTCAAAAGACCTCTTTCTAGAAGCAGAAGTTTTCTTCCTGCTCTAAAGTTCTATGAATTTACAAAAACAATGCAGAATTACACACTTTAATGGAGATATAAAAAGAGGTCCAGTTGATGATCTTATTGTAGCAATAAAGGATTTATATTGCATATAAACGTATTCACTATAGATAGTTTAAGCAGAAGAGTACTTATAACCAGTAGCTTATACCATGTAATTGAAGACCAAAAAACTAGTCTTGAATGCTACCAAGGAAAACCCAGGAAAAATGCCCAACCACATCAGTTTTCCTACCAAAAACACCTCTGCTGTTGCTGCTGACTTTTTGGCTCACATGGCACTAGAAAACAGAAGTGAAAACTCCACTAAAGCACCCCTGGAAGTACTACCCATGCCACTGTGCTTGCTGAAAGCTACAATTTCCCCCGTGTGTGTATGCTACCTAACCTTGCTTACTTCTGCCCCAAGCAGCACATTGTGGTAGGCAGAATTCTGAGATGCTCCCCAAGATTCCTGCTTCCTGACGTACACACCCTCTACAGTACTCTCTCCTTGAATGTGAGCAGGACATGTGAATACAATGGGATGTCACTCCCATAATTACATTCTATTATATGGCAAAAAAGGGTTTTGAAAATATAATTAAGGTGTCCAGTTAGTTGGCTGTGAATTAATCAAGAGTGAGATTATGTTGGGGTGAGCCTGACTTAATCAGGTGAGCAGTTAAAACAAAATAGAGATTCAAAGCCAAAGTCACTTTCCTGTTGGCTTTGAAGGAGAAAACTGCCATGTTGTGGAGAGGGCCACGTAGCAGAAAATGGCAAGAAGCCTCTAGGAGCTGTGAATGATCCCTCATTGATAGCCAGCAAGAAAGCAAAG
Organism: Homo sapiens; assembly: GCF_000001405.40. Taxonomy (NCBI): domain Eukaryota; kingdom Metazoa; phylum Chordata; class Mammalia; order Primates; family Hominidae; genus Homo; species Homo sapiens. The sequence continues at coordinate 113,647,862 of NC_000006.12, forward strand.
ACTTCAGTCCTACAACCACAGAAACGGAATTCTGCCAACAACCAAAAAGCCTGAAAATGATAACTGATAAGATTGTAGCCCTGGCCAACTTTTTTTTTTTTTTTTTTTTTTTTTTTTTTTTGAGATGGAGTCTCACACTGTTGCCTGGGCTGGAGTGCAATGGTGTGATGTCAGCTCACTGCAACCTCCGCCTCCTGGGTTCAAGCAATTCTCCTGCCTCAGCCTCCCAAGTAGCTGGGATTACAGGTGCCCTCCACCACACCCAGCTAACTTTTTGTATTTTTAGTAGAGACGGGTTTAAGCCATGTTGGCCAGGCTGGTCTCAACCTCCTGACCTCATGATCCGCCTGCCTTGGCCTCCCAAAGTGCTGGGATTACAGGCATGAGCCACCGCGCCTGGCCCATCCCTGGCCAATATCTTGATTTAAGCCTTGTGAGAGCTTGAGCAGAGGATCGGCTAATCCATGCCCATACTCCTGATTTGCAGAAACTGTGAGCCAGACAATGATGTTATTTTAAGTTGCTTAATCTGAGCGTGCAGCAATAGAAAATTAATATTTGCCTTTGCATGATGGAGCCCAGTTTACTCCTCAAATTCAAACTGCAAGAGCTTTGGGAGAATTACATTGTTAGCTTTCCATACTCTAAAATTCAATAAGACAAGTCAGAAGTGGTTGTTGTTTATATTAAGTGAGTCAATCCCTAGTGTCGTCCACCCACTTTTTTTGAAAATTATTTTCCAAAATATCTTTTACAGCCTATATGATAGGCTAAAAGATGTCATTTCATTTTTTGTTTGTGTAAAATGGCAAAGATCAACCTGTCCTGTGAATGAGTATTCAAGAAAAAGTAATTAACATTGCTATCAGCAATTTCCTTGTATGCATCAACCAGTTGGGTGAACTCATATAAATATTCCTGCTGATTTCTCTATTAAAAAATGCTTAGAGAATAGACAATTTAGGAGATTACTGCTACTCCAGGAGTGGCCACTTTAGCAGGACTGTTGACATGGAGACTTTCCATGACCTTACACACATGTTGATAAGAATGCCTGTGGCCTCTGGTTCTCATCAGTATTGAGTAGATTGATAATATTCTCAGTGGTCTTCTCATAGCGAGTCCAGCAAACCATCAACAAAGTAAAGCTAATAAGAGAGGGATTTTTTAAAATCTTTCAGCAGAGAAGCATTAGGGCAAGTTATATTTATCTGATCATGTACTACTATTTCTCCCAGGGAGTGTGAGAGGATGGGGAGCCGATAGTGTTCCATGAAAGTAGAAAAGTTTTCTGATTCACCACAAAGATGAATTTGTTTTCCACATAATGAATGTGTAGTATTTGATTCTCCCCACACTAAAGTGGTTCGGTTTATTTTTACATCAAGTAAATTTTAGCCATCTCCCTTGCTTTATTAATACTCTCTAACCCAATTTCCTTTCATTTCAAAACCACCAATGGTGAGGAAGGGTAAACAATAAGAACGACATGTAAGAAATTGTGGTATCCAAAAACAAAACGAAAAGCCCTATTTGCTTTACCTCATGTCGTAATTTCCCAGACTTGTTCCTCTTGGCAGTGTTGAGCTCCGCGTTTTCTCCCAGGGAGCAGAGCAACTTCTTACAAAACCTTACTTCGTGGGTTTTCCCAGGTGCCTGTTATTTCCTGAGCAGCACATAGTAGCAGTCCCTTAATCTTTACAGTTCTGAAAGTTGGCAAAGTGCCTTCAGAAAGTCTTGTCTTATTTCAATTGATTCCTTTGCAACAACCCAATAGGAGTCAGGACATGTATCATTATTTCCAGTTTATAAACAGCAGAAACTTCCATTTCTAGAGGTACATAACTGGCTTACACTATGATAAGCCACGACATGGAGATCAGAACCCAAGTCTTTGGAGTGTAAATGAGGCAGTCTTTCCCCAGGACTCCTGTCCTCTTACCAATACATCAGTGAATGGCTGGAAATAAAAATTTAATAGGCAATGACTTCCTGCTGTTCTCTAGTCTTGCCTACCCAAATCCTCTTCACACTCAGAAAATGCACATGAGACACTATTGACAAAACTAAGTACAAGTTTCGAAGCATTGACCTTTGAATAGGAAGGAAAAAGAAAAAAGAAATTTGCAAGCATAAATTTGTATACTGCTTACCTCATAAGTTTTACCCTTTTTCCTCCAGACCAACCATTTCTTATAGTCTGTTCCTAACTCCTCCTGGCTTCTGCCTAGACTTGCTGCTGACAGCCTTTTTTGTCTGAGTAAGTTGTATTTGCCCCTGCAGACTCTGCTCAGACTTTTCCCAGGCTGGTCAGGAGAGTCCTCTTCTGATCCAGTCTATTTCTCTTCTTATCAAATTATTAAAATTTCTGCTAAAGTGTACATAACCCTCTATAGGATATGAGCCCATTTACGTTTCTTATTTATCTTGCGTCCTCTGTATTTAACTCAGTGCAGGGAATTTCAGCACTGAAATGTCTGTGGAATTAGGATTTAATAAGCAATGGTTTTATTGGCTAGGAAATAGCGGCAAACAAAGGTGAGCCTCCAGAGGTGTAACTTCCCTATCCAAACTTTCTCTGTGGGGACTGAGAACCTAGGAAGGGAATGAGTCACCTCCTTTTACACGTTGCCATGAGTTGGTCTAGAGAGGGGAGTAGAACAGACGGAGTGAGGCCAAGGGTCCTAGGATATAAGGGTACACCTGTGGGTACTGTGGTGACCATGGAGGTGCCCCATTCAAATCTTCCTTCCAGAGGACCCGCAGCAGAGAAGAGAGCTGACTAACAGCCTTCTGATGCCCCACCTTTAAGCTGGTTGCAGCGTTCAAACCAGATGCTACTTTCCACGGGCTGCTCCCAGATAATGGCATAGTGCAGTGGGGATAATAGGACCAGGCCACCTCTGCCTGACACAGAACTCCTCTAATGAGAAGCTTCAGGTCTTGGAGCCGGGGGATCCTCACTGGCCTGGCAGAGACATTCTTAGAGCTGCACTGTGGTCTGAGGCTCCTCCCAACTCCGTCCTTCCTTCTTGCTCTCCTTTCTCAGACCCGCATCAGGGGCTGAAGGCCATCCCCGACACCTCATGCTCCCTGCCCGTTTTTCCTAATAAATCTCTTGCTCATCTAATCCCATTTTGACTGGGTCCTTTTTAGAGGACCCAGACTGACAGAGATACTTCAAGATTTAGGGCTAAAAGTGTATTTTTTAAATGCCACTCAAAATCTGTAGACCACTATCCAGAATTTAACAATGCCCTACTTAGTCTTGAGCTGTGTAGTAGTTTAGAGTTAGAGCTTAAAATACAAGATAGAAAAATAGGTTCTGCTTCTGCACATCTGAGGTACACACAGGCAAAGTGGAGGGGCAAAGGAGCCCAGGCTGGCCTGCCACTGGTGCAAGAAGGATCAGGCTGCTGTGGAATCCTGTGACAACTGGACTGTGGCCAAGTCATCGGGGTACCACATGGGTTGAGGAGCACGGAGCAGGCCTCTGACAGCCACAGAATATAAATAACACAGCTGCCTCCGCCACTAGCCAGCTGAGGAGAGCCACAGAGAAGAGGAGAGGGCAAGAATTAACTTGCGCATCAGCCCCTGAAATGGACTAACACTTCCATTGTTACCTTGTTTTTAAAATTTTAATTTGGTATTTTGGCCGGGTGTGGTGGCTCATGCCTGTAATCCTAGCACTTTGGGAGGCCAAGCTGGCAGATCACCTGAGGTCAGGGATTCGAGACCAGCCTGGCCAACATTGCGAAACCCTGTCTCTACTAAAAATTCAGAAATTAGCCTGGTGTGGTGGCACATGCCTGTAATCCCAGCTACTTGGGAGGCTGAGGCAGGAGAATCACCTGAACCCAGGAGGCGGAGGTTGCCGTGAGCCAAGATCACACCACTGAACTCCAGCCTGGGGGACAGAGCGAGAATCCATCTCGAAAAAAAAAATATATATATATATATATATATTTTTTTTTTTTTAATTGGGTATTTCAAACCACTTTATACGTTTGTTGTGTTTGTGGATATTCATACCAGAAATGTATGTAAATATGAGGGTTGTGACTTGGAAGCATTTTATTGTATGGGGAAATCTTTGAGATGCCAAACAGCAAATAGTTAATTAACCCTTTAAAAAACCTCCTTCACATAAAGACCCCAAGCTCCATGAGAACAAAACCTCTAGTTCCTTAAAAATAGAGCACTCAGTCACCCAAACATGCTAGGCTGAGTTTCACTTCTTTCACAGAATCTTCTAAGCCACACCTAAACTAAACTATCAGCCTCTCTTTGATCATGTGAGCAGGTAAATTAAGTAACAACAGGTCTACACGGAGACACTTGGATAAATTACAATGTCTGGTTTACTTATCTTTGTGGTATTTCTGAACCTAATATTAATGTGATTTATAATTTTGCCATTCTTCAAAATAAGACAAATTTAAAGAAACAATAAAAAAGTTTACTGAGGCTGGGCACAGTGGCTCATGCCTGTAATCCCAGCACTTTGGGAGGCTGAGGCAGGAAGATCACCTGAGGTCAGGAGTTCGAGACCAGCCCAACCAACATGGAGAAACCCCGTCTCTCTACTAAAATTACAAAATTAGCCTGGCGTGGTGGCACATGCCTGTAACCCCAGCTACTTGGGAGGCTGAGGCAGGAGAATAGCTTGAACCTGGGAGGTGGGGGTTGTGGTGAACTGAGATCATGCCATTGTACTCCAGCCTGGGCAACAAGAGCAAAACTCCATCTCAAAAAAAATAAAATAAAATAAAAAGGGTTACGGAGTTCTTCCAATATATCCAAAGAAAAACAAGGTATATGTGAGCCATGAAAAAATGTTAGGTGATGGGAGGGGAATTAACGCAGTTCTTTCACCTTTATTTAGTTCAATGAATAACATAAAAGAGAGTAAGTCAGAGTCCCTACCACAGCTACCCCAAAGATTTTACACAACCTCCTGGAACGGTTTAGCCTTCAACCTCTGAGAAACACAGGAGCCAACATTTTCCTGGACCTCTCTTTCTACTGTTTAATATTACAGAAGTAGTAACTTTCTTTTTTCTTCCCAACTATAAAATTGTATAATTATACTGAATAAATTTTTTCAAATCACAAATACTCTAATGAAGACTCTAATGTATTCTATTACATCCCTGAATATCAGGGTAGGTCTCCTCAATATCAGTTGAGAATTATTGGTCTGGTCTAACACTCTTACTTTACAGATGAGAAAAATTGAAGCCACAAATTAAGTGATTTGCCTAAGTTTACAAAATTAATAAAAACCTGAAATTGATTATATGTTATATCAACTTACCTTAATCAATTTGAAAAGCATATTCCAATATTTTTGAAAGACAATGAATACAATAATCGAAAAATAATTTCTCCCTGTATTAGTCCATTTTCACACTGCTGTAAAGAACTGCCTGAGACTGGGTAAATTATTAAGAAATAGGCTTATTTGACTCACAGTTCTGCATGGCTGGGGAGGGCTCAGGAAACTTACAATCATGGCAGAAGGCAAAGGGGAAGCAAGGCATGTGTTACATGGTGGCAAGAGAGAGAGAGAGAGAGAGAGAGAAGGGAAGCACCACACTTTTAAACCATCAGATTTCATGAGAACTCACTCACTATCATGAGAACAGCATGGGGGAAATCCTCCTCCATGATCTAATCATCTCCCACCAGGTCCCTCCCCTGACATATGCGGATTAAAATTCCACATTGGGTGGGAACACAGAGCCAAACCGTATCAGTACCTCTGAATGATAAAATGCGACAAATTTCCTATGGTATAATTATACTCTGCCTGTTAAGTTTCTATGTCCTGCCTTTCACATAGTCTCTTGTAAGGAGTAGGGCATCATTCCTGCCTTCAAGGGGTTTATGGTCTAGTGGGTACAACAGACAAATAAATGGATTGCTTCAATTTATGAAGCAGATTTAATGAAGGGGGGAAAACAGTGATGTTCAAGCAGAGAAGAGAGTGATCCAACCAAGGTTAGTGGTCAGGAAGATTCTTGAAGCAGTCTTCTTACCTCTACAAGACGAATGTTCCTAAAACAGAACCTATAACTGTTTCATCTTAGTGATCCACGGTGTCTGCTATGATACCTGGTTTATTTACCCTTAAAAAATATTGCTTTCACTTTTGCATGACAGTTTTCTTACACAATACTATAGCCAAATAGTTTTCAGAACTTTGCAAACACCTACATGATTGCACTCAATGCTATTTCTTTTCAATTGTTTAAGTACTTGAATAAAATTTATTAAACCATATGATATGCAAAGAAAGAAAGAAAAAACTCTTGTTTTTCTATTCAAAAGGGAATTTTTTCTCACTCTCTCTTCTGTTTTGACTTAGGAGAACTTGACTCTGTGTGTTTTGTATAAGTAAAAATAAAAACAGAATTCTACCAATTAAATGATATAAATGAATCGAACAATTAAAACATAATAAAAACAGACTCATCTTTAAAATATTCAGTAAGATAGATAGCCTGAATTATTTTACTTATAATACAGAGCAAGAATTGAAAAGTTTTAAGGACATGTTCTTACAAGGTCTATAATTTGCTCACCCAAGACTGCCTCTTTGACTCCAACTTCCTTACCTCCTCCCTTCTCCATTGGCTTAAGCACTGGCCTGGACAAGCAGTGTGCCAACACTGCCTTTTTCTCAGAATACAAGAATTGTGCCACCCACAGTCCCATGGCTGGAGGCCAGGGCACTGCCAGCAGCACAGACATGAGTCAGGCTGTGGCTTGTGTAAGAATTCCTGGTCTAGGTTCTTTCCTGACAGTTCACTTGGAATTGCCACCATTGACAGTATGATGGCAAGAAGTATGTGATAGGAAAGTATATAGTAAGACAAGTCAGGAAACTTGACTCCCAGTCTTACTTTCTGGAGGTGTGACCATTAGCATTTCTCCTAATCTGCTCTGTCTACCTCATAGAATTATTATAAGAACCAGAATGAGACAATGAAAACTAAATATTTAATTTTAGTTAGTGAGGGAAAAGAGATATTCTCATATGCCATTAGTCAGAGTATAGATTACAATACTTTTTGGCAGTAATTATTAAACATAAAAATGTCCAGACCTGTGGCCTAGTTATTCCTTTTCTGGAAATTTAGCCTCAGGAAATAATTAAGAAAGTGCAGAAATATGTATATAAAAGGATGTTTACCAATGTGCTATTTGTAATAACCAAATATTAGAAATAACAAAGTGTCTAATAATAGAATTTGGGTAAATAAATTAGAATATACCTACATAGCAGAGTACTATACAGCTATAAAAATAATGTAAAAATAAAGAATATAGCTATTGTTATGTGATGTACAAAATGTAGTTATTAAATATACAAACAAATCACAAATGTGTATATATAATGACACACACACACACTTACATAGAGAGAGAAGAGGTGGGAGTATGGAATTATACTCACCAAGAGGCCCAAAAGGTTTAACTCAAAGTAATGTTGTTTTATTTTTCTTCTGTTTATGTGTCTGTTTTCCAATTTTCTTATATTGTGTGGGTATTTTTATTGTAATAAAGAAAAATACATTTACATATAAAAAGTAAGATACATTACATGAAAACATGTTGTAGTAATTGTTTTACAAGTGCAAGGTACTATTATGTTCTGGTAGCTTCTGTAGACTACCCTTATGGCATATCTAGGGATCTAGATATTATATATTCATGTAAATTATGAAATGGCCTAGCCTTTGTTGTCTCAATGGTATATTTGTCACTATAAATTTGTGATTGAAAAATTGATAAAGCTTCTCCTTTTTCCATGGCAAGAGACTACTAAACATTTAAATACTGAAATAGTTTGTAAAGCTTCATTAAAATGAACATTCTTTTAGTAAATTTAATTGAGGTTGAAAATTATGATATCTATGCAGAGGGTGATGAATATTGTAAAAGAGATACATTTATCTTTGTATAACAAGCTTGATAGTTTTCACCTACAAATATGTCATACAGTGTTCTCAAATACTTACTACATTTGCAAATAAGAAACTCTAGCTCTGTTACTGGTTCCAGCAGAAACTATCTACAGTACCTCAGACATGTATAGCTTGTCTGTACTTGATTTAATTTGTCTATGAAGTGAACATCATGTTGGCAAAGCCTTAAAACGAAGTTTAACGTATGTACATACAATTCTTATGAACCTCTTAAAAATGGAGAAGGAGCAGAATTTGGAAAAGGAAGAGAAATACGCTTTGATGGTTTATTGAACAGAATTTCCTAGCTGTTTCTTAATTAGATACTACAAAACTTATTTAATGAGCCAATTCCCGTGCTTTAACTCCAACAAGTTACTATGCTGCTGCTGCTAAAATTTAAACTACTGGCATTCAAGGCTGACTTACAAACACCACTATTTTTTATTTGGGTCAAGTCTTCTTAAGAAATTTGTAGCTAACTTTAATTTAAATATCATTTTTCTAAATAATACATAAACTTCTAATATAAAGCTACTCTAAATATATAGTATTAATTTTTCAAAATTAAGCCAAATACTGAATTATATTTTATTGAATTATTGGCGCATGTAAATATATAGAAACACAACCAATAAAAATCAATCATTGTCTCTACTCATTACCATTGTATCACATTTGCCTGTAAAACCAGCTACTTGAGAGGCTAAGGCAGAAGGATCACTTGAGCCCAGGAGTTTAAGACCAGCCTGGGCAATATAGCAAGAGCATGTATCATTTTATTTATTCTATTTATTGATTTATTTTTGAGACAGGATCTCACTTTGTCACCCAGGCTGAAGTGCAGTGGTGTGATCTCAGCTCACTGCAGCCTTGACCTCCCAGGTTCAAGTGATCTTCCTGCCTCAGCCTCCCAAGTAGCTGGGACTACAGGCACACACCACCACACCTGACTAATTTTTGTATTTTTTGTAGAGATGGGGTTTCATCATGTTGCCCAGGCTGGTCTTGAACTCCTGAGCTCAAGTGATTTACCTGCCTCAACCTCCCAAAGTCCTAGAATTACAGGCATGAACCGCTATACCTGGCCTCAGTGTCTCATTCTAAAATAAATAAAAGAAATTTAAGGGCCGGGCGTGGTGGCTCACGCCTGTAATCCCGGCACTTTGGGAGGCTGAGGCAGGCGGATCACGAGGTCAGGAGATCGAGACCATCCTGGCTAACACGGTGAAACCCCATCTCTACTAAAAAATACAAAAAATTAGCCAGGTGTGGTGGCGGGCACCTTTAGTCCTAGCTACTTGGGAGGCTGAGGCAGGAGAATGGTGTGAACCCGGCAGGTGGAGCTTGCAGTGAGCTGAGATCACACCACTGCACTCCAGCCTGGGTGACAGAGCAAGACTCCATCTCAAAAAAAAAAAAAAGAAAGAAATTTAAACAACAACCAAAAAAAGTATAACAGGTCTGAGTAGAGTAGCAAACTATTTACTTTTAAAAGGAATATTAATTATTTTGGGACACTGGGACAATATTTCTCCATTTTTCCCAATCCTCAGCACTTATCATGAATTTACAAAAAAATGATAGTTGGCATTTACATTTCTTTTCCTTTTTCCATATTCCTTACTCTGTGATCTGTATTTTCATGTTCATAATTAACCAAGAATTTATGCCTACCACGTCTAATACATTCTGAAAGGTGCTATGGAAAATGCATAATTAAGCCATCAAAAATTACCATTGAGTATGAGGTTAAGACATAGACACAAAAATCTCCCAATACAAGTAAACAAAAAGGAATGCTACATAGTACTAAAGACAATAAAGATACCTCACATTTAAAAGGAAGATGAGAGCTTCAATACCTGAATTGAATTAGAACTGCATGTGAGAAGTACAAGTACATTTGCATTTCCTGGTACATAATAGGTACGCAATAAATTTCAGGAGATTTATTCTCCTTGCTTTATTCAGCTGGAAGTTTCATGAATATGGTGAGAACTAAGCTTTAAATGATGCATAACATTCTAAAAGAAAAAAAAAAGAATGGATAAACATTGAGACAGGATATTGGTGGGACACAAGGCATAGAGGTAGGGTGGCATATTTCAAAAGATTTAATAAATTGACCTTTTCAGTTGGAATACAGGTGTTGGTAATGGAGGAATGGAATACGTGGGCAGGGGACCAGTGAGCTTTGGTGTTTGAACTTGGAACTAGTTAACTGTGTATCCACACTATCAACTGAGTGTCTATCAAAAGCATACTATATCTAGAATGAGTGTTTGGACTTTATCAGGGCCTCCAGTCCTCTTTCATTTGTTCTTTTCTCAACCGCTCCTTCCTATCTTCACTTCCATAATTATGCTGCTTAGATTCATGGTTGCACCTTCTTACTCCTCTTTTACCAATACTCTAAATTCCTCTTTCCCATTATCTTTACATAGCATATACATGGCAAAACCCCAACCCTAGATAAACCTGTTTGCTTTTTCCATGTAACTTAATCAGGTTTGGTTCAGTGTTGCATGATGCAGGAGAGAAATAAAATTTGGGCAATTTGGTATCATAAATCTGTGATTAGTAGTCTCAGCTGGGCTCTCCAACCTAGTTGTAATTCTTACCGTGATTACCTAGCATGCTCCCATTTTCCACAATTGCTGTAAATTCTCTCCCCTCCCCTCAAGTCTCTGACAACTACACTATACCTTGCACTTTAATCCGATAACCCTTCTTTCTACTCCACTAACAAATGGAAGTCGTAATAAGGGAACTTGTCAGCTTCTGAGTACCAAATCTACTTTCTTTTTCAACTCTCCTTTTCTCTTCTCATAAGGAAAAAATAATAATATCTATCATTTTTATCTAAAGCCAATCCCTCAATGTGTACTATAAATTCCTGTCCCAATGTTCTCAGGGACACAGATCTCTAATTAATCCCTCCCTCTATATATTCAACTTTCTCTCTTTCTTATTTCTTCTGATCAGTAATTAAACAAGCTCAAATCTAATGGTGAGGAACTGGAGGGGACCTCCTTTTTTTCCAAATCCCTTCTGTCTCATGCCCTATAGCACTTCTACTCTTCATAATTGAACTTCTTGAAAAACTTGACTGTACCTACTTTGTTGCCTCACTTCCCAGTCATCCTCCTGAATCTATCATAGTCTAGAGGTTTCTCTGTCATGATTCTACCAGAATTTCTTGCAGGAAGACCACCAAAGTCTATAAAAGACTAAATGCATTGGGTAATTTTAGTCATTTTCTCAGTGGCTTTTTCTTCAGCATTTGACACTGCAGGTCACTCTTTAAAATACTCTTTTTGTGGTTTCTCTTGCTCCCCAGTCTGCGGGTTTACTACTCACCTTTCTGATTGTTCCTGTGAAGTCTCCTTTACAAGTTTCCCTTCCTATCCTTCTCCCTTAGAGAGTAAGTATTAGCATTTCTTGCTTTACATACTTTCTCTGGATTATTTTCCTCATTCCTAGGATTCCAAAATCCCCCAAATCTTTAATCTCAAACTCTTCTATGGACTTCAGATCCATATCTCTAAGCACCCCAAACTCAATATAGACCCCAAACAGAAGTCACCCCCTCTTCTTCCCCATGGGTTCACTCTGGAGTTTATCTCAATACAGGGCATCACACCCAGCCAATTGCTCAAGTCTGAATCCAAGAGTCACCTCTCTCTCTTCCTCTCTCTCTCTTTCTCACGCGCACGCACACACACACACACACACACACACACACACACACCATATATTTACCACAAAGTCCTACTGAGTCAAATGCTAATTACTGCAACCTTACTATCACCCAGCTCATTTTATTTTGTCAACTGTCTCAGTGAGTGAAACTGTTCAAAGTTGTGTAATCTTTGTAAGTCATTAGTGTAGCTAAAATGATCGTTTGTGGGGAGTTTAAAGTTCTAATGTTTTTAGGAGATTGAAAAAATCTAGGAAAAGATTTTCTGTTTCTTCTTCTCATCTTTTTAATAATAGTGTTGGTAAGATGATATTCTCAATTTTCTCAGAACAATTTTCCGCAGATACACATCTTCCGTGTTTGATCATGCTGACAAAATTGGGAGGAATGTGTTTTCTTTCTGCAAACATAACATTTCTACAGCCTCAGAAAATACAGGTTATTGCTGTTTGTCTGGGCACATGAACTACATATCTGTAACAGGCTGAACTGAAACAACTGAATCAATGTTACAAACATCCATTGGAATCAAGAATAATAACGAGAATGTCACAAGGATCTGAATTTTATTTCTCTGATATCTAGAAATCACAACAGATCACCTGTCTAAGCCAAAGGTCACAAGTGGTGATAAGCTCCAAAACCAGCTTATCCTCTTCCTCAGTCTCTGTAGAAAGAGGTCAACACATGGACTTTTAGTGTAAAGCTCGCTGTCCTATTTGTTAATACACCCTTCAGGGTGTTATCAATGGTTTTCTAAATTCAGGAGAAATAGTAAAGAGAAACAAATTAGCAAAATACCAAGTAGATGCACAACTACACTTCTAGTGGAAAGCAGAGGAGAAACCCTTGCTAGATAGAAAGTTCTTTCTTCTTTTAGGCCTTTACATCTTCATTACACTCTATGCTTCCACTAGGCAAGCTAAAGGCTACCAGTAGTTCATACAGCGATGACCTCAATTTTATCAGGTCTCAGTTTTTTCTTTTTTTTTTTTTTTTTTTTTTTTGAGATGGAGTCTCACCCTGTCACCAGGGCTGGAGTGCAGTGGCGCAATCTCAGCTCACTGCAAGTTCCACCTCCTAGGTTCACACCATTCTCCTGCCTCAGCCTTCTGAGTAGCTGGGACTACAGACACCCACCACCAAGCCCAGCTAATTTTTTGTATATTTTAGTAGAGACAGGGTTTCACTGTGTTAGCCAGGATGGTCTCGATCTCCTGACCTTGTGATCCGCCCGCCTCAGCCTCCCAGAGTGCTGGGATTACAGGCATGAGTCACAGTGCCTGGCCCAGGTCTCACTTCTTTTTTAAGCTGGAGCAGATTGAGTATGGTAATATATTTTCTTTCTGTCTGTCTGTCTGCGTCTGTCTGTCTGTCTTTCTTTTCTTCCTTCCTTCTTTTTTTTTTTTTTTTTTTGACTAAATTTCACTCTTGTTGCCCAGGCCGGAGTGTAATGGCACTGCTCACTGCAACCTTTGCTCACTGCAACCTCCACCTCCTCAGTTCAAGCAATTCTCCTGCCTCAGCTTCCTGAGTAGCTGAGATTACAGGTGCCTTTCACCATGCCTGGCTAATCTTTTGTAAGGTATGGTAATATATTTTCTACTTTCTTATATTATCTTGAGCTGGTAGGCACATACTTATATAAGAGAGAGATATTCAGTTTTAGAGGAAGCTTTTTAGCAAAAGCCTACCTTTCATGCCCACCACTGTGGGCACAGAAGTCAAAAAGTTAAAAAGAATAAAATTTTTAAAGTAAAGTAGTTACAGTAATTTGGTTTTGGAGAAATACTTCTCTTGGTAAATGTAATGTAGTCTAAGTGTACAGTGTTTATAAAATCTGTAGTAGTGTGCTACGATGTCCTTGGCTTTTACACTCACTCACTAACTCATCCAGAGCTGCTCCAGTTCTGCAAGCTTCATTCAAGGTAAGTGCCCTATACAAATGTAGCATTTTTTAATCTTTAATTAATGTATTTATATTTTTTTGTTTTTTATTTATAGAGATGTGGTATTGCTATGTTGCCCGGGCTGGTCTTGAATTCCTGGCCTCAATCGATCCTCTCACCTTGGCCTCCCAAACTGCTGGGATTACAGGTGTGAGTTACCAAGCCCGGCCATTTTTTTTCTTTATGCCATACATTTACCGTACCTTTTCTATGTTTAGATACACAAACCTTACCATTGTGTAACAATTGTCTGCAGAATTCAGTCCAGTAACATGCTGTGTGGGTTCATAGTGTAGAAGCAATAGGCTGTGCCATATATACTACGTGTGTAGTAGACTGTACCATCAAGGTTTGTGTAAGTTCACTCTATGATACTCACATGAAGATTCATTTCTCAGAATGTATCACTGTCAAGCAATGTGTGACTGTAACAATCCAGGCAAAAAGTGCCAAGTTCAGTCTTGAAGAGCACATAATTTCCACCTGAAATTTTAAATAGCCTCAGGTTTACTTAGAACTTGGTGTTCATACAAATACCACAAGTTCCAGGCTCAATGAAAGGTAAGTAAGTCTTGAGAAAGCTCTGATCAGTTCAAGCATGAGCTTAGAAAAGTAATTAAATGGACACCCAGACAAAGACTTTGGAGAGAGAAAGCTTCAAATCACTATCCAAATTGAAGATGATTGCCAAAAAAAAAAGAACATTTCCTCCCTTTGTCCCTCTCCCGCTCCCACTTCCTTCCTTATAACGGCTATAAATATTAGTATAATCTGTTGGAATTTCCAGAAGAAGCCCTCCTCCCAATTGTGCACTTTCTTTATTAATCAGAATGAAACTACATATTATGAAATGTATATTAGAGACAGTCCAAGAAATCATCAAAACTTCTCCACTTTGTGCTTCACTTTTTGTGGCGGAGGTGTGGCAGGGACAGGGAGGGGAAGATAAAGTCTGTGGGGTTAAGGGAAGGTGACTCTGGGTGAGGGGCAGATATGATTCACTTTTAGAATGTGTGACTGTATACAATCCAGGCAAAAAGTGCCAAGTTTAGTCTTGTCACTTTTAGAAGTGACAATTTAGAAACAGATGATTTTGAGCTAAACCCAAGTCAGGTACCATCCTTAATTCAGCAGTTATTTCCAATGAGACCTCAATGCTTTCTTTAAAACTATCAGCTGAGCACTTGTGTAAATTTATACTGCTGTTGCTTTCCAAACTTTTCAACCAAGTTTCTGCAGTCTTGAGAGAAGAACTGCATTGCTCTATCAACTAGACTTTGGTAGACTTTAGCTTGCCTAGTGGAAGCATAGAATGTAATGAAGATGTAAAGGTCTAAAAGAAGAAAAGAAGTTCAAGTGGAGGCTAAGAACTTCTGTGTACAACAGGAGAAAGGTTATCAGAGATTTGCATAGAGAAAAATTTCTTGATAAGAAAGTGCTTAGGAGCAATCCTAGTCGATTAGAATCTGTTTTCCTAAGATTAGAAGTTGACATTTTGATTGCAGTGTAATTACAATTATCTGTAACACTTTGCAAGTTGAATACAGGAAAACACTAAACACAAAACTTCTCTAGTTGGGAGAGAGAAGGGAGGGACGGCACCACAGAAAATCAGACCAGAGAAAGTAGAGTCTATACAACCCCCTTAATTTACAAATGAGGAAGTGAGTCTGAGACCATTTAAATTATACAGCAGTGCTCTCAGCAAATTGGTATCTGAGGAATTAGACTCATCACTAATGAAAGGGATTTCCACCCAAGGTGATGGGAGGTTTAGCAGAGATATTTTGGGAAAGGCAGAAATTCCAATGTCCTTCAAAACACAGTGTGTTTATACATGTAGTGAAGTTGTTTTCAGGGTATGTAGAGTATGCAAACATATCTCAACATTCAAAATCCATATAACTATCCCTAAATGCCATTATGAACATAACGGGGAAACAGGTAGTATTCTGATATGTAGCATTCCTTAGGTTTGCTAAGATTGTATGCGTTGTGTAGACAAGCTGCCTTGGCAAAATAAGACAATTGTTCAAAAATATATATATATACTATCTATACAGTTCAAGAGAAAGTTGGCCCATATTATCCAAATATAGTAATTAAGTCCATTGGCCACTTGATTGCTATAGTCTTTAAAAATCCCTGGAACTAGCCACGCACAGTGCCTCACACCTGCAATCCCAGCATTTTGGGAGGCCAAGGTAGGAAGATCTCTTAAGGCCATGAGTTCGAGACCAGCTCATGCAACATAGCCAGACCCTATCTCTACAAAAACAATTTTATAAAATAAGCTGGGTGTGGTGGTATGTGCCTGCAGTCCCAGTTACTTGGGAAGCTGAAGCAAGAAAATCTCTTGAGCTCAGGAAGCTGAGGCTGCAGTGAGCCATGATCACACCTCTGCACTCAGCCTGGGCAACAGAGAAAGACCCTGTCTCTTAAAAAAAAAGAAAAATCCCTGGAACTGTCTGTGCTGCTATCTTGGTGATTTCATACGCTACACACACACACACACACACACACACACACACACACACACAAAAGATTTAGTGCAGCCAAATCCCCCTCTTTGCCTGAGCAAGGAAAAAGAGAAGAAATGTTGCAGCTGGATTCAAAGCTTAACCCGTGCAGGGAGAATCTCCACTTTCTGTAGGACCTTCTCCCTTGCTGCTTCCCAGAATGGCTGCTTTCAGTGAACTTTTAGCTGACAAAAGTCAAGATGCCCCTCCCGTAAAGATGGAAGTAAATCCAGAATTTGAAGAGGGACACAAGAGAAATGGAGGTAAAAAGCTGTTAAAAGTACTGTATTTAGTGCTGGTAGCTAAAGCAACTTCCTATGTGTGATTATCATACAAGCATGGTAAGTGTGTGTGATTATATACAAAACAAGTATGGCTTGTTTTGAGAAATAAGTAAGATACTATTTACTTAGGCTACTGAGTGAAGTTTGTGTGGATCTCTTGGCCTCAGTGCTTCTTGGTCTTTTGAGTAATAGAACTCTCCATCTTTCTTTCCAAATGAAAAAATACTGCAGCTATGCAATTTATCTTAATTCCCAAAAAAGTTTCTTATTCTAAGTATCTGGCCAAAATATAGTGAACTAACAACAAAGAAAAAAAAATCCAACTATCTTTCATGATTGAACTCAGTTTGGGATGTATGTTACTGATGAATCTCACTGGATCTCTCCAGCTGGGGAATAATATAACTCTTTGATATTTAACTTGAATTGATTTTTAAAAATAATTTCTGACTCCTGTTTTTCAACTCAACCATGTTTATACACTCCTGTATCAATGTACAAAAATCATACAGTCTTTTTAGAAATGTGATATGCCACCCTCATTCCCAGCCTGTGGGATGGTAAGTATTAGGACCTCCAAGAGGGAATCTGCAATTATTATCAGCAATAACTATGGAGTTGAGTATCTCCTCCGCATAATTGCCAGGGTAAATATGTAAGAACCAAAAAGATAGACAACTATAAAATGTGTCCTATTCCTCAACATAATTCAGAAAGTAAGTTGTGTGCATAAAAAATATAAGCGCAGAAATGACACAATACAAGGTAACCAAACTCAAAGTAATTGTCACAGGCTATAAAGTTACAGGTGTTCATAAAAGCCAGATGTCACCAAAGGCTGAAGAGCTGACTGTTTTCATATTTACCTTGAGTCAAGGAGGCTGTAAGGTCTCCCAAACTCTTTTAAATGTTTATTCCAGTTTCCACAATATTTAATTTCCATCACTTAAGTAACTCAACAGATTTAGGCCAGGTGGGGGTAAGAAGGGAGAAGAGCATTTCTGAAGTAGTATAAATATAACAGGTGATTACCCTTTATTTCTGATTGACAAACTTACAAGAATTTTTTTTTTTTTTTTTTTTTTTTTGAGATGAAGTCTCGCTCTGTCGCCCAGGCTGGAGTACAATGGCGCAATCTCAGCTCACTGCAACCTCCGCCTACCAGGTTCAAGCGATTCTCCTGTCTCAGACTACCAAGTAGCTGGGACTACAGGCGCATGCCACCATGCCCAGCTAATTTTTGTATTTTTAGTAGAGATGGGGTTTCACCATGTTGGTCAGGCTGGTCTCGAACTCCTGACATCGTGATCCGCCCACCTTGGCCTTCCAAAGTGCTGGGATTACAGGCGTGAGCCACCGTGCCCAGCCACAAGAATATTTTTTAAAGGGCTTATCTTCAGTCTGCCTAGGGCAAGAAAGCTGCTGCCTTGATTTTGGACTTTTTCTCCCACCACAGTTTTCCCCACATCCTGTGGATGGGTTCTCTCTAGGAACTTGTGAAAGTCATGCCAGCTGGGACCCCACTAGGGGCCAGCAGACAGATATGTCTTACAGCAGGTCCCAAGCATGGCCAGACTCTGAAGAGTAAAGGAAAGCTCCCTCAAAAGGAACTTAAGCATAGGAAAACATCCAAAACCAACGGACTCACAATAGGGCACTCAGAAACATTTCCCAGACTGTTGTCACTCATGTCACATGTACATAAAAGTATATGTTTAGATAAAAATTAAAGTAAATATATTTCTACCACCTAGTGTTTACAAATATCTGGATGACTGAAATTTTCAGTTTTCACTCAAATGTTGGTTTGAAGTTTATAGTATCTACTCAACTAGTCAGTAAATTTGACACTTTTGGGGTCTGGCTTCAATTTGACAGTATGAAGTATTTATTAGAAATGGTATACAGTTGGCCGGGCATGGTGGCTCATGCCTGTAATCCCAGCACTTGGGAGGCTGAGGCAGGTGGATAGCTTGAGGTCAAGAGTTCAAGACCAGCCTGGCCAACATGGTGAAACCCCATCTCTACCAAAAATACAAAATTTAGCTGGGTGTGGTGGTGGGCGCCTGTAATCCCAGCTACTTGGGAAGCTGAGGGACAAGAATCACTCGAACCTGGGAGGCAAAGGATGCAGTGAGCTGAGATCACGCCACTGCAGTCGAGCCTGGGCAACAGAGCAAGACTATGTCAAAAAAAAAAAAAAAAAAAGAAGAAAGAAAGAAAGAAGAGAGAGAGAGAGAAAGAAGGAAGGAAGGAAGGGAGGAAGGAAGGAAGGGAGGAAGGAGGGAAGGACGGAAGGAAGGAAGGAAGGGAGGGAGGGAGGGAGGGAGGAGAAAGAAAGAAGAAAGAAAGAAAGAAAGAAAGAAAGAAAGAAAGAAAGAAAGAAAGAAAGAAAGGAAAGAAAGGAAAGAAAGAAAGGAAAGAAAGAAAGAAAGAAAGAAAAAGAAAGAAAGAAAGGAAGGAAGGAAGGAAGGAAGGAAGGAAGGAAGGAAGAAAGAAAGAAAGGAAAGAAAGAAAGAATACAGTTGCCACATAATCAAATTGAAGATTAAGACATCATTTTTAAAAAAAATATAATGTATACATAACACTGATACTGAAGCACTATGATTTAGTAGTGGGAAGAGCCACTGATTGAGATTAAAGAGTAAAATGGAGATTTAAAAAATGATTGCCTCCCCTGAAAGATTGCTGGGTGGATCAATCTAAACTATCTGATTTAAACTGCAAATAACCAAAGAAATTTAAGTTCTGAACATAAGGATTATTGAATGTCAATCCAACCCCCACCTTCTGTGTCATTCAACCTCATTTGCTTGTTTGCCACTTGTAGAATGTAAAAAATAGTACTATACCTGCTCTGACTACCTTACAAAATTATTCTGGGGATCAATTATTCTGGGGCTCATAAAAGTGCTTCAAAATATCTTAAAAGCACTTTGCCAATGCTAGAGTTAAAAAATAAATATTATAACATAATTAGCCATCTAGCTTTAACATTTAAAAAGGAATATAACATCATTGAAAATTATAGCTTAATTATAACAATATCTTTCTTTATGTCAAAGAATTAAACAGTAGGGTTATTGAGTTTTCTATTTTGTATTCATAAAATCTTCATATATCCACAAAAACTAAGAAGGTAAATGCATTCCCACATTCATGATTGCTACTTGTTTTATAATACAGTCACGCTCATATGCTATTTCCTTTCTAATTTCCTCATCTCCTTAGACTCCTGAAAATAAAACGACTTTGATGTATGAAACTGTATTTTAAGAAAGTAAAAGTAACAGGCATTTTCCTTAAAAGATACCAATCAAAATCTTAAATGATTTCCATGTACGATGTTATTAGTCATCTTAATTTTACATCTTAATAGAGAAAAATGTACTTATTTCCTTCCTTCCCTGTTGTTAAAATTGCTGTTTCACTGGGCATGATGGCTCACGCCTGTAATCCCAGCACTTTGGGAGGCCAAGGTGGGCGGATCACCTGAGGTTGGGAGTTTGAGACCAGCCTGGCCAACATGAAGAAACCCCATCTCTACTAAAAGTTCAAAATTAGCCGGGCGTGGTGGTGCACCCCTGTAATCCCAGCTACTCGGGAGGCTGAGGCAGGAGAATCGCTTGAACCAGGAAGGCGAAGGTTGCAGTGAGCCGAGATCGTGCCATTGCACTCCAGCCTGGGCTACAAGAGCGAAACTTTGTCTCAAAAAAAAAAAGAAAAAAAAAATTGCTGTTTCATGTTTGTTCTTATTTTTGAAATATCAGTAAAACTATGAAGAATATGACCGACAGTTATTGAGTATTTGAAATGTTCTAGGCACTGATGTGAGGCCTTTACATGTTTATCATTTTATTTTACAAGCAGCTTATATATGTATCACTTATATAGGTATCAGCATATATATATATATTTCCTCATTGTACAGTGAGGAAAATACGGTCAGAAAGGTTAAGAAACTTGCCCAGTGTTGCACAGCTAGGATTAGAATGGGACAGATCCCAAATGCACAGTGAATCCATGGCACAATACAGCCTCTCACTCTCATTCTCAATCATTTCAACTCAAGGCAGGTAAACTTTTCTTCAATGAATGAAGGTCATCAATCTTGAGTAGAGGTAATTGGACTTCTTCCTTAATCTGCTCAATTGAGTATCTCACAGAGTTCAAGCACTTCCCAAATATACCCAATATTTATATATTGGGTATATACCAATATATATATACCCAATAGTCACTTTATACCCAATAGTCACTTTATGATGACCCAAATATACCCAATAGTCACTTTACCATGACAGCTGACCTGTTCTTGCTAAACACAATCTAGCCAGTGGAAGTAAGATTCCACTGGAGTGTGCCCCATGTGCCTCCTTCTTTTTCTACTGAGATTCTTGCTCCAGAACCCTATGAATACTCTGCTACCACTGAGAAAATAGAGAAGTTCTCTATTTTCATCCTATAGTCTTTTGAGATGTTTGACACTGAGACAGAACTAATACAGAAAGCATGATCTCAGCAGTTAAGTTAAATACTCTTTTTTCCCCTACACTTTCTCTTTGCCAGTTCTTATGGGTAAAGTAAACTAAAGAAAAGTGAAAATATATAGAGGTATATATATATATGTTGAATGAATACAAATCATTCTACCATGAGGTAAGACAAACAGTGGGCATATAGGGAAACCCCATCCAAAGTGAACACAGGGCCCCTGAAAGGTGAGGGGCTCATTTCATTATTTTCATATTTGTCTTTCATATGACAAATAAGGTAAAAGTGGCCTCCAACTGGTGGAGCAAATATCAGTTGTAGAAGACAGTCCCCCATTGTTTTGTACAAAGGACAGTTTCTATTTACCCTGGTCACAGTTGTCATAAACATTTCAGAGCTGTGTACCTCACTGTTTACTTAGGCATTAATAAGCTTTATTTTACCAAAATTTTCAACAGCATGAAAGTGTAGTTCTTTCACCCCTCAATCCACTTGGGACTAATTTGAGCAATGCAGGGCTTAGTAGCAGGAAGCATGTAAAAATTTCATCCCAATTTTTGGCAGCTTCAGAAGCTGGTGTGTTTACTTTCGGATATCTAACAATTCTGGAACTTCATAAATGAAGAAGCTAACTGCAAGACTTTGACATATTTTTGAAAAGGAAAGAAGTCAAAAGTTTCCTCTTCCCTGCTTCCTCTGGATTAGGCCAGAAAGTCTTTATATCAAATTGTCAGTCTTTGCCTTTGCTAGGTTTGCCCAGGACGTAAAAGACCCACCTGTTCACAAAGCTAGGAGCCCCTGAAAATAGGTGCACAGGCCAGGAGCCCTCACATCTTTGGCCTGCAGCCCTTCCCTAGCTCCTAAAGTAAACATGCAGGGGGCTGGGGTTGCAAATTCCCAGGAGGCAAGACCACTGGTGAGAGTTTCCAGAAGCAGCCAGGGGTCTCTACCACTTCCCTGCTCTGCTGTTGTCTTCCAGCCTCGGAAAAAGTGGAAAAGGCTCTGCTTACCAGACAAACTACACTGACAAATAACAACTGCTCATCATGTACTCCAGCCCCAACTGCAGGATAGCAGCTGCTCCCTTAAAGACCAGAACACCAAGAAACTCAACACGGTCCAGGCTACCAGCATATTCTGTTCTAGAAAGTTGTTTGTGTTTGTGTTTGTGTCTGTCATATTGGTGTACAATAATACTCAGAATGACCAGCTAATATTTATTAAGCCCTTTCTGTATGTCAGGCACCCATCAAAGCAGTTGATGTATTATAAATCATTTAATCTTCATAACAACTCTATTGAATTAAGAACACTTTTTATCCCCATTTAGCAGAAGAGAAAACTGAAACCCACAGTGTCTAGAAAGTGCTCTGGTGAGAAATATTTGCTAATTGAATTCGTAAAAGTAAGAAAGCACTACTCCATATAAATAATGTCATAAATAGGGGGAGAACTTCCAAGATAAACCCACAAACCTATTTAACCCATTCTTATCTTTTTTAGTTATTATTTTAACACTACCTCATTTAAGCCTAATAGTCATTATAACATTGTTTTTAGAGAGAAATCTGTTCCCAACTGTAGCTTCTGGCTTGAGCAGCTATTTTCTTTTTTTTTTCTCTTTTTTTTTTTTTCTGAGATGGAGTCTTGCTCTGTCCCCCAGGCAGGAGTGCAGTGGCGCGATCTCGGCTCACTGTAGCTTCTGCCTCCCAGGCTGAAGCGATTCTCCTGCCTCAGCCTCCTGAGTAGCTGGGACTACAAGCATGCACCACCAGGCCTGGCTGATTTTTATATTTTCAGTAGAGAGAGGGTTTCGCCATGTTGGCCAGACTGGTCTCAAACTCCTGGCCTCAAGTGATCCACCTGCCTTGGCCTCCCAAAGTGCCAGGATTACAGGTGTGAGCCACCATGCCTGGCCACCAAGCAGCTACTTTCTAAAGCAATATTAATAATGCCAAGGGCAGGTATAAAGCTAAGCAGGTGCAGTCTCTACCATGTAGGAACTTCTATCCCTGCCCCACCCCAAAGAGCAGAGTGGGGGTTTGCTGGAGGGGCTTCCAGCTTTGACTGGAATGGCAATAAGTCCTTCTGGACATCAGTGCTTGCTCTCTCTCCACCCCAGATGCTCCCACACCCTTCCAACAGAACTCTTGGGGTCACTAACCTGCTATAGAAATTGTGGAAACATCATTTCCCAAATCACATTTTTAAATTAAATTAATGAATAGAATTTTCTCAAGTCTTCATTTTCCTTACACTTTTGGCACCTGTTACTGCTTGTCTGGTGACACGTGCTAGCAGATGACAAAATGAATTAACTAGTGGTATATTAACATTAGCAGAAAAATGGAGAAACAGTTGATCCTGTTTAGCTCAACAGCGAGGAGTTATTTTTTGGCCTGGGTGTTCACAGTTGTAATTTTACAGTACAATATATATTTAAGCAGTCCTACTTTCTGTTTGTAAGATCAAGTCTACTTTTTGTGGTGAAATAAAATATATTAGCATCTCATAGTGTTCCTCAGTAGCATCAACAACACCCTCTACCACCTACACAGCTTTGAGGATTCCTGAACTAACTCTGTCTTGGTTGGACTCCACACATGTCTACCCCACCCAAGTATCTCAGAGGAGTTTTCCCACCTTACACTGTGAGCTCTTTGAAGGCTCAGGTTGTCTCTTGTTTATTTTTGTATACTCAGTGGCACCATCAGTTAGGGATTCATAGTTACAGTAAGTGTATAATAAACTTTGCTGAATTTAAACTGATCCCAGTGTAAGTAAGTGAACTAAGCTCTGAACTTGTCTTTCCTTCCCATCCCATCCATCAACGGAGGGCTGCCCTGAGTCACATGTTTGAACAGAGCCTGCTTGTGAGCCACTTCTCCTTTTATCTAAACAACATAAAATGTTAAAGAAAAGGCAATCTGGCTTAAAGAGCTGTTTTTTGTTTGTTTGTTTGTTTGTTTGTTTGTATGTTTGCTTTTGTAGTGAGAATATGATTGCATGTTAAACCTACAGATGTTTTAACTCAGTTCACTTCCTATTTATTAGTGTTTCTAAATACAGATATACTCTCATCAGGTAAACCCGTTGAGTTAAACTTTGCAGGACCCAACAGCAAAAGTTTCTAAGTAAAGCAATATTCTTCTCTGCTGAGTTTTTAAGTAAAATGCTAAGTGAAAAGAACTAAAATTAGGAGTTTAATTTAATATTTCAGTAATTATACATTTTCAATGTCTCCTTTTAGCTTCAGCACAAATTCAACCTAATCTCTGTTTATCATTATCCAGCTGATATAAATGTGCTGCAAAATCTGTAATCATCAAGAACAATGTGATTATTTCCACTGCCCACTGCTTTTAAAAATCAATTTTATGCATTGGGAACAGGATTGGTTTTCAGCTAAGCCTTTGTCAAGAGAGAAAGAAAAGGAAGGAAAGAAAAAGGAAGGAAGGGAGGAAAGAAGAAAGAAAGGAAGGGAGGGAGGCAGGGAGGGAAGGAGGGAGGGAGGGAGGGAGGGAGATAGTAAGATAAATAACAAGAATCCCCCAATTCCTTGAAAATTCTACTTAACTGAATTTTATTGCACATGGAAATCTTTTTTTTTTTTTGAAGAAATAAAAAATGAAATAATTACATTCTTGGCAAAAGATCTGCCGGGTAATTCCTTTTAGATGGCAATTTCTCTGCTGAATTTAAAATGCAATTTGATTTACAAAAGTATGATTTTTCAAGCGGTGGAAATCTGTCTGTTGTGTGGAGCACACCCAGCTGGTTTACTTTCTGTGCCTGGAGACCCCACTGTGCGTCTTCCAAAGGTACATTTGCAGCCAAAGAACAGCTTAAATCCTGGGAAAATCTGCCTCAATAACGTTTTTTTGGAGAAAGAGGCAAGATATTTTTTTCTCCCTGCATTTGGATTTGGCCAATATCTCATTTTAAACAGCCTATTCTCAAAAGCATTACGACATAGGAAGAAGGAGGAGTGCCATCAGCAAACCGAAACAAACATGGGTCCACTAGTGTGCCCAGGGCTTCCTGCCAGGCCAGCCCATCCAGATACAGGCACCCCTCCTCTTGGTGTCCCTAGACAGGCAAGGCTGACCAGCTACAGCTGGCTGCATGCACCTTGGGAGCCACAGATTGCGTTTGTTGATAAGTAAACACATTATTGCTTATCAGATGCGCATTCTTTTCCAATGTGCAAAATATTCCCGTATGGCATGCAAAAGCTTATTTTGGAAGTATCCCCAAACAGCTTTGAGTAGGAATTCCCAGTGAGCAGATTCCCTCATTATTATACCCAATCATCCTTTCAATCTCTCTTAGACATTGCTTGTAACTGACTCCTTTATGATTGCATTGCTTTCTTTCTTGCTACAACAAATGCAGAGATCTGGTTTAAGACTAAATCTCAGGTTCAAACACTCAGAAGGAAGATTTCCTCTAGCTCAGTGATGATCAAACTAGCAGGCATAAAAATCATCAGGAAAGCTTGTTAAAACACAGATAGCTGAGCCCCACCCCCACAGCTTCTGATTTGGTTGATCTGGTATGGGGCCCCGGAATTTGCCTCACTCGCAAGTCCTCAGGTAATGTTGATGCTACTGGTCTGGAGACCACACTTTGAGAACTACTGTTCTAAACAAATTGGCTGTCATGCTGAGTGCAAAAACTCAGCAGGTGTGCACAGAAAAAGCTGGCTTTAATGCACCAGCCCAGGCACTCTTAAACTCAGACGAAGAGAAAGAGAGTGGACTGTTCCCTTTCCAGCAAAGAGTAGGAAATGACAGCTCCCATGAATCCAGGAAAGATGGATGGAGAACCTAGTGGAAGGAGGGGCCCCTGGAGGAGCTGGGAAGGCCATGTCTGAGCATTGTTGCCAGTGGGCTCCAGTGTATTAGGTACCACACAGACTGGAAAAGAGAACTCCGAGAAACTTCGGTAATGGTTATTAGAAGAGTAAGGAGCTGGTTTTCCAAACACAAGTTATGGAGCATTTTTTCCAAATTACATTACACAAGTCAATCATAATCTTGTATTTCAAACATTTTCAAATAAATTTGAATTTCTGGATCATAACTAAATTACATCATCTAGTTCATATCTTGAGGCCTATAGATTCTAACTAGTCTAAGAGGCAGTCTGTTAATCAAAGGGATAAAATCTAGTTATAAAATAGCATTTGCATAATAGATCTAAGCACCAAAAGAGGATTGTCCAGGGGGCCCTTTTGAATATCAGAAGATATAAAAAATATTTTATATCTTTGGGGCCGATATATAAAGATTATCAGCCCTAAACACTATCATGTATATAATATGCAACTTACAGATATGCATTATTACTCAGATGCAAGCCAGTCTAAGACAAGACACTCAACTATCTCCAGGTCTGAAGTATTCATTTATCACCACTTGGAGCCATTTAATTATTTATTAAGCGAGACCTGACTAAACAACACGAATAGAGCCCTGGCTGCCAGCCCAGTCCAAGTCCTCATTATTGCACTATGCCTGGATTAAAATCCTTTTCATTGATCTTAATGGGTCAAGATAGGCTCTACTTTAAAAAACCTTTTTATAACTCCTTAGCTTCATGATATGGCCACCCTTTACATTTCCAGTGTCCTCGCTCACTATCCACCCACCCAATGCCCAAGAATGCGACACCAATCAACCTAGAAACCCTATGCATTGCCTCTGATTAATATTCCTAAAACAACAGTGTTTTCATCTTATTGATAACTACCTTGCTCGAAAACATACAGTGACCCCTCACTGCCTACAGATTTAAGGTCAGCCCCTCTCTCTTTTTAAAAACAGAAATTCAATTTCTTCAATTGTTATTGAGATGGGGTCTCATTGTATTGCCCAGGCTGGTCTCAAACTCCTGGGCTAAAGAGATCTTCCTGCCTTGGCCTCCCAAAGGGCTAGTATTATGGGTATGAGCCACCACACCCAACCCAAGCGCCTCTCTTTTTATTGAAAAGAGTTCACTGTTTAACCTAACTCACCTTATTTCAATAACTCCCTAAATAAGCACTTGACTCCAGAACATCAGTTTCACACACAAGTGTGTGCATGTGCTCACACCCACATGCCATCTCAGTCTGAGCTTCTCTGTAAGACAACACATGGCTATTTCTCAGGGTCTATCTGACTTCCTAGAGCTGCGCTACCTAAAGAGTAGTCTGCAGAAGAGTACTAGGCCATGCACTGTCATGGTTTTTACACTTTCAAAAAGTTGTACAAGAATAAAAAATTGAATAATATGTAACAGAGAACATGTGTGGCCACACAACCAAAAGTATATCCTATGTGGCTTCCACTTTTACAGGAAATGTTTGGCTGGTCATCGTGGCTCATGCCTGTAATCCCAGCACTTTGGGAGGCTGAGGCAGGAGGATCACTTGAGCCCAGGAGTTCAAGACCAACTTGGGCAACGGAGTGAGACCCCATCTCTTAAAAAAAAAAAAAAAAAAAACTGGCCTGGCATGGTGGTATACACATGTGGTGGTATACACATGTGGTACTAGCTACTCGGGAGGCTAAGGTGAGAAGAGCACTTGAGCCCAGGAGGCCAAGGCTGCAGTGAGCTGTGGTCACACCACTGAATCCCAACCTGGGTGACAGAGCAAGATCCTGTCTTTAAAAAAAAAAAAAAACGGCCGGGCGCTCATGCCTGTAATCCCAGCACTTTGGGAGGCCCAGGAGGGTGGATCACCTGAGGTCAGGAGTTCAAGACCAGCCTGGCCAACATGGTGAAATCCCATCTCTACTAAAAATATAAAAATTAGCCAGGTGTGGTGGCGGGTAACCTCAGCAACTCAGGATGCTGAGGCAGGAGAATTGCTGGAACCTGGGAGGCAGAGGTTTCAATGAGCCGACATCACGCCATTGCACTCCAGCCCGGGCCAACAACAGCGAGACTGCGTCTCAAAAAAAAAAAAATCAGTAAAAGTTTGCTGGCTACATTCTAGAGCACTATGCCTTCATACTATCAAGAGTGCTTTATATTAATGTAAAGGTTTATACTATTATTTCATTTCCTATATGCCTTGCTTTCCTAATAAGACAATGCACATTTTTTGTGAGGGGAGATCAGAAGACTTCAGATAGGGCAGAGCCTGCAGTACACATAGAATTAGCTGTAGTGTGGTCTGAATGTTTGTGCTCCTCAAAATTCATATGTTAAAATGTAATCCTCCATGTAAGAGGAGGAGCCTTTTGGGAAGTGAAAAGGTCCTGAGGGCTTCACCCTCATGAATGGGTAAATTGCCTTAGAAAAGAGGCCTGAGGAAGCTTGTTTGCCCTTTTTGCCATTTAAAAACCCAGGGAAGGCACTGTCTGTGAAGAACGGGTCCTCACCAGACATGAAATCTGCTGGCACCCCGATACTTGACTTCCCAGCCTCCAGCCTGTGAGCAATAAGTTTCCATTGTTTATACATTACACAGTGTAAGGTATTTTGTTATCACAGTCCAAACGAACTAAGACGGTAGGTATCAAAAAGTGTTGATTTAATTGAACTGGCTCTGTTATCTTTATGTTCTCAAAAGCAAATTTCTCAGAATTTGGGTCTCTCACACACACCTCCCATTGTTTACTTTTGTCTGCTTAGTAACAATACAAGTTAGCTCTGCTTTACATTACTAAGAGCATTTTTTCAGTCTCACCAACTTTTTTTTTTCGAGATAGGGTCTTGCTTTGTTGCCCAGGCTGGAGTACAGTGGCACAATCTTGGCTCACTGCAGGCTCTGCTCTTGGGTTCAAAAGATTCTCATGCCTCAACCTCCCGAGTAGCAAGGATTACAAGCATATGCCACCACACCTGGCTAATTTTTTTTGTATTTTTAGTAGAAACAGGGTTTCGTCATGTTGGCCAGGCTGGTCTCAAACCCCTGGCCTCAAATGATACACCCCCGTCAGCTTCCCAAACTGCTGGGATTACAGGCTTGAGCCACCGTGCCCAGCCCTCATCAACTATTTAATGGAATGAACCTAAATACCTGTATTTGGTGAACAAGAATATCTACAGACAGGAAGGTTTCCATAAGGGGCTTGTGGTAGGCAGACCCTAAGATGGTCTCCCCTGGTCTCTCCTGGTATTCACCCCTTGGGCAGTCCATCCCCTTCAGTGTAGGCTGGACCTAGAAACTTGCTTCTAGAATATGGTAGAATTAATGGGGTGCCACTTCTCTGAGCAGGTTGTAGAATGTCTGCTGCTTCTGTCTCAGGGCTCTCCCTTGCTCTCTCTAGGATCTGGGGGAAGCCAGTTGTGCTTCTTAAGGCCTCCCTGTTGAGAGACTCATGCCAGTGAACTTGGAAGCAGATCTCCTAAAGCCTCTCAACAGCTACAGAAATTAACTTGAAAGGAGATCCTCTAACCAGCTGAGGCTTGAGATGACTGCAGCCCTGGCCAGGACCTCAGTCGCAGGCTGTGAGAGTCCTGGAGCCAAAATCACCCAGAGAAGCTACTCCTGGATTCCCAACACAGACCATTGAAATAATAAATGTTTATTGCTTTAACCTCTAAGGTTTTGGGGGTGATTTGTTATAGTAGTAGATAATTAATACAGAGCTATAATTTGTGGTTCAGACAAAAGGTTGTATATTTCCTGCTAAAAATCCATAAAAACCCAATTTCTAAAGTAATCCACTTGAAAATAATCATCGTGGACACTAGACTCCTTTCTGATAGAATTAATAGTTAAGTAAGGTCATGCTTAGTCTCATAGGCAAATATCATAACTATAAAGTAGAATTAGGCTTTTAAGGATGGCCTGGATATGCCTGGAATTCTTGTCCTGGTAATTCAAAAATAGTTGCAGAAGAACTTTTCTATAGCTAACCTGAGATCAGGAGAAAACAACTGCTTAAATAGAGTTTGTCTGGTTTCTCATGCTACTGTCTAAGAAACAGCTTGACAACAGACTTTTCAGCCCAGGAGGGAACTAATACTTCCCTGGGGAACAATTTCCCTGAAATACCATATAGTTCACACACGTGCATGTGCGCGCGCACACACACACACACACACGCTTATACCCAACATTAAATCAGAAACGACCAAAAAACTGCTTTTGACTCCTAAGGGCTGAGTGTGTCCAGGAAGCCTTGATTCAAGGGAGTCCTCCTCTATTTCCCATTAGCCTCTCTAATCAGGAGGTACTTTTTCAGGCAGCAGACCTAATTATCTGCTATTGTCATAGAGAAAAGACAGAATCCAGACTTGGAACTCACCACAATTTTGTACCCAGAATGTCATCATCAAATAATACTAAAGTTTCAGGCTGAGCATGGTGGCTCATGACTGTAATCTTAGCACTTTCGGAGGCTGAGGTGGGAGGACTGCTTGAGGCCAGGAGTTTGAGATCAGCCTGGGCAAAATAATGAGACCTACAAAAAAAATTTCAAAATGAGCTGGGCATGGGTGTCATGCGCCTGTAGTCCCAGCTACTCAGGAGGCTAAGGCGGGAGTATTGCTTGAGCCAGGGAGGTCAAGGCTGTAATGAGCCATGATTGCACCACTGCACTCCAGCCTAGATGACAGAGTGAGAACCTGTCTCAAGAAATAAATTAAATAAATAAATAAATAAATAAAGTTTCAAAGCAGATATTCTTTTTATTTGAGGGCATGGACTCTCTGGATTTTATGCCTCTGAATTCTCATATTCTCACTTTGGGGCCTGCTAGAATGGTTTACCCTAGAAATAAGTTCAGACAAAATTGTGATGGAGCTGGAGGTAAGCTCCAAGAACATGGGCTTTGGAGCCAGACTGAGCTGTGGTGAAGATTAAACTATATAATGTGTTTCATGCCAATGGCCAAGCTAGCAGACACCAAAAAGATGCTGAACCAGTGTTGGTTACACCACCATTCCCTTCAGTGAGGTGGCTGCTTCATCCTCCTCCCTCTTCCCTCCGCCAGTCACCACCACCCTGGTTCTAGTCCTCTTGCTCTTTGCTTTCTATGCTCAGAAAAATCTGCTCTCTGTCCAGGCACAGTGGCTCACACCAGTAATCCCAGCACTTTGGGAAGACAAGGTGGGCGGATCACCTAAGGTCAGGAGTTCAAGACCAGCCTGGCCAACATGGTGAAATCCTGTCTCTACCAAAAGGTACTAAAATTACCCGGGCAAGGTGGTGGGCACCTGTAGTCCCAGCTACTTGGGAGGCTGAGGCATGAGAATCGCTTGGACCCAGGAGGCGGAGGTTGCAGTAAGCAGAGATCGCGCCCCTGCACTCCAGCCTGGGCGACAGAGTGAGACTCTGTCTCAAGGAAAAAAAAGAAAAATCTGCTCTCACATTCTTTGGCCAAATTCAAGTGATTGAATAACAACTGTAACTATGCTTTTCCCAAACACATTTATGCATTAACAAGTATTAATGAGACTTTTTGTCCCAGATACTGTGAGACATTTATGTGTCCTGATGCCATCTGTAAGCTCTAGAGTCAGACTGCCACTACTCAAATGCCACCTGTTCCACTTACTACCGTGTGACTGGGGCAAAGGACTTAGCACCTCGACATTTACAGCTTCCTCATTAGTAAAATAAAAACATCTAAGCATGTGGCAAAGATAAAATGAGAAAATCTAGGTAACATTCTTAGAAAAGCTCTAAAGTATAGACATTGGCATGTAAGCCACTTGAACACAGAGACTGCCACGCTTTTGGCTGTGCCTTACAACCTGGAACGGGGCCCAATATGAAGTACAGGTTCAAATACTTGTTGAATAAATGAATGAGGCCAGGTGCAATGGCTCACACTTAAAATCCTGGTGCTTTGGGAGGCCAAGGCAGGAGGATCACTGGAGCCCAGGAGTTCAAGGCTGTGGTGAGCTACCACTGCACCACTGCACTCCAGCCTAGGCAACAAAGGGAGTCACTGTTTCGCTGTTTCTAAAAAAATAAAAAATAAAAATAAATGAATGAGTATGTTATATGCATATAGAAACTAAAATATTTATTAGGCTTTTTTTTTTTTTTTTTTTTGTAGAGACGGGATTTCACCATGTCGCCCAGGCTGTTTGTTCTCAAAATCCTGGCTCAAGCAATCCTCCCACCTCAATCTCCCGAAGTGCTGGGATTACAAGCATGAGCCACTGTGCCTGGCAATGTATTAGGCTTTTTATTACAAAGATATACAAATAAGAACACAGATTATCTACTTGTCTTTTTTTAATTAAAAAAAAAAAAAAAAACTCATGGGAGCACCTAAATGTAAAGTAAATATTAACAGAACTGAAAGAAGAGATAGCATTACAGTAATAGTAGTAGACTTTAATACCTGACTTTCAACAATAGGTAGATGATACAGGCAGAAAATCAATGAGGAAACAGCAGACTTGAATATTACAGACCAAATGGACCTAACAGACATGTATAGAACATTCCATCTAACAAATCTAACAGTAGCAGAATACACGTTCTTTTTTTTTTTTTTTTTTTTTTTGAGACAGGGTCTCACTCTGTCACCCAGGCTGAAGTGCAGTAGCAGATCTTGGCTCACTGCAGCCTTGACCTCCTGGGCTCAAACAATCTTCCCACCGCAATCCCTGAAGCAGCTGGGACTACAGGCACACATCACCATGCCCAGCTAATTTTTTTATTTTTATTTTTTTGTGGAGATGGGGTTTCACCATAGTTCCCAAGCTGATCTCCAACTCCCAAGCTCAAGCAATCTGCCCTCCTTGTCCTCCCAAAGTGCTGGGATTACAGGCATTACAGGCATGAGCCACTGCTACTGGCCTAGAATACACATTCTTTTTAAGTGCACATAGAACATTTTCCAGTAGAGATCATATGCTTGGCTTCAAAACAAATGTTAACAAATTTAAGAAAATTGAAATCATATCAAGTATCTTTTCTGCCCACAGCGCACAATGGTATGGAACTAGAAATTAATAACAGAAGGAAACTTGAAAAATTCACAAATATGTGGAAATTAAACAGCGCACTCATGAACAACCAGTGGATCAAAGAAGAAATCAAAAGGAAGCAAGAAAAAGAAGAAAGCAAGAGATATCTTGAGACAAATAAATGGAAACACAACATGCCAAAATTTATGGAATTCAGCAAAAGCAGTTCTAAGATGGAAGTTTATGGTGATAAAGGCTTACGTTAAGAAAAAAATGGTTTCAAATAAACAATCTAACTTGACAACTCAAGGAACTAGAAAAAGAAGAATGAACTAAACCCAAAGTTAACAGAAGGAAGGAGATAAAAAGACCAGAACAGACAGAACAGAATAGAGAGCTCAGTATTTATGGTCAGTTAATTCTTGACAAAGGTGCCAAGAACTCACAATAGGGAAAGGATAGTCTCTTCAATAAATGGTGCTGGGAAAATTGTGTATCCACATGCAGAAGAGTAAAACTGAATCCTTATCTCATACCATATACAAAAATCAACTCAAAATAGATTAAAGACTAAACATAAGACCTGAAACTGTAAAACTACCAGACAAAAACATGCAGGAAAATCTTCTTGACATTGGTCTGGGCAATGATTTTTTTGGCTATAGCCCCCAAAATTCAGGCAACAGAAAAAAAAATAGACAAATGTGATTGCATCAAACTAAAACCTTCTCTACAGCAAGGGAAACCATCAACAGAATGGAGAGACAACCTATGGAATGGGAAAAAGTATTTGCAGAGGATACATCTGGTGAAGGGTCAATATCTGAAATATATAAGGAACTCAAGCAATTTGATAGCAAAAAAAAAAAAAAACCAAATAACCCAATTTTTAACTGGGCAAACGATCTGAATAGGTATTTCTCAAAAGAAGACATACAAATAGCAAACAAATATGTGGAGAAATGCTCAGCATCACCAATCATCAAGGAAATGCAAATTAAAACCACAATGAGATATCTATACTTCACACCTGTTAGAATGGCTGTTATCAAAAAGACAAAAGATATCAAGTGTTGGTAAGCATGTGGAAAAAAAGAAAACCCTTGTACACCTTTGGCAGGAATATAAATTGGTACAGCCGCTACAGAAAATAGTATGAAGTTTCCTTAACACATTGAAAATAACGCTACCATATAATCCAGCAATTCCACTTAGGAATATGTATCGAAAGAAAGCTAAATTAGTATTTCAAGGAGATATGTACACTCCCATGTTCATTGCAGCATTATTCACAATAGATAAGATATGCAATTAACCCAAGTGTTTACCAATTAATAAATAAAGTGTGTGCATGTATGTGTGTAGTGAAATCTTATCCACCTTAAAAAAGAAGGAAATCCTGTTATTTGCAACAATGTGGATGAACCCGGAAGACATTATGCTAAGTGAAATAAGCTAGGCACAAAAAGACAAATACTGCATGATTCACTTGTATATGAAATCTAGGCTGGGTGCGGTGGCTCACGCCTGTAATCCCAGCACTTTGGGAGGCCAAGGCAGGCGGATCACAAGGTCAGGAGTTTGAGACCAGCCTGGCCAATATGGTGAAACCCCGTTTCTACTAAAAATACAAAAATGAGCCGGGCATGGTGATGTGTGCCTGTAATCCCAGCCACTTGGGAGGCTGAGGCAGGAGAATCGCTGAACCCAGGGAGGCGGAGGTGGCAGTGAGCCAAAATCATACCACTGCACTCCAGCCTGGGTGACAGAGCGAGACTCTCTCTCAAAAAAAGAAAAGAAAAAAAAAAGAAATCTAAAACAGTCAAATTCACAGAAGCAGAGAGTAGAATGGTAATTGTCACAGTCCAAGAGGTGAAGAAAATGGGGAGATCTTGGTTAAAGAGTACAACGCTTCAGTTATGCAGGATGAGTAAGTTCTGGAGATCTAATACGAAGTATGGTGACTATCGTTGTATTACTATATAGTTGTATTGCTATAGTTGTAATACTATATTGTATACTTAAGATTGCTAAGAGTGTACATATTAAATGTTTTCAGCACACATTCAAAAAGCTATGTGAGCTGATGGATATGTTACTTAGGTAATCATTTCACAATGTGCATGTATATTGAAATGTCATGTTGCACATCTTAAATATACACGGTTTTTATTTGTCCATTATACCTTAATAAAGCTGGCAAAAAAGGCCTCATTCAAAGACCTCATTCATAAAGTTTAAAAATTCAACTTATTAGCCTGGCACAGTGGCTCATACCTGTAATCCCAGCACTTTGGGAGGCGGAGGCGGGCAGATCACTCGAGGACAGGAGTTTGAAATCAGCCTGGCCAAAACGGCAAAACCCTTTCTCTACTAAAAATACAAAAATTAGCCAGGTGTGGTGGCACACCTGGAATCCCAGCTACTCAGGAGGCCGAGGCAGAGAATCACTTGAACCTGAGAGGCGAAGGCTGCAGTGAGCCAAGATCACACCACTGCACTTCAGCCTGGGTGACAGAGCGAGACTCCACCTCAAAAAAAAAAAAAAATTCAACTTATTACACTTTAATTTTAGTGCATTTAGTAAGTTGAACCTAAGAAAAATGACAAAATGAGAAATAAAAGCCAGCCATTTCATTTTCTCTAGAACTTTTCCCCCAAAGGAAGCCACGGCTTCTCATGTTTCCTGCCAAAGAAACAAAAAACTCTATGCATGTATTATAAACAGCCATTGAGATGTAAAGACAATGAATGTAAGCCCGAATTTAAAATTTCAAAAGTCAGAGAGCACAGAAGAAGCAGAGGGAGATCTGGGAGGAGAAGACTTTAGGATCTTCCACAGTCCGTGACATCAGACTGTGTTGACCACTTGGTGCAAACAAGTGGCACCTTGGTGGTATAGGCGACCGTTGCCTAAGTTGTGCCTCTTTCTTTCTGACCGGGAAGACACTAGAACCACGATGGCATCATTTTATATGCTGTTCCAACTTCTTGAATCATGATGATGAGGCTCCATGCAGGACTCAGAGCAGAGCTCAACTGATTAGCAATGTCTACTGTGGGTACAAGAGTAGTATAACATTCTTGACGCTATACCAGAGTTTATTTCCTGAAAAAAATTTGTTTTTTTTTTTTTGAGACGGGATCTCACTCTGTCACCCAGGCTGGAGTGCAGTGGCATGATCTTGGCTCACTGCAACCTCCACCTCCTGGGTTCAAGCAATTTTCCTGTCTCAGTCTCCCGAGTAGCTGGGACTGTAGGCACAGGCCATCATGCCCAGCTGATTTTTTTTTTTTTTTTTTGGTAATTTTAGTAGAGATGGGGTTTCATCATATTGGTCAGGATGGTCTTGAACTCCTGACCTCAGGTGATACACTCCCCCACCCTTGGCCTCCCAAAATACTGGGATTACAGGTATGAGCCACCGTGCCCAGCCTATTTCCTGAAATAAACAAGGAAATTGTTTGATTCCTGGTCTGCCTTGGGATCTTTGTGATATACCTAAAATGCCTCTGTGATTCATTACCCTTGTAATCATCAAATAAGACTTCACTCAGTTGCAAGTGAGAGAAATGCTACTGCAAGAGACATAGGAAATAAGACAACTTTTGGTTCACGTAACTCAGAAGTCCAGGGAAAATGAATGTCTGGATCCATGTTCTGTGATAGTTTCATTAAGAATTGCCTTCATCCTCAGCTCTGATAGACGTGGGGCTTTATTTTAAAGCAGTACCATCTTTGTGGTAGTAAGATTGTTCTCACAGGTTTTAGGCTTATGGCCTGCTGGCTTAGCAACCAGCAAGAAGGTTGTCTCTTATCCCAATTATAGCACCAAGTAGCTTAGAGCAGACATACTGGATATCTTGGATCACATAACCATTGCTAGAATAATCACTACAACCAGGAAGATGGACAACACACAATGCCCCCACCTGAAAAATAGGCCCTTACTGACACTAGAAAGTGAAATTTGCTCTATGTGAACAACACCATTTAGGACAAGGGTGACTATCCAAAGAATAATCAGGATGTGGCTAGCAGAAGAAAGAAGAATGTAAACACGGAAGCCAAAACAGGACATTTATACCCCAAGGTCGTCCTACTTAACAGGTGAGAAGAGAGCAGTAGTAGAACATGTTAGTCAGCCTAATCTGCATAGCTGCATCATTGATTGGCTCATCAACCCTAGGAGCAAAAAGTCAGCACAATGGGAATGCAGTGGAACTGGCACCATGAAGTGTTTTGAAAAGAAATCAACTCTTTTGTTTTAAAAGAGGAAGTTGCTGCCATTCAAGTGCCCAGAAATAGAATACATTTTTCTTATATTTATTAAAGCTAATTATAGATAGAAAGAAAGCGAAGACCCCAAACCTCAACCTTGTATAGGAAAGAAGATATGTAGTTTGATTTAAAAATGTATAATAAATAATTATTTTCAAGTTAAAATACATAATGACAACAGGCATTTATTCAAGGTAAATCAATTCATTCAGAGTTATCTGAGAATAAAGAAGGTTTTGGACTAATCCAGATGTTTACTTCTATGTTGCTTTCTCTTTGCTCCAGCCGTAAAATGTTAAATTACAAATGGATCAGGGGTTAAAGAGTCCTCAGGTCAATCTTAAGTCTAAACTTTTGCCACAGAGTTTATAAAGGTTGGCAAAACCAAGAGAAGATCATCATCGCCACTACTGTAACCTCCACTCTCACCTGAAAACCATGGCAAATCTCTTGCCTGGCATCATGTTTCGTGTGTTGGTACCATAAATTGGAAAAAGTGAGCAGCTAACATCAGAAAAGTTTAGATGACAGGTTTTATGTAATGAATTATTGGGACCAGACTTTTTTTTTTTAATAAACTAGTTGACTTTAAAAAAAAAATGTTGCTCTTTTTAAAGGCTTATGCTGATAGGAAGACACCTTTACACATGAAGAAGACAACCTTCTTAATTCTCAAGGTCAGGATAGCTCCTTATCCAATTGCAGTACCCCACAAGTGATCATGGAATAATGAGACAGAAATAAAATCTTGAGGACTCAACCAGGCCATTCTCCAAAATTCAGAATTGGCCTCACTTTAATAATCACTGATGATTAAAGAATATATCTTGTTTTAAAAGAACACTTAAGTAAAGAGGTAGTTCATAATTTCCTTAAGTATTCCATCCTGGTATTTAGCAATCTTTTTTCTTAGAGAAGAAAAACTATTTGATATTTATGTCTCTGTTAATCCTTTACCTCAAAGCATTTATTCAGCCTTCATATATAATTTTCAGGGATACCTATAATGGAAAAGAAGATATTTTATTCCATAAATATTTGTGCAAAACAAGATGTTCAGTACTATTTTAACAATAATTTCAGTCATCTAATCCTTTTCTGCCTTCCACTACTTCACTGCATTTTCTGTCTTGAATTTCAACTTATAGCAATCTAATCTCTCAAGGCATATATGCTGAGGGAATGTTTTCAGCTACATTATTTGCTTCTTTAGAAGATAACTTCAGTGTAAGGGTAATGAAAGTACAGAGAGTTCTTGGAATCCTTTCTAAAATGTCCTTTGTTTAGTCAATATTTACAAATCACCTTCTTTGTTTTTGTTCTGTAAATAGAACAATAGAGAGACAGTGAAATGATAAGAGTGGTAGATGGTGCGTGGGTATGAAATTTAGCTACAGCCTTTTGAAATAAATTGGATACTAATTTAACTTGCATTTTAACCTCAAGCTGGTCATAATAGAATGGAATATGTCTTTTCTTATAACTACATAGAACCAAAGGGCTTTTTATAATTAGCAAATACCACATAGGTGTCATAGGATCTGCTTATGTTTTTCAGTTTTCATCTTTTGCTTCTCAAACTCACTGTTAATGGAGGACTACAGGACATTCACATAGACTGAGAAATTTTCCACTGTCATTCATAATGTGGGTTCTATTGAGAAGCAGACACACTGCGCTAGATACAGATACAGAGCAAAGATGAATTAGTAGCCCAGAGACTGGAAAGAAGAATCAAGAAAAAGAATTTGCTTAGATTCATTGACTTGCTGAGAGAAACACCAATTCTCTTCTAGATACTACTAAGAGTGCAGAATGGCATAGAAGAAAGCCACATAATTCAATCAGCAAATGACATTTTGGCTCAAATTCTTTTTGCTTTTTATGTCGTTTTTAGGGACAGGGCTGGAGTTCAGTGGTGTGATCACAGTTCACTGCAGCCTGGAACTCCTGGTCTCAAGCAATCCTCTCGTCTCAATCCCCCAAGTAGATGGGACTACAGGCACATGCCACCACACCTAGCTATTCTTTAATGCTTTTGTAGAGACAGGGGTCTCACCATTTTGCCTAAGCTGATTTTGAACTCCAATCCAGGGCCTCCAACCCTGGGATTACAGGCATGAGCTGCTGTACCTGGCCATATTCCCTTGCCTTTTACAGCTTCTAGAGGCTGCCTGCATTTTTGCTGTGGCCCCTTCCTCTGGCTTCAAAGCCAGCCATCTTCCTTCATTTTCACATTGCACTATAACTTAGCCAGGAAATATTCTCTCCATTTAAGGACTAATGTGATTAGACTGGGCCCACCCAAATAATCTGGGACAATCTCCTTGTCTCAAAGTTTGAACATCAATCACATCTGCAAAATCCTTTTTGCCAGGTAAGGTAACATATTCACAGGTTTTGGAGAGTAGAGTGTGACTATCTTTGGGGGCCATTATTCTCCCTACCACCCTATCTTAGCTTCAATTTCCTAACCTGTGAAACTTTGTAGGCTGCTGTAAGAATCACCATGCCACAGAGAGAGGGCCTAAAACCATGCCTGGTATGTAGGTATCAATAAGTGGTTATGAAGATGTAGATAATGATAAAGATAATGAAAAATATATGGACAGACTATTGTCAAATAGGGAGGGGGATTGAGTGAGAAAAACCCAAAATTACGGAAATAAGAATGAAAATGTATGGAAGGGGCCAGGCGCAGTGGCTCACACCTGTAATCCCAGCACTTTGGGAGGCCGAGAGTTTGAGAACAGTCTGACGTACATGAAGAAACCCTGTCTCTACTAAAAATACAAAATTAGCTGGGCATGGGGGTGCACGCCTGTAATCCCAGGTACTCGGGAGGCTGAGGCAGGAGAATTGCTTGAATCTGGGAGGCAGAGGTCGCGGTGAGGCGAGATTGTACCATTGCACTCCAGCCTAGGCAACAAGAGCGAAACTCCATCTCAAAAAAAAAGGCCAGGCACTGTGGCTCACACCTGTAATCCCAGCACTTTGGGAGGCCATGTCGGGCGGATCACTTGAGGTCAAAAGTTAGAGACCAGCCTGGCCAACATAGTGAAACCATGTCTTTACTAAAAATACAAAAATCAGCTGGGCGTGGTGGTGCATGCCTGTAATCCCAGCTACTGAAGAGACTGAGGCAGGAGAATCACTTGAACCTGGGAGGCGGGGATTGCAGTGAGCTGAGCTTGTACCACTGCATTACGGCTTGGATGACTTGAGACAGGTAGGCAAAAGAAAAGAAAAAAAATAATTTTGGTATAAGAATGCCCATGTTTTAATCCTTAGCTGAAAAAGCATACATAATTGATTGTTCTAAGAAGTAAATTACTTTTTTCACTGAAGGTGATTTAGAAAAGGCAAAGAATGTCAAGGGAAAGAAGAAATGAACAATTTTCAAATAATCACTAAGAAAATAAAGTATTACCTTTCTTCTGTTATTGTACCTTATATTAAAGTATATTTGTTCAGTAAATTTTGATTAATTTGTATTTCAAGTATTCCAATTTTCTCTCTGCCTAGTATGTCTTATTTGAGTCTAAGTTCCATATCAAAGCATTTCAGGGAATTTTTAAAAGCTAAACTGCTCACATAATTTAAACTGCTCACCACAATTTAAGTGTTACAAGAACAGTTTTCAGCATGAAAACTGAAGTCCCCAAAAGGTATGCAAACGCAACCTTATTACTTCCTGGTATTAACATCAACATGAAAGTGAAGTCACGGCCAGGCGCGGTGACTCACGCCTGTAATCCCAACACTTTGGGAAGCCAAGTGGGCGGATAACTTGAGACCAGGAGTTCAAGACCATCCTGGCCAACATGGTGAAACCACATCTCTACTAAAAATACAAAAAATAGCCAGGCATGGTGGCACATGCCTGTAATCCCAGCTACTTGGGAGGCTGAGACACAAGAATTGCTTGAAGCTGGGAGGCAGAGGTTGCAGTGAGCCAAGCTCAAGCCACTGCACTCCAGCATGGGCGACAGTGCGAGACTCTGTCTCAAAAAAAAAAAAAAAAAAAAAAGGCCGGGCATGGTGACTCACACCTGTAATCCCAGCACTATGGGAGGCCAAAGCGGGTGGATCACCTGAGGTCAAGCGTTTGAGACCAGCCTGGCCAACATGGTGAAACCCTGTCTCTACTAAAAATACAAAAATTAGCAGGGTGTGATGGTGTGCGCCTGTAATCCCAGCTATTCGGGAGGCTGAGGCAGGAGAATCGCTTGAACTTGGGAGGCAGAGGTTGCAGTGAGCCAAGATTGTGTCACTGCACTCCAGCCTGGGCGACAGGATGAGATTCACAAAAAAAAAAACTGGTTGAACCATGATAACTTTAGTCAAACTAATTATTTGTGACTGTTACTTAGATAAAATTAATGAACTTGACTGGCTTAAAACCATAATATTTGTTTGCTTTTTTTTTTTAAACCAAATTTGGTGGAATTTGAATTTAGGTGGGTGTAGGAAAAAAATCAAATGCAATTTATATGTTTCAACATCAGCTTCATGTGTGCAGAATACTGCAGACTTCCTCGATACAGAGAGCAAGAGTGCAGTAAGGTCGGCCAGGCACGGTGGCTCACGCCTGTAATCCCAGCAGTTTGGGAGGCCAAGGCGAGCGGATCACCTGAGGTCAGGAGTTTGAGACCAGCCTGGCCAACATGGCAAAACCCCGTCTCTACTAAAAATACAAAACAAATTAGCCGGGTGTGGTGGCGTGCGCCTGTAATCCCAGCTACTCTGGAGGCTGAGGCAGGAGAATCACTTGAACCCAGGAAGCAGAGGTTGCAGTGAGCCAAGCTCGAGCCACTGCACTCCAGCCTGGGCAACAGAGCAAGACTCTATCTCAAAAAACAAAAGAAAAGAAAGAAAAAAGAGTGTACTAAGATCTACAGCTAGGAGGTGCTGGCTCCAAAGAGGTCACCTGGTGACTCAAACATCCACCTGCCACAGCACTGGCATGTGGAAAGCAAGACATGCATTCTCTGAATGCTGCTAATAGGGGTTCTCTCAACCTCTGGGAACTAATTTATTTGTGATTTCTGAAAATACATCAATCAAAAGAACATCAAAACTTGGGGGAAAAAAAACAACAAACTCCCTTCAAGGGCATACTTAAAAACAGACTGAGTTGCCGTGTGCGGTGGCTCATGCCTGTAATCCCAGCACTTTGGGAAGCCGAGGTGGCTGAACACCTGAGGTCGGGAGTTCAAGACCAGCGTGACCAACATGGAGAAACCCCATCTGTACTAAAAATACAAAATTAGCCGGGTGTGGTGGTGCATGCCTGTTATCCCAGCTACTCCGGAGGCTGAGGCAGGAGAATCGCTTGAACCAGGAGGTGGAGGTTGTGGTGAGCCGAGGTCACAACATTGCACTCCAGTTTGGGCAACAAGAGTGAAACTCTGCCTCAAAAAAAAAAAAAAAAAAACAGACTGAGTTGAAGAAAACCACCTCCTGTTATTGTAACCAAAATTTTGTAGCCAAAATGGAATCTTTTTATGACTATACAAATTGTGCTGTCTGGGAAGACTGAAAATTTTCTTGGCATTTAAAAAATATTGTATGAATAGGCTAAAATGTCCCCAGTTTCCGTAAAAAGGGAAGCAAGTCTTATTAAAAGTTTTAAGAAATGTATGATGGCTAGCTAAACAACAGTATCATATGGAAGATCTACAATTTTGAGAAATTTATGTCTGTTAACAGACCCAGTATATTTAGCCCAGTTCAATTTATTAGAATATCAATTCATTCTTTACACAATATCAATTCCAGAAGTAAAACAGTTGAGGGAGTATACTGTCTCTACAAGTCAAACAATAATACAGTTTAAATAACAAAACCAACCATGTGACAATCCAGTTATTTCAATTACTTAAACATCTGAATCATAAAAACCACAGAGCAGCCTGAATGATGTCATGGTACCTGGCATCCAGCTGGCTTTGAAACCTCTGCCTAATTGAAACTGCTTC
The DNA here is from genome assembly GCF_000001405.40 of Homo sapiens. Classification (NCBI taxonomy): domain Eukaryota; kingdom Metazoa; phylum Chordata; class Mammalia; order Primates; family Hominidae; genus Homo; species Homo sapiens. Next base: position 113,690,921 of record NC_000006.12, read on the forward strand.
TCCTGATATTGACTTAAATAGTGAATCTGTATCTTTTGACAAAGACGAACCAATGATACTAGGTAACCGTGAGTGCAACTGATGGACATATGTTAGTTGTAAAAAGTGATTTTTTTAATTGACAAAACCTGGATTAGTGAAAAGACAGAGTCAGCACAATGTCACTGTTACTCAAAGACACACACAGCTGTAAATGGAATCATCAATTAGTAAATTAATAAATTTATATTAATTACTCTCGAGAGAATAATGTGTGCTTGACTAATATTTTTATATGCTTTAATTCATTAAATTATACAATTAATAAATATTTGTCAGGCACCCATTATGCTCTCAAAGTGTTGTCCTTGCCCAAATGGAGCCTACATCTTGTTTCATAAGAATAATATAAGATAATTTGAAAACAACAATGTAAGATAATGCTCAATAAATGATTTATACAAGAGGTACAGCAACAATTCAGAGAATGCTGATATAAGTGTCACGTGATGTCTTCAGGGAAGTCCAGAGATGAAGTAAAAATCTGAAGGTGAGGTAGAGTTCCCACAGGAGGAATAAGAAAGACATTCGAATCAGGAATGGAGGCGGGAAGTACAGGTGAGCATGGTGAGTAAGCAAAGAGATACGGAAGAAGCACAGCCTTTATCTGGAAGATTAAGAGAAATATGTCAGGAACAGGCTGTCTACAGGAAATTTAAGCCAGGGTGCAGGTTTCATGACTGTAATCCCAGCACTTTGGGAGGTAGAAGAGGAAGGATCACTCGAGGCCAGGAATTCAGGGCCAGCCTGGGCAATATAGCAAGACTCCATCTCTATAGCAAGTTTTAAAATAAAAATAAAAAACACGTTTCAAAAAGAAAATGCAGAATATATTTAGAATAGTAGTAGTCTTTTCTTTGTTTGTTTGTTTGTTTGAAGACAGGGTCTCACTCTATTACCTAGGACGGAGTGCAGAGGTATGCACATGGCCCACTGCAACCTCCACCTCCTGGGCTCAAGAGATCCTCCGACCTCAGCCTCCCAAATAGCTGGGACCACAGGCACACACCGCTACATCTGGCTAATTTTTTTGTATTTTTTGTAGAGACAGGGTTTCACCATGTTGGCCAGGCTGGCCTCGAACTCCTGGCCTCAAGTGATCTGCCCACCTAAGCCTCCCAAAGTACTAGAATTACAGGCTGGGAGCCACTGCACCTGGCTGTAGCTGCCATTTCTGAGTTCTTAGTGTGTATTGGTCATTTTTTATATCACTCTTCTCAATTGCCCTGTGAGATAGGCATTATTACCCCTCTTTTGCAGATAAGGAGACTGAGGGTCAAAGAAGGTAAATAACTTGCCCAAATTCACACAGCTTGTTCTGGTAGAACCGAAATTCAAATCAAGTTTTCAGTGACTCCAAAGTCCAAGCTCTTTCCATTTGGGGCACCTACCTCCCAGGTTCTAAAAGCAGGGGAAGGCGGGCAGGTGTGGTGGCATACGTCTATAGTCTCAGCTACTTGGGAGGCTGAGGGCTGAGGTGAGAGTATAACTTGCGCCCAGAAGTTTGAGACTGTGCTGAGCTATGATCATACCACTGCACTCCATCTTAGATGACAGAGTGAGTTTGTAAATAAATAAATAAATAAAAATAAATAAAAGCAGGGCAAAGGCATTATTTGGCTTCTTGGTTGCCATGTTTATCCAGTGACAGGCCTGCAGCAAAGTTTTAAATGGAAAGGACCTAGAAGGAATAAGATTCCTCAGAAGGACACAGGTCAATGAAGGTTATGATTAAAGTGGCTGCAGAAGTCACCTGGAAGAGGAAAATTCAAGAGTTAACACAAACAGTCATTACATTTTGTTAACAATAATTCTATAATTTCTAAGTCTAAAAACAGGCTCACAAGATATATAGTACATAATTTGCCCCCAGGAATTGTAGCAGTAAGTATACTTCATTTAAAAATAATTACACAACATGACAATTGGACGTAGAGAAATAATGCTCAGCATGGAAAAGAGGACAAAAGAAAATCAACTCGGAGAAGATCTGAGTAACCTATAAACAAAAGTGGAAGTCACTACGGTAGGGAAAAAAAGTTGCTGCTGGATGATCTAAATAAGTATTAAATAAAGACTGAGAGGCGGGAGGATCACTTGAGGCCAGGAGTTCAAGACCAGCCTGGGCAACCTATTTAGACCCCATCTCTAAAATAAAATAAAAATAAAGACTGATGTCTATAAGTAATTAAAAAGACCATCTGAGAAGCTGAATGAGTTGGTTGGTTAGGCAAACCTAGCTTACAAATCCTTGAGGTCCATCTGCTCAGTTTTAGCTGCCAACACACTCTTTCCAGGCCTCTCTATGCTGTTCTACCCAACAGAACACAGAAGACCTTGCTGCTGTTGAGGAACTTCTTGTCTTGCAGAGCCTGTTAGCACCTCCTTGCCCCATGACTCCCAAGCCCACTGAGAGTGTTTCCTACAAGTAGAAGAATGTCTTCATTCAACTGACTTTTATGAGCAGCTTCTATGTTTTCACTACTGTGCTAGTGTCCTGACAGGGTGTATAATTTGTAGGGCCCAGTGCAAATGAAAATGCAGAATCCCTTTGTCCAAAAATTATTAAGAATTTCAAAATGGCTACAACAGAGCATTCAACCAAATACAGGGCCCTTGCAAGTATAGGGTTCTGTGTGACTGCACAGGTTCTATATCTAACTATGAAGCCAGCCTTGCATAGGCTCTGTCCTCAAAGTTCTCCCAGCCTACTTTTTGCTAGTATGTATTGTCTCATAGACCCTAATCCCAGGGTCCTTCTTGCACTGTACTTACAGCTACAGCCATGATCCTTGCCTGGATTTGTGGCTAGCCTTAGATTCCACCCCTTGAGATCTTTGAGATTCCTACGCTTCTCTTTGTCAACACTGCCAATACTCCATTTCCAAACATCATCATTTCTTCCTAGATAACTATAACAGCCTTCTCTTTAGTCTCACCCTCTAATCCATTATCTATATTGCCTGTCAAGAGAATCTTTAAGGAGCCAAATCTGATTGTGTCACTCCCCTGCTTAAATTCCTACAAAGGCTTGCTATTGGCTGTCCAATGAAATCCAGTCCAATGAAATGCGATACTGCTTTCAAGGCAGTGTGTGACCTAGCCCAGGTGACTCTTACAGGAATAATTCTTACCCCACCCACCCCAACACCCCTTCATGAACCAGCCTCACTGTTCACTTTTCATGACACTTGGCAATCTTTTTTCTCCATTTTCTGCTTAGACATTATCTCCTCTAGAAGGCCTATTTTGACACTCTCTCTTATCCTAGTCTCCATAAGAGGACCCTATTATGTGTCCCCATTGTCCTTGTCACGAAGGGTTTTTTTTTGTCTATTTATTTATCTGCATCACATGTTTACAATAAAACAACAAAGACAGAAAGCATGTCTCAGTCACCTTTGACCATGAATATGTAGCCTGACTCGTGATTCATGAGGCACTCAAATATTGTTAAATAAATGAAGACTCATACATCAAAAGGAGTTACTGATATTTTCACAGGTGCTTGTGTTTATTTAAAGGCTTCCTAACCCATTGTGAGCTCCTTAGGGCCCAAGGTTGAACTTGGATATTCCTTCCAAATCCTGACTCTGTGCCTGGCATATAGACAACAGTTGCCTCCTAAGAATTCCAGAATGAGCTGGGCGTGGTGACTCATGCCTGTAATCCCAGCACTTTGGGAGGCCACCACTTAACATACAACCACATTTCTTAAAATCTTGTGAAAATGTCATTCACTAGAAAGGAAAAAGTAAAAGAGGAAAAAAAAAAAAAAACAGTAAATTTAGTGAGCTCTCATGAACCCAAAAAACTTCACTTATGAGCCATTGTGCCATCTGATCTCAGTTTCAACTCCAGGCCTTGTTGGCCTGTCTACAACAGAGCCACCAGCAATGTCAGTTCAGGTGGTATCTGTCAAATCAGCAATTCATGTGTATGTTCTTAACCTACTAGTTTGAGTATTTCTCTCATGACTGGATTACATCCTCTAAAACATTTTTCTTCTAAATTGTTGACTTTCCAAAGAAACTTGCAGTTTCAAAGAAACTTCCAAATACTAAACTCCTTTGGAAAAATCACTTAACAATATAGAGTTTGTTCATTCATTTATTTAAGAACTATTGACTAGGTATGTGTTATGTGAGCAGCCCTGTGATAGAAGATAAGAAAAAAGTAATGAACAAGACAGATGCTTTCTTTACTAGGAGAATGAAAACTTTAAATAAGGGCTACAAAAAAAAAAAAAAAAGGCTGGGCACGGTGGTTCACACCTGTAATCCCAGCACTTCAGGAGGCTAAGGCGGGCAGATCATGAGGTCAAGAGATCAAAACCATCCTGGCCAACATGGTGAAACCCCGTCTCTACTAAAAATACAAAAATTAGCTGGGCGTGGTGGCATGCGCCTGTAGTCACAGCTACTCTGGAGGCTGAGGCAGGAGATTCGCTTGAACCCAGGAGGCAGAGGTTGCACTGAGCCGAGATCATGCCCCTGCACTCCAGCCTGGTGACAGCCTAATCCCTTCAACACAGATTTCTGTGGGCCTTGCAAGACTCCGTCTCAAAAAAAAATAAAAATAAAAATAAATAAATAAAAAATAAACATTATTACCATGGTTTTCAACAGCCAAGCTCCAACTTTCACAAGAAGATAAAGAGGTGGTTTTCATAACAGACTTTTACCACTGAAACAATGTGGTTATTAAGGAAGAAAACGCAGCAACTGAAGTTGAAGGCATGTCAGTTGTTGGAATGTCCTAACCGAAGATTATGAAAGAATACATAGCAGCTTGTAAATGGCAATAGCTGTATCCAGAGTCATTGCAAAATGTCTGGGTAAAGAGAGTTTTATGTTAGTTTTCCAAATACTTTCATATATTTCCTCCTCATTTAATTCTTACAGCCACCCTGAGAGATACATATGGCAAACATTGTAATACCCATTTAGAGTTTGGGAAACTACAGGGGTTAATGACTTGCTTTTTTTCACTTTATAAATTGCTGGCAGAAAAAGAATTAGAATCTGCATCTCTAGCCCCTTGCTCTGGACTTTAGATCAACAGAGAAACTAATTAGGTGACCTCTGCAGGGCTTGGTTTAAGAATACAGCACAGTTTTCTCCTGTGCCATGACCCTGGCTCATATGTCTTTTACAAAACTGTGGAAAACGCAGCTAGGCAAATGCCACTAGTGTGTTTATCCACAATCAATGATCTCTTCCAATTATTTGTTTTTTTTGTTTGTGTTTAATAATTCTAATTACTGCTGTTAGAGAATATGGTTTTATTCTGGACACAGTTTTATAAATTTATTGAAGAACATCTGTGATCTCTTTGGGAGTATTTATGATTCCCAACGTTATGCATGATTCTTTTATTATGAATGCTTGTCTAGGTTTCCATGTCATTAAAGAAGTTTAAAGACCTCTCTCTTCACTGACCAAGCTACAAACAAGAATTCCCAAATATATATGATAAAGCAGATTTTTTTACTTCCCTCAGAAGCAGAGCATGCTGCCAACATGGGCCACAATTTTTCATTCTGGAAATTTTTTTTTATTTTTATTTTTTTTTTAGATGGAGTCTCACACTGTCGCCGGCCTGGAGTGCAATGGCGCAATCTCGGCTCACTGCAACCTCTGCCTCCCAGGTTCACGTGATTCTCCTGCCTTAGCCTCCTGAGTAGCTGGGATTAAAGGCGCACACCACCACACCAGGCTAATTTTTAATAGAGATAGGGTTTCACTATGTTGGCCAGACTGGTCTCGAACTCCTGACCCCGTGATCTGCCTGCCTCGGCCTCCCAAAGTGCTGGGATTACAGGCATGAGTCACCACGCCCAGCTCATTCTGGAATTCTTAGGAGGCAACTGTTGTCTATATGCCAGGCACAGAGTCAGGATTTGGAAGGAATATCCAAGTTCAACCTTGGGCCCTAAGGAGCTCACAGATGGGTTAGGAAGCCTTTAAATAAACACAAGCCCCTGTGAAAATATCAGTAACTCCTTCAACACAGATTTTTGTGGGCCTACTGTGGACCTGCTCACTGCTACATGCTGAGGATTGAAAAGATTATTGAGACTATCCCTGCACTCTGGAAGGAAAAAAATCTAAAACCTTTACAATTGGATTTGCAAGCAGTTCTGCTTTTGTGCATTATCTCATTTAGTCCTCATCATCATTATGAAGTGTCATCATCTTATTTTATGGATATGAAACCTGAGGTTCAAAGAGGACAACTCAGTTTCCCAAGATCACAGAATGAGAGGCTGAGTCAAAACTCCAGCACAGATGTTTAGACTCATAGTCTAAGGTTCTCTCTACAATTGGGTTAAAGCAGTTTATTCTAATAACTACCTCAAATATTTTTTTATGTAAGTAAATTATTTCAGATAAAAACAATGTTGACTTAGAAGAGTTATATCATGCTAGAAAGACAATAAAAAGCAGACAGATTTTCAGTACTCAAACATATGAAACTAGAGCAGAGTGGGAAGAAAGTCAAGGTGCAAAAATAGCCAAAACAACCATTTGTTAAGGAAAAGGTGTGAGGAACACATTTTAAAAATATTTTTCCCTTGATTCACTATCATGCCTTCTGTAGGACTCAATGAAAAAGAATAAATTAAAAGAACTCTGCTGAATTTTGATCATTAACTGTTCCCATTTTATTGTTTCTCTCATATGAAACCCTTCCTATAAAGACCCCAGTTAATAGTCTGGCAAATGCCTCTAAAAATACAAGCAAGAAACAAGCAAGCAAACATTTGTTTCTCAAGAATTGGGATCATTTCTGAGTTATCAATATCTACTTCCTCTTTCTACATGTAGTCCTCAGTATTTCCTACAGTTAAAAAGATGAGTGACTAATGAAAAAGCAGTAAGACATTTCTGCTTTATGCACATGTATAGACAGTGCAGTTACTGTTTATTATCAGTTTTATTTTGCCTTTTTCAGCATGCACCTAGCTGAGTACTAAAGTAAGTCAAGAATTAAGCACAGCAATGAAGTGTCCTCAATTAGGTTGAAGCAAATTGAATTTATTTCCAAGAAAGGAGATATACGCCATTAAATAAAATCAGTAACAACTGAATTTTACATTATCATTCATATAATGCTATTTTATACAAGTATTGCCAATTATTTATATATCCAAATTACTCAACCGTATTCTCAACATGTGTTCCGTGTGCTTTGATTAAATACTCATGACTAAGTGTCTGTGGTCATTCCTGCACATGAAGGGAATGTGAGTATTGCAAACTTTGTGGTTTCTTCAAAATAGACAAACTAGAGTTTCTCACTGCATCAGAAAAAGTGGACACAAGGCCTCTAAGGAAAGAGCAGGTGTATCCCGAGGCAATGTTTTCTCTACAGCCCCATAGTTGCCATTTTTCTGACCTCAATTAGAACCAGGAATTGGATCAGAGAATGAGATCTGCAGCACCCAATCAGAACCAATTCTTCTCTTAGTGGTTATTAACAAATGCAAATTCTAAACTCGTTGACACCTTTTGTCTTAAACATTAACAATGCAGCACACCAACATGGCATATGTATACATATGTAACAAACCTACACGTTGTGCACATGTATCCTAAAACTTAAAGTATAATAATAATAAAAAGAAAAAAAAGAAATTAAAAAAAACATTGACAATGCTTCATCTGATTTTTCATTTTATCTCTTGAAAACAAACATGAGTCAAAAGAAATGACCAGAGACTATGCAGATGAAAAGCCTGCTTTCACCCTGAGCTCTGTTGGGTTTAGCTACCTAATGGTTCCCTCCTTTCCCACAGTCAAAGTTGAAGGTTGGGTACTTGGGAAGCACTGGATGCTTTAGGCACATTTTCCTCCTCAACCATCAGAACAAACCAATAAGGTGATCACTAGTGTCCTCATTTTATAGATGTAGCAAATGGGGTTCAAAAGGGTGAGACTGGTTGCTTCAGGATCATACACCCTGTTTGGTCTCAAAGCCTCTGCCCTTTCCACTATTCCATGCTACCTTCCTGTGATTTTGACCCATGGATTAGAGAATCTCTCCAGACACACAATTCTGTTCTCCTTTAACCTTATTTCTCAGCTCTGCCTTTCCCAGTTTTTATCATGTTACTTCAGATAATTCTGCTCCTATGCCGATTGCCTTTGAATTGATATTCTGGTTCAACTGTCTACCTAGTTTTCTATATCAACTTCTTCTCTAAATACTATGCCATTGTCAATATAAATAACAGAGAGGAATTCTAAATAAATATACATATATTATATATATATGTATGTATGTATGTATATATGTATACACACACACAAAAGTATTTAGGAATAGGGCCTTTCAATGGGAATGTGTGCACCATAGTCAGCTATGTGTATATTAGGGAGGTAATGGAAGACAAAGGTTTGTAAAGGAAAAATGAAGAGGGTTACATAATTGCTTTTGAGATAATTATCCTTGGCTACAAGAATCAATAACAAAGGTGACACTAGTCCAAGGTTGGACAGGCAGTTGCTGAGCAGATGTCCTCACACAGAAATATTTGTGTGTGTATGTAAGGTTGTAATGGCTTTTGTGCAGTGTTGTGTTTTTTGCAGTCTTTTGTGATAGTTTTTGTTGTCAAGCATTTATGCATGAGAACTCTGTCTTCATGGGCTTCTCCAGTTGTATTTGTCAGTTATTTTTAACACAAGTGACTCTATTTTGATTCTGACAACTTTCACACCAGAGATTCTCCTGTTAAAGCTCCTAGGACACAAGCCTAATCCAATATCTGGAACAAAGTTTGGATATGAACACGTGGTCATCTATTCACTCTCCTGTCCTCAACTTCAAATATTATGATAAAAGTCTTGCAATAGGAAGAAAGCAGGGAAAGAAGTGGATTAAAAGGGAAGAAGATAGTGAAAAAGCCTGGATTTTAAAATATCAATTGTATTCTCATTTTAAATGGCCCCTGTGGGGCTCCATGTCAGAGAGGATAAGGTCAGATCTCAGCACCTACAAACCAGGGATACACTAGGGAAAATTACAAAACAAAACATTCAGACCGAAATCACACTACAGTATTATAACAAAGATGAACTTCAGAAACACATGGCCTACTAATAATGGAAACTATTTATTTATTGTTTAATATCTGCAGAGAGTTTTGTTGACATATTCTGATTTTTTTAGGTGGGGAGGGGGTGGAACGGAGTCTCGCTCTGTTACCCAGGCTGGAGTGCAGTGGTGTGATCTCGGCTCACTGCAACCTCTGCCTCCCGGGTTCAAGCGATTCTTCTGCCTCAGCCTCCTGAGTAGCTGGGACTACAGGTGCGCACCACCATGCCCAGCTAATTTTTGTATTTTTAGTAGAGATGGGGTTTCACCATATTGGCCAGGCTGGTCTCAAACTCCTGACCTCCTGATCTGCCTGCCTCGACCTCCCAAAGTTCTGGGATTACAGGCGTGAGCCACCGCCCCTGGCCCATATTCTGATTTTTTAATTAACTGTGTGGCAGGCATTATTGTACTCATTTTACAGATTATAGAAGTAGGCAAGAGAGATTCAAATCTCACTAAGTGACAAAACTATTATAGAATTTGAATACAGTAGTATTGATTCCAAAGGTCCCATCCTCAGCGAGTATACCATTCCATACCTCCAACCTGTTCCATAGAGCTAACACATTTCAATCCAAGTGCTTATCTGGCTTATCCGGACTTTTAAACAATTCTATTCAATACACTTTGGATGTCAGGTGCAGTGTCACATGCCCCTAGTTCCAGCTACTCGGGAGGCTAAGATGGGAGAATTCCTTGAACCCAAGAGTTTGAAACTGGCCTAAGCAACATAGAGAGACCCTATCTCCAAAAAAAAGGGGGGCAGGGGTGTACACATGAACATAAAGACATGAACAATAGACACTGGGGAGAGTGTCTTACATGGGGGAGAATGGGAGGCCAGCATGGGCTGAAGACACTACCTATTGGGTGCTACTCTCACTAACTGGGTGACAAGGTCATTCATACCCCAAACCTCAGTGTCACACAATACACTCATGTAACAAACCTGACATGTACCCCTTGAATCTAAAATAAAAGTTGAAATTATGAAAAACAAACTATGTATAGATGTGTGTGTGTTTCCTGTCCTCAAGTGATCCGCCCACCTTGGCCTCCCAAAGTGTGGGATTACAGGCATGAGACACCACACCCAGCCATAGCCATTTTTCCTTTCTTTTCTTTTCTTTTCTTTTCTCTTTTCTTCTCTTCTCTTCTCTTTTCTTTTCTTTTTTTCCTGAGATGGAGTCTCATTCTATCCCCCAGGCTGGAGTGCAGTGGTGCAATCTCAGCTCACTGCAACCTCTACCTCCTGGGTTCAAGCAATTCTCCTGCCTCAGCCTCCTGAGTAGCTAGGATTACAGGCGTGAGCCACCAAGTCTGCTAATTTTTGTATTTTTGGTAGAGACAGGGTTTCACCGTGTTGGCCAGGCTAATCTCGAACTCCCGACCTTGTGATCTGCCCACCTCAGCCTCCCAAAGTGCTGAGATTACAGATGTGAGCCACCGCGCCCGGCCTACCATTTTTCTTAATGTTACCAAATTGATCTGCTTAGGACATTATCATCTGACTCAATGATTACAAATATTACATTATCCCAGACTAGGGGCAAATCTTCACATTTATTCAATATTTATTCAACAAAAATTTGAATAACTACGTGTGCCAGGTTTAACTTGAACTTAGTGCTGAGAATTCAGTTGTGAAATAATCACAGGCTATTGAGTTCACAACCTAATGAGACAGCAAAGAAACGCTATCATGCAGGGTGGTGAGTACCTCTGTGAGTTATATCCAAAGTGTGCTCCTCAAAAGAGAAAGCAACTTCCTTTGTGGGGGCCAATAAAAAAGGGTTTCCTAGAGGAGTGAAAATTTTAAAAATGAAGAGGCACTCACAAAGCAGAGAAAGGGGAAGGGTAGTCCATACAGAGGTCTCAGCAGGACCAAAGGTGTGGATGTGAGAAAGAGGGCAGTGTGTTCAGGGGACCCTATCTTCCATTCTGTAGTGCGTTCACATCTGTTATCTAGGAAAACAATAAACACAGCTCTGGCTACATGAGGCAAGTATTTCCAACTGCACTGTGTTCTTTGGCTCACAACATTGTTCTCCATCTGTTTTATTTGTCTATACTACAAAAGGAATATGAAAGATAAGGTGGGAACTTGTCCGGGTGAGGCCAGTAACCACCCAAAGAAGGCCTTTGTCTAGAAGCTTCCTTTTAATATGATAGAAAAAAAGGATTTGAAACAAAGATTTAATGAAAGAAAGAAAAGAAGGAAAAAAGAAGTAGTATCTCAGCTAAGACAAAACATCACTCAGATGAAACAATTACTTTGATCTCAATACATTTGGGTTTTCCTTCTGTTGTTAATCATAGCTCTTGAACATTATCCATTTCATTCTAATGAATTATTTAACATTCCATTCCTTCAACATACATGCATTGAGAGATAGTATAAATAAAATACATGTTATATCTTCTGGATATAACATGGTCCCAAGGGGCTTCCAGTCTAGTGGGAAAGCTAGATCATTAATGCAAAAAAAAATTATGTAATCCATGTTACCAGCACAATACGCACATAGTGATGGGAAGCACAGAATAAGGAGGGGCATTTAAACCAGGCTGGCTCATCAGGAAACCTCCCTGGAGGAGACAAAGCCTGAGCTGACATTGAAGGAAGTCCAGGGGTTAAGCAATTAAATCAGAAGAGGGGAATGGAAAGAAGAGTTTAAGGCATGAGAACCATATGAGGTAAGGTATATAGAGTAAGGGTCTTTCAAGAAAATCCAGGTATGATTAGCGGTAGAGAGTAGCAGGATTTAAGTCTGAAGACACAGTGTAGAACCCAGACAGGAAGTATTCCATCCACCATGCTATGGAGACATTCTTGACTGTGACTTCTGCAGGGAGCCACTGAAGTGTCTAGACTGGGTTCAGTCAAAATCAAATTTGCGCCGGGCACGGTGGCTCATGCCTGTAATCCCAGCACTTTGGGAGGCCGAGGCGGGCGGATCATGAGGTCAGGAGATCGAGACCATCCTGGCTAACACGGTGAAACGCCGTCTCTACTAAAAATACAAAAAATGAGCCGGGCATGGTGGCGGGCGCCTGTCGTCCCAGCTACTGGGGAGGCTGAGGCAGGAGAATGGGGTGAGCTTGCAGTGAGCAGAGATTGCACCACTGCACTCCAGCCTGGGCGACAGAGCGAGACTCTGTCTCAAAAAAAAAAAAAAATCAAATTTGCTTTTTTTTTTTTTTTTTTTGAGATGGAGTTTTGCTCTTCTTGCCCAGGCTGGAGTGCAGTGGCGTGACCTCGGCTCACCGCAACCTCTGCCTTCTGGGTTCAAGCGATTCTTCTGCCGCAGCCTTCCAACTAGTTGGGACTACAGGCATGCACCATCATGCCTGGCTAATTTTGTATTTTCAGTAGAGACGGGGTTTCTCCATGTAGGTCAGGCTGGTCTTGAACTCCCAACATCAGTTGATTCGCCCACCTTGGCCTCCCGAGGTGCTGGGTTTATGGGCATGAGCCACCACGCTTGGCCCAAATTTGCATTTTTTAAACTTTATTTTAGCTGCATTGTAGGGGGTTATTTTATTTTATTTATTCATTTGTTTTTTGAGATGGAGTTTTGCTCTTCTTGCCCAGGATGGAGTGCATTGGCGCGATCTCGGCTCACCGCAACCTCCGCCTCCCAGGTTCAAGCGATTCTCCTGCTTCAGCCTCCCGAGTAGCTGGGATTACAGGCATGCACCACCATGCCCAGCTGATTTTGTATTTTTAGTAGAGACAAGGTTTCTCCATGTTGGTCAGGCTGGTCTCGAACTCCCGACCTCAGGTGATCCACCTGCCTCGGCCTCCCAAAGTGCTGGGATTACAGGCGTGAGCCACCGTGCCTGGCTGTAGGGGCTTATTTAACCAGACCAGGAAAATGGTGGCAATGATCCAGTCAATGAATAATGAGACCATGAGAATTGGTATATCATGACATTTAGAACATTTTGGAAAGTTGAATCAGCAGCACTTTGTGAACACTTCGTGAGACTCAATGAGTTCAGCAGTAGTTAGAGAAGAGCCTAGGATGACTCCAACTAGGATGAAGCAACTGGGAAAAAATTAAGACAAAGGAACCCAACACTTATTAAATACATCCTACGCACTGGGCATTATGCTCATTGTATATATTCATGAAATTTTTTAATCTTTATAATAAACCCATGACATAGTTGTTATTACTTCAACTGTAGATGAAGAAGCTTACAGTCAGAGAAGTCATTTTTACAAGAGCACTCAAAATGGCAAAGACAGGGTTTAGAGGTAGCTATGTCTAATTACCTTATCTTTCAGGCAATAACATCATACCTCCTGGGCAGATGGGGCCTGTCGCTAATTACGATAGCAAATTTTGAATATAGAGCAGGTTTGGGAGGCCGCTTTACATAGAAGGGTTGAAGAAAAAGGAAAATCCATGGGGATAAGAGGTGAAAAACACTGAATGTTAAACAGGAGACAAGAGGATTGAGTGAGTGATCAACAATACTGGTGACTTGTGGACAGACAAGATATTGACTGACAGATGTTTATTGGATTTACTGACAAGAAAATGGATGATTGTAACCATGAAAATAACAATTTTAGGGGAGTCGTGGAGACAAAACCATATCATGATGGTTAAGAAATGACTATGTCGAAAAAGCCAAATCCAAGTTGAAACTGTTTATATGTGCTGAGGGGATGAAAAAGAACAAGTTATTTCCAAGGGGTGAACCTAGTCAAAGCAGGCTTCCTACTGGAGTAGGCCTGGGGAAGCATAGATTTATGGCATCTTGACCCCTAGGTAAGATCTTGACATAAGCCTTCTCTTCTCAGTTCTTCCCCAAGTTAGGAAAAGCTGAGTTGAGAGGGGAAAAAAAAATCTTAACATTAATTTTAAAGGTAATCTGGGAATTTTGCTGGTTCTGTACAACTGAGGGACTCCAGATATATCAAAAGTACTGGGTTTTCCCCAAGGATCCATCATCAAATGTAAGACCAAAAATCTTCCTCCTCAATTCTTACACATTTTATATTCCATGGAATCCCAAGAAAGGAACATGTGGTCAGGTTCACAACATGTGTATGGAGAGAATTAAGAAAAATGGAGGGCCGGCACGGTGGCTCACATCTGTAATCCCAGCAATTTAGGATGCAGAGGCAGGAGAATTGCTTGAGCCCAGGAGTTTGAGACCAGCCTAGGAAACATGAAAAAATCCTATCTCTACAAAAAAAAAAAAAAAAATACAAAAATTAGCCGGGTGTTGTGGCACGCACCTGTGGTCCCAGCTACTTGGGAGGCTGAGGCAGGAGGATCACTTGAACCTGGGAGGCAGAGGTTGCAGTGGGCCGAGATCATACCACTGCACTACAGCCTCAAGTGATCTGCCTACTTGGCCTCCCAAAGTGCTGGGATTACAGGTGCAAGTCACTGCACCCAGCCTTAGCTATAATTTAAAAAGGTCTGTATAAAAAAAAAAAAAAGAAGAAGATCCTTAATAAACTAACCAGTGAATTCATGCTCTGAAACATTACATGGGATTAGTAACTCTATCATTGTTTCTGACTCAGTGATATATGTGATAAGGAGAACATCAAGAATGGGCAACAGAGTGAGATCTTGCCTCAAAAAACAAAAAAAAAATTAAGTAGATAAAGAAGAAAATGTATGGTACTGCATGTGTATGTATATGTATATGTACATTTATACAGTATACATAAACATCTACATGTACTTTAGCTCACAGGTGACAATCCTGCACATAAGTATCACTTCAACACTTCAAACCTAAGGTCACTTGAGATCAGTGGCTTTAATCTCAATTTTAATACTTATGTTTTAGAACTTTAAAATACAATTGCTTAGACTTCACTTCAAAGACATAAAGTAGTAGCAACTTAGTCATGCATTTTGTGGTTTGTTTTACAAGAAATAAATTACAGTATGTAACAAACAATAATATAAAACCGCCAAGAAAAAAATTTTAAACTAGCAATATTTGATATGAGAGGATAAAGACTATAATGAGAGAAAACTGTTCTGTTTTTCTGACACTCTTGATGTTCTCCTTATCATATATATCACTCAGTCAGAAACAATGACAGAATTACTAATCCCAAGCAATGTTTTAAAAGCATGAATTCACTGATTAGTTTATTAAGGACCTTCTTATTTTTTTTATAGAGACCTTTTTATTTTTTATTTATTTATTTTTTAGTTTAGGGTCATAGATGCATTTTATATGTATATATATACATATATATATATATTTTATTATACTTTAAGTTCTAGGGTACATGTGCACAACCTGCAGGTTTGTTACATATGTATACATGTGCCATGTTGGTGTGCTGCACCCATTAACTCAGGGATCATTTCTATAGTTTGTTATGGAGACTTTTTTAAACAATAGGTAAAGCCGGGTGCAGTGACTCACACCTGTAATCCCAGCACTTTGGGAGGCCGAGACAGGCAGATCACTTGAGGCCAGGAGTTTGAGACCAGTCTGGCCAGTATGGCAAAACCCCTTCTCTACTAAAAATACAAAAATTAGCCAGGCTTGGTGGCACATGCCTGTAATTGTAATCCCAGCCACTTGAGAAGCTGAGGCAGGAGAATTGCTTGAACCAGGGAGGCAGAGATTGCAGTGAGCCAAGATTGCACCACTGCACTCCAGCCTCGGTGACAGCAAGACTCCTAAAAAAAAAAAAAAAAAAAAAAGGTAGGATTCACATAAAGACAATAAATAGGAAAGATATTAAATCAGTATTTCCTTGGTTTTAATCCTTAGTTTAATGTTTGTACTGAAACACACTCATTTTGTCCTGAAAGATATTAAAGCTAGCTTCCCACCTTTTCCTGAACCACCAAAAAGTATAACATTTTCCCAGAGTTCTGGCCATTGTTTTTATTTTATGTTATTTTATTTTAGGCTATATTGAAAAGTGGACCAAAGCCCTTCATGAGCTAGCATCATGGAGATTTGCCAGACAGGCCTGATGAATCTCATCTAACCCTGTCACCTCAGAAAGCTTGCCAGGAAAGCTGAAAAAGTTAACATCCTTCATTTTGCCACCTTTACTTCCTCCAGAAAGGCATCTTCTCCACACCTTGGCAGAGCTGCAAACACCCTCCCACTGAGTTCACATTGTTCTGAGAGGGGTCGCTAACTTCTGCGCCCAAGTCAGCCCAGGTAACAGCCCCTCCAGACCCTGTGATGTCACCCCTTTAATTCCTTGTGAGCATGAAACCCCCAGGAGAGACTGAAATTCAGGAGCCCTTCACAGCCGAACAATGAGCACATAGCTTTGCCTGGCATCAGAGCCCCAGTGCAGGAATAGCTCTTTTAACCTCAGGGCTCCCTCAGAGCCATGGGGATTTGATATAGATCCACACTCCACAGGGAGTGGCTGCAGCAACAGCACAGAGAAAGTGGCTTCCCAGAAGCCACAGGTCCCTTGAGTCCCATAAGCAACCTCCATGGGAGAGCTTTTTTTCCTCCCATAAACATTATTAATTTTTAAATTTCTTCCCTTTATTTTTCTAAAATTTTGACTATTTTGTATTCATTCACCTTACTTAGTTTTTTTGAGGGGGAATGAAGATGGCTTCTTTGGATATTTATAAATATTGATCCCCAGATACCTAATAAGGATTTGGGGGATAGCTGTTCACTAGACTTAATAAAGTCTGTGAGGAAGTGACCAGAAATGACCTGACACTAGATAAGAGGAATGTCTCCAAATTTCTGATTCTAACTGGTCACGTTCCATGATCTTAGTAGACATGGCGATTATAGCCATAACTGTAAAGAGACAAGAAAGAAGTTCATTTGGACCACAGAATAGTCAGATCAGTTTCCAAGTGGGGCAGTGTATTACCACTGTGTTTTTCAACATTCGTTGACTTTCTGTACCCAAGGAATAGTTTTCTTTTTGTTGTTGTTGTTTCATTGTTTTTTTGTTTTGTTTTGTTTTTGGTTTTTAAGACAGAGTTTCGCTCTTATTGCCCATAAGGGCAATGGCGCTATCTGGGCTCACCACAACTTCTGCCTCCTGGTTCAAGCAATTCTCCTGCCTCAGCCTCCTCAGTAGCTGGGATTACAGGCATGCACCACCACACCAGGCTAATTTTGTATTTTTGGTAGATACTGGGTCTCTCCATGTTGGTCAGTCTGGTCTTGAACTCCCGACCTCAGGTAATCCACCCGCATCAGCCTCCCAAAGTACTGGGATTACAGACATGAGCCACCACGCCAGGCGGAATAGTTTTTCTTTTACGGTTTCCAGCAAGGCCCAGATGAGCAGAAAGAGGCTTTCTTATTTATTTTTTGTTTGTTTAGCTTATACTGCACACCTTTGACAGTGTTAAATCTTCTCCAGGGCTCAAGAGTTTGCCTGAAACTTCTCTTTGGCACTAATAGGCCCATGGCAAGAGGTTTGAGTTCCTATACCCTTTTAATAAACTTCTTTCTTTTAATAAACTTCTTTCTTTTCTTTTCTTTTTTTTTTTTTTGTTTTGTTGTTGGTTGAGACAGAGTCTTACTCTGTCACCCAAACGGGAGTGAAGTGGCACCATCTTGGCTCACTGCAACCTCCACCTCCTGGGTTCAAGCGATTCTCCTGCCTCAGCCTCCCCAGTAGCTGGGATTACAGGTACGTGCCATCATGCCAAGATAGTTTTTTGTATTTTTAGTAGAGACAGGGTTTTGCCATTTGCCCAGGCTGCTTTCAAACTCCTAAGCTCAGGCAATCTGCCCACCTTGGCCTCCCAAGTGCTAGGATTATAGGCGTGAGCCACTGCACCTGGCCAAATAAACTTATTTCTAACTTTCCCTATGCTTAGTTATTTTCTCTACCTCAGGCCATCGGTGCTACGTGACCACGCCCTAACCTAGCTATAGAATGTTATCTGCAGGATATACTATCATTCACAATCTGATTATACCAGTTTGCATGTTATGATTATTCAAAATCTGGTAAGAAGTACCTAGAACACATTACAAAGCACCAAGCGACAAGAACGCTGCCCTGAGGAGCTTACACAGTCTAGGCCAGACAAAAGCTAGAATGCCTAGCAAGCAGAGCAGAGCTGCAGAAAACTGTTGAGGGGATGAGCATTGGAAAGATCTGAAAAAGAGACTATGGGACATACAAATTATAGCTATCTTTTATAGAAGTAATATAAAAATAAACTGTGAAGAAAATAATATATAAAAAGGAAAAAATTCCCAAAAGCAGACATGAGGAAAAAAACTAAGAAATAAAATAGATCAAGCCAGATTATAGATTGTGCAGAGCTTAAATGAAAACAAACTCATGGAATGCAACTTGGAAAAAGAAGTAATTTAAAGAAGCATGTCAGGTAGAAGAGTGACATGATCTTATTGTAGGAGGGGTGGGGGAAATATGGAATGCTCGACACAAGAGTTTTACACAGATTTTATGGTAAAAATTTAAAAGTTGAAAATTCACCAGTCAAATACATTTAAAACTTCTTTTTACCTAATTGTACTATAATGCAATCTTACATCACAGTTAATTGTTCAAGTTCATAGATTGTGGTGTAACGTAATATGGTAAATAAATAAGAAACATCAATGAAATCAAATGACCATAAGATTTTATGCAGTTATGTTCCATCAATTGTGCAAAATTCCTTGGTAATTAAAATATATTTTATTGTTCTGATTTTGTTTCAAAAGCTATTTTAGAAATGTTTAGACTGGGCAACATAGGGAGACCCCATCTCTACAAAAAATAAAAAAATTAGTTGGGCATGGTGGCTCACACCTGTAGTCTCAGCTGGAGTGGGGGGCTGAGATGGGAGGATCACTACATCCCAGGGAGGTCAAGGCTACAGTGAGCCATGATGGTGCCACCACACTCTAGCCTGGGTGACAGAGCAAGACCTTTTCTTTAAAAAAAAAAAAAGAAGAAATGTTCTACACCAGATAGAACATGTTTTAGTTTATACAATCGGTTGTGTGGGGTTTTTTTTTCCTTTTTGTTTTATGGATGAGAATTCAGACATTGGCATTTGGTTTCTTTTTTTCTTTTTTTAAATTTTAATTATCTCACACTGAAGTTGGCAGGAAAACTAAGTAGATGGTTTATATGCAATATACACAGACAAAGTGCTGTAGAGTAAATAACACACTATAAAAACACCCAGCAATTTAACTGCTAAAATCCAGGGTAAGCGTGTAAAAGCTAGTGTCGGCTCCACAACTGAGAATTGCTTGGCTGTGTATGTTTAAGGTGGGGCTGAAAGGGCGAGGGTCAGGTGGGACCACGACTCTCCCTTGGATGGGAAAACTACTCTTTACCCTTCTGCCTCTCCCCATGCGCAGCAAGTCTAAACCAACCTGGAATTGGATTTGTCACAGGGAAGATTTTCTCAGTTTGCCTTCAACAGTGATGGCTCCTGACTCCTGTCTGCTCTGTGATTTCCCAAGAGAGAATGTCACATTTTTCTAACCTCTTTGTGGGGTTAGGAATATGTATGTCTGGTCACTGCAAAGAGCTGCCAATGACTGGCCATGTCCTTTTAGCACCTTGGAAATCAATACTCTGGCTGCTTCCTTGTAGAAAAATTTCAGAATTGAATTGATTTCTATACCTTTAGGAAATGTGAGCAATTGTCTAAGACCATATAATATAAAGGAGTTTGGAAAGATCACTATTAGGGGTGAAATTGTTCCCCCCACCCCCAACCCCTATAACCTTGAATTCCTGGGCTCAAGTGATTCTCCTGTCTCGACCTCCTGAGTAACTGGGACTACAGGCACACACCATCATAATTGTTAAAATTTTTTTTTAATTTTTTTTTTTATAGAAACAGGATCTTGCCATGTTGCCCAGGCTGGTCTCAAAATCCTGAATGCAAGCTATCTCCTCGACTTCCCAAAGTGTTGAGATTACAGGCATGAGCCACCTCACCCAGCCATGTCTCAGGGATCTTGAAAACAAGTGGTTCAAGAGGAAAAGCTGCCTGAAAGGTGTACAGATCTCTCATTCAACACCTGCCTGACATCACACATCTGCAAGGCAGAGAGGTAAACTATCTCTAAGAAATCAGGCCCCTGACACAGTTCCAGAGCAAGTAAGATTAGCACCTCTGTGAGTCTGCTGCCCTGCCACATATTATATTTAACAGAAGTTTCTTAGGAGTAACCTATTTGAACTAGGAAGCAACAGAAGTTTCCACATGACTGTACCATCTACCACTTTCTAGAATGAAAATCTTAACCTGGGGTTAGAATTCAGGGAGCTTGGGAACTCAGATGAGGGGAAAAAAACCCCACATCTTTATTTCTACTAACCTCTAACTAACATTTAGCATTTCCTTCTATTTTGAATGTAGGTAATAAACCAGTGTTACCAGCAATATCAATGACAGAAATAGAAATAATTTCATTAATAGAAATCACAGATATATCAGTTATTGAAGATATAATGCTCATTTGTGCTCATCACTTTTTTTTTGTTTTGTTTTGTTTTGTTTTGAGACGGAGTCTAGCTCTGTCACTAGGCTGGAGTGCAGTGGCGCAATCTTGGCTCGTTGCAACCTCCACCTCCTGGGTTCAAGCAATTCTCCTGCCTTAGCCTCCCGAGTAGCTGGGACTACAGGCACGTAACACCACACCAGGCTAATTTTTGTATTTTTAGTAGAGACGGGGTTTCACCATGTTAGCCAGGATGTTCTCGATCTCCTGACCTCGTGATCCACCTGCCTCGGCCTCCCAGAGTGCTGGGATTACAGGCGTGAGCCACCACGCCCGGCGCTCATCACTTCTTTGGAATGTTAGTAGTCATTATTATTTAATGACTATTATTATTATGTAATACATCATCAAAAAGGTAGATATTAGTACATTACATTTTATGATAAATGCATCTTAGGCCGGGCATGGTAGCTCACGCCTGTAATCTCAGCACTTTGGGAGGCTGAGGTGGGCAGATCACAACGTCCGGAGTTTGAGACCAGCCTGACCAACATGATGAAACCCTGTCTCTACTAAAATACAAAAATTAGCCGGGCGTGGTGGCCCACGCCTGTAATCCCAGCTACTCAGGATGCTGAGGCAGGAGAATCGCTTGAACCCGGGAGGCAGAGATTGCAGTGAGCCACAATCGGGCCACTACACTCCAGCCTGGGTGACAGAGTGAGACTGTCTCAAAAAAAAAAAAAAAAAAGCATCTCAATATAGTTTCTTTGGTAATCCTATGTGTTTTATTCATGCATTTACAAGCATTGCTGTGAAAAGGGATTCCTAAGCTTACCAGCTCTGGTTGGCATGGTGGCACACAAAAGATTAGGAGCCTCGGATGTGGTCAAAGAATAGCCATGGGGGAAGTGTGGCTACCCAGAACTTCAGATATCCCAGCACATTTTTTATAATAAGAAGACAACAGAAAGATCTATAATACACTACTGAATCATTGGAAGCTACTTAAAAACATGAGAGTTGAGTTCAGGGAGTCTTGGGTAAAGTTCTTTGTTGGTGTTTTGGGGGGTTTTATTATTTATTTATTTATTTATTTATTTTATTATTTAGAGATAGGCTCACTATGTTGCCCAGGCCGGAGTGCAGTGGCAAGGTCTTGGCTCACTGCAACTTCTGACTCCTGGGTTCAAGCGACTGTCCTGCCTTAGCCTCCCAAGTACCTAGGATTACAGGTATGCACCACCACATCTGGCTAATTTTTGTATTTTTAGTAGAGATAAGGTTTCACCATGTTGATCAGCTGGTCTCGAACTCCTGACCTCAAGTGATCTGTCCGCCTCTGACTCCCAAAGTGCTGGGATTACAGGCGTGAGCTACCGCGCCCGGCCAGGTTTTTCTTTTTAAAGCAATTTTGAAACAAATAGTTTGAGGCCCACATTTTGAGAAATGTTGATATGAATGTTCTGCTAATTTAACCATTTTTAGTTCATATATAATCACCTATCCTGAATATTTCTTCTTCATTTCTGGCTTCTGAATATATCATTTTTCTTTTCTTTTCTTTTTTTTCTTTTTTTTTTTTTGAGACAGAGTCTCTGTCGCCCAGGCTGGAGCACAGTTGGGCAACTTTGGCTCACTACAGCCTCCCCCTCCCAGGTTCAAGTGATCCTCCTGCCTCAGCCTCTAAAGTAGCTGGGATTACAGGTGTGCACTACCAGGCCTGGCTAATTCTTTTGCATTTTTAGTAGAGATGGGGTTTTGCCATGTTGGCCGGGGTGATCTCGAACTCCTGACATCAAGTGATCCTGCTGCCTCGGCCTCCCAAAGTGCTGGGATTACAGGTGTGAACCACTGCACCCAGCTACCTGAATCCATCTTAAATGACATTTTAAAGATTCATTTTTTAAGTTTACTTTGAGTAGCAAAAATAATTTTTAAAGTATTTTCACAAGTAACAAGTTTTAAAATGCCATTTATGGTTTAGCACTTTTTGAAGATAGAGGAAAACCATGTTAAACAAAAAAAGGGATGGGGGTGGCTTGGAAAGATATATACAGATCATGAGACCTAAAAAGGGTTAGTATCTTTCTTGAGCCTTATGAACTTTGCTGATGTGAAAGATGAAGCAACCTAAGGCTTGTTAAACTCCTTGAAGCTTTACTTTTGCAAACACCTCTGCCTTTCTGGAGTTATGTGGCTCATCTTGTGTTCACATTAACAGATGCCTGCCATTTTGTCAAGAAACTGATAGAATTTGCAAAGCGGTCACTGACATCTCTCACAGAGAAATGCATAGCACTTAAGTGAACCACACTTTAGTTAGGCCATGTTAACTTGGTTTCAAGTGTTCTGAGTAAACAAACTAACTACAATAGTACTAGGAGGCCAAGTGTCATTTGCTCTGAGGTATGGGATAAGCCTTGTTTCCTCCACGCTACCATGGGAGACCTTGAAGGCCTCCTAGTTCAGCAGCTACTCAGTATGAAACATCAGAAATTACAAAATAAGCTTTTCTTTTAAAAGATAGATTTTCATAATGTGTATCCTTTTACCCTAGTCTGTTTTCTAATGCATATCATTATATCTGAGACAAATTCATCCAATTGTTAAGAAGTTTAAATTGTAAAGATTTCTTCCAATTTGCTTTATTGGCAGTTTTTTGGTGTTTTTGGGTTTCTTTTTTTGTTTGTTTGTTTTCTTTTTTGAGACAGTCTTGGTCTGTCACCCAGGCTGCAGTGCAGTGGCGCGATCTCGGCTCCCTGCAAACTCTGCCTCCCGGGTTCAAGCAATTCTTCTGCCTCAGCCTCCTGAGTAGCTGGGATTACAGACGCGCACCACCATGCCCAGCTAATTTTTGTATTTTTAGTAGAGAGGGGGTTTTACCATGTTGCCCAGGGTGGTCTTGAACTCCTGACTTCAGGTGATCCACCCGCCTCGGCCTCCCAAAGTGCTGGGATTACAGGCGTGAGCCACCACTCCCGGAGTTGGCAGTTTTATTACGGAACTTGTTGGAGCCTACCTTATGTTATAGTTAGTAGGCCACTCTCTTCCTCCGGATTCAGGCTTTCAGGGCTGGTCTGCTTTAGACCTTTATTAATACACCTCTTGAGGTTAGTGACCCACAGCAGGGGCTTAAGTGGAATGACTAGAGGTGCTCACTTCAAATCTGCCCTCGTAGCTCACCATCTCAGCTAACCAGGTGGCTGATGCCTGGGTTGGAGTCCTGACTTTGCTACTCACCAACTGTATGACATTGGGCAATCTAGTTATCAATATTTTCAAAGCTCCATTTCTCTCACTATATAAGAGAATGATACCTTCCTCTTAGATTTGTTGTGGGAATTACAAGAGATTGTGTATGTTAAGCACTTAAGACTGCACCTGGGAAGTGCTCAGGAATTATTAGCTATTATTATTTTCAGCCAACAACTTGGATAAAACATAAAAATTACGCAACTATGAAATCTTGAACCAAGGAAGCCTTGGATAATGGTTGTTCAGTGGCATTCAATGACTTGAGTATTAGAGCCACGTAAAAGAGCGGCTCTGAGCCAGCGTCACTCATCAGAATCACCTGGAGAGCTTTTGCAACATTCTAAGCCAGAGTCCTTGTGATGCAGACTGGGCACAAATGTTTTTTTAAAAGCTCACCACATAATTTTGATGAAAAACTCCTGGTTAAGCCAGGCGTGGTGGCTCGCGCCTGTAATCCCAGCACTTTGGGAGGCTGAGGCGGGCAGATCACTTGAGGTCAGGAGTCCAAGACCAGCCTGGCCAACACAGTGAAACTCCGTCTCTACTAAAAATACAAAAATTAGTTGAGTGTGGTGGCACACACCTGTAATCCTAGCTACTCAGGAGGCTTAGGCATAAGAATCACTTGAACCTGGGAGATGGAGATTGCAGTGAGCAGAGATGTCACCACTGTACCCCAGCGTGGGCAACAGAGCAAGACTCTGTCCCCCCCCAAAAAAAGAAGAAAGAAAAGGAAGAAAGAAAGAAAAGAAGGAAAGAAAGAAACTCCTGGTTAAGAACTACTCAAATATTGGCCAGGCGCAGTGGCTTATGCCTGCAATCCCAGCACTTTGGGAGGCCGAGGTCGGTGGATCACTTGAGGCCAAGAGTTAGAGACCAGCCTGGCCAACATGGCGAAACCCCATCTCTACTAAAAATACAAAAATTAACTGGGTGTCATGGCGCATGCCTGTAAACCCAGCTACTCAGGAGACTGAGGCACAAGAATCACTTGAACCTGGGAGACAGAGGTTGCAGTGAGCCAAGATGTCACCACTACACTCCAGCCTGGGCAACAGAACAAGATTCTGTCAAAAAAAACTCAGCCAGGTGCAGTGGCTCACGCCTGTATTCCAAGCACTTTGGGAGGCCGAGGTAGGCGGATCACCTGAGGTTGGGAGTTCAAGACCAGCCTGACCAACATGGTGAAAACCTGGCTCTAGTAAAAATACAAAAATTAGCCAGACATAGTGGCAGAATGCCAGATACTCCGGAGGCTAAGGCAGGAGAATTGCTTGAACCTGGGAGGTGGAGGTTGCAGTGAGCCAAGATCGCACCATTGCACTCCAGCCTGGGTGACAGAGCAAGACTCCATCTCAAAAAAAAAAAAACTCCCAGTTAAGAACTACTCAAGTATTATAAGCATGGCACCCTGCTAAGGACTGTGAGGGTACCGAAACTGCAAAAGGGGTACCTTCTATTGATGGGTCCATGATCCTATCAGGTGACCAAGGCATTTACATAAAAAGTTAAGGAAAAAAAAAAAAAAGCAATACCACTGCTACACATGACAAAGAGCCAAGTAATGATGTTAATATCCTGGCAGAACAGGACAGAAAGGAGAGGGGGACAGATCCCCTCCCAGAAGGGTCAAGTGCGAGAGAAGCCCAGGGGCCTTGAGATACATTTCAGGCGGTGGAAAGGAGATGGAGATTCAGGTGATGGAGAGGTGGAGTCCTCCAAGTCCTAAAACAGCAAGAGCCCCTTTATTTGAAATATTTGCTAATAACAGTGCCATTTTCAAGCCACAATTTAAGAAATGCAGCTCTTTCTTGATCCTTGGCTAGGTCATCTGGAAGCGCCAAACGTCTGAGAACAATACTTTGCTACCTCTCCCTTCCTACCCATCTTAGTATAGATTAGATCCTTCCTGTCCTGGCTCCTAACTTCCATTCTGTTGCTTCTAATTGCACTTTACTTCCTAGGTACTTGACACTCAGAATTTGCTGGGTAACCTGCCTGAGGGAAAGTTATTTTGAAAAGTTATCACTCTGTGGTAATGACCTGGAAGCAGTATTTCTGGGAAGATGATGCTGAGGGAGTCTGGAGTCACAGGGCACATGGCTGCTGACAGCCTCCTAAGACCAGTTAATGAGTTGCTGCTGGTTTACAAGTGTCCATTTCTGTGGTCTTTTCAGTTGACCTATTATATTTCAATACATTAATTTTTTTCAGATTCATACTTATAATCAATAGGTAAGTCAGAGAGCTCCCTGTGAAACATTATTTAAAATTAAGTAAATTAAATTTAAAAATTAAATTATTTAAAAACTCCATTCAATGTACACTTAAAAACAGTTAAAATGGTAATTTTTGTTATCACAATTTTTAAAAATTAAAAATGTAATATACCAAAAACAAAGTACATTTTATTAAACTTTTACACAAAATTTTTAGAGACAGGAATCTTGCTATGTTGCCCAGGCTGGACTCGAACTCCTGGGCTCAAGGGATCCTCCTGCCTCAGCCTCCCAAGCAGCTGGGACCACAGGCTCATGCCACCACAGCCAGCAAAAATGAGGCATACTTTATTTCTTTATCTTTTATTTTTTAATACTCTTTAAACCAGATAGTGACACACTATTTTATTTTATTTTATTTTATTTTATTTTATTTTAAGACAGGGTCTCACTCTGTTATCCAGGGACTGGAGTGCAGTGGTATGATCTGGGCTCACTGCAGCCTTGACTTCCCAGGTGATTCTCCCACCTCAGATTCCTGAGTAGCTGGGACCACAGGCACACACATCCATGCCTGACTAATTTTTTTTGTATTTTTATTAGAGACAGGGTTTCACCCTGTTGCCCAGGCTGGTCTTGAACTCCTGGACTCAAGCAATGTGCCCACCTCGGCCTCCCAAAGTGCTAGGATCACAGCCATGAGCCACCGCATTTAGCCTAGGCATACTTCAAATGGCTGCATTGTATGGTATGTGAATTATATCTCAATAAAGCGTGTAAAAGACTCTCCATTCAAAATAGGGAAAAATTTTCAATTCTATTTGCACAAAAGGGGTCACAACAAATGTCCTTATTCTTAGTGGATACAGCCCATTCCTTTCTCTCTAAGTATTTTCAGTCAAAGCAAAACTTTTGGTCACTTGAGACTCAGAGATTTTCTTTAGAAAACACTGATTTAGGTCTCCTAAGGAAAAGAGACCAGGCACTGTGGCTCATGCCTGTAATCCCAGCACTTTGAGAGGCCGATGTGGGCAGATCGCTTGAGGTCAGGAGTTCAAGACCAGCCTGGCCAAGATGGTGAAACCCCGTCTCTACTAAAAATACAAAAATTAGCCAGGTGGGGTGGCGGGTGCCTGTAATCCCAGCTCCTTGAGAGGCTGAAGCAGGAGAATTGCTTGAACCCAGGAGGCAGAGGTTGCAGTGAGCTGAGATCACACCACTACACTCCAGCCTGGGCTACAAAGTGAGACTCTGTCTCAAAAAAAAAAAAAAAAAAAAAAAAAAGGAGAAGGAGAAACTAAAAATAAATATATAATTATGAAGTGTTTCTTTCTATCTAGCTTAATAATCCTACCTTTGTTTTTAGAAAATAGTGAAATAACTCGATTCCATCATTGTTCTTCAATCTCTTTTTTCCCTTCCTCTTGCACTCTCTTCCCTGGAATAATAAGGGTCTTTCTTGAGATGCTCCTGGGGAGGAGAACAGAGCTTTTGTGTGGGCTCCCCAGTTAGTTCAGTGCTTACCTCAGTCAGGGTGTTCTTGTTACCTGCATTCAACAATGTCACACTAAGGTATGAGGGACTAGAAGGGTTACAATGAGTTAACATTCCCAGAGATGGTCCTGTTTGGAAGGGTTTGCTCATTAATTCAAACGGATAAATCTTGGGGGCAGGAGGGTCTGTAGTGGTGGGGCTGGATTTGTCCAAATTAATTTTGGTCAGATGGGATTTTCCATCTACCTCAAACGTAACCACAATAAACTACGTCTGTGTCTGAAGCCATCACCATCTATCTTTCCTTTGGAGTTTCAATCTTTCATTTTATGAGGACACCACTAAGATGGACGATGTATGATGTATCCAACCTTGTCTACAAACTGCCTGATAGGCCTGAAGATGGTCATTTAGAAAATTTCTGTCACTGGAGAAACAGCAAAGCCTTTTGTAAAGCATGTGTCCATATCCTTCACTGTTTACCAAACAAGGATAGGAGGTCAAAAGTTTTTAAATTCATTTAACTCAGAAAGCACCACTTTAGTGTTTCCAAGGTTAAGAGACTTGACCACGGTTAACTGGTCAACTAATAACAAATAACAGAGCTGGAAATGGAAACTAACTCTAACTCTCCTTATTCAAATCCTTTAATTAGTACCAAGGCTTGATCTCCTTATCTGCTTGTGATGGTTGAGAAGCTAAGAAAGAGATTATATGGCTCCTAAGGCCCCTCCTAGGTTTATGACTGTAGGGATTTGACTGCAGGGAAAGTTTCATCAGAATAGTGACAAATTAGCCAACATTGCCCCACCTAAGGGTGACTCAGGGACATTCTGCTGTTTTTATCTGGAGTGATAGGGTCAATTGTCTCTCTTCTGAGGACAACATTTAATATACAAAGGCACAGATTAAAATCTTATGATCTGCCAGGTGTGGTGGCTGTCGCCTCTAATACCAGCACTTTGGGAGGCAGAGGCAAGTGGATCACCTGAGGTCGGAAGTTCGAGACCAGCCTGACCAACATGGGGAAACCCCATCTCTACTAAAAATACAAAATTAGCCGGGCGTAGTGGCACATGCCTGTAATCCCAGCTACTGGGAGGCTGAGGCAGGAGAATCTCTTGAACCCGAGAGGTGGAGGTTGCAGTGAGCCGAGATCGCACCATTGCACTCCAGCCTGGGCAACAAAAGCGAAACCCCAGCTCAAAAAAAAAAAAAAAATAAAAACTTATGATCATCATAGAAAAAAATGTCCAATGCATGATTCAGACTTGTGTAACATCACATAATGATGTCATTGTATTAGTAGCACATTCAAAATGTTTATGCAGAAGGGGTAACAATCTGGTTGTTAGCTGAGAATGGGGATCATGGCCACCTTCTCTTTCCCCAGTACCACCTTGGCAAGGTCCAATTGCATCAGGAGCATAGCAGCCACATCCTCCATTTTCTTCTTAATAAGGAGCATGAACTCTGCAATTAGCCCACCCTTTTTCCATTTTGAGTAGGATCCTTACTTCAAATAGCCTACTTCTGTCCCACCCCTTCCCTACCTATCATCTCCATCACTTATATTCATCTTCTGAGCTTCCCCACTAGTGTCCCTATCTGGTCCTGTCTTCCCTGGTTGCCTCTTCCTACCTGCACAGTTTACATTACACCCTCTGCCTCCCCATTTCTCCCTTGTGAGGTAGTTACTATTACCCTCATTTTACAGAGGAGGAAACTGCAGCAAAGAGCCAGTCTAGTGATATTGGTTTAAACAAGAGTACGCCTTTAGAAGTGAAAGAAGGGGTTGATGAGGCTGTGAAGAGCAAGAAATACTTAAAGAAGCTATCCCAAAAAGCAAGAAACGGGAAGGACACTTTCTTCCTCTTGTTTTTCCTCCAGCAAAGGCCCACTTTACCTAAAGACCTGGAACTCAAGATTCTTTTTTATTTTTTCTTCAACTTTTATTTTTAGCTCAAGGATACGTGTGCAGGATGTGCAGATTTGTTACATAGGTAAACAAATGTGTGTGATGATGGTTTGCTGCATAGATCATCCCATCAGCTAGGTATTAAGCCCAGAGTCCGTTAGCTGTTCTTCCTGATGCTCTCCCTCCCCTGACTCATGCCCCTCCGACAGGCCCTCGTGTGTGTTGCTCCCACCCCATGTGTCCATGTGTTCTCATCACTTAGCTCCCACTTACATGTGGTGTTTGGTTTTCTGTTCCTCTGTTAGTTTGCTAAGGATAATGCCTTTCAACTCCACCCATATCCCTGCAAAGGACATGATCTCATTCCTTTTTATGCCTTCATAGTATTCTTGAAAAGACTCAGTTAAGAAGTCATTGGAGCCAGGCGAGGTAGCTCACCTGTAATCTCAGCATTTTGGCAGGCCAAGGTGGGAGGATCGCTTGAGCCCAGGAGTTCAAGAGCAGCCTGGGCAACATAATAAGATCCGATCTCTACAAAAAATTTAAAAAAAAAAAAATTAGCCAGGTGTGGTGGCTCACACCTGTAGTCCCAGCTACTTGGGAAGGTGAGGTGGGAGGACTGTTTGAGCCCAGGAGGTCAAGGCTGCAGTGAGCTGTAATCACGCCACTGAACTCTAGCCTGGGTGACAGAACAAGACCCTGTCTTAATTTAAAAAGTGAAGAAAAAAAAAAAGAAAGAATTGGAGGTTGTTCTCATCATAAAAAATAAGTATGTGAGGTAATGTATATGTCAAAAAAAAAAGAAAGATCATTGGAGGTTGTTCTCACCATAAAAAATAAGCATGTGAGGCAATGTATATGTTAATTAACTCAATTTATCCATTCCACAATGTATACCTTATTTCAAAACTTCATTTTCTACATGATAAATATATACAATTTTAATTTGTCAATGAAAAATCTTAATTTTTAAAAAAATAAATTATGGGAGGAACATCTTTTATTTCACAACCCAATTTAAAATGAAGATTAGGAAATTCGAGGCTGATTCTACTTTTTATTTATTTATTTTTCTTGCATTATCAAAGAGTTTCAGATGCTGCCTTTGGCACATTTATCATAGGAGACAGAGCTACGTGCTGTTCAATTACAGTTATGTGCCTCCTGCAGTAAGTATTACGTGGAGATATAAGGAATATAGCAGACCTTGGTGATACTTTCCCAAATGAACTCCCATAAAATATAGATTTATAAATTAAAGAAGAAAACACAACACATCAACTTGTATGTGAAACCAAAATTGCACCTGATCCGTGGTCCTTAAATATTAAGTTAACAAGGATAAATTTAATCTATTAAACCCTGGGGATGATTCAACTGAGAAATAAATTTGCTTCTTCCCATCATACTACCTTTCTTTGAAAGCTGATTCTACCACTTTCAAATTGTGTAGCCTGTGCTAGTTACTTAAACTTTCTGAGCTTCAGTTTTCTTATACAGATTGAGCATTCCTTATCTGAAATGCTTGGGACCAGAAATAGTTCTGATTTTGGATTGTTTTGGATTTTGGAATATTTGCATATACATAATGTGATATCTTGGGGATGGGACCCAAGCCATTATTATTATTATTATTATTATTATTATGTTAGAAAGAATCTTGCTCTGTCGCCCAGGTTGCAGTGAAGTGGTGTGATCCTGGCTCACTGAAGCTTTGACCTCCTGGACTCAAGCAGTCCTCCCACCTCAGCCTCCCAAGTAACTGGAACGATAGGCACACTCCACTACACCCAACTAATTTTTAAATAATTATTTTTTGTAGAGAAAGGATCTTGTTATGTTGCACAGGCTGGTCTCAAACTCCTGGGTTCAAATGATCCTCCTGCCTCAGCCTCCCAAAGCGCTGGGATGAAAGGTGTAAGCCACTGCTACCAGCCAGGACTCAAGCCCAAACACAAAATTCATTTAAGTTTCATATACACCTTATATACATAGCCTGAAAGTAATTTCATACAATATTTTTATATAATTTTGTGCATTATATATATATTATATATATATATAATATATATATATAATATATATATATAATATATATATATATATAATATATATATATATAAACAAAGTTTATATTAAGTAGTTATGGCCGGGTGTGGTGGCTTACGCCTGTATTCCCAGAACTTTGGGAGGCCAAGGCAGGAGGATCACCTGAGGTCAGGAGTTCAAGACCAGCCTGGTCAACATGGCGAAAACTCGTCTGTACCACAAATACAAAAAATTAGCTGGGCGTGGTGGTGAGTGCCCGTAATCCCAGCTAATTGGGAGGCTGAGGCAGAATTGCTTGAACCTGGGAGGCAGAGATTCCAGTGAGCCAAGACTGCACCATCACACTCCAGCCTGGGCAACAGAGTGAGACTCTGTCTCAAAAAAAAAAAAAAAAAAAAAAAAAAAAAGTAGTTATGTGTGAAAATTTTCACTGGTAGCATCATGTTGGTGCTCAAAAGGTTTTGGAATTTAGACCATTTCAGATTTCGGATTTTCAGATCAGGAATATTCAACCTGTACATACAATGAAAATGAGAATAATTTCTGCTTCTAAGTTAGGAATGTTAAATGAGTTAATACATATGAACTTCACAGGACAGTGTGTAGTATTAAAATGTTGCTATTTGTCATATCATTTATCAAACATTCATTTATTTAATATCTTAATACCATCCAGGTACCAGTACTGTGTTAAGCCCCAGGAATACATGGATGAATATTTTTCTTATTAAACTCTCCAAGTTGTTTAAATATTTTTTTCAGATGACTTACAAAGATATAAACAATGCTTCCAGATAACAGGAATTAGAAGTAGATAAAGATAAAGCCAAGGGAGGGAGAAGAAGGAGCAAACGTGGAGCAGGAAACTCCTTCTCTTGAGCTCCCCTACATACTTCTTAGGGTGGATCACCTTTCTGGCTCTGGACTTCTCCGCAGCCAGCAGGAAACTGCAAAGTTGAACAAGACAAGATTTCCGACTTCAGGGAACTCTATGTCTAGTTAAGGAAACAGATGTGTAAACAAACAATTACAGTGCAATGTGATGAATGCAAAAGTGGAAGTTCTCGGCAGCAGGCTTTATAGAAGAGATATTTGCCATTGACTTTAAGGATGAAGAGTGTTGCAGAGAATATCCAGGAAAGGCAATAGTACATGCGAAGATCTGGAGCCTTGAACAGCACCATTTGCAATGCGGACAACAAGGTAAAATTTTCTAGAGTCCTGTCAGAGAGGTTTTGGAAGGCACACAAGTACTCAGTATTTTTTTTCCGGTAAAATAACGAAGGAACTCATGGTAAGTATTTCATGGCAGCAAGAACAATAACATTGCCTCAGAGAAAGCAGAGTGAAGTTAAAAAATCAAAATAGGCAAAATAGCAATGTAAGAGAAGAGAAGCAAGCCCTAAAACTCCACTTCTGTTACTATTTGTCTATTTCAATTTGTATTTCCTAGGAAACTTGTTTGGAAGAAGAGGGTTCTATGCTTACGTATAAATACTAAGCAACCCACAATTGCTTAATATTTATACCTAAGCATAGATTGTTTTAAAACAGAAACAGTAAACTGAATAGAATTTTGGAACACATCAGATGGTTAGAAATTATGAAATCCTATACTATCATTTTAATTAAGAGGAAAAGGGCCGGGCACTGGCACTCATGCCTGTAATCCCAACACTTTGGGAGGCCTAGGCGGGCATATTGCTTGAGCTCAGGAGCTTGAGACCAGCCTGGACCAAATGGTGAAACCCTATCTCTACAAAAAATACAGAAAATTAGCCAGGAGTGGTGGCACCTGCCTGCAGTTGCAGCTACTCTGGAGGCTAAAGTGGGAGGATCACTTGAGCCCAGGAGGTGGAGGTTGCAGTGAGCCAAGATCGTGCCACTACACTCCAGCGTGGATGACAGAGTGATAACCTGTCTCAAAAAAAAAAAAAAAAAAAAAAAAAAAGGGAGAGAGAGAGAAAGAAGGATAAATTAATTACCAAAATAGCTGGATAGTGGTAGAGCTGGAACAAGTGGAACAAGACCAACATTGTCCTATTGAGTGTCCTTCTAGTTGACCATGTCGACTTTCCCAACCCAGTGGCAAGATTTTGAAATCTGATATATTTCTTCAAAAATGAAGGAATGACACAAGGCTGGAAACAGGAGACAGTAACTTAAATTGGAGGGACTAATTCAAATTCCAAGAATCAAAAATATCTGTTGCAATATATGAAAGGTTTTTAATATATGAAGAATTCTATAGAGGTGGTTGTGTACTTAAAACTAGGGGAAACCATAATTACATATATTAACATTTTTGTGAAAGTTCTTCCAGCTTGCCGTATATGTACCCTCACATCTATACAGAGCCAAGAAAATTCATTTTCAATGAAGAATGAATTACTGAAACTTGACTAAAGTTGTATTGTTACACATTGAATGGAATTGCAGTTGTCCCCATTGACTTCAATTGTCTTCTCAGAAATCCTTTATCTTCTTGACTGATTGATCTTCTTTTAATAGTGAATCCTAGTGCCTCATTGTTAGCTGTTTCCCCACAATGCTCTCAATCAAGTGGTTCCTCATCTATGAACATATGTTTAAGAGCATTGAAACAGTTCCATATTCAAAGAAACTTTGTTGAAATCTTTTAAGTAAAGCAAAGATAAACAATTCCTGCCCTATTGTACTCTTTTGGAAGCTCTGCTTACATGCTCCACATTGTATGTTTGTTTTGTTGCTTTGTTTTCTTTTTCATCTCAGTTTTTGAGGATAAGAATGCTTTGTTTTAAAAGGGATCATCTGTGTCTTTTTAAAAGCTTACTGAATTTTCCTGGTGTGAATTATTTGCACGTACTCATTTTTGTGGTTGATTTGGATTTTACAGTGATTAAGATTTTACGGTACCTGCTCCACCGGGCCCAGATCCTGCTTCCCAGATCTTCCTGGGAAGCACAAAACCCCTTCCTGGCCAGCAGGCTGTCTCACTAATCCTGAGATAGAGATCACTATTGTTGATCTTCGTACCACCTTGCCAGTGCCTACTTAGCATCTGACATCAGAAGCATCCCATCAAAACCTGGTGAACAAATTGAAAGATAGATGATTCAGGACTAGAGAAACACGGGTAAGTATGGGAATCCAAATCTTTGGCAACTTCCAGCTCCCTTCATTGTACTGCTTGATTTAATTGTTGTTTGTGTTTGTTTGTTTGTTTGTTTGTTTGTTTTAGAGAGAGAGGGTTTTGCTTGCTCTGTTGCCCAGGCTGGAGTGCAGTGGTGCCATCATAGCTCACTGCAGCCTCGAACTCCTGAACTCAAGAAAATCTCCTGCCTCAACCTTCCGAATAGCTGGGATTACAGGTATGCACCACCATGCCCAGCTAATTAAACAAATTTTTTTTGTAGAGACTCTGGAGGTCTTGCTATGCTGCCCAGGCTGATCTCAAACACTTGGCCTCAAGCAGTTCTCTCATCTTGGCCTCCCAAAGTGCTGGGACTACAGGTGTGAGCCCCCTCACCTGGCCCCTGCTCTATTTTTTGAGGGTTTTTTTCTCCCCTTGAGATATCAATTACATACTGCCCAATAGGTGTCCAAAGCATCCACTTTTGCTAGGCACTCTAAACACATCAAACACTATACATTATTACTAGCAGTATGAGCATATACTAATTTACAGTTTTGTTTTGTTTTGTTTTGTTTTGTTTTGTTTTGTTTTGTTTTTCCCGAGACAGAGTCTTGCTCTGTCGCCCAGGCTGGAGTGCAGTTGCATTATCTCAGCTCACTGCAACCTCTGCCTCCCAAGTTCAAGCAATTCTCCTGCCTCAGCCTCCCAAGTAGCTGGGATTACAGGTGCACACCACCACGCCTGGCTAATTTTTGTATTTTTAGTAGAGACGGGGTTTCACCATGTTGGCCAGGCTGGTCTCAAACTCCTGACCTCATGATCCGCCCACTTTGGCCCCCCAAAGTGCTGGGATTACAGGCATGAGCCACTGCGCCTGGCCTACTTAACAGTTTTAAAAGGCCCTTTCTATTATCTTTTTGACTCCACAAAACAATCAAGCATTGTTACTGGGGCAGACACACAAGAAAGCCAAGAGGCAGGAAGATGGTAGCATCTGGCCATCAGCACAAGGACTAAGGGCAATGGGGTCCCCATTCCTCCACTGCCCTTTGCTCTGCCTCATATTGTTCCCATTCTACAAAAGGAGCTCTCAGTCCACACCTTCCTTTCACCTTAAGTTAAAATATCCATAGCTTATCTAAGTCACTTAGGAGATTCTTCTGATAAAGAAGTCAAGCTCAGTTTCCAATCCAATTTCTACCACATACCAAATTGCTCACTCTCTTTGAATCTCAGTGATTTCATCTGTAAACTGGAGTCATATATAATTGCTTTTTATAATGAGCACGTGCAATTAAAAACATTCCAAAACAAATATAAATAAGTGACAATTAGTTAAAATGGCACATGTGAAGTACCTGGTACAGAGTAGACCCCAAATGTCTGCTCTCCTCCTTCCCCCAGGAAGTTTGTGCAATTCACAAGACTAATAAGCTTCACTACAGTATGTTGTCCTAAAATAAGAATGTCCATCATTCCTGACTTGCTGGTTGGTGGAATGTGTGAGAAATAAGCTCATCCTCATTTCCTCTTACCCACCCACTTGCAGAGGCTGGGGAGATATAGGCCCCTTGCTCATGGGGAGGGCGCACTGGGATAAGGTTGATCTGGAGCCAAATAGCAAAGGAAGGTAAGTTTGCCTTTTGTGTCCTCTCATTTCCCTCTCTGAATCTATGCTATCCTTCCCACATTTGCATTTGCATTTTTGTTTCTTTTCCTTTTCCTTTCTTTCTTTTTTTTTTTTTTTAAGGAGTCTTGCTCTGTAGCCCAGGCTAGAGTACAGTGGTGTGATCTCTGCCTCCTGGGTTCAAGCCATTCTCCTGCCTCAGCCTCCTGAGCAGGTGAAACTACAGGCGCCCGCCATCATGCCCGGCTAATTTTTGTATTTTGAGTAGAGATGGGGTTTCACCATATTGGCCAGGGTGGTCTTGAACTCCCAACCTCAAGTGATCCGCCTGCCTTGGCCTCCCAAAGTACTGGGATTACAGGGCGTGAGCCACCACGCTGGACTACATTTGCGTTTTTCTTCCCCATTCACTCCACCCACTCCCCTAGATTCTGTATTTTCACATTTACCTATCAAACTAATGATTACAAGTTTGTGTGTTTTTAAGACTCACAATTCCTTTGTACTAAATATCCCCTGTGCCCAAAATAAATTTATTCTTGGCCAGAAATAATTTTTATAGCTAATGATTATAGTTACAGAATTCGAGACTCATTCTCTCCTTTGTTTGAAAACTGACTCTACCACTTTCAAATTGTGTAGCCTGCACTAGTTACTTCAACTTTCTGAGCCTCAGAGTATCCCTTATCTGAAATCTAAATCCCTTATCTGAGAGGTCCTTATATGGGGACAGAAAGAATCTATCCCCATATAGCTTTTATTTAAAGTAGATAAATTATCCTGGTCCCTCCACACTGGAATGACAGGCAGGAAGCTGCATCCTGTGATGTCCTTGGGCCAGGAATTTTGCAGCTACTTCCATGGCACTATGACTTCTCTTAAACTACAGGGCCACCCACCTCTCAGAGAACACAGACACATAGACACACGACACACACTCATGTACACACATAAACACACACACACAGAGACGCCAAAATAAGACGTCCTCCATCCTCTTCCATCTGCAAGATATATTCCTGTAAGTTGGAGAAAGGAAAACTTTTTTTTTCCATTTGATTGTTTTCTAGTGATTTTCAAATGAACGATGCCTTTGACAGGCCAATAGAATGCTGTGTGTAGTTCTATCTAAACATATTTAAACTTGGCACATTATATAGTTTTATATATGTATGACCTGATGAAAACCTATTTAGATCCAAGAAGATTTGGATCATTTTTGGTAGTTCCTGAATGTGGAAAAAATGGCCCCAAATCTGTGAATTATCTAAATCTATTCTACTTAGTATGGTGGCCATTAGCCATAGTTGGCTACTGACCATTTGTCTGAGTAAGTATAAAATACACACTTTAAGTATTAAATACAAGTGGACTTTGAAGATTTAGTATGATATCGTTTAATAATTTTTATATTATCATTTAATAATATCGTTTAATAATTTTTATATTAATTACATGCTGAAATGAAAATATTTTGGGTGTATTGGGTAAAATAAAATATATGAATAAAATTAATTTCACCTGTTTCTTATTCCTTCTTAATGCATATGTAGCTTATACTTGTGGCTTTCATTATATATATTTATATCTAGATATCTAGTGTAGATGTTAGTTCAGTCATGAAAAAGGAATGTTTTCTTATTTTAGAGTAGATGGGGCTAGCTGGGCAAAGATCTCCAGTGGCCATGTAACACCTGACACATCATATATTTACTTGCTTATTTATTATCTTTCTCTTTCCCCACTGGAAAATAAGGTTTCTGTAAATAAAATTTTATGGGCTGTTAACCCACAGTGTATGAAATAACTGAAAACCCAAAATGCATCTGGCCTCCTTCATTATGAGCAAAGCTTTGTATGAAGGCCATTTCAGTCTTTGTTCTTTAGGAATTGTGGGTTTCACTCACGTGGGTGATAGTGCAGCAGTTGCACAAGTGACATGTGCTGTAGAGTTGGGCCATCATCATTCCTTGAAAGAACTGTCCCTTCCAACGGAGTATCTAGGAAACTTTGGGGTCAACATTGTAGACTGTGGTTCAGCTTTGGTTTATGGCTTCCACATTGTTCCCTTTCTTTCGGGCCTCCTTCCTGGTGCTTAACGCAAAAATTTTCAAGTTGTACTTGACTCTTCTTTTTCTCTCACTCTCCAGTTCTAATTAATTGGTAAAGCTCTTTCTTCAGATTATTCCAGATTATACCCATTTCTCACTCTGCCACTGCCACTTTGGCCCACATCTCCCACACCTCCATAAATATAAGTCAGATCACGTCACTCTTCTGTATAGAATCAACCAATGTTTCCATTGCACTTAGACTAAAAGCCGAAGTGCTTACAATGGCTTTGAAGGCCTATCCAACTCCCATCCCCCAAGTTCTCACACCTCAGACTCCTAATGCTCTCCTCTGGCTCACTCTGCTCCAGTCCGTCTGGTCTCCACGTTGCCTCTTACACTCCCAGGCACACATCTCCCTCAGGGCTTTTGCACTTGCTGTTCCAGTTGCATGCAATGTCCTTTCTCCAAATATTTGTTTGGCTTGTTCCTTTACTGACTTCAAGTCTCTATTCAAATGTCATGTCTTCTTTGACCACCTATATAAAGTATGCCCTCTCCTCTTTACCTAATTAGGTTTTCTCCATAGATTTTATTGGCATAGGACATAAATACTCACTTGTTTTTTGGTTGTTTTTTTTTTTTGTCATTTCTTACTATTAGAACATTAGCTCCATGATTGTGAAGATTTTGCTTTCTTCATTGTTGTTTCCTCAGTGCCTAGACATGGCTTATATCAGAGGTGCTCAATAGATATTTGTTGGCCAGTCACGGTGGCTCATGCCTGTAATCCCAGCACTTTGGGAAGCTGAGGCAGGCAGATCACCTGCACATACATGCACATATATATGTATACACACATACATAATTGTACTGTTACAGTTATATGGTAAATATCTGTGGGTTAGTTGGAAAAAATAACACAACTTGAACTTTGCAGCCTTAACTCATCCGGTTAACTAGACCTGGAATACTCCTTCTTATGGGTTGGAATTCAACCAGGAGTTAGGGACCAGCCTGGGCAACACAGAAAAGCCCCATCTCTAAAAAAAATTAATGATAGGCCAAGCCTGGTGGCTCATGCCTGTAATCCCAGGACTTTGAGAGGCTGAAGCGGGTGAATCACCTGAGGTCAGGAGTTCAAGACCAACCTGGCCAACATGGTGAAACTCCATCTCTACTAAAAATACAAAAAAAATTAGCCGGGTGTGGTGGCACATGCCTGTAATCTCAGCTACTTGGGAGGCTGAGGCAGGAGAATCGCTTGAACCAGGGAGGTGGAGGTTGCAGTGAGCCGAGATCGCACCACTGCACTCCAGCGTGGGTAACAGAGTGAGACTCTGTCTCAAAAATAATAATAATAAATAAATAAATTAAATACATTTTTAAAGTAAAATAAAAAATAGAAAAAGAAATTATACCTAACCCTTAATCAAACAGTAACTTTACTGTATGCTGAAGCTCCACATCTTTTTTATTTTCTCTATTTTTATTTTATTTTTTATTTTAGTTTTTTTTAGAGGTGGGGTTTTACCATGTTGTCCAGGCTGGTCTTGAACTTCTGGGCTCAAGTGATCCAACCACCTCAGCCTCCCAAAGTGCTGGGATTATAGGTGTGAGCCACTGTGCCCAGCCCTCAAATCTTTTTTAAAAATACATAGTAACTATGTGACTTATTTTATTTTTCCTAGTCCTAGACGTTTAAGAAATGTTCCTATTCTTTCCTACCTCCATTTTTTGCAATTAGCCTGTAACACCTCAGGAGGGTTACGTTTTATTCAGCTTTTATTCCCTGCAGCCTGTAGCACAACTCTTTATGTAACAGGCACTCAATTATGTTTGCTGGATGGAATTTAAGATTAACAATAACAGACATAGTTGTCTGTGCCTGTAGTCCCAGCTACTCATGAGGCTGAGGTGGGAGGATTGCTTGAGCCTGGAAAATTGAGGCTGCAGTGAGCCGTGATCATGCCACTGAGTATAGTCACACTCTAGTCTGAGGAAAAGAAAGAGACCCTATCTCAAAAAAAAAAAAAAAAAAAAAAAAAAAAAAGAGGCCAGCTGGGACTACAGGCGCCCGCCACCACGTCCGGCTAATTTTTTGTATTTTTAGTAGAGACGGGGTTTCACCATGTTAGCCAGGATGGTCTCAATCTCCTGACCTCGTGATCTGCCCGCCTCGGCCTCCCAAAGTGCTGGGATTACAGGTGTGAGCCACCTCGCCCAGCAGCAGAATTCATTTCTAATTTAGATAAAGTCCACATTATATAAACTGGCTGTATGTGAGCATACATAAAGTTTATCCTGTTGATTTAAATTTTCCTACTGAGAATAATAACTATCTACAACTCCAACACCAGCATGTCTTCGGCCAGCTTGGTGTGTCCAGCCATAGCACCTTTTTTAACTAGTTTATTTGCTCTCTTTCTCTCCAAACATACTCTGTTTAGTGAAACTTTATTTTATGTTTCCCTTTAGTGTGAGGCACCACCCAGCCTCACACAAAGAAAGTTGTCTAGGGCTGAACCAAGGCGTGTGCTTCAACAGGGGAGGTTGTTTTCTAATTGCCTTTTTTCATCACTCACCTCCACGCCACTGAAGGACATACAAGTAGATTTTATTTTTAATTATTTTTCTTACTTTTTTGAGGGTGTGAAGTTGTATGTGTTGTTGTAATTCTAAGGGAAAAAAATAGCTCTAGAAAAGAAGCTATTTCTTTCTTTTTATTATTAAGAATAAGTTTTTTAAAAAAGGAACTGTCATTCCATTAAGGTCTTCATCTGTTAAAATTGTTCTGTGGACAGGAAGTTGAGGAATTTTTAAAGTTCTTTCCAAAAATTTGTTTTTTCTTAAGGAAAAGTGAAAAAAAAGATTTCCAGGTATCTCTCACTGTCTTATTCATCATTCAGACATTCTACTTTCATCTCAATACCACCATGAAATGAAACAAACTTGTATGAATGATATGTTACTGATCTAACCCCCAAAATCCTTTAAAGACAGGATTTCTTAATTTGTTCTCTCATTGGATAAATGCTCAAAGAATACACGGAGGTCTTTTAAGCTTAGTTGGAATCGACTTATTGGGCAAGTAATGAATCTGATTGTTATGTTAGCTTCCATGTCAGCAAAATAACAGATGTACAAGTATAATAGAGGAGAAAAAAAGTTGCTTTTGGATTGTTAGAGCAGGTGCTACATGAAAAAAAAAAATCACATGGAACTTTCTCAAGTGCATTTGGAAACACTTGGAAGGTAGCCAGGAGGAAAGTTCTCCTTCAATCCCTTGGACATCCAGTTGTGAGCCAGGATTAGGCTCCTGAACAGCTGAGTCAATGAGGACACTGACACCATGTCACTTCTTCAGCTCTTTATTCCTCCCTCACCCTCCAACAAAAGCAGCAGAGATTGCCCTCCCCCACTAGCACACACACATACACAGAGTCCAGCTGTCAGATATGGCTTTCAGGGAACACCAGACAGTGCTGAGTCCCAGTCCGGGGTGAAGGCAAGTTACCATGGTTCTCTGGCTATTATTGCGTTCAGCACATCAGGGAATGGAAATAAGTGCGCACATGTTCTAAAAGGCCCTTTGGGAAAA
Source organism: Homo sapiens (assembly GCF_000001405.40). NCBI lineage: Eukaryota > Metazoa > Chordata > Mammalia > Primates > Hominidae > Homo > Homo sapiens. The sequence goes on from NC_000006.12 coordinate 113,732,821, forward strand.
ATCAGTGGGGCTGCATGGGAGACACAATGGCAGGCTTTGTCGCAGAGAAAGGATTTGGTCTGGCAAGCAACAGCAGTCCTGCTGGACACAGGGTTTGTCTGCACAGGCAGGATGGGAAAACCATGTGCAGGGTTTACAGAACATCCTCATTAGAAAAAAGTAGGGCATTTAGCATAATTAAAAGTCATCCTGAAGACATCAGGTAAGAGCCTGCTGTTTTTAATTAATTGTTCCTGTGATCCTATGACTTTAAAAGGAGTGCCGCTCTTGCCCATAGAGGTTTAGAATTACTTCAGAAACATAAGTCATTTAGTTGGGGGCAAAACAGCATCTGTGAAAGTTTGAAAAAGGCAAAAGAGGAAAGAGAGAAGAAAAAGTATGGGATAGTGAGAAAGAGTTGAAAATTATGAAGCTACTAATATATAATTTGCAAAGATTATCCTGTTGTGTTTTCATGCTCTGTGCCTTAATATCCTCACATCCAAACTACAAAGTTGGGGCAAAACAGCATCTGTGAAAGTTTGATAAAGGCAAAAGAGGAAAGAGAGAAGAAAAACTATGGGACAGTGAGAAAGAATTGAAAATTATGAAGCTACTAATATATAATTTGCAACGATTATCCTGTTGTCTTTTCATGCTCTGTGCCTTAACATCCTTGCATCCAAAATACAACTCCCCACTGACCTGCATCCTGCCTTGATATATAAATTAGTTTGGGGGAAAAATTCCCAGAGTCAAGGTTAAGAGAAAACAGCTGGGACATAAACTACGAGCCATGTGTCATAGATTTCTCCAAGTACGTAGAGTTTAAAAAAAAGAAAACCCTATTTTGAAGAGTCAGCATGTCCAGAACAGGTAGGGTGAACCAAGGACTTTATATGGTCTCCATATTCATGAAAATAAATATGGGGAAGACTATATAACTGTGTCAGTTATGCAAAGGGGGAGGACTAAACAACATAAGAAATCCTGTCCAAAACTTTTTTTCTTTCTGTTATAAAATCCCCAACCTAAATTATCTAAGTAATACTATAACTCTCTGCTTTTTTGTGTGCCTAGTGTAGAGAAATGGTTACTTTTTTTTTTTTTTTTTATGAAACGGAGTTTTGCTCTGTCGCCCAGGCTGGAGTGCAATGGCACGATTTTGGCTCACTGCAACCTCCGCCTCCCTGGTTCAAGTGATTCTCCTGCCTCAGCCTCCCAGGTAGCTGGGATTGCAGCCATGCGTCATCATGGCCGGCTAATTGGTCTTGAACTTCAGTTGTATATTTTCTTCTGTTCTTCCACTGTTTTTTTTTTTTTTTTTTTTTTTTTTTTTTTTTTTTTTTTGAGATGGAGTCTCGCTCTGTCACCCAGGCTGGAGTGCAGTGGCGCGATCTTGGCTCACTGCAAGCTCTGCCTCCCGGATTCAGCCATTCTCCTGCCTCAGCCTCCCGAATAGCTGGGACTACAGGTGCCCGCCACCATGCCTGGCTAATTTTTTGTATTTTTAGTAGAGACGGGGTTTCACCGTGTTAGCCCAGATGGTCTCGATTTCCTGACCTTGTGATCCACCCGCCTTGGGCTCACAAAAGTGCTGGGATTACAGGCGTGAGCCACCGTGCCTGGCCTTCTTCCACTGTTTTAATTCTGTTATATAAATTTGTATTCTGCTTTTCTCACTTAATATAGCAAATGTATTCCTGTGTCCTGACAGTGTATTGGACATTCCATGCAAAGTACTGAAAACTATACTTCCTTCTTTTTATTTTTTATTTTCAATTTTAAATTAATTTTTAAATTTATTTATTTATTTTTAAAGACAGGGTCTTACTTTGTCTCCCAGGCTAGAGTGCAATGGTACAATCAGCTCACTGCACCTCTAACTCCTGGGCTCAAGCCATTATTTTGCCTCGGCCTCCCAAGTACTTGGGATTATAAGCTCAAGCTATATTGCCCAGCTAACTTTTTAAATTTTCTTCTTCTTCTTTTTTTTTTTTTTGTAGAAATGGGGCCTCACTATTTTAACCAGGCTGGTCTGAAACTCCTGGTCTCAAACCATCCTCCCATCTAGGCCTCCCAAAATGTTGGGATTACAGGTTTGAGCCACCATACCCAGCCACCTCCCTCTTTTAAGAAGCCACAGTTTTCACCAAGCCCATACCTCTTCCTCCGTGTGTGTGTGTGTGCGCCCACATTCTGTGCCATGTAGCCCTGCTACCATAGGCTGATTGAGAACCAGCCTATGACTGGTCCTCATCAGTCTGTGTGTCTGTGAATAATATCTGTGTGTAGACATTATTCAACACAGACACTCTCTATTTTATTAGGACTTGTCAAATTCATCAGATTTTCTGTCAGAGCTTGTGGAAGGAAAGACGTAGTCATTAGTGGAGTGATGAAGAAGCTGAGGGAAAGCCACAAAAAAAGTGATAAAGCAGGAACCACGAGGCAATAGAACTCAGGCAATAGAAAGTGAAGTAGAGAAAAACTGGATCATTGAGATTAAGCTGAGTCACCCTGATGTGTAAACCACCAACAGAGCCAATTAAAAAGTCAGCTGCTTCCAAGAAAGGATCAAATAATTGAATCAGAAGAGATGCACTGAAATCTTCAGTAATATTAGTTAACACATTAACAGTACTTACTATGTTCAGGCATTATTCTCTTGTCTACTTATATTATTTCAACTAATCTTCCTATCAATCCTACCATGTAGCTTCTCCAGTCATCCTCATTTTAAAAATCGGAAAACACAGGAGCAAAGTAGTTCAGTGACTTGCCAAAGATCACACACAGAGTAAATGAAGATGCCAGGATTCAATCTCAGGCAGGCTGGGTCCAAGATCCACAACTTAACTACTCCATGTGTGTCCCCCAGAGACTTTTCAGTTCTTTACATGCCCTGCAATAAAGATTTCCTGTTCTTTCTTACTTCCACATTTGCCTTTATAATACATTTCTAATGCCTGAAGTCTTCTGAATGCCTGCATATGTCGCTGTTTTTGCAATCTGAGACACTTCTCTCGTGCAACACTTTAATACATACATACATATGTGTATGTGCATGTATGTTTGAATGCTTATATAGAAAGATATATATATACACACACATGTATATACATACACACATATATATATATATATATATATATATATAGAGAGAGAGAGAGAGAGAGAGAGAGAGAGAGAGAATCAATCCAGTGGCAATTAGCCAGGCATGGTGGTGTGCACCTGTAATCCCAGCTACTTGGAAGGCTGAGATAGGAAAATTGCTTGAACCTGGGAGGTGGAGGTTGCAGTGAGCCGAGATTGCGCCATTGAACTCCAGCCTAGGTGACAAGAGCGAAACTTGGTCTCAAAAAAATAAAAATAAATTAATCCAGTGGCTAATGCATAGCTATTCCAAAGAGACAGAAAGTAGATAAGTGATGGCTAAGGGTGGGGGTTGGGGAGAATGAGGAGTAACTACCAATGGGTTTGGGGTTTCTTTCTGGGATGATGACAATGTTTTAAATTAGATAGTGTTGATGGTTGTACAATTCTGTAAATATACTGAAATCCACTGAATTGTACACTTTAAAAGATGTAGATTTTATGTATGTAAATTATAGCTCAATTAAGCTGTTACTAGGGGAGAAAAAAAAGTCATGATATGAAATCTTATCTCCTATAAGCAACATCAGAGAACAGAGAATCAGAGAAAATCTTGATAGATCATTTACCTGCCCACAGGCAACCAACTGCTAATTCCTGGCAGCATTTTAACATCCTATCAACATTTAGAGTAATATCAAACATGCTATCTTTTATCCTAGCCACTCTTTAATGAAATATTCACAAATATAAACCATTATTTGGGTAAAAGAAAGAAAATAATTTTAGTCAAGTTGACTCAAAATACTTACTGCATTTACAGCATATAAGTCCTAATGAAGGTATATATATATATATGTGTGTGTGTGTGTGTATATTTTTCAATTGATTGCTAATAACTATAAAAATATAGCAAAGGACAGTCTAGTGCACAGATTAATTTTTTTCTATTGAATTATTTGTTTTAAAATGAATTTCTAGGATTGGAATAACTGAGCAAAAGGGAAAGAACATTTATATGATGATTTTTATATACTATTATTGTTATCCAAAACAGCTATACTTATTTAGCATGCCTTGAACAGATTATGAGAATCTTGTAGTGTTGTACTACCTTATCTCAGATGAAGTTCACCTCCTGAATTAAGGGTTTTTAATGATTAAATATTACCTAAGTAATCTGATTTAGCAGAATGGACATTTGCAACAATATTTTGTGTTGCAACAAGTTTGACATGTTCCCTAAGTCAAAAGCAAGTGTCCTGGGAAATTCACCATAAATAAGGTCCTAGATTAGTGATTAACTAGTTGAGAACAGGGCATTTTGTTGGACTGCTCTCTGGGATGTTTAGAGAAAGAGAGATTAATAGTGATTACCTCTGCTTAGAAGTTCAAAGAATTGAGAAGTTAAGAATCAAAATCCTTAGTTGACACAGCATTCATTTAGTTTAGTTTTTTTGTTTGTTTGTTTTTGGTTTTTTGTTTTTTTTGAGGTGGAGTCTCGCTCTGTCACCCAGGCTGGAGTGCAGTGGCAAGATCTCAACTCACTGCAACCTCCGCCTCCCAGATTCAAGCAATTCTCCTGCCTCAGCCTCCTGCGAAGCACAGCTTTCATTTAGTTATGCAATCATGAAACACATTTATTAAACATTTTGCTATAGTCTTAATGTTTGTGTTCCACATCAGTGTGTTGAAATCTAATCCCGGCTGTGATAATATTAACAGGTGAAGACTTTGGGAGATGGTTAGATCGTGAGAGCAGAGCTCTCATGAGTGGGATTAGTGCCCTTATAAAAGAGACCCCCAAAAAACTCATTGTTCCCTTTCACCATGTGAGGACACAGCTAGAAGGCACCATCTATGTGACAGCAAGCCCTCATCAGAGGCTACTGTTTCCATGATCTTGGACTTTCCAGCCTCCAGAACTGTGAGAGATAGATTTCTGTTGTTAATAAGCCAGAAAATAGTATTTTCTTATAGTAGTCCAAACAAAGACAAACCTACCATTTCTTTTACTCATTAAAGGCAAGTAGTCTCCCCACTGAAGCATTTATAGGCTAATGGGAACCCAATGAAAGATGCATTGAACCTCGGGGGATACAGGGAAGATATGACTAAGATTGCTGTTAGTCATGGAAGATATTACATCCATGCCAGGTTGAACCTGCCCACCTCTCTTTTAGTAATAGAATGCCCAATATTTAGCCAGGGGTGGGGCCACCCTGAGTAGAATTCATTTCCCAGCTTCCCTTGTAAATGAGGTGTGACCATGTGACTAGTTAGGGAGATATAAAAAAAATTGAGTGTCAGTTTCAACAAAATTTATTTTTAAACAGCCAATGAACATACTTTTCTTCTTTTTTCCTCCAACCTCCATTTTGTCACAGAAAATCAGTTGTGAAGGTTGGTGCTCTGGCTGACATCTTGGAACATGAAAAAGGGACCTAAATTCAGAGCTATAAGCTAGAAAAAACCGTGTCTACAAGATATTTTGTAATATATTCTAACAGAGTGAATTGCTTGCCACCAATATTCTTTTACATAAAGGCAACTACAATAAATCTTCTTTCTTGTTTAAGTCATTGCTAATTGGAGTTCCTTAGTCACATGCAGCCAATCCTAAGTGACTGAGAAGGCTTCTTTAAGTTGAGTCTTAAAGTCTGATAGAGTTTGCCAGATAAGGAATATGGAAAGGGGATTCCAGGTGTACAGTCATGAACAAAACTAGAAAGAAAACCCAAAGAGGCAAAGGATTTGGTTGGTAAGGCATGGCATGAGATTAATTAAGACCAAAAAAATTTGTTTTTTTTATAGAATATGTATTTTAAACACAAGATCCTCAGGGATCTGGATATTCTGTATCAATAGCCTGTATCAGTTATCTATTGCTGACTAATTAATCGCTCCAAACTTAGCATCTTAAACAACAGTAAATATTTATTAACTTACACAGGTTTTGAGGATCAGAAATCTGAGTGGTTTTGGCTCGGAATCTGCCATTCAGGATGTCAACCAGGGCTGAAGTCATCTGAAGGTTTTATGGACTCAACGCTCACTTCCAAAATGGCTCATTCACATGCCTCATTGTTGGCAGGAAGCCTCAGTTATTCACCATGTAGATCTCTCCATAGGGCTGCTCAGGTGTCCTGACAATATGGTTCCTGGTCCCCCAGAGGAAGTAATCCAAGAGAGCAAGGGGGAGCCACAATATCTTTTATGACCTAGCCTCAGAAGTCATATATTATCAGGCCTTCAGGAAGGGATACAAAAGGGTAAGAATACCAGGAGATGAAAATCACTGTGGTCATCTTGTAACCTCAGCAAGCTTGAAAAATGGAGACCGGCCAGAAAAGTCCAGCTGTTGGTCAAAGATAAATGATTGTCTTTTGAGCACAAAAGCATCTTTCTGTAGAATTAAAGATGTACAACTGGCAGGGTGCTGCGGCTCATGCCTGTAATCCCAGCACTTTAGGAGGCCAAAGTAGGAGGATGGCTTGAGGCCAGGAGTTTGAAACCAGCCTGGCAACATAGCGAGACCTTGTATCTACAAAACATTAAAAAATTAGCCAGGCATGGTGGTGGCTACTTATAGTCCTAGCTACTCAAGAGGCTGACGTGGGAGGATTGCTTGAGCCCAGGAGCTCAAGGTTGCAGTGAGTTGTGATCAGGCCACTGCACTCCAGCCTGGGCAACAGAGCAAGACCTTGTCTCTATTTAAAAAAAAAATGTTGAATTAAGTGATTTGAACTAAATTTCATAAAATTCTAACACTACTATTTTGCCTACCTAAAATTGACTTCCCTTCTCCTCTGTGACTATCAGTTTTTATAGGCCCTATTCAGGATAAAATTCCCTAAAGGACAATTTCTTCATAAACACAAAAAACACCTATTATCCTAACCATGTGAGTACTTTATTAAAAGCATCTCCCTGAATGTTTTATGTACATAAATCTTTTTTAATCAACCAAATTGTACTTTCAAGGTAGATAGAATTCTGTTCAGTTCATACCAACATCTATTAAGCAATAACTATATACGAAGAATCGTGCCCCCCTCTACAAGTGCAGAGTCTAAAGTGGGACAGGTATTGATGTGAATAGACATGTTCAACAGAATGTGCCAAAATGCACTGGGTCCCAGGTGGTCTTTGTCACTCTTCCAAGCCTGTACACGGAATTGGGCACATAAGTTTCAAAACTCATAGTCTAAGGTTTTAACTAATCAGTTATTGATTCTAGTCATTCAGGGGCTGATTGATTACAGCTTTAGACTAGTGACTTTCAGAGTTTTATTTAAAACAAAATTCTACTTAAAGTAAAACCTCACTAGTGTTCCATGAGATATAACAGGTGTTCCACAGAACAAAACAAAATGAAATCCTCTCAGGATTAGGAATATTGTCTCTAAAATTACTCTATAGCATGTATGAGAGGAATATCGAACACATACATGTAGCTGTTTTTATTTTTGTGGTAATTTTTCTTTTAAAAGGGTATGGTGAGAATGTCAAATAGTCATGAGGGATGATACAACAGAGACTGTATGACATAAGACCTACCATTGCTGTACAAGCTTTATCCAATAACAGGTGCTGCACTGTATATTCTATTATGATTGTTGGTCTGTGTTCAAGGGCTTATTTTACCATTTCAGCATTTATATATAATGTTATCCAATATCAATTGTATATTTGCATATGAATCAAATTTTGATCTTTTCTCATTGCAAGAAATTTTTTCATGAGACCCCTTTATGATTTCTGTTCACCTATGCCTATCTTATTTCTCATGAGCTCTAATTGCTGTCTCATTAATATGTTTTAATTTTAAAGTATGGTACTGCCAAATGAATTTGGGAAATTGAGATTTATATATACATGACCATTTGTGCTGGAGAATCCAACAAACTTGGGTTCTAAGCCAAACACCATCACTCAATGACAACTATTGCTGGTTATAGTTAATTACATTATCTATTGACAGCATAGTTGTAATTCATCATACCTTAGGTACTGATAGAAATAGAGATAAAAAGCGAACATTTTCTTTAGGTAATCACAGTCCAGGGGCAGCATTCATTTCTTCTAACCACATTCTGACAAAAAATCAAAATGTTCTGCATTCTCCAGAATCATAGAACTTCTGAACAGAAAGAATGATGAACATCCAAGTCTGATCTTTATTTTATTTTATTTAAAAAATAAAGTAGAGCCCGGGTGCAGTAGTTCATGCCTGTAATCCCAGCACTTTGGGAGGCCGAGGTGGGTGAATCACTTGAGGTCAGGAGTTCCATACCAGCCTGGCCAACATGGGGAAACCCCATCTCTACTAAAAATATAAAAATTAGCCGGGTGTGGTGGCAGGTGCCTGTAATCCCAGCTACTCAGGGGGCTGAGGCAGGAGAATTGCTTGAACCCAGGAGGAAGAGGCTGCAGTGGGCCTAGATTGCGCCACTGTACTCCAGCCCAGGCGACAGAGTGAGACTCTGTCTCAAAAAATAATAAACAAACAAATAAATAAATAAATAATAGAGACAAGCTCTCACTCTGTTGCCCAGGCTGGTCTCAAGCTCCTGAGCTCAAGTGATCCTCCGGCCTCAGACTCCCAAACTGTGAGGATTACAGATATGAGCCACCACGCCTAGACCAAATCTGATCTTTAATAGCTGAAGATCAGAGAGTACTGCATTGCAAGTCAGGGACTAGTGACTAAATTGTGATTAGAACCTAGGGTCAATTGTATTACTGTTCCCAAATATTCACTCTCCTTTCCTATAAAAGGATTAATTCATTTCACTCATTGCCACATAACATGCAGTGTCTCTTACAGTAGTTGTATATACCTCCATCCTATTGACATTGGGCTTGGCCATGAGCTTTGTTTGGCCATTGGCATGTGAGGGGACATTGCATCTGCCATGGTCTTGCATAAACTTTAACAGCCATCATGTAGTTTACTAACTTCCTATTCTATTCCCTCTGACACAATCTCACATGTCCTGGAGGGGACACCTCCTTCAGCAGGGAATGAAGAGGGCACTTGGAGCAGACATGACTGATCCATCTTCTCACATGTGAAGAAAGTGAAAAACAGACTTTTTTATTCTTCACCCTTGTAAGCCACTGAGATTTTATAGTTCTCATTGCTAGAGCAAAGCTGAATAATTTAGAATGCAAGCCAGAAAGAATAAGTGATTTGTACAAGTTTACACATGTACATAGCTAAATGGCAGAACCAGAGTTAAATCTCAGTTCTTTTGACATCCAGTCCAGTATTCTTTCCATATTTTTAGAGCTCTTTAAGTGACCAGTGTAAACATCTACACAGTATATTTTACTGTGATACTTAGAACATCCCCGAAAGCAATTAACTACATGACTAAAGGTTTGTCCAATTAATTTTTCCTTAATTGCCCATATGCTGAAGGCAACTCACAGGCTACAAATAATTTACGAAACTCTTTTACTCATTGTGGTCATTACTGACCGTATTGGCTAGCAGCAGTCCTTCCCAATGTGAAATGGGTGAAGTGCACTTGGAAATTACATGAGGCTTGCACTTTTCATCCGCTCTTGTTGGCCTGGTCATCTTCAAGTGCCTGTTATCTTGAGTGAGATAGAGGATTCTAGCAACAGCTCCATTGTGTAGTCTTATCTTAGGAACATATGGACTCTTTCACATTTGGTTTCCCTAAGTAGGCCTTTAAAAGTGATGGCAAATTCTGTCAACATCTCCACCTGTTTTGTATTCTCTCCAGTAAAAATCTGTCCAGTAGCTTCAAGAAGCTCAATCTACTGCTGAACCACTTCATGCCAGTTTCACGTGCTCCTTTAGTCATTTTCTTCCTGAAGTCATGTCAAAATGTCTATCTTCAATAAGCCCTGTCACTTAAAATAGAACCCTCTACCTACAGATTATGTTTTCCTTTTGACCTGTGTACCTCATTTGAAGTATGTGGCATAGATTTTCTATATCCAATTCAACGTTTGTTCTATATTCACTTTTGGATGATTCTAAGTCGTGTTATCATATCAGACTATCACAATTTTGAATGTTGAACTCAAACTAAATACTTCATTGTGTCTAGTGCTGTGGACTTTTAAAGGCACTCAGTATAATTAAGGCTGAATTATACTAATGATTAACTAGGCTTGTATTATGAGGAGTTAACTCCTCTTTATTAATTCAAAATTGGAATCTTGGCAGAGTGCGGTGGCTCACGCCTGTAATCCCAGCACTTTGGGAGGCTCAGGCGGTTGGATCACCTGCGGTCAGGAGTTCAAGACCGGCCTGGCCAACATGGTGAAACCCCCATCTCTACTAAAAATACAAAATTAGGCCGGGCGCGGTGGCTCACGCCTGTAATCCCAGCACTTTGGGAGGCCGAGGCGGGTGGATCATGAGGTCAGGAGATCGAGACCATCCTGGCTAACAAGGTGAAACCCCGTCTCTACTAAAAATACAAAAAATTAGCCGGGCGCGGTGGCGGGCGCCTGTAGTCCCAGCTACTCGGGAGGCTGAGGCAGGAGAATGGCGTGAACCCGGGAAGCGGAGCTTGCAGTGAGCCGAGATTGCGCCACTGCAGTCCGCAGTCCGGCCTGGGCGACAGAGCGAGACTCCGTCTCAAAAAAAAAAAAAAAAAAAAAAAAAAAAATACAAAATTAGCCGGATGTGGTGGCACACACCTGTAGTCCCGGCTACTTGGGAGGCTGAGACAGGAGAATTGCTTGAACCTGGGACGTAGATGCTGCAGTGAGCCAAGATTGCACCACTGCACTCCAGCCTGGGCAAGACAGAGTGAGACTCCATCTCAAAAATAAATAAATGAAATAAAATATATGCTAGGAAAAGACTGTACAACTTGAAAACATAGGTAGGCAAACCTAGATTTTCCCAGCCAATTATTAAATACTGATGAGCCAGTTTCAGACCGTCATCTTTTTTTTTATTAATCAGAACACATAACCTTATATATAAATATTTTCTAGCATAAGCAGCCATTTCATAAATTTCCATGACCTAAAACACCTCTAAAATTGTAATATGCTGAGTTAGGAAATTACAGAGAAATGAATTCTTGAATTGAAGCAGATAGCAAGGAAAAAAAACTAATCTGAACTAAATTTTAAAGTAAAATGTTCAGCCGGGCATGGTAGCACATGCCTGTAATCCCAAACAGAAGAACCAGTTAAGCTCAGGAGTTCGAGGTGACAGTGATCTATGATGGGGCCACTGCACACCAGCCTGAGTGGGAGAGCAAGACCCCATCTCTAATACATATAAAAATGTAAAAATATTGTATATATACACACACACTATATACACTTAATATTACACACTATATATAGTAATAAAAATAAATAGTATATATAGTGTATATATTATATATAGTGTATATTAAGTATATATACTTAATGTTTTTATATTAATTATTAAATACTTAATATTTTACGTATTTATATATAAATATAAATATATAATATTGTTACCATAATACCATATATATGGTATTATACATACACTATATATGTGTATATATAGTGTGTATATATATATCATATACATATACTATATGTATATATACATACATAGTGTGTGTATATATACATATATAGTATAATATATATGATATTACGGTAACGGTGACCTAATTTAGAAAAAGACGTTCACTCATATAGTAGGTACTTCTGCCGTTCTTCTGTCAGTACTAGTCTTCCTATCTCTGAAAGTTTCTGGAGGACACTGGGGTGATAGATGGATACCCCCTCAGGTGGAATTCCTATGCAGTTACAAGTCTCTTCCAGAGAACTCATGTTCCTTTTCTTACCCTTCACCCTTTCCTCCCTGCCATCCCTCCGCCACAGCCTCTCACTCCATCTACACCGTTCTTTCAGTGTCAGGGTTATGAATTCTCAAGCTAAACTTGACATTTTAAAGTAATAGCTTTATTATTTGGGCTCTGATTACAGACCCTGTTCACAGTTACATTTGCGTTAAAGAGCAAAGGTTACCAAAGTTCAACATGTGTTTGGCATTATTTTTAAAAGGCCTTCCTCTTTGGTAAGCTACAGAAAAATTGTAAGACTGGAAACCTGTGAGCCAGCAGCCAAAAACATAGACTACCATGGATTTGCTGCTTTCTTGCAACAGAAACCTTCACTTTTTCACAATAGATACATTTTTTCTGATTACGATTAGATCAGCTTAAATAGAAAAGGGATCATGTCACCATCACCAACAACAAACTTCAGTTATGAACTGAGCACTATGCTGGTGCAAGATGTGGTTGCTGTCTTTTAAGGCGGAAGACAACACTAAAATGCCTTCATCCTATGAAGAACAGAAAAAATCCTGGAGTAGAGCAGAGAGGAGAAGCTAAATTTAACCCTTAGAATGTCAGAGGAAGGAAGGTTTTGACACCAAGGTCTTATATAACACAGGCAATCAGATTTAATTCCGGCCTGGGTATATTCTCTCTCTCTCTTTTTTTAAATAATTATTTTATTTTTAATTGTGTGGCCCTGTTATATTAATTTCCTTTAGCCAAAGGAAGATAGATCCTTTAGCCAGGGGAAGACTTAAATCACTAAATCACATAAAATCCCTCTCTCTCCTTCTCTCTCTCTCCCCTTCTCTCTCTCCCTGTTTTAATAGTACTTAGCTATCTCAAAGTGTTGCTGGAAGGATTCATAAGCATGTTAAGTGCTTCGAAGATGAGAAGCAATATATAAATGCTTAAGTATTATTATTAAACTTCAAGTAAATGAGCACATAGCATGTGATTTAAATGGAATGCATGTGAATACACAATCCACAAATAGCCAAACAACTAAAGAAGCTTCAGCTAAGACTCACAACCCACATGACGCTAAGCCTTTAATATCATAGAATGTTTTTAGAGCTGAAAAACTATCAGAGATCATTCAATGAAAGTTCTTCATTTTACGGGCTGTGAAAAGGGGGCATCACAAGTGACCAGTCCAAGGGCACACAAATGGATAGGGATAGACACAGGACAAGAAACCAAATTTCCTCAATGCCAACCAGTGCTTCTCATACCCTGCTCACCTTTAACTACAAGATGTCAAACATCAAGATAAAAATAGCATGCTTGGCCGGGTGCGGTGGCTCATGCCTGTAATCCCAGCACTTTGGGAGGCCAAGACGGGTGGATCATGAGGTCAGGAGATCGAGACTATCCTGGCTCACATAGTGAAACCCTGTCTCTACTAAAAACACAAAAAACTTAGCTGGGCGTGGTGGTGGGCGCCTGTAGTCCCAGCTACTCAAGAGGCTGAGGCAGGAGAATGGCATGAACCCGGGAGTTGGAGCTTGCAGTGTGAGCGGAGATTGTGCCACTGCACTCCAGCCTGGGCGACAGAGTGAGACTCCGTCTCAAAAAAAAAAAAAAAAAAAAAGGCCGGTCGCAGTGGCTCACGCCTGTAATCCCAGCACTTTGGGAGGCCGAGGTGGGCGGATCACGAGGTCAGGAAATCGAGACCATCTGGGCTAACACGGTGAAACCCCGTCTCTACTAAAAATACAAAAAAATTAGCTAGGCGTGGTGGTGGGCTCCTGCAGTCCCAGCTACTCGGGAGGCTGAAGCAGGAGAATGGCCTAAACCTGGGAGGCGGAGCTTGCAGTGAGCCGAGATTGCGGTATTGCACTCCAGCCTGGGCAACAGAGCAAGACTACGTCTCCAAAAAACAAAAAACAAACAAACAAACAAAAACTAGATGTATTACCAACGTTTAAAATTCATTGCATTTTGTATGAAAATCCAAGTTCTACTTTCTCTTAATCAACTAACAAGGCAAGGACACGATGATCCCTTTAAACAGGGAGCCACATCAGGGGACCACGTGTTCCACCTGACTAGTTTTGTGTGCTCAGACTGCCTCCTGCTTTTGACTTTGTGTCCCTGTGTAGATAATGAATCTAAAAATGCCAAGCCTCCAAATGAATACTTTTTCAGTTTAGTTATCTTACTATACACAGCTTTATTAAATAAACCAGATATGTCACTGCTCACTCCATTTTATTGTGTTCTGTTTGAAAGCAGTCTACCTACATAAGGAGGAACAGAATGGAATCCCACATCGTTGGCTGGTATCCCTAGATTGGCCAGGCAATTTTCCTTTTTTTATTTTTTTAATTTTTATTTATTTATTTTTTAAGATGGAGTCTCACTCTGTCTCCCAGGCTGCAGTGCAGTGGCGCAATCTTGGCTCACTGCAACCTCGGCATCCCGGGTCCAAGCAATTCTCCTGCCTCAGCCTCCCGAGTAGCTGGGATTACAGGTGCCTGCTGCCACACCTAGCTAATTTTTGTATTTTTGGTAGAGACAGGGTTTACACCATGTTGGCCAGGCTGGTCTCAAACTCCTGACCTTAAGTGATCCGCCCGCCTTGGCCTCCCAAAGTGCTGGGATTACAGGCATGAGCCACTGTGCCTGGCCTCCATTTTGACCTCCTTATAGAACAGCTAACTGTTATATTTCTTATGCTACAAAGCAATTCAGAACTAAGAAAAAGTTCAGAAGTAAGATTGGCTTTACAGTATTGATACTCTCAAATCTGTATTTTCTTAAATAATGATATAAATTTTATATTCTCTATCTTCTTAAAATAATTCCTATATGTATATGCTATTTTGTTTTATTTTACTACTCATCCCCTACTTTTCACCTGAATTTCCTTATCTTTTTTAAACTTAAAAAATTAACCTATTGTATACTTTCACAGAATTATTTAAACACATTTTGGAATGAGACAGAATATTACTAAGTTACATATTTACATTTATTCTTTACAAACTTATGACAGAATGAGATTTGAGGCGAGCGGTATTCAAGTTCTACTTTAGATTGCAGTGTTCCCAGAACCAGGGGTGTCAGCATCATCCGGGAAGTTATTACAAGTGCAAATTATTGGCCAAGCACGATGGCTCACACCTGTAATCCCAACACTTAGGGAGGCGGAGGTGGGCAGATCGCCTGAAGTTAGGAGTTCGAGACCAGCCTGGCCAACATGGTGAAACCCTGTCTCTACTAAAAATACAAAAAAATAGCTGGCCATGGTGGTGGGTGCCTGTAATCCCAGCTACTTGATGGGGCTGAGGCAGGAGAATTGCTTCAACCCAGGAGGGGGAGGTTGCAGTGAGCCGAGATCATGCCATTGCACTCCAGCCTGGGCAACAAGAGCAAAACTCCATCTCAAAAAAAAAAGAAAAAAGAAATGCAAATGATTGGGTCTCACCCTAGACCACTGAATCAGAAACTTTGGGACCAGGGCTCAGCAATCTGAGTTTTTTGTTTTTGTTTTATAATTTTTTTTTTCCCCCTATGAGGCAAAGTGTCACTATGTTGCCCATGCTGGTCGTGAACTCCTGGGCTCAAATGCTCATAACTGCCTTAGCTTCCCAAAAAGTTGGGATTACAGGCATGAGCCACTGCACCCAGCCAATTTGGGTTTTATCAAGTCCTCTGGGTAATTTCGATGCACAATAAGGTTTGCGTACCAATACTTTAAACTATAAAATGGGTGTGGTAAACAATTATACCTATGTAAATAGTTAGAAAGGATAAGGCCAAGGGACTTTATGAAAGTAATGCATGAATAATTCTAAAATATACTTTTTAGGTCAATATTGTTCTCTGTTCAGCAGTACTCATCAGAACATAAGAGATTTTTTTCATCTTTCTGAAAGAAATTTTGTGTTTTAGAATTTGCTTTTATAACTGGATTGGAAAATGCTATGAGGCTACAATCCTAGTGGAAAAAAGCAAGAAGATAAACATATGCTACCATTTTGCCTCGTCTCTTTTTGACTTTTAGCTCAAAAGTCAAATGTCTGCGGACCATTCAGGCAACTGAGCTGAAGTATTCTCCACATTTTTATACCTCCCACCCTCAACATGATATCCATGATGAATCCAGTGCTTCTCAACCACCTGCCCTAAGTTCCACCCCCGGAGCTCCTGATTCAGTTGGACTTAGACGAGGCCAAGGCAACAGGATGTTTATTTATTTATTTATTCATTCATTTATGTATTGAGACAGGGTCTTGCTCTGTCGCCCAAGCTGGAGTGTAGTGGTAAGATCACTGTTCACTGCGGTCTCAACCTCTGGGGCTCAAGGGATCCTCCCACCTCAGCTCCTGAGTAGGTGGGGCTACATGTGCACTCCTCCACATCCAGCTAATTTTTAAAAGAAATTTTTGTAGTGACAGGGTCTCACTATGTTGCACAGGCTGGTCTCAAACTCCTGGGTTCAAGCAATCCTACCAGTCCTAGGCTCAAGCGATCCTCCCACCTCAGCCTCCCAAAGTGTTGGGATTACAGGCATAAGCCACCCAGCCCAGGATACTTTTAAAAGCTCCCCAGGTGATTCTCATGTATAGTCAGGGTTGAGAACCTCTCTTTCTATCTTTCCCCAGCATTGGAAGTGACCTAAAAACCACATCTTAGACCTCACTCCTTCTCTCCTCATGGATCATGAAGCTACTTTTCTTTATAAGATCACAGATACATCTAGTATCTAAAAGATCTTGAAGAATAACTATCAATTGAAATGGTCTAAACACAAAATCACTCTGCTTATACTAAGTGAAGATAAGAATATGTATAACCAATTCAGTCTTCCAAACATTTTAACTAGATAATTAAAGCCAAACTACTTTTTCTTTGGCTTAAAATTTTAGATAATTGGGCCAGGTGCCGTGGCTCGTGACTATTATCCCAGTACTTTGGGAGACCGAAGCGGGTGGATCACTTGAGGTCAGGCGTTCAAGACCAGCCTGACCAACATGGTGAAACCCTGTCTCTACTAAAAATACAAAAATTATCCAGCTGTGGTGCTGCGCGCTTGTAATCCCAGCTACTCAGGAGGCTGAGGCAGGAGAATTGCTTGAACCCGGGAGGTGAGGTTGCAGTGAGTTGAGATTACGCCTCTGCACTCCAGCCTGGGTGGCAGAACGAGACTCGGTCTCAAAAACAAATTTTAAATAATTGGCTTAACTCTCCACCTTGCTCAAGGGTGTGGACATAGCCCCAAAGTCCAGGTAGTGCACTATGCCATTTGCTTGGCCTACAGAGGAAGGAGTGGTGATGGTGGTAATCAGTTGTTAATTTCACATTATGGGTGGAATTTTGACACAATCAAATCCAATGGCTTCAAGCCTTTTGCTGGATTATTACTTCTGAATACATTAGATTTGGATCAGAACTCAGAAACGAAATGTTATTTCCTTCTCTTCATCACCCCCATAAAACTTCTATTAATATTTATTTATTTAGAACTCCTGGTATTTTTGTGACAATGCTCTCTTCCCACTGTTTCCTTGTGGCAAGCTAAAGGGTCTTTGGTTTTTGACCTTTTGATATGAAAACATGCATTACAGCCATGCTTTTGTGACTTTTTTTTTTTTTTTTGATTTAGGGAAGTGGCAAGAATGTGTGGAACGATCACAAAGTTCACATTTCCTCTTATAATCACACAACAAAAGGGCAACTCATCAGAGTTTCTCACTGACCTCAGGGCCTTTATCTTTAAAGAGAAAGAAGGAGAGAGAAAGAGAAGAAAATTCAGAAACTATATACTTTTATGATATCCACCAAGACTATGACTTTGGACAGATGATCCAACACTAATTTTCAAACTTTCAGCCAAATTGTATACAGTATTGTGTATAGCATGTGAAGATCTGAGATAAAATCCCAGTTCTATCCACTCATTGTGTGACTTAGGGAAAATTACCTAACATCCCTAAATCTTGTTTTGTGTTCTGTAAAATGATCTCATGTGAATCTTATGTAAATTAAATTTAATAATATATGTACAGCATTTTCACAGTGTCTGGCAAAGAAGACAGACTCAATAAATGATAAAGCAACATTATTATTGCCCTAGGCAGATCCTCTGAAAGTTAACATGGGCTGCATTTTTCAAACTCTTCTCTGACCACATCAAACTCAAGTATTAAACAATTAAAAACTAGTGATTTCAGAGATTTCCTCAGTAACCGTAGTTATAAGAAAAAGACAATTCCTATTCTACATAGTACAGGAAGTCCTAGTCAGAGCAATCAGATAAAAAGAATATTTTATTTTATTTACTTATTTATTTATTTTTGGGCCGGGCACAGTAGCTCACGCCTGTAATCCCAGCACTTTGGGAGGCCGAGGTGGGTGGATCACGAGGTCAGGAGATCGAGACCATCCTGGCTAACACAATGAAATCCCGTCTCTATTAAAAAAATACAAAAAAAAAAAAAAAAATTAGCCGTGCGTGGTGGCAGGCGCCTGCAGCCCCAGCTCCTCAGGAGGCTGAGGCAGGAGAATGGCGTGAACCTGGGAGGCGGAGCTTGCAGGGAGCCAAGATGGCGCCACTGCACTCCATCCTGGGCAAGAGAGCGAGACTCCATCTCAAAAAATAATAATAAAATAAATAAATAAATAAACACTGTTAAAGGCATCCACATTGGAAAAGTGGAATTCAAACTGTCCATCTCTGCAGATATCTAGAAAAGTGTAAACACTCCCCCAGAAACTCCTAGCCAGAGCAATCAGGTAAAAGAAATAAATACTTATTAAAGGCATCCACATTGGAAAAGTGGAATTCAAATTGTCCGCCTTTGCAGATATCTAGAAAAGCTTAAACACTCCCCAGAAACTCTTAGATCTGATAAATCAATTCAGTAAAGTTGCAGGATACAAAATCAACTTACAAAAATCAGTGTATTTTGGCTGTGCACGATGGCTCATGCTTGTAATCCCAGCACTTTGGGAGGCCAAGGCGGGTGGATCACCTGAGGTCAGGTGTTGGAGACCAGCCTGGCCAACATGGTCAAACCCCGTCTCTACTAAAAATACAAAAATTAGCTAGGCATGGTGGCACACGCCTCTAATCTCAGCTATTTGGAAGGCTAAGCCAGAAGAATCGCTTGAACCCGGGAGGTGGAGGTTGCAGTGAGCCGATATCATGCCACTGCATTCCAGCCTGGGCAACAGAGTGAGAATCCATCTCAAAAAAAAAAAAAAAAAAAGAAGCCAAAAAAACAATGTATTTCTATACACCAATAATGAACTAGCTGAGAAAAAATCAACAAGGCAATTCCATTTACAATGGCCTCAAAAACAACAACAACAACAAAAACGACAACAAAAACCTAGAAATAAATCTAGCCAAGGAGATGAAAAACCTAAAAAAAAAGCTACAAAAACACTGATGAAAGAAATGGAAGAAGGGCCAGGCATGGTGGCTCACACCTGTAATCCCAGCACTTTCGGAGGCCAAGGCAGGCAGATCACTTGAGGCCAGGAGTTCAAGACCAGCCTGGCCAACGTAGTGAAACCTCATCTCTACTAAAAATACAAAAATTAGGCCGGGCGCGGTGGCTCACGTCTGTAATCCCAGCACTTTGGGAGGCCGAGGCAGGCAGATCACAAGGTCAGGAGATGGAGACCATCCTGGCTAACACAGTGAAACCCCATCTCTACTAAAAACACAAAAAAATTAGCTGCGCGTGGTGGCAGGTGCCTGTAGTCCCATCTACTTGGGAGGCTGAGGCAGGAGAATGGCATGAACCCAGGAGGTGGAGCTTGCAGTGAGCTGAGATCATGCCACTGCACTCCAGCCTGGGTGACAGAGCGAGACTCAGTCTCAGAAAAAAAAAAAAAAAAAAAAAATTAGCCAGGCATGTGGACATGCTTGTAATCCCAACTACTCAGGAGGCTGAGGCACAAGAATTGCTTGAACTTGGGAGGCAGAGGTTGCAGTGACCCAAGATCATACCACTGCACTCCAGCCTGGGCAACACAGTGAGACTCTGTCTGACGAAAGACAAGAAAAGAGAAGAGAAGAGAAGAGAAGAGAAGAGAAGAGAAGAGAAGAGAAGAGAAGAGAAGAGGAGAATGCAAACAAATGGAAGGATATCCGATGCTCATGGATCAGGAGAACTAACAAACATTGTTAAAATGACCATATTGCCTAAAGCAATCAACAGATTCAATGCAATCCCTATCAAAATAACAATGTAATTTTTCACAGAAATAGGAAAAACAATCCTAAAATTCATATCCAAAAAAAGAGCCCTAATAGCCAAAGCAATCCTGAGCAAAATGAACAAAGTTAGAGGCATCACATCACCTGACATCAAAATATATTACAAGGCTACAGTAACCAAAACAACATGATATTTGTATAAAAACAGACACCTAGATCAATGGGACAGAATAGAAAACCCACAAATAAATCCACATATTTATAACCAACTGATTTTTTACAAAGGCATCAAGAATATACATTGGGAAAACGACATCCTCCTAAACAAATGGTGCTGGAAAAATTGGATATCCATATGCAAAGAATTAAACTGGATCCCTATCTCTTACCATGTACAAAAATCAACTCAAGATGGATTAAAGACTTAAACATAAGACCCAAAACTATAAAACTACTGGAAGAAAATGTACGGAAAACACTCAGGACATGGGTTTAGGCAAATATTTTATAGCTAAGACTTTAAAAGCACAAGCAACAAAAATGAAAATAAACAAATGGAACTATATTAAACCAAAAAGCTTCTGCACAGCAAAGGAAATAATAAACATAGTGAAAAGACAACCTGCTCAACTGGAGAAGATATTTGCCAGAGATTCGTCTGCCAAGGGACTAATATCCAGAATCTATGAGGAACTGAAACAACAGTAAAAAAACAAACAAACAAATAATACTATTAAAAAGTGAGCAAAGGGCATAAATAGACATTTCTCAAAAGAAGACATATAAATGGCCAACAAGTAATATGGAATACTTCTTCTTGGCTAGGTGCGGTGGCTCACACCTGTAATCCCAGCACTTTGGGAGGCACAAGGTAGGTGGATCACCTGAGGTCAGGAGTTCGAGACCAGCCTGACCAACAGAGAGAAACTCCGTCTCTACTAAAAATACAAAATTAGCCAGGTGTGATGGCACATGCCTGTAATCCCAGCTACTTGGGAGGCTGAGGCAGAAGAATCGCTTGAACCCAGGAGGGGGAGGTTTTGGTGAACCCAGATGGTGCCATTGCACTCCAGCCTGGGCAACAAGAGCGAAACTCCATCTCAAAAAAAAAGAAAAGAAAAGAAAGGAAAAACTTCTCAGCATCACTGAACATCAGCGAAACGCAAATCAAAATCATAATGAGGTATCATCTTACCCTACTTAGAATGGCTTTTATTAAAAGGACAATAAATAACAGATGCTAGTGAGGGTGCAAAGAAAAGGGAACTCATACAGTGTTGGTGGAAATGTAAATTAGCACAACCACTATGGAAAACAGCACAGAGATTTCTCAGAAAACCGAAAATAGAACTATCATATAATACAGCAATCCCACTACTGGGTATTTATCCAAAGGAAAAGAAATCAGTATATCAAAAGGATATATATCAGTATATCAAAAGGATATGCTCACGTTTACTGCAGCCCTACTCACAATAACAAAGATATGAAATCAACCTGTGGACCAACAGATAAAGAAAATGTGCCATATATATACAATGTGATACAATTGAGCCATAAAAAATAATGAAATTATGTCATTTGCAGCAACATGGGTAGAATTAGAGGTAATTATATTAAGTGAAATAAGCCAGGCACAGAAAGACAAGTATTTCATGTTCTCACTCATATGTGGGAGCTAAGAAAGTTGATTATCATGGAGGTGGAGGGTAGAATAATAGATACCAGAGGCTGGGAAGGGTGTGTGGGTTGGGGAGAGGGATGAAGAAATGTTGTGTAATGGGTTACAAACATATGGTTAGGAAGAACGATTAAGTCGTAATGTTCAATAGCAGAGTAGAGTGACTACAGTTAACAACAGTGTATTGTACATTTCAAAATAGCGAGAAAAGAGGACTTGAAATGTTCCCAAGACATAGAAATGATGAGTCCTCGAGGTGATGGATACCCCAAATACCCTGACTTGATTATTTCACATTCTATACATGTAACAAAATATTACATGTACCCCACAAATATGTACAAATATTATATATTAATAAAAAAAGAGTCCGGGCACAGTGGCTCATGCCTGTAATCCCAGCACTTTGGCAGGCCAAGGCGGGCGGATCATGAGGTCAGGAGATTGAGACCATCCTGGCTAACACAGTGAAACCCCATCTCTACTAAAAATACAAAAAAATTAGCCAGGCGTGGTGGCAGGAGCCTGTAGTCCGAGCTACTCGGGAGTCTGAGGCAGGAGAATGGCAAGAACCTGGGAGGCGGAGCTTGCAGTGAGCCGAGATCGGGTAACTGCACTCCAACCTGGGAGATAAAGCGAGACTCCATCTAAAAAAAAAAAAAAGAAAGAAAAAGAAAAAGGTGATAAGTAGGAAACTCACAAACCATAGGATATGTAAAAACTGGGCAAGCAGGCCTCCGTAATGCAGCATTCACTATGGAGAAATAACACAAAAATATAAGGGCAATCCAAGTTCCTAGTATTCCAAGTGGACCAGTAATTAGTAGTAATTGAACATGAGGCCTGTACCATCAAGAAACTATGGGAGCCTTTTTGATCCTAACTTCATTGAATACTATTAATAAAATGACTCTGACCAAAACACTGACATATGTATACTTCAGCAGACAGTACAGGGAAAGCATACATATGACTGAGATGTGGAAGGCTTCCAGAGCTCTGCTCATTTCTTCAAGAGGTCAGCCCCCATAACCTGCTGCGTTATTGGTTCAAAGCCGCTGTGGGACCATCCAAGCAAGCAGTCACCCCACTTCCTGCTAATCCTCCAAATCTTCCCCAGGGGTTTGCATTGCAAGCCTGTCCTGACTCTGCTTCCCCAGGGACTCCTCTAGGCTCACAGCATGGGGAATTCTATGGCTGTAAGAAGATACTCCAAGAAGATGGAAGATCAGAACTGTATTAACTCACAGACAAGTCTGAAAGAGGAGATGTGGCTCTGCACTCCCAGATGAAAGAGATTTAAGCTTGTGAATCACTGAAAATAGCAAGAAATCAGACAAAAAGGGCCTTGTCCCAGAGTAATAACCTCACTCAGAGATTAAAATAGGTCTGACCTTTGTCTGTGGGACTGTGTTGTCTCAGTCATATTTAGTTGCTCCAGCTGAGGACTTCTGAAACCTCCATCTGCATGTTGTGAAACCCCTTCTCTTGGTCACGGGGTGGTCTCTTCCCGAACACAGAAGAGCCACTTATTCTGGAGGGTACTTAATGGGGTTTGTGGCTTCCAAGCCAAGAAAGTGGAGCTCACTGAGGTTCTATTTTTTTTCTTGCTCAAATAAAGTTAGAAACACTATCATGTGACAGTCAAGAAAATTGAGGTTCCTCAACTGACACTGAAGTTACATGACCCTCATCCACCTGTTCACTCACCTCTGGAAGGACTTGAAAGTTCCAATCTCCTTGTATGGCTTCTCTGCTCAGAAAGCTCATGAGAGGAGCCCACTGTGACTGTTTTTTGAGATTTGGGGGTACAGCTTTGTTGAACAGGATCAACAGAACAGAAGGCAAGCTATTTATAGCCAGAAAGCCCTGGGACCAGGACTCCAGAAGCCTGTTCTTAACTTCCAACCCTGTCCATGAGTCACTGCCTCACGCCCAAATTATTTCTTGCTTCCTCAGTTTCACCTACTATAAAGTGGAGATAATCATACTCATTCCTACTTTCTTGGTATATTGTGAAAAGAAATTATTACATACGTGAGCCCTAGGGAAGAAAGACTTAAACCATCTTTATTGCTATTTCTTATTGCCAAATAGTATCTATGGTAATCATAGCTTTCTTCTACTAATAACCCATGCTACCTCTGGCCTGGTATCCTAAATGTCAAAAGATGTATATCACATTACAGTTTTGAAGTCCTCTGTTCTTTAAAATATTGCTTTTAATTCACATAGCATCTAATTTTGATCAGAGTCATTTACCAAAAATCATTTTACCAAAAATCATTTTGCATGAGTAGCCTCAACTAAGATGCAGCAGGAGCTGAAGACTGCAATGCACAGTAAATACAACCCAGGGGCTTCAAGTATAAACCCTTGGTCTCACAGTATACTGATATGGTTTGGCTCTGTGTCCCCACCCAAATCTCATCTTGAATTGTACTCCCATAATTCCCACATATTGTGGGAGGGACCCTGTGGGAGATAATTGAATCATGGGGTCGGTTCCCCCATACTATTCTTGTGGTAGTAAATAAGTCTCACGAGATCTGATGGTTTGATAAAGAGAAACCCGTTTCACTTGGCTCTCATTCTGTCTCTTGCTGCCACCATGTGAAACGTGCCTTTCACTTTCCACCATGATTGTGAGACCTTCCCAGCCACATGGAACTGTAAGTGCAAAAAGCCTCCTTCTTTTGTAAATTGCCCAGTCTCAGGTATGTCTTTATCAGCAGCGTAAAACAGACTAATACATATACCATCCCATTAGATAGTAGTGGCCATTTTCTTTCCTGATTTATTCTTCTATTGTCCTCTTTGACCTGGAAGGAATTAAGGTGACAGTGGTGCCATTCATTTGTATGTCTTATTTAAACCACCCCCATTACCAAGCATTATTTTAAAACTTGCCTGGGATAAGCAAAATCGTGTGGTCCACACCATCAGACTCTAACTCACCTAAAATAGTTTTCTGTTCTCTTATAGTAAAAGTGACATGTAAAAATCAAACTTGAAGTTTTATTTTCAATTGTGGTAAATTATACATAAAAATCTATGTTAATCATTTTCAAGAGTGTACAGTTCAGCAATATTACATACATTCACATTGTTTGTGTAACCATTACCACCATCCATCTCCAGAATGTTTTCGTCTTTCCAAATTGAAACTGTGTACCCATTAAACAATTCTCCCCATTCCTCACTCCTTCCAGCACCTGGTAACCACCATTCTACTTTTCATCTCTATGAATTTGACCACTCATGTAAGTAGAATCATGGAGTATTTGTCTTTTTTTTCCTGACTTATTTCACTCAGCATAACACCCTCAAAGTTCATCCATGTTGTAGCATTTGTCAGAATTTCTATCCTTTTTAAGGCTGAATCATATTCCATTATCAGTATATACCATATTTTGTTTATCCATTCATTCATCAATGGACACTCAGGCTACTTCCACCTCTTGGCTATTGTGAGTAATGCTGCTGTGAATGTGGGTGTACAAATACAACAGTTTCGGCCAGGCGCAGTGGCTCACGCCTGTAATCCCAGCACTTTGGGAGGCTGAGGCGGGCAAATCACCTGAGGTCAGGAGTTCAAGACCAGCCTGACCAACATGGAGAAACCCCATCTCTACTAAAAATGCAAAATTAGCTGAGCTTGGTGGTGCAGGCTGAGACAGGAGAATCTCTTGAACCCGGGAGGTGGAGGTTGCAGTGAGCCCAGATTGCGCCATTGCATTCCAACCTGGGCAACAAGAATGAAACTCCTCTTAAAACAAAACAAACAAACAAAAACAAATACAACAGATTCTCAGAATATGCCAGGAATTGGTTCCAAGACACACACACAACCCACATATAACAAAATCTGTGCGTACTCAAGTCCCACAGTCAGCCCTGAGAGACCCGTGTACACAAAAAGTTGGCCTTCCATATACGTGGCTTTCACCTTTTGAATACTGTATTTTCAATCCATGTATCTGTATCTCTTACAGACGTTGCTTCAATTTTGGGGGGTATGTGCCCAAAGGCGAAGTTGCTGGATCCTATATTAATTTTATTTTTAATTTTTTAAGAGCTGTCATATGATTTTTCATAGTGGCTACACCATTTTGTATTCCCTCTTGCAATGCACAAGGGTTTCAATTTCTCCATATCCTCACCAACACTCGTTATTTCCTGTTTGTTTGGTACTAGCCATCCTAATGGGTATGTTGAAATTCTATTTTTAATTAATGAGTGAGAGATGGAGGGGTCAGATTTAAACAGGTTACAAGGCAGTCTCATAAATTTGTATGAGACTTCTCTTGGGCAGAGTGAGAAGGACTAAAACAGAATGACTAAGAGTCATCTCAAATAACTGTACTTACTGGTTACCCTTGCTCTGTCTGGAGAGGAAGTGTACAAGAAATGCCTGCAAAAGATAGCAGGGATTTTCCCTCCTAACTCCAAGACAGCCAGAGAAAAGTGAGCCTCAGAAGAGAAAAAAAAGGAAGACTTTAATGTAAAGAACTCAAAATGTTCTGGATGACCCTGAGATGCAGTTTAGTGTTTTCACTGTTTTGCACAGTTTCACTATGGAATTGCCTGACAGAAGCAGATAAGCTACAGAAGGAAGAGTGGGAGGGGTCTTAGGAACTGGGCAACAGAATGGGGAAAATGTGTATGGCTAACCCTGGTCGAAGGCAGAAATTAAAAGAATGAGATGGGAAGTTAAGCCTAGAAAAACTGACTTGTTTCTGCTCTTCTCACCCCTACCCCAGAGCAATCACCAAAAGAACTTAACATACTGCTTACTTCCTTTCCTAAACTGCTGATGCCCTGTTTACTGCTGGCATGCTACTCCCTGTCTGCCCATAGCTCCAGTCTGCAGGATCTTACCCATCTCCATGCTCTCTCCTGGTCAGGCATTTGAAAAAATACTTCTTGAATACCTGCTAACCATGGAAATCAAACAAGAGTAGATAACTTGGGATTTTTAACACTTTTAAATAAAATTGTGTTCAAAGGAAAATTAGTGGAAGATGACATTGGTGTGCCAGGGACAGGGCAATGGGAGAGGTCTGCCTCCGGAAAAAGCAATTTATTTTTTATGGAGAATTTTTAAATTTTAAAATAATTAAGATGAATTTTAAAATAATAATAAACTAAAATAAAGTCACTCTGCTTTTTATTTTCCCTATGCTCTGCCAATTCTAAATTGCCAATGATAAAATACTGCTCCTATGCAAAATATTTTTTGTTGATCCAAGTTCTAAACAATTATGTGGTTACTGTTGAGTTTTAATAATATATATGTAATCTTCACATACATAGAGAATATATTTTTCATTAATAAACATGAGTTGGGCCTGGTGGCTGATGCCTGTAATCCCAGCACTTTAGGAGGTAGGAGGATTGCTTGAGGCCAGGAGTTAGAGACCAGCCTGGGCAACATAACAAGACCACCATCTCTACAAAAAATTTTTTAAAAAATTAAAATGATTAGCCAGTGAGGTGGTGCATATCTGTAGTCCCAGCTACTCAAGAGGCTGGGGTGGCAGGATCGCTTGAGCCTAGGAGGTTGATGTTCCAGTGGGCTATGATCTTTCCACTGTATTGGATGATAGAGGGAGACTCCATCTCAAAAAAAAAAGGCATAAATAAAAAAAATAAACATTGTATTCTCTGTGGAAGTCAAAGAATTTCCATTTGTATACCAGAGACTTAGCTGCCCTCATTTGTTTTGAGAGCAAATTCAAAATTATTTAGAATCGTTTGAGCTCACCTGGAGAACAGTTAATGTCTCCAGCACTTAGGGTATACAGCTTCATATGTCTAAAACTATGGGCCAGGCACCGTGGCTCACACCTGTAATCCCAGCACTTTGGGAGGCCGAGACAGGCAGATTACCTGAGGTCAGGAGTTCAAGTCCAGCCTGGCCAACATGGTGAAACCCCATCTCTACTAAAAAAAATACAAAAATTAGTCGGGCGTGGTGGCTGGCACCTGTAATCCCAGCTACTCGGGAGAATTGCTTGAAGGGCCGGGAGGTGGAAGTTGCAGTGAGCCGAGATCGCGCCATTGCACTCCAGCCTGGGTGACAAGAGCAAAACTCTGTCTCAAAAAACAAAAAACAAAGAGAAAAAAATATGGATTCAAAACAATAATTGTGAAGACAAAAAAAAAATTGAGTGACTTCAATTTTGCCTCTATATAACTACTTAGAGTTACTCATGTTTAAAAGTTTAAACTAATGGAACAGGGTACACAGTAGTATCACAATTATTGTTTTGAATCCATATTTTTTCTCAAGAAATTATGTATTATATATTAATTGTTATGTATTATATATTATTATGTAGTATATATTATTATCATCTTATTTATAGATGTGTTATATGTTAATTAATGTGTATTATATATTACTTATGTATTATATATTAATTTTATACATATAATTAAATACTTTTTTCTATATTTGTTTTATTTTCGTTTTTAATTCATTTACTTGCATGATTACATATATTAAATTTAATGCAACTGTATTGTCTATGTTTCTTTTCTGGCTATTACTCATTTCATATCATGATTATTAAGAAATATATTTTTCCTCTGGCAGTATTAAAAATGATCAGCAGTGGGCATCAAAAATACTAGGTATATAACTGCCCTTACTGGATTTTTTTTCTAAATTGTGCATGATTCGTTATTGAATTATCCAACAAAGCACCTGGTATCTGCCAGGCAGTGGGTTCAGTGGTGGATAATAGAGACCAATAAAACACAGCTAGTGTCTCAAGGTCAGTGGCACTAGAATATGGTAGACTGGAAAGGTCTAGATTATGGATAAAATATGAGGCCAGACTGAACACAGTGATATAAGATTAACATACAAGTGAATGAATTCAAGACAACCCAAATGGATCAAATCTCATATTTCATTTATTTTCCCACAAATGAGAGGCGTGCTATGTGCCCCAAAGAAGGGAACTGACATTTTTTACACCTACTTATAAAGATATTTATGAATCTTTTTCCAATCTAGTTCTGCAATTATGAAATGCCACAATCACAATGCCTGTTTATGCTATTTTAATAAACATGCAATAGAGAAAGTAGGCTTATGCACATCAAAACTAAGTAAACCTAGTTCTCCAAATTCTTATTTGCAGTATTCTGTATTGAAAGGTGAAGGGTATATGTAGATAACTTTCTGTTGTTTTTGCTATCTTGATGATGAGAAAGGATGGGAGAAGTACCAAATCTAAAGTAAAAAAAAAACCTAGAAGGAGCACAGAGCCAAAGGGTATGAGGAATCTTTAATATATTTTTATTTTTTCTATGCAGCTCTAACACACACACACACACACACACACACACATCCCACACCTTGCTCTTTTTGGAAACCAGAATTCCCCCAATTCTTCGGAAAAAAAGAAGTATTCAACTGAATTTAAAATACAAGAGGGTTGATTATTGCTGAGCAATTAAGACCTGGGAATTTCCTCTTCAAATTTATATTCTGTAGCTATCATCAACATGAGACTCCATATCATTTTTTTTTCCTTAATGCACTTTGGCAGAGGGCTTCATTTCCTATCAAATAGACCGTTTTGCAACCTTCTGTGCAGAACTGTACAGGTGGTCCAAGGGATAATGGAATGAAATTGAGCAAAAGAAATTTTAGTTTGAAAATTAGTGAAAAAAAAAAAATACCTGTAGCAAGGTCCGTGATTCTGTGAAATAATCTCCCAGGGGAACTGGTAATGTCTCCATCACACATATAATTTTAAACAAGAATGGAAAAATACATATGAGAGTATTCTATAAAGATATAGCCTGTATTTTAAAATGAGAGAAAAAATGACCTAATTTTCCCTCTGTAATTTTCATTATTCTGCTCTGAATGGTATCTTCACACATGATATCTGACAATTTGAGTATTTAAGGCAAAAAAAAGAAAAACCACAAAAATGATCTTTGGTCAACTCTTCAAGGCAAGAGTTAAAGAACTTTAAAAGGAAATATTCTTGTCAACAAAAATCGGGTTTAAATGTATGATAAGGTACTCATACTTATTTCATACACATTTATACACTTATTCAGTGTGTGTGGCTTGTTTTAAGATCAAAATTCATATGGGTTTGAATGTAGTCACCATTTCAACATCTCAGTCCCTGCAGCTGATGCTGATATTGATGTTTCCCGTTAAGAGAAAAATCCCGTTTTTTAGGCTGACACAGGAAATACCACTCAGCACTGGAATACATATGAAAATCAGGAAATTTTCAAAGATGTAATGCAGGAAATCAACCAGGGAATATTCAAATTGTCACAATGTGCTTAATATTTTAAACATTTCTTCCTCTTTTAAACAAATGCTGAGCAAAGCTTCCTGTGTTTCAAAAGCAACACTGATGGACTCTCAAAATGGCAAGTCCCACATATTTACCATCTCTTCTCTTCACCCTGAATTTATTTTCCTGACTCAAGGTAGTTTCCAGGGCTTAAAAGATGGCCTATGTGGCACTTAAATGTATTTATGTTTAAACTCCTGTCTTCATGGAGTAGATAAGAAGTAAAATCAGCCATTGTCATGGACAACTTGCTCCTCTGAGTTCTTAACTGTTTTGGGGGGAAAGTGAAATATCAAGGAGTAAGAAACCTGTTTTCAGTTCTTGAGAGACTTACAGGCCAAGTGAGAAGAGGTGATATAATGCTAGGAACATAAACACAAGGCACTGTTATCTGTGTTTCTTTACCTCTAAAATGTGGGAATATTACTTACTTGGTGATAAGATTAGAAAAAATGATTGTTGCAAAGCACTCAGGCACATATAAGTGCTGTATTAAAGATCATTATCATTGAAGAGGAATTCCCAGATGAGTAATTTTAAAAGATGAAGGTGAGCTCAGATACTGGGGAGAAGCAGCTGTCAAGAACAGATGAGACAGTCTGAGGCAGCCCCGGAAAAGTTTCTTGGACAAAGCAGGACTTATACTGGGCCTTGAAAATTTAGAAAGACCAGCTAAAAGGCAAAGAAAGTCTCTGTTTACTTCCAAAAATGGAGATTGGCAGGACTATCTGAGGTGATGACACATTCCTTGAAACTCCTTTCTTGGGTGATCCTGACAGACTGATTTCCCATATCTTTTAAACCTGTTTTTCCAACTAAGTGCAAACATTAGAGATGAGCTCATTTACAATTTAGTCCTAACCCAAATTTGCCCCAGTTCAAACTCCTCCAGAGGACAACCTGAGAGCACTCACTAGCCAATACTTTCTGAAAAACCTCTACAACAGGGCAACACTCTGAAGACCCTTGGAGATCAGTGGGGAATGGGTTTGAGAGCAAACTGAAGCCACCTTTCAACATAAGTCAAAGTTAACCAGGCAATTCCTTTCTAGTCACCATGGACAAGTGAAAGCCCCACACCCCTTGAGTCAATGGGAAGTCATTTCTTAACTCCCTTTTGAGAAATGCTGCTGGTGATTCAGCACTACATCCTGGCTCACTGGGACACTGTAAGTGAAATTTCCTTTAACAGCCACCCCACCACCTTGTGAAAGGTGAGTTTCCCAGGCTAGAATTACTCATGAGCACTCTTGCTACGAGAGGAGAGAGGGTCAGAGGGTCAGAGGTTCAAGGGAAGTCTTTCCTTCACCAACATCGGAGAGACTCCAGAAGCCTCTTTGAGTCAGTACTGTATAATTTACTATCCAAACTGGGAACGTTTTGAGAATAAAATGTGGCACCACTAATAATTGTGCAGCAACAACAGATGGAAATGGGGGAATTTCCAGTCAAATCAGAACACAGGATTATTCTTTTTTCTCTTTTCTTTTTTTTTTTTTTTTTTTTTTTTTGAGACGGAGTTTCACTCTGTCACCCAGGCTGGAGTGCAGTTGCACGATCTCGGCTCACTGCAACCTCCACCCTCCGGGTTCAAATGATTCTCCTTCCTCAGCCTCCTGAGTAGCTGGGACTACAGGCGCCTGCCACCGTGCCCAGCTAATTTTTTGTATTTTTAGTAGAGATAGGGTTTCACCATCTTGGCCAAGCTGGTCTTGAACTCCTGACCTCGTGATCCACCCGCCTCGGCCTCCCAAAGTGCTGGGATTACAGGCATGAGCCACCGCGCCTGGCCTTTCTTGTTTTTTTTTTGAGATGGAGTCTTGCTCTGTCACCCCAGGCTGGAGTGCAGTGGCACGATCTTGGCTCACTGCAGCCTCAGCCTCCTGGGTTCGAGCAATTCTCTTGCCTCAGTCTCCTGATTAGCTGGGATTACAGGCACCCACCACCACGCCTGGCTAATTTTTGTATTTTTAGTAGAGATGGGGTTTCACCATGTTGGCCAGCTGGTCTTGAACTCCTGACCTCAAGTGATCAGCCCACTTCAGCCTCCCAAAGTGCTGGGACTACAGGCGTGAGCCACCGCGCCTGGCCAGAACACAGGATTATTCTGTCTTTAGGTTGTGAGGTCTCATCTTCTAAAAATAAAGACATCCATTTGTCAAGGATTTACTAAGTGTATACTATGTGACATTGTGATATATGCTAGAGATAGTATATTAGCTGTTTTTGCCCCAGAGACCTCAGACTAGTAGGGGTAACCAACACACACACACTGGCATTTATAAAGCACTGTGGAGGTCAGGGACCCTGGGGAACACCTAACACACCTTGCAGAGTCAGAGATAGCATCCCGGAGGAGATACCGACCTATCTATTAATATGTCTTCATTAGGCAATGAAGAAGGCTAACTGAATTCTGGGCTTAAAAATAGCATGTAGTGTCATTGAAAAACAAAAATATCTAATATTTATGGACCAGTTACTGTGTCCTGGCCATTCTACATGTAATAACTCATTTAGCCCATACTTCTAGGACCTCCATCTTGCAGATAAGGAAATAGTAAGTAATTTCCAAGATATACCAGTATTAAAACACTAAAAGCATCTGTGTCCTTTTCTCTGAATCTTGTTTTGACCAAGAGTACATGGAAGTGATGCTATGAGACTTCTGAGGCCAGGTTACAAGAGACCAAACAGCTTCTACCTGGTTTTCTGGAACATATGTGTTGGATCTCTGAGATCCCAATAAAATGCCCACCTACCTGGAAATCACCATGCTGGAGTGGTGACCTGAAGGCACTCCAGTTGACAATCCCTGCTGAGTCCATCTTTCAGCCATTGCGGTCCAGGAACCAGGCAAGTGAGAAACCATCATAAAACAGATCCTCCAGACCAGCATAGATGAGCTGTCCCCACTGGCCTTTCTCTGAATCTGGACCCACTGAATTTGTAGCCTTAAATATTTCTTGTTTTATACCACTGTTTTAGTGGTTTGCTTCATAGCAATAGTAGTAACCAAGTCACAAAAACACAGGCCTAAGCAGGCAATGAAAAAGGATTCAAATCCAGAAAATCTGACATTGAAAACCATTCCTTTAGCTCTTGTTTCCCAAGAAACATAGCTTCTTTGTAGACATACCGGTATCTGTGGTTGCTGACATAGGCAGTTCAGTGCAGAGAGTGATTTGAGATGGATTGGGGGAGAAAACAAGCATCCATCAAGTTATAGAAGTCTTTATAAACCACATTAAGGAGTGTGGAGCCATAGGAAGCCATTGAGAAATTTTAGAGCAGTAGAATGTTGCACTCAGCTTCATGTTTTAGAGGGATTTCTTTGGTGGAAGAAGATCTTGAGGCAGGCAAGATTGGAGGCATTTAGGCAAGTATTAAAGCAATTCAAGGGAGAAGAAAGCAACAGCAGTGACAAAACAGAGGAGAACAAAGGGGGAAAATCAAGAAAGAAATAGCAGCTAGACAGAGGACAATTGTTGAATGTTGCTTTCTATCTAGTTCCAAAAAATACTCTATAATCATTCAGTTACCAAATCTGAAGCTAGAGAAAATTTAGAGAGGTACAGATGATTAGGAAAGACCTCCAGAGATGCACCGTAGTCAATATTCAGGACCACTCTTGCCCTGTAGACTGAAAAGTTCAGCTACACCCTTTCCTCCCTTTTCCTTCCTTTCCCTTCCCTTGCAGATGGTAGAAAGAGGACAAAGTATGAAAAAAGATTAATTATATATAGTCATTTTGAGGAAATATAACTATATTGTCAATAATGAGAGCCAGGTTTCTCACTGTCAAAGAAAGTGAAAGAAAAGTCTGGAAATAAACCTGAAATTATGAACTGGAATTGCAAGTATTGGAATAAACTTATAGTTTTAGATACATAGATAATAAGTAAATGAATAAATAGATATAGATTTATCCGTGTGTGTGTATATATACATATATACATCTGTATGTGTATATATACATATATACATCTGTATGTGTATATATACATATATACATCTGTATGTGTATATATACATATATACATCTCTATGTGTATATATACATATATACATCTGTATGTGTATATATACATATATACATCTGTATGTGTATATATACATATATACATCTCTATGTGTATATATACATATATACATCTGTATGTGTATATATACAAAATTTCAATTCTGTTTCCCAAAAGGGCCTAGAAGCAGTGCACCCCAGTGTCAAGGAAGACTCCGAGAGCAGATCTTGTTTCCAAATACCTTTCTCTGCTAAAAAAAACCAAGCCTCCTTAAACAATGGACTCCAGAGATCAAGTATAGAGAAGGCTCATTATAGGCCCAGATATCTTGTTGTCCCAGAAAGCTAGATAGGACACAAAGAATGATGTAAACACTGTCAAAAAGACACAGGCACCAGCTTACAAGGGTTCTTACTGACCAAGTCTGGAAAACTTTCAGCATCAGGTTAAATAATGATAATAATGAATTAAAATCCATTGGAAAAAAAATAAAAATTCATGTCTACACTGATATAAATAAATGACTGAAACGATAGATATCCCAATTACCCTGATTGATCTTTACACATTATACGAATATATCAAATTATCACAAGCATCTCAAAAATATATACATCTATTATGTATTTATTTAAAAATAAATAAGTAGGTTGGGTGCAGTGGCTCACATCCGTAGTTTCAGCACTTGGGCAGGCTGAGGTAGGCGGATCATTGGAGCCCAGGAGGTAGAGACCAGCCTGGGCAAAATGACAAAACCTTGTCTTTACTGAAAATACAAATATTAACCAGGTGTGATGTTGTGTGCCTGTAGTCCCAGCTACTCAGGAGGCTGAAGTGGGAGGATTGCTTTAGTCCGGGAGGATGAGGCTGCGGTGAGCCAAGATCATACCACTGTTTCACAGCCTGGGCAACAGAGAAAGACCCTGTCTCAAAAAATAAAATAAAATAATAAAAACATGATTGAATGAATATATACGAAATAAAAGGGAAAGATCTACCCATCTAATAAAAATGATGGAAACAGAAAATCTTCCTTTGACAATCATGTAAGGGTCATTAATGCAGGTAGGAATCATGAAAGGATGCTAAGCTGATGACCGAGGCTTAATGAGTTAGAGAGTGTTGGCATAATTTTGAAGTATCTCAATTTAAAAAGTTTATAAATTATAAAAGGGGAAATGGTGATTTTTAAAGCAGTGAAAGCTGACAGCTTCACCAGGTGGTCAAGGTTGGCATCACCGGGGGTAGGATGGATGATGATTCTATGCCTCCCTCACATGGTTAGCTCTAAAGGAGCATGTCAACTCTGGGGGCTTCCTGCTGGTAATGCATGATCTAAGCCTTGTCATAAGAAAACCTTGGAAAGGGGCCTGGAGTGGTGGCTCACGCCTGTAATCCCAGTACTTTGGGAGGCTGAGGTGGGCAGATCACCTGAGGTCATGAGTTTGAGACCAGCCTGGCCAACACGGTGAAACCCTATCTCTACTAAAAATACAAAAATTAGCCAGGTGTGGCAGTGCGTGCCTGTAATCCCAGCTACTCGGGAGGCTGAGGCAGGAGAATTGCTTCAACCCAGGAGGCGAAGGTTGCAGTGAGCCGAGATCACCTTACTGCATTCCAGCCTAGGCGACAAAGCAAGACTCAGTCTAAGAAAAAAAAAATTTTTTTTTAAAAAGAAAACCTTGCAAAGGGCTGGGTACAGTGGCTCACGCCTGTAATACCAGCACTTTGGGAGGCTGAAGCAGGTAGATCATTTGAGGTCAGGAGTTTGAGACCAGCCTGGCCAACATAATGAAACTGTCTCTACTAAATATACAAAAATTAGCCTGGTGTGGTGGTGCACGCCTGTAACCCCAGCTACCTGGGAGGCTGAGACATGAGAATGGCGTGAACCCTGGAAGCAGGGGTTGCCATGAGCTGAGATCACTGTAAGCTGAGATGGCACCATTGCACTCTAACCTGGGCAACAGAGCTAGACACCATCTCAGGAAAGAAAAGAAAAAAGAAAACCTTGCAAAAGCCCAGGTAGAAGGACATCCTTTCAAGTTAAACACCTATACTCTATTTATTTATTTATTTATTTATTTATTTATTTATTGATATTTGTCTGGCTCTGTTGCCCAGACTGGACAGCAATGGTGCTATCTCAGTTCACTGCAATTTCCGCTTCCCGGGCTCAGGTGATTCTCCCACCTCAGCCTCCTGAATAGGTAGGGCTATAGGTGTGCGCCAGGTGTGCGCCAGCCACCACGCCCGGCTAATTTTTGTATTTTTGGTAGAGACAGGTTTTCCCCATGTTGCCCATGCTGATCTCAAACTCCTGGCCTCAAGTGATTTGCCCGCCTTGGCCTCCCAAAGTGCTGGGATTACAGCCATGAACCACCACGCACGGCCACCTATACTCTAACTCATCATGATCTTACACCACAGGGAGAGACTGAGGGACTGCTCCAGATTAGAGAAGACTAAAGAGTGGTAAAAATAAGTGTGATGCATGTTTCTGGACCATAAAGGGAAAAGACACTATTGAGATAGCTATCCAAATTTGAGGGGGTTCTGTGCCTTGGAAAGTAGTGTTTCAATTTACTGATTTGAAGGATTATTTAGGATTAAGAAGAGAATATCTTTGTTTCTGAGACATGTATGCTGGAATTTTAAGCATTGTGTTAACATGAGATATGAGAGTGCTTTGACCTAACCTTGTACCTTTTTCATAGGTTTAAAATAATGTTTTTAAAAATCTCACAGGGAATAGGGAAGGAAAAAATAAAAATAGAAAAAAAAAAACCTTAAAGAAAAGTTTAAAAACAAAACAAAACCTGGAGGAGGATATTTGCAATATATACATATGAGAGAGAGAGAAAAAATATAGGTGCACAGAGATTCCTATAACAGTGGCAAAAATAAACAGGCATTTTTTTTTGTTGGGGTTGGGGCGGTGTTTTTTTGTTTTGTTTTTTGTTTTTTGTTTTTTTTCTGGTTTTTTTTTTTTTTTTAGAAATGAAATCTCTCTGTATTTTCCAGACTTGTCTTGACCTGGTCTCAAGCAATTCTCATGCCTCAGCCTTTCCAGTCACTGGGATTACAGGCGTGCATCACCACACCCGACTATTAAATAAAAAGGTTTTAATTGATAATATTTTCAAACATTCTATGTGTAACGAGCTCTATGAATACTACAAAGTACAGATGCTAAAATGCTTTGCAGTTTTCGTTGGTATTTGAATAAATGATAAAAAGAAAATATAAGGAAAAGCAAAGTAAGATAATGGTTTCTAAACTGTCTTTCCCAGAACCTTAAAATTTCTGGGAGGTCATTCGTCTTCCATAAATATTTAGTTCAAATTTCATTATAAGGCCTGGCACAGTGGCTCATGCCTGTAATCCCTGAACTTTGGGAGGCTGAGGCAGGCAGATCACCTGAGGTCAGGAGCTCAAGACCAGCCTGGCCAACATGGCGAAACCCTGTCTCTACTAAGAAAAATACAAAAATTAGCCAGCGATGGTGGCAGGTGCCTGTAATCCAAGATACTCAGGAGGCAGGCAAGAGAATTGCTTGAACTCGGGAGGCAGAGGTTGCAGTGAGCCAAGATCGCGTCACTGCACTCCAGACTGACCAACACAGCGATACTTCGTCTCAAAAAAAAAAATCATTAAAAGAATATGCTTTCAAATAAAGCCTGTGGCTCATACCTGTAATCCCAGCACTTTGGGAGGGCAAGGTGTGAGGATTTTTCAAGGCCATGAGTTTGAGACCAGCCTGGGCAACATAGTAAGACCTCATCTCTACAAAAAAAATTTTTTTTAATTAGCCTGGTGTGATGGCATGTACCTGTAGTCCTTGCCACTTGGGAGGCTGAGGCAGGAGGATTGTTTGATCCGAAGTGTTTAAGGCTGCAGTGAGCTATGATTGCTGCCTGGGTGACAGAGTGAGGCTATCTCTAAAAAAATAAAAATAAAAATAAATATATATATATATACACTTTCAGATAAATAAAGCAAAAAATTAAAATGTATACTTTCAACAATATATGAGAATTCTAATTTAAAAGAAAATCTATACTATACTATACTGAAATAGGTTCTGTACCAAATAGGAACCCACCAACACATTAACCTGAGCAGCCAATTTCTCTTACCATTTCTATAAAAATATTTGAATTTAATGTAAATATGTACTTTATTAATAACATACAGCTCTGAGTTTTTTTAAATTCAGGATTTCTTCTAAATATGTAAAAATTGCACATTCAGGATACTAATTCCTATCCATATCAACTATTACTTTTAATTGTCAAATTCAAATTTAAAAACAGAAATAAACTGAATGGTAAAACTGATAAAACTCTGCAACTATTTTCTGTTACACTTGACTTTTAATATCAATGTTCATAGGAATAGCTTTTGTTAACATATCTGACTTTATAAGCAAATACTATGAATGTGACCTTACAACCAAGCATTCTAATAGAATACTGTTTTCATCTGTTGTATATGCTGATTTTTTTCAACAGATGTCTAGAGAAGAAAATAGTTCTCTTTTTAAAAAGGTTGAAAACCGCTTGTGTTAAGTATTGTTTAAAATAAATTGTGGTACAAGATACATTTTCTCTTTCATTGTAAGATAAAATAAGAATGATCAATAAGAACATAATATAAAGGCAACTCATCCAAGAGAAGGGTGACCCTAACCCTTTAAATGGCTTGCTTTACCAGATAATCTGGAAAAGGGTAGAATTGATGACTGATAATAAAACACAATTATATGTCATTTGGTGTCTTTAGCTCCTTTGTGATACAAGAACCTACACTGGGTGCATCACATCAAAGACAACTGATTAGCTGTGCATAGACTCTTTCAACATTTGAGAAGCATGTGCTTAATCTATTGGTTTCTCTAACACTTGAAAATATGACTCCACAAAATAAAACAGTAAAAACCAAGAAATACTATTTCGTTGTGGGTTCTGCCCCATCAAGTCCTCCTAGAGCATTAGAGAATTGTTTTTTAATCAAGGCAATTTTGCCAACCCCCTACACCCTTCACCCCTGACATTTGGCAATGTCAAAGACACTTACTTGGCACCACTGAGAGATGCTACCCCATCTAGTAAGTAGAGTCCAGGAATGCTGCTAAACACCCTACAGTGCACAGGGCATCCCCCACAATAAAGAATTATTCAGCCTAAAATACCAAGTGCTGAGGTTGTGAAACTCTGCTTTACAGAGTCAGGGGTAAATTTTAGACTGTTCTAGATTTATTCGTGTGCTTCTAAACTCTTTTCCTTCACCCCCTCTCTGCTTCTTCATAGTTCTCCAGTGACGGATTGATTTTTTTTTTTTTTTGAGATGAAGTCTCCCTCTGTCACCCAGTGGCGCGATCTCGACTCACTGCAACTTCCACCTCCCCAGTTCAAGTGATTCTCCTGCCTCAGCTTCCCAAGTAGCTGGGATTGCAGGCATCCACCATCATGCCTGGTTAATTTTTGTGTTTTTAGTAGAGACGGGGTTTCAACACGTTGGCCAGGCTGGTCTCGAACTCCTGACCTCCGGTGATCCACCCACCTTGGCCTCCCAAAGTGCTGGGATTACAGGCGTGAGCCACCATACCCAGCCTCTGTTGGGATTTAGATGGAATTTTGATGAGGAAAAAATTAGGACAAAAAATGTTGGAATGTTTCCCAAGGAAAATTCCACTAAACGGTTGTGTACAATTATCTTCCAAACAAATTTAGTCCAACGAACCAGCACTTCATTTAGAACCAGTAATTCCTAGTCACTGGAAAGAGAAGCTGGGAAGTTTGTCTGTACTCTAATCAACTCTTGGCCTTAACTCATTCTTATCTCAGACAGTCAAATTACAAGACAATTGAGTTGACTTCAGTTTCTCTATACCATCACATTCCAATCATGAATTCTTTGAGAACACACCAGCTCTCTAAATAAAAACTTGGGAAACACCCTATATTTATCAGGAAGGTGAGTGTCTCTTCACATGAGCATTCTCATCTATTCTGTGTTGTTTTTTTTACTATATTCAACCATGGAGAGTGTGAACTTCTCTTGACTTAGCTCCCACATTTGAGTACTGTGTTACTGCAACTCTCTATGCTTAAGTACACTGACAACATACAATACTCAACTAAAAATGCCATTTTATGTGTAATTCTACAGACAAGCATAATGGCATTATGCCCAATACAAACATCTGTGCCCTCATCTGTATGTGTTCTTTCCAGATTCTCAACTTTTAATAATAGCAGGATGGATGGCTTTTCCTTTTCGTGATTTATCAGTGTTGACCAGACAGAACAGAATTCATTTTAACTAGATGTCTATGAGATCCTCACAAATGTGAACCTAGTAGTTTTCCACCAATTTCCTTCTGAACTATGTGTGACCTGATGGCACTTTTCAACAATACACAACATTGGCATGCTTCATTGGATGTTTCTTCTAGGTCAGGACCAAGATTTAAAGGTTAAGATTTATTGAACAAAAATCTTGCAAAAACTGTATGTGAGAATTTATTACTCATCTCTTCCTTTTTCACGTTTGCCTCAAGCAGCTGGAGATCACTTTGAATTTTTAAATCTAGGATACTCAATTATCAGAACAAAATTTGCAGCAGTAAGAGCCGTCAATTATTTTCCATTTAACTATATTTTGAAAAATTTAGAAATGACAAATAATTATTTTTCTTAATTAAACTTGCAATTATAAAATGGTGGTTACTTCAAAAATGCTTTTTAGGCCGGATGTGGTGACTCACGCCTGTAATCCCAGCACTTTGGGAGGCCAAGGCGGGCAGATCACTTGAGGTCAGGAGTTCAAGACCAGCCTGGAAAACATGGTGAAACCCCATCTCTGCTAAAAAAAAAAAAAAAAAAATTAAAAAATAAACCAGGCATGGCTGCAGTCCCCTGTAATCCCAGCTAGTCGGGAGGCTGAGGTAGGAGAGTAGCTTGAACCTGGGAGGTAGAGGTTATACTGAGCCGAGATCATCCCATTGCACTCCAGCCTGAGCGACAGAGCAAGACTCTGTCTCAAAAACCAAACAAAACAAAAAACAAAAATGCTTTTTAATAGATAAGCTTGGTTTGGATTTCCTGAGATATCTGAATCTCTTTTTGTGTGTGTGTGGATTTCCACAAATAGTATGTTTTCACTTAAAAACATAATTTTAGAAATATACTCATCCTTGCCAGTTTTTAAAAATCACAAATACATTTAAGGCTAACATTCTTCACCAACAAGTCCTCATTTATCAGGTTTGGCAGTAGTGGTTAATGATGTTCTGATTAACAGAAGATTGATTCTGAAGAAGATATTTATCTACAAAAGATGTTTTTGAGAAAAAGAAATTATTTCCTAATTTGGTAACATCCTATGACACATTCTGACTCATTGAATGTAAGAGGCCAATTCCCCAAAAAGCAATTAAATCAAAATAATTTCTACTTATGTAATGAAGATATATAAAATATATACTACACATATATCAATTTAGTCCAAAAGCAGCACTTCATTTAGAGTCAGTCATTCCTGGTTAATATCCGGTGATAAACTGTATATATATATAGTGCGTGTGTGTATGTGTGTGTGCTTGTATAATAGGATCTTCACCCAGCAGTGAATGGTGAAACTGACTGTAATAGAAGTTAACCAGTCTGTGCTCAGATTCTACAAGGAAGTATGCAGAAGCTTATAAGCCATCCCTAGAGGCTTGCATCACAGGAGGAGGTACCAACAGCTACCAGGAGAGGAGATCTAAAGTAACAGGAACTGGCAAGAGGTGAAGATGGAGGAGAGGGGTCTCAAAAACAAGCAGAAAACATAAAAGCCATTCTAGCAGCAGAGATGACTTCAAATCTTTCCAGCTACAAATCTGAATTGGTTCCAGTGGCTGAGCTAGGACACAGCATGCTGGTAGAAGTCAAGGGCCTCTTGCTGTGGAGAGGAAAGACCCAGCAAGACTGACAGCTGAGCATAGCTGTGAACCTTGGCTCTGACCTAGACTGACCTCAGTTTACTTACAGTATGACCTTGAACATTCTTAACCTCTCTGAGTTTAATTCCTTTCCTAAAAATGTGAATAATATTAGTACTAACCTCACAACGTTGTGAGCCTTAAATGGGATAATACATATGAACAACATGTGATGAACCATATGACACATCATAAACTCTTCATAAGTGCTCATGGTTATAGTAATAATAATTGTAATTACTATTATTATTATGTCCTGATCCACAAAACAAGTAATTGCAGAAACTGTTTGTACCTTAGGTGTGATAGAATGAGCACTGTCTGTAAAGTCAGGAGATATTTTGTCTAGAACCCGTGTGATGATAGCAAACCTCACTTTTCTGCATGTCATTTTCTTCATTTTTATGTTTTAGAGATGAGGTCTCTCTCTATCACCCAGGCTGGAGTGCGGTGGGTACACTTCATCATAGCTCACTGCAGCCTTGAATTCCTGGCCTCAGCCTTAAGCCTCCTGAGTAGCTGGTACTACAGCATGAGCTGTGATGCCTGGCCCTGTGTGTCATTTTCTTTTCTTTTCTTTTCTTTTTTTTTTTTTTTTTTTTTGAGACAGAGTCTTGCTCTGTCACCCAGGCTGGAGTACAGTGGTGCGATCTCCACTCACTGCAACCTCCGTCTCCCAGGTTCAAGCTATTCTCCTGTCTCAGCCTCTGGATTAGCTGGGATTACAGGCACCCACCACCAAGTCTGGATAATTTTTTGTATTTTTAATGGAGTCGGGGTTTCACCATGTTGGCCAGGCTGGTCTCGAACTCCTGACCTCAGGTGACCTGCCCGCCTCAGCCTCCCAAAGTGCTGGGATTACAGGCGTGAGCCACCGTGCCCGGCCCTGTGTGTCATTTTCTTTATCCAATTTAATTAGTTAATTTCTAGAATCACTTCCTTAAACACCTAAGATTTTTTTCTTTTGTCTAAATAAATGAAAGGTCATCATATGGTAGAAGAATTTAACTTAAGAATTCCAAATAGAAATATTTAGTTCATCAGTCTGGATATAAATTTGTGGGGAAAGAAAAAAGTCAAAAAATAACTTAAAGTTGCAAAAGTTTATCAATGATGGACAGAATGCTTTATTAAAGGACATCAGTTGCACTATTAAAAATAATCTAGAGCCAGCGTGGTGGCTCAAGCCTGTAATTCCAGCACTTTGGGAGGCCAAGGTGGGCAGATCACTTGAGGTCAGGAGTTCAAACCAGCCTGGCCAACATGGTGAAACCCTGTCTCTACTAGAAATACAAAAATTAGCCAGGCATGGTGGCACACATCTGTAATCCCAGCTACTCAGGAAGCTGAGGCAGAAGAATTGCTTGAACCTGGGAGGTGGAGGTTGCGGTGAGCTGTGATCATGCCATTGCACTCCAGTCTAGGCAACAGAGCGAGACTCTGTCTCTAATAATAATAATAATAATAATAATAATAATTTAGTATAATGAAGATTTCTTTGCTGTCAGACAGATTTAGGTTTGAATTCCAGTTCTACTATTTCTTGATCACCCTGGATAAACTATGTAACCATCTTTTTCTCATCTGTAAAATGAAGATAATAGTGAATTTTTCCTAAAGTTATGGTAAAACTAAAATACAAACATGTATTAAAATAATTTGGCATAATGATTGGCAAATTAAGGCACAAAAATAATAAAGAGCATTGTAAATATTCTTGTACCTTTTTTGACAATTTTTTAAAAATTGGTAGCAACCGAGGCAACATATTTATTTC
This sequence comes from Homo sapiens, assembly GCF_000001405.40. NCBI lineage: Eukaryota > Metazoa > Chordata > Mammalia > Primates > Hominidae > Homo > Homo sapiens. The sequence goes on from NC_000006.12 coordinate 113,776,709, forward strand.
TTGAAGAATTTACAGTTGACCTTGAGTGAGTTATGTAATCTCTTTGACCCTTGATTTTGTTATGTATAGAATGGAAAAAGTAGTGCTGCCCAGAATATTGTGGGAATAAAATAAGTCATGAAAGAGGTCCAAGAATAATGCCTGCCCAAAATAGAGGTTGCTTTATAAGGTAGTTGTGAATGTAATTTACCACACTTAACAAAAACATTATTTACATTTAACTATTTGAAGGTATAAATATTTACCCATTCTTTAAAATAATCAAATGAACATTGTTGTTCAGAGTTTTCTCTGTTGTTTTAGGGAACAATGGAGTAAGAGAATAAGCAGAGGATTATGAGAAGTGTTGGAAGATAGCTCTGAGTAGAGTGATGCTGAGCTTAATCTACTTTCCATGATGAGGTCATTTGCACAATAGAGAAAGCATCCATTTGTTTGTAAAGTGATCAGATTGTAAGCACCAGGCATTGTTTGTTGAAATATTTCCTTTCACTTGTAGATCTCCAGTCTTTTCTACGCAGCTTGACAAGTGAAGTGGAATGCCAACAATCTCCTCTCAACAAGCTCAGAAGATAAAGCAGAGAAGAAAAGAATGTACTTAAAGACGTGGTTCAGGACTTCACACAAATGACACCCACTTAGAAAACACAAACAAACTTTAGCCTTAGCAGAGTCAGGACCAGCCTGAGATCTTTCTGCAGTGAAATTGGGATCGATCTCAGGTTGAAGCCTAGTATATTAATCATGATCGGTTGCCTCAATTCACCTAGAAACATACATAAGTTATCTGCTAATGGCTCTACCTAGGTAATTGTTCACAGATCTTCAAATAGTTTTCCAAGAGCACCAAGTACATCAAAACCTAAAGTGTGTAAGCATGCAATAGAAAAAGGGTAATCAGTAAGATTGTTAGATGTTACTTACACTTACTTGGTATAAAATTGTGATGGCTTCCCACGAACTTCTATGCTGATACTGGCATTGGAAAACAGCTAGATAACTTTTTCAGCCACTAAATTCTGATAATCATTGCCTGCCATTATCCAAATCCTTATCTTCTTGGCCTTTGCTCTCCCTTTCCCTGTATTAGGCAAGCGAAGAGATTGAAGACAGCAAAGTGCATTGGAAAGAATCCACAAATGCCTTGTGGCCTGGGACATCTCACAAAAAGCTAATTTGAAAAATGAGCGTAATTCTTACTTCATAAGAATTAATGGAGGCCGGGTGCAGTGGCTCATGCCTGTAATCCCAGTACTTTGGGAGGCTGAAGTGTGTGGCTCACCTGGGGTCAGGAGTTCAAGACTAGCTTGGCCAACATGGTGAAACTCTGTCTCTACTAAAAATACAAAAATTAGCCAGTTGTGGCGGCAGGCATCTGTAATCTCAGCTACTCAGGAGACTGAGGCAGGAGAATTGCTTGAACCCAGAAGACGGAGATTGCAGTGAGCCGAGATCATGCTACTGTACTCCAGCTGCCTGGGTGACAGAGCGAGACCCCGTCTCAAAAAAAAAAAAAAAAAAAAAAAAAGAGAATTCATTGAGTTAGTTCATGTAAAGTTCTTGGAGTAAGACCTAGCACATGACAGGTGCTATTAAAATTACAGAATCACATATCCCAGTTTGTCTAAGCTCGTCTCAATTTATGCTTGTTTTCCAGCTTCTCAGTTAGTTTGGTATTTGTCATTCTCAAGGGGTCCTGATTTGAATGATTGATAATTTATGTGCTCAACCTGTGTGAATGTGGTAAAGCTACTATTATTGTTGTTATTAATAAATTGTAGGGCCAGGCGTGGTAGCTCACGTCTGTAATCCCAGCACGTTAGGAGGCTGAGGAGGATGGGTCACCTGAGGTCAGGAGTTTGAGACCAGCCTGGCCAACATGGCCAAACCCTGTCACTACTAAAAATACAAAACTTAGCTGGGCATTGTGGTGGGTGCCTGTAATCCCAGCTACTCGGGAGGCTGAGGCAGGAGAATCACTTGAACCCAGGAGGCAGACGGAGGTTGCAGTGAGCTGAGATCACGCCACTGCACTCCAGCCTGGGCGACAAGAGTGAAACTCTGTCTCAAAAATAAATAAATACATACAGAAATAGTAAACATGTATGTCTAGTAGTTTTGTGGAATCTTGCTTATAAATGCACATTACATGTTGAGCTATTAATACGTGCTACCATGTCCTAGAGTCAGAAAAGTGTAATAAAAAAGCTAATTCTTGGACATTTACTTGCTGTGTGATTTGATAAAAGTTACCTACCCTTTCTCAAACCCAAATCCTGTGCAGTAAAGCCAGATAATATATAGCCAGTGACCTATTGGTTGTAAGAATCTAGTGATATATAATGTATGTGAAAATGTTTTGTAATTTATAGCACTTGATATAAATGAAACAAATTCTTAAACTAAAATTCAACTTAAGGTATTATGTTTCGATAAATACCATATTTACCTGGCTTAATACTTCCACAAATATTCTATGTACCTAATGTTTCAGATATATTACTGGATTTACAATATTCATTTAGAAAAAAAGCATCACACGATGCAGTGGTGCAAGCCTGTAGTCAGTCCCAGCTACTTGGAAGGCTGAAGTGGAAGGATCACTTGAGCCTAGGAGCTCAAGGTCAGCTAGGCAAGATAGTAACTTCTGTCTCAAATAAATAAATTAAATAAATAAGCATCAAGGGGTCAAAATGAACCGCTTGCCCAACCATGCACTAAGAACTCTAGAACTCAGTTCTTCCTGCTTCTTGACTGGCTTTGGGCACTTGAATAGACACAATAGAATTAGTAGTTAGGTGCATGGGCTTAAGTCTTTGCTTTGCCATTAGTGAGTTGAGTAGCGTTAAGCAGGTTATTTAATAATTCTAAGATCTCAATGGGGTAAAACTATTATTACACAAAATTATTATTCTGAGACATAAATGAGATCATGATTATACAAGTCTTAGCACACAAGCCTTAGCACAGTGACCTTGATATGTCTGACACATAGTAAAATATGAATAAATGTTAGCTATTGTGTATAATTTTTTTGAACTTCTTAGCAAAGCTCTGAGGTGAGCTCAATATCTCTATTAGACTGTATTTTTATCATTGTGGAGCAGGAAGAGGTCAACAAACAGATGACTAGCTCCTGACAGTAAGAAAATTCTAAATGGTATCTTGTGGTTGGCAGGAAGACAGCTGTTGACCCAGGTCAGCAAGTATTTATTAAGTAATTGGTATATGCAAAACACGCTAAAAATACTAGAATATAAGAATATCACTAAAAGCTAATAGTTATAAGCAGCTTATAATAGCCGTTTGGTAAATGACACAGGTAAAAAGGCAGAATATAGAAAGTGGTATAAGAAAGGTATAATAATAACATTGGGGCTCAGTGAAGGTTATAACACCGCGTTGGGGTTAGAATTTTAAAGTTCTCATGGAAACAGGGCTGTAGATGGTGATATTTTAGATTGGTTCTGAGGGTTTGGATAGGCAGAAGGGAAGGCAAGAACATTCTAGGCAGAACTGAAGGAAATAAATAAGGACTCATTCCCAAACATTTAGCTTTTGGAGTTAAAGTGCATACATGGGCTACTGGTGTGAAACTTAAAAACAAGACAATAGACTTTTTAAATCTCTGTATCAACCCCACTCATGATAATCTACAAAATAACTACTATTCACTCACTGACTTCAACGTATTATTTTCAGCTGTGTTGGATGTTTTAGAGGTGAAAGGCATTTGGTCTGTACTGAACCTTTGAAAACCATTTCAAGTGAAACAACCTGGGTTTTTATATTATATATGTTTTATGAATGTGAACCCATATATAATCATGATCATTTACTGCTGATAAATTATATAATAATATGACTGTTATAGAGCAAATCAGATATGAGCCTAAGTCATACCAACAAAACTAGATTGAATTATTCTCCAATATAGTATCATTCATTCTTTTACTTAAAAAACAACAAACATTTTAAACTATGTGCCAAGAACCATGAATAAGGAATTAAAAAGTAAAAGTCTATATATATTGTTAATCTATTATAAACAACAGGAAATAAAATTGGTTCATAATTCCCATAAGTATATTCTGTGAACATCAAAGTCTATTATAGCTGTTATTTTCACTTCATTTGAACGGATGTGGTCTTTTACAAATTGATTTTTCTCCTTATTTTTTTTTTATTTCTGAAAATGAGATTTTCTGCTTACTTGTTTCAGTGTCTTGAACCAAGGCACTACAACTTACCACTATTGAAAAATCTGCATAAATGTACATTGAGTAAAATATACTTACTACATTTATCTAAGGCCTAAATTTAGCTTTCTAGTACAAATTTAGCCTGCCAATTGTTGAAAATAATATTTTTAATCCTGATTGTAAAGATACACATGTACTCTCTATAGGAGATTAAACAAATCTTCTATAGAGTTGATAAAATAAATCCTGTTCCTTCATTTTTATATGAGAAAGAAATATAACTAGGATTATTACAACATCTCCTACAACTCTCAGAATCTTCACCACCTTATTAACCTGGTGTTTGGATTCTCTTTGTTGTATCTTTTTTTAAGAAAAAAATTCTTAAATTAAAAATGGAATCGCTCAGACTGCATTCCTTCCCGAAGAGCAAAGCTGGCTTCACACTAAAGAGAGAACACTGCACCTCCTCCTTCTGGCTCCTAGTGCTCTACAAAGTTGGAGAAACTTTTCTAGTAATGAACCATAGCAATGATGCTGGGAAGTATAGTCTTTGATATATCTTTTAAAGCATAGATTTTTCACTGAATCAGCAATCACTCTTGGAAAATAGATGTAGACCAAAGATACATATATATATATTTGAGGTAGGAGCTTGCTCTGTCACCCAGGTCAGAATATAGTGGTACAATCATGGCTCACTGCAGCTTCAACCTCCCTTGCTCAAGTGATCCTCTCACCTCAGCATCCCAAGTAGCTGGGACTACAGGCATATGCCACCATACCTGGCTATATATACATATATATTTTTTTTAAATTTTTTTGTAGAGATGAGGTCTTGCTCTGTTACCCAGTCTGGTCTCAAACTCCTGGCCTCAAGTGATCCTCTGGCCTTCGCTTCTCAAAGTGCTGGGATTGCAGGCATGAGATGCTGCGCCCAGCCTATAGTATTCAAAATTGTCCATCTGCAGCATTCCTTCAAGCAGCTTACACACAAAATCAAATCAATTATTTTGGTGATCAACCTAATAAAAATAGCACCATAATTTTAAAAAGAAGAATTGTTTTGGCTGAATTAGAAGCCTCCATATTAATCCAACCTCTATGCATGTCATAATGGGCCTGATTTGGGTGCACTTTCGTATCTAAAGCATGATATTTAAAAAGGGCATATAAAATGGGAATGTTCATTTGGAGACAGGCTAAATTTTTTCATGGCAACAGGCAAAAAAAAACCATGAAATACAAGATAGTTCTGGAGTTCTAGCCCTCAAGCTGAACAACTGTGGGAGAAAGACTTTCAACTTCCTATAGAGCAGTTAACAGAAGTGCTTCTTCATCAATATCTTGCATATGTGTTGCTTCATAAATGCAAGTAATATTATCAGTAATATCAACAGAAATAATTTGATATTTTAAATTCATAATGAAATCATCATTTTAAAGGAAAGAAGGGAAAATTTGAGTGTCGGCCTTGAGCTTCTTTCATTAGTCTAGTGAGTCTTGGTCTTTCTCTGCTTACAATGACTTTTATGCATATTTCTAAAATTAAGGAAAATGCCAGAAATACAGGTTGTTTGTGTATATAGGTGGTCCTACTTCTGTTATTTGACAATAATGACATTTCAATAATGACATTGAAACAAACAAAAAATGTCCATTTGGGGCAGAGGAACTGACCCCAAAATATAACTGAGTAAGAAATGCTAATGTTTAGTAAAATATGAGGATGCTACCTGAGGAGGGCTGTGAACCACTTCCTTGGGCTCAATTTCATTCTCAGCCTTCCTAACAATACTTATTTCAATATGAACATTAAGCAGTCAAAAGTAGGGAAGCATTCAAAATATATTGTATCCACCCAAGAAGGCATCTTCCTGTATGAGTCAGTAGGTGTCTTAAGAGAGAATAAATGGTTTAACAACCCAAGGCTTTGTATTTTCCCCATTAATCATTTATTTTCAACCAGGCATGGTGGCTCATGCCAGTAATCCCAGCATCTTGGAGGGCCCAGGCTAGAGGATCACTGAAGCCCAGAAGTTCAGGACCAGTCTGAGCAACATAGTAAGACCTCATCTCTAATTAAATATATATATATTTAATTATATATATAATTTAATTTTATATATATATATATATATTTTTTTTTTTTTTTTTTTTTTTTTTTTTTTTTTAAGGGCCGGATGTGTTGGTTCATGCCTGTAATCTCAGCACTTTGGGAGATGAAGGCAGGCAGATTGCTTGAGTCCAGGAGTTTGAGACCAGCCTAGGCAATATAGCAAGACATTGTCTCTACAAAAATAGTACAAAAATTAGCCAGGCATGGTGGCAGGTGCCTGTAGTCTCACTACTCAGGAGGCTGAGGTGGGAGAATCAATCGAGTGCCGGAGGTTGAGGCTACAGTGAGACACGATTGTGCCACCACACTCCAACCTGGGTGACAGAGAAAGACCTTGTCTCAAAATAAAATTAAATTCAATTAAAATAAATAAATTTATTTATTTATATTCTTCCACTACATTACTATGAGGAAAAATATTCAACACCTAATTGTCCTTTGCTCTTACAGATAGAATAGATGACTTCTTGAAGTCAAACCCTGCTGAGCAAATAGTATATACTCCAGTGCATACCAGGCAAGCAGTATATATATAATGGTTGAAGACATTTTCTGGAACAGAGAAAACTAGAGCAACACCAGTCCTACCACTGTTCCTTCCAGCAGCTCTGTAACTACACAGCGTCTGTGACATTTTTCTCTCAATTTCAATGGCCTAAACATTCAAATGTGGTGGGCACTGACTGCCACTGTATTTTCCTCATTCTATTATTTTTCCCTTTACTCAAAGGGAAAGCTAGAGACATCCCTCCCTGACTAAATGGGCTCTATCTCCAGGAAAACATGTCACTACTGTAAGGAGAACATAAAGACCCCATTATGTCTTTACTTCTGTATTTACTTTTTTTCTAAAATCTGAACTGTACAATTTGTGAACATAGGCATTCCAACATCAGAGTCAGGTTTTTTAACTGTATCATTCTGTTAACCCACCCTTTAAAGAATTCAAATTTAACATACTTTGCAGCTTAAAAGCAGCATAAAATAAAATTTCAGAAAATGTCATGGCAACACATCAAACATTTAATGTCAGTTTCCCTTATGCTCATTGCATTGCAAAAGGCAACCACCAATTATGCAATTTTGAAATGATATTTTACTTTGTAATTAAAACCCAGGTTCCTTGTGCTTGATATTTGTAGAGCATCTGTGCAAAGCAATTGCTCCCTGGGAAGGGAAGATGGTATCTTTGCACTTTCAAAGACCTCTGCCTACAGTGCTGTTATAAATAAGCTTTTTTCCTTTGTTAGCTTAATGCACCTAACTTCACACTTAGATATGTTATCAAGGAATCACCAAATAGCATGCATGCATAAGTTCATTGTTTAGAAGTTGGTGTAAATTTTATTACTAGACAGTTCCTTTGTTCCATATGACAAATATTGCCTTCATTTAATTATAATGCTGAAAACTTCATCTGATATGTACCCAGCCTTTAATTGTTTTCAATCCTAAACTGACATTTTTGGACTATTTGAATATGATTTGAATAACAATGGGCCAGTTGGTATGATGCTAAGGAAAAGAAGATACCTGTAAAATTGCCAACAGTACATCATCTTTTTATGGTCTCTTGATTCTCCTTTACCGTAGGCTTTTTATAAATAAGTGAAAACTATACATTTTACTTGCCTCTTCATTTGAAGTCCATTCATCTTAGTGACCCTATCCTGTATACTAATGCTGTGGGGCGCACTTTATTCTGACACAATATAGCTATCATCTTGCCTAATAAAATAACAGTACCACACACATTTAAGTTTATATATATATATATAAAATTTACTGTCAACCAATGGAATAAAACTCTATCTTACTAAAGTCCAATAGACTAAGGTATAATCATAAATGCAGGTATTTTAATAAATGAAATACTTCATTATTATTTATTTATTTATTTATTTATTTTCCAAGACAGAGTCTCGCTGTGTTGCCCAGGCTGGAGTGCAGTGGCACAATATCGGCTCACTGCAACTTCTGCCACCCAGGTTCAAGCAATTCTCCCCGCCTCAGCCTCCCAAGTAGCTGGGACTATAGGCACCCGCCACCATGCCTGGCTAATTTTTGTATTTTTTAGTAGAGACAGGGTTTCACCATGTTGGCCAGGCTGGTCTTGAGCTCCTAACCTCAGGTGATCCACCCTCCTTGGCCTCCCAAAGTGCCGGGATTACAGGTGTGAGCCACCACACCCGGCCAATACTTTATTTTTTTAAGTGAAATACTTTAATTAGGATATAATAAAATCTCATCTATCTAGAGAGCAACATTTTTCAGATAACCAATCTTTCCCTCTTTAAGTACCAAACCTTTTTGATATTTGAGCAACTTTAGGTGGAAATCATTCTTTGTTTGTTTTGTTTTATTTTGTTTTTGAGACAAAGTCTCACTCTGTTACCCAGGATGGAGTGCAATGGCACGATCTCAGCTCACTGCAACCTCTGCCTCCTGGGTTCAAGCAATTCTCATGCCTCAGCCTCCTGAGTAACTGTGATTACAAGTGTGTGCCACCACGCCTGGCTAATTTTTTGTGTTTTTAGAAGAGACGGTTTCACCACATTGGCCAGGCTGGTCTCAAACTCCTGACCTCAAGTGACCCACCTGCCTCTGCCTCCCAAAGTGCTGGGATTACAGGTGTGAACCACCACACCCGGCCAGAAATCATTCTTAAATATATTACACAATTTTCTACCTTCTTAAAGAGGGCATATTGATAACAACACTTTTTTTTTTTTCAAAATGATCCAGGACCACTTTTGAGCTTCGGTTATTAATAATTCTAATATAAGGCCAGGCGCGGTGGCTCACACCTGTAATACCAGCACTTTGGGAGGCCGAGGCAGGCGGATTGCTTGAGGTCAGGAGTTCAAGACTAGCATGGCCAACATGGTGAAACCCTGTCTCTACTAAAAATACAAAAATTAGCCAGGCTTGGTGGCATGTGCCTGGAATCCCAGCTACTCGAGAGGCTGAGGCAGGAGAATCGCTTGAACCTGGGAGGCGGAGGTTGCAGTGAGCCGAGATTGCACCGTTTTACTCCAGCCGGGGTGACAGAGGGAGACTCTGTCTCAAAAACAACAAAAAAATACTAACTAAAATAATTCTAATATAAGGATGACTTTAAGACAAAGAATCAAGTGGGACGTTTTTCCTTGTTACAAAATGACTCCAGACAACTGTTTTCAACCTACTGTAGCGTTTTATAGCTTTTGGTTCTCTCCTAATGACTAGGAGTTTAATTTTTTCTTCTTAATCTTAACCAGGAAGCATATTAGAAGTAAAATGTTGCCTCCTTTGTGTGAAGAGGACTTTGGACCCAGGAACTACATCAGGAAAAAATGTTAGAATGATATATGAATCATGAGTGTACAGACACCAAGTAAGGACTGAAGGAACATGTCTATCACTCTATGAGCTGTCTTGTGTGGCTTTTGTAATATTAATTTAATCTGTTCAGAATCTTAATAGCTGAAGTACTAGTTTATTATTTCAGGCAGGTGAGCTACTGATTTATTGAGTTGTCTGTAAAAAGAGTATCACTATGGTGTAACTGACTCAAACTTCATAGAAGGCAGGTAATTTATTCCTGGTTTCTAGAAAACAGCTTGAACACAAGGTAGTCAGTTGTTCCTTTTTTTTCCCCTCACTTGTTTTATTAAGATACAATTGACAAATAAAAATTATATATATTTACAGTATACAACATAATGTTTAGATATATATATATGCATTCTAAAATGATTACATCAAGCTAATTTCCGCATCCATCACCTCACATACTTTTATCTTTGTGTGTGCATGTGTGTGTGATGGAACATTTAAGATCTAATTTCTTAGCAATGTTCAAGTATACATTTACTATTATGAACTATAATCAACATGTTCTACAATAAACCTCTAGAACTTATCCATTCTAACTGATGCTTTCTACCAACATCTCCCCATTCCCTCAATCGAATTGTTCTTTTCTTAACTATAAAAATATTTTAAGCAATAGGCCAGGCGTAGTGGCTCAAGCCTGTAATCCTAGCACTTTGAGAGGCCAAGGCAGACTGATCACTTGACGAGAGGAGTTCAAGACCAGCCTGGCCAACATGGTGAAACCCCATCTCTACTAAAAATACAAAAATTAGCTGGGCATGGTGGCACGTGCCTGTAATCCCAGCTATTTAGGGGACTGAGGCCAGAGAATCACTTGAATTTGGGAGGCAGGGGTTGCAGTGAGCTGAGATTGTGCCACTGCACTCCAGCTTGGGTGATAGAGCGAGACTCCCTCTCAAAAAGAGAAAAAAAAAATTGGCCAGGCATGGTGGCTCACACCTGTAATCCCAGCACTTTGAGAGGTCAAGGTGGGTGGATCACCTAAGGTCAGGAGTTCGAGACCAGCCTGGTTAACACAGTGAGACCCCAACTCTACTAAAAATACAAAAAATTAGCTGGGCATGGTAGCGGATGCCTGTAATCCCAGCTACTTGGAAGGCTGAGGCATGAGAATTGCTTGAACCTGGGAGGTGGAGGTTGCAGTGAGCTGAGATCACACCATTGCACTCCAGCCTGGGCAACAAGAGCGAAACTCTTTCTCAAAAATAATAATAATAATAATAAGTAAAAAACAAAGCCAGAGAAAAACACAGTTGATAACTGATATTTTAAAATTTTCCCTTGCTTGGTAATATACTAAATTCTAAACATGTGGCCTATTACAGAATGGAATTTTAAAATAACAGGCCTATTTTGGAGCCTATCCATAGTGCTGAGATAGTAGAAGTGTAAGATCCTACTTATAACATAGTTCCACAACATGAACTCTAAATGTGATGTTTTAGCAAAACTCCAAAATCAGGCTAGAATCTTACTCAAGTCTGTACAGTGTAGAATTAAGAATCAAGCACTGTAAAACTATAATGTTAGGTTCCAAACAGCTAACTTCTAGGGAGGTAATTAAAACTGAGGAAAGGGAGATGAAGAATGACTTTTATTTTATATTCTATATCATTTAACTTTTCTTTTTTTCAGACAGGGTCTTGCTCTATTCCTCAGGCTTGGAGTATAGTGCTGCAATCGCAGCTCACTGCAGCCTCAACTTCCTGGGTTCAAACAATCCTCTCACTTAGCCTCCCAAGTAGCTGGGATTATAGGCATTAGTCATCCCACCAGGCTAGCTTTTTTGATATTTTATAGAGACAGGGTCTTGCTATATTGCCCAGGCTGGTCTCAAACTCCTGTCCTCAAGTCATCAGTCTGCTTCAGCCTCCCAAAGTGCTGGGATTACAGGAGAGAGCCACCATGCCCAGCCTCAGTTAGTTTAACATTTTATACAATATATGTGTGTGTGCATACATACACACATGCATACATACATACATTATTTTTCAGTTAAAAATTAGTTTGATTACCCATAAAACCACAAGAAAATTTTACTTCAAAGAAACAAAAATGTTACTTAACTCTGTGAGATAGCTCAAATATGATTAGGATTTTTGCTGCTTACTGAATCCTTAAATTTATTTAGACTGGGTGTTGTATTAGTTTGCCATGGCTGTAGTAAAAAAGTGTCATAACTGAGTGGTTTCAGCAACAGAAATTTATTATCTCACAGTTCCGAAAACTAGAAGTTCAAAATCAAGGTGTTGGCAGGATTATTTCTGAGGGCTGTCAGGAAAGGATCTATTCCAGGGTCTCTCTCTTTGGCTTGTAAATCAGTGCCTTTGTGTTCACATGACATTCTCCCTGTGCATCTGTGTCCAAATTCACCCCTATTTATAAGAACACCAGTCATATTGGATTAGGGTCCACTCTGCTGATCTCATTTTATGGTGATTACCTCCATAAAGACCGTATCTCTACAAAAAGTCACATCTTTTTTTTTTTTTTTTTTTCTGAGACGGAGTTTCACTCTTGTTGCCCAGGTTGGAGTGCAATGACATGATCTCTGCTCACTGCAACTTCCACCTCCCGGGTTCAAGTGATTCTCCTGCCTCAGCCTCCTGAGTAACTGGGATTACAGGCATGCACCACCAAGCCCGGCTAATTTTGTATTTTTAGTAAACACGAGGTTTCTCCATGTTGATCAGGCTGGTCTCAAACTCCTGACCTCAGGTGATCTGCCTGCCTCGACCTCCCAAAGTGCTGGGATTACAGGAGTGAGCCACTGCGCCCAGCCAAAAAGTCACATTTTAAGGTACTAGGGGTTAGGAATTCAACACAGGAATTTTGAGAGGACTCTATTCAACCCATAACAAATGTGTCAGTTCACTCAGGCTGCTATAACAAAATACCATAAACTGGGTGGCTTATAAACAAGAGAAGTTCATTTCTCACCGTTTTGGAGGCTGGGAAGTCCAAGATCAAGGCACTGGCAGATTGAGTGTCTGGTAATGACCTGCTTTCAGGTTCGTAGATGGTGCCTTCTTTCTGTGTCCTCACATGGTAGAAGGGGCAAGGGTCTCTCTGGGGCCTCTTTCATAGGGGCGCTAACCTCATTCATCAGTGCTCTCCCCTCATGACATAATCACTTCCCAAAGGCCTTATCTTCTAACACTGACACATACGGTATTTCAACATAAAAATTATCATATTTCAGAAATTAAGAGTAGGATTAGAACTTCAGTATATAAATTTGGTGGGACACAAACATTATATATCCACAATCTATATCCCTTGTGGAGATCTGGTTAATCAGATAATGATCCAAAGCAGCCATGGGCCCACTGCTCCCTGGCCTCACTGTGGGCATCTTCTCCCTCCTTCGTCTTGGTTTCTGCTCTCAACACCTAGAGAGGTGGAAGCAGCCACAGGTCACCCCCACCAACAAGCAAGTAGTTGTGACAATTCTGTTTTCATAGACTTCTCATTATTTTCAGAGAAGTAATTCAAAAAGTATCTGGAAAATCTCTTTCTAAAAAGACAGAAGTTTTCCTGAAAGTTGAGAGTCCTGCCCACACACTTCCCACACGGACAAAAACCGACCATTTTTTCCTTTGGGAAAACATTATTGCTTGAAAACTCATTTTGTTAGCACTGGCACAACAGTGTATCAAAACATATTAAAACGAAAAAAATTCAGCGCACGCGGATACTGTTGGTGGGACTCTCATTTTACCTAGTTCTGTATGAGAATTTTTATAAGAATGTGTATCTTTGGTAAACATTCAATTACAACTTTCTGCTCCCTATTTTCTTCAGTTCTTATACTAAAAGATCCAAAGTTTCCCCTATATCTTATTTTAAAAGAACACTGCAAAGATAATTGTTTTTATAGAATCATAAAGTAACAAGAGGACCTTTAGTAATTAGCTGGTGCAAGCCCTCATTTCACAGATACAGAAGCTAGACCCAAAGGGTTCCTGAGAGCTGCTCGGGGATGCTGGGTTAAACATTAGAAGCAGTTGGTCAGACAGAAGACCACTGTGCTGTGTGCCTGCTTTCACAGTAACATTTAAAATTATGATCTAGCCTATAAAAAGGGACCCTTCCAGAATCTTTAGAAAAGTAATAAATTTGCAATCATTTTTATTTAGTGCTAGTGTCTGAACTGTGTCTTACACTTGCAACTTAAAAACAAAATGAAACAAAAACTCCACAACATATACACCTAAAATCCGGAATGAATTTGTTTAGCTTTAAATAAGGCCTGGTATGAGAGGAAGATGGAACTTACTGACAATAAGTGCACATTTATAGACTGAACTTGTCCATGAAAACAGAAGATTACCAAAGGAAATATAGCACATAAAATTGAAATATTAAATATTAATAAAGACCACAGAAATCAATTTAAAGAGATAGCTTTTATTTTTAATGTTATTTTCATCAGCTTTCCCTATGAAAATAGAGATCTATTTAAATTTTTTTTTTTTTTTTACTCTCCTCACTTTGATATTCTGCTCTTCAATTGGTAAATCATATTCTTCTTCCTGCCAAACATGTCATCCTCACTAAATCTGGAATGGGATGCTTGGCTAGATTTCCTTTGTTATGGATATTAGAAAACCAGAGAGATAATATTTTTCCATGCAAATTGGGACCTGCTTGTTGAGTGAATTAGCTCTGATAACAGCCAAAAGCAAAACAAAACAAAACAGAAATAGAATGAGAAACAAACTAACAGTTCACACAATGTTTTGAGCATATGATCACATAATCATGAGTACATGTACAATTAAATTTGGGAGCAGAAAAGAGGTTACCTTAAATTTCCCTACATGCTTGCTTTGAAATTTTAATTTTTTTCGTAAGTTCAGAAAATAGTTCTAGTAATTACTAAATAGTTTATGCCTTTAGCTATTAGAATTCATTTTAAAAGTGGCAATACCTAGGCCAAAGCAAAATGGAAAGTTAATTATTGCCTGAAGTTAAAGGACAGAGGTCTTTCAGATAATAAAAACTTTAGGCAGGGCGTGGTGGCTGACGCCTGTAATCCCAGCACTTTGGGAGGCTGAGGTGGGTGGATCACTTGAGGTCAGGAGTTCAAGATCAGCCTGGCCAACATGGTGAAACCCAATCTCTACTAAAAATACAAAAATTAGCCTGGTGTGGTGGCAGGTGCCTGTAATCCCAGCTACTTGGGAGGCTGAGGCAAGAGAATCGCTTGAAGCCAGGAGGCACAGGCTGCAGTGAGGCAAGATGGCACCACTGCACTCTAGCCTGGGAGACAGAGTGAGACTCCTTCTCAAAAACTACCAGACAAAAAAAATTTTAGGTGGACTCAAATGACATCCCATTTTGTTTCAATCTTAATGACTGATAATTTTTCTAAAATTTTTAAATATATTTTCTGCTTTAGTAAACAGTGTATAAAAATTGTCTTAATATTTATTTTGTGGTTGAAAATGTTCCTATTTTATAGTCATTATCTGATGACAATTATAATTAAATAGTTATATAGATTTGACTAGGAAAGTAACAAATATTGACGTGAATCCATGTTGACCCCCACAATGACCCTACCATTATTTCTGTTGCTTTTTAAAGTCTTTGAGGTGCGTTTTCTTCTTTTTATATTGCAGCCACTCATAGACTCTTGACAGAAGAGTGGTGCAGTCACATTTTTTTCTCAATTGGACCACCATGCAGCCTGCTAATTCCTGTGATCTTTCTTCTGCTTTTGAAGAAATTCTAAGAAAGGAAATGATGGTTACTTACAATTTCACTTTACTGAATTCCAGTTAATTAGGGGTTTCTGAACTTGAAATCAAGATAATATACACATGAAACAAGAAAGTTTATTTCTTATTCCATCCAGGTTAATTCTATTATGCATTGACATTAACATTATTCAATCATTCATATAAAAATTAAGACAGAGCATTCCCTTGAACTCCTGAAATTTCTCTACATTTTTTCCTTTGGCTGCTAATAGTTTAAGGAATAATTGTATTTTTTTTTTCGGTGTCAGGGATATCTGTTATGTATTTTGACATCGAAGAAAGTCCAAGTGTATAGGAGGTTAAAAGAGTATTCAAGCAAAGAGTGCTTGAAATAAACACGCTGTCAGAAACAGTTTTATTGTGTAGAGATTTGCAATCTAATGACTTTTATTGCAATGGTATTTATACACACATATACATACATTTAATGATTTGCTGAGATTTTCCCTAAGGGCATTCTAAGAAAATAATATTACTCAAAACACAATGAATTAACTGCTCCCATTAGACACCTCACTCAAAAGAACAGAGGAAGAACCTTGTTAAGTAAGAGATGTTTCCTAGCATAGTGTGCGGAAGTGTCCTAACTTATTGATCATATTATTTAGCTACAATTGGAAATCAATGCCTCTGAAAAGATAAACATCTGAAGAATATACCTGCTGATTTCATCCTTCCTCACCCTCCCTACAGAAGGGACAGAAGCTTCTTTCTTTTTTCCCTTGACAGAAGGATACACTGATTGCCATTACACTATGCATGGTCCCTGCTTGAAGAAATGTGCACACTGGTCTAGCAAAGGCTGCAGTGCCCAAGATGACTACCAGGATGGCAGTCACTTTGGTTCCAGCAGTTGCATGTCCACAGTGCCACCCCACTGCGGGGCCACCATTGCACCCTCAGGGCTCCTTCCTGGCTGTCATTTGTTGTTTTCCCTTCCTCCTACTCCATTTATGACCAGTCCCACAGGTTTTCCATGTCAATAACAAACATGTTCTAAATAGTAAAAGATTTCAATCCCCTCTAAAATAAAATTCAATGTCATTTACCAACCTGATGAAAATTTTCAGCCACAGAAAATTCATAGTTTAATCGATGCCCTGGAAAGAACTCATGTTTTCCATAAAGCTTTTTCTTCTACGTGGTACAATAATATCTTCTGTGCTTACTTCAAGGAAATGTTATTTGAGACAGACTCATATACTACTTTTGTTGTTTACATTCATGGCTTGCTAGTGGCCCAAGTTTACATGACAAATATGTGCCAAGAAAGCTATGATATGCTACTGACAGGACATTTTAGGCATATTCTTTTTCTTTTCTTTTCTTTTCTTTTCTTTTTTTTTTTTTTTTTTTTGAGATAGGGTCTTGCTCTGTTGCCCAGGCTGGAGTGCATGGTGCCATTACAGATCACTGCAACCTCGACCTCCCAGGCTCAAGCAATAATCTTGCCTCAGCCTCCCAAGGAGGTGGGACTACAGGCATGCACCACCATGCCTGGCTTATTAGTATTAGCATTAGTAGCAGTAGCAGTATTAGTATAAGAGATGAGGTTTTACTATATTCCCTGGGCTGGTCTCAAACTCATGGGCTCAAGTGATCCTCCTGTCTTAACCCCCCAAATTGTTGGGATTATAGGCATGAGCCACCACTCCCGGCCTCTATTTTGGGAGGCATATTCTATCTTTCCTCGTGAGTTCATTCAATCTGACTCTTCCACCTCCATGTTTCCAAAACTCATCTCTGTCTGCTGTTCATAATACTACTTATTACATCGAATCTCTTACAGCTATTTGTTTACATATTTTTCTCCCCTTCTAGACTGACAACTACTTAAGATAGAAACAGTCCTGCTAATCCTTGTATCTTCTGCTCTAAATCTTAAACTTCGTAGTTTAACAATGAACCAGAAGACCTCATTCTATCTTAGTCCATTGTTTTGTGTACCCTTCTTGCCCTGCCCTCCTTCAGGGATGTTGTAGAGATATAGGAGGTGGATGATAAGAAAGCATTTTGAATATGGGAAGAAAACCCCAATCCAAATGCAAGGCATACTTATTTATCTTTAGATAATAAACAATAAAAAATTCTTTGAACAATGTTTGAGTTTTGTGGATGATTTTTAAGTCAGTTATTATTGTTCTGCATTGATATCTTAGACATATTACTTAATATAGAAAACAGCTTGGACATGTTTACTAAAAATTATATATATCATGGATGAAAGACATAGGATTGATATGTAATATTGTGTGCATGGTTCATGTTAAGTGAATCTGAATAAGCAAAATTTGCAGAAGAGAAGCACATTAACCAGTAATAAGCTGGTGATAATATGGGAAAACCAGCACTAGAAGAAAGTTTCAGGAAAGAAGGGTTCTGGCTTTATAATGTCCCATCTGTTTCAAGCCTGTTTGATAACAAAACAGACATTCAAAAATTCTGTGTTCGGAAATTCTAGTAGTCATTCTTAATTCTTCTCTTTCTCATGCACCCCAAATTCAAACCATCAGCAAAACCTTCAGCATATATTCAAACTCTCATCAGTTCTCACTCGGCACTGCCATCATATCTATCTTGCCCAAGTACCATCATCTCTTACCTGGATTCCAGCAATGGCATCTGGACTGGTCTCCCTTCTTCAGCCCTTGCTCGCTTTTACAATGTAGGTTACATCATGTCATTCTTCTGCTCTAAACCTACAGTGGTTTCCCATCTCACCAAAAATAAAACCCTGACCTGGCTCTGTGCTACCTCTCTGCACTCACCCTCTATTCCTCTCCCATTTGGCCCCATCCACACTGCCTGCTTGCCGCCCCTTGAAAGAAGTCTAGCTCGTTTCCATTTCAGAGCCTTGTACTTGCTATTTCTGGGGTGGGAGGCTCTTCTGTTGGCCTTCAATTACTAGACATAAATTTTCGTTGTTCTGCTCAACTCAAATATTATCTCTTCCAAGAATGCTTTCCCGACCTCCTTAGCAACATCTGACTAGTCACCCTATATCCCACTATCTAGTTTTATTTTCTTCTTTTTATTCATCACATTCTGATATTGTTTTTATTATTTGTTTGAATAAGTTTTTTTCATGTGTTAATTTTTTGTCTTTTCCTACTAAGCTATAAGCTCCATTGTGGAGGTGATCTTGTCTGTTTTATTTGTTAGTGTATCCCAAGGACATAGACTGTATTAGTCCAGTCTCATGCTGCTATGAAGAAATACCCAAGGCTGGGTAATTTATAAAGGAAAGAGGTTTAATTGACTCACAGTTCAGCATGGCTGGGGAGGCCTCAGGAAACTTACAATCATGGTGGAAGGCGAAAGGGGAAGCAAGGCACCTTCTTCACAAGGTGGCAGGAAGGAGAAGCACAAGCAGGGGAAATGCCAGATGCTTATAAAACCATCAGATTTCGTGAGAACTCACTCACTATTACGAGAATAGCATGGGGGAAACCACCCCCATGATCCAATCACTTCCTACCAGGTCCCTCCCACAACACATGGGTATTATGGAAACTACAATTCAAGATGAGATTTGGGTGAAGGCATAGCCAAACCATATCACAGATCACGTCTAGCACATATGCAGTGTGTGATGGCTTTGTAATGTGCAACCTCGTTAGGCTAAACTACAGCCCCTAGAGTTCCCTTTCTACTGTGTTTCCAAATAGAGAGGGCTACAAGAAATAATCTCTTCTGAGAGTTGGAGGATGGAAGGGAGGCAACAGCTGTTTTGTGGCATGCAAGCACCTTCTCCCAGTTATTCAAACACTAATATAAGTTCTGCTATGAAGAGGTTTCACAAATGTAATTTGTGAAAGTACTACATCAGTTGACTTTAAGTTAATTGAAAGAGAGATTATGCTTGGTGGACCTGGGTTAATTAGTTTGAAGGCTTTTAAAAGAAGACTTAGAGCTTCACTTAACTCAGAGACTCCAAACAGCAGTTGGGTGTGCAATTGCTCCTTTCAAGCTCTGCATCTTCATCCCTATCTGGCTGCTACCAGTGGACAACAAGCTTCAGGTCATGCCCCTGAGACTCCACCCTGCTCATGATTTTCCTTCCTGGCTGCCTGCTCTGTGAACTTCAGGCTTGTTTAGTGAGCCTCCACAATGTCATAGGTCAGTTCCTTGTAGTGAATCCATGAAAACACACACCCCACATCTACATTTCCTTCTGGTTCTGACCCTGTGGTTCAGCCCTGACTGTTGCAACAAATGTTCAATGAACAATTTATTGGATAAAAATATAAATATAACACAAAAGATTGGAAACATAGTCTATTATTTATCTATTGTTTCACTGAATCACCCAAAAACTTAGCAGCTAAAAACAGCAATAATCACTTATCACCTCTCATGTTTTTTATATGTCTTGAATTTGGGAATAGCTTAGATGGGCAGTTCTTCCTTGGTTCTCTCATGAGGTTTCAATGAGACGTTAGCAGTGGTTGCAGTCCTCTGAAGGTCTGACCAGGGAAAGAGGACCCACTTCCTAGCTGGCTCACCCACTGGGCAAGCAAGCTGAGTCTGGCTGTTGGTGGAAGACATCAGTTTCACTCCCCATGGGTCTCCCCAGGAATCCTTGAATATCCTCATAACATAGCATCCTTATAACATGGTGGCTGGATTCCTTCAGGGGAACCAATCCAAGAGATCAAATCAAAAACTGCAAATTCTTTTAAGACCTATACTTAAAAATCATACACAGTCACTTTCAAGTTATTCTTTTCTTCTTTAGACAGGGTCTCATTCTGTCACCCAGGCTGGAGTGCAGTGGCAGGATCCTGGCTCACTGCAGCCCAACCTGCTGACCTCCTACCTCAGCCTCTGGAGTAGCTGGAACTACAGGCATGTGCCACCATGCTCGTTAATTTTTTGTAGAGACTAGGTTTCACCATTTTGCCCAGGCTGGTCTCCAACTCCTGGTTCAAGTGATCTGCCCGCCTTGGCCTTTCGAAGTGCTGATATTGTAGGTGTGGGCCACTGAGCTCAGCCTTCAGTTATTCTTTATTTTATTTTATTATTTATTTATTTAGATACAGGGTCTTGCTCTGTCTCTCAGGCTGGAGTGCAGTGGCACAATAATAGCTCACTGCAGCCTCGAACTCCTGGGCTCAAGCAATCCTCCTGTCTCAGCCTCCCAAGTAGCTAGGAGTACAGGCATGTACTGCCATGCCCAGTTAATTTTTTAAAAAAAATTTTTGTAGCGATGAGGGCTTGCTATGTTGCCCAACCTGGTCTCAAATTCTTGGGCTCAAGCGATCCTCCCACCACTGCCTCCCAAAGCTCTAGGATTACAGGCCTGAGCTACAATGCCCAGTCCTGCTTTCCAGTTATTCTAATGGTCACATAGATCATTCTGATTCCATAGGGGAAGAAGCTGTCTACACAAGGGTGTGAATAGCGGGAGGTGAGAATTGGGTGCTATCTTGGAAGCCAGCCACAAATACATAGCAACATACTAAACATGTTAGCTCTGAGTAATGGGATAATGGTTATACGTTTCGTCTTCATACTTTTCTGTATTTTCTAAAATCTCTACAATGAACATGGTTTTGCTATTGTGTTGTGGTTTCTTTTCTTTTCTTTTTCTTTCTTTTTATTTTTTCTTTTCTTTTCCTTTCTTTTTTTCTTTTTTTTTTTTTTTTTTTTTTTTGAGACAAAGTCTCACTCTGTCACCCAAGCTGGAGTGCAGTGGCATGATCTCAGCTCACTGCAACCTCCACCTCTTGGGCTCAAGCAATCCTCCCACCTCAGCTTCCTGAGTAACTAGGACTACAGGTGCATGCCAGCACATCCTGCTAATTTTTGTATTTTTTTTTTTAAGAGACAGTGTTTCACTATGTTGCCCAGGCTAGTCTTGAACTCCTGGGCTCAAGCCATCTGCTAGCCTTGGCTTCCCCAGGTCCTGGGATTAGAGGTGTGAGCCACTGCGCCTGGCCCATATATTATTTTTAAATCAGAAAAAAATATGTATCTTGCTGTTTGTATATACACCTATATGCATATTTATGTATAGACATATTTATCTTCAAGTGAGAAACAAGGTATATATTATACATCATTCATAATGGCAGACCCAACAAATAAAGTTCTCTAAATTCTTCTTATACTTAAGACAACATTTTCATAGACCTAAACATAAATTTTCATTCATTATAATGTAAATAATCAAGTCATTTACAAAAATGTGTGCCTGGTTAATTTTCAGAAAATAAAATCAATTCATTGTTTGATTTTATTTGATCAAACAATGTTTGTTTGATCAAGTCTCAAAGATAAGCTAATTTCTAAAGCACAAATTATTCTTAACAATAATATCATTCATACTCACATAATTAGATGACAATATAATTGAGGAAATATTTGGGTAGCGATGTGGGAAATGGAGATGGAAACATTTATTTAGAGGCTAGACACTGATTTTCAAGTCTATGAGGATATTACAAATAATCACTAGCTGAAAAAATCCACATAGAAATTTTGTTTTGTGTAAGGACTTTCTTTGCTTTATCTTGAGTCAGTTTTATAAGTTAAAGCTCATTTTTACAAGCTTCATGTTATGGGAAGAATGGGGCTCCCCCATCCCGATCCCTACTCCAAAAATGTTTATGTTGGATCCTTAACCCGTCATGTGACTGTATATGAAGATAGGGCCTTTAAGGAGGTAACTCAGATTTAAAAGGTCATAAGGCTGGGGCCCTAACCCAATGGCACAGGTGGCCTTACATGCAGGAGAAGATCTATCAGAGACATGCATACACAGAAGAAAGGCCATGTGAGGACACAGCAAGAAGGTGGCCTCTGCAAGCCAAAGAGAGAGGTTGCAGGAGAAATCAAACCTGCCCTCACCTTGATGTGGGACTTCCAGGTTCCAGAACTGTGAGAAATGAGTTTCTGTATTTAAGCTACCCAGGCCATAGTATTTTGTTATGGCAGTCCTAGGAGGCTAATACACCACGCAATATAAGATCTGTGGTAACTGAGCAATATTTCTAACAATGCAGTAGTTTTTGAGTATTGATGTCGACCAAATTAGCCTTTACCTGAAAATATCGAAAATTACAAAAACATATCAAAAAATAATATGATAAAATCATTCATAACCCACCACCTACTCTTCATTTTGTAGTATTTCTTTTTTCCTTTTTCCATGCATATACACTTTTAAAAAGTAATATTGGCATCACAGAATATATGTATATATTCTGTAATTTTCACTTAGTGTAATTTTCACTTAGAAAATATATATTAGTGTTTGTATTACTGTGTGCGTGCATGTGTGTATGTAAGGAGAGATAGATGATAGATAATATAATATATATTAGGATATTAGGAGAAATAGATAAATGCTAGATAGATGAGAGAGAGAGAGAGAGTTATGGACTGCATGTTTGTGCCCCCCCCTCAAATTTATATGTTGAAACACTACCCCCACCCCATGTGATGGTATTAGGAGGTGGGACCTTGGGAAGTAATTGGGATTAAATGAGATCATGAGAGTAGAGCCCTCATAAATGGGATTGATGCCTTCATAAGGATCATGAGAGACCTTGCTTCCTCTCTCTGCTCTCTGCCATGTGAGGATACAATAAGTCAGCCATCTGCAACCTGAAAGAGGGCCCTCATGACAACTTGACTATATTGGCACCCTGATCTCAGACTTTCAGCCTCCAGAACTGAGAAAAATAAATTTCTGTAGTTTAGAAGCCACCATGCCCATAGCAGCCTGAACTGACTAAAAGATAGATAGGTAGATGGATATATCTGCATATACATACAGATACATATATAGGCAGAGTATTTATATTATATATACATATATTATGAGAATGTGTCTCTATATATACACACACACATATATATGGTTACGGTTAGGGTTAGAGTGTGTGTATACATGTGTGTATATATATCATTATATGCTTATTGTATACAAGCATATATATTCTGCATATACATACAGATACAAATATAGGCAGAGTATATATATTATATGCATATCCACACGTGTGATATTTCTCTATCTTACTTTAAGTAGAGGCATTCGCAGGCTACTAGAGACACAGAGAACATGGAGCTATGCTTTGCAGTGGTGGTAAGAGCACCAAGCCTTGGAAGAGGAAATCTGGTTACTCTTCTTCCCCGCTACCAACTAGCTCTGTAAGTCTTAGTATTTCTGAATTTCTCTGGAACTCAAATTCCTTCTCCTTAAGCCATGCTACAGACACCCAACTCAAATTGTTCTAGGCCAGAGAAAAGAGAATTTGCCAAAAGGCTCAAAGAATTTAGAAAGGCCCTAGAGTTCCACCAGAACTCTTCCTCCGCCTGTTTTATGCTTTCTTTTTTCAAATATGGTAGGAATCATGGCCACCAGTTTCTTCCAAGATCCTTATGACACTTTCTTCTCCAGAGAAGGACTGAGTCTCTTCTCCTGGATCCAGTTCAAAAATTTCCAAGGAACAAACAACTATGGGAATGGAGTCTGGTACCTACCCGATGTAGGGAAAGGGCATTGACTAGGAAAAAGGGAGCTGTTCCTAAAAGGGAGAGAAGCTAGTTAGAGGAAACAATGTTATACCACAGGAGATCTGGACTATGGATAAGACACCAATGTCCTAAATGTTCTTTAATTTCCTCTTTGCATATCATCTGAATTTCTTCCCAACCTTCCGGTTCAATAAATTGGAGATAGTTATGGTTCTTGACGCTGTTAAACTGAGAGCATCAAGTGTAGGTGGAGAAGGGGGACGGAAATTGATTTCTTTGACAAAGTTATTTCTCTGGGAAAAAAAATCTGCAAAAATATTCCACCTTGCTTTTAGGCATAATTTTATCATATTTAATTAGTACTGAAGCCAAGAGTTAGGCTTAGACCTTGACTGGAAGCAAACACTGTGCTAGGGTACTAAAGCTGGCTTGTACTTGCTTGCAAGAGTTGATTGTTAAATTTTGGCAAAAAATTTGGTAAGCCAGCTGCTAAACCCCAATATTGTTAAAAATTAACCTATATAAACTTAAAATTAAATTATATTTTAGAAGGTAATAATACTTAGAATTCATCACTTCCTAATTGTTTATTTTACTATCACATATGCTGTTGAGGTTATTTACATTTATTGTACTTGTACGGTGGAAATACTAAATAATAGCATGCTATCATGCATCTCCTGCCATTGTTTACTTAAAATCAACCAAAGTGGGAATGTGTACACCATGGAAATCAGCAACTACTACAAATAGGATTTTTTTTCTTAGAAAGCTGATTGGTAAATACTTAACCTTCACACCACGGAACACCACTTTCAAATATTAAAGAAATCAATTGGACTTGAAAATTTACAGGACTTCTGGGAGCCTAGAGTGGACTGAAACAATCTAAAAGTAGTTTAAAATATTATCTCTGGTCTCCACTAGTCAAATAAAAGTGTCCAAAAAAAATCATTACATTCTGAATTAAAAAAAATTCATGATACTAAAATAGAGGAAAAGAGAAAAAGCATTATTGTACAGAAAATTATTCAATTAATAAATGTAAAAATGAGGATGAAATTAGAAAATCACCATTTTGGAACCATCACTGTAATAAATGAGCCAGGTAAGGATCATTATTAACAAATGTTAATGCTATTGCGTGAGGGATTATTGGAGGACAGGATATTCATACAATCGCCTCACTTAATACTTTTCAGCTCCAAAAAGAGAGAAATCTGGTGAAAATACCTTACCAAAAATATAAAACTTAACATCACCAATCTTTGTATAATGCACATTATATAATATAACAGATTATACACATCACCTTTAAAGTATTCTTGCCAAAAATGTTTGTCCTGAACCTAATCATGAGTAAATAATCAGAAAAATCCAGGTGTAGACTATTCTATAAGACAATTGATTTGGACTCCTCAAAATATCAATGTATGTCAGACATTTTAAAAAGTAGAGGGCTTTTTCTAAAATAAAGGAGACTAAGGATATCCAATAACTAATGTATGCATTATATTTGCTTGGGGCCTGCATTTTTTTAAGTGTAAAGAATGTTTCTGGCACGTGGGAAAAATTTGAATGTGTAATCTCTATTTGGTATTAGTGCATCAGTGTTAAATTTTGAGAGAGTAATAATTTTGTTATGCAATATATTAGCTTGTTTCCACATACTGAAGAAACATCTGAAACTTAAAAAAAAACTGTGTGAATACACACACACAGAATGCAAATGTGGCAAAGTGTTAAGAATTGGCGAATCTAGGTGAAGAATATACGTTCTTCATTATATTCTACTTTAATCCTACTTTTCTGTAAGATTGAATTTTTTCAAAATAAAAATATGGGTCCGGGCGCAGTAGCTCATGCCTGTAATCCCAGCAGTTTGAGAGGCCAAGGTGGATGGGTCCCTTGAGGTCAGGAGTTCGAGACCAGCCTGACCAAAATGGTGAAACGCTGTCTCCATTAAAAATACAAAATTACCCAGATGTGGTGGCACATGCCTGTAATCCCAGCTACTCGGGAGGCTGAGGCAGGATAATCTCTTGGACCCAGGAGGTGGAGACTGCAGTGAGCCAAGATCATACCATTGCACTCCAGCCTGGGCAAGAAGAGTGAAACTCCATCTCAAAAAAAAAAAAAAAAAAGAAAAGAAAAATATATATATATGTAAAATACAAAAGTCAAGAGAGATGCAAAGAGAAAGAGAAAGAAAAAGAAGAAGGAAAGAAAGAAAGAAAGAAGAAAAAAAGAAAGAAGAAAGAAAGAAAAAAGAAAGAAAGAAAGAGAAAGAGAGAAAGAGAAAAAGGAAGGAAGGGAAAGAAAGAAAGAAGGGAGGGAGGGAGAAAACAACTAAGTATAAGAGAATCTTAACCCTCATTGCTCAATCAGGAACACAGATATTCTTGAAATAACAGCTTAAATATGATGTTCTCATAATCAGAAATGCAAACAAAACAAGATATCCAGAGATAAAAGAAAATTTATCTGTACTTTAAAATTTTTTTGAGTTCAGCCTAGTTTTTATGTATTCATATCATACAACAATACATAGCTATCAAAAACATTTTCTCGAAAAGTAGTAAAGAGCATAGAAAAATAATAATGTGAATTCAATGAAGCATCAAATAAAACTCTAGTGATCTTCATTTTATGTTTATTATAATATTAACATAAAATAAAATGCACAAATTTTAGGTGTTCAGTTTTACATATCTTGGCAATTGTATACACTAGCATAACTACCATCCAACAAGAAATAGAACATTTTTGGGTGTTCTTTATATATTCTGCCTACAAATTTTTTGCATGCATATGAGCTGAGAATATTTTTTTCCCAGTTTAAGACTTGTCTAGTCATTTCTGAATGATGCCTTTTAAAAAGCAGAAAATTTTTTGTGAAATCGAATTTAACATTTTTTCTCTTATTGTTAATGCTTTTTGTGTTCTTTCCTTGAAATCTATGCCCACCCTAAGATCAAAAAGATATTCTCTTTTTGTTCTTGAAACTTTATGTTTCTGGTTTTAAGTTGAGGTCTATGATCTGTCTCAAATGAGTTTTTTTGTATAGAATGAGATATGGGTCAAAGTTCATTTGTTTTCTTCCATGTGGATATTCAGTTGCTCCAGCAGCATTGCTAAATCCTTTGGAAATCGACTTGGTACACTGACTGATCTTGGTTTGTTTGTTTGTTTGTTTGTTTGTTTGGAAACAGGGTCTCACTCTGTCACCCAGGCTGAAGTGCAGTAGCACCACCATGGCTCACTGCAGCCTCAACTTTTCCTGGGCTCAGGTGATCCTCCCACCTCAGCCTCCTGAGTAGCTGGGTCCACAGGCATTAGTTTAAAATTAATTAAAAATTAGTCCACAGCTAATTTTTGCATTTTTGTAGAGACAGGGTTTTACCATGTTGCCTAGCCTGGTCGCAAACTCCTGAGCTCAAGTGATCCTCCCACCTTGGCCTACCAAAGTGCTGGGATTACAGGCATGAGCCCCGCACCCAGCTTCTCTTGGTTTATTTTGTAAAGTATAATATACAGACAAAAAGGCTAAAAGTACAGTTTTCCCTTGGTATACACAGAGGACTGGTTCCAGGACCACCTGTGCATACCAAAATCTTACTCATACTCAAGTCCCTCAGTCGGACCTGCGGAACCCATGTATATGAAAAGTCAGCCCCCTCCGACTGCCAATATATGCAAGTTTCCCATCCCTCAAATATGAATTTTGTATTTTTTTAAGTGAAAGCAAGTTGATTAAGAAAGTAAAGGAATAAAAGAATGGCTACTTCATAGTCAGAAAAGCCAAATTTTGTATTTTTTATCCAAGTTTGGTTGAAAAAGATCTGCGTAAAACTGGACCCATTCAGTTCAAACCTGTGTTGTTCAAGGACCAACTGTAAAACTGAAAGCATTAATGATAGTTATTATTAAGTGATAGGATTATAAGTTGTTTTCTTGTCTTCTTTATACCTTTCTGCATTTTCTTAATTTTTGACAATAAACCTGTATTACTTCGTAATCTAAAAATATATAAAGCTTTTAAATTTTCATGTTCATTTTTTCTTTTCCTTTAGCTATAGCATAAAACCTACAAAATTATAGCTTAAAATGCACATAAATAAATGTAACTTTAAAAACTTGTAAGTTTGACTCTATACGCAAATATCTTACAGATAAGTAAGATATTTTATCTAAATGATAAAAGTACATCTGAATAAGTGGACACATTGTGAAAAGTATTCCAACAATTACTATGTATTTTAGCTCTATTTTTATATCTTTCATTTACGCTGAATAATTCTGGAAGTTCATAAAATTTGCCAAGTACAAAACTTTGAACATCGCTTTAGATATGAATATTTTGTCATTTCAATTTTGTAATAATTTACATATATATTTAAGTTCTTTCTGTGCTGGCAAAGTGTTTTTCAAAGGCCCAGAAATTCCTTTTTTTCTTGCATGGGGTTAAACACTGATCTCATAATCTTATACTCCAAACTTTAGAGACTCTTTCTTGTGAGTTCAAAAGTAAACATCAACCCCTATGTGTCTATCACAAATGGAGTCAAAATGAAAGCAGTTTTGCTGTAACATGGTATTATGCCTGAAGAGATAAATATATACTGGCAAAAGAGGAAGACAAGCTAAGAATCAACAGTAAAAATGTATAACTCATCAGTTTCGATTACAGAAATGTCACATACAACTTTCTTCTTTCTGTTTTGAATTGGTTTTGGATTCCCTGTTTCGCTTGAGGTTTAAATTTCAGCCTTAAATGATCAAACACCAGTTCTCCAGGCCTGCCTTTCTTACTTTCTCAGCAATTTAAGCCAGCTTAGACAATTCAACTTAACCTAAATTAGTCAAACATTGGAAAACTCTCAACACACCTGGCGTGTTTCAGCTGTATGACAACCTGGGCCTCAAGCTTCATTGCACTGATTTGTGGCACAACAGTTAGCAGCATGCTTGGGAAGGGAGGCCTATATCATGGGAACGTCGAGAATGGGAGTAGAGAGAGGAATCTAACAGCAGTTCTTCTGATGGACTACGTAATCAAAATATTTACTTTCACTGTACGGCTATTGTGGCACTGAAATGACACATATGTATGGTGAACCTGGGTAGAATATTAGAAAGCTGCTGTATAGGAAGCAGCATTGTCTAAAAAATATATCGAACAGAAGAAATCTAACATGGAAAAAATAGTTAATATGAATAAATACTGAGGAGGGAAAAAAGGAGTCCTGGAAAAGTGATCGCAGAACTGCAAAAATGACTATTTAGGACTGAAAGAGTTCATGTGGTAACTTTTCTGCAGCTGTGACCATTTGTCCGTATTAACAACAGACCTGTTTTGTTTTGTTTGGGGTTTTGACAAATTACAGCATCCTGTATTGTTCTCTCATCTTGTGGAAAGAAAGGGAAATGTAACTCTATAGAGTTTTATCTTGTATTTTTTATTTTCCCAAAATTCTCCTGAACTCACCGATAGGTGTAGACTAGATGCAAAAGCCTTTGAACTTCAATTGTAAAGTCAGAGGGAAAGGTTTGGTCTTGACGATTCTAAGTCAGTCACTAATGGAAATGAAAGCTGTGCACTCTGGAAACCCTGGCTCCGGTGCTGGGGGATCATGTGCAAACCATGGAATAAGTGGTCAGGCCAGAGCTCTGGAACAGCCTTCCTGTCCCTTGGCTAAGTCTCCCTTCCCCACAATTTCCACAGCTGCTTATCCCAACCCCACTTCTCTGCCTGTTTTTCTCCAACACAAATCAACACTTTAATCAGAAGTATTGAAGTTCCTAATTGGTGGAGAAGGCAAAGATACTGTACCAAGAAGTGAAACGGATAGGTTCCTCCCTGCTAGAACCAATGTAAAGTTACAAAACAACCAATTAAGAAAGGATTATATTTTTCAAAGACCAACTGATGAGATCATTGTTTCTTTTAAGCTTGAGGAGGATGATTTGGTATGATTTAGGCAAAAAGGAGAATATTCTCAGTGCTTGACCCTTGGCCTTCCAACACACACACAAACACCGTTTTTTGGTTTTTTGGTTTTAAAGAAAAAGAGTTTATGATTGGGGGAATCATTGATTTGAAGAGAACTGGACTAACAGAGTCCTTGTCTATCAGTTTCTACTCATTTGTTGTTTGTTTGTTTGTTTGTTGAGACAGAGTTTTGCTTTTGTTGCCCTGGCTGGAGTGCAATGGCGCGATCTCGGCTCACTGCAACCTCTGTCCCCTGGGTCCAAGCGATTCTCTTGTCTTAGCCTCCTGAGTAGCTAGAACTACAGTGCATGCCACCATGCCAGGCTAATTTTTGTATTTTTAGTAGAAACAGGGTTTCACCATGTTGGCCAGGCTGGTCACAAATTCCTGACTTTAGGTGATCCACCTGCCTCAGTCTCCCAAAGTGCTGGGATTTCAGGCATGAGCCACCACACCCAGCCACCTTCTACTCATTGCTATTACATGGGATCTACAGGGAGAAAGAGTTTCTGTCCCTTATTTCTACTGATGGACAACCCCTTTAGTCTTTTTTTAACAATCTCTGTAGTGGATTGTATGGTGACTCCCAACAAGGTATGTCCATGTCCTGACCACCAGAGCCTGGGAACATGGCCTTATTAGGAGAAGAGGTCTTTGCAAATGAAATCAAGTTAAGAACTTAGATGAGGTAATCTTGGACTATCCAGGTGGGCCCTAAGTGCAATGACAAGTGTCCTTATGAGAGACAGAAGAGAAGCCCATGGAAATATGGAAGCAGAGATTAGAGGGAGGAAGTCACAGGCCAAGAACAACTGGAACCACCAGCGTCTGGAAGAAGAAAAGAAAAAAATATCTCCTACAGCCTCCAGAGAGAGTAACGTGCCCTGTCAGCAACTTGATTTCAGACTTCTGGTCTCCAGGACTATGAAAGAATCAATTTCTGTTGTTTTAAAGTACTAAATTTGTGGTAATTTGTTACAGCAGCCTCAGGAAACTAATACAGTAAACTAAGGTGTTTGTTTTTGTTTTTGTTTTCAGTTTCTAATTCCACAATTTCTATTATTCATTCATTTGTTCAGTAAACAAACAGGCAATGAATGTGTCAGGCATTGGACAATGCACGAGAGATACAGAGTTGAAAAATAAATCTATTCTCAAGAGCTTTATAAACTGATAGGGAGAATCAGACATGTAAGTACAATGAAGTATTACAATGTCATTATTATGTATAGGCATGAGAAGGAAGTGACCACTGCTTCCTGGGATGGTCACAAAAGGGTTCAAAGAAGAGAGACACAGAAAAGCTGAAGAAGTGTTTGCTGGCCAAGAGGGTTAAGAATGGGAGGGAGGGAATTCTTGGAAGAGAAAGTATCATAAACAGAGGTATGGAGGTATGCAATCACATAACCTCTACAAATATTGGATGCTTTTAAGTATATCTGGTAAGATTCTACAGTAGGCCTGGTGAAAGGCAGTGCTAAAGGGTAGATAAGGAAGGGCCAGATTATTGACAGCCACATTAGTCAAGCTGAAGAGTTTGGAATGAGTCCTATGGCAAATGGGAAACCCTTAAAACTTAAGGTTTTTAAGCAGGGTGGCAACATGTCACACTTGTGTTTCAGAAAGTTTGCTGTGGTAGAGGTGGGCTGGGTGCCTTGGGGACTCAAGATCAAGGCAGGGAGATTCATTAGAAGAGTACTGATGTGGTCAAAGGAGCAGAACTAAGGCTAAACTAAGGCACAATCATGAGGCGGAGCAGAGGAATGGCAAGAAAGAGAAATTGACAAAGGAATCTGAGAAAGAATAGAGTTTGAGTTAGAAAGTGAGAAGCAAACAGAGCAAATTCTATTGCAGTAACCAAGAGAGAAGAGGGGATCAAGAAGGAAGTAACAACAGTCAGAAGCCAAGTGATGTGAAGAGGACTCCACTGGATTTGCCAATGAAGAGGCCACTGGTGACTTTGGCAGAAAAGTTTGAGGGGAGATGTTATCTATTAGCCATGTAAATTGCTGGCAAGTCAATTAGCATCAGCAAAACAAAGATTGGTCCATAGATCAGTAGTCATCAAAATATATTCCCCACACTATCCCAGCATCATCTTGGAACTTAGAAATGCAAATTCTCAGGCCCCACTCCCCCTAAATCAGATACACTGGGTTAGGGGTCCACAATCTAGGTTCTAACAACGATTTTGATGCAGAAGTCTGAGAACCGTCTATATACACTAGACAGGACTTTACTGCTGAAAAGGTAATTCATGGACTGGCAGCATCAATATCACCTGGGAGCTTGTTGGACCCCACACCTGACCCATTGAATCAGAATCTGCATTGTAATAAGATCTCACGTGATTCAGTTACACAGTGAAGTTAGAGAAGCACTGTTGAAGGGTTTCAATCTCAATAGCTTTCTTGCCCAGTGTCTGAGATTACCTTTTACATAAATCTGCTAAGTTGCTAATTCAAGGAAGGGGGGAGAATTCAATATAACATAACATATTTCCTCCTCTCAAGTGGGATAATAAGGAATAACAAATGGGCTATTTATAGCTTACATGAGACCAGAAACATTGCATGTGCAGTCAAAGTAATGTAGGTGCTTTGTAGTTTTTGGCATTTCAATTCTAGGTTACAGAAATACATGTTTTTCCTCAAAAAGATAGAAAACCTACTGGGGTTCATTATATTATTCTGGTGGAAAATAATATCAGGCCATTAGGACTTTATTCAAAAAAGTATCTTGGTATTCTTGACAGAGACAGTATATGGAAACAGATAGATCTTTACATAACCTTAGTGGGGAATTGCTTGTTAGGAAACCAAAAACATTAAGATCTGTGCAATTTACTGTTTGTAAAATAGAGCTCCATAAAAAAACTGAGAACAATTATATTTACTTTGTGTAAATATAGTTTAGCCCAAAGATTCTCAAAATGTCCTCAGACCAGCAGCATTGGCACCACTGATTGGCTTGTTAGAAATGCAAATGATTGGGCTCTGCTGTGACCAACTAGATCAGTATCCCTGGGGCCGGGATACAGGAAATTGTCTAGCAATCCAGGTGATTCTCGTGCATGGTAAAATTTGGTTTAGGCCTCAGAGACGCTTCATATAAAACACCTCTGCCTGCATTGTCTCTTCTTTGCCTTAACTGCCTCTGAAACTCTCTTCTCGGCTGAAATATTTTCATTTATCTTTAAAATCCTTTTGTGGGTCCTTTCCTCCTTCCCCTTTTTTCTTCCTCTATCTACCTATGTCTTTCCGTTCTACTTTTTCACTTCCTGTTTTGTTCCTAGCTCACTTTAGCTTTGAACTGCCCCATTCTCAAAGATGCATACAAATCTAGCACTTCTACGCAAAAATGTGCCAGCCTAAGCAAGTCTATTAGATACCCATGCTCAGCATTATGAAAGAAACGAAACAGTACATCAGCCACTTAGTTCTTGAAACAATGCAACTTAAAGAAATGACAGTATAGAACGAGTCACTGTACAGTTCTTTGGTATTAATGTGACTTTAGCAAGAACACTCATGACTGTCATGTGCTAACTGTCCACAAAATGTCTGCTGGCATAGAAAAGTACATGATTTTCAATCTACAGGCAGTTCACCAGAACATTTGGGCCCTGTATTAGGATTAAATGTTCATGACTTCACCATAAGAGGTGGCTAATAGGTACAGTAGGAACAAATATTAATAATAATATTAATAAAAGTGTTACTTTGTTTAACTGAAATAATTTGTCTTTATTATACAGTCTACCACTAATAATGATCATTGCTTATAATTATTTATTACTAAATTTAGTCCAAAGCCTTTTCTATGAGCCTTACAGTTAACAGGTTGGTGCAAAAGTAACTGCAGTTTTGCCATTAAAAGTAATAACAAAAACCGCAATTACTTTTGCACCAACTTAATATTACTATACGTATGTATTTATTTATTTTAAGACAGAGTCTTGCTCTGCTGCCCAGGCTGGAGTGCAGTGGCGTGATCTCGGCTCACTGCAATCTCTGCCTCCTGGGCTCAAGCAATCCTTCCACCTCAGCCCCTCAAGTAGCTTGGACTACAGGCACCCGCCACCACGCCCAGCTCATTTTTGTATTTTTAGTAGAGATGGGTTTCCGCCATGTTGCCCAGACTGGTCTTGAACTCCTGACCACAAGCAACCCACCATCTCGGCCTCTCAGAGTGCTGGGATTACAGGCATGAGCCACGGCACCTGACCTACTATGTATTCAAACCTCCCCATAACCCTATGAGTTCAATACTATTATTATCATCTCCATTTTACAGATGAGGAAATAGAGGAATGGTAAGGTTAAGTAACTTGTCTAGAGTCATTTTGCTGGGAAGTAGTAGACATGGGATTTGCATATAGGCAATCGAGCTTTGGGGTCCTAGATTGTAACTACTGCATTACACTGCTTCTCAAGTGAGAATGGGTTGAATTATACAAGACATATTTGAATTTCACGTTTCTTCACCTTTTGCATTAAGAGACCAGGTTCATTACATATTTTCACATTCTCACACTTTTGTGGAAACAGCATGGTACTGTGGGGCAAATGCCTGCCTGGGAGCCAGAGGTCCTCAAATTTTATCCTAGTATTATAAGCAACTAACTAGATGCATATGGGGACGCTCATGGGTTTACCCTTAATAGGTCACAATTTCTTCTCTTACAAAAGGGGAGTGTTAGACTCCATTAGATCATATTAATGGTTCTTTCCAGATCCAACATTCTGTGAATTCGAAGAATGAAACATAGTCCTAGGAAATAATTAGACTTGGGAACATAACGGTACACAGAAGCATAATTAATCAATTTTCTAATTATTCCTTTAGCTATAATATAAACAAATAATTCA
Source organism: Homo sapiens (assembly GCF_000001405.40). NCBI lineage: Eukaryota > Metazoa > Chordata > Mammalia > Primates > Hominidae > Homo > Homo sapiens. The sequence continues at coordinate 113,811,526 of NC_000006.12, forward strand.
ACATGGCATAATTCTTGGTTATTAAGGCAGAACAGAAGTGTTTGCTACTATGTGAACAACATGCAGAGAAATAAAAACAAAAACTAAAGTACGTTTGCTCAACATGATAAAGGCCAGAGGTGAGGGATAGTGTTAATTTCCTACTGTTGCTTTAACAAATTATCACAATTTAGTGGCTTTAAAAAAGCCCACAAATTTATCTTATAGTTCTGGAGATCAGAAATCTAAACTGTGTCTCACAAGGCCATAATCAAGCATCAGTAGGGCTGTGTTCCTTCTGGAGGCCTAGGGCAGAGTCCATTTTCCTGGCCTTCTCCAGCTTCTGCAGGTGGCCTACATTCCTTGGCTCATGGCTCCTTTCCCCTACTTTCAAAGCTGGCAATGACAGGTTAAGTCCATCTCATATGACATCATTCTGACCTCTTCTATTAGGTTGGTGCAAAAGTAATCACGGCTTTGCCTTGTGATTAAATTAGGCCCACCCACATAATCCAGGATAGTCTTTCCTTCTCAATATCCTTAGTTTAACCACATCTGCAAAGTCCTTTGGCCATGTGAGATAACACCGTAACAGGTTTCAGGGATTAAGACATGAACTTCTTTTTGGGGGCCACTTATTTTGCCTACCATGGGGATATTTTAGGGATTTCCAGGAAACTTTCTATATCATATATCTAAAAAACAAAACAGTATTCATAACAGAAAGGAAAATGATTCAATTCTGAAACATTGTAAGATCTCTTTCAATTTAAAAAGTGAAGTTCACATTAAATGGAACCTACACATTTATTGAAGATTTTCTAGAGTTGATACTTTCTTATTATTTATTTACTTTTTTGAGACAGGGGTCTCTGTCACCCCGGCTGGTGTACAGTGCGTGATCTCGGCTCACTGCAACCTCCGCCTCCTAGGTTCAAGCGATTCTCCTGTCTCAGCCACCCCAGTAGCTGGGATTACAGGCGTGTGCCACCACATCCGGCTAATTTTTTGTATTTTTAATAGAGGTGAGGATTCATTATGTTGTCCAGGCTGGTCTCAGAATTTCTGGCCTCAAGTGATCCGCCCACCTCAGCCTCCCAAAATGTACTAATACAGGTGTGAGCCACCACGTTGGGCCTCAGTTTATTTTATTTCATTTTATTTTATTTTATTGAGATGGAGTTTCACTCTTGTTGCCCAGGATGGAGTGCAATGGCACAATCTCGGCTCACCGCAACCTCCGCCTCCCAGATTCAAGTGATTCTCCTTCCTCAGCCTCCTGAGCAGCTGGGATTATAGGCATGCGCCATCACGCCTGGCTAATTTTGCATTTTTAGTAGAGACGGGGTTTCTCCATGTCGGCCAGGCTGGTCTAGAACTCCCGACCTCAGGTGATCTGCCCACCTCAGCCTCCCAAAGTGCTGGGATTACAGGCGTGAGCCACCATGTCCAGCCGGTATTATTTTAAATGCAAAAGAATGTTACAGCCCAAAACGACCATGAAGACAATCTAGTAAAGTCAAGCCTCCTTATTTTATATATGAGGAAACTAAGACTCAGAGAGGCTCAAGAGGGACAGAAGCTAGGCTGAGACCTCATGGCTTGATTCCCACATCTAGAATTCTTCCATTACTAAACCTTCAGCTGCCTCTCATTTTGTCACTCTACCAATCATTCTGAGGCCTCTGTGCAAAGTTTCTTAGCTTAACAGTTAAGGAAGAGTCTTAGCCAAACATTCTTTGGCGTACCCGGCAACTCAGACTCTGGGTCCACAGTTAATACTAATGATTAGAGCAGATCTCTACCTCTTTCCTCCTCTTAGGGGAAGTACATGGAGGAGAAAGATACTGCAGGAGGGAAAAAAAAAAAAGTCTTGTCTCTTGACTGCCATGTGAGGATAAAGAGTAGGAGGAAAACTATGCTGTGGTAAGGAAAGTAGCTGAACCACAGATGAGGCGTTCATTGAAAAAACATTTTGTAAATTCCATTTCTTACCCTTAAGATGTGTCAAAGGCAATGTGTTAGGTGTAGTGCTAATAAGGAGATTAATTTCTTATGGAGTGTTTATGAAGCAAAAATTCCATTAAAACAAAAATGTAAGAATAGCAACAAATTTAGTTGAATTATTAAAATATGTTTTAGAGATTCTAGGTCAAATCCTTGTTTTGCAAAGGAAAATCTTAACCTCTGCATGGCCCAGAACAAAGAGAGTACAGCACCAACCCTAGATACAGGAAGCAGAAACAGCCTGGTTAGCCTTCCACCTCAAATTTTCCCCTTTCCTAAAAAATATTTCAGTGTCTCCTCGGAGAAGAGTAGTAAAGCCATCCTGAAAGACTACTGTTAGAAAACCCCTACCATTAGGAAACTACATTAACAAAGTAAAGGTTAAAAAGTATATGATGATTTCAGAATATGCCAAGAAAGCATTTATTGAAATATAAAATTCATTCCTGTTATTTTTGGTTTTGTTTTTGAAACATTTCTTAGCAAAGCAGTAATGGAAGAAAATGTTCTTAAATAAACTTGTTGTAGAGGACCTTCTAGAATCTTAAAACAAAATCATAATGTTGAAACCCATGTTTTTATGTTTTTTGTTGTTGTTTGTTTGTTTTTTGAGACGGAGTCTCACTCTGCTGCCCAGGCTGGTGTGCAGTGGCACAGTCTCAGCTGACTGCAACCTCTGCCTCCCGAATTCAAGTGATTCTCCTGCCTCGGACTTCTGAGTAGCTGGGATTATAGGGGCCTGCCACCACGCCTGGCTAAAAATCCATGTTCTTGGAGATGTCAATCCGGTTTTTAGTGCCTCACTCATCATATGAATGACTAGCCAAGGATCCACAGACATTTGGTTTAAACCTCAAATAAGATCAAAATAAACAAGTATATAGGGGAAAATGCAGGGAGCAGAATAAAAAAAGTTTTAAAAGATTACAAAAAAAGACAGCAAAGAAAAAGGGAAGGGAAGGAGAATGAGAGAGAAAGACAGAAAGAAAAAGAAAGGAAAGAATAAAAGAAAACATTCAGAGAACATAAAGAACTTTGGGAATTTAAAAACGTAAAAGAAGGCCAGGCACGGTGGCTCACACCTGTAATCCCAGCACTTTGGGAGGCCGAGGCGGGTGGATCGCTTGAGGTCAGGAGTTCGAGACTAGCCTGGCCAACATGGCAAAACCCTATCTTCACTAAAAATACAAAAATACACCACCGGGCGTGGTGGCACATGCCTATAATCCCAGCTACTCTGGAGACTGAGGTACACAAGAAAATCGTTTGAACCCGGGAGGTGGAGGTTGCAGTGATCAGAGATCACGCCACTGCACTCCAGCCTGGGTGACACAGTGAGACTCCGCCTCAAATAAAATAAAATAAAATAAAGCAAATAAAAATCAAAAATAAAAATGTATGATAAAAACAAAACACAAAAGCAAGAGAAAAATTGGAAGATAAAGTTGAGAAAATCTCCCAGGAAATAGAACAAAATGATAAACAGACTAAACATAATAGTGAAAAGATAATGAGAATCAATCCAAGAAATCTGAATAATAGGAATACTAAAGAGAAAGCTCAGAAAAAAATGGCAAGGATGACATTGTTGAAGAAATAATATAAAAAGCTTCCAGAACTAATGAACATGAGTTTCCACATTTAATTACAAAGCAAAAAAGCACACCAAGGCCATCATTGCTTCCAGAAAGAAAAACAGTTTACATACAAATGACATTGGATTTCAAATAGTTACACTTTTAGGAAGTAATTAAAGAAGAAATAGCTTCAATTTTTTGAGGGGAAAATGTTTCTAACATAAATTTTTCGGTTTTTTTTTTTTTAATTTTTTTAAGAGACAGGGTCTCACTCTGTTACTCAGGCTAGAGTGCAGTGACTCAATCATCGCTTACTGGAGCCTCAAACTCCTGAGCTCTGCCGGGCGCGGTGGCTCACGCCTGTAATCCCAGCACTTTGGGAGGCCGAGGCGGGCGGATCACGAGGTCAGGAGATCGAGACCATCCCGGCTAAAACGGTGAAACCCCGTCTCTACTAAAAATACAAAAAATTAGCCGGGCATAGTGGCGGGCGCCTGTAGTCCCAGCTACTTGGGAGGCTGAGGCAGGAGAATGGCGTGAACCCGGGAGGCGGAGCTTGCAGTGAGCCGAGATCCCGCCACTGCACTCCAGCCTGGGCGACAGAGCGAAACTCCGTCTCAAAAAAAAAAAAAAAAAGAATAGATAAAAAATTTAAGAACGACCTATGAAAACTTGTTTGACATCATTAGTCATGAGAAAAATGTAAATCAAAGAGAAAATGAGAATATTAGGTTAAAACACATAAAATCACCTACAAAGGCCAGGCACGGTGGCTCACACCTGTAATCCCAGCACTTCGGGGGGCTGAGGCAGGTAGATCACCTGAGGTCAGGAATTCGAGACCTGCCTGGCCAACATGGTGAAACCACGTCCTACTAAAACTACAAAAATTAGCCAGGCATGGTGGCATGTGCCTGTAGTCCCAGCTACTCAGGAGGCTGAGGCAGGAGAATCTCTTGAACTCAGGAGGCGGAGGTTGCAGAAAGCCCAGATCACACCACTGCACTCCAGCCTGGGTGACAGAGCGAGACTCTGTCTCTGAAAACTAACTAACTAAATGAAAATAAAATCACCTACAAAAAGATTATTTTAGATGTGCCAACCTAATACAATGTGGCTAAAATTCAAGGACTAACCATACCACATACTGATGAGGACATGAAGCAACTGGACTGTCATATACCATGGATGTGAGTATATATTGGCACAACCCCTTTGGCAAACTTTCTGGCTATACCTACTAAACCCAAACATACATACATGCTATGCCCAGAAATTCTGCTCCTGGATACATGCTGAAGGAAATTGAGGGCTACTGTACAATAAAGGATGAGTACAGAGATGTATAAGAGTCTAATCTATGAAACAACCTACACACACATCAATTGTAGAATGGGAAATCATAAAATGTTAACACATTGGAATACTACACGGCAATGAAAAGAACACAATAGTTTTATGCACAACATCCCTCACATAAAATATTGGGTGAAAGAAACCAAATATGATATAGTACCTACTTTATGATTCTATTCATTAAGAGTTCAAAAAAGGCAAAAGTAATCCTGAGTGGGAGTGAAGAAAATACTGGAGGTGTGGGAGATTCAGAGACATTACCTGGAACGGAGGCATGAGAGAGCCTACTGTGGTCTTGGAAGTGTTTTATACACTGATCTAGGGGATGACTATGTGGATATACACATATATAATAATTCTGTACACAGCTTTATTCACTTTGCTGATTGTAGGTAAGACCTCCATAATAAAAAAAAAAGTTAAAGGCAAATGATGTAAAAATATAAATGTGAGAAAATATATTTGCAAAACATAATTAACAAAGATTGGTATCCAAACTATTTATTTATTTATTTATTTGTTTATTTATTTATTTATTTTTGAGATGGAGGCTCACTCTGTCACCCAGGCTGGAGTGCAGTGGTGGGATCTCAGCTCACTGCAACCTTCACCTCCAGGATTCAAGCAATTCTCCCAGCTCAGCCTCCCGAGTAGCTGGGATTACAGGCATGTGCCACCACACCCAGCTAATTTTTGTAATTTTAGTAGAGATGGGGTTTCACCAAGTTGGTCAGGCTGGTCTCGAACTCCTAACCTCAGGTCATCCATCCATTTCAGCCGCCCAAAGTGCTAGGATCACAGGCGTAAGCGACCGCACCCAGCCCCAAAATACACTTTAAAATCTCTATAAATTTTAAGAAGACTATAAACAACCCAAGAGAAAAAAATGGGCAAGGACTTAAACAGGAAAGCAATCAAAAGAAAACAAGAATGGACCCCCCGCCAGAAAACACATAAAAAGATGTTCAATGTTGTTGGTAATCACAGAAATCCTAATTAAGATCAAAAGATACCACTTCACAACCACCAGGGAAGCAAAAATTTTAAAGTTTATCCTTATCCAGTGTTGGCATGGTTGTGGAATAATCAGAACTTGAACCCTGTTGATAGCACTTTGTATGTATGTATAAACTGGTACAAGCACTTTGGGAAACAATTTGGTAATATTTAGTAAATGAAGAATGCATATTATACATGATCAGCAATTCTCTTTCTAGATATCCAAATCTCTTGCACATGTTCACCAGTAGTCATGTGTTCATGGCAGCAATGTTTATGCAAAATTTGGAAGTAACATTCAGTCACAAGAAAATAGATAAATTGTGGTACACTTTCACAATGGACTGTCATACAGATATGAAAATAAATAAGCTATGGGCAGCCACGTGTATCAACATGGGTCAACTTCATGAAAACAATATTGATCCAAAGAAGCAAGTCATATAATTATTATACATTGTGATTCCCATCTATATCAAGTTTTAAAAACATACAAAACTCAACATTATACTGATTAGGGTAATGTTCTGTATTTTAAGCTGGATAGAATGCACAGAAGTATTTGTAATTGTTGTTTTTTCCTAATTTTTACATTAAACTTCCATATTATTTTTTATTAAGAAAAAATCGGCTGGGTCTGGTGGCTCCCGCCTGTGAGTCCCAGCTACTCAGGAGGCTGAGGCAGGAAGATTGCTTGAGCCTGGGAGTTGGAGGTTGTAGTGAACTGAGCTCATGCCACTGCACTCCAGCCTGAGTGACAGAGCCAAATCCTGTCTCAAAATAATAATAGTAACAATAATAAAAGAAAAAAATGGATAGTATTTTGAGTTTGGAGCAGAAACAAGGAATTTCTTAAATCTCTTCTAGTTATATTAAATCAAAAGGGTTTGATGTTATCATTAAGAGTCTTTCCTCCTAGCTGTAATATTCTAGTTATCTGTGCATTCCCAAATTGGAAGCCTGAGAAGTATTATTACCTGGAACATTGAGTATCAGGCACTCTTTTTCTTTTGTAATACAGTACCTTATAAAAAATCATTCTGTATTCCTGCCTTTCTTCAGAGGATGTGATTAAAATGTTCAAGGTCAAGGAAACAATTTGCTCTACAAGTTTTACTAAACGGGGTATTGGAGGGCAGAAAGAAAGAGAAAGATAGATAGGGCTTCATTTTTCATACACCCTCTGATATATAAAAAGTTTGTTTAAAAAATTACTATCTTTACAAAGTAAATATACTTCAAAAATTACTCCATCCTGTTGGTATTGCATAAGCCAGAGACAGATTTAAAGGGAGGGAGAAATGAAACTGACCAGCTGAAGCTTCACTGTCTTTTCAGATTGTGATTCTCTTTACACATTACTCATTTGGAAGACAAACTCCAAGCAAATAAAATTTAATGTCACAAAAATGTACTTTTCTACTAATAGCAATAGGGACATGACTAGAGCGCTAATAGTGACAGATTCACTTCAGCTGAAAAATCCTTTTAGAGAACCTTTGGAATAATGAAGTATCTCTGGCTTGTGCATGATGTTAACCATTGAACTAAGAAAATACGCCACATATAATTATTCAAAATGCTTACATGGACACTCTGACTGGTATATATGTTGTAATTTTTGGTTTAAGGTATTGTTTAGTATAGTGATTGTGCAGAAACTTTTAGTTACCTTTGTCATTTCATTAAATAATGTTTTTCTCTGTAGATATAATTAAGCACCCTAATAATTCTTAATAAGATAACAATATTATTGTTCCCCTGTTATCTAACAGGGGAATAAGTATTCCCCTGTTATCCTCTCACCTCCAGACTCAGCAAAATTTATAAAATAGATTGGATATTTAGATAAATTTCATTTATAAGTTCCACATGAAATTCATTTCTTATATCTTGAGTTCTGGTTAAACATTTACTTGCTATGCTGTGCTAGAGAATCAAGAGTCAAAAATCCTGGTTGTTTTTTTAAAATAAAATAGTTCTTTATATTTTCTTATTTGTAATATTTCATAAGTCTCAAACTGAAATTCATGATCCTATCTGTTTTTCCCCTTGTTTTTTTATTTCTATAGCAATGAGGAGAAGAAGGTGGTGGTTTGTAAATATTTGTGAAAGCAAAGACAGTTTACTGACAACCTGAGACTTCCTGGTTCATAGTACAGACGTGGCCTTGCCCCTGGACAGGGCTACGCTGGAGGAAAGTGTATGCTCCAGAAAGGAGTTACCACTTAAGGATCTAATCAGATTTATTTTGATTCAGCACATTTTCTATTACTTTTGTCCCAATAATTTACTTGGTTTAAATTATTGTCATTTTTCTTTTTGGTCAATTGTTGTTCCCTTTTTGCCAACCTATTTTGCCACTATTCTGACCTTTAAAATTGATTGTTGTTTCTAAATAAAAATGGAATCTGGAAAAACAGCAGTGTCCTTACTCTCTCTCAACACCTATCAGGAGGAGAGAGCCAGTGGTGAGGTCCTGTAATATTGGTGAACTGTGGAGTCCCTGAATCAAAAAACAATGTTTTTGACCTCCTAACCTAAATGTGCATCACATTTATACTTTATTATAAAATCCTTAATTTCAGTGTTTGTTCTAAAAACTAGTGGGGAATTTCACCTGTGAGTTGATGTAAAATAAAATATTTTTTAAAAAATCAATCTAAAAGGAAAACCAAAGTAATAAAGTATAAAGCAAAGTTATTCAGCTTATTTTCTGGAATGCTAACATGTTCTAGTATGAGTTAGACCTTCTTCCTTCAGAAACAGCATTTTAAATTGTAATATTGCAAACCTTATCATAAGGATAAGAACGTGAGACCAAAAGAATAGATACGTAGAAAGCAGAAAATAACAAAAATAGATGGCCTTTTAAACCTACTTTTGGTGTTTATTATAAAGTAGACATTTAATTCATACTATAATTTTAAGTAAACAAAATGGTAGAGTTTATTAAATGTTAGGTATGATATGATTCAAATTTTTTTTAATTTATACACATACTGCACAGAAAAAATGTGAAAACACTTATACACCAAATGAGTATTTTTGATGATGTGATTGTTTATATTTTAGTTTTGCTAACTTTCAAAAGCATATATAAATTATATGCATATAGTTGTACAATACACACACATCAGATATAATCTATATTTTATTTAAGTGTATTTTGTATGTAGATATATAGTTTTACTAACTTAAAAAGTTATTTTTTTAAATAAACTATATTTTTTATTTCATTGTGACCCAAGAGGCTTATAAGTTAAGCTTTGAGCAGTTTGATAATTCATTCATTCTTTTGACAATTTTTGAGCACTTACCGTATTTAGGCGCTCTTCTAGGGGACT